>NC_000018.10:58287528-59537528 GCF_000001405.40 Homo sapiens | reverse complement strand
CTTACATGGCAGCAGACAAGAAAATGAGAGCCAAGCGAAAGGGTTTTCCTCTTATAAAACCATCAGGTCTCATGAGACTTATTCACTACAATGGGAACAGTATGGGGGAAACTGCCCCCGTGATTCAATTATCTTTCACCAGGTCCTTCCCACAACACGTGGGAATTATGAGAGCTACAATTCAAGATGAGTTCTGGGTGGGGACACAGCCAAACCATATCAGCCACACTTTGAGTATATGTCACCTTGCTTTGGCTGGCATTATTCTACAGAGACTGTAAATATGATAGACGACTCCAGAATCTGAGTTTGAAATTTAGAGACAAGATTAGAAAGTGGTAGTCTTGAAAACAGATCAGAACTATCATAAAATGGATTGAAAAACCCCAGCCCAAAAGATAGTTCTTAAGTCTTTAGCTGATAAGATCAGAGGTCTCCTGAATATACCCAGGGGCTGTATGCTAAGCATTAACTTTGCTTTTTCTAGTTTATATGTGAGCAGAAACATGAAAAACATCCATTTTTTTTTTTTTTTTTTGAGACAGAGTCTCACTCTGTTGCCAGTCTGGAGTGCAGTGGCACAATCTCTGCTCACTGCAACCTCTGCCTCCCAAGATCAAGCGATTCTCCTGCCTCAGCCTCCCGAGTAGCTGGGATTACTGGTGCATGCCACCAAGCCCAGCTAATGTTTTTTTGCATTTTTAGTAGAGATGGGGTTTCACCATGTTGGCCAGGATGGTCTCCATCTCCTACCCTCGTGATCTGCCCACCTCGGCCTCCTAGAGTGCAGAGATTACAGATGTCAGCCATTGCGCCCAGCCAAATGTTCCTTTATTTTCTTGACTTAGTGTCAAGAAATGGAGATGCCTGTTGAATACGTGTTGTTTTCATGGCTGTTGCATTGGTCGTTCTTATTTGTCATGTACACTATGACCATTGCCAAGTTGCAGTTCCCCTGGCACTTTCTTATTCTTACTTTTGTTTTTCTGGGAAAGTCGACATTTTCCCAGCCCAAGACAACCTTCTCTTCCTTTGAACATAGAAATCTTTTTGAAATTGTCTTCGGTATTTCCAAATACAAGCCCGTCTCATGCACATGCTGCAGAATTTGGAGGAGTGAGTCATTGAAGGAAGAGCTGGAGGGTGGTGCTCATGGTGTGGAAAAAGGAGAGGAGGAGGAGAGAGAGCCCAGGGAAATGATATGCAGATGGCCTGAGTGCCTGCCATGAGCTGTCCAGGCTCTATGCGGATGCTGGGCACCTCGCAGATGGCACACCGTCAGACTCTTGCACACCAGATGAGAAGACGGAAGCTCATAAAGATCGATTTGATCAAAGTTTCACTATTAGTAAGAGCTAGAATTGAGATTCCTATCTCTCTAGACTCAAAACCTATTATGGTTTTTTAATGAATTATTTCAGACCTTTACAAATGTTAAAGAATATCATAAAAATACTTTATATTCATCTGAAAAGAAAATGAAACATTACAAACAAAATTGAAGCCTTTGTTTCTTTCTCCTCCTCATAGAATTACACACCAGCCAGGCACCGTGGCTTGTGCCTGTAATCCAAACACTTTGGGAAGCCAAGGCGGGAGGATTGCTTGAGCTCAGCTGTTCAAGACCAGCTTGGGCAACATAGACTTTTCCTTAGGAAAAAAAGAGTACACACTATCCTAAATCTTGATTTTATTATTTCTGATAAATGTCCTTATATATGTACGTTTTTCTTAGCAATAAATACTGTTTTTCAAGTATTTAATCTTTGACATAAATGGTATCATGACTGTACCTATTCTTGTACAACATTTTAATGCTTTACATTGTTTAATACATGTAATATTTCTCTGTATGAGTATGTCATAATTTACATATTCTGTTGAACATTTGGGTTGCTTCCAAATTTTTCAGCTATTAAGAGCATTGCTACAGTGACCTTACACTCATATACTTGAATTTCTCAGTTTTCCCATCCCCTCCCATACTTCAGACTGGAGCTGCCAGGGGTAGTGTGCACACTTTGACCTTGGCTATGCATTGCATGTTACTTTTCATGGTGATTATGCTAATTTTCACTTGCAACAGCAGAGTATGAGAATTTCTGTTCCTCTCTACGTTCACTAACACCCGGTAATGCCGGGCTTTTACATTTCTGCCAGTCTTGGTGTGAAATAATTCACTGTGTTTTTAATTTGGATTTCTATAATTACTACTGAGGAAATTATCAAAAAGTGCCTCCCCTTCAGTAAGTCCATGCTTACTGAATACCATCTTCTTGTCAAGCCTCCAGCACAGTCTCAGCTCACCAGCGTTGACAGTCTCAACGTTTATCTTTCCAGCATCAAGGCTTCATGATGCTGTCAATCTCATTACTGCTGAAGGCAGAACTACAGCATGCTGAATGCCTCGTCTAAGATCAAAGACATTTTAGTGCAGTTTTCACAAGTCTTTCTGTTATATAGACTTGAGATATTATTTGGGGAAATTGGGGATTCGAAACTGGTGTGAAGGAGCTATCGTGTAACATTTTATTTGCCTCTCTAAAAGTCAGTAATGATAGTTTTCAATTTGGGAATTAAAAATGAGGGAAAATGAGTTTTGTTCTGTTTTTTCTTCTAAGCCTTGGCACCATTACTTATTACTACTTTTATCCTTCCCTCCTCATGCTCAAGAGAGCATTTCTATATGCATGGTCTGTTATTGGGAGACAGAAAATGTACAGGCTGTGAATTCCAGGCTACGCAGCTCTAGATCTGGGGCCAGAAGTTCTCCTTCTGGAACCAAACAATCTAGATGGAGCCTCATTCTCTACAGTGGACATCAGAAATGACCTGGACAGCTTGTGAAAACACAGCCTGCTGGCCCCACCTCCAGAGTTCCTGATCTCATAGGTCTTGGGTGGAGCCAAAACTTTTGCATTTCTAACAAGTTTCCAGATGATGCTGATGCTAGAGACCACACTGTGAGAATCACTGCTTTGAAGCAATGTACCCAAAAGTAGGGGAGGCACTGGACCAGGAAGCCCCTCTCAGACAGAGGATCAAATTCAGATGCAGGTTGTTATGTAATATTACAGCCCAAAGGCCTGGCTGGTTAGGTGTATGGCTGACTTCTATATTCTTCATGCTTTTAATAATATCCCACTTATTTTAAAGTCAGCATGTGTTTTAAAATATTAAGGACAAGACAAAAACCTCAGGGCCTTACAGATTTGGGATTCAATACATTTTTACTTTGATTTTCAACTTTTAAAATTCTAGCAAAGGTTTTAGTACATGATACCGAAGTTATAGGTGTGTTATTTTGAGGTCGGTAGACTTCTAGGAATGTATGACTAACCAAACTATTTCTAAGATAGAGTCAAACATTCATTTATCATTAGCCAACATTATCATTAGCCAACATCTTAGTAATCTATAGTCTTCCATGTATAGATCACTAAGGCGGAATCGAACACTTTTGAAAAGGAGGAACAGGGTGGTTATGGGGATTCTCCAAGTCAATTTTTTTCTTTGGAATCTCTCAATGAAATGGGTCATCTCAGGTTTATGGAAACACAGAGCACAGGACATATGATAGTAGAAACACTTGGTGATTGCCATTATGAAGTACATTTGTGCTTATTTAGATAAACGGATAAATGTGTTTTCACGCATATTGTATACATATGAATATATAAATTATATGCACATACAGCATTGATATATGTGGATCACCTGAGTAACTTGGATATCACAACCAAGATGATCTTTCTGTATAAGCAAAACAATTTAAAGAAAATAACAATTGTGAATTAATGCATGGTACAGGGGAGGAATTTTGGGGTGCTCATGAAGGTCTGTTTTTAACGTGGATGATACTTACACAGGTCTTGATAAACGTTTGTTATAATGAATATATAGCTTCTGTGCTAGTTTCTATGTGTATTTTATTCACAATAAAATGCTTTATATATGAATAAAGTTAAAACTATTTACATTATTTTCTTTACATATTTCTAACATAAGAGTTATACATAGTCAAAGTTGGTATGTATATGTGAATATAAAATTTTGAAAAGTATGCACTAAAAATACAAGAAAAAGTGTTCTCTTTATAATCTCTATTTTTATAAATAACTGGCCTTTTATGGGAGAATTTAGTGAAGCTATTTTAAGTTTTCTAACAAAGTTTACCTTGGCTTAAGTTTCAATTTTCGTCTATTTCAAAAGACAAATGCAGATTCATAATCGGGAGTGATGGAAAATTGTTTACACTTACCTCTAATATCACTAGCATTTAATTTTAAACTAACAAAATTCTAACATGAAGTCTTGAACTTTTGTGTTCAGAATAAATGTGATTTCTAGTTGCGATCTACTTTGTTTTGTTTCTAAAGATTTTGTTTGAACATATATTAACTATAATGAAATAAAAGCCAAGAATAGCTTGAAGAGGGGGAAAAAAGAGAACTTAGGATCAAGGTTTCAAAATATTATGAAAAGGAAATAATCAAATGCAATACTTTGCTTTTATGTTGACCTTCTCATTCTGGTTCCTCACTCTCCATACTCCGTGAGAGGTTCTAAAGCCTGTGGCCATTGGTGAACTGCCAGGCAGGAGGTCACAATTCCCAGGCAGATGCAGCAGTCCTGTGTACCATTGATGGGATTCAGTAAAAAAGGACAAGGCCTAGATAGCCTCCAGAACAATTTTATTGTATATAATTGTTTTCAGGAGGAAAGATTAATTTGAAATCTCCGTATTTTGAATTCCAAAGTGACTTCACGTGGTAGAAAGAACATGAACTTTGGAATCAGATAGCAGGCATGGAAGGGAGATTGTCATCATTATAATTAATCCAAGTTAATTAGCTGTAACATCTGCAAGAATGTTTCTTCAGTCTGTGGAGTGGGTAACATCATAGGATTTTGAGGATGACATGGGACAACATATGAGAAAATGGGAGGCAAATTATTGATACTCAGTAAATGTTAATTCCTGTCTCTTCCTGCCCAAGCTAGTCTTCAAAGCATAACACCAGTAGCCTTCACAGCCAGCGGCCTTGTAGGTGAAGCAAGCTATTGGTACAGGTCCACATTGCCTAGTGCTGTGGCTGGAAGGAGTCAGTTTAATGCGAGGCAAACCACGTTTATCAACACAGGTCCTGCCTTCTAGACATTCTCCATATAAAGAGGCAATGTGGCTGGGTGCAGTGGCTCATGCCTATAATCCCAGCATTTTGGGAGGCTGAGACAGGCAGATCACCTAAGTTAGAAGTTCGAGATCAGCCTGGCAACATGACAAAACCCCATCTCTACTAAAAATACAAAAATCAGCTGTATTTCCAGCTATTTTGGGAAGCTGAGGCAGGAGGATTGCTTGAATCCAGGAGACAGAGGTTGCAGTGAACAGAGATCATGCCATTGCCCTCCAGCCTGGGCAACAGAGTGAGACTGTGTCTCAAAAAAAAAGTAAGAACATTAAATGTAGAGATACATAGACGGTCATGAGTATGTTTATTTGGTGTCCAGTGGACATGGAAATGATAGGGAAATACGTGTTGCAAGTAAACTCAATTGTTGTGATACATGGTCATTTTAGGGACCAAGGTGAAAAGCGATGCCTTGGGTCCCTTTAAATTGAGGCTGATCTTCACAATAGTTGATGCTTCTACTTGTTTCGGTCTTGAGTACCTTTCCCACCCCCATTTGTAGATTCTAGAAAGCACTTATTCCTAGAATCCCCTACAGTTGAGTGAATGATCTGTAGGCTTGCAGGAGCATATGTGTATATGTTTTGTTTTTGAGACAGGGTTTCTTTGTCGCCCAGGCTGGAGTGCAGTGGCAGGACCACAGCTCACTGCAGCCTCAACTTCCTGGGCTCAAGTGATCCGCCTCAGCCTCTCAATTATCTGGGACGAAAGACATGTACCTCCATGCCAAGCTAATTTTTAAATTTTTTGTAGAGATAGGATCTCGCTGTGTTGCCCAGGCTGGTCTTGAATTCTTGGGCTCAAGCAATCCTCCTGCCTCAGCCTCCCAAAGTGCTTCTGAAATTCATAGTAGGTGTCTCATAATTTTTGTTCCTGGGGACAAAATTTTTTTTGGCTCCTCTCTCACATTTGTTTCTGTTATTCTTTCTAATAAGAGACTTGCTTTGATAGCCCATAAGACTGTTGGAGAAGAGGAAAAAAAGATCACATGTGGTTGAAAGTAAATTTGGTTTGTGTTTTTATCTTGTATGTGTCTCTTCTCATCTTTCACACTGGCTTGGGGTATTGATGAGGCAGGATTTCCAGTGTCTGGGTCATTTCTTCTCAATGTTGGGAGTTCTCATTCAGTTTTGGTAATCGCATGGCCAACAAGCTGATTTGGGGAATATCAGATCATTCAGCTCACTCTGTGATCCATTGTTATGCTGGAAAAACATGGAGTACTCAGATGTATTTGAAAATACAGCCCTTTCTAGGGGATGCTCCAACTGAGTTTTTGGTATTTTACTTTAGCAAGTTTAAACTCCTCAATTCAGGGCCACCACTTAGATAACTGACTTGGTCTAAATGGAAAAGTTTGCTCATTGTCATAAAACATCCTATTAAATATTATATTTGAAAAAACATCATAAATAATTTAAGAAATAGTATAGATCCAGTATTAAGATGTCAAAATAGTTATTGTTGAAGACGATAGCTTTCCTAATAGTATTGATTAATAAGATATTTAAGAAAACTATCTGAGAACAATGGGGATGTGGTGTGTAAGGAAATTCATTTGTATGTGTTTATCACTGTTTTTGTTGTTTGTTCCTTTATTATGCCTTAAATCATAGCTAAAGCCAGATTTTCCAGAGAATTACAGAAGCTCTGTCAATTTTATGAACATCTTTACATAGTCACATGTGAATGCTTGTGCCTTTTTCAGAACAGTTGGGATCATATAAAGGGGAGCAGATATCTTATCAGTGTACAGGAGGGAAAGAGTGCTCAGTTTCTGAGAGATAATGGCATGTCCTGTAGGTGCCATGGAATTAAAAGTGAATGAATGAAGATGATGAACTTTAGAGTGAGGTTCAAGAAGGCAGGAGGAGAGTGTAAAAATGTCAGAAAAGCAGTGATGTGACCAACCCAGAATTATACATGGGTATTGAGGCGATCTAAATATTAAAGGAATTATAAGTGGCATCACCTACTTCACAACTCAATGTTATAGATCCTGCCATCTTTTAGCATTTTTTTTTTCAGTTGAGAACTCATGAGCCATAATGAACAGAAAGTTCTGAGTGCTGCCAACACCCACCTTGACTCCAGACTTCCTCTCCCCATGGGGCTGTCTTCTTTGGCCACCTGGTGCCTCTTCTCTGCCAGTGGGCCTCAGTCAGGCCCATCCATCTCAACTTACTAGATTATAAACACACAGAATCCACAAGGGGAAAGGGTGGCTGTAGACCTGTGATTCTCAAACTAGAACAGCAGCATCAGCATCACCTGGGAACGTCATAGAAATGCAGATTCTTGATCCTTACTGTATAGCCACTAACTCAGAAACTCTGGGATTGGGGCCTAGAACTTTGTTTTAATGAGCCCTTCAAGTTGTTCTGATACTTGCTAATGTCTGAGAACTTCAGAACAAGACCCTATGCATTCAAGACAGTATAGGTTTGAGAGCACAGTTTTTTCCAAAAGATCCATATGGTTTTAAGCTTGAAAAACTTTAGATATTTCAATGCCACCAGGGGCTAGGAGGGGCCAAGATCAATGACCAGAAACAGCTGCAGTTGGAGGCTCCCACTGAGAAGAACTAAAACTGTGAGTGAATCCTGCACCAGCAACTGAGGTACCAGGTTCTCTCACTGGGACTGACTAGGTGGTTGGTGTGACCCATGAAGAGTGAAAACAGGGTGGAGAGACCACCCACTCAGGAGCCACACAGGGCAAGGGGAGCTCCCACCCCACCCCCAGCCAAGGGAGGCAGTGAGTGACATTGCTACCCTCCCCAGGAAACCATGCTTTTTCCACAGATCTGTGCAACCTGTGGATCAGGAGTTCCCTTCATGAGCCCACACCACCAGGGCCTTGGGTCCCAAGCACAGAGCTGTGCAGATTCTCCATAGCCACTTGGCTGTAGACTGCCTAAGACTACAAGTTCCCGGGGAGAGAGGTGGCCATCATAATTGCGACTGCCTGCTGCCTAAGGCAACTGAGCTCCAGTCTGCCATTTTCCCCTGCCAGTGCCTGGGAGATTGGGTGGTTTGGACCTGGGAGGAATTCCCCACAGCACAGCACAGCAGCTGTGGCAGATCATGACCAGACTGCCTCTTTGGGCTGGACCCTGACCCATCTCTCCTCACCGGGCAGGGCCTCCCTGTGGGGATTTCAGCAACTCCAGCCAGGGGTTTACGGACAGAACTCTGATCTCCCTGGGACGATGCCCCTGGGCGAAGGAACAGCCGTGGTCTTTGTGGATCAGCAGACTTAGTCTCTTCCCCTTGCTGTCTCTGAGGAATCTGGGCAGTCCAGACAAGTGAGATTTCCTTCAGCGCAGCACACCCCCTCCGCCAAGAGGCAGCCAGAGTGCTTCGTTAAGCAGGTCCCTGATCTCATGACTCCTGACTGGGTGAGAACCCCTCCCCCAACAGAGGTCACAAGATACTTTATACAGGAGCATTCCCACTGGCATCAGGTCAGTGCCCCTCTGGGATGGAGCTCCCAGAGGAAGGAGCAAGCAGCCATCTTTGCTGTTCTGCAGCCTGCATTGGTGATGCCTCCAGGTGCAGGAGGAACCCAGGCAAATAGGGTCTGGAGTGAACCCCCAGCAAATGTCAGCATCCCTATGGAAGAGGGGCTTGACTGTTAAAAACAAACAGCAATAACAACAGTAGCATCAACAAAAGTCCCCACAAGAACCCCATCCAAAGGTCAGCAGCCTCAAAGATCAAAGCTCGATGAACTCATGAAAATTGAGAAAAAATCAACAAAAAAACGCTGAAAACAAAAATCCAGAGTGCCTCTTCTCCTTTAAATGATTGCAACTCCTCTCCAGCAAGGGCACAGAACTGGGCTGAGGCTGAGATGGATGAACTGACAGAAGTAGGCTTCAGAAGGTGGGTAATAACGAACTTCACTGAGCTAAAGGAGCATCTTCTAACCCAATGCAAAGAAGCTAAGAACCCTGATAAAACATTAAACAAGCTGTTAACCAGAATAAGCAGTTTAGTGGGAACATAAATGATCTGATGGAGCTGAAAAACAACATGAGAACTTCACAAGTATCAGTAGCCAAATAGACCAAACAGAGGAAAGAATTTTAGAGCTTGAAGACTATCTTGTTGAAGTAAGACAGGTAGACAAGATCAGACAGAAAAGAATGAAAAGGAATGAACACAACCTCTAAGAACTATGGGATTATGTGAAAAGACTGAACCTACAACTGATTGGGGTACCTGAAAGAGAAGGGGAGAACAGAGCCAAGTTGGAAAACATACTCCAGGATATCATCCAGGAGAATTTCCTCAACCTAGCAAGATAGGCCAACATTCTAATTCAGGAAATCCAGAGAACTCCAGTAAAATACTCCATGAGAAGATCAACCCCACGACACACAATCACAGATTCTCCAAGGTTGAAATGCAGGAAAAAAATGTTAGGGGAGCCAGAGAGAAACACTAGGTCACCTACAGGAGAAGCCCATCAGAGTAACAGCGGATCTCTCAGCAGAAACCCTACAAGCCAGAAGAGATTAGGGGCCAGTATTCAACCTTTTTAAAAGAATTTCCAACCCAGATTTTCATATCCAGCCAAACTAAGCTTCATACTGGAAGGAGAAATAAAGTATTTTTTAGATAAGCAAATCCTGAGAGAATTTGTCACCACAAGGCCTGTCTTGCAAGAGCTCCTGAAGGATGCATTAAATATGGAAAGGAAAAAACATTACTACAAAATCACACTGAAGTACAAAGACCAATGACACTGTGAAGCAACTACGTCAACAAGTCTGCAAAATAACCAGCTAGCATCATGACAGGATCAAATTCACACATAATATTAACCCTAAATGTAAATGAGCTAAATGCCCCAATAAAAAGACACAGAATGGCAAGCTGGGTAGAGAGTCAAGACCCATTAGTGTGCTGTGTTCAAGAGATCCATCTCCTGTGCAAAGACACATGTAGGCTCAAAATAATGGAGAAAAATTTACCAAGCAAATGGAAAGAAGAAAAGAACAGGGTTGCAATCCTAGTTTCTGATAAAACAGACTTCAAACCAACAGAGATAAAAAAAGAAAAAAAGACAAAGGGCATTACATAATGGTAAAGGGTTCAATTCAACAAGAAAAGCTATCCTAAATATATATGCACCCAGTACAGGAGCACTCAGATTCATAAAACAAGTTCTTAGAGAACTACAAGGAGACTTATACTTCCACACAATAATAGTGGGAGACTTTAACACCCCACTGTCAATATTAGATCATCGAGAGAAAATTAACAAAGATTCTGGACTTGAACTCAGCTCTGGATCAAGTGAGCCTATTAGATAGCTACAGAACTCTCCACCCCATAACAATAGAATATGCATTCTTCTTAGCACCACTTGGTACTTATTCTAAAATTGATCACATAATCAGAAGTAAAACACTCCTTGGCAAATGCAAAAGAACTGAAATCATAAAAACATTCTCTCAGATCACAGGGCAATCAAATTAGAACTCAAGAGTAAGAAACTCACTCAAAACCACAAAACTAAGTGGAAACTGAAAAACCTGCTCCTGAATGACTCCTGGGTAAATAATGAAATTAAAGCAGAAATCGAGAAGTTCTTTGAAACCAATGAGAACAAACAGACAACATACCAGAATCTCTGGAATGCAGCTAAAGTAATGTTAAGAGGAAATTTTATAGCACTAAATGCCCACATCAAAAGGCTAAAAAGATCTCCAATTGGCCGGGCATGGTGGCTCACACCTGTAATCCCAGCACTTTGGGAGGCTGAGGCAGGTGAATCACGAGGTCAGGAGTTCGAGACCAGCCTGGCCAATGTGGCGAAATCCCATCTCTACTAAAAATAAAGAAAATTAGCTAGGCATAGTGGTGGGTGCCTGTAATCCCAGCTACTTGGGAGGCTGAGGCAGGAGAGTTGCTTGAACCCAGGAGGCGGAGGTTGCAGTGAGCCGAGATGGTGCCACTGCACTCCAGCCGTGCCGACAGAGTGAGATTCCATCTCCAAAAAAAAAAAAAAAAATCTCAAATCAGCATCCTAACATCACAACTAAAAGAACTAGGAAACCAAAAGCAAACAAACCCCAAAGCTAGCAGAAGACAAAAAATAAACAAGATCAGAGTGGAACTGAAGGAGATAGATACACGAAAAACCCTTCAAAAAATCAATTTATAAATTCAATGCTATTCCCATCAAGCTACCATTGACATTCTTCACAGAACCAGAAAAACTACTTTAAAATTCATATAGAACCAAAATCCCATATAGCCAGGACAATCTTAAGCAAAAAGAACAAAGCTTGGAGGCATCACACTACCCAACTTCAAACTATACTACAAGGCTACATTAACCAAAACAGCATGGTACTGGTACAAAAACAGACACATAGACCAATGGAACAGAATAGAAAACTCAGAAATAAGACCACACATCTACAACCATCTGCTCCTGGACAAAACTGGCAAAAGCAATGGGGAAAAGATTCCCTATTTAATTAATGGTGTTCAGAGAACTGGCTAGTCATATGCAGAAAATCGAAACTGGACCCCTTCATTACACCTTAAACAAAAATTAACTCAAGATGGATTAAAGAGTTAAATGTAAACCCCAAAACTATAAAAACCCTAGAAGAAAATCAAAGCAATACCATTCAGGACATAGGCACAGGAAAATATTTCATGACAAAAATGTCAAAAGCATCTGCAACAGAAGCAAAAATTGACAAATGGGATCTAATTAAACTAAGGAGTTTCTGCACAGCAAAACTATGAGTGAATAAACAATCTACAGAATAGGAGAAAATTTTTGCAATCTGTCCATCTAACGAAGTTCTAATATTCAGAATCTACGAGGAACTTTTGCAACCTATCCATCTGACAAAGATCTAATATCCAGAATCTACAGGAAAAAAAATCTAATTAAAAAGTTGGCAAAGACATGAAACAGACACTTTTCAGAAGACATTTATGTGGCCAACAAGTATATGAGCAAAAGCTCAACATCACTGGTCATTAGAGAAAGGCAAATCAAAACCGCAATGAGATACCATTTCATGCCAGTCAGAATAGCAATTATTAAAAAGTCAAGAAATAACAGATGCTGGCAAGGATGTGGAAAGAGAGGAATGCTTTCACACTGTTGGTGGGAATGTAAATTAGGTCAACCATTGTGGAAGACAGTGAAATGATTCCTCAAAGACCTAGAACCAGAAATACCATTTGACCTAGCAATCCCATTATGGTGTATGTACCCAAAGGAATATAAATCATTCTCTTATAAAGATACATGCACATGTATGTTCATTACAGCACCATTCACAATAGCAAAGACACAGAATCAACCCTGGATGAAGAAAATGTGGTACATATACCACTGTGAAACACTATACAGCCATTAAAAGGAACGAGATCATGTAGTTTGCAGGGACATGGATGGAGCTGGAAGCCATTATCCTCAGCAAACTAACACAGGAACAGAAAACCAAACACCACATGTTCTCACTTACAAGTAGGAGCTGAATAGTGAGAACACATGGACACAGGGAGGAGAACAGCACATACTGGGGCCTATCGAGGGGTGTGGGAGAGCATCAGGATAAATAGCTAATGCATGCAAGTCTTAATACCTAGGTGATGGGTTAATAGGTGCAGCAAACCACCATGGCACACATTTACCTATGTAACAAACCTGCACATCTCGCACATGTATCTTGGAACTTTAAAAAAGGTAATGAAAAAAATAAGTAAATGCAAATTTCAAGGTTACCCTAATTTTAAGGTTACTTATCTATGTTTCTTTTACACTTATTGAACTTTGCAAGTTTTGAAAAATTCTTGTTTCTATCCTTCTGGTTGAAGGATAGAATGCAAAGGTTTATTACAAGAAACATCTTGCAGATGTTTATTACAATAAATTAAAATTTTATTTTCCAAATTTCACAAAACAAAGTGCAAAATAAATATAAATAGTCTTTTGAATAATAGGGTTTTTCGTTTTGTTTTGTTTTGTTTTTGAGACAGGATCTTGCTCTGTTACCCAGGCTGTAGTGCAGTGGCGCAATCTTGGCTCACTGCAAACTTCGCCTCCTAGGTTCAAGCGATTCTCCTGCTTCAGCCTCCCTAGTAACTGGGATTACGGGCATGTACCACCATGTCTGGCAATTTTTATATTTTTAGTGGAAACGCAGTTTCATGATGTTGGTCAGGCTGGTCTCGAACTCCTGACCTCAAGCAATCTGCCTGCCTCGGCCTCCCAAAGTGCTGGGATTACAGGCGTGAGACAATAAGCCCGGCCTGAATAATGCTTTAAAAGTTTGTAGCCATAAAGGCTTGTTTCGGTAAAGGAGCTGGACTATTGTTACCTTGCTCCTGGGTGGAGAAGTTCAGATAGTCACAGAAAGATTTCTTTAAATCAAATACATCTAGAAGTACAAATATCTTAGGGCTTATCATAGTATCACATCACCAATGCAGAAGGCTGTGCTGCACAAACATGTGACATTGTGCAGTGCAGAGGGCCCAGGGGGAGGAGATGCAGGATCTGAAACTTTATCCTGGCTCACCCTTTGTGAACCATAGAATGCTTCACTTCTTTTAGCTTCAGTTTCTCAATCTCCAAGCGTTTAACATTATCCAACCCTGACCTACTCATGATTGTCTTCAAAATAAAGTGAAATAAATTTACATGAAATAACCTTGACAATCAAGTGCTAATTCGTTATAAGGTTATTACAATTTATATTTTATAGCAACAATAATAGAATGATAGCTGCTATTTAGTGAACCAGACACTGGCTCACTGCTGTGAGCCAGACACTGTTAAGCATCTTATATGCATTATCTAATTTAACTTCACATCTTGAGATAGGTACTGTTATACAGTTGAAGAAATTGAGATACAGAAAGATTAAACATCTTGTCTAAGACTACCTACCCAGTAAGAAACAGACCCAGGTTTTGAATCTAGAATGCCTGACTTCAAAGGCTGTATCCCTATCAACCCACACACTGTCTCTCTGTCACAGTAGCTTGCCCACCACTGGGCTCTGCCCAACCATTGTCTCTAAGCTGGAAATGTAGCTCACCCCCACCTCTGTACCTGCACCAAGTCTCAATACACCCCTCTTCAACTGTCCATGTTTAAGTCAGCACTCATTGCTCATGAGGATACACACGCTTACATCATGCTTATAGGAGTAGTCATTGGTGGAACTTTCTGGAGAGTGATTTGGCAATCAAAAGCTTCTAAGTCCTGTTCAGGAGTACAGCAGGTTTTTGAATATCATTTTGTTCAATGTCATTTCGTTATAACATTGAGAATTTTTTTTTTTTTTTTTTTTGAAACAGAGTCTCTCACTCTGTTGCCCAGGCTGGAGTGCAGTGGCGCGATCTCTGCTCACTGCAAGCTCCGCCTCCTGGGTTCACACCACTCTCCTCCTGCAGCCTCCCGAGTAGCTGGGACTACAGGCGCCCGCCACCACGCCCGGCTAATTTTTTGTATTTTTCTTAGTAGAGACGAGGTTTCACCATATTAGCCAGGATGGTCTTGATCTCCTGACCTCATGATACGCCCGCCTCGGCCTCCCAAAGTGCTGGGATTACAGGCGTGAGCCACTGCGCCCGGCCAAGAAAAAAATTTAATTCCCAGCTGGGGCTACTGTGAGAATCTGCATATTCTCCCCATGTCTTCATGGGGTTTCTTCAGGTATTCCAGTATTTGTTACTGTTTTTGAACTGTATTGTGGTAGGAGGCACTCCTTAAATTTTACTTTGCAAACATTTATTCCTTGATTTAACCCACCACCACTATGATCCCAGTCACGCACTAATTCTCCAAAAATTGTGTACATGATTATCTTACTTGTTTTTATTAACTTTTCTTAAATGTGTCTATAGCTGACATTTATTTCAATGTTTAATGTTAGAAGTATTTCAGGTCTTTACTTAGAAGTTTGATGTTTTTGTGACCAGAAACATGCTATAGAAACTTACCTCTTCTTTATGTCAATTAGCCGATGGTAAAATTGGTTTCATCTTACGTTGTTTCACTTAATGTTGTCATTTCCAAGAACCCATCAATGATGTGAAGTGAGGACTTACGATATATACTAAAGAAATTACCAAGATTCATGTAAACAATGTCCACTAAAGGATTGTATGTATTAGCATAGAAATTTAGATTATACAAATGTACAAAAAAAAAAAAAGAAAAGTTAAGCCATGGTTTGTCCCTCTGATGGAATATAATGTAGCCAATGAATTTCCTGTGTTCACAAAATATTTAATAGAAAAGATTTATAATTCAAATTAAAGCAAGGAATAAAATCGTATAAAGAATACAGCCTGGATTTTGTTTATTGTGTATAGGCATTATACAATAAAATGTAAACAGCATATATGAGAATTAGGATTAAGGAATGTGTGTCATTTATTCATGCTTTACATTTTCCAAACTTACCCAACCAAAGTATAGTTTATTATTTAGAAAATAAGTATGACTAAACTTTTTTGTCGATGTCCACCAAGTTCAATGAATTTCTCTTTCAATAGAATTTCTCACAAATTTTCCATTCTACACAGCCTGCATTTTTTTCATGTTAAAAAGCAAACAAAAACAGATCGAGTGGCATGATGTTTTGGCTTGTGAGAAAAGGCCAATGGCGATATCTGATTCCTTTGTAAGTCATCTGGTTTTTCACCTGAGCCTCAAACGAGGTAAACACAGAAGGAAAATCTATGGCTGGCAGAAGTATCCAGAGATGTGTGGGTGGGAAGAGGGAACAGACTCCACAGAAGAGGCCTTGGATCTGCTGCTGACTGCAGAGGCCATGTGTTTTCTCAGAGTCCTTCTGGAATTCTCTGCTCAGTGTTTTGGGAAATGCTTCCTGAAGAAAGAAAAAAAAACAAAAAACAAACAAAGAATGTGTTCAATCCAGAATCACCTGCAATCCACGTAACTCATGGATACATTTCTTTATTGTCACCACAACCAAGAACCAGGGAAGTCTGTACTGAAAACACAGTTGTGTTGAAATCATGAAATAAATCCAAAATCTGTTGTGATAAATCTCCGTGTCAGAGTTGGGGGATTTTTATGGGTGTAATGCTTTTTAGAATTTGGCTCTTAATTTTCAACTTTGTAAAAATTCTTGTTTGCTTAAAATAGCCATCTCGACTGTTAAAGCAATATTTGAATGCAAATATATAATACAAGAGATTATTGGCAGTGAGGGTTAATGATTCCAGTTAGGACTGTAAAATCTGCACTTCTGGCTGAGGGATGAGGACAGATGGATTAAGTAACTGGAGAATTTCAGCATTCAGAGAATATCATTCCAATAAATAGCTTTATAGTTATTTTGTGACTGATGAAAACCAACAAAAATGTATTAACTTTTTAAAAATCACTGTATCAACACAGCACCCAATTACATCCACTGCTGCAGGTAGGAGGCATTGTGCCAAATTGGGTTAATTTGTGTCTGTCTTTAGTGTCAGGATCTTATGATTTTGAAAAAACATGTTTCAGAGAAGAAAACAATGCTCATTTTGGCAATCAGCCAAATTCAGCTCAACTCAAAATCATTATGGAAATTGGATATACATGGTTCAGATGGATGATATACTGTCAGGAAACATGACTTCAGATATTCTGAATCTTAGAGTCAACTTTGTTGCCTTCTGTAGGTTTTGTCAGCTAATTGGCATGTGTGTGTGCAGGCGCACATGAGCATGTAAAACTGCAACACGTTTCCTTTTCCTGTATGCATACCTTGACATTCATTTGAAAAGTTCACCATGCAAGAAGTTGCTTAGCAAACATCTGAACAGATGGGTTTTTTTCTTAAAAACTACCATTGCTTCATTGTCAAATCAAAGAGGTCAACATAACCTATGCTGAATTCAACTTAACCCAAGAACTCATCTCTGTTGACGGACCAAGGGATGCAAAGGAACGTCTTCAAGAAGAACTACAAACCAATGCTTAAGGAAATAAGAACACAAACAAATGGAAAAACATTCCATCCTCATGGATAGGAAGAATCAATATCATGAAAATGGCCATATTGCCCAAAGTAATTTATACATTCAATGCTATCCCTACCAAGCTACCATTGACTTTCTTCACAGAATTAGAAAAAAACTACTTTAAATTTCATACGGAACCAAAAAAGAGCCTGTATAGCCAAGACAATCCTAAGCAAAAAGAACAAAGCTGGAGGCATCATGCTGCCTGACTTCAAACTATACTACAAGGCTACAGTAACCAAAACAGCATGGTACTGGTACCAAAACAGATATATAGACAAATGGAACAGAGCAGAGGCCTCAGAAATAACACCACACATCTACAACCATCCGATCTTTGACAAGCCTGACAAAAACAAGCAATAGGGAAATGATTCCCTATTTAATAAATGGAGTTGGAAAAAACTGGCTAGCTATATGCAGAAAACTGAAACTGAACCCCTTCCTTACACCTTATACAAAAATTAATTCAAGATGGACTACAGACTTAAATGTAAGACCTAAAACCATAAAAATCCTAGAAGAAAACCTAGGCAATACCATTCAGAACATAGGCATGGGCAAATACTTCATGTCTAAAACACCAAAAGCAATGGCAACAAAAGCCAAAATTGACAAATGGGATCTAATTAAACTAAAGAGCTTCTGCACAGCAAAAGAAACTATCATCAGAGTGAACAGGCAACCTACAAAATGAGAGAAAATTTCTGCAATCTATTCATCTGACAAAGGATAGAGATCCTTTCACACCATTCTAACAATTTGACAAGCAAATGAGTGCTATTTTTTTTAAGTTTTAAAACAAAGACTCTGGAAAGCCATATGTTTGTGGCAGGATACAATTTTCTAGCTCATTCAGAATTTCCATTAGTTGTAACTTGGCATCCAGAGGGCTCAATCATTCTCATATTTAGTGTGATATTAGTGTGCAACCTCATAGTACCTAAACATTTTCTCCCCCCTCTTTTATTTTATTCTTCTTAGCACTGCTCTTTTCTAAGTAAGTCCAGGAACCTCCAAGCTGGTTTTGATCTGTGGTGAAACTCCAGGAGTGGGCTAAAAAGGTGGAGGGGCTAAAAAGCTGGACCACAGCTGAGACCCAGGAACAGCCTACCTGGTCCCATTTTGTCTGCCACTGGCCTGCTCTCAGAGCTGGCTTATAATATGGGTGTACTCGGTAGTGGGTTTTAGTTTGGGTTTCCCTGGAAACCACCCTGAGACAACGACTTAAGTTCATGAAGTTTATTTGGGAGGTTATCCCAAGGAGCACTTGGGGGAAAGTGAGACAAGGCAGGGAAGTCAGCCAGTAGAGTGGTCAGAAGCAAGTTACTTCTGTGGGTTTCTGGAGCTTAATCCAGCTGGGAACTCTGGGAATCATATAAAGTTAGAGCCTGGGGCAAGGGAGCTGTCAGTCATTGGTTCAGGGCTGTTCCCAGGGAGGTATTAGTTCCCAGGCACTTTCCTGTTTCTCACTTTAGGCTGCCAGCGGGTGTGCAGACTCTGGTAGCCAGAGAAAGCCTTCAGGCAAAGTGATGCAGAGGCCAGCTGTGGGCAGTTGGCCCCACAAACATGGAAAGTGTGAGGACAGAGGGGATGTGGGTGGGTTCCCAATAGTGTCTGCTGCAAGCATCTCCTTGTAACTTAATGTCCACTTCATCCACGTGTCGCATGTACTCTTCTGTGCCATTTTAAGGGGAGCTACCTTTTCCTGATCTGCCCACTGATTAGAAAATAGCCAAGTTTAACATACAGCCAACATGAGTTATAGCTGAAGACAGCAGTGAATATGATGACAAGAGAAGATCCATTAACAAACAATTGATTTAGAATTCTGTTTATAGTTATTTTATGAATGGCTTGTTCTTGGCTCACTGCAACCTCTGCCTCCCAAGTTCAAGTGATCCTTCGGCCACAGCCTCCCAAGTAGCTAGAATTACAGGCACGTGCGTCGTCACACCCGGCTAATTTTTGTAATTTTAGTAGAGATGGGGTTTCACCAGGTTGGCCAGGCTGGTCTTGAACTCCTAACTTCAAGTGATCTGCCAGCCTCGGCCTCCCAGAGTGTTGGGATTACAGGAGTGAGCCACTGTGCCCAGCCAGCTTTGTTCTCTTAATCATTACTTTAACATCAAAATGTGTGTAAAAACTGACTGAATACTGTGCCTGCTATGGGGGTGGAAACAAAGTGTTGATTAACACTGTTTTATGCCCCAGTCCACAATGTATCATCTCCTTCTTTCTCAGGACACTCACCAAGGGCCTAGGAATGGGTGCAAGTTTCCTCCGCCCCCAACTTCCCAGAGAATTGCCCAGCTGGGTTCAGAACCACGGACAGTGACATAGGAGACAGCACACCCCTGTGCCCAACAATTCTGGACATAATGATCTTGTGACAGATCCCTCTTTTGATCTTGGGAATCCCCAGCCCCCTTGACCATGTTTGTTGAATGTTCAGGAAAATGTTCATTATCTCTTCCAAACTCAAGGAGTGAGACTTTCAGTAGTTGTGGCTCTGAACCCCCTTCCAGCCTAACTGCTAATGGCCAGTGGAGAAACTCGGTGCTCTGAAAACTTGCTGCTTTGTGTCCTCACTGCTAGTGGCATCTGGTTTTAAGTGGTGCTTATAAATGAGTCTAGGAAGAAAGGGATAGAACTGACTGATGGCTTTGTCAAATCAATTTAGACACCCTTAGGCTTAAAATGTGGCTTCCATATGACTTCGGGTCCAATGATGCTGGCAGATGAAAATGAGATGGAGAGTCAGTGAGCTCTGGCTTAAGCTGTACTTACATTTATGTAGTGCCTTCATGACTTGATATCCTTTATATGTTACTAAATGAATTTTTATCTGAAACAGAGCCAAAATTGCCATCATGGAGGCTTATCCTTGTGAGCATGCATAGAAACAGGTGAAAAGTTCTTCTCCCCCAGTTAAAGGGAACTTGGACCCCAAGGTAGCTAAATAGAATATTCCAGGAATGCCAAATACCCAGGATTCCTTACAAATAACAACAGTGTAAAGGCACAACTTGTTCATGGGTGAATCAATAAAAGCCAGTTTGATGCCCTGTTCTTAGCTTCTTTTTCTCAAAAGGGCTTTAGCAATGTTGTCTACACCCATTTTTCAAAAATGAGAAAATAGAAGCACAGAAGTCAAAAATAACTTGTGTAGTACCAGAATTCCACCTCCAATGACCTGTCCCACCTGCTGTGCCACACTAAGAAGTGTGCACTCTTAGCTTCCATGCTTCTATATTGTGTGGTTTAAGGGAAACTGCAAGGAAGAAGAAGTGATATACAAGTGATCTGGCTGGCCCTGGGGAGCTTAATCAGTATTTGGTTTATTTTAAGATAACCTGAACTGGAGATAGTGATAAGAAAGGTTACCCGGTGTTTTCCAAGGAAGAGCTGAGTGGAAAGTTGAATTTGGACAAAGGCTCTATCTATCCTGGCAGAGAGTGGTGTGGACAGCTTGCAGACACTCACCTGTGTGTTGTGTGTTTGCTGTGATGTTCTGGCCGCTGTGCAGGTGATCTTACACTCCTGCCACATTCTGCCTTCCAAGAGTCTGAAGTCTCAGGAACTAGGTCATGTTGTAAAAACCAATTAAATAGAAACTTAGTTAGCAAGCCAGGAAGGTCCGTGGTAATGAGCCAAATCATCTCCTAAGAAGAGAAACAGACCCTGAAGATGAGTCATAACAGGAGGTAAACAAAGATAAACTGCAGTGACCCCCTGGACTTTCCTTTTCAGCACAGATTGTTTTGCCCCTATCAGTGGAATGTTAATGACTCACGTCCATCCACGAGGTCCTGTTGCAACAACAAACACTGGCAGCTACTATCGGCCACTTGACATATTTGCTGGCCCTTCTCATTTTCACTGGCTCTTTCTTATCCCCCAGCCTTAATGAAAAGTTGCAGATACTTGCATTCCTAGCAAGGAAGAAAAAGTAGAGGTCTTTTTGAAGAGGAAAGTCTGTGTCCTTGTCCCCTTTCCTTGGCATCATGGTATCTATGTATAAGGACAACTTTGCTCTCCAGAGTTGATAAGAAAAAAAAAAACAAACTGTAATCCCAGCACTTTGGGAGGCTGAGGCGGGTGGATCACTTGAGGTCAGGAGTTTGAGACCAGACTGGCCAACATGGCAAGACCCCATCTCTACTAAAAATACAAAAGTTAGCTGGGCGTGGTGGGACATGCATGCAATCCCAGTTATTCAGGAGGCTGGAGCAAAAGAATCGCTTGAACCCAGGAGGCGGAGGTTTCAGTGAGCAGAGATCGCACCACTGCACTCCAGCCTGGCGACAGAGTGAGACTCCATCTCAAAAAAATAAAAGTAAAAGCACAAATGTTGCTTGAGCATCAAAATAGGGCAAGCACAGTTCTTCAGCTTTACTTGGATTACCCCTTTTGTCCTCTCCTCAAACCTGTAAAGTAGATCCTCTTACTATGCCCATTTTGCAGATAAGAAAACTGAGGTTCGGGGAGATTAACTTCTTGAAGTCATAGCTGGAAAGTGGCAGAGGCAGGAAATGAACCAAGGTAGCCTGACACCTCAGCCTGTCTCCTCTGCTGCCTCCTCCCCTGCCTATCTCTAAAGATGACTTTATGAGAGTTAGAGGGGAGCAACATAGAGCCAGCAGAGCTTTTAAGGTAGTGTTTATTGCCCCAAAATAATTTTTCTTACTATTTAATTAATTTTCATCAAACTTAAGGATTACTTTGGACTTGTGACAATCCAGGTGAACTGCTGCTCAAAGATAGACTCAAAATATCGTGCGTTTCAGGTCTCAGAAACTTGGAACATAGTAACTCTGAGAAGACATGAGCAGAGGAGAATCTCAACCCAGATTTGGAAATGATACCATTTATGGACACATTGCAGCTGAAGGCCATGCTTAGGAGAAGTGGCCCCCCTCCTGGGTGTAGAGACAGTGCTTAGTACATGCCTGGCACATAGTAGGCATTTAATAAATAGATGCTATTTTTAAGACTCATTGTGTTTATGCCTGAACAATTGCTCTTCAAATAAAACATGACTGTTATTTGTGTAGCTACAATGCCAGCTAGCAAACTTTACAGACAGATGTGTGGCTCAGCGCAAAGAACGTGTAGGTTGCAACCGTGTACATTTTCTACTCTGGGCCTCATTCTAGTTCTCCTCTTTCTTCCTACCCTTCTTGTTGTTGCACCTCTGCACTTCTTACTTCTGTTCCCTTGTGTTTTATGTATTACTTTACATATCCTTATATCATCTTTGGAGATAGCTAAACATGCATAAATTTAAAAAGTAAAATAAACATCAGAGCTTCCTGCTTCTCAGCTTTGCAAACATAAAAGTAAAACCATGTGTGTCGGAACCTGGCCCCTTGGGTTATTGTAATTCTAGGCGTAAAGTGAGCTAGGATCAGGAAACTCAGAAATCGGAATTATAGAGGTTTATTGATGACCACTGAAAAACCTAAGGAATTGTGGCCAAAAAAAAACTTAAAATGTGTCTGCTGAAACTGATGACTTCTCCTTGATGTTTTAGTGATTGGAAAGGCATTCTGTGTCGTGGCAAAGGGTACTCTGGGGCAAGGATGAAGTGTTTGCTCTTTAAAGTCAGCAGATGCCGCTTAGATTAGAATTGTAGCCTCCTTTTTTTTTTTTTTTTCAAGGAAAGGAAAGAAAAAAAAAAAAACAGGAGAGCATGCCTAAATTCCCCAAAGGAAGTCTGTATTCCATAGAAAACAAACACCCCGCCAGCAGCTACCCTCACACGCACAGGGCTCCAACCTCGGAGTCTGGGCCAGCCGAAAATGTCAGGGTGGCTTTCCAAGTCAGACTAGCTTGTGAGATTGCTGGTGTTGGCTGCATGGAAGGCTGAACTGCAGGAAAACAAAGTGCCAGATTAAAGCAGAGTGACAGCCGCTCTCAAAATGACTCACTGGGAGGGCCACGTGCGGATGGAGGAGCCGTGTCAGGGGCGCTACCAAGAGTCCAGGCATGGCAGTCAGCACTTATTAAACGCCACTGATTTAGCATCAGTGTATTGGATACGGTAAAAGATTCAGGTCCAGCATCTTTGAGCCTCAATTTTCGTATCGGTAATATGGGATCCGTAACTGTTTGGGATGAGGCTTTGTAATCTAAATGTTGCTATGTAAAAGATGCAGAATTGGTCCCTCCCTTGAAGGGCTTATGAACTGACTTTACAAATTTGCGATAGGCATATGGTGTGGTGTATATGAGGGTTCATTGGAAAGGATAGTAAAGCCACGGCCCCATGCAAGATGGTGATGATACTGCTGTTCTCGTTGTGGCTACTGGGGTCCCTGCAGGCTGAACTGCATATCAGCAGAGCTGTGCAAGTCCCCTGTTCCTCCAGTAGCTAGCCCGTGATGGCCCAAGTGTGGCATAGGGGGTCTTCTCTCCCCCTGCTTCCTGGGAGACAGCCGGGCATAACAGAAGGAGCACAGGCTTGGAGCCAGTCAGACATGAGTCTGAACTCCAGCACTGAGCCCCCATTTCCATGTCTCTAATATGAGGTACAAAGCACTACTTGAGATAAGCCCTCTAATGTTACCATTGCCAGGCCCGTCCCCGTTTTCTCTAAAGTGTAGCCATTGCTAATTTTCAGGATAGCCAGAAGCTATCTTCTCTGTCACCTCGAGATTCATGGGCTATCTCTGCCACCAAAAGTTCCCACCCAGCAGATCACCCCTGTCTTCCTTGATGGAACTAGGAGCTGGCCACCTGTCCTGCCACCTGCCTCCAGACTTACCTGACTGTGGTGTCGGAAGTTCCACACTGAAGTTAGGCCTGAGCAGCCTGAGAAATTGCCACAAAGGAAGTATACAGTTGAAAAGCGTCCTTTCCTGGACAGCCAGACAAGAGAGACACCTCAGTACCTGGACTTGTCCCTCCTTTGGGGCCTGGATTACTTTCCCGCTAATTCTTCCCAACACCTGCACCTGTGCCCTTTCTTGAATTTTTTTGTTTTGTTTTGTTTTTTTGAGACAGTCTCTCTGTCACCCAGGTTAGAGTGCAGTGGCACAATCTCCGCTCACTACAATCTCTGCTTCCCCGGTTCAAGCGATTCTCATGCCTCAGCCTCCCGAGTAGCTGGGACTACAGGTGCCTGCCACCACACCCAGCTAATTTTTGTATTTTTAGTGGAGATGGGGTTTTGCCATGTTGGCTGGGCTGGTCTCGAGCTCCTGACCTCAAGTGATCCACCCGCCTCCCAAAGTGCTGGGATTACAGGCATGAGCCACTGCTCCTGGGCTCTTTCAATTTTCTTAAATGGACAAACCTCACCCTCTGCTTTAAGAAAACCACACATCCTCCAAAGAAGTCTCATTTTCTTTTTTCCCTCCTGTCGTAGAGGTGCTCTGATGTCTCCTGCCCAGGTTTCTCAGGCTGTGGGTGCAGGATGGGCTCTGAGTGGGAGGTAAGAGGAAAGGGGTGCTGATGTTCCCACATCTTCACCCTCCAGTGAGAGCCGTGGGCCTGCTCTTTGTCTTACCCGGGATTTGTTCCCTAAACACATATCTCAATAATACCCTTTTCCTCATCAACAGCCAGCCAGCTCCATGTCATCTAGCAGACAGTGTGCTGTTTCTAAGAGCAGGACCCTGAGAAAGTCCCTGAGAGTGGAGACTCCCCACTATGGGGTCTTTCCTGCCCTGGGCCTGCCAGCACCACAGGAAGGCGCTCAGCACTTCGTGCCTCTCTGTCTGTCATACAGGGAATGGCACGTGGCCAGCACATTCTTTAATTCTGTTCCTCTAATGGATGAGTTGAGGGCAGTGGGGTTTCTAACTCCTGCTGAAATTAGAAAGGTTCCCTTGTACCCCCTTGCAGGGCATGCAGCAGGCACTGTTGCTCTTTGCTTCAGTGCCCCACTGCTCAAACCTTGAGGGGAGCATACAGATGGGCAGGTTGTGGGGCTCCAACCCCACGGCTGTGTCTAGGGGTAGATGTTTACAGCTCCTGAAGCCCCAGTGGGCATGTGCTATCATGTGCTCTTTCAGTTTTGCCATCTATAGGTGGCTTGTGTTAACCAGGTCAATTAGACCCTGGGCACAGGCCCAGGGATGGAGCCCTAGCCAGGGACCACACCCTTCTCTACCCAGCACTTCGCTTCTTTGGTATCATTTAAAGGGACCACACCTTTCCCAGCACTTCCCTTCCTGCCTTCCTTCCATATCACACCGCTACTGTAGCTCTTAACGATTGCTGGAAGTAGAAACTTGTGTAAACTACCTCAGGTGAAAAAGAAGATTTATCATATGGCTACAGAGGAACTATTAAGCCCAAAAACAAAAAATGAAGGATACATGAGCCTCATGTGAACAAGAAATGGAAATCAAGGGCTAAGGTCATTTTCTCCGTCTCATGAAATGCCTGTTCTGTCTCTCGATGGATTCCGAGTCTGTTCCATTTTGCCTCTTTTTGATCATGTTCCTGTGCTTTTCAACTTACATGGATTCCCCCAAATGGCTACATCAGCTATAGAGTGGGTAGAGTTGTGCTCACAACAGCCTGCTGATGACATCAATCTCTTATGAAGAGAGGTTGGTTAATGGTTACAAATATGCAGTTAGAAGAAATAAGACCTAATGTTTGACAGATCAGCAGGGTGACTATAATTAGCAATAATCGATTGTACATTTCAAAGAAGCTAGAACAGAATAATTTGAATGTTCCTCGTGGAAAGATAAATGTTTAAGGTGATGGATATCCCACTTACCCAGATTTAATCTTTACACATTATATGAATGTAAGAAAATATGTACATCTGCTGTGTATCCATAAAATAACTTTCAAACCTCCTAAGCAAATTTGATTGGCTCAGCCCAACTGTAAATGGATCTCTTCAAGGCTGGTGTTCACTGATGATGGAGCAAGAGGTTCTAAAGTGTGATGTGGGCAAGGGCCTTTCAGGAGCTCTGAATATGTCAAGTTCTCTAGAACTAGAACATAATCGTTATCATTCTGATTAAATGCCATCAATTAGTGCCATCATCAGTGCTCCACTGCTCGTCTTGAACTTCTCTGTCTTCTGTATCTTTGTATCTCTGAAGTTGGAATGTGTTTTTATTGGCAGTTAGTTAGGCACCAGTTAGGGTATAGTTGCCAGTACTTGCAAGTGCACAAACAGCAAACATAGCAGCATAAAAACGAAGTCAGGGTTTCAGCTGCTGGAAAGAAAGTCCTGAAGACACAGGACTCTGGTAGGGAGTGGTGAATCCCTTGTCTTCAGCAGTATTCTCAGAGCAGGGGTCAGACATAGGCTCTAGGTCCTTCCAGAGCCAGCTGAATGGGGCTGGTACTAATGACTGGTAGCTCTCACCACCGATGCTCCTGATGGTATAAAGGACAGTGTTTTGTGATAAAGCTCAGGAGCTGATGACAGTAAGAGAGATTCAGGAGAATCAGAATCCATATGCAAAGACATTTTAAGACCATCTTAACTAGTCTATGTTTCTTTATGCATGCATGCAATATACAATAATCAGGAAAAAATGTATTTTAATCAATATGGAAGAATTTTAGTGATAAGGAAGCATTTATGAAAGTTGAATTGGCAACTGGCCGGGTGTGGTGGCTCCTGCCTGTAATCCCAGCACTTTGGGAGGCCGAGGCAGGTGGATCACCTGAGGTCAGGAGTTCAGGACCAGCCTGGCCAACATGGTGAAACCCCGTCTCTACTAAAAATACAAAAATTAGCTGGGTGTGGTGGCGGGCACCTATAATCCCAGCTACTTGAGACGCTGAGACAGGAGAATCACTTGAACCTGGGAGGCAGAGGTTGCAGTGAGCTGAGATCACGCCATTGCCCTCCAGTCTGGGTGACAAGGGCAAAACTCCATCTCAAAAAAAAAAAAGTTCAATTTGCAACTTAAAAATTATTCATATTATAAAGACTAATGGTGCATCTTACAATTGATAATGTCTCAGTTAATGAGCTTCCATAACAACAGTAGAGGTGGCAGAATTCTGAACTGCAAATATCATTAAATCCTAATAAACATAGCACCCTGCTCCCTCTGTCAGAACTCATGCACACAGTGAAATATGGCTAATGGCCCCAGCATCCTCTGCCATTCACACAGCAGCAAGGATCAATGGACTTGCAGGAAAAATAGATACCCAGATAGATTTGTCTCTCACAATCAAAGGAAAAGATGTTTCCTCCTCTTTGCAGCTGGCCTTCCCAGTGTTGGCGGTATTTGGATCTGCCATGATGATAGCTCACATTTCACAATTTGAACTCCCAGCACCAGTGCAGCTTGGTGTTTGGGTTCCGTGATGTTTTTTTGGCTGGCTTCTCGCCTCTGGCAGCCTGGTGTCCTTGTACAACAAAATGTGCACAGCCACTCCCCTCCCTGGCCTTCCCCTTAGACCATCCCCATGACATCGCTTTGAAAACATGTTGGGTCGCTTAAATAGTTATTCCTTTTCTCACCCAGCTCATTAATAATGAGTAATTTAGTAATTTAGTAAATCAGCCCGATCTAAAAATACTTTTTAGAGGGAAGAAGCCCTCTGGATTTCAAGGTCAGTGCAGGGCGCACATGAAATAGTTGTTTTCCAGTTCCCTCCTGTATGAAGATGGCTTGTTTCCACCGGGCACTGAAGTTCTTCTTTTATGTGGTGTGCTGCTGTCAACTTAAGACATGTGCTAGATTCAAAATGTGGCCAAAATTTGTGTTTCAGTGTGTGCCCCTGAGGGTTTCTGGTTAAGGACCAAGTTTCTTGTTTTTCCTTTTTTATCCCCTTGTATTACATTCAAAATAGCAATATGAACATTTTCCTAGTATTTATCATGCATCTATGAATGCACAACAATCAGAATAAAAATATAATTTCCAGGATTTTGTTTTGTGGTTAAATGATAGCAGTTTATAGATAGTATCATTAAAATTCTTGATCAGACTAGATTGCTATCCATTGTAGCTACTGTGTGTGTGTATATATATATATTTATGTGTATATATATGATTTTTATTCATATCTGCATTTTTACATAGACCTTTTGTTAGCTTTTGACTTTGTTAGGCAATGCCCAGGAGTTAACTACCAATGTTGATAAATAGGGAAATATTGTGGCAGCCACTGCCTTCTGTGGCCAGTTTCTCAGTCTGTCTGTCGAGGACATTAGAGTTTGAGGACCACAGAAGCACTGATTCCAGGTTTGGTTATTAAGAAAAACTGTAGTCTCAAAGCTTATTTCTGCTTGCTCTCAGAACCAGCATGATTAAGTAAAAATGTTGCCTTTAAGAAGACAAGGTAAATGAGAATAGGGACCATAGAATGCAACCCAGCAACAAACTGCTTATCTGTGGGCTGCATACTATTAAAAACTGCACTCACTTATTGGCCTTGAATATAAGTTGCATGACCTTGCCGTTCATTGTTTATATTAAGAGCCGTGTATGTGGTGGCACATGCCAATAGTCCCAGCTACTCAGGAGGCTGAGGTGAGAGGATTGCTTGATCCCAGGAGGTCGAGGCTGCAGTGAGCCATGATGGCCCTACTGCACTTCAGCCTTGGGAAACAGAGTAAGACCCTGCCTCAAAAAAAAAAAAAAAAAAAAAAGCGTAACTCTATGTGTGTACTGTGCTAAACCATTTTACATAAGTTATCTCTTCATGCTTTTACAAGAACATTATGGGGTAGTTTCTTTTTCTTTTTTTACTTTTCTTTTTTTTGTGAGACAGAGTCTCACTCTTTTGCCCAGGCTAGAGTATAGTGGTGTAATCTCAGTACACTGCAACCTCTGCCTCCCGGACTCAAGTCATCCTCCTGCCTCAGCCTCCTGGGTAACTGGGACTACAGGCATGTGCCACCATATCTGGCTAATTTTTTGTATTTTTAGTAGAGACAGGGTTTCACCATTTTGGCTGGGCTGGTCTCACTCCTGACCTCAAATTATCCACCTGCCTCGGCCTCCCAAAGTTCTGGGATTACAGGCGTGAGCCACCACACCCAGTGAGGCAAGTTTCAAATTGCCATTTAGCAGATGATAAAACTGGAATTCTAACTCTGGTCTGACTCCAAAGCCAAAGCTCTTAGTCACTGTACTATATTGTCTTTGTCCAAGAGAAGTACTAATTAACGGCGGGGCGCAGTGGCTCATGCCTGTAATCCCAGCACTTTGGGAGGCCGAGGCGGGCGGATCATGAGGTCCAGAGATTGAGATCATCCTGGCCGACACGGTGAAACCCCATCTCTACTAAAATATAAAAAATTTAGCTGGGTGTGGTGCTTGCTTCCCTGTACTCCCAGCTACTCAAGAGGCTGAGGCAGGGGAATCACTTGAACCCGGGAGGCGAAGGTTGCAGTGAGGTGAGATCGTGCCACTGCCCTTCAGCCTGGTGACAGAGGGAGATGCCATCTCAAAAAAAAAAAAGGAAAAGAAAGAGGAAAAAAACCTAATTAACATAACACACTGCTTGCAAATTAATCTTGAAAATAAGGATACAGGGAAAGATGTAAAGGTTTATGATCAGGTATATACTTACTGTTAATCACAAAGGAAATGTTGACTGCATATATTGTTAGAAGGTGAGATTTTTAACAAATGCTTTCAGTTCATTTGGTTTCATGGTGGACCCTGGTACCTGAGATTTAGGTAACTACTCTCATGTGACAAAGGGACAGGCATAAGCACAGCATGAGGATGGGGACAGCAAAGGAAACAGCCACAGCACAATTCTCATCAACACTTTCTGGAAGTGGGTTGGACAAGTACAGAGTCAGAAGCTGAAGATCCTCAGAAGCCAGACAGAGGGTGGCGGATCTGACAAGGAAGAACATGAGGCAGAAGGAATCATTGAACAATGTCACCCTGGGCATGGCATGAGGAAGGTCATATTGCCTTGGCTATGGCAAAGTTGGGAGAGCTGGGAAGCTCCAGTGAGACCACCAGCTCAGAGCTTATTTGCCATTATTCTGGGCATGGATGGGATGTGACCTCGACACAGGTAGTGGCAGTTGTAGAAATGGAGAGACATAGGTGAGAAGCAGCATGTTAAAACTGACAGGGCTTGATCTTTGGTAGAGTGAATGAAATGGAGGGCTGAATCCTGGATGGTTTAGGGGAATGAGATGAGCAATTGCAAGGAGGATGTTGGTTTTGGAAAGAAGATATGGTTGATTTTCAGATGTTTTGACTTTGAACAGTGTGAGGTATCTTGGTGAATATTTCCAGGGGTCATTGGAAAATGGGACTTGGGCTGGAGTAAGAGGTTAGGCTACAGTAGATGTGGGAACTGGCACTTACAGTAAATGCCACCATGAAGGCTGAGCATGGAGACAGAAGGAAAGAGTAGAGGGGCTGAAAGAGAGGCTTAAGATTGGAGGAAAAGAAGACCCAGTACAGGACAGAGAATGGGACTTCAACATCTTCTATATCTGGGGAGACTAATAGTCACTTTATGGGAAGCAAAAATTTAGGTTGATACTTTCCAGTTTTATTGTCCCAGAGGTGATAGTTGTAAATTTAATCTTTTGTTTGCTCCATCCAGATAGAAACACACTTTCCACTCTTCTATCTGCTCCTCTCCACCCCAGGAGGCTGGTCTGGGTGCACCATGTCAGTAGGGCTCCCCTGCCCCTGGCTTCCTGTTGGGAGTAGCCAGTGAGGGACCCATAGGTGGAGACTGGAGAGAGGAAGGAAAGAGATTGAGGTTGGGACACAGGTATATCAGGCTCCATTTTTACAAGGTTCTTACAGATGGGCTCTATCCTTTGACCGAAGGTCTTTGCTCATCTGAAAGTGGTCTGCCCAGCACAGTGTTTTCTTCTGCTGGGGTTGGTTACCTCTCCCTCCCTTCATTCCTTTAGCAAGTGAAGTGGTGTCTTAGTTTTCTTGGGCTTCTATAACAAATGGCCACAAACTGAGTGACTTAAAATAACAAAAGCCTGCTCTCTCTTACAGGCCAGGAGACCACAAATCTGAAACCTAGGTATCCTCAGGGTTGGTTCCTTCTGGAGGCTCCAGAGGGAGAAACTGGTCCATGCCTCTGTCCTAGCTTGCCATGGTTGTGACAATCCTTGGCATTTCTTTGCTTGCAGATGTGTCACTCCAATCTCTGCCTCCATCTTTACGTGACCACCTTCTCCATGTCTCTGTGTCCTTTCTTTGTCTCTCACAAAGACACTGTTATTGATTTAGGGTCCATCCTAATCCAATAATTATCTCATCCCAATTCTTATTTACATCTTCAAAGACGCTATTCCCAAATAAGACCACATTCTGAGGTTCCTGGGTATATGTGAATGGGGAGACACTGTTCAACCCACCCAGCTCCGCTGTGGTCAGCCCTGAGTTCCTGCACCTGCCGCCATGGTTCCCAACACCCTGCCCACATATTTGTACTTTAGTTCCCTTGTAAACAACCCTTCTTTAAATTACCCTAATTTTAGTGTGCCTTCTATTTCTGTTTAAGATTCTGACTGGTGAACATCCCTTTAGTAAGTTTCTTACCCCCTATACAAACCTGTGTAAGCATGAACTTATCTTATCTCCCTCTTTGGGCTTAGCTGCCAGGAAAATGAGCCCTAAATGTAGTGTTTAACTGTAGAAGCTCTTTAGCCTAAATTTCTGCTATATTTATCTTTTATACTAAATGACTATTTTGTTCCAATTTTAACATGTCTTTATAAATTATTTTAGAAGATATGAAATTGTGTAACACAGTAAGAAAAGTGCTGGTTCTCCAAGTCTCCCTTTCTCTTGCCAAATTGCTTGGAGTTTAAAGCTCATCCTTAGAGGAATCAAATTTTAGCATCTATTTTTTACATTCTGGGGGATATTCAGTGGCTAATCTGAATTCATATGGGTTGATTATGACAGAATGGAATGTTTAAGTGGTTTTCCTCTGTGTGTAATTCTGTGTATACAATTGCAATCACCCAACTTTATCATGATGAACATTTCACAGGTTAGTTAATAAGCCTGTGGCCTCAGGCTCAAGGATGGCGTCCCTGGTCCTGCTGGGGTATCTCTTGGTTTCATGTTAAGTTTGAGGATGCCATCATGTGGTCCTTTGGCAAAGGAAGAGGAACACAGTAGTCACTGTTTTCAACTATAAATGGTTTGAATGTGGCCCAAAGTTCTATACTTTTCCACTCCTCCCTCCACCCCACTGGGGAGCTTTCAAATGTTATCAAGATATTTATCATTTTTATCAAATTTTAGAGTTGGAAGCTTAGAGGCCATGAAATCCAAGTAGTCTAACTCCCTCACTTTGCAGTAAGGAAGCAAGGGTGCAGAGAAGTGAATCCACCACCCAGGGCCCCATGATGCATTTGTGTGATGGCAGGGGTATGGCCCAGGTTTGGACTCTTGGGGTTTTTTTGCCTCCCATGGCAGTGTCCTCTCTGCTGTGATTTGCTACCTGTGACCTTCATGAGGCCAAATGGCACAGAAAGCAAATGCCATGGAAGTTCAGGGGGAGAGGAGGTCGCTGTGTGCTTGGCTTAGAGAGCCAGAGAAGGCATCAAAGAGGAGGAGGAAATCAATATAAAATCTGAAGGGTGGGCAGAATTTAGATAAGTTTCATTTCACATGTGGAGGCAGGAGGACATCGCAGACTCCAGCAGGTTAACATGAGAGCATTTGCCATGCAAAATGTACTGTCTAGGACTTCTAAGGCACATCCACTTTAATTTGTTGGTCACTTATTTATAGGTGCATTGCTCCGATCTCTGCCCCCATCTTTATTTCTCAGCCTTTTCCATGTCCTTTTCTGTCTCTCACAAAGACACTGTCAGTGGATTTAGCATCTATCCTAAATCCAGGATGTGTATAAATATAGGCACAAGCTCTTAATTTAAACAAATAAGGACACTTGTGGTCAACCAGAATTTTCAGTTACTCAAGAAAATTGCATCTGGGCTTTAAAAAAAAAAAAAAAAAGGAAGACATTCTAGGATCAGATACTACTAACAATAATAGTAAATCTTTACTGAGGAAAATACTTTTGGGTGGAATAAACCTAGATTACAATGTCAAGAAAATGTGTATAGCTAGAGTGTAATTTAAAAAATCTATTTTCTTGGGGATTATCACAAAGATTAATAGAAGATATAAAGCTATAGCATGGAGATTGTGAAGATGAGATGACTTACACAGAGACCCTATGTATGTATATTTAGTTGTCAAAAACTCAATGATGTTTGATCATTTTTTCCTCCAGTTTTGAGATTCTGTTCACTCAGGCAGTGAGTGAGTTGGCGATTAACACATTCAGCGCTCACTTTCGGCCAGATCCTGGGGAAATGATAAAGATGAACAAGGCAAGCCTCCTGCCTTCTAGGAGTTCACAGCCGGGATGGAAAGACAAACACGTAAACAAATGGGCTAAAGGAGGAGACAGCAATGTCTTACAAAGGGATCTTCTGAGTTGTACCCATAGGTGGAGAGTAAGGTGTGAAGATGAGGGCCTGTCCAGGAACATGTAGACATTTGGTATGTGACTGGGTCATGATGGGAAGATAAAGTCCTGAAGAAGTGAAGTGGGGCCTGTTGTACTTTGCAAAAGAATTTGAACTTGACTTAGAGGTGATGGGAGCCAAGAAATTATATTAATAGGATAGAAAATACATATATATTTTAAATATCTGCACTTGATGGAATAGGAAACAAGATTGGAGGCAGAAAAGTAAATTAGGAAGCCATAAAAATGGTGAGGATGAGCCATTTAGAGGTCTGAACGAAGGTAGGTTGTAGCAGGGATGGAGAAGGGAGGCAGACTGGAAACATTTCCAAGTGTCAGTCCTGGGACTAAAGAGGTTGTACATATAGCATAATTAGGAACCCAGGCTTGGAGTAAGGCAGATCTGGCCTCCAATTTCAACCCTGTCACTTACAGGTTGTGTGACCAGGCCATGTTGCCTAACCTCTCTAAACCTCAGTTTCCTGGTCTGTAAAGTAGCATAATGCCCTCTGTGATACCACAGTTCAGAGCACTCGGCAGGTTGATCGGCTCCATAACATGCACTACGTAAATGGTAGCTGCTGTTACACCCAGGTATCCTGATGTCCAGCGGAACTGTCCCCAGATTTCTAGCTCGCTGCCTAAGACACTTAATGGCTAGGGAATGGGGACTGGATTTCCACATGAACAGTTTTCATTGCTCACTCCCTGGCCTCCAGCTGTCCTCATGTCACAGTGGGCTGTGTCACATCTGCATCACAGGCCTGTCCTTTGAGGGAACAGGCACAGGCCCACCCCCAGGAAGAAGAAAAACAGTTGAGCACATTTGTGTGATTGCATGCCAGGAAGCCTGTCTTTGAATAGGAGACAGCCTTTCCTCTGGCCATGATCGTGGATTGCCGTTTGTTGGTCACTGTTCCTTTGTAAGGGGATTTATTATGCGTTAGTGATCTAGAACGTATGCATCCTTTGATAGGAGAGACTGCAAAACTAGAAGGGTTGCAGCAGGCCTCCCTCCTTGCCAGTGAGTGAGGACTGTTTGATTTAAGTGGCCTAGCAACAGAATCACCATCAGTCGACAAGCACAGCGCTCTTAAAGCTCCGCTCTGACATGCTTTGCCTTTCTGCAATGGAATTTATGACTTTGTATCTGCTGTGCCTTTTTTTTTGCGGGGGGAGGGGGAGGAAATTAGATCCACAAAGCCAAAACATGTTAGCTTGAGAATTCCAAGGGCTCAGAGTTGGGCTCAAGTTTACCAGGCGAGTGTTTAATGCTGCCCTCTGGCTCACCTTTGTTTAGATAAATAATTGAAAGTGTGCCATGTACAAGGCTTGGGACTCAGTCACACAAAAGAATCTGGCTGACGGCTCCTTAATTAAAAGCAGGAGATAATGGATACCTGTTCCTCCCTTGGGATGTTAGGGGTAGTGGGGGTGGATTATTTTCTTTGGCACTCATGTTCTTGGGTTGCCCAAATCAGAGGATGACACACATATGACTCTTACCTCACACACAAAAAAGCAAAACCCGTGCCTGTGTCCCACCAGGGATTGTTTAGGTTTCAAGGCGAGGGTGCAGTTGCTCAGCATAGGTTTGATGAGCCCTGACATTGTGCAGGCCTGGGCTCGGTGCTGAGCACTGCCCACAGCTGGACCTTACCCTTGGGCAGCTCAGCAAGGTGGGAGAAAAGGACATGCTCAGACCCCAAGGTGACACAGCCAATGCTCTCAATCTTGGCTGCCTTTTAAAAATGCTGACTCGTAGGCCAGGTGTGCTGGCTCATGCCTGTAATCCCAGCACTTGGTGGGAGGCCGAGGTGGGAGGATCACTTGAGTTCAGGAGTTTAAGATCAGCCTGAGCAACATATGGAGACGCTGTCTGTGCTAAAAATACAAAAATTAGCCAGGCGTGATGGTGCACGCCTGTAGTTGCAGCTACTTGGAAGGCTGAGGTGAGGGGAGTCCAGAAGGTCAAGGCTGCATTAAGCTACGATTGTACCACTGCACTCCAGCCTGGGCGACAGAGTGAGACCCTGTCTCAAAATAAATGAAGGAATGAATGCCTCAGAGATTCTGACTTAGTTGTTCTGTGGTTTGCCTGAGCATAAGTACTTTTCATTAAATGAGCATTTCTCTAGTGGACTCTAGCCTGCAGCCAGGATTGAGAACCAAAGATCTTTAGTTTTCCTAAAATATCCTGAGACCAGCACAGGTAGTAGGAATGTGGGTGCTCAGAGAAAGTGGAAATCCCTTCTTGGTGGATAGGAATTCAGGAAAGGCTTCCAGGAGGAGGAGGAAGCAGGTTAGATGTGTTTGGGGTTCAGCAGGGGAGGAGTGTCGACACTTAGTTCAACAGATAAAGACTTGAAGACGTTCCCTTCCACACAGCTTGTCAGGTTGTTAGTGACTCCACTCTCACTTCCAGCCTGGCCACTCACTCAGTTTTGTTAACTGCCCCACAGTCCTGATCTATATCTTAGGAAGGAGGAACTGGCTTTCTCCACTTTTCTTTCCCAGTTTGGGAACCACAAGCCTGGTGCTTCCCCTCTAAAGCCATGGGGGTAAGTAAAAGGAGATGTGCTGTCCCTATGGAGGACGAAGCAGCCCCAGGACAGGGTCCCCAAAATCACCATCGACTTGACGTCCCAGCCGGCAGCCTTGACGCTTCTGGCTTAGAGTGGGCTCTGCTAAGGATGGCATCACCACATCCATGTCTGCATTTCTTCTCATTCAGATCTCTTCAATGAGCAGCTATCCTTTGCTAGACACTGTGCTTCACACTTTGGGGATTGAAATCCTAGGTGTAACCCATCTTCACCTTATGACCTTGGCAGATTCTTGCACTGTCTGACACTCCCTTTGTCCACCTGTAAACTGGGTGTAATCACAGAACCAATGTGTGGGTGGTTGTGGGGATTCAGAGGAGCTCTGTATGAGGTGGCAGTTTCTTGCCTGTGACTCAGCTCTGGGGGACCATCAGTAGCAAAACCCTTCCCCACCTTCCTGTGTTTCCATTGTTACAGGGAGGAGGGATCCAACAGCAGTAGGAACAGTCTTTGGAAGAAGGGCAGCAGGTCCTGAGTGTGTGGTTTCCCTTGGGCTTCTCTGCCTCTCTCTGCTGAAGGCCACGATGGTTACAAACTCAGGTGCACAGGGAGTGAGCAGTAAATGCTGTCCACTGCCATTGCTGTTTCTACCACAAACCCTCCAGGGACAGGCCCCTCCCTGCTGGATTTCCAGGTTTTATCAAACTGTGGGTCTAGGCAGAGCTCCTCATTAAGAAGGTGCCATGGGGACTTTGGAGGGTGTCATTGACAGTTCTGGATGAAGCCAGCTGTTACCCCTGGCTTCAGTCCTGGGCCTGAACCTGCTGGGAGGCTTCTACTAGAAAGATACCCAGGAGAGCATGGCCCACAGTTCAGCACACGCTTCAGCAGAAAGACACCAACAAGCCAAAGGGAAACTGCCAAGACCTGCCTGCCCTTCCTCCGAAGACTTCATTCCCACTGCTTTGAGGGTCAACTTTTCTGTAACAGTGCAAATAGAGAAAGGATCATGAAGAGTTTTATTAACAGAGGTCTCCCAGACCTGAGTCCCAGGGTGGGAAACCAGTCTCCTAGGATGTGTGGGAAAGCATCCTGCTGTGTGTCTGGCTGATCAGCATATATCAACACAACTGCAGAGTAGAACCATGCTCTGGCCAGCACCAGTGGGATATCTCTGGACCTGCGGGTGGCCTAAGAGGTCCTCAGGATAGTCTTGCTACCTTCCTCTGGGACTTATCTTTTGACTCAGGCAGCCCCTGCTGAAGAGCTAAGCCCTACATTGTGGAACTGGGTCTTCCAGAAGTGGACCCTGATTGCATAATACATACTCCCCGACAGTTTTTTCCACAGTTGTCCAAAGCCCCCTGAACTCCAATCCCTAGGAAGATACTGGCCTAAAAGGGAAGCTTCTACCACAGCTGGCTCCTTTGGAAGACCCTTCTTGTTCACAGCTGGACTCCCACCACCACACACAAACAGGCTTTAGGCCCTGGAGAGATCTCAAAGTCTGCCCACTGTCAAAGTGGTATCTGAGGTCCAGCAGGCCATTGTTGTGCCTAGAGAAGACAGTGCTTACCTAGCGATATGGTTTGGCTGTGTCCGCACCCAAATCTCATCTTGAATTCCCACGTGTTGTGGGAGGAACCTGGTGGGAGGTAATTGAATCACGAGGGCAGTTCTTTCCCGTGCTGTTCTCATGATAGTGAATACGTCTCACAGGATCTGATGGTTTTATAAGGGGGAGTTTCCCTACACAAGCTCTCTCTCTCTTTGCCTGTTGCCGTCCATGTAAGACATGACTTGCTCCTCCTTGCCTTCTGCCATGATTGTGAGGCCTCCCGAGCCATGTGGAACTGTGAGTCCATTAAACCTTTTTCCTGTATAAATTACTTAGTCTCAGGTATGTCTCTATCAGTAGTGTGAAAACGGACTAATACACCTGGTGTCATTTATTGGACTTCAGAAAGCCCCCCTACCTCCCTTCCCTCACCACGAAAGCATCACTCCCACCACAAAAGTGTCACTCCCACCACAATGTCAGGATTCTTCACTTTATTATAGTGCCTGAAATTCCATCAAAATGTTGCTCCTCTTAGTTGAATGCCATCCTTTTTACAGTCAATGCACTAACATAATGGTATCTTCTTATGGTGTCCATTTCTTTTGTGGGCTCTTGCTTGACTGTTCCCTAGAATTAAATGAAGGAATCCTTTATCACTGGACTTTCTAGCAGTGCTTAGGATGTATGAGTAAATGACACTGAAACCACTATGGCAAGTTTTCAAGGTTACATATATCGTTTAATCACATGGCACTATTTGCTCTTTATCTTAAATGCCATAGTCAGGACAGGGAGGAAAAACTGTTCTCTCCAAATTCCGAGAGCCACTTGGCCTTAGGGTTTATCAGGAGACCAGATTAAAAAGCATTTCAAAGATCTGAGGGAGGTGGGTCAGTTAATAATATAACTGAAAGGAATGGCCAACCACATGAAATAGAAATGCATCTGTTTATCAATCTTATCACTTCTCTCTCATGGAACCCACAAATGGATTTCTCTTTTTTTGGCTGGGCACAGACCTCAGAAAAAGCCAGCCAGACAGAAAGCAACAAGGCACGGAAAATGAATTATGCACTAACGTTGCCTACAACACTAAAACTTCTGCTATTTAGAGCAAACTCATGTTTATGAAACATTTTCTTACTCTTGCCTGCTTTGCTCTGTCTGGTACAGATGGTTTCTTGTTGCTTAAACTCAAGCTCTAACTCTTTAAGGTTACCAGTAAATAATTCACTAATTCCATAAAATGCATAGAAATTCAGCTGTTACTGTTAGAATGCAAGTCTCAATATGGTATGGACTGAATCTACAGGGTAGTAAAAAAGTTTACATTTGAACCATTTATGAAGGACTTCTGTCTGCGAAACAGAAATTTGAGCTTTTGATAAAACACACTCACGGAAACTCTGATTAACACCCAAATCAAAGCCCTTTCTACTATTATTATTTCTCAAAATTGTATCAAATTTTATCAATTTATCAAATTGTATAATTTATCAAATTAATGCAATTGTTTCAAAATTGTATCTTTTGTCACCAGTATAACTGGACAAAAAAAAAAGATCTTGGTTGCAAAGAACAGAAATGCCACATGAATCTCCATAGTGAAGGAAGTGGTAATTGGGATACCTGGAGTTAGAACGTGAGGAGATGGCAGAAAATGAGGCAGTCCTAGGCGTGGTGCCTCCCTCATGGCATCTCCTCTCGGGAGAATCACCAGTGCTGATGTCCTCTTCTCACTCGCATTGTTGGCTTACTCTGGTCTCTCCAGACCCTATCTTAACGACCAGTCAGCCAGCATGATCCACGGGGTTCATGTTTGTTTAGAGCCCTGGACAGGATTTGTAATTGGTCTGGCACATGGATTTGTCCTGGCAGACAGAGGCGGCTGGATTGGCTGGGAGATACCCCTCTCTGTCTTTTTAACCTGGAGGGGCAGGAGCGTTGCCTCATGGTACAAAGTCGGACCATCCCAGTGACCCCATCAGGAGGACTGCGGGCTGGGCAGTTTTCCTTAGGAAGGGCCTGTGGACCATAGGAAGTGATGGACACCACTGGTTTGAGGGGTACCTGGGTGGTTGGAGGTTCTAGTTAATAAAGCACTGGTGTTTGTCACCACATAACAAAAAGATTGAATAGTGCGGTGTCCCTAGGCTGAGATAACCAGCGCCTCTGCATGCTTTTCTGTGGCCTTCTCTCTGCCCTAAGTGGCCTTATCTATTCTGTGAAATCCAAATCACACTGTACAAAGATGCCTCAAACCAGGCCAAGCTGGCCCTGCTCTATTCTATGGTAATTTTTGATGGGCTGAGTGCTTTTTGATGTCTTGGGTATTTTCTTTTTAAAGGGCGTGATGTTGTTAGACACTTATGTTCTTTGCTCAGTATATTACTCAGTATGATCTGTGCTCAGTGATACCATGAGTTCTTCTTACCTTATAACTCTTTGTACTTCCCCCACGGCATCTATCAGTGAGTTGCTCAGGGTCAGCATTCAATTATCACTTGATTCTGTTTGGCTTCCGAGTATTTCACAGAGCTTCATCGTAACTATTATAAACATTCATTTAATATATACTTAAACCCCTGTATTGAGCGAAGACAGGAGATGATAATAATAGCTACTATTACTATCATTACTACTCTTTAGTGGACATGTATTATATAGTAGGTGCTATACTAGGTACTTTACGTATCTCATTTAATGTTCAAAATAACTCCACAAGGTACATATTGAGATACCATTTTGCCGAAGAAAAAATTAAAATGTAAGCTCATATATAATTTACATCAATTCATCAAAATGAGCAAGTGGTAGAATCAAGCCCTAAACTCAGGTCTGCCTGTCTTTAAAACAGCTGCCTATAACCACCATACCATGTGACGTCTCCACATTTTATACTTGTTAATAATTCTGATTCAGTCAGGCCTCTTGAACATAGAGGCTTATGTGACCACTCAGCAGGGATACAAAATGAATGTCCTAGGTCGGCTGCTTAGCTGGACAAGGTGGCTGAGTTGCCGAGCAGCCCCTGGATTCTGGATCTTGGACAGCTTGCCTGGACTGCCTGAGTCTCCGAGTTCTTCATCACAAACAGAGTGAATGGTATTTACTCCAAATAAAGTTGAATATTTTCAGTCCCATTAGGCAGAAGATGGTAAAGGTGATGGATCTGTCACTATTTTATACAAGAAACATGACTGAGGTTACACCACATGCCAGGCACTGTTTTGAGTCTGTCCTTTGCTCCTGTCAATCCCTAATTCCTTCTATACCCTGTAATACAGCAAAGGAGACAGGCAGGAAGAATGAGAGACTGGAGAAGATACAAAGAGAAAATTATGACACTTATTTTTATAAATAATATCTTGGATAGGTTCTTCCCAAGGAGAGAATTCTTGCCAACTTCAGGAAAAACATGTTGAGCATGTGTGATTTGTCAGACACTGGGCTAAGTGCTCAAGATAGTGGAGACTCAACCCCTGCCTTCTAGGTGTTCATGGTCAATTAGAGGAGACACAGTGTGGATGTACAATGGTAGACATCTGTATAGCCTCCTGTAACCCGTAAGATATTCTCTACAGAGCCACCCTTATCACAGAGACTGAAGCTGTAATTGTCAGGGATCAGACTTAAGACACCAAGGCACTATCTCTTAAAATTTGCAAAAAGGAAAAAAAATTATGATAAGTGACAAACTCCATAGGACTCAATATAGAGATGGGGTAGTTTCTCTCTTCTAATTAAACAATGCTTCCACTATCAAAGAGCCTAAGTTGTTTTAAAAGAGTATACCCTACACCAGGAACATCTCTTCTTGGGCCTTGGAAGTCCTGGTTGAGTTTAGTCACGTGTTGACCAGCGTGTGATCTACTCTTTGAGAACCACCACTTGTGTAGGTTTGTCCAGAGGTCATTACCACCCGAGAGCGGCAGTTGCCTGGAGAACCAGGGCGGCCGCAGTGCCCCCTCGTACATCTTGGGCTGTCATACCGAACTTACTGTGCGTGCCACATCTAAAGGCACATCAGAGGGTCAGAGGGTCATCTTCCTTTTCCACGTGTTTGCAAAAACACTTCCAAGTCATAGCTGCTCACATATACCAATGTGTGGAATGACCAAGACAAGTTTCTTAAAAAAAAAAAAAAAAGGCAAGCACCCAGGGATGGCGTGGGCCAAGGACATGGCTGGGGAGATGTCCACGTGGCCTAACTGGGCACAGTAAAGAAGCCAGAGAGTTAAAAAGGGAAGAGCTAGTCAGGGAAGTGATGTCAAGGATGCCAACAAACTGGCTGTCTGAACCTGAACAAATCACTTTCCTATTTTGAACCTCTGTTTCCCGCTCTGGAAAAAAAAAAAAAAAAAGAGGCCCTGGACTTGACTGTTAAGGTCTCCCCTTGCTCAAGAATTCTCTGGGTCTGAATAATTATCCAAACCGATTATCCAAAGTACATAAACGGTGATTAACCATGTTAATCACAGTTACGTAATTGTTATATGAAAGTGTGAAATGTTCCATGAATGGCTATTTTTTTTTCAGAGAAAAAGTATAGGTCAAAAAAAGTACACCTCCATCCTCAGGGGAAAAAAAGAAACATGAGCTAGAAGGAATTATTTTAAGACAGATCTTACCTGTTGCCCCAGGCTGGAGTGCAGTGGTGTGATCTCGGGCTCACTGCAACCTTCGCCTCCCAGTTTCAAGCAATTATCCTGCCTCAGCCCCACAAGTAACTGGGACAACATGCCTCGCTAATTTTTTGTATTTTTAGTAGAGACAGGGTTTTACCATGTTGGCCAGGCTGGTCTCAGACTCCTGGCCTCAAGTGATCTGCCTGCCTTGGCCTCCCAAAGTGCTAGGATTACAGGCGTGAGCCACAGCACCTGGTCCCTCCCTGGGTGCATTTATCCATTGTTGGCTTCATCTGCCATGCTGCAGGTCGTCGCTAGAGCTCCATGCCCTGCCTTGCCCTGGAGCTGCCTATAGCCTAAAACATATTAAGCAGCATGTTCAAACTGAATGTAATACCTTCTAGTCATCCCCAACTCTGTGCTGTAAAAATCTTTTGTAATTAGCTCTCTTCTGATTTAATTCATATTCATTCATGGCAACCTCATCCCCCAGGCAGCTCTACAAAAATAAATCTCTAGTCTTGGACTTCTCTGATTTTTTTATTCTGTATATCCAGTGTGTTAGGAAGTCCTACAGATTTTAACCCCAACATTAAAAAAAAAAAAATCTGTCCTCATTTTTCAACTCCATGCTCTTATCTCTAGGCTGAAATATTTTAGTAGCCTTTTTAACGACTCTGTCTGTAGTCTTTTATTTCCAGCCTCTTATGCCCTACAGATTAAATTAGGTTCAGGTTTGGGAGAGACATCCTAAAGGTTGTCTAAGGATCATCTGAACCAAGGATGGAGAAAATTATTCCCCAGAGGAAAGCTGAGCTTGCACAACAGAGAAAGTGGATTTGGGCCACCCTGGAGGGGCAGGGCTGGTAGTGAATGAGGATGGGTGCCCCTTATGTATATCTTTCTAGGGCAGAGGCAACTCCAACCTATGTATTTCCCTGGCTCCTGAAATTGAGTTTATCCTCTGTACTGAGAGGACACATTACACTTCTGTTACGAAGCTTGTATTGCTCTGTCTTGTGTGTCCCTAGCCAGGTGTGTTAGTCCATTTTCATGCTGCTTCCTGAGACTGGGAAGAAAGAGGTTTGATGGACTTACAGTTCCACATGGCTGGGGAGGCCTCACAATCATGGTGGAAGGCAAGGAGGAACAAGTCACATCTTACATGGATGGTGGCAGGCAAAGAGAGAGAGCTTGTGCAGGGAAACTCCTGTTTTTAAAAAATCATCAGATCTCATGGGATTTATTCACTATTACTATAATAGCATGGGAAAGACCTACCCTCATGATTCAATTAGCTCTTACTGGGTTCCTCCTATGACATGTGGGAATTGTGGGAGATGCAATTTGAGATGAGATTTGGATGGGGACACAGTCAAACCATACCACTAAGCATATCCATTTCTCCCACATTGCTCGTTTACCAAATGTAAATCTTACTAATCTGTGTCTCCTGTAACACGCAGTTCAGGGAAGAGGTGGGCTCTGGAGCCCAGCAGCCTGGGCTCATGTCCTGGCTTAGCTACTAATTTTAACAAGTGAAGTGCTCTATGCTCCAGCTTCTCACCTGTTAAAAAAAAAAAAGTTTTTATGAGAATTAAATAATCTATGGAAAATGCTTATCTTGGTATATAGTAAGTTCTTCTTTAAGTCAAACTTAATATTTCCAGTTTTTAACTGATCGGAATAGAAATTTTTACTGTGATATTGGGTCACTGTGAAGTTCAGAATTTAAAACAAATAGAAGGTTCCTCCTCTCATCTGTAAATGATTTAAAGTAGAAATCCTACTTTCGGTGTTACATGAATTTCTCCTTCCAGTGACTTAGGCCTGAATTAATGTCCATTGTATTTCATTGTCCTTGAGGATTTTATGCATGTGAGGAATGGGATCTGTCACATCATGATTTATTAACCTAAGAAAGACTATCTCAGATCACTTCCCTTTTTGTCTTCTCAAAGTCATTACAAGTGAAACTCTCTCCTTTAAGACTGTCCCATTAATTTCTCAAGTGACTGACCTGCAGACGAAACTTGGAATCAGCAAATTGTATTTACAGATTCCTGTACTGATCTATCTCCCTGGAAATGCCACATTTATACAGTGAACTGCAGCAGAAAGGCCGAGCGCCACTGGAACTGCCCACAGTGTGGTGGGAGGAAGGATCACAGCCCTGTCCAAGCAGAGCCTCCTTTCACATTGGGTAATTTACAAGGAAGGCTCTAGACATTTACACTTCAAGGGTCAGCATTCTGTAAGGGTCAAGGGCTCCATGCACAGTTGTTACTGGGGCAAAATAAAGGCCACATCTTCTCTGGGCCTCTTTAGGTGCACTGACTCTGCATTTCAGTGGCCTTTCTTCCATTTCCTTCTGTCATTTTGGCTTTGGATGTGTATTGGGCTTCTGTAATTGAAACCAAAAACAACAGCTTAAATAAGATGGAAATATTTTTCTCTTATGCACAACCGAGTGGTGTCACGGATACAGGTTTCTTGTGTATTGATCTACATCACTAGGGCATTGACGTCACATTGTCCAAAATGGCTCATCACCTCCGCAATCACATTCACACTCATGGGAAGGAGAAGGGGAAGGAGGGAGGGAGGGCATGTGTCCCATCTGTTTAAGGGCACTGCCTGGAAGTTGCCCACCATCAGTCACTCACATCCTGTTGGTCAGTCTAATCCATAAGACCATACCTGGTGGGATGAGAGGCTGGGAAATGTTACCTTAATTCTGGGTGGTTATGTGCCCAGCTGTAATTTGGATTTCGGTTACCATAGATAAAAGGGAATAGCAGATATGGGAAAACGGCTCTGTCACACTAGTGACCTGAAAACGCAGCTGTTGTAGGTAATTTGGGGCTTCTACCAGAGGGAAAAAAAAATAGAAGGCAATATTTTAAAATATGCATGTGGATTATTTGCCATAGACCTCTGGCTACACCAAGAATGCTTTTCTTTTTTTTTTTTTTTTTTTTTTTTGAGACAAAGTCTCACTCTGTTGCCCAGGCTGGAGTGCAGTGGCACAATCTTGGCCCACTGCAACCTCCCCCTTCCAGGTTCAAATGATTGTACTGCCTCAGTCTCCCGAGTAGCTGGGATTATAGGCACATGCCACCATACCTGGCTAAATTTTGTATTTTAGTAGAGACAGGGTTTCACCGTGTTGCCCAGGCTGGTCTCGAACTCCTGAGCTCAGGCAATCCACTCGCCTCGGCCTCCCAAAGTGCCCTCCAGAATGCTTTTCTTTTCCACCTTAGCTGGGGAATAGACCATGAAACGTTTTTTTTTGTTTGTTTGTTTGTTTGTTTGGAGACAGAGTCTCACGCTGCTGTTCAGGTTGGAGTCCAGTGGTGCAATCTCGGCTCAACTGCATTCTCCACCTACTGGGCTCAAGTGATTCTCCTGCCTCAGCCTCCCGAGTAGCTGGGACTACAGGCACATGCCACCACACCCAGCTAATTTTTGTATTTTTGGTAGAGATGGGATTTTGCCATGTTGCCCAGGCAGGTCTTGAACTCCTGAGCTCAGGTGATCCGCCCGCCTTGGCTTCCCAAAATGCTGGAATTCCAGGCATAAGTCACCACGGCTGGCCATTTTTATTTTTTCTATTAGTTTCAAAATATAATGTTTTCTCATTTCAACAGTAATAATGTAATAATTATTTAAACAAACTTAGAAAATACAGGCAAGAAAAATGAAGGCAATTAAAATGCCCACATTTGCAGCTTAGGAGGGAGCCATGAACAGTAAGGTGAGGGTATAAATCCTACAAATGGATCCACCCTGTGAGGAAGGGAAAAAGGTGGGGGAGCAATGGCAGACTTGCAGAGAAAATTTACAGGGTGAGAGGGCGAGGTGGCAAGGGGACAGTTCAGAAACTTTCCAGGATGCTTGGTAACCATGGTGAACAATTTTTGTTATATTGGTCAGTTTATCATGTATCATGCTAATGCTTGAAGCTATGATTTGCTTGATAAATGCCATTGTAGCATTACTAATAGTCATTCAGGTATTCCTAAAATGCTCAGAGAGCTAAGGATAAAATCAAAATAAATAAATGCCCAGGTCTTTGGGTGTTGGATCCCACAATTGTTACTGTTCGCAGTGAACCATATTGCTGCCAAGGAATAGTCTTTCATGCGCTGTCTCCGGACAATGACCTCCAGAGTAAGAGTCACAGCCATCAGTGCTTCCAAAAATTAGCCACCATGGAAATAAATGAGAGCAGAGATTTGTTGGTTTAAACATGTCTTACAAAGGAGAAAATTGTTCCATTAAAATCTTATGTAAAGTAAACCTCTAGTAAGCCAGTAATTTTAGGTGAAAAAAGTAAAATTAATGAATATCCTACTAAATGATACTATGGTTTCCTAAAGCAGTTTCTTAATAATTACCATATGGTGGCTCCAGGTGACTTAGTCAAAAGCTGTTTGGTTAAAACATAGCTGGTCACAACAACGACTTTGTTTAAAATGTTGCTGTTTTGGGTTGGCGAAGTGAATCGTGATTGGCGCAGACATGCCTGTATGTAGTCGTGCCAAACATGCATTCATGAACATCATTCCTTACCCAGTTTCAAAACCAGAAGTTTCTGAAGCCATTGCCAAGCCTGGCATTAGAAATAAACCAAAAGACTTTGAAAAATAATGATTATTTTATTATTTCCTTTATTTTTTCTTACAAAATCAATTCATGCTCATTATAGAAAATTCAGAAAATATGCAAAAAAAAAAAAAGGGGGAATATCCTGTCTCGCACCTGCATAAAGAGAACCACTTGTGAATACCTTGGTGAATCTCCAAACTAACCTTTATTTTGTTACGTAAAAATAAGTATCTCGGCTGGGTGTGGTGGCTCACGCCTGTAATCCCAGCACTTTGGGAGGCCGAGGCAGGCAGATCACCTGAGGTCAGCAGTTCGAGACGAGCCTGCCCAACATGGCGAAACCCCGTCTCTACTAAAAATACAAAAAATTAGCTGGGCATGGTGGGCACTTGTAATCCCAGCTACCCAGGAGGATGGGGCAGGAGAATCACTTGAACCTGGGAGGTGGAGGTTGCAGTGAGCCAAGATCACGCCACTGCACTCCAGCCTGGGCGACAAAAGGAAACTCCATCTCAAAAAAAAAAAAAAAAACTCCTTATGCGTATATAAGTATATACATATACAATATAATCATATTTTATTTTTTACAAAGGTAATATCAAGCCTTTTTTAATTTGTTACATTTTTTCCTTATGTTTTAGTGATGATCTTCTTCTCATTTGAACTAAGGCAAAGGCAGCCAGCAAGCAAGATAATGAGGGTTGACAAGGTAGAAAATTCATTTAGGGAGATAAAGAGGGAAGACTGGGTTCAAAGAGAGGTGGAGTGTGTAGCACTGACTTAGTTGCCAAGAGAAAGTTAATCAGGGCTGGGCGCAGTGGCTCACGTCTATAATCCCAGCATTTTGGGAAGCCAAGGCATACAGATCACTTGATGTCAGGAGTTCGAGACCAGCCTGGCCAACATGGCAAAACCCCATCTCTACTAAAAATACAAAATTATGTGGGTATGGTGGCACATCCCAGTAATCCCAGCTACTTGGGAGACTGAGGCAGGAGAATCACTTGAACCCAGGAGGTAGAGGTTGCAGTGAGCTGCGATTGTACCACTGCACTCCAGCATGGGTAACAGAGCGAGAGTCCATCTCAAAAAAAATAAATAAATAAAAAGAAGAAAAATAAGAAAGTTAATCATTCCAGGGTTCTTGTCTCCAAAGCCCCTTGGGGCTCTGGCCATCTGAGTGTCTGTGTCTGCTGAGGACATTGACCCTGTGGGTCTGAAGCACACTGATATGCCAGGGAGATAGAGAGGACTGTCAGAACCAGCAAGCATGTTCTCAGCCTTGTAGTGTGTGCTGCTGTTGACATCTATAAGTTCTGGGCCTGCTTTCAGTAAACAGAGAACCAATCATATGCCTTTAATCATTGAGATGGATATCGCACTGATCATAAGAAGTCAAATGCTTCAGCAGCCTAAGAGGTTTCACTTCTCTTTTTAGCCAGTAAAATTATTGTGTCTTTGAGCAGGAGTGAACGTGGTAACACATATGGTTGAGACCCTGGTCCCTGTTTTACTGTCACTGAGGACTGGCAGCTTTTCACTTCAAGCCAGGCCTGTGGGAGTTAGACTATAGCAGGGGCTCCTTGTGTCCTGATGTCCCTGCTTGCAGCACTCAGTGTCTTTCAGGTGGGCTCGGTGGGGGAGACACAACAGGAAAAACAGCAGATGTCTTTTTACATGTGCTGTTGGGCTTGATGCATGCCAGCGCTTACCAAGCTCTTGATGCCTTTAAACTCATGTAACCCTCACCCCAAGCTTGTGGAGTGGATAGTGTTACTATCCCATTTTACAGATGAGGAAATTGAGTTAGAAGAACTTAATGTCAGTTATCTAAGGACTGAAGCCGGCAAGCAGCAGAGCCCGGATTCTCACCTGGGGAGTACATTCCCAAGGCCCAGTGCCCAGACTTCCAGGTCTTCTGGTTTTTGAGGAGGTATTTGATTAATTTATGAAAAGATCATCGCTTGCGGCCTTGTTGGAATGAGTACCTTCTGGTTGTTACCTTAGCCCCATTTAATAACTCTCCCACATATACCTTTTACTTTTCTGTAATTTGAACAGTTAAAACCCAGATGATACCATGACCAGGGTTTTAATGATTAGAGGAATGACTTCAACTGAATTACTTCTTCACTTAATTGTTGCGTGTATGTGTGTGTGGCAAAAATAACTGTACATTTTACCATTTTAACCACTTTAGGTGTAAAATTCAGGGGCATTAAATACTTTCACATTGTTCTGCATCCATCACCACCATCCGTCTCCAGAATTTTTCATCTTCCCAAACTGAAACTCTGTATCCGTTACCCAGTAACTTCCTACTAACTCCGTCTTTACAGTCCCTGGCAACCACGCTTCCACTTTCTGTCTCTTTGAATTTGGATACTCTAGGTACCTCGTATAAGTGGAATCATGCCGTATTTCTCCTTTTGTGTTGGGCTTATTTCACTTAGCATAATGTCTTCAAGGTTCATCCATGTTGTAGCATGCATCAGAATTTCCTTTTTAAGGCTGAACTACATTCCATTGTATGTATGTACCACCTCTTTATCCGTTCATCCATTGATGGACATTGGGATGTGTCTACCTTCTGGCTACTGTGAATAATGCTGCTATGACCATTGGTGTACAAATATCTGTTTGAGTCCCTGCTTTCAATTCTCTTGACTACATATCCATTAGTGGAGTTACTGGATTATATGGTAATTCTATGTTTAATTTTTTTCAGGTGTCACTATATTGTTTTTCTCATTTGATCTTGACCATCAGTAATTGTACGTGTTAGCAAGTTATGCCTAACAAGCTTTTTCTGATTCTCTTAATACTGCCACAGAGATTTGGTAATAACAAGCTTACATGTAGATGAACAAATAGGCAGGTTTTGGTGGTGGTGGGTGGAGGGGATTTTGTTTTTAGTTTTATCTTAGTGGTTGCTGTAGTGACCATGATACTCTTAACGTTTGCCTGGGAGGAGCAGTCTTTCTGGCTAAAAGGCTGGAACCAAGCATGCTCAGATGTGAGACTGATTTTATTCAGTTCTGTTCTTGGGGGATGTAGTGTAAAAGGAATTCTAGTAGTTCACACAAAGTCATGCAAAGCTCAATAAAGATTTCAGCAAGGGAAGAACATTGAAAAGAAAGATTCCTCATACTAAAGAACTTTGCAGAAAAATTCAGGACCACTTTTAAACCCTCAGCCTTTTAAAATTAGCCCCAGGAGATCATGTTCTCTGTACTTTCTGGCAAAAAAATCTCTTCCAGACTCCCTTCTTAGGCATGCCACAGTGTGGCTGGAATGATGAAAATTATGCAAATTGGGTTCTCCAGTTTTTATGTCTCGGAAGTCTCCATTTAGGCCTGAGTAGTTGACAGTGCGAGGAAGCCACCATCTAGTGTGCCTTTAGAAGCCTTCATCAGAAGGAGCTCGTTGCTTTGGAATGAAATATTAAATTGAAGAGGTTCTTTAAAAACATTTGGGACTTCTGTGTGCCTGACCAGGATTATCTACTAGAGGCCAGGTTCTACTCAGCTCTCTGGCTTGGTAGCCCAGAGTCTGGAGTTTCTTGGATATGCTTTTTATGATTCTCTTAATATTGTCACTGAGATTTGGTAATAACAAGCTTACACGTAAATAAATAAATAGGTAGGTTTGGGGTTTCCTTGTTTTATTTGGGTATAGTTTTCCAAAAGAATATACCTCTTGCTTCTTGTTGCAGTAGGAAAATGATAGGGGCTACTTGCTTTGGGGTTGGGGAGAAAGATGGAAGTCTTCCTTCTCACCAGACTTGGAGATCATCTTGCTGCACCCTGGTCTCCACTTTCCTTAATAGCTGGTGCTTCTGGTTTCTAAGCCTTGCTGAGGTTCTGCAGGGAGGACTGGCTGGCTTCTCCACGGTAGCCACCCCTGGAGCCTCCCAGGTATGAAGTTATTCCACCCTGCACAATCCTCTTGCCATGTTCATACATTGTGTTTCAGGGTTAGAGAAGCCTCCTAAATCCATAGGGTGTGGGGCTTGCATTTTTATTTCTGGTTTTCATTATTTGAGGTTAACTTGTAAAAGAAGAAAGCAATATAACATTTCTTTTCCGGCCTCTTGAAATCAAAAATTTCTCCCCCTACTTGTCTTCCCCCTATTTCTTCCCCTATTTTGTTTTTAGAAGAAAAGATTTGTCAGCCATTAAATAAGAGGTGGAAAGAAAGAGATGAGTCATAAGATGAAAGCAACTGGGAAGAGTTGCTTTTGCCATTTGCTTGTTGTATTTACAAAGCTGCAGCTAGAACATATTCTGACTGCAAGCCAGGCCCTGTGCTAGGCACCTTTCTTATATTATCTGTAATACTGTCAATTATCTCATAAGGCAGATACTATTTATTCATGTTTTGTCCATGAGGAGTCTGAAGCTCAGCAAGATTAAGGAGCAAGGCCAAGATTAAGGAGCAAGGCCAAGGAGCAAGGCGCAAGCAATCCCTAGCTCTGTAAATGTCAGAGCCAAAATTCTAGCCCACATTTGTTGACCCCAAAGCCAATGCTCCATTTGTTACACATTACCTTAACACCAAGAACTCTCAAATACTCTCAAACATGCAGTTTTCTCTCTCATTAAAAAAAAAAAAATCTGGCCGGGCACGGTGGCTCATGCCTGTAATCCTAGCACTTTGGGAGGCCGAGGCGGGCGGATCACCTGAGGTCAGGAGTTCGAGACCAGCGTGGCCAACATGGCGAAACCCTGTCTACCGAAAATAAGCTGAGCGTGGTGGCAGGCGCCTGTAATCCCAGCTACTCAGGATACTGATGCAGGAGAATCGCTTGTACCTGGGAGGCAAAGGTTGCAGGGAGCCGAGATCATGCCACTGCATTCCAGCCTGTGCAACAGAGCAATGCTCCATCTCAAAAAATAAATAAATAAATAAATAAATAAATAAATAAATAAATATCTGATATATCTGGCGCATGAATAAGCAGCCATGCAAGGAAAACCCCAAATAAATAATAGAAAAATGTACCCTTGCATTGCAGCAAGGGTGCAAATATTTGCTAATTCACTTGGCCTTTCATGGTCACTTTTAGTCTTCTAATACTATAGGAAGTTATTTTTAAAATTCTTTTCTAGTCTCTAACATAATGATCAGCAGACAGTCTGATGATGCAGTCTCTGTTATCTTCATTTTTCTGATGTAGTTTTTCCTTCCAAAAGCTCACACACACTCCTGGCTGGAGGGCTGTATTTCTGCCTGCACGACTTTTATTTATTTATTTTTTTTACATGTGTTAATACTCAGGGGCACCCAGGGGGAAACTCCACAGACTTTCTTGATTACAAGATATCACCCTTTCTATGTAACAACCATCTAATCACTTCCCCTTGCCAAGAAATGAGAAAAGTATTTGTATTTGGAAAACCAAGCTACAACACGTGAAGGGTATTAAGAATGATTGTCTCCCCAGAATCCACACGAGCTTTCCCCATCTTAGTTTGTTTTTCTAAAGATAAAAACCACACAGCAGTGTTTGTAGTTAGATCTAACAAGTGCCCATGCTTGCGTAACAAGATTTCACTTTGGCTGTCTCAACTTTATTGTACGTAAATAATGTTGTAAGTAATCTTTGAAACAGTATAACGTGCAACCAGTGTTTATTTTTTTAATACTTCAGAATATGTCATTATTTATTTTAAATGGTGATTTATGATTGATGGGTGTTTCACATGCAAAATAATGTATTCCCAGGAACTCTAGGGAAGACAGAAGGGCGCACTGGAATCTCACAACTCCTTCCCTTGAGCAGACAGCTGGGGTCAGTTATGCAATTAAAAAACGCAAAGGGGAAATTCTTAGCTAAGCAGGTATGTAAATGATGCATGCCCATCCTGAAACTCAGATCTTCTCTTGATGGAGTTCCATAGCCTTTTGAAAGCATATCAGATCACTTCATTATCTGATTTCATGAAAAGGCAAATGACAGGTTGCTTCTTACTCCACTGCGTGGACAGTCCTAAGCCCTTGAAATGCTCATAAAGGTCACAGTGCCCAAGTTTAATGTCTTGGATGTGGAAAGAGAGATTGTAAGGGATCATATTGATTTGCATGAACTTTAAAACGCCATCAAACAGCTCAGAGGTTGTATCTTAAATGCAGCATTAAAATAGAAACAGACAAATAAAACCATATGTTTAAATGTGATGTTCGATTTGAGTATCAAAAACACGTGGGTTTTTCCCCCTTGTATCCAACTTTCTCATGAATCACTGGAGTTTCAAATCATCTAGTACACTTTTCTTCCTCTTATAGTTTTCTGTAGGACAGCCTCAAGTAATGGAGTAAGGAATAACCGTAAAATTTTAGTGAATACTCAAGCCAGTTTTCCTTCTGGTTGTTAGGAGCTTGAACTTTTTTAAACTATGGAAAACTAGACAGAGTTTAAGTTTCATGCAATATAAAGGTGGACCCTGTACTTCTGGTACCTCATCATAAATTTATATCTTCATGGGCTTCTCTTGGTATGTAAAATTATAATTTAGTTTGAGAGGTTGGAAAATTATGTCTAATAAGAGCACTCTGGACACTGCCACACATCATTCATATTGGTAAATTGGATGGATGATTTCCTTCTAACATAAAATGTCAAATTAATCTATGCTGGGAATTCCAGTACAGGCAGGGGGACCTTAGCTGTATCACTCAAGTCTGTTTTGATAGCATCCCAAATGCCACTGTTTTTATATTGAAAGCATACTTCATATGCTTTTGAAGTAAGATATCTACCACCACTGCATTGCATGTGAGAAATGTTACAGGGAGAGGAATGAAGTGGAGTTGCTGTTCCCAGTTATGCTTCAGAATTTCTGTTACCAAATTTGACTTTTAACAATTGTATGAACTTTTCATAAATTTCACATAAAACTAATTAGGGATTTTATGAAATTTTTATAAATTTTGTTTCAGGAGGAGATTACTTAAGTTTCTCCTAGGAATGTTAATTTACCTGGCAGACCAAATTGTAGTGCAGCAAATTGATTTGACCAATACAGGTTGAGCATCCCTAATCCAAAATTTTGAAACATTTTCAAAAGAAATGCTCATTGAAACATTTCAGATTTCAGATTTTTGGACTGGGGATGCTCAGCTGGTATTCTGCAAATATGCCAAACTCCAAAATAATCTGAAATCCGAACACTTCTAGTCCCAAGTATTTCAGATGAGGGTTACTCAACCTGTAATAAAATCAGATTATACTAATTTGCAAGAGTAGAAAATAATGATCTTAAATAATTTTTTTCATCACATTTTAATAAAAAATAAAGTGTACCAAAATTCTTAGAAGACCTTATGTAACCTACATGAAAGTTCTAATTATTTGACAAAGCTGAAACTTGTTTTAAGACACAGATAATGTCTAATTTCCCAAATCAGTGGTTTGTGCTCCTTTCTCCACCATGATGTGTAAATGGTGTGTTCACACAGGTGACATGATAGGCTGTAGGTGACATGCAGTTCCCAGCTGGTAGACCACGTTTAACTCAGTTTCTCTTCCTAGAAAGCATGCCCAAACACAAATGAGCGAGAATGATGTTGCAGTAGGAATGACCTTGAATCTTATGTCTTTAATAGTTACAAAAAAAAATACTTCTTAAAAACGGTAATTTAACCTTTATAGTCAAAATATCTTGGGGTATATTCTTGAGATTTGCAGATCCACTGTAAGCTGGTTAATTCTCAGCTTCTCATATATGATGATGGAAGTGGTGAAAGCAAGGAATGGGGAAAGTAATGCGAGCAGGAGACAATGAGACAAAGGGAACATTAGCTCCAGCAGAAATGCCAGGGTTGTGCTATTTTACATAAAATGTAGAGACTTTATAACCATATAGGTCCATTTAACCAACTGCCATTTTTTCCTACAGTTGTCATATTTATTGCAACTACATGCATTATAAACCTTGTAAGACAATGTATGTTATTATTTTTGCTTTAAGAAATTCAGAGCAAGTCTTTGCTATTGTGAATAGTGCTGCAATAAACCTATGTGTGCCTGTATCTTTATAGTAGAATGATTTATAATCCTTAGGGTATATACACAGTAATGGGATTGCTGAGTCAAACAGTATTTCTGGTTCTAGATCCCTGAGGAATTGCCACACTATCTTCCACAATGGTTGAACTAATTTACACTCCTACCAACAGTGTAAAAATGTTCCTATTTCTCCACATCCTCTCCAGCATCTGTTGTTTCCTGACTTTTTAATGATCGCCATTCTAACTGGCATACACCATGGAATACTAAGCAGCCATAAAAAAGAATGAGTTCACGTCCTTTGCAGGGACATGGATGAAAGTGGAAACCATCACTCAGCAAACGAACACAGGAACAGAAAACCGCGTGTTCTCACTCGTAAGTGGGAGTTGAACAATGAGAACACATGGACACAGGGACAGGAACATCATACACTGGGGCCTGTTGAGGGATGGGGAGCAAGGGGAGGGAGAGCATTAGGACAAATACCTAACGCATGCAGGGCTTAAAACCTGGACGACAGGTTGATGGGTGCAGCAAACCACCATGGCGTATACCTATGTAACCTGCACGCGCTGCACATGTATCCAGAACTTAAAAATTCTTCATATGTACTCAGATATTTACTGTTTATAATGCTCTTCATTCCTTCCTAAAAATGTACATTTCCCTCTAGTGTCATCTCCTGTTAGCCTGAAGAACTCCCTTTAACACAGGTCTGCTGGTAATGAATTTTTAGTTTTTTTAAATCTGAAATGTCTTCATTGCATCTTCATTCTTGAAGGATATTTTCACTGGATATTCTGGGTTGCACAAGTTTGTTTTCTCAGCACTCAAAGGATGTCATATCACTGTCTTCTGGTTACTGTGGTTTTCTGATGAGAGGTTCGTGGTTATTAAAATCATCCTTTCCCTGTATATCATGTGTAATTTTTCTCTGCTTTCAGGATTTTCTCTTTAGGTTTCAGCAGCGTGACCATGACATCTCTAGGCATTTTGTGTATGTGTGTAGTTAGGCGTTTGGGGCTTGCCAAACTTCTTTAATCTGAAAATTTATGTCTCTCACTCAATTTTGGAGGTTTTCAGCCACTGTTTTTTCAAATATATTTTTCTGCTCCATTTACTGTCTCCTCTCCCTCTACAACTCCAAGTACCAGACCTTAGACTCTGATATTAGCCCACACGTCTCTGTTCCTTTTTTTAAGTCTTTTTTTCTCTTTCCTTCAGATTGGATAATTTTCATTTATTTTCAAATTCACAAATTATTTCCTGCATCATTCCCCCATTCTTCTGCTAAGCACATCCAGCAGCATGTTTAAAAATTTCAGATCTATTTGTCAGTTCTATAATTTCTGTTTTGTTCTTTTAGTAGTTTCTCTGCTGAGATTTTCTGTTTTGTTCATTGCAGGTATATTTTCCTTTATGTAGTTGAACATAGTTAAATAGCTACTTTAAAGTCTGATAATTCCAACATATAGGTTATTTTGGAGATTGCAGCATTGATTGTCTTCTCTTTGAGAATGGGTCACATTTGTACATGTTATGTTGTGGAGAGCCTGCATCTGGCTGTATTCATTCAGAGAGTGTAAATATTTTTCTTCTAGTAGGTAGTTAACTTGGTTAAATTAGCTTGGTTGAAGTGGAGTAAGTATTGAATATTTATGTTAGGAATGACCTGTTTGCTATATTTTAAATTCAGATCATTTAGGTACCTTTCAGTTTCTTATATGGTACAAGTGTTTTAAAAAAAAAAATCACTCAAATGAGAATCAGAATGCTTGGGTTCCAGTCTTGGTCTTAATAGTTGACTACCTAATTATTGTTATATTACAATTAACAATCATTATGTTATAATTAGCCAAGTATTGTTATTATGATTCATTGTTATAATAAACAAGTTGTATCTCTTTGGCCTGTGGAATGAGAGGCCTGGTCACCCTTAAAGGTCCTTTTCCTATTTATGCCCTATACTCCTTTAATTGCTTAATATAAGTATCTTGAAGTCGGAGTTAATTATTTAATTTCATAGGATTCAAAATGTTGATTTCATATATTATGTAGCAGAAAGAATATCCCGGTATTAGAAAATGTCATGTATTATTGATATTTTTTCTTTTAATCTCAGATTGCCTTAAAAATACTTCACCCCTACTTTGCTTTATGCCTCAATGTTTCCTGGGCACAAGTTATTTCATTCAAACAACAATAACTGGAAAGAATTTTATTTTTAGCCTAATTATTATATTTTAAATGTTTGTTTGTCTCTTAGGAAAAAGTGCTGCAAAGGATATAAATTTGTTCTTGGACAATGCATCCCAGAAGGTATGTAATATAAAAAAGATATTGTCTGACTTTATTCACAACTAATCATTCAAAGTCTATCAACTTCAGATGTTCATGGAATATAGGTCTTATCTGTGTCTGATTATCTGTGTATCTGTCTGTGTATATTTTTTGGCATCAAATTTTTCTGACGCCAATTTTGTTATATGTAGCGTGCAGTGTCTGAATCATTACATGATGTGCTTGCACACATTGAGTCATTCTTATATAGTATTTCAGGTTTTATGATTAATGAGCTATAATCCCCCAATTAGCCCATTTGTGTAATTTTACACACAATTAGAACCAACCCTCCTCCCTTGACCTCTCTACCTGCTTTCTTTACCTGCCTTTCACCTGCTAAACTTTAAGTCCCTTTACATGACCATCAGCAAACAGTACCTGAGTGTTCAACCCAGCACTCAGATAGAGATACAGAGCAAAGTAAGGCGGGGACCCAGCCCTCAAGTTGTATGCATTCAAGTTGAGAAGCCAGGATGGGGAGCAGATAGAATCAGAGAGACCTAGATTTTAATCATGCTTCTATGTCCTACTAATAGCTTTGACCTTGGGCAAGTTCAGGTTACTTTCTAAGCCTTAGTTCTTACAGGGTAGTATTAGTATGTGGGTTAAATTATGGTTTTAAGAATTTTGCCACATGTCAAGCACTTGGAACAGAGGCTGTTTCTTATTATATGCTTGATAAATGGTGGCTGCTGTTATTGCTGCTGTTGTCATTGTTAGTAATAACTGCAATATGTGCAGTAGAGACATTCAAAGCAGAAAGTGTTCAGAGGGGACATATACACAGAGGCCCAGGGCAGTCAAAGAGGGTCTCAGAAATGAGGGGAGAAGTGAGACCATGTTATCAAGGAAGACTGCCCAGGACTTAAACAAGTAGAAAGTAGAGGGCTACAGAGGGTTCCAGGCAGAGCCCTGACACAGAAAGCAGTAAAGACTATTTGTTTGAAGGGCATGAGGTTAAGCTTGTTCAGGGCTAGGGTGAGGTGGGTGGGGAATGTGAAACAGTTTTCTTCACCTTTGCCCAAGAAGCCAGATCTCTATAGAAGATCTAGAGCCCAGCCAAGCTAATTCTGTTGCATTATCTCATAGAGCACCATTTTTGATCAGTTAGAAACAGATGAATCCCTCCCATTTATCGCTGTTTTCTGTGGAAGGTTGGGACAGTTCATTGAACCATAGCTGTGACCTTTGAGAAAGCTGCCATAGGAAGGCTGGCTGGGAATCGCTCCACGTGTGATGGTTGATGTGGTGTTGGGTTTCTCTAAGCTGAATTTCTCTCTGCTGAATTTCTCAATTCTGTTGGTTATAGCATGATGGGTAAACCCACAAAAGTCACAATAATTGCACTTCTTTCTATAACAGCTTTTCTCAGTCACCAGCTGTGTCCTTTATGTTGCAGTTTGGCAGACTCGAAAGAAAATTAAGTTTAGCCCCTTTGGTTTAAGATCTTATCTAAAGACCTTGCCCAACCTAATTAAAAACACATTGCATGGATACCACATACTTAGAGTTTCTTTCAATATTAGTGGTTTCAAACATCTAGGCCTTAAAAGTAGTCTCCCTCATCCTAAAGAGACTACAGCACCTATAATTAACATAACCCAGAACTGAATATTTTCAGGAAAAGTGGTCACACATGCTGAAAGTTGTTTTGCCAGAGCTAATTATCTGCTCTGTTGCTTTTTGCTAGAACACTTTTCATAGCATGTTTGTTTTAATCTGTGGGAAAAAGTCAATGATTGTTTCTTTTACTAAAGATATCTTTAGTCATAATTGTTTCTATCATCAAAGAATGCAAAGTACAAATGCAGTATTTCAGAAAATATTGTATATTAGGGTTCTCCAGAGAAATAGAACCAATTTTGATTTCGATTTTCTATGTAGGAGAGAGAGGGAGAGACTGAGACTGAGTGAGAGATTGAGACTTTTTTAAAGGGATTGGCTTATGAGATTGTGGAGATGCAAGTCCAAAATCTTCATTGTAGGCAGGCAGGCAGGCAAGAGATCCAGGGAGGAGTTGCAGTTGGAATCTGCTGGCCAGAAGTCCCCCTTAGATTGGTGGGGTGTGGGAGGGGAGGTCAGGTTTTTTCTATTAAGACCTTCACCTGATTGGATGAGGCCCACCCGCATTATGGAGGGTCATCTGATTTACTCAAAGTCTACTGATTTCAATGTTAATCTCATCTAAAAAATATCTTCACAGAAGCACGTAGAATAATGTTTGACCTAATATTTGGACACTTTGGCCTAGCCAAGGTGTCACAAAAAATTATCACAAATCTATGCCTTGTCAACTTGGCACCCATATGCATCTTCTTAAACCATACCTAATCTCCAGATAAAGGCAATAACAAAGTTGTATGTTCATCTGACATGCTGCAACTATGCTGCATGAAACACACTAACCCTTTCCCCAGAAGAGGGTATGAAGTCCTGGGGCACTGGACTTTTCCAGCATCTCCTTGATATGCTTTAATGTAAATACTGTGATGTAAAGTTAACAGTACTTAAATACTGTGATATAAAGTCACTACATCTTATGACATATGATAAGAAGATAAAAGAAGGAAGAAAACAAAGATTGGCATGCAGGTGCACACACACACACACACACACACACACAGAGACATGGAAATAATCCATGGAAAGATAAGAAATACTCATGACAATTTACAGGGCTTTTTTCTGTAACTTGTCCCGTGGTCATAGCTGATACATGTAACCTGCCACCTTCTACCACACAACCCATATTCCCTTTGCCCTCAGCAAGCACCTCGCCTGATCGTGGTTCTTTCTCTACCTGGTTAGGTGACCCACACCTTCATTCCTGAAGGATCTGAGACGTTAGCCCTGCCTGAATTGAGTTGTTGTCTTCTGCTGACTTTTTAATCACAGGGTGTGACAATACTAAGGGACCACCTAAGGTGTTTCTGGTGTTCCAGACATTCTTCCTTCCCTCTGTTGTGGAGTAACAGTACAATTTCCCCTTGGTAGCCAGGATCAGTCACCCCAGCTAGAACAATAACTCCCTTTTTTGCCTGCTGATGCAGAGGCATGAGGAGACCAAAGTAGCCAGGTGGCACCTTAATTTTCAGTTCAATGGAATCATTTTTGCTTCTGTTGCTAGAAGTATTCCTCCCTTTGAAACTAGGCCCTCTAGGCCAATATAACATAAAGTTATAGGAACAGGAAGCAAAAATTTTGCTAGTGGATCAGTAGGGATAACAGTGAGTGGTGCCACTCCCACTTCCACCCCTTGATTCTGGGACCTGTGAATCCTGGTTATGGGACAAACCATACCATATGTTGGATACTGATTCAGAGAATATATATCCTCCTGGTGAACCTGACTCCAGACTAAATAGCTGGGTACCATGGCCTAGCCAAGTTGACATGTAGCACTAACCATCACAGATGGCAAAAAGAAACTAGAATGTCTAAAGAAATACGTTAACTAATGAGTGGAAGCTATAGTTTTTAAGCGTTGCTGCCTCGTATTTGCTGCTCTAAGTCAGGGCTCAGTGAACTGTGGCCTGTGCCCTAACTCTGATTCTGTAAATGAAGGTTTATTGGAACACAGTCAAACCTATTTATTTCAGTATTATGTGTGACTTCTTTTGCACTACAACAAATTACAGCAGAGTTGAGTAGTTGCAAAAGAGATCTACAAAGCCAAAATATCATCTGGCCCCTTAACATAAGTTTGCTGACCCCTGCTAGAAGTGATGTCTTGATTGGCCAGGTGATAGGATGATCTCATTTGTTCTACTTCAGCAATTATTAATTCAGCATAAACTGTGGGAAGGGAGCAGTACTGGTTTCTCAAGGGGACACAGTCCCTGCCAGGTAGCTGAGCAGTCATAAGAACCAGCAGCAAAAGAAGCAGAAGAGCAGGTAAAGCTTGTACTGTGCATCGGGCACAGTGCTTAATGGCATCATCCAATTTAATCTTCATAAAAGCACCATGAAGTGTGGGTATTATTATCTTTATTTTGTAGGAGCTGAGGCATAAAGAACCCAGGATCACCGAGATAGTGGCAGAGATGGGAGGGTTGTCCCAGAACCTATACTATGCACCCTAAAGCTACATACTTCCTGGAATAGGGCCTGGCACAGAGTAAGCATTCAGTAAATGTGGAAGAGTAGCCAGCCGCAGTGGCTCACGCCTGTAATCCCAACACTTGGGAGGCCAAGGCGGGCGGATCACCTGAGGTCAGGAGTTCAAAACCAGTCTGGCCAAAATAGTGAAACCCTGACTCTACTAAAAATACAAAAATTAGCCAGGCCTGGTGTCTGGCACCTGTAATTCCAGCTACTCCAGAGGCTGAGGCAGGGAGAATTGCTTGAACCAGGGAGGTGGAGGTTGCAGTGAGCCGAAATTGTGCCAGCGCACTCCAGCCTGGGTGACAGAACGAGACTCCATCTCAAAAAAATAAATAAATAATAAATAAATATAGCAGAGCATGGGAATAAAAGAGGTATAGAGTCCCATGGGCGGTGAGAGGGTAGACAAACTAAACTCTGTTGAGGAGGTCAAGGAAGGCTTCTTGAAGGGGTAGCATTTGTATCAACTCTTGAAAAACTGGATAAGATATCAACAATTATAAAAGGACATTGCAAGAGGTAAAAACAGAATAAACAAAAGTATGGAGGTGAGAAGGCAAGGATGTGAATAAGGGGTGAAGAAAAAGAGAAGTTAGTTTTGCTGCAGTATAAGGAACTTACAGATAAGTCTCAAGGTTAGAAAAGTCTCAAGGGATATAATGCCAGAACTTAAATACAGGAGCGAACCATTTATATTTCATGTTGATTAGTAGCAAGTTGTAAAGGTTTTTAAACAAGGGGATGGTGTACACAGTGCTATGCTTTGGGAAGGTTAGCCTGGCAGTGTTATCCCAAATGGATTTAATCTTGGGATGGTAAGAATCTTGGGATGAAGATCTTGTTTACAAGGGAGTTTCTGAAGGTCTGAGTTAGAATGGTGCCAAAAGAAATAGGACAGAGAGGATAGAAAATAGATACACTGTAAAGATAAAAGCTACATGACTGAAAGCTGGTAGGCTCTGGGGAACAAGCATCAAAAATGGAGGACTGAATAAATTCATTAATCTTGCCTCCTCCAGAAAATGCACAAAATGGGCAGGGCAGGAGGAGGAGGCTGGAAAGATTCACAAAAGACAAACCCACGAGGACAAAATGGGAAGAGGAGATAATAGCAATAAAACTTTGGAAGCTGGAGAACAGAGAGGGAGGTGGTAAATAGCTTAGCACAATCCAAAAGGTTGAATTGTAGCCAGCTTAAGGAAACCAAGGAGCAACCCCAATTTACACCAAAACAAACAGTAATCAGTAACACTACAAATAAACTAGAAAAAGGGGTAAAAGTAGTGTGAAAACAGGATTGATTAAAAGTTTAAGAAGAAGTCAGACTCCTGGATCTTGTCCTCTGCTCCATACAGACAGGATATTGCCTTTTCCACAACCAGACAGAAGACAGAAGATATATTTTCTAAGAGAGTACACCAGAGGTTCAAGGATCTGAAGGAGACCAGTCAGCTGAAAATGAATGCCCAGTACTGAAAAAGGAGGGTTTCGGTAAATGCTCACACATTGAATTTTGAAGCCCTCAGCCTTCTCCCTTCACTTGAGTTCCAGAATGACTTCACTCTCAGGCAAGGATTTGGAAATGTCTTCTGTGGGCATTCTAGACAACCCAAGGAAAAGGTCTTAAGAAACTGAACTTGTAATGCACTGGCCAAATCACTTACAGTGATACCCAGATGTCATAAAATCATAAAACTATATGCAAACAGATTCTATTAATCTGTTTTAAATACACCGTGAATAAACTAGAGCAGCCGTCTCAGGATCATCAGATATTAGAGGGAAACTACCATTTGGCCCAGCAGTGGTATATATTCAAAGGAAAATAGATCATTACACCAAAAAGACACATGTATTTCTATGTTCATCACCGTGCTATTCACAATAGCAAAGACATGGAATCAACCTAGGTGCCCATAGTAGTGGATTGGATAAAGAAAATGTGGTACATATACACCATGGAATACTACACAGTCATAAAAAAGAATGAAATCATATCTTTGGCAAAAACATGGATGGAGCTGGAGGCTATAATCCTAAGCAAACTAACATAGGAAGAGAAAAACACAAGTACCACATGTTCTCACTTATAAGTGGGAGCTAAACATTGTGCACACATGGACATAAACATAGGAACAAGACACTGCAGACTAGTAGTAGGGGGAGGAAATAGTGGGAGGGTTGGAAGGTGAGTAGTCGGGGGAGGAAATAGTGGGAGGGTTGGAAGGTGAGTAGTAGGGGGGAATAGTGGGAGGGTTGGATGATGAGTAGTGGGGAGGAAATAGTGGGAAGGTTGGAAGGTGAGTAGTGGGGGAGGAAATAGTGGGAGGGTTGGAAGGTGAGTAGTAGGGGGGGAGTAGTGGGAGGGTTGGATGGTGAGTAGTGGAGGGCGGAAATAGTGGGAGGGTTGGAAGGTGATACTGAAGAAGTTTTCCAAGCACGAGAGCAAGAGATCAAAGAAATTAACAATAGGGAAAAAAAAAGATGAGAATATTAGACATAAAGTCCAGGGGATGCAACATCCAAATAATTTAAAATTCCACACAGAGGGAGTAAGTTCTTAAAGATATAATTCAAAAAGTCTTCAGAATTGAAGGATATTAATTTCCAGATTATAAAAAGGGTTTACCAAAGATTGAAGTGGTACCATATAAGTCCTAAAAATTTTTAGGGAGGAAAAAAGATGTGATTCATACAAAAGCTCAAGAGTTTGAATCTCACAGGACTTCCCTGCAGCAGCATTGAAAAGCTGGAAGACAATGGAACAATGCCTTCAAAATTCTGAGGCAAAGTTTTCCAACCTAGAATTATATACACAGACTATCAGTAGTAATCATAAGGGTTGATAAAGTATATTTTAGACATGCATGATCTCAAAACTTTTACCCCTTTTATGACATTTTTCAGGAAGCCAATGGAGAATATTCTCCACTAAAATGAGGGAGTAAACTGGAAGAGAGAAAGACATGGATATATGGTTTGGCTGTGTCCCCACCCAAATCTCACATCGAACTGTAATAATCCCCACGTGTCAAGGGCAGGGCCAGGTGGAGATAATTGAATCATGGGGGCAGTTTCCCCATACTGTTCTCATGGTGGTAAGTCTCACAAGATCTGATGGTTTTATAAATGAGAGTTCCCATGCACAAGCTCTCTCTTGTCTGCCACCATGTAAGACATGACTTTGCTCATTTGCCTTCTTCCATGATTGTAAGGCCTCCCCAGCCATGTGGATCTGTGAGTCAGTTAAACCTCTTTCCTTTATAAATTACCTAGTCTCAGCTATGTCTTTATTAGCAGCGTGAGAACAGACTAATACATGAGAGATCCAGGAAACAGGAATCCAACAAAAGAGAGAGGGAGGTGATGGGCATCCCTAGGTTCATGGTGAATGCACATTCATGGAGGCAGCTGTAGGCTGGGCGCGGTGCTGGTAATCCCAGCGCTTTGGGAGGCTGAGACGAGGATTATTTGAGGAGTTCAAGACCAAGAGTAGTAGCTGCTGTGCAGCAGACCTACAGAGTCCTAATTAGAGCAAGTTGAGATTAATTTGAAAAAATGTCTATAAGAAGAGATTCGCAAAATTGAGGGGATCTCTGGTGATGAATCAGTGATCAATTTGTAGAAAACTGAATATGTAGATTGAATTGTCCAGAAACAGAGCCTTCACCACTTATTTAACAGAAAGCAATTAATATGAAGAATTGCTAACTAGTAATTGAGAACCAAAAATGCAAAGGAAAACTAAGTATCATTGAGGTAACAACTGCAGGAAGCAGCTACCGCCTCTAGGCTAGGGAAACAAAGAGAAGATACTGGGCCAGTGAAAACTTAGAAGTTTGGAGGACCCAGCACTCTGAGGAAGAGGTACTGGCTAGCAAGCCCTATTTCTCAGAACTCAGAGGAAGTTACTAGTGGATCAGGGACCCAGACCTTTGAGGAGGGGCTACCAGATGGCTGGCTGGTGCTGATGTCTCTGAAATGGGATATAGTGAGGCTGATTTTGCAAGTGTTGGAAAAAATACAAGCTGGATTTTGCTGCTACTGTTTTCTTTTTGGTAGACACAGGAGCTCACTATGTTGCCCAGGCTGGTCTTGAACTCCTGGCCTCAAGCCAGCCTCCTACCTCAACCTCCGGAGGTGGCACATGCCACCATGCCCGGCTTGCAGCTGCTATTGAAACAGTCTGCTAGTGGGATGGAAGAGAAAGGCTGATATTAGGCTTTCATGAATAGGAAGCCCAGGAAGCAAACCAGAAAAAGGCAGATATCCTTTCTTCCTCTTCCAGCCTCCCTGTCTGTATCTGTCTGTGTCTCTATGTGTGTCACTGTCAGAAATGAAGAGGCTGGCAACTGACACAGGAATAATGTGGTCTCCAGAGCCCAAGTCACAAAGTAGCCCATGGAAGAAGAAGGTGGGTGTTTGAAGCTAAGAGGGAAAGCTCAGTAACTGGCACCCCAAAAATATACAAGGTAATTCTTTTAATTCCAAAGAAGACAAAAAGGTCTTCAAGAAGGTACAAGTAATTCAAGCATACTTCCAGGCTCAGCAAAGAATAGCTTTTATGTTGTCATTATGGTGCAAATACTAACAATTACCGCACCAAAATATCATCATAACTGTATTGGCCAGATGGAGGGAATATGAAGTTATGGGTGTGACTGCAGGGCACAGGAGGCCGTGAAAAAGTTAAATGCATCTCTTCTGTTACTGGAAGTCAATAGAGAGGATTTAAAATAAAAATAAAGCAATGCAAGTCAGCTATTTAGAGATGCAGAAGTGAGTATAGAAAGAATCAGAAGAGTTGAGAGCGGTTCCTCAGGGAAGCAGAAATGGTAGGAGAGACAGGGAACTGCCTTGTTAGGCACCATGATCAACTCAAACACTTCGACAGCCTCTCTGCCTCCTTCTTCCCCTTCCCAGCTGCTGCGGAATGGTGGCAACAGCCAACAGGGAAGCTCAGAGCCAGTCATGCCAGGATCACGCTCTCCAACAAAAAGAGCACAGAACCTTGGCTGCCTAGAGGCGATGCCAAGTGGGGGAAACGTGTAGCCAGAGACAGTTTGCAGGGTTGGTCAGAACACCATGCAGGCAAAGCAGGCCTGAAATCACAATCATGGGAAGGAGTATTTTACAAGGGCAGCTTTCCAGGTCATCGTGAGAGTGGCACAATACTTGTCACACAAACCCTCCCTGCATCAGGAGCTGACAGCCCACCCGTTCACCTTCATATGTGGTGGAGCAAAGCCAGACTCGCTCTGTGTCCAAGTATAGTTTATCTGTCAGCACCTGGAAGAGATAGTGCAAGGATTAATGAGGTGCTGGCTCCGGTCCGGGAGTCAGTGTTGTGCCTGAGCTACTGAATTAGAGCCAAAGTCCCTTCAGAGGCTCATTACATATCAGTTCATAGGAACTGAGAGGAGCAGATGCCCTAATTCTTTATGAGTAGCAGTGTATCCACCTCAGTTTGTACAGGCTGAGAGCTGGAAAGAGACCTCTAGCCATTCAAACTCACCCAACCCCTTCTCAGCATGAGAGATCAACCCCCCAGGATGCACACTTATACAGTATACACACATAAGCATCGGCCCTCTTATAAGTCATGCACATTTCTATTACAAAGTGATATGGTTTGGCTGTGTCCCCACCCAAATCTCATCTTGAATTGTAGCTCCCTTAATTCCCTCGTGTCATGGGAGGGACCTGGTGGGATGTAATTGAATCATGGGGTGGGTCTTTCCCATGGTGTTCTCATGACAGTGAATAAGTCTCACGAGATCTGATGGGGAGTTCCCTTGCACACACACTCTTGCCTGATACCATGTAAGAAGCAGCTTTGCTCCTCATTCACCTTCAGCCATGATTGTGATGCCTCCCCAGCTATGTGGAACTGTGAGCCAGTTAAACCTCTTTCCTTTATAAATTACCCAGTCTCAGGTATGTCTGTATCAGCAGCATAAGACTAGACATGTATACACAAAGCCCCCTTCCTACCTCTCTGAGCCTGCCTGACTTCCAGCCCTTCCTCCCACATGATGACACCAGTGCCTGTCACCCCAGCTGGCCTTTGTTTAGTATTCTGCTGGGTGGAGTCACCTGCCTCTACAGCAGTTGATGAACAAGACAAAACAGCACCCCCAACCCCGAGGGAATCCGCAGAGGCTGGCCCTCTTAAGAGTCTTTTCTCTCTGGATAGTGACAAAGACCAAAGGATGACAAGGTGACCTAGGGGAAAAATCACGAGTGATGTGATGCCATGTAAGTTACCCATTGCAGTACTCTTAGAAGGTGACCCACAGCCCTAAAGAGTTCCTGTCCCTCCAAGTATATCTGTCCACACTTCACACGTGCCCTTGAGCAGAGCCCAGCCCAGAAAGTCCTTTCCAGGCCAGGGCCAGGTTACTCCGCCTCCTCCTGTAGTTGATGTGAGCTCTCACTTTGCTTTTTCAGATTACGACGTTTGTGCCGAGGCTCCCTGTGAACAGCAGTGCACGGACAACTTTGGCCGAGTGCTGTGTACTTGTTATCCGGGATACCGATATGACCGGGAGAGACACCGGAAGCGGGAGAAGCCATACTGTCTGGGTGTGTTGGGAATGTGCTTGTTTCCAGCTTCTGAACATGTGCCTTGTTCAGATGGTTCTGTCCTTGGTTGGACCCTTCAGTTCTCATACTTGTTGGATGGAGTTGTGTTTGATATTATCCTAGGGATAGCTTATCACTGCCCTTCATCACAATTACTAAAACCAATTAGGCCCAAGGAATTCTTCCGGGATTTGGTACCAGCAAGGTCCTAATTGGCAATGAGACATAAGAGCAGGAGAAGGGGAACATGCCCAAATATAAACTAGAATAATGTAAAACAGAGTATAAGTGGTCAGAAAAGTAAAAACGCAGACAGAACAAAACAAGAATAAACATTCTCTTAGAAGATGGTTGGGGAAAAAAGGAAGTAGCCATATGGCAGACAGGTTGGGAGGAAGTCAGAGGGAGCTGAAGCCAGCCACCTGGGCTGCAGCTGAGCAGAGCCTGCACCATCCACGGCACCAGCCTGTTTACTGCCACCCTCATGAACTGGCTATCCCAGCCGTGCACTCCTTGAGGTTCTAAGGCAGCTTTATGGCTCATTTTCCATTGGAACCATGTGTCTGAAAGTGTGGTCAGTTCATAACTAACCCAAGAAACATCTGGGGTCCTCGTTTGGGGAAAAAAAAAAAAAACCTGGCCTTTTCTCCACACCTAATGAATCACAACTCTGAGAGTGGGTCCAGACGTGCATATTTACACCAATGCCTCTAATGATTCCTAGGCATGGTGAGATTTAAGAATCAACTGGAGGATGAACTGCCAGAGACTAGCAGGTAGACCTACATGGAAGATAAACCAGCTGTCATGAGCATCCCTCTTTCTCTATCCTAGCAGGGGCTCTAGGGAGCACCATTTCTGAGAAGTTCTAACCGTAGGTCCTCTGGTTGCTCCCTGTCGGCATTTGGGAATGGTGCCCCACAATGCCAGACAATGGGATTGTGACTCCCAAGTGAATGGGGCAGGGATCTCTGGCCTCTCCTGCAGAGAAAGGTACAGGCCATTCCATGAGGCTCAGGTCCCAGGCACAAGGCTCTTACTTCACTTTATAGCAGCTACTGTACCCTATTCTTTATGCATTTATTTTTGAGACAGGGTCACACTCTGTTGCCCAGGCTGGAGTGCAGTGGCGTGATCATGGCTCACTGCAGCCTCAACCTCCCGTGCTCCTGTGATCCTCCCACCTGAGCCTCCTGAGTAGCTGGAGCTACAGGCATGCGCCACTACACCCAGCTAATTTTGTTCGTATTTTATAGAGATGGGATTTTACTATGTTGCTCAGTCTGGCCTGGAACTCCTGGGCTCAGCTTCCTGTCTTGGCCCCCCCAAAGCGCTGGGATTACAGGCATGAGCCACCGCACCCAGCCCCCTGTTCTTTTTGTTTGGGGGTTTGGGGACCAGCAGAACTTGGCTTCTACTAAGAGTTCTATTTCTATCTCTGATTTCAACTTCATCTCCTCTCTCTCTGGGCAGTACAGGCAGCATCACATGTAGGTTTAGGGCAGGGACACCTGGGGAAAGGCAGTGAGCCTGAGGAATTGCAGAGGAGGATGCAGCTGCAACATCCGGTCTACAGGTGACATAGTTGGTACTGCCGGGGAGCGTCCAGATGACCACCCTCCCCTCAGCGTACACAGGGACTGAGTCACTGGCAGCTTGTGCAGGGAGTGGCTGGGAAGTTGTTGCCATCCTCAAGTTCAGGGCTGGCCTGTGTCTACGCAGCACATGTGCACAGTCTGGGGCTGCATGCCACGGCTCCCACCCACTGCTACCCACTGTCTTCAACCAGTGAACAGGAAATGGAATTGGGCCTCCCACTGTCCTCGTGGTGGGAAACGTTTTTGTTTCCACCATGCGGCAGGGGAGCAAGTCCATGATGTGCATAGTTAACATGGGCTCTTCATGGGGACTTGTTTGATGGTCCCATGGCTCATTTCCACAGCTCATGAGGGGTCTGTCTGGGTTCTTGATGAGGCAGAAATTTCCTGGGGAAGACTCTTTCCATTAGACCCATTATGACTATTTTCTTTTATTAGAAGTATCTTTTCCCAGGTGCCATCATGGCTTTTAACTGGGAAGGAGCCATTCCTAAGTGACCTGTGGGGTCATCGTCATGCTGTTTGGAACCTATACCATAAAGGGAAACTTAAAAATCCCCAGCACAGTAGGGCACTCACAAAAAATCATCTCTATAATGTTTGCTTCTCTGAGTGTTGTCACTGGTGATCTCATTGTCATTTCTAAGCAGCCCTCTGAAGTGTTTAGGGCAGGCTTCATTGTTATTGTTCTGTAAGTGAGATCTCTGAAGGCTAGCAGTCTAAGCCACATGACTTGCGAGTGGCAGAGCCACAGCCAGGAACCCCATCACTGATCAGCCTGTAACAATGGCCACTTGGCCAAAAGTGCTGTTTTTATGGATGACCCACATTTCTAGCTCCCTACTTTATTCCAGGCTGCTCTGATCAAGGTCGGCCCAAGTGTCCTTCATTGTTATTAACAGAGAGGCAAAGCCCAATGTCATCTGTTGTATTAGAAGTGAATTCTCAGAAACTTAGTATTCTCTACATTTGGTTCAAACCAGATATTGATGAGTGTGCCAGCAGCAATGGGACGCTGTGTGCCCACATCTGCATCAATACCTTGGGCAGCTACCGCTGCGAGTGCCGGGAAGGCTACATCCGGGAAGATGATGGGAAGACATGTACCAGGGGAGACAAATATCCCAATGACACTGGTAAGTAGGGCAAGTCTAAATATCTCCCTAATTACATATTTTTATATATTATATATATAACCAGTTTGGGGGTTTATATATTATATAGATATGATTATATAATTGTATATATAAATATATTTATGTAATTATGCTATGTAATTTTATATACAATGTATGCCACATTATGTTTAATGTCTAAAGTTTCCAAGTGCCTATATGTAATTATACATAATTATTTATTGTATAAGTTCGTTCTCACACTGCTGATAAAGACATACCCAAGACTGGGTAATTTATAAAGAAAAAGAGGTTTAAAAAACTCACAGTTCCATATGGCTGGGGAGGCCTCACAATCACGGTGGAAGGCAAAGGAGGAGCAAAGGCACGTCTTACACGGTTGCAGGCAAGAGAACGTGTACCGGAGAACTGCCCCTTGTATTGATAAACCATCAGATCTCTGAGACTTATACACTGTCATGAGAATAGCATGGGAAAGACCTGCCCCCATGATTCAATTACCCACCACCAGGTCCCTCCCATGACACATGGGGATTATGGGAGCTATAATTCAAGATGAGATTTGGGTGGGGACACAGCTAAACCATATCATGTATTTTATATTCATGTAGTTATATGTAATATATATAACATATATTTTTATATATTAAGAGCACAATCAGGTACCTCAGAGGACAAGCAGGCAAGTGGGCAGGAAGGGGCACATATATGAATTGTAAATGGGACCTAGGGAAGAGAATATAAGTTCAAACTCCTTCTAAAGAGAAAGAATAAGAGTGATGCCCATTAGCTCAAGGGTTGTAAGCTAGTGTGTACTGGAGGAAGCTCTCCACCAAGCTGAAGTGGTGTGCTCTTAGAGAAATGAGTAGAGCTTAGATATGTGTTTAGACAAACTAAGATGAGCAGAGAAGAGGTCAGAAACGCTGTGTTTTCCCAAAGAAAATGGGCTGAAATATAAATATGAAACATCTCCTTGTAAGGTAAACAATCTGTATCCATGCTACTCAAAATATGGTCTAGGGACAGGCAAGATTCACAATTGGATAAAAACAAAAATTGAGAGTGTTTAAAAATTTTTATATCAATCTGACAGAGGAATTTTGTTTAAATCCAAAAATTTATGCTTGCATTTTACATCTTATTTTTGTAGTGGTTCATCTTTGTGTTTCACAGAAGTATCAGTCCACAGGCAGTTGGAAAATTTCTAAAAGCTGGGCCTTTAGCACAGAGCTGAGAAGCTGATTTACATTATGTCGGCGACATTCAACTGAGATGTCTGGTCACTCAAGCATATGATCAGCTGAAGTTCGGGTTATTTCCTTATTTGAGTTCGGAGGAAAAAAGAAGAACGAGGCAGAGTGGAAAAGGGGAGGGATGGGGGAAGAGGAAAGAGAGAAGAAGAAAGAGAAAGGAGAAAGAGAGCCCCTAAACTAATATCAATGCTCCAGGCAATGCCTTGTCATCAAAATACCACCATATGCATGTGTGAAGCAGCTCTGGTCCCCCTGCCAAGTTGTCAGTGCCAGCCTAGCCATGAAAATGTAGGATTTTAGCCTACATGTCAAGGGCCTTTCTAGCAAGGGTGAACTTTGAAGCAAAATGGACTCCATTGACAATGGCTGGCAGGACCACTTCCCTGGGGAGAAAGCCCTCAGCCACTTAGAGGGCCTGAGGCTGGTGCCACACAGCCACCAGCTCCTGTACCCACTACTTGTAGCCCAGGAAGCTGCTGTCCTCTTCCCCAAGCCTAGGGCTTAGCTCTTCTCTACTTACCTCGGGAAGGGAAGGTGGCTGGAGCTCTGTCGGGAGAGGTTGGCTGGGCCTGAACCTTCCTTTGGGGTTCCTAGGACAAATCACCCATAGCCAGAAATGCAGAGATGAAAAAACCAGAGCTGTTTGGGCACTCAGGAGGTGGTGATTCTTGGGTGTAGCCCAAGCTTCAAAAAGGGCTAGAAGGCAGCAGCCATCAGCTGAGGACAGCAAACAGCTGAGGACCAGCTTCCGCTGCCTGGCAAGGGAGAACTACAAAGTGAAATTCTGACAAGCAACTGGGCTGAGTCACAAGGAAGCTGCCATATGTCGGAAGTAAATGCAAAATAAGTCTTTGGAACCAGTTTAGGATTGGGCGATTTGAATAATTTGAGTGAATTTGAGGACTTGGTGACACTTCTTAAAGCCTGAAGCATGTGGCATGTGCCTGCCCAGGGGTGTTCATAGGGCAGAGGAAACGGGCTTGTCGATCATCCAGGTTGACTGGAGAAAAGTAACATTTACAGACCACTTTTTTGTTTTGTTTTGTTTTTGAGACAGAGTCTTGCTCTGTTGCCCAGGCTGGAGTGCTGGAGTGCAGTGGTGCAATCTCAGCTCACTGCAAATTCAGCCTCCCGGGTTCAAGGGGCTCTCCTGCCTCAGCCTCCCAAGTATCTGGGATTACAGGTGCCTGCTACCACTCCCTGCTAATTTTTGTATTTTTAGTAGTTTCACCATGTTGGCCAGGCTGGTCTCAAACTCCTTGACCTCAGGTGATCCGCCGGCCTCTGAGCCTCCCACAGTGCTGGGATTACAGGCATGAGCCACCATGCCCTGACTACTTTTTAAGTTCCAAATTAAAATCACTGAGTTTTGTCCCATGGTGGAGACAGTGGGGGAGGGGCAGGCAAGTGTAACTTACCTCATAGATGATGTCCTTTACTGAAAACAGGAATCTCACTGAAAAACAGGGTGCAGCTATTTAGCCACTGATCTATGAATGTGTGGGGCCTGCTTGAGAATCAGTCACAAGAAAGCAGCTTTCTAATTTTTCATTTTGGGAATTGGATTTTCAGCTATGCTCTGAGCCAGGTAGCCCATGCGTTATGGACAGCCCAGCCTGGCAAGTCCATTGTCTCTTTGCCTCAGATTTATCTACAGGTGAAATCCCACTTATATGCTCATGAAGGGCAGCCTCCAGCAACCAAGGCTTATGCTTGAGCATAATCACCGGGAACCCCAGCAACAAACGCAATACTGCTGGGGGTTAGGTTGAGATTCGATGTTGGGATATAGAAATAATAGGACCTGGCCCCGCCCACAAGGAGTTCCTGCCTGTGAGGGAGAGTGGCCTGCGGGGAGACCAACCATCACTAGCAATGACCAGAGAAGCGGGATGGAATTTCCAGAGACTGGTATCAGATTTTAAATGCTGAGTTTATTTGTGCTTTGGTCTCAGGTAGCCTCCACCTCCTGCAGTAATTCCTAGATCCTCCACCCACATTCCTCTTCAGTCCCCAAGGCAGCAAGCCCTGTGTATGGCCCTGCTGTGTGGTGCCCTGGCGGTGGCTGTAAGTCAGAGAAAATCAAAAAAGTTAGCTGGGTGTGGTGGCACGTGCCTGGAGTCCCAGCTACTCAGGAGGCTGAGATGGGAGGATCACTTGAACCCAGGAGGTCTAGGCTGCAGTGAGCTACGATTGCTGTGGGTCAGAGTGCAGTGACAAGGTCTGCCCTGGTGAGAGACAGTCACCTGTGCCTCCAACCTTCAGCAGTGTGGGCCCAGAAAGGGCTGGGGGCAGGCTAGGGTGGGAAAGGGGGAAGGAAAAGGAAGTTCCCAGAAATTAGCAGTCTCTTGCTAAGTCAGCACTGGGACTACATGCACCTCTTTCCTTCCCTGAGAAATGAAATGTACTTCTTAAATATTTTTCAAGTAAAGTTTCAGATAAGTACAAGAAATCAAGAATTATTTTTAGTTGATGACCAGTGTGACCTCTGTGGCTAAGAATTCAGTAAAAATACCTGAGCAGTAGTAATATTAGAGGATCTATTTTACATTGTTTTTTGGTATCTTCTCTAGTATTATTTGCGTTAAAGGCATATTTTATCTCCACCGTTTACTGCAGCATTTCCCCACATGATGTTCTGCAGACCTGTGGGTTCCTGTGAGCTGTCAATAAGCATATCTTTCTTAAGGTCCTGTGTTCAGGTGTTTGGAGGAGTGTGCCTCACTGCACCCACTTCCTAAGGGGTCACAATTAGAATGCACTAAAAGCCCAGAGAGATTGCCATTTAAAAAAAAAAAATTAGGTCAGGTGTGGTGGGTCAAACCTGTAATCTCGGCACTTTGGGAGGCCAGGGTGGGAGGATCGTTTGAGCTGTTCGAGACCAGCCTGGCCAACATAGTGAGACCCCATCTCTACTAAAAATTGTTTAAAAATTAGCTGAGCATAATGGTACATGCCTGTAGTCCCAGCTACTCAGGAGGCTGAGGTGGGAGGATCACTTGAACTCAGGAGGTTGAGGCTGCAGTGAGTTATAATTGCACCACTGCACTCCACCCTGTCTCAAAAAAAAAAGAAAAGAAACTTTGATTAAACCCAAAATTATTCCTACAGACATATCACAAGTGATGGTATCCTGAAGAACAGTTTAGAAAATATCAACTTAGCATCAAAGATCTTAGCTCTGGGGCCAAACGATAAGCCAACTGGTCAACGTTCAGGCAAGGATGTTGATATCAGCAGATGAAGCGGCCGGAGTCCAGAGAGGAGTGTTTTCTGTAGACTGCATGGCATCTGATGAATGGAAGTAGGATACTACCTTCCATTCTGCCATATTGAGAGACAGTTACAAGTGACTATAATGAGGGATGTCCTGTTTAATCAAGAGCATTCTGCTGGTTATATCATTGAGCTTTACTGTCATTCAAAACTCATTGCAAAAGATGACACTTGGCAGCCGGGGATGGTAGCTCAGGCCTATAATCCCAGCACTTTGGGAGGCTGAGGCGGTAGGAACGCCTGAGGTCAGAAGTTCAAGACCAGCCTGGCCAACATGGTGAAACCCCGTCTCTACTAAAAATACAAAACATTAGCTGGGCGTGGTGGCAGGCGCCTGTAATCCCAGCTACTTGGGAAGCTAAGGCAGGAGAATCGCTTGAACCCAGGAGGCTGAGGTTGCAGTGAGCCGAGATCACACCATTGCACTTGGCTTGGGCAACAAGGGCGAAACTCTGTCTCAAAAAAAAAAAAAAAAAAAAAGATTACACCTGGCTGGGAATCCTCTCCTCTTTCTCTTCCATTGACATCCTTCCCCAAATATAGCAATTGCAAATAGTCTTAAAAGGGAAACCTGATATGACTCTACTAAGGGTGCTCTCCAGCAGCACCCTTCTACAGTATTTTCAGTAATTTGTCTCCACTGAATTTATCACCTATGCACAGAGGACTAGCATTTGATTTTATATTTCAGTAAAACAAAATTGAAACACCAGTAACCAGGAATATTTGAAAGTAGAAACTCAAGGGTAGAGAGAAGGGTAGAGGGAAGCAATTCATACACATAATTAAAATTATGAGAAAGGACAGGCCGTTGCATGCCCTGAACATTAAAGTCATGATTCAAGAGATTGGACTGCTGGGAAGGTGGGGGCTGGCTTTGATGGTTCTGGCAAAAAAAAAAAAAAAAAAGTGCCTCCACTCTTCAGCAGTGTGGCCCAGCAAGGGCCAGTGGTGGCGGGGAAGGGGATCATTTCTTTAACAGCTGTGATGCAGTGGAAAGTTCCTAGGCTTGACAGTTTGAAGTAATGCGGAACCAAAGTTGGTTCAGTATTAACTGAGCAACAATGAGCGGGTCTCTGGGCCTCAGTTGCCTTATCTGTAAATGAGAAGGTTGAACTACATGAGCTTTGAAGACCCTTTCACCCTTTCAGACATTTTTCATAATTTGGTATGACTTAGCATAAGTGATACAAGCCCTGTGATTCCATGTGAAGACCTCATTTTTTTATTTTTATTTTATTATTTATTTATTTATTTATTTATTTATTTATTTTTGAGACAGAGTCTCCCTCTGTCACCCAGGCTGGAGTGCAGTGGCGCGATATCCGCTCACTGCAACCTCTGCCTCCCAGGTTCAAGCGATTCCCATCCCTCAGCCTCCCAAGTAGCTGGGATTACAGACGTGCGCCACCATGCCCAGCTAAACCTTTTTGTATTTTTGGTAGAGATGGGGTTTCACCATCTTGGCCAGGCTGGTCTCGAACTCCCGATCTCAGGCGATCTGCCTGCCTTGACCTCCCAATGTGCTGGGATTACAGGCGTGAGCCACAGCTCCTGGCCCACGCCTCATTTCTTAGTCCTCCATCTAAGAAATATACCCAGCCTCCACACCTTCTAAGCAGAGGACTTTCCTCAAAATATCTAAAAGATGAATTATTACACATCCAAACATTCAATTCAGCAATAAGAAATGTCACAGGCCAAAAAGAGTCCCACATTCCGGAACATCAGAAGCTGATAAGCATTTTCATCTGTTTTGGACTAATTAGTAAGCTCAATATTTCGTTATGGTCATTTTGTTATGAATTGAGAGTGATTCTTGAGTATAACCACATGTGATCTGAAATCATCTCTTCCTCCTTGGTTTTCCTTTTTAACTTTGCATATCTAATGCCTGTATTGTTACAATCAGAGGAATTTGAAATCAAACACAACCTCAGCTGGTTGTTAGGAATCCAGGAGGAGAGAAGGGAGGGTGGCCCCAGGACTGCCTCTGAGGCTTGAGAGGTTGCAATCCACTGGCTTCAGGCTCAGTGAGACAAGCTGTCTGGCTAATGGACATTCAGTCACTTTGATTTTCTCTTTGAAAATATGTAGCCGGAGCCAGTTTAGTCACCCCAGGGAGTCTGTAGCCTCAATAGGGAGACAAATTAAGGAAATGTTGGCTCCAATAGTAATTAGCTTGCCAGTCTTTATTTTTCAACTTTTGTTTATTTTCTGATAACGTGACCGTGACCCCTGGCATCACTTATTACAGGTCAGTGTCAGATGGCCAGGTGTTTCATATTACTTTCAAGCTCCACTAATCCATAGATCAGCGGTTCTCAACCTTGCAATTACCTGGGGAGCTTTTTTAAAAATGCTGATACTGTTGCCTTGCCATCCCCAGACGGGTGGTGTGCAGCAGAATTCATATTTTAAAAGCCCTCCAGGTGATTGTAATGTGCCTCCGGGGTTGGATATTACAGCCAGAACACAAATCTGCACGATCAACTTTTAAACACAAACATGCTTTGTTCATTTCTAACACTGCCCATATAAAATATTTCAGGAACATTGTTTGGTTTTTCTAAGATATCTAAGGCATTACAACTTCTAATGCTTAGGATAGACGTCCTGGTCAACTTCAGGAAAAATTAGAGCTTCATGCCCCCATGTGGCTAATCAATAATATTGCACCTTTAAAATCTGAACAAGTTGAAGAAAAAATGTTAAGTGATACCATCCTAGGCTTTTCCCAGAAGTGTGACCACAGCATTAGTTGAGAGGATTGAAAACATGCAGCGACATCTACCCCAATTTCTAAGTAAACTGTTAATGTAGCATATGTGAGATTATTTGTAGCTCCATGTTGACATTATTGTAGACAAATTACAAGGTGGATGTGAACCCGTCATCAGAGTAGGTTTTATGTTCCAGGTCTACATATACAAAAGGTATGAGTCCTTGTTTATCTTTAAACCCTTGAGAGCTGTATTGAAAAGGTGATGTAAGGTCCCAACCCCACATATCTGATTTTGTAGAGAACTGAATCATAGTAATACCGACAATAAATAACATAAAAATGAGTACTGTGAATAGAGCTCTTAACATAAGCTGGGCACTGTTCTGGGAACCTACATATCTTATCACTGGCTCCTCGTAGCAGCTCCAAGTGATAGGTGCTGTTACCTTTTTACCGTTCAAAGAATGGGCATTCACAGAAACCATGACTTGTCCAATTTAAAAGGTACTAGTTAGCAGCATCAGTATTCAAGTTCTGATCATGTAACTCCACCAGCGCCTACTCTCCTTACTACCATGCTGTGTACTTCTGCGTCAGAGGAGCTTCAAGTCTTCTGGATAATGTTAATCTTGGTTCACTGTGTTCTGACAGTTCCACAAAGGAACAGAAAACAGCCCAGGAATTTGCATGTAACAGGTCACTCCGCAGAGCTTCTGCCCTGGAGCCTGGCCGACAGATAGCTCTCAGGTGTTCTCAACAGAATTCCCAATAGCAGGCTCACTGCGTGCACCCACTCCTCCAAAACGGCCAGCTGGGACCCAGTTGAGTTCGTGGTCTCTTCGCACAGCAATCTGAAAGACCTAAGGCAAGTTACTGTCTCTCTCTGGATCTCACTGTCATCTACAAAAGAGATTGAACTAAAGATACGTTCTAACATTCCATGATCTAAATGAAATAGTCGAGAATCTGGTAAAGAGGTTTATCTTATCATGAAGCTGTTGAATTGGTTAATCACATTAACACTTGGAAAATTTAACTGAGTATGTAAAAGTAAAAGTGGACAGAAACATGAGCTTTTAACTTTTGTTCATGGCGGCCCCGCTCTGCCAACAGGGCTAGATTCTTAAAGGTGAATTGAAAATTGTTAAACAGATATCCTCACTTACTTTGCATTCTCAGTGCCTGACACAGGACCTGGCTAACAGCAGATGCTCCATAGATGGATAAGAGGAAGGAAAGGTTGGATGGATGGACAGACTTATTGATAAGTGGTTAGGAAGATGGAATGGATGGGAAGATGGATGGAAGGATGGATGGATGGTTGGATGGATGGATAGATGGATGGATGGATGGATGGATGGATTGATGGACAGACTAGATTGATGATGGTATTCTGTAAATTGACCAGTAGATGAGATGGAGTGGATGAAAGACTAGTTGGGAAAGATGGATGTCATTCATCTGTCCTTAGGTATTAACATAATAAACCTGGAGCCTGGGTCATCTTTTCATGCAGGAGCCCACCATTTCCTGCAGTCAGCACAACCAAAGTTAAGGCGTCAGCCCTTTACAACTAAGTATATTATTGCATGGAAATTTGCCTGCCTTAGTCTGTTGGAGATTGAGCTAAATAATTCTGGTTCTCAGGAGTATTCAAGCTCCATAGGATTATAAATTGGTACATTGAACAGGGGTAAAAAACCCAAAGGAAACCATCTGATTTGTGGAAAAGGTATTGGACTTAATTTCAGGACAACTCCATTCTAAACCCACCTCAGATACTTGCTAGGTGACCTTCAGGAAGTCGCCAGACCTCAGTTCCCTCATTTTGTTATTCATGTTCATCCTGTTATTCTAGGGTTCTGGGATTATCAGGCAAAGGAAATTTAAGGGGTTTGGTGGGCCTGAAAACTGCTGGGCATCGCCTCCCATCTACCTACAACCAAGCTGTGTGCTGAGAGCTTTCCGTGCATTACCTTGCCCAGTCATCACAGCAGCCACATGTGGTGGGAATTGTAATTCCAGGGCTGTGGTCGAGGCAAGTGGGGTTTGTGGAGGCCAAGTAACCTGCCCAAGGTCGCTGAGCCTATTCAGTGACAGAGATGGGACCTGCACCCAGAACAGTGGGACTCAAGTTTGTGCTGGTAATCAGTTCACTCTACCATCTCTGATACAAGCCCTTCCCTATTCCCCCTTACTGCTCAGCTCGTTATCACACAGCTGCAGTGAGTCAAAACCATCCCTCCAGTGCACCAATTGAAGGGAGTACAGGTGAGGAAGCTACGGGAATTCGCCTAGAAAGCAGGCATTAACAAGATGGCCCTGTTATGTTGGTTACACATAAAGTGGATTTTTAAAAACTGCCACTTTTGCAGAGGTTCAAGTGTTTTTCTCCGATGACACATTCAAAACCTGCCTAAAGAGCTATGTTGACCCTGTATATTCAACAATTACACTGTCACTTGTGGAAACGCAACTACACAGCATGGCATCATTTGTGTCAACCTGCTGGCTTGAGAAATGTGTACCTAGCTCGGGTGCTGCCAACCCCAGGTCTCCCATGGTGCAGGGATGGTGGTGCAGCAGGTAAGCTCTGAAACTTCCTGCTGCTGTGCTGAAGGTGCACAGTCTGAGAGCTCAGCTACCAGGCTGCCTCTGGGCCTGCTCACCTCCCAAAGGGCAGAAGCCCTGGTCACTGCATATGTCACCAGGAAGAGGACTGGGCAGTCGGGCTGTGTAAGGAAGTTTTGCCTGCATGTGGGCTGCCCTCATGCCCATCTCTCCCTCCATCCATTCAAGTGTCTGTTTCCTAGGGTTGCCATAGCAAAATGCCACAAATTAAGTGGCTGAAACAGAAATTTGTTTCTGGTCTGAGGTTAGAAGTCTGAGATGTCAGCAGGGTTGGTTTCTTCTAACAGCTATGCAGGACAATCCATTCCGTGCCTTTCCCCAGCATCTGGTCATCAGCGGGCAATTTTTGGTGTTCCTTGGCTTCCACTGCCTCTCACCTCTGCCTTCATCTTCACATAGCATTCTTCCTGTGCGCAAGTTTCCCCTTTGTATAAAGACACCCATCATATTGGACTAGGATCCCATCTTACTCCAGTATAACTTCATCTTAACTGATTTTATTTGAAGTGATCCTGTTTCCAAATAAAGTCACATTCTAAAGCACTGGGAATCAGGACACAATTCAACCTGTAACGATCCATTTCCCAAAGATTTTTCGAGCATCCATTACGTGAGATACCAAGAAGTGAGCCTGGTTCTTAGGCAGCTTACCTGGTGGCATGCGCCCTAAGAGATGCTCTCCAGGGAGGCCTAGAAGACCAGCCTGTGAGTGGGAGGGACACACGGTAAATGCTGCCTGATTTTCAGACTTCCGTGGGTAGAGAGCAGGCTTCATGGAACATTTGATGTGCATCTTGGTGGGATTCAACAAGTGGAGATGGAACAGAGGGCTTTGCAGAAGAGAGGAACAGTAAGAAGCAAAGTATACGGGCCAGGAAGAACAAGAGATGGTCACGCATTACCCGACTTCCCCAGTCTGCGTTCTAGATAGTCGTGGTTATTATGTCACACAAAGAGCAAACCTGGCCCAACGCCAAAGGGCTGCTAAGCGAAGAGAGTTTATGCTTCCCTGGGTGTCAAACTGTCCTGCCTGCCTGAACAAAACACCCTCAACCTAGCACTTTCAGCCCACACTGCTGCCACCTTTGGCACAGACCTTGGCAGTCTGTGCAAGGTCCTCAGCAGCAAGGTGACCCAGGTGGCTGGTCTCCCCAGCATGCAGGCTTAAGTAGGCCATTCCAGTGCCAGGAAGAAGAGAGCTGTCTGTATTCTTGGCCAGATCACCATTTACTTCACCCAGTTTTCCTTTAGCAAAGAATGTTTTTACAAAAAGCCCATGGAGCACCTAGTGTTCTACAGCAGGGCTTTGGGACCCTTTGCAGTGGTTGGGCCCGACTGCGTTTCCAGTGCTGTCCTGAATGGCCCCAGATGGAGTGGCGAAGTGTCTGGGGCATTTCCCATCCTGGCCTCACGCGTCGGTGAGGTCAGCTCCCGGCCCACTGCTGTGCTCCCTTTGAAGAACTGGATTAGCAGAGGTGATAAAGGCAGCTTTGAGGCCCAGTGCCTGCACTTGGGGAATATTTACAGTGTGTGAACATTAGCCCTTTAAGGGGAGTATAAATCATGTCAGATTTATAGAGCCTGCCTTCTGGAAAAGCACTGATAAAAGGCCATGGTACGCATTTTCACACATGAAAGGAAGATCAGGGTCTTCCTGGCATGTCTAAATAGGAACAGCTGAGCCCAGCTTCTAGCAGGGCCCCTCTCCCTCTGTCCTCCCCTCTTCCCTGACCCTGGGGCATGCTGGCAGGACCTGAGAGCTGTAAAATCACCCACAGTTGAGCCCTCGCATGTCCCGCTGTCAGCTACTCTGTCCCTGGGACCGCCCTTCCCGATGCTGTCTCTCTGGGTCTGGCTTGCATCCAGCCTCCCAGACAGGACTGAGCCTATCTCCTTTCTCAGGCCATGAGAAGTCTGAGAACATGGTGAAAGCCGGAACTTGCTGTGCCACATGCAAGGAGTTCTACCAGATGAAGCAGACCGTGCTGCAGCTGAAGCAAAAGGTACGTGCCGCTGGGGTGGGAACGATGATGCCTGATGGAAGGAGGGCTTGGCCAAGGCCAGGTGGAAGGATATTTACAAATAAGAAAATATCCACATTGAGCATTCACGCAGTTGATGCCAGTGAGGTTTGCATGGACTTGGGATGTTTTGCCCACCCTCAGAGCCATCCAAGGGGCATCAGGACACAATGATGGCAAGGGATTGCAGAGGCAATTATTAAAATGGACACTAGGTAAGGGACACGTGGCAAAGCCATAGATAGGGTGAGCTACGGCTATTGCAACTTCTCATAAAATAAATTTCCAGCCGGGTGCGGTGACTCACGCCTGTAATCCTAGCACTTTGGGAGGCTGAGGCAGGTGGATCACCTGAGGTCAGGAGTTCAAGACCAGCCTAGCTAACATGGTTAAACCCCATCTCTACTAAAAAATACAAAAATTAGCTGGGTGTGGTGGTGGGCACCTGTAATCCCAGCTACTTGGCAGGCTGAGGCAGGAGAATTGCTTGAACCTGGGAGGCAGAGGTTGCAGTGAGCTGGGACCACTCCATTGCACTCCAGCCTGGGCAACAAGAGTGAAACTCCAACTCAAAACAAATTTCTAGGCATGCCATCGGAAAGTCCATAGATTATGGAAATAATCTATGTGCCTTAGGGAATACATGTGCCTAAGTAATTCTATTTTATCTAAGATCTGTACATTATTTATAGAGAATATTGTCTCTATAAACTGCCATAAGCTGGTGAGGAACTTGTGCAGCAGCTTTCTTTTTCACTTTTGAAAATTATAGTCTATGCCCTTTCTGAGTTTCCTGCACCTAGAAAAGCAGCCCTGTGGGTACTTTGTGTCACCAAGGATGAGGACTAATGCACTTTATAAAAGGCTGTCCGAATGCCTGACGGTATAGCAGATTTCTAGTAACACCGTTCTGCTGTGAGTAATGCCCCGGGATGGGTCTGGCAATCTGACTTCTTGAACAACTGTCCTGGACCCAGATAAACAGTATTTATTCTACCTAAGATTGCTCAATTCGCTAGTTTGTCAGGGACTCAGAAATCACCCTTAAACTGATAAAACATCTTCTTGTTTTGTTTGTTTAACGGCTTCCAGTCAAGGCTCTTAGCACATCAGAGAGGTGTATCTTCCCTGTTGAACTTTGGCATCCAGTGATTCTAAAGGGCTTGAGAGTAAGCCTGAGATGGTATCTCTTTCCCATGTTCAACAAACATGCAGCCAGCCCCTAATGAAAACCACAGCTACCAGTTCAGTAGATCAACAGGCTGAGAAGAGAAATGGTTTGCAGGCCTTTTTTACGACTCTGATGACGTGATCTGCTTAACAGAAACATGTATATATCTGATGGATAGTTATGAATAAAACATAGATTTAACCCTAAATAGCTTATGATCCTAATAGGAAGACTAGGCAGAAAACCTTGTCTATCACTATAAACACAGAGACATAAATAAATACATCCAACACAGATATCCCCAGCTTGAGCTTAGGTTGATGTTAGTTGTATTGAACAAACCCAGAGAAGGGTTCGAGGAAGAAGTAAGTTTGCATTTCATAAGCCAGAAGGGCTTGGGTTAGGCAGTCGATCAATATCTCCAGATGTACCTCTCAAGGCATAAAGCTACCCTCACTTTCCTTCCCTGGAAGTAATCTGTGTGCCTTAGGGAATTTATTTCCAGCCAGGATGATCTTTAGGAACAGGGGGCTAAATAGCGCAAGTCATTCAGAAATTCAGTTGCTAAATCAAAGTGTGGTTTTCCCTTAATCTCCTTGCCATGTTTTTTTGTGATGTATAAAAATAAAGAAGTGGAGAAACTTGCATTGAAATACTTGTCACCCTCAAAGACCCTGCTGGAGAGCTACATAAAAATCCACGAGGTCATCTTAATACTCCAGTAACTCTTATGCAATTGAGTTGGACTAGCATCGTTCTACCTTATACCAAAATCTTTCTGCAAATGCATTGTGGCAATCCCAAGCTAATGTAGACTTTCAAGGAATGTTATGAGGAGCAATTTATTTCTAAAGGTTCCTATTAGAATGTCTTGCATTCCACAGCCCAGAAAGCGTTATATCCAGAATCACATTTAATTAGCACCATGACCCCGTGGAAAAGATACTGATGGTCTTAGAGAGGTGCAATAACCGTCCGAGAGGGCAGGCCTAAAACCTAGGTCCTCTCATTTCTACTCCTGTGCCAGTGTTTGAACTGTCCGTTGGTTTTGTTGTTTTTGTTTTGTTTTGAGATGAAGTCTCGCTCTGTCGCCCAGGCTGGAGTGCAGTGGTGTGATCTCTGCTCACTGCAACCTCTGCCTCCCAGGTTCAAGCAATTCTCTGCCTCAGCCTCCCGGGTAGCTGGGATTACAGGTGCCTACCACCATGCCACGCTAATTTTTTTTGTATTTTTAGTGGAGACAGGGTTTCTCTATGTTGGCCAGGATGGTCTTGAACTCCTGACCTCATCATCCACCCGCCTCGGCCTCCCAAAGGCCTGGGATTACAGGCATGAGCCACTGTGCCTGGCCTGTCAGTTGTTTTTTAATGTCGTCTTGCTGCTGCTAATGCCATTTGTTCACAAAAGAACATAGGACATCTGCCCAAATAAACATTAGCCAAGAAGGAGATGCTAGCAGTCCTAGACCATGGCCAACCCCACAGCATGAAACGGTGTTTAAACACCTTGAACCACACCACAAACATCCAGTCGGCAACATTCCAACCATGGGAAACACGACAGGTCAAATGCCCTGGGTTCCGGCAGTCTGCAGGCAACAGGAAACTTAAAGGACCTATCACTTTTTAAATGAGCAACACTAAACCATAATATCTAGGCATGCACAGGTGGGTAATACATTATTTTTTAAAACATAGGAAGTTATTACTATGAAAGGAAAGTGGTGACTTGTTGGGGAAGAGAGGAGACTGATTGGGATGGGGCACGTGGAAGGAGGGGGTCTGGGGTGGCTGGCAAAGTTCTGTTGGATTGATTTGGGAGTTCTTTAAAAGGGTGCTTACTTTTTTTATTTTTAATTTCTGGGGTACATATGCAGGATGGGCGGGTTTGTTACACAGGTAAATGTGTGCCATGGTGGTTTGCTGCAACTGAAGAGGTGCTTGCTTTATAACAATTTGCTAAGTTATATATTTGTGTTGTGAAGTTTCCAGGTTCTTTGCTTTATTTTGCAATAAAAACATGTTTTTAAATGGTGTATAGACCTCAGTGCCTCCACCTCCACCACTTCTTCTGTGGTGTGGGAAGAAAACAAGTGATGTGGTGAGAAAGGGAGAGTGTGGGGATAGATTCGATGCCTGTCATTTAACTTTTAGATGGGTCTCTGTCCCGCGAGAGCACTTAAAATTCAGAGCCAACTCTCCTGTCCTTTTTTTTTTTTTTTTTTTTTTAAGTTGCTTGTGTTCTGGCAGCAGGGACTATCGGATTTGAGAGTGAAATTGCTGCAGAGAGTTCCCTGGGAAGGGAGACTCCAGAAGGAGAGGGCTGGCACTCAAGCCTGCACTCAGCCTGTCCTGGGTTGACTGGTGTGCTTGGCCTCCCTCGGTGGCTGCCTGGGGAGTTGAGAATTTCTCTCTCTACTCTTAAACCAGCGACTCTCCCCACGTTGAGCAGTTGAGGGAAGTGTGGATAATCATTCAGGAAGTGCTCGTTGAGCACCTACTGTGGGCTGGGAAATGGGGAAATACAAAACACTACGGAGAGGATTCTGCCTGAAATAAACTTACTGTCTTATGGGGAAACCATGCCAACGGTGTTAAATCAGCAAACAATGGCCAAATGAAGTGGGGCCAACAGTCAGGCCTGAGAATTTAGAGGCCCCTAGGATTTCAAGTGAGTACATTTGCAACCCGATGGCTGCACCTGCTCGGTCTAGCATCACCTTTGCCTCAGGTGGTTATATGGCTTCTCAATAATGTGTGGTTTCCTCTGCTACTCTATAAAATGGGTCTTCCCAGGATTATTGGGAATCCATATTAAACTGACTGTAGGCCGGGCGCAGTGGCTCATGCCTGTAATCCCAGTACTTTGGGAAGCCAAGGCGGGCGGATCACTTGAGGTCAAGAGATACAGACCAGTCTGGCCAACATAGTGAAACCCCATCTCTACTAAAATTAGAAAAATTAGTTGGGTGTGGTGGCGGGAGCCTGTAATCTCCATCTACTCGGGAGGCTGAGGCAGGAGAATCACTTGAACCTGGGAGGCAGAGGTTGTAGTGAACTGAGATTGCACCACTGCACTCCAGCCTGGGTGATAGAGTGAGATTCTGTCTCAAAACAAAATTTAAAAAGTGACTGTAGGTTGCCGCTTGGTTTAATGGTTAGGAGCACAGATTCTGGAAGCAGACTGGCTAAGTTTAAATTCTAGACCCACCGTCTGCTGGCTGTGTGACTCTCGGTAAGTTACCTAACCTCTCTGTGCCTCAGTTCTACTTTTAAAAAACGACAACATTAATACCTACTGCCTAAGGATTTTATGATAATCAAATGTGAATATTTACAAAGGACTGAGAACAGCGCCATCCATCTAGAAAGAGCTCTACAAATGTTTAGCAAGTAAAAATATTATTTATTAGCACTCTTTACAAAGTACCTTCAAGATGCATCTCACGGATTCATCCCAACAGCTCTTTGAGGCAAAAGCTCTCTCACAAAGGCTAATATGAGATAAATGATACGCATAATTCCATTGACTGGAATCTGGGAGAAATGCAGACTCTTTTTACATTACTACAACCTTCCTCCCAAACTCCTGGCATCCCACAGCCCATCGTCTGCTGTGTTTATGCAGAAAGTGGGGCCAGAGATTCTGGACAGCCGCCTCTAAAGTGCCAGTGCCTTCATTCTGCACTCCTGCTGCCACACAGAGGGGCTGAAGGGAACCAGGATGCAGCCACCCAGCAGGAGGTCAGCCGGGACACTGAGGTCAACATTTGCCACCTTACCTCGTCACTTTTTCAAGAGGCCAAATCAAGCAAAGAGGACTGGGGGGAATAGGGGAGCATCTCTGGAGCCCATCTGTGTGCAGGCCTCATCCTGAGGTTCTGTTTACAAAATTTTAAATACGAAGACTTGATCATGTGTTGAAACTGCACATTTTGTAGACTTGGAAGGATGAAGGGACTTACCAAAGTCACACAGCTACTTAGGAACAAAGTCAGGAGCAGCCCCCAGACAGCATTTCTTTTTTTTTTTTTTTTGGACAGAGTCTCACTCTGTTGCCCAGGCTGGAGTGGAGTGCAGTGGTGCGATCTCGGCTCACTGCAACCTCCACTTCCTGGGTCCAAGCAGTTCTCCTGCCTTAGCCTCCCAAGTAGCCGGGACTACAGGCGTGCACCACCATGCCTAGCTAATTTTTGTATTTTTAGTGGAGATAGTGTTCCACCATGTTGGCCAGGCTGGTCTCGAACTCTTGACCTCAAGTGATCCACCTGCCTTGGCCTCCCAAATTGCTGGGATTAGAGACATGAGCCACAGTGCCCAGGCCCCCAGACAGCATTTCTGCTGGTCTATGACAATGGCTGGACACTGAGTCAGGCACGTTAAAGACAACATCACTTTAACCCTCCAGCAGTGCCTCTAGGTGGCCGTTACCATCCCCATTTTATAGATGAGGAAATCCAGGTTGTGTAGCTTACCCAAGATCCCACAGGTAGAAAGTGGCAGGGCTCAGATTTAAAGGTAAGTCTGCCTTATTCCAAGGCCCAAGAGTGGGACCCACATTTCAGTTTCTTAGTTGGAAGCAGATGATAAAATTGGATCAGGCTTCAGCTGCCAGTGTTGACCCACTGCCTCATGGTTGCAGTAGATTTACTGATACATTTCCCTCACTCACTGAGGGAAGAGGTTCACTCCTTTCCTCCCCAGGGCCACAGGTACCCACCTGCAGGTTGTGGTGGTCTATTGCTATGACACAGTGATGTCAGCACCATTTTAAATATATCCCAGGCACACAGTGGTGACTCTGAATCATGAGCCCTGACTTGAAGTTGTACAAAGCTGGCTTTCAGATTGCACAAGATTTTGATTCTTACAGTCATCCCTACTGAATTCTGAGTAACAATCACAGGGGAATTGTATTAGAGATCTCTAGAGAGACAGAACTAATGGGATACATGTGTATATGAAAGGGAGTTTATTAAGGAGAATTGACTCCCGTGATCACAAAGTGTCAAAGAATTTGTGGACACATTTTACAACCACCACAGTCACGATTGCCCAGTTGTACTGAAGGTCAGCCCTGAGTGTGCTGGGGAACCGTCAGCCATGTTCTCGGTCCTAACTCCCAAGGCTGAGAGTTCTTTAAGGGCAGGAACCATGTCTTGGTCACCACTGTAGCCACAGAACCAAGCCAGGACCTGCACATAGTAGGTGTTCAATAAATGTTTGAGACATAAAATAGGTCATTGAAAAATTGAGAGTATGAAATAAGTAGATCCCATTAATTATGGTAATAATGAGTTCTAGTGATATCTAGGCCATCTGGAGCTTATTTAAGCTCACCTACTAACTAGCTGAGTAATGTCATACAAGTTATTTGCCCTAGAATGCCTCTAGGTTTAGAAAGAGGCTCTTTATAGTTTCTCTGAGCTCTAACTAGCTCTAGTAAAAAGTATATACATATGTCTCATGAAAAGGCTTTGCAGCTTCTCCCACCAAGACAAATGCCGAGGCTCTCTTCTGCCATTGCTTCCTGACTGAGGCTTCCTCTTCTCCTTGCAGATTGCTCTGCTCCCCAACAATGCAGCTGACCTGGGCAAGTATATCACTGGTGACAAGGTGCTGGCCTCAAACACCTACCTTCCAGGACCTCCTGGCCTGCCTGGGGGCCAGGGCCCTCCCGGTGAGTGTGGAAGAGGGCACAGGAGGGTGATCACCAACAGAAAAAGCCTGCCAAAAGCTCACATTTGCTGGGGCCTGGACAATGTTCTCCAGCTTCCATCGAGGAGAAACAAGGCAGGTGTCCATGGGACTGCCACACACCCATGCAATGAGAGAGCCTGGGAAATAGGCCCTCAAGCCTGAGAAACCCTCATAGCCAATAGCAATGTGGGAGAAAAAGCTCATTGTCCTGGGATTGGATAAGATTCCTAAAGATCATTTTAAGTTAAAAAAACCAAATGAAAACTATCTTAAACCTTTTTCTGGAAAAATTTTAACATATACAAAAATGGAACAGTATTATGAACCCCCCCTGCTTGGGGCTCCTCACCCAATTCTAACAACTCAGAGCCAGCCTCTTCCTACTGCTCCCCAGTCTTCCTTCCACCTTTCCTTATTTGTTCGCATATTTATACCTATATTTATTTTTATACCTAGCTATATGTTTTTACAAGTCAACTGTATTGACATACAAATGACATGTAATGTACTCATTTAAATTACCATTCAAATTTTGACAGATGTATTTACCCATGTAACTCCCATCCTATATTTCAAGATATAGAACATTTCTATCACCCCAGAAATTTCCCTTCTGTCCATGTGCACATGTCCACTTCCCCAACTCCCAGTCTAGGCAGACACTGACCTGCTTTCTTTCACTGTAGTTTTACCTGTTCTAGAACTCCATATGACTAGAATCTTTATACACATATATACACACACATATATACGTATGTGTGTATATATATGTGTGTATAAAGAAATTCTTGTGAATGTGTACTTTCAGCTTCTTTCATTCAGTATACTGTTTCTGAATATTCACCCTTATTAATTGGATGAAAATCCCGAACATCCTATCATTTCATCAGGAAATATACAATGAGAACTTAAAAAAAAATAGTTCCAAGTTATTTTATATTTTTAGTACTTATGGAGGTATAGAGCAATAGACTTTTTTCTCCACACTGGTAAGGGAAATGACTTTAGTGTTAGCAAATGATTCTAAACCTTTGAGTGCCTTATCCCTGGCTATCATTGCTTAGCAGTGTGCTAGGCATTATGAATGACCTCTTGACATCCTAATTGGGAAGACCAGACACATAGAGCATATGCAAATAGAATAAAACAGTACCCACATGCCCTCCAGGTAAGTGCACAGATGCTTCCTGCTGTGGGAGCTTGAAGGGAGCGAGCACTGTAGTCTGCAGTGGTCAGCGGCATTTAGGTTTGATCTGGACATGGCAGACTGGTAGAATTTGCCCAAGGAGGAAGGACACAGGTGGGTTTTCGGTTGGAAAGTCAGCAAGAACAAAAGCTCAGAGTTCTTCACGGAGGATTTGTGTGTTTTCTCTCCACTTATGTCTTAAACTCTTCAAACACAAGCCTGAGTCTCCGTCCATCCAGAGAATAAGACGATTCAGGATTTGGCTTATCCTCGTTCATTCCCTTGGCCTGAGGTACTCCGGGTCATGGTGGAGTTTTCACCAGCAAACACTTCACACAGGCACCCTCTGGCTGCTTCTAAACAGACTGGGGTCTCTCCTTATAAACTGCTTCCTAGCATAGTGCTCTCCACCCTCCTCTAAGAGAATGCTCTTGCTTTGCTTCTCTGGAGGAAGTCAACTCCAGGCTATAGATCACTAGAACAAAACCAACTGTAGGAGCAGGGGAGTCATTGGCTGTCTTGCTTAATAAATGCCTTGCAAGCTTTCTTCTCCAATGCTGCCATCTGGCTTGTAACATGGTTTGAGCTGTCCAGGGTCCTTGATGGAGCAGAGAATGATTGAGGATGAATAAGCTTTTGCAACAGACCCGGCCTTTGAATGGGGACATTCCAAACCCATTTCCTTCTCTCTCTTAACTTCTAGTGTTTGTGGTACCCACCACTGAGACTTATTAGGGAAGCTAGAAAGCTAATAGGCTTTCTCTCACCCTTAAATAAAAGTCCAGTTCCGAGGCCTGTGGTGAATCAGACTGGAGCACCAATACAGGAAACTACTCTGGGTTGGAATCTGCTTAGCTTTGGTGGTAAGGGGGCGGCTGCTGCTTTCTGGCCTCCACTGTCATACGTAAGGTGCTGCCGTTTGTACATTAAAGTCCCACATTTCAAAGGCACTTGACATACTGTGATCTCTGTAGTGTACTGATTGTGTAAATGTGGGTGAGATATTATCTCTGGCCTCTTTTTTGTGCTACTGGAGGTAAAATATTTAGTAAAAGGAGGGATCTGGCACCCTTCCCAAACTCATTGTAGATATACCTGGAACCAGTATTAAGAGTAGGGGTGTGAGACATGTTTGGATGGAACATCGACTGCTTTTAACTTTGGCGTAATTATTCTGTGAACTAAAAAAGACTTATCTAAATGTGAAAAGTTTAAAGTCTCCGTTTCTTTGTTTTATTTGCTGGAGTCTGACTGTCATTCCATCTTGTCACTGCTCTGTCAGTACTAGGGGTTAGGTATGATCAAAAAGCAATTACTATGTGCATTTAAAAGAACAATTATGAGACAAGTATAGTATAACAATCTTCTCAGTCTCTTCAATGCAATCACTTAGTAAAAAACATTTACTAAGCAGCCCACTATGTATCCAGGACTATCTGAGGATATGCTAATAAATAAGACACAATTCAAGCTCTCACAGAGCTGATTATCTAAAATGGGTTAAAACACAATGTCCTTCTGCATGCAGAAGAATGAGGTTGGACCCTTACCTTACACCATCTGCAAAAATTAACTCAAAATGGATTAAAGAGTGAAATGTAAGACCCCAAAACTATGAAAATCCTAGAAGAAAACATAGAGGAAAGCTTCATGACATTGGATTTGGTGATGAGTTCTTGGATATGACCCCCAAAAGCATAGGCAGCAAAAGCAGTAGATGAATGGGACTACATCAAACTTAAATTTCTGTGTCTCAAATCAAACAATCAACAGGGCAAAAACAACCTACAGGATGGAAGAAAATAATTGTAAGTCATATATCTGATAAGGGGTTAATATCTAGGATATATAAGAACTTCAATATTCAACAAAAAAGCACCTGATTAAAAAGATGGGAAAAGGACTTGAATAGACATTTCTCCAAAGAAGACATACAAATGGCCAAAAACCATATTAAAAGATACTCAACATCACTGATCATTAGAGCATTGCAAACCAAAACTACAGTGAGATGCCATCCCACACCCATTAGGATGGCCACTATTTTTGAAAAAATACAAGCTTGGGAAACATAGGGAGACCCTGTCTGTATAAGAGAAAATTTAAACTAGCCAGGCTATAGTCCCAGCTACTCAGGAGGCTGAGGGGTAGAAGATCGCTTAAGCCCAGGAGGTCGAGGCTACAGTGAGCCATGAAAACAACACTGCATTCCAGCCTGTGTGACAGAGCAAGACCCCCTCTCAAAAAAAAACCACCGAGAAAATAAGTATTGACAAGGATATGGAAAAATTGGAACCCTGGGCACTGTTGGTGTGAATGTAAAATGGTTCAGTCACTGTGGAAAAGAGTGTGGAGATTCCTCAAAAAATTAAACATATCAGGAGGCTTAAGCAGGAGGATCACATGGGCTCAGGAGTTCGAGGCCAGCCTAGGCAACAGAGACCCTAACTAAAAAAAATGTATATATATGAATGAGATCCAGAAATGCCACTCCTGGGAATATACCCCAAAGAATTAAAAGCAGGATCTTGAAGAGATACTCACACACGCATCTTCATAGCAGCACTTTTCACAATAGCCAAGAGGTGGAAGCAACCCAAGTGTCCATCAATGGATATAACCCAGGTGTCCATCAATGGATAAGAATGGAAAAACAAAATGTGACATACACTTACAATGGAATATTATTCAGCCTTTAAAAAGATGGAAATTTTGACACGGAACAATATAGATGAATCTTAAGGATATTAGGCTAAGTGAAATAAGCTAGTCAAAAAATGACACACTATATAATTAACACTTATATAAGGTATCTAAAATAATTAAACTCATAGAAACAGAAAGTAGACTGGTTGTTATCAGGGGCTGAGCAGAGTGGAAAATGGGGAGTTATTCGGTGGTCTAGAGTTTCTGTTTTACAGGATGAGAAAGTTATAGAGATCTGTTGCACAACAATGGGAATATACTTAGCATTACTAAACACTACATTTAAAAAATAGTTAAGATGGGCTGGGGGCCGTGGCTCACACCTGTAATCCCAGCACTTTGGGGAGGCTGAGGTAGGCAGATCACTTGAGGTCAGGAGTTCAAGACTAGCCTGGCCAACATGGTGAAACCCCATCTCTACTGAAAATACAAAAAAATTAGCCGGGGGTGGTGGTGGGCACCTGTAATCCCATCTACTTGGGAGGTTGAGGCGGGAGAATTGCTTGAACCTGGGAAGCGGAGGTTGCAGTGAGACGAGATTGCACCACTGCACTCCAGCCTAGGTGACAGAGCAAGACTCCATCTCAAAAAAAAAAAAAAAGTTGGCAAATTTTGTGGATTTTTTATCACAAGTTTTTAAAAATGCTTGTCAGGCCCCCACTCTCTCTTCCCTCATCCCCCCAGCTGATGTTCAAGGCCTAAAGCAGAGGTGAACATGCTGATGTCTGTACCCAGGTGCTGCCCCACAGACACAGCTGTGGCCCTTGAGCCAGCAAGGTGTCCGCTAGAGTCCCCGGTGTGGGCAGAAATGCTGTGTTCCACACACAAGTGGGGAAGCGCCGCTAACCCAACCCAATACAAAGCGGCTGTTTACAACTCTCTGTGTTGTGGGTCAAGATAGATGATGCCTAAAGGTCTCTTCCCCATCAGCTTCCATGATAAGGTGGTATGCCGTATTCTGGCACACATGCAAACAACCATTATCAGACACAAGAGCAGATGACTTGTTAAACTCGGTATGGTCTCAGAGCTGTGTCGATACAGGCCTCTGAAAAGAATTAAAAAAACAAAACAAAACACAACCCCTCAACCTCTACAGAGATGGGCAGGTCACATAGATACATAGAAGGGAGCTGGGCAGGGGAGCAGTTAGAAACAAGGGAACTGAACCAAACCAGAGAGCACTCACCCCATGTAAAGGGGCAGCCCCTACTGAGAACTCCAGTTGGTTGTGCTGATGATGGAATTGTGGTTTTTGTGCTTCCTATTTCAAACCAGAGTCAGGAACCCAGATTTTTATATGAAATCTCCCAATTTTTATTTTTATTTATTTATTTATTTTTGAGATGGAGTCTCATTCTGTTGCCTAGGCTGGAAAGCAGTGGCATGATCTCGGCTCACTGCAATCTCTGCCTCCCAGGTTCAGGAGATTCTCCTGCCTCAGTCTCCCAAGCAGCTAGGATTATAGGCGCTTGCCATCAAGTCCAGCTAATTTTTGTATTTTTAGTAGAGATGGGGTTTCACTGTGTTGGCCACGCTGGTCTCAAACTCCTGACCTCAAGTGATCTGCCCACCTCAGCCTCTCAAAGTGCTGGGATTACAGGCATGAGCCACCGCACCTGGCCCCAATTTTTAAATGTTAAGAATGCTCGGAAGAAAATGATACACATAAACAGAAAACACATACATGTACAGTGCATGAATGCATATAAACACACACATTATACTATAGATATACTGCAAGCATGTACAATGAAGAAAGCAGTTAATTCTTACTTTCAGAAGCCCGTATCGACACAGCACTGAGACTATACCGAGTTTAACTTTCAGAAGCCTGTATCGACACAGCACTGAGACTATACCGAGTTTAACAAGTCATCTGTTTTTGTGCCTGTCTGATGATAGTTGTTGGTACGACGGGGGAGATGTTAAAATGTTTTTGGAGATAGGTGATCTGTGGTGATGGAGACAAGACAGAAAGAATAGTGTGAGCTGGATTGTGTGCTATGGTATGGTTTATTCAGGGAGGATGGGACTATGGGGCAATTAGGAAGGAGGCAATCATGGAAAAAATGCTTGGCAAGAAAGACAAGAATGAACAAGGATACTATGCTGAGGAGTTAGAGCTTTATTCTCTATGCAGAGGGGAGCCACTGTAGGGTTTTCTTTTTCTCCTTGGACTCCAATTACACTTATGTTAGATGGTTCGATATTATCTCACCTCTTTTGGATGCTTCATTTTATCTTCCTCTTTGTGATTCACTTTGAGTAACTGTTGACTTATCTTTAAGTTCACTGATTCTTTGCTCAGCTGGGAGCAGTCTGTTGATGAGCCTATATTGTTTTCATACATGATATTATATTTTTCATTTCCATTTGACTTTTTCCTTTAATTTCCATCTCTCTGCTGAAATCCCTCATCTGCTCAGACACACTGTTTATCTTTTCCAACAGCACCGTTCACATGCTGTTATTTTAAAGCCCATATCTCATTATTCCAACATCTGGGTCCCCTCTGAGGCTTGTCCTGCTGATTGTTCTATTACTTGACAATGTGTTTTTTTGTTTTGATTTTTTTTTTTTTTTTGAGATGGAGTCTCGCTTTGTCACCCAGGCTGGACTGCAGTGGTACAATCTCAGCTCACTGCAACCGCCGCTTCAGCCTCCTGAGTAGCTGGGATTACAGGTACCCACCACCACACCTGACTAATTTTTGTATTTTTAGTAGAGATGGGGTTTCACCATGTTGCCCAGGCTGATCTCGAACTCCTGACCTCAGGTGATCCACCCGCCTCAACCTCCCAAAGTGCTGGGATTACAGGCATGAGCCACTGTGCCCAGCCCTTTTCTTTCCATGTCTGAAAATTTTGGATTGAATGCCAGACATCATTTGCAGAGAAACAGTAGAGACTGAGGCACATGGTTATCACTCCTGGAGATGGGTACTCTCTTCTTTTGTCAGGCCACTGCCATGGGAAGCTAAGTCAACCTAATGAATAACTGAGCTGGGTTTTGGCTTTATTGTCACTATATTTACTTTGTGTTCCACAGTCTTCAAATAATTCCTCCAATGGAAGGATGCTGTTACCTTATGCTTAGTGGAGGCCTAGGTTACCAGTGGATTTTTCTCAGTGTTTATACTCTGAGCTTTCAGCAGCCCCTACACACACACCTGTGCCACAGAGGGGTTCTCTCCCCACACTGTAGATTGCTATTACTTACTCCATGCTAGAGTTGTGGGGCAACGGGACATTTTCAGTTCTCCTGCTCCAGCTGCAATCCTAAGCATGACCTATGCTTCTGGGCCTTGGGGTGAGATGATCTTCCCCATATCCCCCAACTCATCCCCCAGCATGCCTTGTACCTGTGGCAAATCTTAGCCAGAAGAACATTTCCTACCCCTCACTAAGAAGTAAGGGATATTTCTCTGGGGCCTGCAAGAGAGAGTGAGTTTGCTGACCCACCGAGTGCCTTGAGACATTTGCACCAGAAGGTTGAAAGTAGGTGGGTTACATAGTAAGACTTGTTTTAGATGTGTCATCCCTATAGAAATATCAAAAATGGGCAAGGGGTGAAAAGACTGGTTCGGGGCAGAAAGACTAGCAATGAGGCAAGAGTCAAAGCAAATATAAGGAAGGCCTAGCAGATGTTTTAGTACTTACTATGTGTGAAGTACTATACTAAGTGCTGTGTATATATCTGAAATCTCATGTAATGCAACTACTCCATAAGGAAGATTTTTATTAGCCCACTTTTACAGATGAGATGAGAAACTAAAGCTCAGATGGCTCAGGCAACTTGTCAGATTCAAACCCAAGTCTCCCTGATGCTAAAACCTGTACTGCTCTCCAGCCATGATCACCACTTCTCTGTGGTGGTGGCCACTACTCTGCTGTGATCCAGTGGATAGAAGGGAGCAGACAGCTGTGAGATGTTAAAGAGGTAAAATGCACAGGAGCTGGCCACTGATTCAAAAAGGAGGTTGCAGAAACAGGGAAATATAGAGGAAGACTCTCCAGTTTTTGGCTTGAGTGGATGTATGACTGGCAGTCCGCGAAAAGAGAGGAAGATGGGGAAGCCGCTTTTGATCGTATCAAGTTTAAAATGCCTGTGGGACAGCCTGATGGAGATGTCAGAAGGCAAAGGCAGAGAGAGTACAAAGAGAAATGGCTGCAGGGGTCCTGGACTCTTGTTAGCCAGGGCCCTTTGTCCTTCTCATGTGCTGTGAGCTAATGAGGTGTTCTTTGATTACAGGCTCACCAGGACCAAAGGGAAGCCCAGGCTTCCCCGGTATGCCAGGCCCTCCTGGGCAGCCCGGCCCACGGGGCTCAATGGGACCCATGGGACCATCTCCTGATCTGTCCCACATTAAGCAAGGCCGGAGGGGCCCTGTGGTCAGTATCTTATCAGAGATCCACTTCCTTTTTGGGGGAAAATGTGTTTTTGTCCCATGCTTTTGCCTGTGGTTAAACCAGATCCTTTTGTATTACAGGGTCCACCAGGGGCACCAGGAAGAGATGGTTCTAAGGTAAGCCTTATGAGTGGTCCTCACAAGCTAAAGGTCTCTCACTTTCGATTTTTTTGTTTTGTTTTGTTTTTGTTTTTTGAGATGGTCTTGCTCTGTCACCCAGGCTGGAGTGCAATGGCACAATCTTGGCTCATTACAGCCTCTGCCTCTCTGGCTCAAGCCCAATTCTCCCGCCTCAGCCTCCCAAGCAGCTGGGACCACAGGTGTGCACCACCACTCCCGGCTAATTTTTGGATTTTTCTTTTTTTTTCTTTTTGAGACAGAGTCTCACTCTGTCACCCAGGCTGGAGTGCAGTGGCACGATCTCAGCTCACGGCAAGCTCCACCTCCCGAGTTCACGCCATTCTCCTGCCTCAGCCTCCCGAGTAGCTGGGACTACAGGCGACCGCCACCACACCTGGCTAATTTTTTTGTATTTTCAGTAGAGACAGGGTTTCATCGTGTTAGCCAGGATGGTCTCCATCTCCTGACTTCGTGATCCGCCCACCTCGGCCTCCCCAAGTGCTGGGATTACAGGCGTGAGCCACCACACCCGGCCTAATTTTTGGATTTTTTAGTAGAGACGGGGTTTCGCCATGTTACCCAGGCTGGCCTTAAACTCCTGACCCCAGGTGATCTGCCCGTCTCAGCCTCCCAAAGTGCTGGTATTACAGGTGTGAGGCACCGCTCCCGGCCTGAAGGTCTCTCACTTTCTACCTCTTGCACTGACATCCAGGAAAGCTCACCAGACACTGTTTACCAACCCCATTTTGCATGCAGCAGAAGTGAGACACAGATACCAGATAGAACTTTTTCCCCAAAGCTGGGAACAAAATCTGAAAAGCCATTGTCTTCAATTCCAAAACCAACCCCAAAGACAAAAACAACCACCACAACCACTCATAGGAAAAGTGACCCCTGTAAATTTTAAATGAGCCTCTGTGTTGTGATTCTCACATGTGTTTTTCTCTTTAACCAGTGTTGCTTTACGGGATAGCTTTTTGTGTGTTTCCATTTCTGTGAGATTTCTCAGGAACAGGAGATGCTCCATTCTTTTTGCAAGCAGGGTGGTTCCCCTCTGAGAGCTGCCTGCTCTTTTTTGCCTCACAAAGAAGTCAGTGTGAGTTACTTCAGAAAGTTTGTTACTCCACATGCTGTTGGGAAATATGAACATTCCTCTTGCCAAGAAGGTTTGAAAATAGATGGGCTTGAGGGAAATCAGAATGAGAGACACTTGACCCAAGCAGTCCTGTTCAAATAAGTGGTCCCGTGAGTCCAGCTCAGTTTTACATATGTTTTCTATAGAAAATGTTTATTGTTTTGTGCAGGGAAGTGGTTATGGTGGGTGTATAAATAGAGACTATTCTTGTGATATCCATGTGCTCTAGAAAGCTAACCCTGGCCTTTCTGTTTTTAGGGGGAGAGAGGAGCGCCTGGGCCCAGAGGGTCTCCAGTAAGTAGCACTCTGTGTCCTGCTTCCCCAGGGGAACGTTCTCAGGGATGCAGCTCTGATGAGCCTATAGGTTGGTCTAGTAGCAAAAGCCCGCCCCTTCCTGATGCCACTCAGCCCACCTGAACAGAACTCTGTGGTTAGGAAGAGAGTCATAGAAGCCCTTAGCTGCTAGTTTGGATTTATTTTTCAAATTTGTTTTCTGTTGCTGTTTTCTCTTTTATCATGGCTAATCTTTATTTGAAATGTCTTTCCTAAAGCTCAAAACCCTGCTATGCCATGAGTCTGTTTCCAAGTATTATCATAAAACATTTGAAAGGTCTAGGAAGGAAATCTATGGGTTTAAATCATAACTCTGCGTACTTGAGAATTTAGCCACTGCTGCAACCCTAGCAGGCCAGATGGCCATCTCCTCTTAAAAAGTGCAAAACCACGCAGGGCTGTTTAGGACCTGAGAAGAAATTAGCTGCATATAAGCATAGTATCTGGGAGATTAAAAATGAGAAATAGTAGTATTCAAAAGCATAGAAAATTCAAACCACGTCACTGCTTCTGAAGAAGTATCATTTCTGAAATCCAGCGGCTGTGGCCACAGAGGTAGGAGTCGTGGGTTCCCATCTCAACTCTTCTACCTGCTGGCTTTCTGACCACGGGCACTTCACTGAGGGTCTCTGGGCATTCTTGCCCCCCACTGTGCAGTGGCGATAGTGGAATCTGACCTGCCATCCCTGAAGTGGCTACTGTGAGGGTCAAATGATATGAAAATACTGTGCCTCTCTTAGTGCTTTACGGTGTAAGCTCTGCTTCCACGGTGCCCGCTGCTGTAGCAGCAGTTGCGGGAGATGATAACGATTTTACTACAAGCTTCTGACAAGCCCAGAACATGCGTGTTTGTGCATTTCTTTTTTACCATGCCCCACACAGCGCTATATGAAATTAAGGCTTAGTAAATACTATATGATGATAAAGGATACTCAATACATAGAAAAATTAGGAAGATTTTGTTTGGACCTTTCCTAGTCAACGAGGAGTTGACGTCTTTACAACATCCTCTCAACTTCATTTAGTTTGTGCTTATAGTCAGCCATCTTATAAACATTTTAATAATTTTGCTTTTAAAAAATAACAGCATTGTTTTTTTTGAGACAGGGTCTCACTCTGTCACCCAGGCTGGAGTGCAGTGGCACAATCTTGGCTCACTGCAGCCTCGACCTCTTGGGCTCAAGTGATCCTCCCACCTTAGCCTCCCAAGTAGCTGGGTCCACAGGTGCCCACCACCACACCTGGCTAAATTTTTGTTAAATTTTTGTAGAGACAGGGTTTCACCATGTTTTCCAGGTTGGTCTTGAACTCCTGGGCTCAAGCTATCCATCCACCTCGGCCTCCCAAAGTGCTAGGATTATAGGCGTGAGCCACCACACCTGGCCCAGATAACATTTTTGAATACGTATTATGCTCAAAGCCCTTTACACGTATTTACTTGCTTAAATCCTCACTTATGAATCCTACAAAACCCTATGAAGTTGGGACTATTATTATCCCCGTTTTACAGATGGGGAAACTGAACCACAAGAAATTAAGATGACACAGCTAGTAAGCGGCAGAGATGAGATTCAAATCCAACAGAACCCCAGTCTCTTAACCACTGCTCTGCTGCCTTCATAAGCATCTTCCAGACTGCTTTGGAAAGTAACCTAGGAGAGTTATTCTTATATCCTTTCCTCTACTGGATTTGATAAAGCGTTAGGAGGGAGGAAAGGTGAATACATCACCAAAGCTCAGCTGAGAAGTGACAGAATTAGAAAACAATATGGAGGACCCCCAGGCTCCTGTAGCAGTCCTCACATTGGCTCCATTTGGGGCACAGAGTTATTGAGAAAGTAGTTGCCAGCAAGCAGCAGGTCAAGTCATGGAGCCCCGGAGGCCATTGCTGTCTGTCGTATTCTAGCTTTGATTCCTCCCATGTACACAGGGACCCCCTGGTTCTTTCGACTTCCTGCTACTTATGCTGGCTGACATCCGCAATGACATCACTGAGCTGCAGGAAAAGGTGTTCGGGCACCGGACTCACTCTTCAGCAGAGGAGTTCCCTTTACCTCAGGAATTTCCCAGCTACCCAGAAGCCATGGACCTGGGCTCTGGAGATGACCATCCAAGAAGAACTGAGACAAGAGACTTGAGAGCCCCCAGAGACTTCTACCCATAGCACATCCCAACACCGTCACGCCAAAGGAAGAGAAAGATCAACTCACCTGCAGTTAAACCATCTAAAGAGAAGAAAGACCACTGGAGACCTAGAAAACATACATTTTTCTCTTCTCTTCTCCTGACGTCTCTCCACTCCTCTTCTTCCAAATACGATGCTATTTTCAGAGTCCCCTCCTAGGCCTGCAGACATGAGGGAGTGAATGATTGATTTACCTGCTTCTCACTAAGAGTCCATTGGGGTGGTTTGCATTGTAACTTTTCTTTTACATCCTATTTTTCCAGGAACTTTGGATTTAAGTACTCTCACAGTGTCTTAAATCATAAATTCTTGAAGTTAAATTTGGCAGAGTATCAAAAGGGGGAAAATGACAAAGTGAGCTCTAAGAAAATGTGAGGCTACTTCTAAGATGTGTGTTCACAATAGACCATAACTCCTCTAGTATCAAAATTGGGGCTCTTCAGTTAAAAAGGGGTGGGGAGGACAAACGTGTCGATGTGCTTTGGTGGAGAATTTTTTCCTTGTGCTTCTAGTAGACTTTAAATATTGTATCCCTTTGTCAAACCTTGTTTCCCAAATTCAATTAAAGAGAGGAGAGAATTGAATGGCGTTTAGAGAAGATAGAAAAGAATCACAGTCATATATTTACTGTTATATAGATTGCCACATTCTAAAATTCAAATACGGTGCTTAAGGTTTCATGCCATGCTTATCTGTAAGTATCCTATTTAGGGAAGAAGATTAAACTCTCTTTTCAAAAAAACAAAGTGAAATGCCTGGATTCACATTAAAACAATGGGCTCTCGTTTGCTATAATATTTTAAAGCTGTTTAATCAACAGTGGAGTCTGCTCTATAAATATAGATTATTTGTTCAATAAACTGGCTGAGCTTAGAGAGAGGTGCAGAATTCCTGGTTCTGAGCAGGTGCCCAGAAGGTACCATTAGGTGCCATGATCCAGGCTGAACCAATATACAGTGGGGCTGAAGTCTGCAAGGAGGTTGCTGGCTTGGGCTGACCTCACTAATGCCATCAGCAGCGGTAGGTAAATTTTTTCTCCTTGGGTATTACAAGTTTTTGTCTGGAGCCAACCAAGCTTGCCACCAACATATTGAGAGTAATACACTATTGAAAGTTATCTTGGATGGGGAGAAAAAAAAATAGTGGTTTTCCTTGTTTGCAAAAACTTCCTTCCTATTCTCATTTTTTCTTAATTTTCTTTAATTTAGTCCAAGTTCCAGTTCTTTTAGGCCTTCTCTTTGATTTATTTTCCCCTGCATGTGAGAAGCAGTTCAGAAAAAGGTCTATATCTCCACCTCCTAGTGAGTTAGAGTGTTTTCTCAGAGCACCTCTGGGTGGCAAAGGGAAGCATGTTCCTGCCAAGGTTTGCTGTGGATTCAGAAGCACCAGGAGCAAGAGACCAGAAGGATGATCTGCTCCTTTGTAACGTTGTTGAGGGCCCTCTTGTTTCCAATGAGCAGCTTATAGGTTACTCACAGTCCACTTTCTCACTGGACACACAAAGTGGCTCTTTATCTACCTTTGCGGGAGATTTTCACTCTCCTGCAAATGATCGTTCTCACACTCATATTAGCTCATGTTGGAATTTCCCATCCTGCCATGTCCTTTCCCATTTCTTTTTGGCTTTTTTGCCTCCACCTTTTAGCCCACATCATTTAACTCCACTACTGTGAAAGCTTGCTTAAAGAAAATCCCTCTTGGCCGGGTGTGGTAGCCCACGCCTCTAATCCCAGCACTTTGGGAGGCTGAGGCGGGGAGATCACAAGGTCAGGAGATCGAGACCAGCCTGACCAACATGGTGAAACCCTGTCTCTACTAAAAATACAAAAATTAGCTGGGCGTGTTGGCACACACCTGTAATCCCAGCTACTCAGGAGGCTGAGGCAGGAGAATTACTTTAACCTGCGGGGGGAGCCTAGATTGCGCTACTGCACTCCAGCCTAGGCAACAGAGGGAGACTCTGTCTCATTAAAAAAAAAAAAAAAAAAAAAAAAAGGCCGGGCTTGGTGGCTCATGCCTGTAATCCCAGCACTTTGGGAGGCCGAGGCGGGCGGATCACGAGGTCAGGAGATCGAGACCACAGTGAAACCCTGTCTCTACTAAAAACACAAAAAATTAGTCGGGCGTGGTGGTGGGCGCCTGTGGTCCCAGCTGCTCGGGAGGCTGAGGCAGGAGAATGGCGTGAACCTGGGAGGCGGAGCTTGCGCTGAGCCGAGATCGTGCCACTGCACTCCAGCCTGGGCGACAGAGCGAGACTCTGTCTCAAAAAAAAAAAAATATCCCTTTTGTTGTGTTTGAATGCCACCTTTCAGTCTTCTTCCTTAAGAATGTTAGGAAGGGGCTTTGCAAACCTCTAGTGGCAACAGTCTTCCTTCCCTTCTTCCTACCACGTTGGAAATGCAGGACTCATGTCAGTCAGCATGTGACCGAGTCTTTCATGAACACTTTGCTCCTCTATGTCTCATTTATGCAAAATTCCTGGTGACTCTCCACTAACATTTTTAAAGTGAAAGCAAACTTTCACTTTAAAAAAAGTGAGCGAGAGGATCCCTTGAGCCCAGGAGTTCAAGGCCAGTCTGGGCAACATAGCAAGACCCCATCCCTAAAAAAAAAAAAATAAGTTTTATTAAATGTGGCACTTTCCCCTAGAAGGGCAGTAACCCCAGGAACCAGTCTGCCTCTTTTCGAATAAAGGAGACTTTTTAAAAAGAAAAAATTTCTTTTTAGGGTGGGGTGCTCTTTATCTAGCATCTTTCCTTCCTCCTTCTCTCTGCAAAATTCAACATTCATGACAGAGGGCCACACCAACCACGGGTTTATAGAGAGAGGAACTGAACAGCTGTTGATTCCCATCTGGAATATATTTAATGTTTGCCTGCTTGTGGAGCATGGTATTTAAAGGGTGTGGATGGATGAATGTTTAAAAAAAAACACACAAAACTATGCACAAGCTGTATGAGAGATGGCTAGGTCCATCTATGATTTTTTTTAAAAGAAGAATTTTAATACCTTTTCTTTGACAGTGAACTGTATTTAGAAATATGATCTTTATTGTGAAATGCTCATAAAATGCAACCAAACTGCATGTTTGGCCATAGGCTAGAATAATATATTAAAAGAATTAATGGAAAGTAGTATTGTCTGGGTTTCATGAAACTATTCCAGATAATATTCTCCAGCAAAACTTATGGTAACCTGTATTTTATAATGTCAATCTGCTGGACCAAGTTAATTTAGAAAATAATTTTTAATCCTCAGATTTTCAAAACTTGGACTACTGCAAGACTGATATGTACTTTTTATGCCCAAATCATATTTTTCAAAGATAGGACATCATAAGGCATCATTATTTCTAATGTATCTTTTAACTAGATAGAAAAAGCTTTACTGTCTAAACAGGACTTCTGCTCAAAACCTAATGGGAAAGCTATTTCTGGGGTAAGATTTGTAACAGTGCTTCTAGGTCATTTCATGTTTTATAGGGAAAAAGATCTTTGTACACCTCCTCAACCTGTTAGTAGAAATGTTGACTTCGATTTTTTGCACCCTCTTCACAGGACCTCATAAGTTGCCTCTGTTCTTGGAAAGCAATGGGAATAAAAATATGCTGTTGAAAATAGTGCATGGGGCCAGGCACAGTGGTTATGCCTGTAATCCCAACACTTTGGGAGGCTGAGGCGGGCGCATCATGAGGTCAGGAGATCAAGACCATCCTGACCAACACGTGGTGAAACCCCATCTCTACTAAAATAAATAAAAAAAAAAATTAGCCAGGCGTGGTGGTGCACGCCTGTAGTCTCAGCTACTCGGGAAGCTGAGACACAAGAATTGCTTGAACCCGGGAGGTGGAGGTTGCAGTGAGCCAAGATTGCGCCACTGCACTCCAGCCTGGCTACAGAGTGAGACTCCGTCTCGAAAAAAGAAAATAGTACATGGAGGGCATGCATTTTAGTTTAGGAAACCCCCCTCCCTTCCCAGTTCCAGAGGGAGAAATTATAAGCTATACTGTGCCAAAAGTGAGTGGGGCTGCAGAGAGAATGGTGCCTTTTCTCACCTTCTGAGTTAATGCCCGACATCTGCCATTGGATTCATTGACCAAAGGAAGTCATTTCTACTGTATAAACTCAGGAGTATCATAGCCCAACAAGTAAATAATAAATGTTCATTGGTTTTGGAAGGAAGGAAAGGTGAGTATTACCCCACCAAATACCAGCGAAGAGCACCCTGGCTTTGGCCATCTTTCCAAGGTTCATAATTGCTGTGGGCCTGGTGAGCCCTGTTCCCAGGTATGCAAGGGAGGGCTTCTCCAGGCCAGACATTTCTGTAGGTTTTCAGGTAGCAACTCCCCCATCATATTTTGGGTGTCATTCCCCACTCTCTCTCCCCACTTCTCAGCCTGTGCCCCAGAAACAACCACAGCAGCCTCATTCTGCAGACTTAACATCTGTCAAATAACCTTCCTGAAAAGGAAAGTTATTGGAGGAATCCAGGCCAAACAACAAGTAGAATAGAGCCATCTAAAGTTATTAATAATGAGTTCAGGGAAATAGATGAATTTTTTCCTGGCATAGTCAATATTTATATCTCACAACAAGTCAAAAATAATTTTCCATTTGGAAAACAAAACACACCATGACTGTAATTGTTAAGGCATATAATCATGAACTTCACATGCTCCCTCAACAAACGTTACTGCTCTAGGGAAATCATAGAAAAGGACCCTCTTACTCCCCAGGGGATCAAAGCAAGTCCCCTTAGGAATTTCATGTGTGCCGTGGGTCTGTTTTTATTTCACAGTGACTAGTCATATACTGGAGTAGCTCTGTTGTTCATTATTTGTAACAGGTCCATGTAACAGTCAAGTTAGCATTCAAGCAATTATGGATGTGATACTATGATGTACTTTTGTTATGATTGTATATGCTTAATAACAAAGTTATTTTTCTTACATTGCTCTACTGTGTTTTGTCTTGACACCTGGTTTTGTGAAGCAAGTTATCTTTTTACCCAGTGAACAAGGAGACGGAGAGGTACATTTCTCTTGAGAGCTGGAATCGAGAATCTGGGTCAGCCACCTCCTGAGGTCTGGGTGTGCTCAGAGCATTTGAATCTGAATCAAGGTCTGAAGGCGCAGGTACCACTGCATGTGGGTCTCAGAGATCCAGTTCCCTAGCTGAGATTCCCAGGGTGAGATTTTCAAACCGAGAACCCTCTAGACGCTCATTGGAGCTGCCTTAGGAGCTCACAAACAAGAGGCCTGTGAAGACTGAGTGCTCCCTGCCCCCAGCGCTGCACTCACAGTGACTCCATGTCCAACTAGTTTTCTGTTTGGGATTAGAATTCCATGTAAGATTTCCTCTGGGGGATGCAGTGGCAAACGCCTGTAGTCCCAGACACTGGAGTGAGAGGATCACTTGAGCCCGGGAGTTCAAGGCCAGTCTGGGCAACATAGCAAGACCCCATCCCTTAAAAAAAAAAAAAAGTTTTATTAAATGTGGCACTTTCCCCTAGAAGGGCAGAAACCCCAGGAACCAGTCTGCCTCTTTTTGAATAAAGCAGACTTTTTAGAAAGAGAAAATTTCCTTTTAGGGTGGGGGGAAAGTTGATTACCTTAAAAATAAAGTTGGAGGGAGGAACTCTCATGAACTGGTAGCTAAAGTCTTCTATGTAAAGATAAGAGGAGGGAAATTTTTGCCATTTGGGCCATATGGGAAGTGGAGTCGTAGGATAAAATGGGAGCTTATTTCTAAGGGATTTTAGCCACCCTTAGCAGGGTGTGTTTAGTGTCCTGAAGTTCACCTGTATTTATACATCTCACTTCAGTTAGTAAATATTTAAGTGCCTATTGCAATCTGGGCACTGTGCTATGCACTGCAGACACATTTGGGAGCAAAAACATCTTAATCCCTGTCCTGCTGGGGATTTTTGGCAAAACAGATAAGGATCCTTCCAGACAAAATAATCACATAAATATGTGATTACAAACCGCAATAAGCTACGAAGTATTGGGCGCTACAAGAGCCAATAAGGGTTCATGCCAGGGGAGCCCACCCTTGGCTCCACGATGCGCTCCTTCCCAGAGCCACACGCTCAAAGCAGCCAACAGCATTCACGCCAGCTGCACAGGACCTCATGGCCCCTTCCAGCCTTTCCCAGACAGCAGCTTTACAAAGGCTCTAGGTGACATAGCAGATCATGGAAATCTGGGAGACAACTTCATGTGTAATTTTTCCAGCCCTTAATTTAATGAACCAAAAGCTGGTTGAGCACTTACAGTCCTCATGGCCTCTTGACATCTCACTGTGCAGCTGATGGATAACGTCACGTGTTCCAGTCTTGATTCTCAGCAAAATTTGAGGCTTGTTTCTTCTCAACCAGGACACTGCAGTTTTGACAAAGCTCGCTATGCTTTTGAAGCCCAAAACCTTGAACACCCCAGCTCGGCTCCACGTGCAAATTTCCACAGCCTTGCTCATGAATAGATGCAGGGTTACAGGACGGCCAAATGGGAAGTGGCGCTCAGCCACTGGGTGGTCCACAAGGAAAAGGCAACTCTGCCAAGATGTGTGGGTGATGGCAGTTTGATCATAAGATCTGGGGAACTGGTGGAGGGGTGGATGGGTTTCTTTGGCTGCCAAAACAGTACCGCAAACTGGGTGGCTTGAAACAACAGAAATTTATTGTCTGACAGTTCTGGAGGCTGGAAGTCTGAAATCAATGTGTCAGTAGGGCCAGTGTCTTCTGGAGGCTCTTGGGAGCAACCATCTGATCCCTGTGTCATTTCTGGTGTTTGCCCACAGTCTTGGCATTCCTCGCCTCCAATATCATATGGTGTTCTACCCGCCTGCCTCTGCAGCTTCACTTGGTGGTCTCCAGCATTCTCTCTAAGTCTTCTGTGTACCTATTTTCTCTTCTTATCAAGATGCTACTAGTGGCCAGGCATTGTGGCTCACGCCTGTAATCCCACCACTTTGGAAGGCTGAGGTGGGCAGATCACTTGAGGTCAGGAGTTCGAGACAAACCTGGCCAACATGGTGAAACCCCATCTCTATTAAAAATACAAAAGTTAGCCAAGCATGATGGTGCATGCCTGTAATCCCAGCTATTCGGGAGGCTGAGACACAAGAATCGCTTGAACCCAGGAGGCAGAAGTTGCAGTGAGCTGAGATTGCACCACTTACACTCCAGCCTGGGCAACAGAGCGAGACTCCTTCTCAAAAAGAAAAAATAATTTTGAAAAGGTACTACTTGTTGTCTTAATGCAATATGACCTCATCTCAGTTTAATTATATCTGCAAAGATTATTTCCAAATAAGGTCACATTCTGAGGCTCCTGTAGATATGAATTTTGAGGGGACACTTCAACCCAGTACAAGAAGGAAATTTTCTCCCTATTGACTTTTATCCTGCTTATTTCCTTTAATAGCATTTTTTTTTCCAACTTGAAATTCTTATTCACTTCATTCAACAAAAACATATTGACAGTGAGGATAGAGAGTATTGAATGGTACAAAGTTCCTACACTGGTGGAGCATAGCTTCTGGTCCAGGAAGACAAACAGAAATACATGTATCAGTCATGGTTCTTGAGAAACAGCACCAAGAGACAGGGATTTATTTTCAGAAATTGGCTCATGCAACTGTAGATCTGGAAGTGTAAAATCTGCCAGGCTGGCAGGCTGGAGACAGAAGAGTTGGCATTGCAGTTGGAGTCCACAGGCTTCCTGCTAGAAGAATTCCTCCTTGCTTGGAAGGTCAGTCTTTTTCTATTAACGCCCTTAGCTGATTGGATGAGCCCCACCCACATTATGGAGGTAATGTGCTTTACTCAGTCTACTAATATAAATGTTACTCTCATCTAAAAAGTACATTCATAGAAACATCTAGAATATTTGACCAAATATCTGGGTGCTTTGGCCCAGCCAAATTGACAGTAAAATTAACCACCACACTATATGTCAGTGCTAAGAAGTGCTGTGGGGAAAAGTACGTAGGGTAGAGGAGTGAAAAATAACAGAGGGTGGGAGCATGTACTTTAGATGGGGACTTCTGGAAAGGTGGTGTATGAGCAGAGGCCTGAACAAAGGGAGAAGTGAACCCTGTAGATGAAAGTGATCCACACAGAGGTTACAGCCAGACCCTGAGGCAGATCTGCTTGGTGTGCTCAAAGAGTAGCAATGGGGCCACCCATGTTGCTGGAACGGAATAAGTGAGGGAAAGTGGGGTAGGAGATGCAGAGGCAGGCAGGGGCGAGGCAAGGCCTTAAGGCCCTGCAAGAGGACTTTGCATTTCCTAGTGGACCCATAGAGAGTTGCTGAAGGGATAAGAATGGAAGTAGGGAAATGCATTCGGAAACTATTGAAGCAGTGTACGGTCAGGTGCCAAATCTTGACATTGGAATCAATGGCAGATTGCATGTACAATGGTAGACCCATAAGATTATATGGGAGCTGAAAACTTTGTTCGCCTAGTGATGTGATAGCCATTATATAACATAATTTATTTTTAAATAAATTTGGTGTAACCTAAGTGTACAGTGTTTACAAAGTCTACAGTAGTGTAGCAATGTCCCAGGCCTTCACATTCACTCACCGCTCACTCATCCACCCACGGCAACTTCCAGTCCTGCAGGCTCCATTCATAGTAAGTGCCATATACAGGTGTACCATTTTTTATCTTTATTCAGTATTTGTACTGTACCTTTTAGATACTCAAATACTCATCATTGTGTTATAATTGTCTGCGGTATTCAATACAATAACATGCTGTACAGGTTCATAGCCTATGAGCAATAGGTTATACCATACAGCCTAGGTGTGTAGCAGGCTATGCCATCTAGGTTTGTGTAAATGGTACATCCCATGATGTTTACACAGCAATGAAACACCTAATGAGACATTTCTCAGAATGTATCCCTGTTGTTAATTGATGCATGACTGTACTTGTTCGTTGACTGTCTGCACTATGAGAATTGATACTGTGATTGTTTTTTTGTTTTTGTTTTGGGGGTTTTTTTGAGACAAAGTCTTGCTCTGTCGCCCAGGCTGGAGTGCAGTGGCACGATCTCGGCTCACTGCAACCTCTGCCTCCCAGGCCCAAACAATCTTCCCACCTCAGACTCCTGAGTAGCTGGGACCACAGGCACGAGCCACCATGCCGGGCTGATTTTTGTATTTTTTGTAGAAACAGGGTTTCCTGGCGTTGCCCAGTCTGGTCTCAAACTCCTGGACTCAAGCGATCTGCCCACTTCAGCCTCCCAAAGTGCTGGGATTACGGACATGAGCCACTGCACCGGCAGATACTGTACTTGCTTATCTGCTTCCTTGCTAGGCTAGAAAATCCTCAGGAGCAGGAACTATCTTTCTACCATATTCCCAGTGTCTGCCACAATATCCAGGACACAATAGGAGTTGAATGAATATTTATATAGTGAATTTAATTCAGTTAATGCATTTAGTCTTCTCAAAATCCTGTAAGGTAGGTACTTTTGGTATCCTCAATGTATACATATCCTAAGAGGTAAACATTCATAACACGCAGGTGTATTTCAGAACATTAATGCGCTGTGCTGGTTTAATCCCATCAGATAAACATAGCACAGACACTCAGCTCCACATTCTCTCCCACTTTGGAATCACATGTGACTTCACAGAATGGGCCTCCATGGTGCAGAAAGTCACAAGAAAATTGTCCAGACACAGGGCCTTTTGTTTCCCACCATCCAATTTTCTAATCTATGCTGGGTTGACAACCTTTCTGACCTCCTGCTATGAGGTGGCTAACAAGTATATAGTAAAACTATTAAGATGTTAATGGAAAATAATAAAAGAAGAATGATACTAATATAATCACTGTTATAGTTGATTCCTAACACCCCATGCAGTCAAAAATCTGCAGATAACTTTTGACTCCCCAAAAACATAACTACTAACACCTTACTATTGATCAGAAGCCTTACCAATAATAAAGTTGATTGACACAAGTATTTTATAGGTATTATATGCTATGTTCTTCAAAAATAAGCTAGAGAAAATGTTATTAAAATCATAAAATATATTTACTATTAAGTGGAAGTGGATCATCGTAAAGATATTCATCCTCGTCTTCAGGTTGAGTAGGTTGAGGCTGAGGCTGAGGAAGAAGAGGAGGGATTGGTCTCTGTCTCCGGTGGCAGAGGCAGAAGGAAGTCCACGTATAAGTGGATGCACCCAGTTCCAACCCATGCTGTTCAAGGGTCAACTGTACTTAGTATTCGATATGGCCCCAAAATAACTGGGAGTCTGTATTTGTCTGTTTTCCTACTGCTATAAAGAACTGCCTGAGACTGGGTAATTTATAAAGGAAAGGGGCTTAATTGACTCACAGTTCAGCATGGTTGGGGAGGCCTTAGGAAACTCACAATCATGGCGGAAGGCGAAAGGGAAGCAAGGCATCTTCTTCACAAGGTGGCAGGAAGGAGAAATGCTGAGCAAAGTGAGAAGACTCCTTTATAAAACCATCAGATCTCATGAGAACTCACTATCACAATAACAGCATGAGGGAAACCTCCCCCCATGATTCAGTTATCTCCACCTGGTCTCTCCCTTGACACGTGGGGATTATGGGGATTACAATTCAATATGAGATTTGGATGAGGACACAAAGCTTAACCATATCAGAGTCAAAACTAAAAAAAAAAATAGGTTAAATAACATTAGCTAATAAAAAACATGCTATTGTTCAGGAAAGGTTCTTTTCTAGAAAGAATATGGTAAATCTTTATTAGTCACAGATCAACATATATTTCTTATAAAGCTTCATGCTAGAAGTAAGGGAACATTAGAAGGCATGTTTTAATTCAAGTGTCTTTGCATAGAGATTAAATTAATGAGCTGCAAATATTAATCTGATGGGTGAACTTTGTTAAAGAATAAAACATAGACTGCCTTGATATGTAAATAACCAGCCATGTCATAAGATCAGCAGGCTTCAAATGTTTTTGACAATGACCCACTGGGAAAACATATTTTACGCGGTGATACAACATTCAAATGTATCCATATGCAATTGAGACATGTTTTACAATATTTACCTTTACTACATTGGGTGCACTCTCATTTTCTCTGTGCAATTTGCTTTTTAAAAAAAATTCTGGCTGGGCACAGTGGCTCATACCTAAAATCCCAGCACTTTAAGAGACTGAGGCAGGAGGATTGCTTGAAGCCAGCAGTTCAAGACCAGCTTGGGCAACAAAGTGAGACCCTGCGTAGCCCTACAAAACTAAAAGAAAAAAAAAAATACCTGGGTGCACATCTATGGTCTTAGCCACTCAGGAGGCTGAGGCAGAAGGATCACTTGAGCCCAGGAGTTCAAGGCTGCAGTGAGCTCTGATCTGTGTCACTACACTCCATCCTGGGCAACAGAGTGAGACCCCATCTTAAAAAAAAAAAAAAAAAAGTCCTGGTCACAACCACTAAATTGACTTCTCGGGTAGCAGCCCACAGTTTGAAAACCACTTGCTTAGACTGATGTTCTCAAACTTCTTTGTGCATAGGAACCATCTGAGGATTTTATGACAGTGAAGATTCTGATTCAGGGGTCTGAGGTTTGCCTTCAGTGCTGCTGTTTGGGAACCACACCGTGAGTAGCAAAGTCTTCCCTCCCACAGGAGCATGTGTTCTGGACTTTAGATGGGAGCAGGAGAAAATTAGATTAATTTAGAACTCTGACAAGCATCAGGAATTCACATATGGCTATTATGTCTCAATTATTTAATCCCTATGTCTTTGATGATTTAAAACATAGTTTCCCTGGGAAATGGCACATCTTAAGCCTTACCTCTCCATTAACATGTTAGCAGGCAACAAGTTGATAGCTGCTACAGGGGAAGAAGATGTCTGGAGGGAGATTCTGGGTAGGGAGACTGGGAAGGTGACTCCCTCCCCAGCATGGGCCCTGGCCTTGCCTCAAGTTGCTAATATTTTGGAGGCTGGTTCCCCAGGTGGGAGGGCAGAAATGACGTCCATGCAGCACGTTGACCCAGGTAAGCTTCATTCACCTGTTCCCGCATGGTGTCGCTTTCACCAGCATCCCCAGGCGATTCAGGGACTCCTGATTCTCATCGATTCTGGCGAAGTGACAACTTATGTGCTGAATCCGCACTTCTCCTCCAGCCTGTTTTCTGTGGCTTCTTATCCTCTTCTGTCTGTAGCATCACAACCACACTGGGGATGAGAGCTGGGTGGGAAAAATGATTAAATCAGAGGCAGAGTTGTATCTATAGTCATTTTTTGCTTTACAAATAGTTTTTGTGATGTATGTGGACAGAACAGTTTCCAAAGTCAAGTTTTGTTGGGTTTAAAAAAAATGTAACCCATGGACGTTCTTGGCTGTGTTCCCCACCACCCCCTCACAGTAACGTAATCTGCTGGATCTGCCCCAACCCATCTTGGACATGGCTATAGACCTTTTTACCCCAGGGCTCTGGAGATGATACACAGAATCTTACTAACTGCCATCATACCATGTAATTGCAGGACCATGTAATGTGAAAGGAACACTTCTCCCATGTACTGACAGGGTCATTTATTTACAGTTCTGTAAAACTCTCAGCCAAAACCAGCAGATCATATACACAACTACTCATAGGCGGGTAATTTGCCTTCTGGAAAAGAAAAAGGTGCACAAATCGAATTAGGCTCAGATTATTCAGAAAGGAAATAACAGCTGGAAAACATTTCAAAAAGTGGTCCCTTCAAAAGAGCCTTCCAAGAATACCAGCCAAATACATTTTTCCTTCAGGGCTTATTCTATGTGGCTATTGACCACTGAGATCCAATACTACCAGCCAGATTGACACAGACTTTGCATGTCAATATTCACATGAAGTGGGATGAAGGTCTTTGGGTTGCTGAGATTATGTGTGTTCCAAATAAATGAAGTTAGCCCCCAGGTATTTATTGGCTTTTCCAGCTACATAGGCACCTTTCTACCAAGGATAAAATCTGTGATCTGTGTAGAGAACTTTTCTTGCTAAGTCTTTGTGGAGTAATCAGCAACTTCATTGCATCTAAGCCTTCCTCTGCTAATCCCGTGATTACTGGACTCACAGTTTCACCTTGGTAGCTTATCTGTGGTCAGATGGTACTGGGGGCTGCTGCTATACTACCCTCACCCCACACACACACACTTATCTTGCAAAGAGGTACACAGGCATCCCTCCCTCAGGCACTTCAGTTTCTTTCATGCCTTTTACTTGATTCCAGAAGTCCCCACTGAGGCCAAGAAATCTGAGTACTATTCTCAGGAGAAATTTGCTCTGGGGTCCCTCGGGGATAAAAGGATGGTGTGAGGGATCCTGGCTGCATGGAAGGGGCCTGAGGAAACTTGTTGCAATTGACAATCCTTCCAGTGTCTGCCTCAAGTCTGAAATTCTCACCACGCATTCCACTGCTTAGGTACCATTCACTCAGGTTACAGCTTTCAGTTACAAGAGTAGGTTCATCCATTAACCAGCAGGTACATGGAGAAGTTAGTCACTTGACTCCATATTAAGGCCCAAACAAAGCAATTTTGAGGGAATATGTGAAATATAATGAGGAGGAAGATAGAATTAATCTCAGAGCTAAACTTGGGCATAGCTAGATTCCAGGGAAGAGGGTGGAATTGTAAAATAAGCTGAAACAACCCAGGAGCTTTGTTCTCTCAAAAGCACCTTCTCCTGTAATACAATGAATGGTCTCTCCACCACCATCATTGTGAATTTCATGGTTTTTGAGTCACTTCCATTACTAGCTGGGTGACCCTCGCATCATACTAGGGAACATGAAGACGTGAATTCCACCTCATTTGGAACAGTTTGGATCAGGGCTGTGTCCAGGTAGGAGCTAGCTGTACCAGGGGCTTCCCCATTTCCCACTCCTTTCTGACTTCAAAGACAGGGTCCTTGCTTTCTCCCAAATGGAATCTGGAGGTTTTATTTGTAGGCAGTTGTGCCAATCTGTCTCCTACCCTTAGTCACAAACTACTTAAGGACAAGAGTTAACTATCTTCATAGTTGCTGGAGACCTACAGCAGTACTTGGTGCATATTAAGTGCTCAGAAGATGTTAACAGAAAGCAAGCGGTTGCTAAAGATACAGCCACCAGTGGCCCTCAGTTACTTCCATTCACTTAGTTATTTAACAGATATGTATTGAATGCTCTCATATACTATGGTCAGCACTTGTCCCTGTCTTAATGGGATTGTACATTTATTTATACATAGATTATAATCTAGTGAATGAAGTCACAGATCTGTACTGGTACATACTGAAGCCCCATCTCCTTTTTATTTCTTTTTCCTTACAGAAGTTTGCTGAGCAATCTTTATTTTACAATTTGCAACTGGATTCTTCATCCTTGATACCCCCTATTCTGGTTTTTACCCTTCTTAAGGAAAAGCAAGTGACTTTGCATACTGGCCAATAAGAGACAGCCTCTAATAGGTCTCCTATTCCCTCCTCTACGCTCAGTATCTATGAGCGTAGATATGTGGGTTTCACAACCTGCAAGTCCTGCCCAGGAAGTGGAATTTTCCTATTGAACCAAAATTGTGTTTTAGACTCAAAGCTGAGGGCAAAATGCACTAGGCATCCCCATGTTCTTTTTTTTTTTTCTTTTTGAGACGGAGTCTTGCTCTGTCACTAGGCTGGAGTGCAGTGGCACGATCTTGGCTCACTGAAACCTCCGTCTCCCGTTCAAGCGATTCCCCTGCCTTAGCCTCCTGAGTAGCTGGGAATACAGGTGTGCGCCACCACACCCAGCTAAGTTTTTGTATTTTAGTAGAGACTGGGTTTCACCATTTTGTTCAGGATGGTATCAATCTCCTGACCTCATGATCCACCCACTTCGGCCTCCCAAAGTGCTGGGATTACAGGCGTGAGCCACTGTGCCCAGCCAGCATCCCCATGTTCTTAAGTGAGCATCATCAAATAGTTTGAGAGCTGCCACCTCCCCAGGGAGCTTAGTGAGCAGCTCCTGTTCAGAACTGTGCCTCTCCCACCTGACCCCAGCTGTGGGAGAAGAGGACCGGGTTGAGGGAGATGTAGACAGCCTTACAGAAAATACAGTATTCTTGATGACAAGTCTGTCCCTACTTAGAGTGTGGCTAGGGGAGAGGTACCCATCCCTAAAGCCAAGTGAGAGGGGGCTCCAAAAGTTTACTCATAACAACTTGGGGTGCCTTAATAATGTAAGAGGGCAGCATGTTCTCTGGCTGGATGTGTGCCAGGTCTATGTTGTTTGCCCCTGAAGCAAGACCTGCCACAAGCATTCTTGGGAGGATGATCCAAGAGTCTCCTCTTCACTAGACCTCCCCATGACCATGGGGAAGGAGAAAGGCGTGCTTGGCATGTGTGCCCTGAAAAGACGGGACATACTTATTCATAGAGATAACACTTGTTCCGATGAAGTCAGAGGCCTGGTGGGAGTAGCCTCTTTCACAGGGCTTCAAGGGATTGTGGATATTGTGCCTGAGAGGAAGGTGAGGCAACCATCTACTCCCTGATGTGTGAAAATGAAGGAACACAGAGGGGAAAGGAGAGGCAGGGACCCAATGCCAGGGACCGTTCCTTACTCTGATGTGTGCACAGCCACCAAAGCTGGCCCTTTTCTTCCAGCCTCTTGCCATCCCTCTAAAAGCTTGAATTAGCAGAGGCAGTTAAGCAGGAGGTAGAGGAGTGTCAGAACCAGACCTTTGCTTCCTTCCAAACAGCCAGGCCCACAGCCCCAGCCCCCCTGGGGTTGGGAGCAGGGAAGAGCCAAGCTTTAAATCAAGTTCAAGGCTCAGGTTCTAATAATGAACAGGTCTTGGTCTTAAATCTCAAAGGTGCCTAGAAAGTTAAAATTTGGGCAGGATTTCATGAAGGGAGCCACAGCCAAAAAAGAGAGGGTGAATTCATCAAAAGTTAAATCCGGTTTTGATGCCCAACTCATTTACACTGTTCAGTAAATCAGTTAGGGATGAGATGCATTTTTTTAAACTAGGACTTTCAAGTCTACATTATAGTGACTTGGGGTTTTACTTCAATTATTTTTATTTTTACATGGAAGTGTATCTTTTCTTATCTTTTAAGTTTGCATGGGTTCAATGCAAGTGCCCACAAAGCTGTGGATCTGAAATTTTAGACACGTTATTTTATCCTTTTGAGATACAGCATCCTATTGTCGTTACCACCATCCGTCAGAACTCTGAACTCCATTCTCAGAAGAAAAATGTCTCTGCTGTAAACATTCTGGTATTTCACAACTAATGAAATTCCTCAGGGAATGCATGTGAGGAAATCCAGACACAGGCAAAAGATTTCCTTCAAATGCCATGGGAGAGTGAAAAGTGAAAGATGTTCATAGCAAACCAAATGTTGGGGTCATTTGGTTTCAAAATGGGAGGGAGAAACACATGCATGTGTGGATTTGTTTGCAGAGTCACAATTCTTTGACCTTGGGCCAATAATCAAATTACGCTGTTGGCATAGGGGATGTCCAAATTATCTCCATAATTATTCTTGATTGAGATGACTCATTCAGGGGCAGGTGGAGAGAGGTGTGGGAGGGAAAAATGGAAAATGGTTGTTTTAGCCAGTTTTATCTAATTCTGATTTGTAAGCTTGTGGAGATCTGTTCCTAACAGCATTAAAACACTCTATATGTATTTTATGATTTTGAAAATCTTTTAAGAATAAGTATTTAAAAGATGTCTTTTACATGATCTCTCTAAAATAATCTCACGGGGTAAGGGATGGGGTGGTAGTATAGATAAAACAATATTGCATGTGTGTTGATAATTGTAAAAGCTACCCAGTTTATAGTATTTTGTTGTAGCAGCCCCAACAGACTAAGACAATGATAATATTTCCTCCACTTCTGTATGGATGTAGGAATAAAAATATCTTTAATAAGTCTTTCAAAATTGCATGAGTTAAAAACAAAAAACATCAATAAGTAAACAAAAAAGAAGAAATAGCAAAAAAACAAAATTGCATGAATTTAGTAAGAAAAAAATCACTTGCTTGTTATTGAATGAAAGTGCTATCTATTCTGAGGTAGAGGTCACAGTCCAGTATCCACTTGGGTTGCAAACAACATTCCCTTGAGGGGAAGTTCTGAGCCATCTCCCTTTCTACAACAATTGCCATTTTATAGAATGGGCTCTGTGCTGGAGAAACCAGAGCCAGACACTTTGGATGAAATGAAATCAATGCTCTGTCTCTGTTTTTCACTCTTCATTTTCCTTTCTTACTCATGGGCCCAGTATTGGTGGAGGAAGCTGAATTCTGCAGCCTTCACAGCCATTTCTGGGCAAGGTCTTTCCTCTGGAAATCGTTAGTGGGTTAATCTTCTATTAATATTTATCTGGGGATTTGGCAAAGTTGTTGCCTGACTCTCCCCATGGCCACAGGCAAAAAGCACTAGGATTAGGTTTGGGCCCTAATGGAAAGAATGTTTCAAGCTCCAACAAGCTAAAAATGTTAACGTGGAATTCTCTTCAGGACCCCTTCTATACTACCAGGCCCCATTAATATCAGCTTCTCCCCATTCTTTCTGGCCTTCAATAAAAGTGACATGGGTGAAATGGGACTACTTCCCCCACCTCATTGGCCAACTCAGTAAATTCCACTAAAATGAATTAGAGAATTTGAGTTTCATCAACAAACATAGTATCTACTGTGGGATAAGGGTATCTCTGTTATTGTTGACTACCCAACAATTCTTCTTTCTGGTAAAAAGATAACAGTAAATCTATCATTTCTTTGGGGAACCCATTTGATAGGGTTGGGATATCCCACTTCCAAGATTTGGACATGTGTATGACTCAGGCCTATTTACATGGTATCTTTGATGCCCAGCAGTGCCTAGAACACAGTAGGTGAACAGTTATTACGTAAATGAATGAATGTGAATTTCAGTTGTTAGAGAAGTCTTGGCTACAGCGATTGATTCATTAGTAAGTACGTATCTCAGCAGTTCTCAAACTTTTTGATCTCAATCTACACCTTTTCATACTTTTAAATACTATTAAAGACTCCAAAGAGCTACCTTTTATCACAGCAAGCCATTTTTTCCACTACAAAGAGTGCTTTGCTTCATGTTCTGTCTGAGAGCTCCAAGTCAAGGTGCTGTCTTTCAGAGAATCACAAGTAGTTTCAGAATGTGGCACTCGCAACCTCAGAAGTCTCCAAAGTGAGTTGCATGGAAGAATGTAAAGAATTAATAAGCGGCTGGGTGCAGTGGCTCACACCTGTAATCCTAGCCCTTTGGGAGGCTGAGGAGGATGGATAACCTAAGGTCAGGAGTTTGAGACCAGCCTGGCCAACACAGTGAAACCCTGTCTCTGCTTAAAAAAATATATATATATATACACAAAAATTAGCCAGATGTGGTGGTGCACACCTGTAGTCTCAGCTACTCAGGAGGGTGAGGCAAAAGAATCACTTGAACCCGGGAGGCAAAGGTTGCAGTGAGCCAAGATTGCACCACTGCACTCCAGCCTGGGTGACACAGTGAGACTCCATCTCAAAAAATAATAATAAGCCATTTAAAACTTCCTCGGCACCCCAGAGAGCCACTTGATTTATTGTAGTTGTTGAATCTAATTAGAAGTGAGGGAAAAAGAAGGTAAGTCTATCAGCAGAACTGGCCAAAAAACAAAACAAAAAACTTCAGGCTACAATTTCTGAGATAGACCTGGAAAGCCAGAAGTGGTGTAGGTGTGGCCTATGGCCCTTAAAATTGGACCCCTGAGGCAGAGACTGCTAATTGCCCCTAACTCTCTCCCTTAGTGTGTTTATTCCTGGTTTTCAGCTGGGTTCATGGCCATCCAAAATAAAGACTACATTTCCCAGCCTCCCTTGCAACTAGAGATGGTCATGTGACTAGGTATCAGTCACTGGATGTAAGCAAAAATTATGTGTAACTTCTAGAACATTCCCTCAAAGGAAGCCCTTCCTCCTTTCTGCTGGCTGGAATTTGGATATGATGCTGAGAACTTAAGCAGCTGTTTTATACTAGGAAGTGCTTCATTCAAGATGGCAGGGCGGAAAGAATATGGAGCCAGGGCCCCTGACAATCATGGAGCCACTACCCCAATCATTGACCCCTTTCTAAACGATCTGGGGAGTCATGCCCTACAAACCATAAATCCTCATCATATGGGTTTTATTTAGCCCTGTATATCGTGACTTACTTTCCAATCTGATGCTGGCATAACAAGGCAGAAAATCAAAATGTTTTACCCCAAAATATATTTCCTTGCCATACCTTGAAATTGTCCTGCAAAGCCTCTTGTGGAAAAAATCCACATTCTATGGAGAATCCCCTCTCCCCTTTGTTTTTCTTCCTTCCTTCCCAGATCTAGGAGATAATCAACTAAGAGCCAGGCACCTTTTTAAGCCCGATAAGATACAATTTACAACCTGTTCTTTCTGAAGTCTGCTATCTGAGAGCTTCCTCTGCACAATAAAACCTGGTCTCCACAATCCTTTATCTCAACCTGAACATTCCTTTCTATCAGTACCAGGTCTTTAGATAAACTCAACCAATTGTCTGCCAGAAAATGTTTAAATTTACTTGTAGCCTAGAAGCCCCCACTTTGAGTTGTCCCGCCTTTCTGAACAAAACCAATGTATTTCTTAAATGTATTTGATTGATGTCTCATGCCTCCCTAAAACGTATAAAACCAAGCTGCACCCCGACCACCTTGGGCACATGTTCTCAGAATCTCCTTAGGGTTGTGTCACAGGCCATGGTCACTCATACTGGCTCAGAATAAATATCTTCAAATCTTTTACAGAGTTTGACTCTTTTCATCAACAACTGCCTGCCTCTGGCCTTGTATGTAAGAGAAAAAGGAACTTGAGTCTCATTTAACCACTGGAATTACTAGCATTTTGAGTTTTCTGTAATATTCAGTCAAACCTAATCCAACTGTTAAAACTCTCAACAAACAAATGCTCTGCAAGTGAAAGTTAACAAAGTCCTCACTCCAAAACTCAGCCTCATTTCTGGGATGGACTACAAACATTCTATAACCTGTTTCAACAGAAATAAGATAGTCATTCATCCTCTCGTCCTTTGTGACTTAAGAGACCCCAGGGTTGGTGAGATAAATTCTGAAAAGGTGAAGACTAGAGATATATTGCTTTTTTTGGTTATGGCATTGAGTAGCTTGGAGTGGCTGTTTGCTCTCAGACTTGCTTTTTTTCTTGTCCAAAAACTCTAATCTTGGAAGGGGAGGCAGTGAAATGCTCACACTTACATGTTTGAATGCTTGCCCTTTGGAAATATGCTTTTCCTGTTGCCAGCATTTGTAAGAAGAGACTGATGCTTGTCAGCACCGCCAGGGGCCTCTGGAAGGAACTGCACACACGCCTGGTAAGAGAAGAAAAGTTTAAAAAAAGGCCAGGTGCGGTGGCTCACGCCTGTAATCCCAGCACTTTGGGAGGCCGAGGCGGGCGGATCACCTGAGGTCAGGAGTTTGAGACCAGCCTGGCCAACATGGTGAGACCTGATTTCTACTAAAAATACAAAATTAACTGGGCATGGTGGTGAATGCCTGCAATCCCAGCTGCTTTCGAGGCTGAGGCAGGAGAATCGCTTGAACCCGGGAGGTGGAGGTTGCAGTGAGCTGAGATCACACTACTGCACTCCAGCCTGGGTGACAAGAGTAAAACTTCTTCCAAAAAAAAAAAAGAGACGTTAGCCCTCAGCCCTGCAGTTATCAAATGTGTGTGTGCCCATCAGAAACACCTGGCCAGGTGCAGTGGCTCAAGCCTGTAATCTCAGCATTTTGGGAGGCTGAGGTGGGCAGATCACCTGAGGTCAGGAATTCAAGACCAGCCTGGCCAACATGGTGAAACCCTGTCTCTACTAAAAATACAAAAATTAGCCGGGCATGGTGGCCCATGCCTGTAATCCCAGCTACTCGGGAGAATGAGGCAGGAGAATCACTTGAACCCAGGAGGTGGAGGTTGTAGTGAGCCAAAATTTCGCCACTGCACTCCAGCCTGGGCGGCAGAGTGAGACGCCATCTCAAAAAAAAAAAAAAAAGAATCACCTGGAAAGATGGTTAAAATAGATTGCTGGCTCCACCCCCAGCGTGTGAGATTCAGTACATCTTGGGGGTAGAACTGGAACATTTGCCTCTCTAACAAGTTCTATGAACAATACATTGAGAACCTCTGTATTAGACTTGAAATATAAATAATATGTAGGAGGCTCCCTTTCATATTCATCCTCTCTTTGACCAGGGGGAAAGTGTAACCTGACAATAAAAACATGTGCCAATGTACTCATCCAGAAATAGAATTGAGGAAGAGAAGGGAGATGAAGAGAGAAAGAATGCTGCAGAATGCGTCTCATTTTAAAAAGCAGTGACAGTGGGAGGAAAACAGTTCTTGCCAGGAGCACAGCCAGCGGGGCACAGGCAGGCCTGTGGAAGGCAAGGCATGAAGTTGGAGGGGAAGGAGGAGTTTGGGGAAAGAAGCTAGGTTTTGCTGTGCTGTTGTGAAAAAGGTGGGCGGAAAAGTGTAAAATCAAGTTTTTTTAATGGCATGCTTCAACGAATCTCCGTCCTAGTATTTGAGAACCGAGTTACTGTGAAACCATGTTTTGGCAGAAGCAAACACAAATCCTCTCTGTAAAATGTGCCACTTGAAAAATTAGCACATGCATCCAGGCTTTATAAGCATCAATCTGCTTAAGTCAATCAAGCGACTAAGTAAAATATATTATTACGTTCAGATCTTATGTGTGGGCAGATAGTCTTCATTCTATAGCTCTGTAATTTGCTGGTGGGATAAAGAGTTATTGGAGGATTCTCTCAAACTTTTAAAAAATATGTCAGGGGAAAGAAAACAAATTTGAATCTTTCCAAATTTATATTAGGGTCTCACCAGTTCAGGCAGTATACACAGTACTGCTAAATATTTTCTTTTTTTTAACATAGAATTCCTGCCAGGATTATATTTTGTTTAGTTTTCATCACCTTCATATCTTGTGCTTTTTTTAAGATGAGGAATATTTGACAGATTTACTCAAAAATGTTGGTCACATTAAACCAATAATTTGAAATTCTTGTTTCTTTCCAAGGAGAAATCATGTGGACTTCTACCTTGGTCTTACATCAAAAGTGGTTCCCATTTCCAGGTATATTTTGGACTAAATATTCACAAAAACTCATTCTTTTAATGAAGCTTAACATGATGATTAAAATTTTAAAAACATATTTTTAGATGCATGGTTGACTTGACGGGAAACTAAGGGGATTATTTGGAGGTCAGAGATGCCTGTAATCCCAGCTACTTGGGAGGCTGAGGCAGGAGAATCACTTGAACCCGTGAGGCGGAGGTTGCAGTGAGCTGAAATCATGCCACTGCACTCCAGCCTGGGCAACAGAGTGAGACTCAGTCAAAAAAAAAAAAAAAAAAAAGAAAGAAAGAAAGGAAAGAAAGAAATGACAAATCCAAAGAGGCCAGTAGGAACTTGAGTTGGTATTTACCACTGCATGTCTGCTAGTCCCTTGTTATTTGGAGCCACCATTTAAATAGACATGTACATGTGTCTATGTACATGTAAATGTACGTGTGGACTGGAAAGAAAGCTTGGGACAAAACAGGGATGTTATGAGTTGAATTGTGTTTCCCAAAATTCGTATGTTGAAATTCCAGCCCACAGTACATCAGAATATGACCTTTTTTGGAAATGGGGTTATTAAAGATGTAATGAGTTAATTTGAGGTCATTTAGGGTGGACTCTAATGTATGTAATGTAATGACTGGTGTCCTTATGAAAAGGGGAAAATATGGACACAGAATGTAAAGATGAAGGCGGAGATTGGGGTGATGCCATCACACCAATGAATACTAGAGATCGCCTGCAAACCTCCAGAAGCCAGGGGAGAGCATGGGACATCCCTCAGAAGGAACCAACTCTGCCAACGCCTTGATTTTGGACTTCAAGCCTCCAGAACTGTGAGATGATAAGTTTCTGCTGTTTAAGCAACCTAATTTGTGGCACTTTGTTATCCCAACCCTAGGAACCAAAATAAAGGAGGAAACTGGATTTAAGTCTTAATCCAAAGTCTGGATACTCAAAGTACAACATGCTCAATGGGTGAGTAGGGGTGAAAACATCCACAGAGGAGCCAGTGAATCCATAGGCATCACCAGCCTGACTTGAAACAACTTCTGTGACCTCAAATGGTCTGCAATGAAAATTTAGTTTCAAATAATCCCAGGCTGATAGTGTTCCCAGGCACCTGGCAGAAGCAAACACAAATCCCTCTGGATGCACATACTTTAAACTCAGGCCTCCAAGAAAAGTCTCACGGATACATTTCCAAGAAACATGAGCCCCTCGTCAAAAATCATTAAACATAGCAAAAAAAAGGAGTAAGAGTTGACGGAAGCAATAAAGTGCTGAAATGAACTGCAAAGAATGCAAATATGGAATTATTGGATACACCATCGACAATAAGTATGTTTAATACAATTTAAGAAAAAAAGGCATTGAAAAAAAGCAAGGAACATGGAACTATCAAATTTGATCAGACAGATTTGGAAGAGGACCGAAAACACTTCTCTAAATGAAAACTATAATTATTATTTTTAAATGAAGTGAATGGTTTAAACAGCAGGTAAGATACAGTAGAATTGGTGAACTGGAAAATGGATTTGAAGGAAAGTAAATTGAAGACCAGGAGGCAAAGATGAAAAATATGAAGGAAGAGACATATGGAACAATATGACAAGGATGAAAATGAAGCTAATTGGAATTCTAGATGGAAGCATTAGAAAGTGACAGGGCATGGCTGGGCGTGGTGGCTCACACCTGTAATCCCAGCACTTTGGGAGGCTGAGGTGGGAGGATCACTTGAACCCAGGAGTCTGAGACAAGCCTAGGCAACATAGAACACATCTCTAAAAAAATTAGCCAGGTGTGGTACTGTACTCCTGTAGTACCAGCTACTTGGGAGGCCAAACCAGGAGGATGGAGTCAGAGAGGTCAAGGCTGCAGTAAGCCATGACTGCACCACTGCACTCCAGCCTAGGCAACAGAGCGAGACCTTGTCTCAAAATGAAAAACAAAACAAAACAAATAGAAAAAGATAAAGTGACAGGGTAATAGAGAATGGCAGAGAATTTTCCTGAATTGTTGAAAGACAACATTTCAGATTCAAAAAGCCAAACAAAATGCAATTAAATGGAAAGGAGACACACTCATATATACACCGTAGTAAAATGGAAGAACACCAGGAGATCTAAAGACGCAAGTATAGGAAAGAATAGACAAAACTATCATGATTTGCCCAATATATAATAATCTATGTTTAAAAAACCAAGAGATCATAACAAAAAAAGACACATAAGGGATTGCAATAAAGTGACCAGAGACAAGATCAAATTACAAGCATCCATAGTGTTGCCATGTACCAGCCATAAGCAATGAGAAAATTATTTTTAAAAGATTCTATGCACCATAGCAACAAACAATATAAAGGATCCAGGAATAAAGCTAACGAGAAAGGTATGTGACCTTTTTGTAGAAACTATAAACCTTTCCCAACAAACATTTAAAAACAAGCTAGACAAATGGCAATAAGTACCATGTTCTTTGATAGAAAGATTCAATGTTGTAAAGTTTTCTATTTCCCCAAAATTGATATATATGTTCAAAACAACCCCAAACAACATTTCAACAGGATTTTCTTGGAATTTGACACTCTCATTCTAAAATTCCTAAAAGAGAGTAACAGCACAAATTAGTCATGCCAATTTTGAAAACAAAACAAAAAAGAAAGATTTGCTCTAACAAATATTAAAACATAAACATATTATAAAGCCACCATAATTAAAAGGGTGTAATATTTTTATACCAGTAAGTAAACAAACAGAAAAGTCACAGATAGAATTAGGAATCGGGGCCGGGCGTGGTGGCTCATGCCTGTAATCCCAGCACTTTGGGAGGCTGAGGCAGGAGGCTCACTTGAGGTCAGGAGTTCAAGACCAGCCTGGCCAACATGGTGAAACCCTGTCTCTACTGAAAATACAAACATTAGCTGGGCATTGTGGTGGGAGCCTGTAATCCCAGCTACTCAGGAGGGTGAGGCAGGAGAATCGCTTGAACCTGGGAGGCGGAGTTTGCAGTAAGCCAAGACCATGCCACTGCATGCGGTCCAGCCTGGGTGACAGAGCAAGACTCCATCTCAAAAAAAAAAAAAAAAAGGAATCAGAAATGGACCTATGTGTATATTAAAATTTGGTATGTAATAAAACTGGCACTTCAAATCATTGGCTAGATCATTAATAAAAGTTGTTCGAATATAGGCTTTCCATTTGGAAAAACTAAGTTTAGTCCTTACTTCACACCACTAACATGGGTTAAATCCAATTAGATTAAATATGAACATAAAAACTCAAAAGTATTAAAAGAAAATGTTATATAAGAGCCTATGTAGAATAATCTTGCTCTATGTGAAGGATTTTTAATCAACCCATAAAATATTAAAAGCCATAAAGAAAAAGATTTAAATTTGACTACCTCAAGATGTAATACTTTTATTTAATAAAAGAATTCATATATCACAATAAGGAAAAAACTATTTCATAGAAAGAAGGGCATAGTAGGCAAATCAGGACAGGATTGATGGGTAAACAGAAGAAGAGAAACTTAGACTCTAAGAATCAGAGAAATGTAATTTGTTAAATTGAGATAATTTCACCCAAAATTAATGCTGAAGTTTTAAAGTAATAATAATAAGAGTTGATAAAGGCAATGGGAAGAGTGGATGTTGGTGCTGGGTACATACACTCTGGAAGCACAATTTGACTCTATTCATACTTTTAATGCATATGCTCTACTACCTGGCAATTTCATGTCCTAGTATCTATCTTTAAGAATCTTAGGGGAGGAGCCAAGATGGCCGAATAGGAACAGCTCCGGTCTACAGCTCCCAGCGTGAGCGACGCAGAAGAGGGGTGATTTCTGCATTTCCATCTGAGGTACCGGGTTCATCTCACTAGGGAGTGCCAGACAGTGGGCGCAGGCCAGTGTGTGCGCGCACCGTGCGCGAGCCGAAGCAGGGGGAGGCATTGCCTCACCTGGGAAGCGCAAGGGGTCAGGGAGTTCCCTTTCCGAGTCAAAGAAAGGGGTGATGGACGCACCTGGAAAATCGGGTCACTCCCACCCGAATATTGCGCTTTTCAGACCGGCTTAAAAAACGGCGCACCACGAGACCATATCCCACACCTGGCTCGTAGGGTCCTACGCCCACGGAATCTCGCTGATTGCTAGCACAGCAGTCTGAGATCAAACTGCAAGGCGGCAACGAGGCTGGGGGAGGGGCGCCCGCCATTGCCCAGGCTTGCTTAGGTAAACAAAGCAGCCGGGAAGCTCGAACTGGGTGGAGCCCACCACAGCTCAAGGAGGCCTGCCTGCCTCTGTAGGCTCCACCTCTGGGGGCAGGGCACAGACAAACAAAAAGACAGCAGTAACCTCTGCAGACTTAAGTGTCCCTGTCTGACAGCTTTGAAGAGAGCAGTGGTTCTCCCAGCACGCAGCTGGAGATCTGAGAACAGGCAGACTGCCTCCTCAAGTGGGTCCCTGACCCCTGACCCCCGAGCAGCCTAACTGGGAGGCACCCCCCAGCAGGGGCACACTGACACCTCACACGGCAGGGTATTCCAACAGACCTGTAGCTGAGGGTCCTGTCTTTTAGAAGGAAAACTAACAACCAGAAAGGACATCTACACCGAAAACCCATCTGTACATCACCATCATCAAAGACCAAAAGTAGATAAAACCACAAAGATGGGGAAAAAACAGAACAGAAAAACTGGAAACTCTAAAACGCAGAGCGCCTCTCCTCCTCCAAAGGAACGCAGTTCCTCACCAGCAACGGAACAAAGCTGGATGGAGAATGATTTTGACGAGCTGAGAGAAGAAGGCTTCAGACGATCAAATTACTCTGAGCTACGGGAGGACATTCAAACCAAAGGCAAAGAAGTTGAAAACTTTGAAAAAAATTTAGAAGAATGTATAACTAGAATAACCAATACAGAGAAGTGCTTAAAGGAGCTGATGGAGCTGAAAACCAAGGCTCGAGAACTACGTGAAGAATGCAGAAGCCTCAGGAGCCGATGCGATCAACTGGAAGAAAGGGTATCAGCGATGGAAGATGAAATGAATGAAATGAAGCGAGAAGGGAAGTTTAGAGAAAAAAGAATAAAAAGAAATGAGCAAAGCCTCCAAGAAATATGGGACTATGTGAAAAGACCAAATCTACGTCTGATTGGTGTACCTGAAAGTGATGGGGAGAATGGAACCAAGTTGGAAAACACTCTGCAGGATATTATCCAGGAGAACTTCCCCAATCTAGCAAGGCAGGCCAACGTTCAGATTCAGGAAATACAGAGAACGCCACAAAGATACTCCTCGAGAAGAGCAACTCCAAGACACATAATTGTCAGATTCACCAAAGTTGAAATGAAGGAAAAAATGTTAAGGGCAGCCAGAGAGAAAGGTCGGGTTACCCTCAAAGGAAAGCCCATCAGACTAACAGCGGATCTCTCGGCAGAAACCCTACAAGCCAGAAGAGAGTGGGGGCCAATATTCAACATTCTTAAAGAAAAGAATTTTCAACCCAGAATTTCATATCCAGCCAAACTAAGCTTTATAAGTGAAGGAGAAATAAAATACTTTATAGACAAGCAAATGCTGAGAGATTTTGTCACCACCAGGCCTGCCCTAAAAGAGCTCCTGAAGGAAGCGCTAAACATGGAAAGGAACAACCGGTACCAGCCGCTGCAAAATCATGCCAAAATGTAAAGACCATCGAGACTAGGAAGAAACTGCATCAACTAACGAGCAAAATCACCAGCTAACATCATAATGACAGGATCAAATTCACACATAACAATATTAACTTTAAATATAAATGGACTAAATTCTGCAATTAAAAGACACAGACTGGCAAATTGGATAAAGAGTCAAGACCCGTCAGTGTGCTGTATTCAGGAAACCCATCTCATGTGCAGAGACACACATAGGCTCAAAATAAAAGGATGGAGGAAGAGCTACCAAGCCAATGGAAAACAAAAAAAGGCAGGGGTTGCAATCCTAGTCTCTGATAAAACAGACTTTAAACCAACAAAGATCAAAAGAGACAAAGAAGGCCATTACATAATGGTAAAGGGATCAATTCAACAAGAGGAGCTAACTATCCTAAATATTTATGCACCCAATACAGGAGCACCCAGATTCATAAAGCAAGTCCTGAGTGACCTACAAAGAGACTTAGACTCCCACACATTAATAATGGGAGACTTTAACACCCCACTGTCAACATTAGACAGATCAACGAGACAGAAAGTCAACAAGGATACCCAGGAATTGAACTCAGCTCTGCACCAAGCGGACCTAATAGACATCTACAGAACTCTCCACCCCAAATCAACAGAATATACATTTTTTTCAGCACCACACCACACCTATTCCAAAATTGACCACATAGTTGGAAGTAAAGCTCTCCTCAGCAAATGTAAAAGAACAGAAATTATAACAAACTATCTCTCAGACCACAGTGCAATCAAACTAGAACTCAGGATTAAGAATCTCACTCAAAGCCGCTCAACTACATGGAAACTGAACAACCTGCTCCTGAATGACTACTGGGTACATAACGAAATGAAGGCAGAAATAAAGATGTTCTTTGAAACCAACGAGAACAAAGACACCACATACCAGAATCTCTGGGACGCATTCAAAGCAGTGTGTAGAGGGAAATTTATAGCACTAAATGCCTACAAGAGCAAGCAGGAAAGATCCAAAATTGACACCCTAACATCACAATTAAAAGAACTAGAAAAGCAAGAGCAAACACATTCAAAAGCTAGCAGAAGGCAAGAAATAACTAAAATCAGAGCAGAACTGAAGGAAATAGAGACACAAAAAACCCTTCAAAAAATCAATGAATCCAGGAGCTGGTTTTTTGAAAGGATCAACAAAATTGATAGACTGCTAGCAAGACTAATAAAGAAAAAAAGAGAGAAGAATCAAATAGACACAATAAAAAATGATAAAGGGGATATCACCACCGATCCCACAGAAATACAAACTACCATCAGAGAATACTACAAACACCTCTACGCAAATAAACTAGAAAATCTAGAAGAAATGGATAAATTCCTCAACACATACACTCTCCCAAGACTAAACCAGGAAGAAGTTGAATCTCTGAATAGACCAATAACAGGAGCTGAAATTGTGGCAATAATCAATAGTTTACCAACCAAAAAGAGTCCAGGACCAGATGGATTCACAGCCGAATTCTACCAGAGGTACAAGGAGGAACTGGTACCATTCCTTCTGAAACTATTCCAATCAATAGAAAAAGAGGGAATCCTCCCTAACTCATTTTATGAGGCCAGCATCATTCTGATACCAAAGCCGGGCAGAGACACAACCAAAAAAGAGAATTTTAGACCAATATCCTTGATGAACATTGATGCAAAAATCCTCAATAAAATACTGGCAAACCGAATCCAGCAGCACATCAAAAAGCTTATCCACCATGATCAAGTGGGCTTCATCCCTGGGATGCAAGGCTGGTTCAATATACGCAAATCAATAAATGTAATCCAGCATATAAACAGAGCCAAAGACAAAAACCACATGATTATCTCAATAGATGCAGAAAAAGCCTTTGACAAAATTCAACAACTCTTCATGCTAAAAACTCTCAATAAATTAGGTATTGATGGGACGTATTTCAAAATAATAAGAGCTATCTATGACAAACCCACAGCCAATATCATACTGAATGGGCAAAAACTAGAAGCATTCCCTTTGAAAACTGGCACAAGACAGGGATGCCCTCTCTCACCGCTCCTATTCAACATAGTGTTGGAAGTTCTGGCCAGGGCAATCAGGCAGGAGAAGGAAATAAAGGGTATTCAATTAGGAAAAGAGGAAGTCAAATTGTCCCTGTTTGCAGACGACATGATTGTTTATCTAGAAAACCCCATCGTCTCAGCCCAAAATCTCCTTAAGCTGATAAGCAACTTCAGCAAAGTCTCAGGATACAAAATCAATGTACAAAAATCACAAGCATTCTTATACACCAACAACAGACAAACAGAGAGCCAAATCATGAGTGAACTCCCATTCACAATTGCTTCAAAGAGAATAAAATACCTAGGAATCCAACTTACAAGGGATGTGAAGGACCTCTTCAAGGAGAACTACAAACCACTGCTCAAGGAAATAAAAGAGGATACAAACAAATGGAAGAACATTCCATGCTCATGGATAGGAAGAATCAATATCGTGAAAATGGCCATACTGCCCAAGGTAATTTACAGATTCAATGCCATCCCCATCAAGCTACCAATGACTTTCTTCACAGAATTGGAAAAAACTACTTTAAAGTTCATATGGAACCAAAAAAGAGCCCGCATCGCCAAATCAATCCTAAGCCAAAAGAACAAAGCTGGAGGCATCACACTACCTGACTTCAAACTATACTACAAGGCTACAGTAACCAAAACAGCATGGTACTGGTACCAAAACAGAGATATAGATCAATGGAACAGAACAGAGCCCTCAGAAATAAGGCCGCATATCTACAACTATCTGATCTTTGACAAACCTGAGAAAAACAAGCAATGGGGAAAGGATTCCCTATTTAATAAATGGTGCTGGGAAAACTGGCTAGCCATATGTAGAAAGCTGAAACTGGATCCCTTCCTTACACCTTATACAAAAATCAATTCAAGATGGATTAAAGATTTAAACGTTAGACCTAAAACCATAAAAACCCTAGAAGAAAACCTAGGCATTACCATTCAGGACATAGGCGTGGGCAAGGACTTCATGTCCAAAACACCAAAAGCAATGGCAACAAAAGCCAAAATTGACAAATGGGATCTAATTAAACTAAAGAGCTTCTGCACAGCAAAAGAAACTACCATCAGAGTGAACAGGCAACCTACAACATGGGAGAAAATTTTCGCAACCTACTCATCTGACAAAGGGCTAATATCCAGAATCTACAATGAACTCAAACAAATTTACAAGAAAAAAACAAACAACCCCATCAAAAAGTGGGCGAAGGACATGAACAGACACTTCTCAAAAGAAGACATTTATGCAGCCAAAAAACACATGAAAAAATGCTCATCATCACTGGCCATCAGAGAAATGCAAATCAAAACCACTATGAGATATCATCTCACACCAGTTAGAATGGCAATCATTAAAAAGTCAGGAAACAACAGGTGCTGGAGAGGATGTGGAGAAATAGGAACACTTTTACACTGTTGGTGGGACTGTAAACTAGTTCAACCATTGTGGAAGTCAGTGTGGCGATTCCTCAGGGATCTAGAACTAGAAATACCATTTGACCCAGCCATCCCATTACTGGGTATATACCCAAATGACTATAAATCATGCTGCTATAAAGACACATGCACACGTATGTTTATTGCGGCATTATTCACAATAGCAAAGACTTGGAACCAACCCAAATGTCCAACAATGATAGACTGGATTAAGAAAATGTGGCACATATACACCATGGAATACTATGCAGCCATAAAAAAGGATGAGTTCATGTCCTTTGTAGGGACATGGATGAAATTGGAAACCATCATTCTCAGTAAACTATCGCAAGAACAAAAAACCAAACACCGCATGTTCTCACTCATAGGTGGGAATTGAACAATGAGATCACATGGACCCAGGAAGGGGAATATCACACTCTGGGGACTGTGGTGGGGTCGGGGGAAGGGGGAGGGATAGCATTGGGAGATATACCTAATGCTAGATGACACGTTAGTGGGTGCAGCGCACCAGCGTGGCACATGTATACATATGTAACTAACCTGCACAATGTGCACATGTACCCTAAAACTTAAAGTATAATTAAAAAAAAAAAAAAAAAGAATCTTATATGTGTGTACTATGAGGCATGCACAAAGATGTTCAATGCAGCATTGTTTATAATAGCAAAAAAAAAAAACCCTGGAAACAAAGCAAATGTTCATTAATAGGAAATCAATTGTATAAACTGTAATGTATTCATTCTATAAAATACTTTTTAAAATAATAAAGCTGATCTTTATGTTCTGACATGGAAAGAGCTCTAAATCATATTTTTAAATGGGGTCGTGGGGAGAGAAAGCAATTTGAAGATTTTGTATTATTTATGTAAAGATACTGATAATACAATAACATATATTTTCAAGATAGGAAAGCAAGTATGTAGAAAAAATCTAGACAGATATTACTTCTGGGGAGTGTAGTTGGATAGTGTGGAGGAGGGGAGTGTTGGGAAAGTGGGGGAAATGACTTTATTCTTATCTGTAATTTTTTATTCATATAAGGAAAACGTGAAATTTATTTTTAATTGCAAGCAAAATATGAAAACTTTTTTTACAGAAAAGCCTTTAGATTCATTCTTTTCTGCAACCATTCAATTTCCAGTAGACTCTATTCCAATCATGAGCTTCCTAGGTCCCTTACGAAGTGTCCAGTTTACCAAGATTCTACTTACATACATCTTTTCTCATCTTTATGTGCTATGTAAAGCTAAATAAATCTGCTCATTGGAAAGTGCTAAGAGTGGCAGTAAATCCAAAATTAATATAGGGCAGTGGTCTTTATTTATAGGTGTAATATTATTCTGTCTCTATTTGTCCACCTTCAACTCTACATTTCTGAGGGTCATAAGTTTTGGAACCAGAGAGAACTCTGTTAATTTCGCGACTTTGGAGCCCGGATAAATTACCTAATGTCTGTAAGTTTCAGGTTCTGCATTTCTGAAAATCAGGAAAGCTCCTACTTCAAAGCCTTGGTATACTAGATAAGACATTAAAAGTGAAATTATTTAACATAGTGCCTGATCAGCAACGTTCCTTTCCCCTACTGGAGTTAGGAGGCCTTGCAAAAGTCAAGCATGCCTCATAGCTGCGTGAACTTGTGGAAAGTTAATTCACCTCTCTGAGTCTCAGTCTCCTCAACCGTGGAATAAGAATAATGACATTTTCTTGATACAGGTTCCTCTAAGTCACAAATGTAAAAGACAGCAAGCTCAATATGCAGACCATATGGTCATATCAATCTTTGTTTCCCTTCCTTTCTCCGTCTTCCCCTCTAGCGTCTCCTGCAGTTCCAAGCTGACACGGCAGATGGTGTAGTTGAATCGCCCAGGGAGCCTCAGCACAGCGGCCTCAGTCACCTCTCCACAAGGCAGCTGCCCCAAGCTGCATTCATTGGGACAAACCTACCTTCCTTCTAGAATGTGAGTCAGATGCGGCAGTGGTACTGCAGGCGGCAGCAATGGCAGTGTCACAACACAGACTGAGATTTGGCTTCAACACCGAACCGCTTGGGGGCTCTCATGGATGCAAAGTGTGTCGTTTCCTTGTGGAAGGACAGTGAAGGCAGGTGTTTGCTGCTCTCCTGCAGGCTCTTGGGCATGCTTCAGAGGTACTTCTTTCGGGGCCAAGCTCTTATCAAATTAATATTCTGTCCGTAAGGGAGATTTTGTTAATTACCTCGGTTTAATGAAGTTTTTCTTAGCTTTTGGAAACAGAATGTGTTGGCTCTCCATTTTTTGGTCTGTTTGAGTGAAGGAAAGTTGATGTCCTAGGTTGGATACAAGACTGGAATAGGATATTCAGAGGCAGCTTCTTATAGACGACCACCTTTCCGTAACACCATTAGAATTATATGAGCTTTAATCCTGCACCTAACTTTCCAGGGTTTCCTCCTCCAAGAAGCTGCGTTAGCACTGGACCAACGACAAACAAGTGAAGGGCTTGGGTCAGGATACCTGTGTTACAGCTGCAGAATGTCAAGCACAGGGGCAGTGACTACAGCTTGCCAGGGCAGAGCCCACAGAGGTAATATTCCAAAACAATACATTTCCATGTAATTCCAGCAGCAGAATGGCTGGGGGCTGCAAGTTGCATTTGAACAGCACTTCTCAACCTTATCAGACCTAATGCCCCCCTTTCATAACAAATACTGTGTAACTCTCCCCTCTAGTATCCTACAATGAGATGCGCAGATACTACAACTTGTCTATGCACATATTTAATCCCTCTAATGTCCTTGCAGTAATATAAAGAATAAATGAAAGCAAAGTCATTATACTGAATTAATATGTATTTCCATGTGTGAATATGCAGACACAACTATGTTGGAAGGCATAAATAGTCTGATGCTTATGTCTGTTCACAGCATTATCCTAAATATCATGGCCACAAATCCAAATTAAGTGTTGGTGACTCAGGTACCATGCGCTGCATTGAATGACTCAGTAAAATTCCAACCAAATGTAAGTATAATCTTTCTTTATTTTACATACAATTATTATAGATAAATGCCATAAAAATAAGTTGCATTTATATGCAAAACATAGGTAGGTTCTAGGCTCCCTAATAGTTGTAATAGCCACCCTTCCTACACACACAGACACACACGCTTCCTAAAAAAAACTCTGGAAGCAAATATGGCCGCTCTTGAAAACCATTGGTATGGAGGGCCAGATAGGGCCGCAGGGCATGAAGAGGACCTGTACCTGCCTTCCAGAACTCTTAGGTTCTCCAGGTGATTACCCAAGACCTTTCCAACTGCCAAAATCAAGACCTTATTAGTGTAATTATGTAACCGATGCCAGATTTGATAACCATAAAGTAAAGACCTATCACTAGGGCGACTCTGCCCTAGATTCCTATATGATGATGCAGCTATTGTCTCAGACCTGGGATGGAACAACACTGCAACACACCAAAACCAGCCTGGGAAATGCAGGCACAAAAGGACACCCGGTTCATTTCCTAAGCCACCCTCCACTACACTCCATCAGGCCAGGCTTCGGAGGAAAGGCCTGGACGCAAGATCCTAGCAGGCCCTCATGCCACAGGGCCATCCCAGCTCTGCTCCAGCCACTGGGATTATTTGGTGATCAGGAGTATCGATGGACCACTGGTTTAGGCTCTAGTTAATTGAATATTCTGGTTACATGACAGTTAATTCACAGTCCTCTTTGCTTTGATCCTTATAAAACTTTCCTAAATTCATGTGTTAACCCTTCACCAAAACAACAATGTTTACTTAGTTGGAAAGACTCCTTTTTCTTTCCTCTATTTTACAAATTCCTATAATAGTGTTATAATACTCTGATATTAATAGCAATGCATTCAGTAAACACACGGCTCCAGTTTCCTGGCTTAATGCGTAGTACATACTAGAGAATGGAGCTTTTGTTTTATGTTTAAGCGTACTGTAAGGTTTCAAGCTTCTCTTTCTGAGCCATTTTCACTACAAAGAATGAAAGTGCCTACGTAGGCATTGAAGATTGTGTTTAATGTGGAACTTTTTTTATTATTTATTATTTTTTTTTTGAGATGGAATCTCGCTCTCTCACTCAGGCTAGAGTGCAGTGGCGTGATCTCTGCTCACTGCAAGCTCCGCTTCCTGGGTTCACACTACTCTCCTGCCTCAGCCTCCCAAGTAACTGGGACTACAGGCACCTGCCACCACACCCAGCTAATTTTTTGTATTTTTAGTAGAGACAGGGTTTCACCATGTTAGCCAGGGTGGTCTCGATCTCCTGACCTCGTGATGTACCCACCTCAGCCTCCCAGAGTGCTGGGACTACAGGCGTGAGCCACCGTGCCCGGCCTGTTTAATGTGGATTCTAATCTCAGGAAATCTCCTGAAAGAGTAATTGACTTTTTGGTTTCAGTCATTATGAATTTTTCTACTAAGTGTGTTGTGTGCTGTTTTAGTTGAGGGGCTTTGAAGAAGCAGATGCAAACATGGAATTCAATGCATTCTGTTACAGAAAAGGACTGAGGAAAAATGAAGAAGGAGCCAGGAGAGTTGAGAGCTGTCAGGCCATGCAGGTGTAACCCCAAGTACTTGTTAATGTAATTAATTATGTAGCCAATCCAATATTGACTAAATCTATAAAAGTGAGTGCACTGAAAATGAATCCTGTGTCTATCAGCACTAAATTGAATACACTGAAGAGACTTGGTAAAAAAAAAAAAACACATAGTCACTGGCCGGGTGCAGTGGCTCAGGCCTGTAATCACCTCAAGTGATCCCAGGGTGGATCATTTGAGGTCAGGAGTTCAAGACCAGCCTGGCCAACATGGCAAAACCCCATCTCTACTAAAAATACAAAAATTAGCCGGGCGTGGTGGCACATGCCGGTAGCCCCAGCTACTTGGGAGGCTGAGGTAGGACAATCACTTGAACCAGGGAGACGGAGGTTACAGTGAGCCAAGACTGCACTACTGCACTCCAGCCTGGGGCACACAGCGAGACTCTGCCTCAAAAAAAAAAAAAAAAAAAAAAAAGTAGTCATTAAAACATATTTTTTAATTAAATCAGAGATGGCCAAGATTACTATAAAAGTTTGGGGGATAGTACTTAAAATTTAGTATAATTCTACACTTTTATTCTGTTGCAGTGTCTCTGCAGTTTAAAGAAACCAAAACTGGAAATCATCGTCAATGGATTAAGGATGTGATTTGTGCAAAATAGACGATGCAAAGCTCTAATCAGTAGATCCCATCAAAGAAAAAAGATGATAGGCTCATATTTTAAGATTGGTTGAATATACACTTCTATGCTTTAAGCTAAATGAAAATGTTTGCTTTTTTAAAATCCTGTGTTTGATGGACTTTCTCAATTAACCAACCAACTACTCCTACATAAGGGGCTTCTTTTTTATGTTTTAAACACAGTACAATTGCATTTACCACTAATGTTTACATGTGTGACAATAATAGAAAAAACAAGAGGTTCCTGGGATGAAAGGAGTATGTAAAGGTCAGTTCAAGGTTGGAGTTAGGTCTTTTCATTCAGTAATTTATTCAGAAGAGTTTTAGAACCTTGCCAAAATCATAAATGGCCTGCTTTGATTTCACATTTATGTTTGGCAAGACTAGATACAAACACACACACACACACACACACACACATTTATTATGTGGCAGAAATTTCTGGACCCCAAGTGATAGAGGTCAGGCAAAGGGGTTTTCTACTGTCCCCTATATTCTCTACCAAAGACCTGCTAGGGAATATTCAGCTATTGCCTACATTACATTTCAACTGTCTGCTAAGGAAGAATTAGTTTTAAATTTTGATTCATCCAGGCCCACCTCCAACCCCAGGCTATTTCTTTTGTCTAATTCATGCATGCAGAGGGAACACAAGGAGTTTGCCTGAAACTCTTCACTAAACTTTATGGGTACACCATAGTGACTTTTCCACAAAGGGGAGATCGTCTGGCCCTTTTTAAAATCCCTCCTGGAACTTAAATTATCAACTATTGTAATATCTGATCATAATTATCTTTCTTCATTTGATACAGGATAATGCAAACATGAAATCAGCAAGCAAGCATAATTTCTGGAAATGATAGAGTCCCACCGAGACTTGGCAAACAGGCCGTCCATTTTCCCCTTGTTGCACAGTGTCACAATGCCTCTTCTACAGATGTGGCCCCCTGAGCTGTGAACTCCTTGAAGACAAGGACTAGAACAGTGCCTGGCACAGTCCATGTTGTATACAGGTGGATCAATTGAATGAATGCACTGCTTTTATCCAAAAATATACTCATCACCATGCAGAATAGACTCGAAATATAACACGTTATCCCATACTTAACTAAACCCATGGCTTATTCACGGTTGATGGCACCTCATGCCATGTAGAAAGGCTGGAGAATGTCCAGCCAAGAATGATGCTGTAAGCAACTAAAAGAGAGATGCCAAGACTTCAAAGGATAGGACTTTCCCATTTAAAAAGAGAAATCCCAGAGCAAGGAGAGGATAAGTATAAAAAGAATGTTATCCCTATAGGAGACATGGTCTAGAAAGCTCATGAAGCGCATTGCTTGTAGGCAGACAGTGGTTCTCAGACTTTACGAAATATCAGAATCACCTGCAGCCTTGTTTCAACACACTCTTGGGCCCTTCTCCAGAAATTCCAGTTGCACAGGCCAGGGTGGATGCCTGGAAAGCTGGATTTTTTTTTTAAACAGACTCCCAGATATTGCTGATGCTGCCATGGAAACATTATTTGAGAACAGTATCGTAAGAGATGGTAAAGGCTGGAAACCTAGTTTCTTCTTTTTTTTTTTTTTTTTTGAGACGGAGTCTCGCTCTGTCGCCCAGGCTGGAGTGCAGTGGCGGGATCTCGGCTCACTGCAAGCTCCGCCTCCCGGGTTCACGCCATTCTCCTGCCTCAGCCTCCCAAGTAGCTGGGACTACAGGCGCCCGCCACTACGCCCGGCTAATTTTTTGTATTTTTAGTAGAGACGGGGTTTCACCGTTTTAGCCGGGATGGTCTCGATCTCCTGACCTCGTGATCCGCCCGCCTCGGCCTCCCAAAGTGCTGGGATTACAGGCGTGAGCCACCGCGCCCGGCCAACCTAGTTTCTTCTAAGATTTTAAATTAATTTTTAAAATGCTATAAGTGAATTCTTTTAAAAATTTGTATCACAAATGTTCTCAAGCATGCACAAAAGTAAAAAGACTCATAAAAAACCCACACAGCACGCATCACCCCACTTCAAAAAAACCAATTTACCACTCTTGTTTTATATATCCCCCATCACCTTTTTTTTTTTTTTGCCAAAATAGTTTAAAACATATCCCAGACATATCATTAATCTGTAAAGATTTCAGCATTTCTTTCTTTTTTTTTTTTTTTTTTTTTTTGAGATGAAGTTTCGCTCTTTGTTGCCCAGGCTGGAGTACAATGGCGCAATCTCGGCACACTGCAACCTCTGCCTCCTGGGTTCAAGCTATTCTCCTGCCTCAGCCTCCCAAGTAGCTGGGATTACAGGCACCCACCACCACGCCCAGCTAATTTTTGTATTTTTAGTAGAGACGGCGTTTCACCATGTTGGTCAGGCTGGTTGAGAACTCCTGACCTCAGGTGATCCACCCGCCTCGGCCTCACAAAGTGCTGGGATTACAGGCGCGAGCGACCGTGCCTGGCCTTCAGCATTTATTTCTAACAGATATGCACTCTTTTTAAATGTATTTACATATTGAGGGAAGCTAGGATGTTTGCAATAATTGTTTATAAGACTGTAAGAGCCAAGGAAGACCGGGCTGCGTGGATCCCAGATTCTGACTGACCCAATGTTATTTTGACTTCTTTTTATTTTGGCAGTGACCACCCTCTGCTTCTAGGCCTTTGCTTAGGCTGTCTCCCCACCACCACCACCACACACACACACACACACACACACACACACAATCTTGTTAACCCTTCCCACCCATCTCCTCGTATCCAAATACTGCTCTCCCTTGGAGACATGTCCCTTCCTATAGAACCTTCCTCCAACAGTAAACCACTCATCTCTCTGACACATAGCCCAGCCTTATGTCTCTCCTCACAGGGATCTGCAACTTTCTGCCTTCTGTTGCCCAGGGGACTGTCCCCGGGGAACGGCACATTCCTGGAAGGTGGCATGAGGAAAGGGTTCCAAACAAGCTCAGAACAGCCCACAGTCCTCACTTCTCTGAAGGACATTACAGTCCCTCCGGGTTGGAGACTGGAGGTAGAATCTTCATTTCCAAGAAATGGCCCTGGATGCCAAATGATTATCCACAACCCTACAAGCCCGGTCAGATTCCGAGTGTGGGGGGCACACGCTGTTGCCATGTCTCACTCACTGATGGCTGCCACCACAGTGCAAACCTGGGAAAACTATGGTTACAGCCAGCGTTTTGCCCAATCACCACTCGCTGAGGCTTTTCAAGGAAGAACTGGGTGGAAATTGGCTAGGCCTGAGGAGGAATCTGCAGGTGGGGCAGGGGCAGCGGGTGACGGGGAGGTGGAAGCGGAAATGCTAAGAAAGCTAAATATTGTGGTTAAGTCGGAAATGTGGATTTCTGACCCTTTTAGGAGGAAGAGGATGTGGCTGAGTGTGGCACTGGGGCACGTGAATGCCCACATGCAGAGGGGATGCTTGACAATTAAACCACCCATAAAGCAAGGCATTATAAATGGCTGTGAGTGTGGCCAGCATTGACTTTGGGCAACAGAGCTCTGGATTTGCTAAGCCTCACGGGTGAGTGAATGGTGGGAGTTGGAGGCAAGCAGGTTACCAGAGATTCCTCAGTGCTCTGGGGGAGGTGTTTTCAAGCCAGCAAAACCAGCCTTGGTGAGACCTGACCTCTGAATAGGACAATATAAAAACCCACAAAGAGACTTTAGCCTAGTTCTCTTTTTAAATAAAGTCAGGTGGGCAGGGGCAGGGGGATTCCCATTAGAAAGTTTTATGGTATTTTGTAGTAGATTATGAATTATACTTTGAAACTACACAAAACAGTTCAAACACAGTGCTTCCTGCAGCTAGAATCACAGGCTGTCAGCCACGGCTCTGCTCACCTCCCCAGCTAAGCCACCTACCTTCTTGTGGGGGACACAGATCGCCCCCTGTGGTCTTGTTGCCCTGCCTCACCCCTTGAGAACCTTCTTTCTTTTCTTTCCTTCTTTCTTTCTTTTATGTACATTTAGTTCCCACAGGCTTCCTTTATCAATATTTCAATTGGTTGCTGCTGACCTATACTTGAATCCAAATATTTGCCCTATTCAGTAGGAATTGTTCATTCAGCCAAATGCCTGATTATGTCTGTGCTCTTTTGAGCAAATTGAATGGGCTACTTGACTATGTAATGCCGATATAGCCTGGTCATTAGTAATGTTTGTTAGAATTGACCAGATGCAACAAGGAAGGAAAGGGAGAGAAGAAGGAGGTTTGTGTTCAGTTTTCCTTCCAGAGCAACCGTGGTGAAGAAAACGAAATTATGCGCTTTCCAGGGCACAGCTCTAAACTGCCTTCCTGTTCTTCCAAATGGTCCCGTAGTCTAATATGAATCAAATGGGTCAGGGTTCAAAAGAGATGGATGCTCCTGAAGCTCGCAAGTTTATGTATTCATTGGGAAACTTCCCCCTGTAAAATGAATATGGTTTTTAAAAATGATGACTGGCCTTCTTATTTTTATTGTTTAAATCAAGACACAAGAAATAAAATAAAGCTAACTACAAGACTTGCTCTTGGTTAATATTACTCCCTGCACTGATTGTATGACAATTCTTCCCATATTCAAACTAACCTTTTATGAATGTCAAAAGCCACATGACTGGACAATTTTTAACTATCATATGTTAAACTATAATTCACACTTTAGGGGAGGAAAAGCCTTCTCCTCTGTCCTCTCATGTTCAGTGACTTGGGCTCTGCAAATTAAAGTTACGAAAGATAAGGAAGAAAAAATAGTCTGTTTATACTTGCAGTGCACATACATGCTAGAGAACTCAGCGATGAATAACTCAAAGAGGTTATTAGAATTCAGGGGTTGTATACTGTGTCTTAACAAAGAGCAATAAATTGTGGAGAAGAGGCTAAAGGGAAAAGGTTTGGGGCTCGTGGGGAATGCTAAGTTATGGAAAGGGGACAAAAAAGTATGGTAAACAAGGGTCATTTAGTGCGACCCTTATCAGACTCTTATCTGTTTTTTTTTTGTTGTTGTTCTTGTTGTTTTTGTTTTTGTTTTGAGACGGAGTCTCGCTCTGTTGCCCAAGCTGGAGTGCAGTGGCGCGATCTCGGCTCACTGCAAGCTCCGCCTCCCGGGTTCACACCATTCTCCTGCCTCAGCCTCCTGAGTAGCTGGGACTACAGGCGCCCGCCGCCACGCCCAGCTAATTTTTTGTATTTTTAGTAGAGACGGGGTTTCACCGTGTTAGCCAGGATGGTCTCGATCTCCTGACCTTTTGATCTGCCCGCCTCGGCCTCCCAAAGTGCTGGGATTCTGTTATGCAGATAAGAGTCATCTCAGGTGATAGGAGTGTCTCAGTGGTTCTCTTCCTGTTATGGAAGAGTGAGATACCGTTCCAACAGATGTTACATTTACAAAGGGAAAATTATGCCCTGCTTTTTGACAGAAATGGAGAGAGCAGAGAGCAAATTGCTGTAAGTTCAAAACAGTCCTTACACCAAAAGGGCATATTTTGGGGTGCCATACTCTGATTCTTTTCAATACAACAATTATTTGCTGACTACCTACGACATACACAGTACTGAGTTATGTCATGGAAACACTTCATGCACAACAAGGGTTAAAATTTGGCCCTGACCCAAGGGAGGAAACCAGCACAGATCCAAGAGAATTTTGCCAGGAACAAGGGTGGCTTTGAAATGTAGATTAATTTTTCCAGTGCTCCAGAGCAGGAAGTGGTAGTAAGCATGTACCTGTGCACTGGCGCTTGCCGTTGAGGAGTTCCTATCTTATTGGCAAAGGCAGGTATGTACATAATGTAGAAAAGATAGGAATGAGAATACTTGGGCCAAGGTACCAAGTAAAGTAATTGTGGACCAAATAAACAAAACTGAATATGAATAGAAGGTACCCTTGCCCTCTGGGGGCTTACAGCCTGTTAAAGGAGATAATTTATAGACACAAATAAATTGTATCTAAGGCAGACTGCTTAAAGGAGCAAGCAACAAGGTGACGTGGGCTTTCAGGGCTAGAAGAGGTCATGTCCAAGACCACTGGGTATGTCCAGCCCACATTTTTTAAAGCCTTGTTTGAAACTCATGGCTCTGAAGCTCCTTCAAGCTCACATCATGTGTATTTTAAATTTGTCTGAAGAATTTACAAAATTCTTTAAACATCTTTCACATCACTTTTTGATTACAACAGGATTCGCTGCTTTATTTCCCTGCTTCGATAACACTGGTTGCAATGCCCCATTATATAAAAGAGAAGAGATGGAGGGAAATGGGTATTTATTAAGCACTTACTATGTACCAGCCCTTGAACTTGGTAGGCACTTTCAACTTTGTGTCCCACTTATTTATGAAGAAAATTTTCACTTGCTTCTCAGTTCTGCCTCATTCAAGATTCCCCATGCCTCGTAATCCTAAGTTCCTCTTCCCAGAAATCCCTGCTCAGCTCCCTGTTGGCAGAGGAGGGACCCTTCACACTTACCATGGTGTCACTTGCACCAGCTCTTGCTTCTGGCTGAGCAGCCTTAGAGTTTCTTAAACTGTCAACATTACTTGATTGTTAGGACTATTTCTAAGATCAGAGGGTACAAATCCTGTTTTGACTTTTCTCCAAGCTTGTTTCCACTGAAGGGTTCTCCTCCTTCCTGTCCAGGTCCTCTAAGGCTGTGCTCTCCTAGCCGAATCCGCACATCAGCCCTCTCCGGAGACCTGCTGGATGGTCCTCACCGCCGTGTCATTTGAAAGCGCTCTTGGCCTTTGTTTCCTCCTAGAACATACATTGTCCTGCAAAGAGCATGTGCTTCAGGTAAAATTGTATTGGAATCCAGCTCTGTTCCTCACACACTGTGCAGCATTGGTGAATCCCTTAAGTTTCAACACATGTAAAAACGGGCATAACAATGCCTGCCTCACCAAGCTGCTGAGGGGACCAAAGAGGCAACGTGTCAAAGCACACAGCCCAATGCTCAGTCCATAAGTTGTGCTTATTAATATTAGTTTTCCTCCTAATATTAGTTTTCCTGCTTTTTGGTGGTGAGAGAGAGATAGGTAGGTAGGTATGTAGGTAGATAGACAGACAGACAGACAGACAGATAGATCGCTCTATGGCTGGGCGCGGTGGCTCACGCCTGTAATCCCAGCACTTTGGGAGACCGAGGCGGGCGGATCGCGAGGTCAGGAGATCGAGACCATCCTGACCAACATGGTGAAACCCTGTCTCTACAAAAATACAAAAAAATTAGCCGGCTGTGGTGGTGTGCACCTGTAGTCCTAGCTACTCGGGAGGCTGAGGCAAGGAAATTGCTTGAACCCAGGAGGCGGAGGTTGCAGTGAGCCGAGATCACACCACTCCAGCCGGGCGACAGGGCAAGACTCCATCTCAAAAAAAAAAAAAAAAAAGAATGCTGTATGTAAATAGTATGAGAAACTTGCATTACGGAGAAAAGCTAGCCATTGCTTTCGGCTCTGATTTGAAGGAGTAGAAGGAGGCTAGCATTTCTGGACAGGAGAAAGGCAAAGCTCTCAAGCTGGAGTTCTAGCGCACTGTGTTGCATCGTAGCTTACTGTCACACAGAATGTCAACTCTCTGTGCCTCAGTTTCCTCGTCTTTTAAGAGTATAATGATATTATAATGCCAGGGGCCTTATAGGACTTTCTGGAGAATTAAGTTGAGAAAATATGTGTAAAGCTGTAGTTTAGTTCCTGGTCATAGTGAGTGTTCAGTGAATGTCAGATATTATTTTTATCCAATGCTAAATATGTGTCATTGTTATAAATATATCATTTCTCTTATATGTATATTTTAAAATGTATATATTATATTCATTTACCAATGAGAGATCAAAATAATTTCCTTTTAGTAGTGAGAAGGTCACGCTGACATCTGGCGTTCTCTCTATGGTCAAGAACACCATACAGTAAAGGCAAGATATTGAAGCAGCCTATAGATGACACATTTGGGAAGAAGAGGTAGGGAGGAGAATGGGGTAGGGAGAGAAGAAGGAGAAGGTATCAAATGAGTGCCTCGGAAATATATTTTCTATCAATGATCAAACTGTTATTGCTTGAAGATCTTAGGAAGAAAAGGATTATACAAACAAAAAATAGGCCAGGCGCTGTGGCTCATGCCTGCATTCCCAGCACTTTGGGAGGCTGAGGCAGGCAGATCACTTCAGGCCAGGAGTTTGAGACCAGCCTGGCCAGTGTGTCAAAACCCCATCTCTACTAAAAATACAAAAATCAGCTGGGTGTGGTGATGTGGTTCACACCTGTAATCCCAGTCACTAGAGAGGCTGAAGCACAAGAATCACTTGAACGCAGGAGGTGGAGGTTGCAGTGAGCTGAGATCCACCACTGCACTCCAGCCTGGGCACCAGAGCAAGACTCTGTCTCAAAAACTAAACTAAAATAAAAATAAAAATAAATAAATAAATATTGCTCTAATAAGGCCATATTATATATATATTATATAATTTATATAATAAATCACCCATATTCATGATGACTGTAATGCCCATTACTTATAATGAGGTTAAATAATCAATTCTAAAAATATTTGTCTAGCCCCTATATTAGTTTTCTAGGGCTGCTAAAATGAAGAACCACAAACTGGGTGATTTAAAGACAGAAATGTATTATCTCACAGTTCTGGAGGCTACAAGTCCAAAATCAGGGCATTGGCAGGGCCATACTTCCTCTGAAGATGAAGAGACAGATCTGTGCTAAGCCTTGCTCCTTGCTTCGGGTGGCCTGCCAGCCATCTTTGCACTGTGCCTTGGCTCATAGATGCATCCCTCCAATTCTTGCTGTGTGCCTTCACATTGTCTTCTCTCCATGCACATCTGTCTCTCTGTCCAAGTTTTCCCTTATTATAAGGACACCACCATATTGGATTAAGACTCACCTATTCCATATGACCTCACCTTAACTACTGTAAAATTACATCTGCCATGACCCTACGGTCACATTCTGAGGCACTGAGGTTAGGACTTAAACATATCTTTTCAGGGGAACACAAGTCAACTCATAATAACACCTATTTTCCAATACCCACCAAGCAAATTGCAATTTGGAATCATGTGGAATACTTTGCCAATATAATATAATATAATATAATATAATATAATATAATATAATATAATATAATATATAATATAATATAATAATGTTTCTAATTTTAGGACTAAACCATTGTGATTTATTAATATTAGTGATGTTACAGCAGAAAGTTCTAATTTAAAGAGGGAGTGCATAACTAGATTCTGCACAAATTCTTCTCTTTTAGTGTCAAAATACCAATGCCATGTCTAAAAACGGCACCATTGGAATAAGGGAAAGGGGAGTAGGGTTTGCAGTGATGTGTCCATTGCATGTAATCCTGCATTTAATGGAGAGTGCTGTCTACATTGTGTAATCATTGTGTCATAAAAACAGGAAGGCTCACAAGCCAAGCCAGCTGGTGGGATTCTAACCTTTTGCAATCACACACACACACACACACACACACACACACACACACACACTATAAATAGGAAAGGAGAAGGTCACTCTGCTTACTGAGGTGGAGGAATTCAGCAGCCAACACAAAAGAAACTTTCTCTGAGAAGATTTGCAGAGGAGGCCTGGTGTTTCCCAGCTATTCAATACCGGAATTTGTTTTCATGTTTTCAAGTCAAAAAATAAGGGTCTTGATCAGGAACACACAGGGGAAGGGCCACTTCAACAATGACCAAGCCCAGCGAATTTTGACCAAAGGCCAGAAAAATATTGGTTTTCATGTTGGCGTGATGGATTCTTTGCTAAAACACTAATATTATATTAATTAAGGGAGCTATTTTGCCTTGCTGATGAAGAAAATTTTTTTTTGTAAATAACATGCTTAGCTTTAACAATGATGAAGTTAAACATATGCAAATTATCTGATGAAGTTGCAATGACTCGATGTAAAAAATACATCTGTTTCCCATTGCTGGTATTTTCTAAAAGGTCAGAGCTACTTCTACTTGATGTGTGCAGGCTGAATATAATAATCTTTGCTCAGAAATGCACAGAGTATTTTAATAGCATGCCTAATATCTACCAATTTTGAAAGTTTCACTTAAAATTATCACTTTAGGTGATAATTAAGTTATCACTTAAAATATTATCACAGAAGCCATAAATATTAAATACTATATGAATTCACATAAAAATATAGGAACTGATGCATCTTAGGGCTCTTCCAATGTATGGAATGCTTTTCCAAGCATTTAGCTTGCTTCAATACTTGGTTATTATTACCATCCTTTCCTCACTCTGAAACTTGCAAGTCACTGTTTATTTCTTTGCCCTTGACAGATGTTATCTTATTTCATCCTTCCATGTGGGTTTTACCGTCCCCTTGAACAAGGAGAAAACTAAGGCTGAGAACATTGAAGTAGCACGATCATGGCAGAGGTGAGATTTTTAAAGCCGACCTGACACCAAGTCCCACACTCTTTCTGTTTAACCTCCATACCGCCTTGTTGGTTGTTTTTTGGTTTTGAAAGAAAAGAACAATCTGGTTTTATTTGTTTTTTACTATATTTATCCCATCACTGGAAAGCCCTATCTTGCCTGAACCAGACTGAGGTTTAGAAATAAACATACTTCTGTTGGTCTTTCCTATAAGGTATTTCTGTCTGCGTGTGTGTGTGTGCGCGCGTGTGTGCGTCTGTGTGCGTGTGTGTCTTTCTCTCAGCTTGTGCTCAATGATTGAACACCATTTTGGATCCAGAAAGACCTATTTGATTCATTCATGATTCACTGACACATAACCCATGTGCTGTATCATTTTATATAGAACATAGACATTGCAGCTAGGATAGCAACGCCTGGTGATGTAGACTGTCTTCTTTACATACAAATTGAGGTTGAGCCAATGTAAACACACTTGACCCTCTGGATGTTACAAAAAAAGCAGCTCCACCCTCAAAACTCAAAGTATTGTGTTTCCCCTGCATGCACTAGTGGCTTGGTCCTGCATTTGCCACTAACCGTGATTTTCAGTAACTCCCTTGGGCCCCTCAGCCTCAGCTTTCTCACCGGGCGATTCTTACTATCTGAATCTCACTTCATAGGATTGTTGTCTCAAATGAGAAAATGTGAAGGAAGAATTTTTTCAAGGTTAAATTCCCCAGTGTGCTGTAGCTTTAAAAACGATGATGAATCCTGTGATTTGAGCTCATCGATCTGGTGCTACCCTGGCCAAGGTGTTATGTCAACCACCCACTTGCTCAGTCTGTGCACTTCAGGTTTTCCTGTTCCCCAGAAACTGTGACATGCGTGGTGCCCTTCAAAACTCATGTTAGAAAGCGTGGATAATAAATTATTCAGGGAACAAAGCCCGAGCTCATTGAAAAGCTATTGCTCTGTGGGTAAATACAACCCCACTGTGTATTAAACAAAAATTAAACCCCATTTTCTTTTTTATAGTGAAGTTGCCATCAATTCAAATCCCGAGAACAAGGCCCTGGACACAGTTAATAGTCCGCAGCCTGGCCAGCCCAGGCTTTGAAAGCAGGGAAGCCTTCCTGAAGTGCTGCTTGTGCCCAATTATAACTCACTACTTACCATCTTCATAATTTAAATCTGTCCACCCCTTTGGGGGGGAGACATTTTTGCTAATCAAAGCCATGAATGCACCTTTTTCCTTTTGACAGCATTAAATTAAAGCTAAATGGTCGGTTTTGAATGAGTTACTGTGAATAAAGGCATTAATGAGGTAATTTCATTATGGAGACTCATCCAGGCCTATGTGAAAACAAGGGAAGTAAGTGGAAAGGAAAGCTGCTGAGGAAATTAGGGTTCCTTCCACCCTAATTAATGTTTGGGGGCATTTAGTACAGGCACCAAATTAACTGCTCCAAAGAACTCTCATTGAAAAAAATACATTGTTGCCCTCCCTTGTAATTAGAAGACAGTACAAGGAGAACACTCTGGGAGTATAAAGCCAGCCTTTAACTTATTCGGCTGGCCGCAGAAAACACACCATTATGGGGCTGGAGTTTAAGGAAGCACTAGGCAGACAATATAGGATTGTTTAGGTCCTTGGACTCTGTGAGCTGTAAACAGGTAGCCTCTGAATGAGGAATTATGAGACTCCTGGGAGGCCTGGCTTCCCAGCAAAACAGTCTTAAATGCATCTAAAAGGAAGAAAGAAAGGTGAATAGGCCCAGCGTGGTTCGCAAAAAGAATGCTCAGTGCTTGTCTTAAGTGATTACATGATGTTGCGCCGGCCCCTCTCACTGAGTTATCTTTACACTGCTTTTGTCTCCTCTAATTGGAGCTGATGAGGTGCTAATTGGAGGCCTTTTTAAAAAGCCCACTACTTTAATCATTGGAAAATCGAGGGAGGCTGAGGGAGTGGAGTTAATGAGAGAGGGGGAAGAAGAGAGAAAACTTCATATAGTTAGCTTGACAAAAGTGAAGCTGTGGTTTGTGTGTATCTAGGAGGGGTGAAAGGGAAGGTTTGAGGGGAGAAGAAGGGGAGCTCAAGATGTTTTATTTTAAAAATCTTTCTGCAGCATCTTCAAGGTCAGCTGGAAGAAGAAGAATCTGGTTAGTCTGGCGGTTTCTGTTCTTTAATTCTCACATTAGGCCTGAATTCAGACTAAAGCCTTGATGGTCCAGCCCTCGACTCTCCTTCAAAATTGAAGGAAGAAATGATGTGGAGTCCGGCGTGCCTCCCCGACCCTGTTCCTCTTCTCAGAATGAAAGTTTTTCTTGAACCCTTTGGATGGGTTTTCGCTGCTGCTTCTGGTGGCGGAGAGGACTCTTCATCTCAGAGCTTCCTCTGTGTCACAGGCGGGGAGTGAAGCGTGGTGGTCATGTCTTCAAGGGATATGAACTGGGGGAAAGAAAACAGAATTGACTTACCAACAGTGACTGTGAAGTTGGGTGTGTTCTGGTTTGGGGTTGCTTTTTTGTTTTCCTTCTCCTTTATGCTTTTCTATGCTTTCCAATCTCTAGAATGAGCCTCTATATCATCAGCAAAATAAAATTTTGGCCAGACGCGATGGCTCACGCCTATAATCCCAGCACATTGGGAGGCTGAGGTGGGTGGATCACCTGAGGTCAGGAGTTCAAGACCAGACCGGCCAACATGGCAAAAGCCTGTCTCTACTAAAAATACAAAAATTAGCCAAGCGTAGTGGTGTATGCCTGTAATTCCAGCTACTCGGGAGGCTGAGGCATGAGAATCACTTGAACCAGAGAGGCAGAGGTTGCACTAGTGCAAGACAAGATCCTGCTACTGGCCTCCAGCCTGGGCGACCGAGCAAGACTCCGTCTCAAAAAAATAAAATAAAATTTTAATGTATTTATTCAAGATGACTTTGTTACTTTAAGTAGCAAAGAAATAGAATGGAGTGTGTGGCAGGGAGGAGAGGTATGATGTGGAGAAAGTGGACTTCTAGAAACATCCTCTCAGGGGCACCGAGCCTGGGTTGCCTGCTCTTGCTGTGCAGCAGGACCCGTGGAGTGTCAGGACACCATGGACATTCGGAGAGAAGCATCACACCTGAGGGTTACACAGGCTCCCACTCAACTCTCCATTCCCTGGCCTCGAGAGGATTGATAAAGTATTTCCAGAGTATCTTGGAGGATTTATAAAGTATGCCACGGGATTTCGCACTTTATATATTACCTCATATTGTGTATAATAACCACCACGTCTTGAAGGTTAATTTCCCCATACACTCTAACCCACTTTAGGGCAATGACCCTGCAGTTTGTCTTCCACTCCCACCTAAGTGTCCAAGCTTAAGTTACCTTTTCCATACTGCCCCAATGTAAAATCAAGCCACACGCTGTAGCACATCAGCCAAAGAAAAATGAAATTGACATGACACGGTTGGCCTGTAAATACGAGCATGTGACATGGGCAAAACCTAGTGGGATCGAATTTTATCCTTGGGAAATGGGTTGACACCTGCCAAGTGGTGGGAACAGTGCCTGGCACTCAGTTAGGGGTCAGTAATTTAAAGCTGACACAAGGTGACTGAGAGTGAGAGAGAGAAACCTGGGAAGCAGATAGTCTTAAAAGTCAGAAATGATTGTGCAAGGCAAGAGAGTCAGCATTTGGTTTTGAAAACTGTAAATCTACAGAAGAGTTTTGTGTAGGGTGGATACGTAGAATGAACATGTTGTATGTCATTCAGAGATTGAGAAGGCAGCCTGCCAGCATCTGAGCTCTATCTCAGTAAGTGACACAGCACTCCCCACAGAGAGAAACTTAGGATACTGGCACTAGAAGGAGCATTACAGATGCTCTGGCCCCAGACCACTGTTCTGCAGATTAAGTGATGGGCTCAAAACCATCCAGGTCATGGAGAGTGGCCAAGTCTGCAGCAGATTCTAGGTCTTTGACCTACCAGGCCAGTGCTCTTTTTCTTTTTCTTTTCTTTTTTTTTTTTTTAAACAGACCCGGGCTGGAATACAGTGGCACAATCTTGTCTCACTGCAACCTCCACCTCCAGGGTTCAAGTGATTCTCCTGCCTCAGCCTCCTGAGTAGCTGGGATTACAGGCACCTGCCACCCAGCTAATTTTTATATTTTTAGTAGAGATAGGTTTTTACCATGTGGGCCAGGCTGGTCTCGAACTCCTGACCTCAAGTGATCCTCCCGCCTCGGCCTCCCAAAGTGCTGAGATTATAGACGTGAGCCATGTGCCAGGCCTGTTTTTCCTAATAGCTCACAGACTCACAGGATGAAGAACTTGCCAGCCTCCTCCTCTGAAGTTTCTGAGTATGTTAGATTAGTACAGGAGACCCCATTGTATAGATTCATATATATATATATACACACACACACATACATTTACACACATATATGGACACCTAGACATACACGTCAACCCCAAGTTCAACCTGATTCACTCAGTCACTCCTGCACTCATGCATTTAGCATCCAGGAAATCTTGGGATGCCCACAAAGTACTAAGTCCTGAGCTGATTGCCAGGGATACGAAGGTCAGCAAAACCTGACACAGCCTGTCCTTGTGGAGCTTATTGTCCAGTGCATGGGACAGACATTGCATAAAGATTTTCACAAGGATTGTGTTGATTCCTGATGTTATGTTCAATGCTGTGGAGAAGCACCGAGTAGACGAATACGGTCCTATTTACCGAAGACTCCAGGTGACACTAAGGCAGGTGCTTTGAAAACCCTGAGCTACAATCAGCAGGCAGCAGAACCTCCCCTCCAGCTGCTATGAAAGCAGCTTCTAATGAGTTAATGAGCAGCCTGAGGATGGAGGGCGACAGGGAAGGTGGGGGGAGGCGGAGGGGACACAGTAATCTGCAGAGCATTAGCAGATGCTTCAGCAGGAGGCTGGGGAAGCTATTTGCCAGTTGGCTGCAGCTTCTGAAAGAGCAGGCAGAAGGGTCAATCAATGTGGCCTTCATCAGTTCAGTGACCATATTTTTAAATAATAATAATATTTAAAAAGGACATGTAATCTAACAGTTTTTTTGTTTTACAAATTAATTTGATAAAATAACTTGCACAAACACAAAAATTAAATTGAACTTAGTTATACAATTATTCAATTGGCTCTATTGAAAAAAAAAAAAACTTTTATATGAGGTCTGGGGCACATAGGAGCCAGAAATAAAGATCTCAGCATTTTAGCTTGACAGGGGGATTGGAAGACTATAGAGCCACACCTCTTAATTTAATAAGGAAGAAAGGAAGATCCAGAAAGATATGTGACTTTGTTATAGGTCATGCCAATGGCAAGATTAGAGAATAGGGCTCCTGGTTGATAATTCGGTGCACTTTTTTTTTTTTTTAATAGAGGCAGGCTCTCGCTCTGTTACCTAGGCTGGAGTACAGTGGTGTAATCATAGCTCACTGCAGCCTCAAACATCTGGGCCCAAGCAATCCTCCCACCTCAGCCTCCCAAGTAGCTAGAACTACAAGTGCACACCACCATGCCAAGCTAAGTTTTAAATTTTTTGTAGAGATGGGGTCTAGCTATGTTGCCCAGGCTGGTTGCTCAGTGCACTCTTGAGTGCAGCATGCCACATACTTTGATCCATGTACTGGTCAGCCGCACGCTTACGATACACCCAATTAAATACACGAAAAGCTCCTGCATATTGTTACTAATAAAAGAAATGCAATTTAATACTCAATAATATACCAATCTTCACCCAACTTGGAGAAGTTCAAAAAAGCAAGAAAACTGGCAAGATTACTGGGATTGCATTAACAGGACTCAGGAGGCAACTTGAAGAGGCTTCTACTAGAATGGTTTTGGCATTATCAAGGATAATAATTGGCACGGACTGAAATACATCAAATATGCTAAAATCCATGAGTTCAAAATGACGTCAAACAAACAGAAAAACAATGACAGCCAACAACAAGAAAAATAATGTTATTTTAGGAGGATGCCTGAGAACCAACTCTGTAGTTTAAAACTAGTTTTTTTTTTTTAAGTAAAAGCATTTTCCTGCTTATACTGTACATCAAAGTTAATAAAAATAGTTGATGAGAGGAAATTACTTTTTCTAGAAGCATCCCACTAATAAATGAAGAGGACATGATGGAATTAGAATGTCACCATTTTATCAAACTTAATGAAATAACGAATCTAGGAAATGATGGTCAGTACCTGCTCATAACCAGGCACGATGCGCCTCCTAATGGAAGTTCACATTGCCCTCTGCCTATGAACTATTCTTGCCAAAAATTCCAACTGGGTTGGCCAGCGCTTCTGATGGCTCAGCATTCTCACAAACATGGCCTTTTTCCGGGCCTCTGAGGTTCTCACTTGCTGTTTTGCAATAAACTCCTAACTGATCCTTCAGCATCTCATAGCCCTCCAGCCTCCTCACGTCAAATCACGGGAGTGATCCATGTAAAATGTGTGTCTGTCTGCAGCTCCCAGCTGCTCTAACTGGTCAGGCCCTGCTGTGGGTTGAATTGTGCCCTCCCCAAGAGACACGTTCAAGTCCTAAGCCCTGGTACCTATGAATGTGACCTCATTTGGAATAGGGTCTTTGCAGATATAATCAAGTTAACATGAGCTCATAATGGATTAGGGTGGACCTTAATCAGTGAGTGGTGTCCTTATAAAAAGGAAATTTAGACACAGAAACACAGAAGGAAGATGGCCACGTGCAGACGAAGGCAGACATTGGAGTGATGCAACCACAAGCAAGGAAATGATAGAGATTGCTAGCAAGCACCAGAAGTGAGGGGAGCTACCTTTCTAGCTTATCTGCAGAGGATCCGTCCCTCATACCCTATGTCAGCTCCACCGAGTCAATCACAGTTCCTCAAGGGAGCCAGGCTCTTACGTCTTTCTGACCTTTGTACATATTGCTCCCTTCGCCAATAATCACTGTCATCCTCTCTGCTACTCAGATGCCCCCTGGTCTTTGAAATCTTAGCTTTCCCACTGGACAGAATTAAAGTTTTTATGGGACCCCAAAGAACTTGTGCCCACCTCTTCCTTTATGTTTTCCAAGCAGCATTTTAGTAGATTCCCGCACCAGACATGAGCTCTGCCACAACAGGGAGAACATCTGATTCTTTCCACAATCCCAATGCCCAGCAGAGTAATAATAATATGAATTAATGTTAATAATAATATTAAGCAGCTAATGGAATTGTGTGATTCCTAAGTTCCAAGTACTGTTCTAAGCCTTTTGCATGTATTGCCTCAGTTAATTCGCATAATTCTGAATCATTATTCCCACCTTATAGATGAGAAAACAGAGGCGCAAAAGGTTAAGTGACTTGCCCAGCATCACTTACAGTAAACGTTGGAGGTGTGATTCGAAGCCACTCTAGATTCAGAGGTCATGCTTTTTTTTTTTTTTTCTTTTTTTTGAGACGCAGTCTCGCTCTGTTGCCCAGGCTGGAGTGCAGTGGCGCAATCTCGGCTCACTGCCAGCTCCGCCTCCCAGGTTCATGCCATTCTCCTGCCTCAGCCTCCCGAGTAGCTGAGACCACAGGCGCCCGCCACCACGGCCGGCTAATTTTTTGTATTTTTAGTAGAGACGAGGTTTCACCGTGTTAATCCAGGATGGTCTCGATCTCCCGACCTTATGATCCACCCGCCTCGGCCTCCCAAAGTGCTGGGATTACAGGCGTAAGCCACCGCGCCCGGCAGGTCATGCTTTTGACCACTGCTCTACGGCCTCTCCAGAGGTGAGTAGTGTAGGTGACCAGAAGATTGGATGGGGATAGGGAGTAGGAAGTAGGGCATGAACAAATGAATGAATATGCAATACCTTCTCTTCCTAAGTGTTAATATGTAAATCTAACCAATCCATGGTTCTTTGTTTTTCAGGTTACCAGGTGTAAACCCCAGAGTTGGAAGCACAATTTGAGAATGCAGGTAAGCGACGCTGAATGGAATGGCAAGGGAACCCAGTGGTTTCTGTGTGATCTGTGATTCACCCACGTATGAATCCAGTTACTGAAATTGACCTTTTGTCCACAGTGCTCTCTTCCGGATTCCAGTGGCCATGCTCCTGACTCCTCGATTTTTATCTCTTGCACCTTTTTTCACCTTCCTGCCCTTGACAACTGTTCAGTTCTTCTTTTCAAGCTTGCTGAACTGCATTCTACTTAATTTGGACCTAATTCAGCTTTGTTCATTTTTGTTTGAGTTTTCAACAAGATATTGACTAGGTCTATTAGCCTGGTGTTTTCTCAAAACAATGTATGTGCATTTTAAAGTTTTTAGTATCCAGACCATTACTGAAGTGCTACAAAATTAAGACACCATTAGCAACCACCCACTAACCCCACAATAGCTCTTGGAGAACTACCATTTGGTGTGTTTTTTGCCCTTGCTCTTTATAGTCTTGTTTTGAAAATTATGGTACAATACACATAACACAAAATTTACCATTAGTGACACTTAGTACATTGGCAGTGTTGTGCAACCATCACCACTATCTAGTTTGGGGTTTTCATCACCTCTAAAGGAAACCCTGTACCCATTAGTCAGTCTCTCCATTCTCTCCTCCCCGCTGCCTTTGGCAACCACCATCTGCATTCTGTCTCTATGGATTTGCCTATTTTGAATATTGCATATACACGGAATCATGTAATATGTGGCCTAACATGTCTAGCTTCTTTCACTTAGCATGTTTTCAAGATTTATCCCTGTTGTAGCATGTATCAGTACTTCATTCCTTTTATGGCTGAATAATATCCCATTATATGGATAGACCACATTTGTTTATCCTTTCATCAGTAAATGAACATTTGGGCTGTTTCTACCTTTCGTTTATTGTGTGTAGTGCTGCTCTGAATATTTATGTACAAGTTTTTCTTTGAACATCTGTTTTCAATTCTTTTGGGTATATTCCCAGAAGTGGAAATGTTCTAAGTGAGTAACTATGTTTGCATTATTGAGGAACAGCCAAACTGGTTTCCACAGTGGCTGCTCCACTTTTTATTCCCACCAACAATGTGAAAAGGTTCCAGTTTCTCCACATCCTCACCAACACTTGTTATTTTCCTTCTCAAAAAAAGTATAACCATCCTAGTGGGTGTACCATGCAGTCTTTTTAAAGCATAGATATCATTCTTGAAGTGCTTCTTCAAGTTCACGTACGCATGCAGCATTCAGAGATTTTGTAAAAGTATAGATTCTGCTGCAGCCAGTCTGCGGTGGGATCTGAGATCTTCCCGGGGGTGGTGGTTCTGCTGGTCCACTAGATTTGTGGAGCAGCAGAGATCACATAGAAAGATGATAGCAGCCTTTGCTTGAAACCCTCTGGTCACTTCCCACTGCAGTTAGAATATACTTCAAACCCCTTTCCATGGTTAGCAGGTCCTTGTCAATCCTTCCAGCCTCCTCTGCCTCCATTCTCCCACTTCTGACCACACTCCCTTCATTCTGGGCTTCTCTTCTGCTCCTTGAACATGCCATGTTTTTCCCGCCACTGGGACGTTACATTGTTGTCCCTCTGCCTGGGACTCTCTGCCCCCGATCTTCACTGAGCTGCCTCTTTATCCCTCAAGCTTCAGCTCCAATGTCTTCCCCACCAAAAGGCTTCCCAGAGCCCTCTACCTAAACCACCAAGGTTTCCTGCCTACCAGTCTCTCTATCTCACCTCTCTGGTTTTTGTTTATTTGCTTTTACAGCACTTACCAATATCACAATTTGAAATTTTATTTTTAAAAGCTTGTCCATAGTTTTATTGTCCATCTCTCCCCTCTGGCCCATAAGACACTATGACGCCAAGGCCTTGTTTTTCTCATTCATTGCTCTATCCCTAATGCGAAAACAGTGCTAGGTTCTGTTCATCTAGGTGCACAATAAATGCTTATTCAATGAATGAATGAGTTGATTACAGTTTCAGGACTTCCTCTTGCATGTCCCCATGGTTTTCAGATATGGCCATGTGTATCTAAAATGTCACCCAGAGAATACTATATTGTCAGAATTATAGACATGGAACACCTTCCCAAAGACTTCCAGACCATTGAAACAGCCATCAGACAAACTGCCACAGTTTAACTCAGCCTACCAATTGGCTTCTTCATTGTCTGCTTCCACATCTACTTTTCCCACCAGGTTTTTTGTATCTGTTTATAATTACTCTGAGAAAGGAAAATATGATGTCCCTTCTCCCCGTGCTGGTTCTGTTTTCCTTTGTAAGCACACAGAACTGTGTGAACATCTCAGATGAGCATCATAGAGTTTTTCTCATAAGCCCATCTAATAAGCAGCAGATTTCCCTGACTTCTTGCGTCTTCATTATATAAGGAGGTATTTTCCATTTCCCTTGGTGGAGTCTGTATCTCATTTTCACTTTTTACCTTTGGGCTTGAAAACTCTAAATTTCTTTGAGGTTTGTTTGGGACTCTGCCCTGCCTCTTGCTCATCTGTCTTATTTGGGTTTCAACTCACCAGAGCATTTTGAGCTTTATTCTATCAGATAGATTTCCTTTTGTCTTTTCCACTTTTTGTTGACGTTGGGTGTTTATTTCTTTATCATTAATATAGTTTCCTACATAATCATCCATAGATCCAAATAGGTCCCTTCAGCCTTTATACTTCTATTCCAGAGAATTTTAAGATGAGTCCCCTACAACTGTGAAAGCAGTCCTTTCCCCATTTAGTTTCAGATTTAAAGTGAATCATCTCTTTCCATTCCCTGTGGTCTAAATCTGATCAGTTTAGCATCACTTGCCTTCCTTACACCCTCAAATCTGTCCTGATGGAAGAATTAGCTCAAAAGGGCATGCACCTCATCAGATGCTGAAAACACACCACACTGGTCTTATTTTCCTGGGTAAGAAATCATAGTCAGTCTTTGCCAAAATGTCTTTGCTTTTTATCCTTTTCTGCCTTAACCCAGAAGTTCAATCCTCTCTGCTTTCACTTGTTTCTTGAGTTGGTGATTATGGGCAGCCATACATTGGCCTTGGCGATAAATCATTCCGGCTCCTCTTTCTTGTTGCTCGATATCCAGGAATGTACTGTACCAGATGAATGTCCAGCTGCTTAGACGTCACTCTTATTTATTGCACTTTCATGCTGGCTTCTCTGCATCCTTCAGTAGTCTATGAGCTCCTTCTGGCAGACACTGTATTTTATTGATCTTTATTTCTCCAGCAGCTAGCATAGTGCTCACCTCACAATAGATTCTTAGTAAATATTTAGAGACTGCTGAATGAATATCCCATGATCCCTTACCTTACAAGCCGAGAGACACAATACCCAGGTACACAAGACTCTTAATGAACATGGAAAGAGAACATACAGGTAAGTGTGCAGTGTGGTTCAGTAAGTGTTCAAAGACAGGAAATAAATAAGAGCTCGTAGAGTTTTAGAAGGCTTTGTAGAGAATGTAAGACCTAAATTTGACCATTAGAAAAAAGAGAGCAGCATTGAGGAAGTGACGAGGGCGCTTAAATTTTCCACTCTGTCCCTCTCAAGTTTTCTCATGGGAATGCCTTTGTTTTTCTTTTCCTCTTATCATAGCATCTCCGTCACTGGGTCACCTGCAGTCTTCTCTTCCACCTTTACCAACCTGGTCTAAAAATCCTCTTATAGTGCTTCTCTGTGCAACCCTATCTTATTTTTTAGCCCAGCATGGAGTATCAAGGGCTCTGATGGACAATACAAGTTTTGTCTCCTCTTCCGAAACTCCCTTGGGCCACTCTCACAGCCTAGTGTACTAACTGAGGCTGCCCCTCAGGAAAAACCAGGTTGTGGGGTAATTAGGTCATAGGAAACACTGAAACCAGAAGATTCAGCTGGAGACTAGGCTAAAATTCATAAATACAGATTGGCCTGGCTTGAACTCACAATAGGCTAATTTTAGATCTGTGGATTTGGTCTAGCAGAACAGTGACAATTATATCCTTTCTCTAAACGTTTTGCCTCCACTGGCTTTGGAAGCATTTCTTTTCTATCACTGAGTCATTCAATAGCCATATAATTGTTATGTCCATTTCCCTGGCTCTAACAGGTTTGGGAGCCAGTTACCTTTCCCAGTTCATTAACCGACTGGCCTTCGCATTAACAGCCCCTCCATCGGGGGTTGCCTTGGAGACAAAGCTTCCTGTGGGTAATCCAAGATTATCTAGCTCTTTGTCCTACATGTGACCCTTAATTACTTGCTAAATTAGAATGGTTTTCTGAAAATCACAAGCGGAGGTTAATATGTTCTTCCAGAGCTGGTCAAGCTAAGATGACACTGAATTCACAGGGAATTCAAGTTACATGATCCCTGAAGGCGTCTCTTTGAGTAAGAAGATGAACTCTCCCCCTGGGAGGCACTGCCCCCCCATAAAGCCCCTGTCACTCACTGTCCCTCCGCCTGCTTTTCTAGTTGTGGTTTAATCTTCTCAGGACGATTCACTATGTCAATATTGAGCAGATTCATTCTGGTGCAGGATCCTGTATCCATTTGTCTTTGATAACTAGTTGCTTTAAATTTGAGTACATATTTATATCATAATTGCAGGTTTTTACTCTTTATTTACACAATTACAAGGCTTCATGTACCCATGTGGGACAGGCAAGGGAACTGAAGAAGCTATTAAAATACAGAAAGTAAACACTTTGGGTAAAAGAGTTTGAGCACTAGAGTGTCCTTCCTAACATTTGATAGGCCTCAAAGGGAGATTAGTAGAAAGGGGAACTCTTAGAATGCCCTTAATGAGCTGCCTCTTCAAATGCTTTTTGGAAGTAAGTTCTATATAAGTAATGCAGATATTGAATGAGAATTTCATTAGCAATCATAAATGTAGCTTTACTTAAGATGTTTAGTTATCTAGACTATAATGAAGCTACTGAGTAGAGTTCCAGAAGTTAAAAAAGAAAAAAACAGCAACAACAAAAAAAAACACTGTCTTAAAATTTAAAATATTATGGACAGATCTCAACATTAAAGTATCAAACTAATAATGGTATGTAGCCTGGAATCTCACAGGGATCCTTCCAAAAAGTGTTTAGGAAACCAAACTGAATGGGCTCGTGTTAGAAATAAACATAATCGGTGATTTAACACCTCAAATCATTCACTCAGATTTCCGAAGGAGTCGTTGGCAGATTGCTACAAACCTATTCAATCCAGAGGCTTGACTGAGTACGTATAAAGCTTTGAGTGTTTGTGGTTATATTCAACTGTGTGCCACCTTTAGAAATATTTAAGCATCTATGGTGTATAAGGTGTCATATAGCCCCCATTTTGTTGACCTGTAGTCATCTAAGTAGAAATTAGCAGAGAAGTCCTATGAAAATCACTTTATGACATTTGGTCACATCTATCATTACATATGTGTAGCACCAGAAAATTGACTCTGCCTGTAACATACTTAAATTAGCATCAGAGTACATTTCTTTTAGAGGAAATTTTGGTAAATCCTAGAGTGGTTACCGAGGAAAACTGAGATTGTCTTTGATATTGTTTTAAAGTAGTTTCATTCAGCATTTTCTGAAGTATGATTCTGAAGATAAAAGTCCTGCAGCATGTTAATAAGTGTTACACAAAAAGGATTCTGTGATTAAATAAACTAGGGGAAATGTTGTATTAAAACGAAGTTACTTTTTTAAAAATTTAATTAATTGTTACCACTGAAGAATTTCCAGGAGCTTTTAACACTTAAACGTGCACTATGAAAATTCAAGTCTCCTAAATGTATTTACTTACATAATTTCCGTTCTCATAGTACCCCATAGCATCTCCTGGAAGCAGCGAGTTCTAAGCAGCACACTCTGGGAAACACCTTTATATATATTTCTTAGCCTGCTTTGGCTAATAGGTGCAGATATAACCAATAAAAAAATTGATGATTCAACATCCCAATATCACACCCTCAAAACCTAACTTCAAAAAGATTGTTGAACTCCTTGTTCAATTCTTTTTTTTTTTTTTTTGAGACGAATCTCAGTCTGTCACCCAGGCTGGAGTGCAGTGGCGCGATCCAGGCTCACTGCAACCTCCGCCTCCCGGGTTCAAGCAATTCTCTGCCTCAGCCTCCCAAGTGACTGGGATTACAGGCACCTGCCACCATGCCCGACTAATTTTTTTGTATTTTTAGTAGAGATGGGGTTTCACCATCTTGACCAAGCTGGTCTTGAACTCCTGACCTTGTGATCCACCCACCTTGGCCTCCCAAAGTACTGGGATTACAGGCGTGAGCCACTGCGACTGGCCTGTTCAATTCTTTTGATAGTTTATGTCTTTCTGTTAATTCAGTGATTTCTACTAACTCCCACCTATAGGAGATTGTATAATTACTCCAAATATTTGCTGCCCCTCCCTGTGATTGGATTATATGTCCCTGCCCCATTGCTGTCATGTGACCTCTTTGGGCCAACAGACTGTGAATAAAAATGACATGTGCTGCCTCTGAGCAGAAGCTCAGCAGTCATGGTGTGGCTCTGCCATGTTCTTTCTTCTGCCTGAGCAGCCCTTCCACTTCATTTGGCTGCTTCTTTACTTGTGTCCCAGAAGGAAGATGTGGAACAAAGCCTCACTGGCTTGCAATCAACATGTCACATGTATGAGAAGCATAGGCTTGTGCTCGTAAGCCACCACTTCCTGTTCCCCATTCAGCTCCTTCCCAGGAACAAGGGAGATAGTGATGCTCCTTCCGAGGAATAGATGATGCTTTTCCTGCCTCATTACCTTTACTCATGCCGTTCCCCTGGCTGGAAGCCCCCTCCTGACCCTGGCTGTCTTTAAAACTCGCCCTCATCTTTTTAAAGCTCAACTGAAATATCACCTCTATGATAAAAACATTTTTGATCGCCACCCCTGCCAAGGTAGCATTGATCATTCTCTCTCTTTTTATGCCCCCACTGTACCCTGTACCAATTTCCAAATTTCCGGGTGCAAAGCTTCACCTGGGAGCTTGTTGATGAGATCCCTGCGCACCTTGTCCTACTCCAGTATGGTTCAGTGGGGTCTGGGGTTAGGGACCAGGAACCTGGGTTTTAAGTAAGCAATCCCATGTGATCTGATCAGTCTGTTCCAAGGACACTACCTTGAGAAGCACTGTCACTGGAACACCAACAGCACCTTTGGCACACTTTGGTTTGCATACCTGTCTACATCTACTAGACTGTGTCCTCCAAGCAGAAACCAAGTCTTGTGCAGCCAAAGCTCCTAGATTGGCTCATGGTAAAGTCTCAGTAAAAGTTAAGTGAAATACACACCACAATTTGTCAAATTGAAAACTTTCATACTATCAAGGATCAACAGAAAGATAATTGCTCCTTTGTAAGCAGAACACACTAAAATAAAGCACAACGTAATGCCACCCCTAGGAATCAGGCATATTTTTTCCATATATAAATAGACTATCATTGTCAACAAGCTCTTCTGTTTTTCACTTTTCCCTAGAGAAGCACAGTCTATGAGCTCCCTTAGTAACCCATTCCAATATTTTGCCACCATTTTTTTAAATAGGCAATGCTTTCTTTACCTGAACTTAATTCTGAAGTTTTAAACTACGTATCTCATTCAGGACTTAAGCAGCAAAGATAAGGAGTGATTTTCATAACAGAGAATGTTTCTGTAAGGAATCAGTTTTAATTTTGAAAGGACTACACTGAGACGGTGTCATTGTAGTGGCTGTTTATAGTTACCTCCCTGCAGAGTGAGGTCAGGCCACAAAGGGTGTGCTGGTTAGAGATGGGTGAGCATGAACAATTGGACTTTGCTGATGTTGCTTTCACTACCAGTCCAACAAACAGGTTTTACCAAGAATACAAGACATAAGAACTCAAATGAATGACTACAGCTTCCCAGTTCTCCCTAAGCTCCTCATGCATATATACATGAAGATCAGCAATCTGTGCAACCCTTTGGGAACAAAGATGGCACTAGCCAGAGAGTCTCACTAGGACAGAGAGTCCCAAGAGCTTCAGGTGAGGGAGGGACTACTCCAGCTCTCAAGGATTTACATACCAACATAGAAAACATGTCCTGCTATACTTAAGTTACCTGCTTTCCTGTTCTATTTCTCAAGGTATTATTGGGCCTAAGGCAGGCCTATCTCATCTTCCTTCCCAACAGTCCTCCAGTTTGTGTTTGGAGATCCGTGAAGTTAAGAAAGGCTATCGTTAACCTTGTACAAAAGGAGGAGCAAGTAACCTTGGCCAAGTCAGTCATCACATTCTATTCCCCTGCCTTCGTGATTATTTCAGGGAAAGACACATGATCTAAGCAGTCCATGAAGAGTGAACTTCAGAACATTTTAGGGAGTGATAAGTCAATCTGCTCTTTCTTCGTTAGATGTTGTGATGTAGAGATGCGAAGTCTGGAAGTGCTACAGTCATTTTGCTATCATCAGAGTGTGCCTGGAGATGAAGCTGACACATGGAGGAAAGCAGAGGCTGAAACTCTGATCCAACTGTACCTGACGCTGAGCCCACCTCAAGTCTTTTTTACTTATATGAGCCAATACCCTTTATTGCTAAAGCCAATTTGATTTGGGTTCTCTATATTGCCACTACAATCACCCAAATTGGTATAGGTCTTAATCCCAACAAGTGGAACTTTGTTTAAAACAGGATGCTGTCAGATCAGGTAAACTCCTCAAAGTATGAAATGTTACATAGGAGATCTGGCAAGATGGCTGAATAGGAACAGCTCTGGTCTGCAGCTCCTAGTGAGACCAATGCAGAAGGCGGGTGATTTCTGCGTTTCCAACTGAGTGGTGCCTGGAACCCCAGCAAGACAGAACCGTTCACTTTCCTGGAAAGGGGGCTGAAGCCAGGGAGCCAAGTGGTCTTGCTCAGCGGTTCCCACTCCCATGGAGCCCAGCAAGCTATGAACCACTGGAATGAAATTCTCGCTGCCAGCACAGCAGTCTGAAGACAACCTGAGATGCTCAAGCTTGGTGGGTGGAGGGGTGGCCGCCATTACTGAGGCAGGAGTAGGAGGTTTTCCCCTGACATTGCTAAGGAGGCTGGGAAGTTCGCACTGGGCAGAACTCACCACAGCGTGGCAAAGCAGCTGCGGCCAGACTGCCTCTCTAGATTCTTCCTCACTGGGCAGGGCATCTCTGAAAGAAAGGCAATAGCCCCATTCAGGATCTTGAAGATAAAACTCCCATCTCCCTGGGACAGAGCACCTGGGGGAAGGGGTGGTTGTGGGCACAGCTTCAGCGGACATAAACTTTCCTGCCTGCCAGCTCTGAAGAAAGCAGAGGATCTTGACAAGGAGGATTCTCTTAGCACAGTGCTAGAGCTCTGCTAAGGGACAGACTGCCTCCTTAAGTGGGTCCCTGACCCTCGTGCCTCCTGACTGGGAGAGACCTCCCAGCAGGGGTCGACAGACACTTCATACATGAGAGCTCCTGCTGGCATCAGGCTGGTGCCCCTCTGGGATGAAGCTTCCAAAGGAAGGAGCAGGCAGCAATCTTTGCTGTTCTGCAGCCTCTGCTGGTGATACCCAGGCAAACAGGGTCTGGATTGGACCTCCAGCAAACTGCAGCAGACCTGCAGAAGAGGGGTCTGACTGTTAGAAGAAAAATTAACAAACAGAAAGCAATAACATCAACATTAACAAAAAGGACCCCCACACAAAAACCCATTCAAGGGTCATCAGCCTCAGAGATCAAAGGTAGATAAATCCACTAAGATGAGGAAAAAACACTGAATATCATCATCTTGAGGATAAATCCACTAAGATGAGTGCAAAAATTCTGAAAATTCCAAAAACCAGAATGCCTCTTCTCCTCCAAATGATGGCAACTCCTCTCCAGCAAGGGCACAAAACTGGATGGAGAATGAGTTTGACGAACTGACAGAAATAGGCTTCAGAAGGTACGTAACAACAAACTCCTCTAAGCTAAAGGAGCGTGTTCTAACCCAAAGCAAGAAGCTAAGAACCTTGAAAAAAGGTTACAGGAACTGCTAACTAGAATAACCAGTTTAGAGAAGAACATAAATGACCTAATGGTGCTAACTAGAATAACCAGTTTAGAGAAGAACATAAATGACCTGATGGAGCTGAAAAACACAGCATGAGAACTTCGTAAGGCACACAATACCCAAATCGATCAAGCAGAAGAAAGGATATCAGAGACTAAAGATCAACTTACTGAAATAAGGTGTGAAGACAAGATTAGAGAAAAAAGAATGAAAAGGAACAAATGAAGCCTCCAAGAAATACGGGACTATGTGAAAAGACCAAACTTACGACTGATTAGTGTACCTGAAAGTGATGGGAAGAATGGATCCAAGTTGGAAAACACACTTCAAGATATTATCTAGGAGAACTTCCCCAATCTAGCAAGACAGGCCAACATTCAAATTCCACAAAGATACTCTGCAAGAAGCAGCAGATACTCTGCAAGAGAGCACCACAAAGATACTCTGCAAGAAGAGCAACCCCAAGACACATAGTCATCAGATTCTCCAAGGTTGAAACGGAGGAAAAAAATGTTAAGGGCAGCCAGAAAGAAAGGTTAGGTTACCTACAAAGGGAAGCCCATCAGATAACAGCAGAAACTCTGCAGAAACCCTACAAGCCAGAAGAATGTGGAGGCCAATATTCAACACTCTGAAAGAAAAGAATTTTCAACACAGAATTTCATATCCAGCCAAACTAAGCTTCATAAGTGAAGGAGAATTAAAATCCTTTAGAGACAAGAAAATGCTGAGGGATTTTGCCACCACCAGGCCTGCCTTACAAGAGCTCCTGAAGAAAGCACTAAATATGAAAAGGAAAAACTGGTACTAGCCACTGCAAAAACACACCAAAATATAAAGACCAATGACACTATGAAGAAACTGCATCAACTAATGTGCAAACTAACCAGCTAGCATCATGATGACAGGATCAAATTCACACATAACAATATTAACCTTAAATGTAAATGGGCTAAATGCCCCAATTAAAAGACACAGACTGGTAAACTGGATAAAGAATCAAGACCCATCAATGTGCTGTATTCAGGAGACCAAACTCACACATAGGCTGCAAAGACACACATAGGCTCAAAATAAAGGGATGGAAGAATATTTATCAATCAAATGGAAGGCAAAAAATGCAGGGGTTGAAATCCTAGTCTCTGATAAAACAGACTTTAAACCAACAAAGATTAAAAAAGACAAAGAAGGGCATTACATAATGGTAAAGGGATCAATTCAACAAGAAGAGCTAACTATCCTAAATATATATGCACCCAATACAGGAGCACCCAGATTCATAAAACGAGTTCTTAGAGACCTACAAAGAGGCTTAGACTCCCACATAACTATAGTGGGAGACTTTAACACCCCACGTCAATATTAGACCAATCAACAAGAAGGAAAATTAACAAGGATATTCAGGACTTGAACTCAGCTCTGGACCAAGCAGACGTAATAGATATCTACAGAACTCTCCACCCCAAATCAACAGAATATACACTCTTAGCATCACATAGCACTTATTCTAAAATCGACCTCATAATTGGAAGTAAAACACTCCTCAGCAAATGCAAAATAATGGAAATCAAAACAGTCTCTCAGACCACAGTGCAATCAAATTAGAACTCAGGATTAGGAAACTCACTCAAAACTGCACAACTACATGGAAACTGAGCAACCTGCTCCTGAATGACTACTGGGTAAATAACGAAATTAGGGCAGAAATAATGAAGTTCTTTGAAACCAATGAGAACAAAGAGACAACATACCAGAATCTCTGGGACACAGCTAAAGCAGTGTTAAGAGGGAAATTTATAGCACTAAATGCCCACATCGGAAAGTGGGAAATATCTGAAATTGACACCCTAAATCACAATTAAAAGAACTAGAGAAGCAAGAGCAAACAAATTCAAAAGCTAGCAGAAGACAAGAAATAACTAAGATCAGAGCCGAAATGAAGGAGAAAGAGCCGAAATGAAGGAGAAAGAGACACGAAAAAAACCCTTCAAATAGATCGATGAATCCAGGAGCTGATTTTTAAAAAACATTAACAAAATAGACTGCTAGCCAGACTAATAAAGAAGAAAAGAGGGAAGAATCAAATAGACACAATAAAAAATGATAAAGGAGATATCACCACTGATCCCACAGAAATACAAACTACCATCAGAGAATACTATAAACACCTCTACGCAAATAAACTAGAAAATCTAGAAGAAATGGATAAATTCCTTTACGCATACACCCTCCCAAGACTAAGCCAGGAAAAAGTCGAATCCCTGAATAGCCCAATAATAAGTTCTGAAATTGAGGCAGTAATTAATAGCCTACCAATCAAAAAAAGCCCAGGACCAGACAGATTCACAGCCGAATTCTACTGGAGGTACAAAGAGGAGCTGGTATCATTCCTTCTGAAACTATTCCAAACAATAGAAAAAGAGAGACTCCTCCCTAACTCATTTTATGAGGCCAGCCTCATCCTGGTACCAAAACCTGGCAGAGACACAACAAAAAAGAAAATTTCAGGCCAATATCCCTGATGAATGTCGATGTGAAAATCCTCAATAAAATACTGGCAAATCGAATCCAGCAGCACATCAAAAACTTATCCACCACGATCAAGTCAGCTTCATCTCTGGGATGCAAGGCTGGTTCAACATACACAAATCAAGAAACCTAATCCATCACATAAAGAAAACCAATGATGAAACCACATGATTATCTCAATAGATGCAGATAAGGCCTTCGATAAAATTCAACACCCCATTCATACTAAAAACTCTCAATAAAATAGACATTGATGCAACATATCTCAAAATAATAAGAGCTATTTATGACAAACCCATAGCCAATATTATATGGAGTGGGCAAAAGCTGGAAGCATTCTCTTTGAAAACTGGCACAAGACAAGGATGCCCTCTCTCACCGCTCCTATTCAACATAGTATTGGAAGTTCTGGTCGGGGCAGTCAGGCAAGAGAAAGAAATAAAGTGTATTCAAAGAGGAAGAGAGGAAGTCAAATTGTCTCTGTTTGCAGATGACATAATTGTATATTTAGAAAATCCCATTGTCTCAGCCCAAAAACTCCTTAAGCTGATAAGCAACTTCAGCAAAGTCTCAGGATACAAAATCAATGTGCAAAAATCACAAGCATTCCTCTACACCAATAATAGACAAGCAGAGAGCCAAATCATGAGTGTACTGCCATTCACAATTGCTACAAAGAGAATAAAATACCTACAAATACAACTTACAAGAGACATGAAGGACCTCGTCAAGGAGAACTACAAACCACTGCTCAAGGAAATAAGAGAGGACACTAACAAATGGAAAAACATTCCATCCTCATGGATAGAAAGAATCAATATCATATAATGGCCATACTGCCCAAAGTAATTTATAGATTCAGTGCTATTCTCATAAAGCTACATTGACTTTCTTCACAGAATTAGAAAAAACTACTTTAAATTACATATGGAACCAAAAAAGAGCCTGTATAGCCAAGGCAATCCTAAGCAAAAAGAACAAAGCTGGAGGCATCATGCTACCTGACTTCAAACTATACTACAAGGCTACAGTAACCAAAATAGCCTGGTATTGGTACCAAAACAGATTTATAGACCAATGGAACAGAGCAGAGGCGTCAGAAATAACACCACACATCTACAACCATCCGATCTTTGACAAACCTGACAAAAGCAATGGCAAAAGGATTCCCTATTTAATAAATGGTGCTGGGAAAACTGGCTAGCCACATGCAGAAAACAGAAACTGGACCCCTTCCTTACACCTTATACAAAAATTAACTCAAGATGGATTAAAGACTTAAACAAGACCTCAAACCATAAAAACCCTAGAAGAAAACCTAGGCACTACCATTCAGGACATAGGCATGGGCAAGGACTTCATGACTAAAACACCAAAAGCAATTACAACAAAAGCCAAAATAAACAAATGGGACCTAATTAAACTAAAGAGCTTCTGCACAGCAAAAGAAACTATCATTAGAGTGAACAGGAAACCTACAGCATGGGAGAAAATTTTTGCAATCTATCCCTCTGACAAAGGTCTAATATCCAGAATCTACAAGGACTTAAGCAAATTTACAAGAAAAAAAAAAAAAACCCTGTCAAAAAGTGGGCGAAGGATATGAACAGACACTTAACAAAAGCTAAAATTGACAAATTAGATCTAATTAAACTAAAGAGCTTCTGCACAGCAAAAGAAACTATCATCAGAGCGAACAGGCAACCTACAGAATGGGGGAAATTTTTTGCAATCTATCTGACAAAGGTCTAATATCCAGAATCTACAAGGACTTAAAACAAATTTACAAGAAAAAAAAAACCATCAAGAAAGAAGGATATGAACAGACACTTCTCTAAAGAAGACATGTATGCAGCCAAAAAACATATGACAAAAAGCTCATCATCACTGGTCATTAGAGAAATGCAAATCAAAACCACAAAGAGATACCATCACACTCCAGTTAGAATGGCAATCATTAAAAAGTTAGGAAACAACAGATGCTGGCGAGACTGTGGAGAGATAGGAACGCTTTTACACTGTTGGTGGGAGTATAAATTAGTTCAACCATTGTGGAAGACAGTGTGGCGATTCCTCAAGGATCTAGAACCAGAAATACCATTTGACCCAGCAATCCCATTACTGGGTATATACCCAAAGGATTATAAATTTTTCTACTATAAAGATACATATACACGTATGTTTAGTGCAGCACTATTTATAATAGCAAAGACTTGGAACAAACCCAAATGCCCATTAATGACAGACTAGATAAAGAAAATATGGCACATATACAACATGGAATACTATGCAGCCATAAAAAAGAATGAGTTCATGTCCTTTGCAGGGACATGAATGAAGCTGGAAACCATCATTCTCAGCAAACTAACACAGAAACAGAAAACCAAACACTGCATGTTCTCGCTCATAATTGGGAATTGAACAATGGGAACACATGGACACAGGGAGGGGAACATCACTCACACACTGGGGCCTGTCGGTGGGGGTGGGGAGCAAGGGGAGGGAGAGCCTTAGGACAAATACCTAATACATGCAGGGCTTAAAACCTAGACAATAGGTTGATAGGTGCAGCAAACCACCATGGCACGTGTATACCTACGTAACAATCCGGCACATTCTGCACATGTATCCCAGAACTTAAAGTAAAATAAATTTTAAAAAAGGAGAAATGTTGCATAGACCTCAGGGATGCTTGGATCCCAGTTCTATGAATGAAATGTTATATAGGAACTCAAAATCACAGAGGATAAAAAAGAATATTAGGTCATTAACAGCTCACCATGGATTAGGTTTCTGGCCTTTCATGGGGTGAAGAAGAATGCTTTAGGGTCCTGGGTGTCTAGAGCAACAGATAATAAAAACTAGTAGACTTGCTGACTCTTATCTATCAACAATGTCCAGTTGCTTTACCATATTACACATGGTAAATATTCACAATGGGATCGTGCTCTTTCTTTGTAGCCATTTTTAATTGAACCCTGCCAAAGGGCTTCAACTGGGTTCAATATTTTAATATGTTTACTTTTAAATATCTGAAGTTAATATGGAAAGCTGCTAAAATGTTTGAAACAGGATTGTGTTTCATTATCTCTGTGATTTCCTTCAAGTTGAAAACATTGTAAAATCAAAAAAAAAAACACAGGAGTCTTGCCTTCAGCATTTAGGTGATGCCCTACTGAAAAGGGTGTCTTTGATGCTTACAAAGTTATTTAATTATTTATTTATTTATTTTTGAGACAAGGTCTGGCTCTGTCACCCAGGCTAGAGTGCAGTGGCACAATCTTGGCTCACTGCAACCTCCACCTCCTGGGCTCAAGCCATCTGCCCACCTCAGCTTCTAGAGTAGCTGGGACTACAGGTGCGCACCATCACACCCAGCTAATTTTTTGTATTTTTAGTAGAGATGAGGTTTTGCCATGTTGCCCAGGCCGGTCTTGAACTCATGAGCTCAAGCAATCTGCCTGCCTCAGCCTCCCAAAGTGCTGGGATTAGAGGTGTGAGCCACCACACCTGTCCAGAAGTGTTTTAAGAGGCAGAAAGACACTGAGAAAAATGACAGCTTGGTTGGGATCAAACCTTCTAAAATTTGTGATAATATGATTAACTCTTTGCTCCTCTTTTCTGTGCTGGCAAAAGGTGTCTAGGATGCCAGACTAATAGAACTGTCTCATTTTTAAACCAAATAGACATCTCATAGCACATGCTGATACTGTCTTGGGAGAGCAGAAGGACAAGGAGCAGATTGGGAGATTGGGAGACATCTATTCTTCTTTGTAACCCCCGCTTGCTGAGGGAGCTCTAAGGATCAACGGATTGTTTTTTAATAATTGGTTATCAATTCCAATTTTCTTTGACTCAAGTGATTAAAGGTATTTGTGAAGTGTTATTCATAATAGCAAAAACTGGAAAACAATTCAAATGTCTGTATGAGATTAAATTATGATTATGATATGTTTCGTACAATGAAGTACTAAAAATAGTTAAGCACTTCTAGGGCTGCTAATATAGCACCTGTCTTAAAGTTAGAAAAAGGCACTTCCTCCTGATGGATGTAGTGTGGCAGACTCACAGACTGAGGGCTGATTTCCACCTCCTCTTGTCACCTTGGACAGGCATCCCTGCTCTGGACACAATCATACTGGTAGTACTAGGTAGATCCATGCTTACCTTATAGAAAGATAACTACTTTATGTTATGGAATGAAATATGTATATGCCATACATTTATATCTTCTGATCCTATTTTTAAAAATCAGAGCGTATATATTTGTAAATGCACAGAATAGAAATTCTCTGGAAGGTTGGGTATCACACTACTAATCATTGGTTGACTCCAAGAAGTGGGATTGGAGTTGGGGAGGGGGAGAGAATTGTTTTTACTTTATACAGTTCTCCACTATTTTAATTTTTATATTAGCATATTTTGCATTTGTGATTGTAATATATTTTAAATTTTATTGGTAAAAATTATAAACAGGACCCTAATTAAACTCATTACTGAAAAGAATTTAAACTCTTCACTTTGTAACTCTGCCTTGCAGTTATGCACTATACTTGAAGAGAAAATAATGACTCCATAAAGTCATGAGAAGAGATGAGTGGAGTGACTGTTCTACATAGTGGTTCAGTACACCTCTGTGTTCGTCTTCCTTAGAAACCTCATATATTGTATCCCTGTTGGTTGAAAACTGATTATTTGATCTATGGCATAACCTTGAACCGAAAAGTCTTTGTTCTTATCATATAATTATATCCTTCTAACTTGGATCACTACTGCATTTTGTAATCCTAATAGATAATCTATAAGGCACGATCATGTTCTTGATTAACTGTGCAGGACACACTGTTGGTTATATTTGGATCTTTCATTTCTGCCTTCCTCCTTCTGAACTGATCCCCAGTTGAGTTCATACGTTCACTCCCCATCACACACACATAACCCTTGTGACTCAGGGGAAGCTAACTCCATCCCCAGTTCCCAGGGTAGATCAGGATTTGTCTAACTAGTGATTCTCAGAGTGTGGTCCCCAGATAAGCAGCATTAGTATCACCTGGAGCTTGTTAGCAATACAAATTATTAGACCCTATTCTCAACCTACTAAAACTAGAAATGTGGGTCTCAGAAATTTGTGTTTTAACCAACTCCAGAAGTGATTCTGAATGATATTAGAGTTTGAGAACCACTGTTCTCAATCAAGGCTGGTAATCTTGTACTCTTTACCAGCAACTGATTCAGTGCTTGGTCTTCCCCTGGCTACGGTTAATGTTCCAAAGATGGACATGTAACCTAGATTGACCTAATCAGAATGAAAGGCAGAAATTTTATCCAAGGATGAAAGAGATTTTCTGTCTCTCCCATTGAACCTAAAGAAGATCTGACATCTTAGAACCTTGAGAGAAGCTAACCTGAGGACAAAGTCAATGTGAGGTAGAACCAGAACTTCTCAAAGATAGAGAGAACCTAGTCGTAACTGCCTGGGCCCAGTCCTAATCTAATTTACAGTTCAGTGAGATAACAGATTTCTTTATTGTTTAAGCCACTTTGAATTGGGGCTTTTTTTGCCCTTGCAGCCTAAAGCATTCAACTTATTAAAACACATATAATAATTTTCTAACTGTTCAAAGTTAAATCTGAATTCCCCAAGCAAGTTGTATTCCTACTGCCTTGCCTCTAGTATAGCGGTTTTAACACTTAATTGTCTGATGTTGTGAATAAGAACAAACACATGTGAATGAATGATCATGCACTGAAGGAGCAGGCAGACAATATCGTTTTCATTACTCTTATCAAATACAATTTATTCAAAGTCATTAGGAGGCTCCAAAAATAGTTAATCCACTAATGCAAACAATGAATTGGCATGGTAACCTTAGTTTTAACACTATTTTTGCTGTAACTAAGTGAAATTCTTTCCAGCTAGCTTAAGCAAAACGGAGGTCTATTTTAAGACTACTGGAGTGGCTCACAGACCATGGATTTTACCCCAACTCCAGCCAACAATTATGTGTGCCATTGATGAGGGGAGTGTATCTGGGTCAAAGAAAATTGAAATTGATCACCAATTATGAAAAAACAACCCATTAATCCACAGGGCTCCCTGTGAGTAGGAAGACCAGAAAGAAAAGATATCTCCCAATCTGCTTTTTGGCTTCTTATTCACTCCAGAGCAAAACACCATTCTGTGCTATGTGCTAGAAGACATCCATGGGTTTTATAAATGGGACAGGCCTGTCAATCTTCTGGCATTTGGGATACTTTTTGCTAGCACAGAAGAGGCTGGCAATGAGTCATGGATATTGCCAGAAGATAGTTATAAGGAATCAGGCAGCAAACCAAGCCCTGGTACTGCCACTCCATCTCTCCAGCTCTGTGCAGGGCCCAATGGTGTGTTGAGGGACCCTCATAATTTTTATTCCCCTCCCAATTCAAAAATCTGAGCTTAATTTTTGGAAATTGCCTCAGGCACTAGAGGGTAGTAGGAAATCCCTCCTCATTGTGTTGTACAAAATTTGCAATACGGTATTGCCCTGAAGGTAAAACATCACTTAATTGTAAGGAATTTCCCCTACATGGATTACTTCAAAAACACAGATTTTAAAATTCACTGGCCCAGAGTTCCTGGGGCCTGGAGTAAAAGCATTCTGATCCTTGAAACTTCAGTTTGCCAGGCCCAGTTTCTCAATTTCGCTATTTGTAAAATGGTCTTATCTAACTCAAACCGAAAAGCTCTCAGTTCTGAAGGAAAAATGCTATAAAATTTAAAGTTTAACAACTTAGACAAAACAACAAGCAAGATTCCCAGACATGACACACAAAAAACCCTTACGGGGGAAAATAGTAAATTGAGCTATATTAAAATTATAAGTATCTATTCACTAAAAGACAACATTAAGAGAGTGAAAAGTCATCCCACGAAGTGGGTGCAAATATTCGCTATATGTATATATCCAAGCAGAGACAGGTATTCAGAATAAAGAGTTTCTACAAGCTAACAAAAAAAGTCAGACAGCTGAAGCCCTCACATACTGCTGATGGCAGTGTAAATTAGCACAACCACTCTGAAAATTTGGCAGGATCTACTATGACCCAGCAACTCTACTCCTAGTTACATACCCAGTAGAAATTTTTTTTTATTATACTTTAAGTTCTAGGGTACATGTGCACAACGTGCAGGTTTGTTACATATGTATACATGTGCCATGTTGGTGTGCTGCACCCATTAACTCTAGAAATGTGTGTTTTTTAAAAAAAAAATCTGGATGCTGGTTGCATGGGAGGTATTCATTTTGGGAAAAATTCATTGAGTTACATTCTTAAGGCTGGCATAATTTTCTCTATATAATATGCTTCAATAAAACAGTTTTTTTTTTAAGAAACAGCTTCACAGAACATAAAGATTTACATTTATGGTTCAGCAAAATTACAAATATTTACTTGTATTATGCTTGAAATTCAGGTCCCTCATGAGTTCAAATCATGCGTAATGAATTGAAAATACTTAATATACATAATGTTTAACATAAAACGGTTCTTAAGATTGAAGGCTTCAATGATAGAATGGCTGGAATTGAAACCTACCTCTGCCACTTACTGTGTGACATTGGGCAAATTATTTAATCTATGCTTCTGTTTCCTCATCTGTAAATGGAAATATTAATGGCATCTACCTTAGAGGGCTGCTGTCAGCATTCAATAAGTTAACATATGTTGAAGGCTTAGTGCAGTTACACACAGAAAGCACTCAGTAAGTGTTTGCCATTTTTATAACATTAATGTTTGTTTAACAAATATTTATGGAATCTTCACTCTGTGCAAGGCATAGAGCTGGTTGCCAGAGCAATGAGAGAACCAAAGAAAATAAAATGATTAAATCCTATGGGTTGAAAACCATGGAGAGTCCAGGGCAATGACGCACATACACCATACAGTGGATAAATGTTTGTTACTGCTGCTGCTGAGATAGCAGTAAGTATGGTACTTTCATTTAAATTACATCTCGAGACTAGCAGGCGGAAAGCCTTAAATCCATATTCAACTTGAAGGTTTTATTTGAGCACTAGAAAGAGATTTAACAGTAATGGCCCATGAATCCGAAGATGGGATTCAACTTCCAAAACTGGGAAGTTAATGAAAAATAAGTTTAAGTAATGCGGGTATTGAGTCCCTAGGGCTAGTGTGGCGTTCATGTAGCCCACACGAACAGAGCTAATAAAAAGCCATGTGTAAAAACAATATAAATCATACTGCTGTTTCTTGGACTTGAAAAACTCATCATGACACATTTTTGAAAAAACAAAACTTTGGATTACCATGAATATTTTGACGATATTTTTTCCTAAGCAAGGGAAAGAGGAGTCCCCTTTAAAATATAGAACGTATTCATTGAGTGGAAGACCGATCCTATATCAAATGTCCAGGTTCTACAGACGCCTGGGTCCATAGCACATTATCCCTCTCACCAAAACCAAACCAAACCAAAGTCAGTTTCATTTGAATGCACTCTTGCCATGGTTTCAAAATTTGGAAAGCTCTTGGAATTAAATTTTGAGATGTAAAGGCTGGCTGACAAATTCACAGAAACCCTCTTTCCGACACCAACTTATAAATCCTAAGGCATCCTACAACCCCGTGGGTGCTGGTTTCTAGTTTGCAACGCTCTAACATAGCTTGGTAGAGCTCAGTGGGCTGGGACCATAAGCATTCGGGATTGTGCCACTGAAAAACTGATGTCACATCAAAAGGAACACCTTTCTTCTAATATACTAAAAAGGTTTTGTACAGGCTGGGTCCAGAGGTCTTAGGGCTAGCCAATTCCTGCTCCCAGGTATTCTAAGAAGCCGGAGAAAGCTCCCTGCAGGTAAGGACCCATCGGCGCTTCCCGCACTCTGCCGCGCGGGAAGCGAAGGTTGGAGTCCTTTCCCCACCCCCGGAGGGTGGGCGGGGCCGAAGGACCGCACCGCCCCAGACCCGCCCCCTGCGCGTGGCCCCGCCCACAGCTGCTCCTGGCCGTGCGGCCGCGCGGAAAGCGGAGGCCGGGGGCGGGGCTCACCCCTTGCCCTTGGGGGTCCCCCGGGCTCTGCCAATCAGCGAGCGCCCTGTTGGCCATCCGCAGCCATCCGCGCCCCTCCCTCTCCCGCCCTCCTCCGCGTTCCAGAATCCAAGATGGCGGGATCCAGGCAAAGGGGTCTCCGGGCCAGAGTTCGGCCGCTGTTCTGCGCCTTGCTGCTGTCACTCGGTCGCTTCGTCCGGGGCGACGGCGTGGGAGGAGACCCCGCGGTCGCGTTGCCACATCGCCGTTTCGAGTACAAATACAGCTTCAAGGGGCCGCACCTGGTGCAGAGCGACGGGACCGTGCCCTTCTGGGCCCACGCGGGGAGTAAGCCGGAGCAGAGGGCTGGGGGCCGGGTTCCTCTCCCCCTTCTGCTGCCTCTTCGCCTTTCATCCGCGGCTACCCTGGTGTGCTGAGGTTCCCGTTCCAGCAGCTGCACACCATATGCGCTGTGGAGGGGACCCTCCTGGCAGCCCCTCCGCCGGGTCCCTCCTGGTTCGCACGGTTCCCTCCGCTTGTCCCCGAGTCTTTCCCTCACCCATTCTGTTCTCTCTCACCCGCCTGCTGTCTTCCCTTCTTTGATCTCGTCGGTACTTTCCGTTGGATCTAGAGGTGTTTGGTTACCTCCTACACTTCCTAGCACTCAAACTTGCTTCTAGGTATCATGTTTCACAACGCCACGTCTCTAGGAGAAATGTGCCCTACCCCCAGCCATCCCAACCTGAGACATGTTCTAGAAGCCCCCTTACTTCCTTTCCCGCTTCCACCCCCCACCCCCGATCCCCGATTTCTTTGCTCCGGTGTTAGCAATGGTTAATGCTTCGCTTGAACCCCATGCCCACTGACGGCTCCTGAGATGGCATATAGTAGTATTAGAGTAATTTTTTAAGTCTTTGTATGTCAGAAGACATTCTTATACTGTTGGAACTACACATTTTCCTCTCAGTGACTTGGTGTGGTCTTTGATCTTTTCTCTCGTAGTAACACATTATGTAACTTTTTAGGAGAAGGGATATATTTTTAGGGATTGATTGTTTCTGAACCTGAGACTAAGAATAGCATTACATTTTTAGCCCTTTAAAAAAATTGGAAGCATTGAAATAATCTTGGGTTCATATTTTATTCACTCTCTGTGTTTGGCACTTTTGTAGATAAGAGAGCCTTGCTAGAGCATTTACTTACGTGAAAGAAAACATATCTGCACTTTTTAGTGCTGATGTGTCACTGCTGACTAAGGAGTCAATCGTAGCACTTGGCATGACATAAGCTCTGTTCAGTGACCATCAGATATACCCGTTGAACAAGTGGCAAATGCCTTTATATGAGATGAGGAGCTCTGGCAGTTTGAATTCTATCTTTGTGTGTGATTAATCTTTTTTTTTTTTTTTTTTTTTACTATAAGGTTTAGGGTACATGTGCACAACGTGCAGGTTGGTTAGTATGTATACATTTGCCATGTTGGTGTGCTGCACCCATTAACTAGTCATTTAACATTAGGTATATCTCCTAATGCTATCCCTCCCACCTCCCCCATAAGTAATCTTTTATATAAGGTTTTTATACATCACTTTAGATTATCCAGTTCTTGAAACAAAATGTTTCATTTCTAGAAAGTAATTACTGAATAGGAAGCACCCTTTTAGGAAGCGCTATTTCTCTCAAATTAATGTGTAATTGAAAGGTATAGATTTTAATTTGACTTAATGACCAAGTCATTAAGTAGTTGAAGTAGAGTGCAGTTATTTCGTTACTCAGCAGTCATTTATTATGTGCCCATGCAGCAAGGGTATATTACTGGGCATTTGTTATCAAGGTATCTCTATTCTTGATACACAAAGGTGATGCAAATGATATCAAACACAAGTTTTTGGAGTTTTTGTTTCTATTTGTGGGATGATGAATTATTCAGTAGTGATGGATTTGTTCACACATTTTCACTTCTACACCTCTCCACTGCCTGCCTGTTCTTCTATCCCTTTTCTCTTTTTCTCACACTCACATACACTACATTAGCCAATTAGGAATGTTAATCAACTAGTCAAATCAGCTACCTTGACTTCCTTTACAGAGCCGGAACCAACTAATCTATTCTGCTGCAGAAATGTCAAGATAATGTACCAGTAAATTAAAGCCGTGTGGCTAGAATGAATTTGAAACAAAGTATTAGTATTTTAGCCATGATTTATCTGGCTACTGGCTCTGGGAATCTCTGCTATAGACATCCCTTGCTTTCATTGTCACTGTAGTTTTTGCATAAGCCTCACTGTAACTACATTGATCATTTTTTTCTTTTCGTTTTGCTCTGCAATTCATTACTTTAAAAAAAAAGTAGAGAAATTTAAGATCTAGTTTAAACACAGCCCTTTACCTTCAACCCCAAATTAAGACCAAATCTATGGTGTTTCTCTTTCTTAACTCTAATGTTCCTTTAGTACACTTAAGGCCATAAGGGCAAAAAATGATAATTTGTAACCCTTTATAGCTCTCAGAGTTCTTTCACTTTCATTCTCTGATTTGATCCTTAGTAGACAAGGCGGGTGTTATCTGTTTTATAGATGAAAAACTGATGTTCAGAAAGGTTAAGGTTTTTGAAAAAGGATACATAAGTAGTAAGTGTCAGTGAAGTTGAACTCAAATCTAGGTCTTCTGATTCTGTGTTCAGTCTCTTTCCATGATGCCCACACCCCATCCTTTGAATGTTTGTAAGTAACAGTGAACAGTGACTGATCCTACTAAAGTATCTCAGCTTTCCTTTTTGTCAACTTTTTTCTACCTGTAAAGTGAGATTACAGTTACAGTTGTATTTCCCAGCATGGGTTTCAGAATTAGTTAATATCTGAGAGCTAGAATTGTTCAAATTTTAAGTCTGATAGACCTTTAGTAATTACCTAGTCTAATAATAGGAGAAATAGCTAACATTTATTGAAACATTTAAAGCTACTTGTGTAGGCACTTAAATACCTATGAGGCTGTTCAAGAAATGGAGTAACTTGCCTACAGATCAAACAGCTAGTAAGTAGTAGAGCTGGGGCTTGAACCTAGCCTGGAGATGTAAACCACCGTTTTAGGGATCACTATTTTCTCTGAGAATCTTCTGAAGAATTGCTTTTTGAAGTTCAGTTGACCCTCTCCATGGAAGAATGTATATAAGTACAGTATTTTGCATATAACTTTTAGGGTGTTTATGGAAGTGATCGAGCCTAGCTCCTTCATTTTACAGGTAAACATATGGTGAATCCAAGAGAATAAGAGAATTATTTGCTCAAAGTCACACAGCTGAACTGAGACTAGGAACAAGTCTCTTGATTCCTAGTGGTATGTTCTTTTCACACTGTTTGAGCTTTCTAACCTTTGCAAACAGGTAAAATACGTTGCAGCTTTTCTAAAAATACAAATTTTTAAGGTTTTTAAAAAGAATGTTATGAGACTCAGATAGTTTGCCTTAAAGTCATAATTCCCTTTCTCTCACCCACTGTCCCTGTAATTTTTAGTGTATGAGTGTAGCTTTAATTTTTTTTATTTGATAAGGGAGGTGTTAGCCCTAAACTTTTAAAGTTAAAACTGTCAACATGAAATTTTTTCCAAATCATTATTGTACAGGTTACTAAGTCTCTGTAGGTATATTTAGCAGTTTGGAAATGATCATTGAGTTTTACCTAATTATAACTTAAAGCTTTTTTCCCCTGATTTCTGTTCTAGATGCTATTCCAAGTTCAGATCAAATTCGAGTAGCACCATCTTTAAAAAGCCAAAGAGGCTCAGTGTGGACAAAGACAAAAGCGGCCTTTGAGAACTGGGAAGTTGAGGTGACATTTCGAGTGACTGGAAGAGGTCGAATTGGAGCTGATGGCCTAGTATGATCATTTCTTTAACTTAGAAAATGTGCATAAATGCATATACCACTAGCCTCTAACTGTTCCCTATTACATATTTTCAGGCAATTTGGTATGCAGAAAATCAAGGCTTGGAGGGCCCTGTGTTTGGATCAGCTGATCTGTGGAATGGTGTTGGAATATTTTTTGATTCTTTTGACAATGATGGAAAGGTATATTTATTGTCAGGACTGTTATCCACTTTAATACATCTATCAACAGAGTTAGGCTGTGAGAAATAATAGCTTATTCAATGCTTTCATCAGTTTGATAGTACAGAACTCCCCAAGCTATATGGTAAATGTGATAATTAGTCTTTATATAGCTAGGAATGTATCAGTTTAATTTACATGTGCATGATTTTTTGTACATCAGCTTGAGGGCATAGTAGAGCCCTGACTCTCAGAACTTTGCAGTGACCCCTGCTCCCATGGCCCTATTTAATGGATAAATACAAATCCTTAGACGTAGGTGGTGAAAACAGTAGTGTTTAGGAGACTCTACTAAACACTTACATAAGCACATCCAAGTCCATGACTAATGCTAGCTCACATATTCATGTCTGGTCATATGTTAATCATTCTTTTTGATCGGGCCAATTTTTCTGATGATCTCTCCTAAAACAGTTAAGATCAAAATGTACTTACAAATTGGAAACATTAGCTTGTGGCTTAACAGCCTTAAGGTTGATGATCTTCCCATCAGCTGGTTGTTTCTCTATTAATTTTCAGGGGTTATTGTTAGCAATTTAAAGAACTTTAGTAATTCCTTGAGTGCCAAGGCCAGGTTATTTTAAAATTTTGAGTCCTAGAATCTTAGATATGTAAGTCACTTCATAGTACATCAAGAATGATGTAGAATGCTTTGATTAAAGACATTTTTTAAAATGTTTTCCTTTTTTTTAGAAAAATAATCCTGCTATAGTAATTATAGGCAACAATGGACAAATCCATTATGACCATCAAAAGTAAGTGTGTGTTTTTTACATTACTCCTGATTTCAGCTTCTTTTTGGAATCCTTATGAAATACATTGTTTCAAATCTGAACACCTTCCAAATGAAAAAAATACTGTTCTTTTTCTTGAGACATATTTTGTAACTTGGTAGAAAGGTTTTATTTTATTTGGTTCTGTTCTGAAGTTCTATCTGTGGACCATCTCAGATTCAACCATGGTATGTGTTTTTAATTTAACCTCAAATTATTTAATAATATACTTTTGAAAGTTTATAGACTGTTCCTGGCTCTCAGTGATGCCACTAATCATGCATTTTTATCTTCATTAAAAGGGATCTTTAAAAAATAAAGTTGAGCCTTGATTATTAAGGCTGATGATTAAGCAATTTATGCCATCTTATTTAACTTCAATATTGTGTTATTTAAAGACTCAGTGGTTTGCAGAGATTCTAAGTGTTCAGTACAGTCAACCCTCTGTATTTGTGGGTTCCGTATCTGTGGATTCAACCAACTGCAGATCAAAAATAATACAAATTATTTTGTGTACGCAACAAGAATACAAATTTTAAAATACATTGTAACAACTATTTACAAAGCATTTACATCATATTAGGTGTGATAAGTAATCTAGAGATGATTTAAAGTATACAAGAGGATATGTACACGTTATATGTAAATACTGTGCCATTTTATATAAGGGACTTCAGCATCTGAGGATTTTGGTATCCACAGGGGTCCTGGAACCAATGTCCTATGGATGTTGAAGGATGACTGTATATTTATAATGTATATAAATTAGGTATGTACATTTTTTATTTTCACGTGTTTGTTGTGGAGGAAATAGCTTTTAACCAGTGAACTGTAAGAAAGGTGACTTATCCATGTGCCTGTTTACTGTTTTTCTGCCTTAGTGAGTTTCAGCCCTGGTAGTTCATCATAACTCCCTATGGAGCTATTTAAAATGGAGGTGCCTAGGCCACCTCCTTTTGATTCTGCTTCAGTTGATTTGGAGTGGAATCTACATGTTAAAAGCCCAGAGAGTGATTCATGTTCTGCCCTAGGGTAGAGATTCACTGCCTTAGTCTCATGTAGTCTCGTGTAGTCTTTTGAGTAAATAACATAAAGTATCTCAAGACTTTTTCATAACTTGATATTATTTTAGTCTTCCTGAATTTTTAAATATTGAAAAGCTGAGTGTCTTGTCTGTTTTCCTCCCCCTTACACTATAGTGACGGGGCTAGTCAAGCTTTGGCAAGTTGCCAGAGGGACTTCCGCAACAAACCCTATCCTGTCCGAGCAAAGATTACCTATTACCAGAACACACTGACAGTAAGTAACATCTATTTAGAGAGAATCAAATAAACAATGTTACAGTATCACTTTTCATTTTGAATTTTTGATAGAAATTAAATGCACTTAAATTTGGATATGCTTACATACTCTTCATTGTTACTCTAAGAGAACGGAGGTGGCTTCACAGCTCAGTGTAAGTGGTCATCTGTTGTAAACCCCTGATGGTATGTTTCCATTTAGTCAGTAAATGTTTAAGCCCCCTACTGTATAGCACATGTGAGAGATATATATATCTATAGATAGATAGATAGATAGGTAGATAGATAGATAGACGGATAATCTCCAAGCCTTCAGGATACAAATATGAGTAAGACAGATGGACTTTCTCCCCAGAGAGCTTATAGCCTAACAGAGGACACACAAATGTATCATTCCTATGCTGTGTGATAAATGCTGCGTTGCAGACACTATCAAGCGGTCCTGTGGTTAGAATCCTGTAACTGCCAGGTGGAGGTGGGGAAGGGCAGGAACATTTTCTCAGAGTTGAGCTGTGCCCTACAGGGAGATCAGGAAGTTCCTGGGAGTTGGGGGAAGAGGGTGTGTGTGTGTGCGAGTGAGTGGGTGTACTCCAAGCACAGAAAGCAGGCATAGGCCCTTGAGAGAGCTTGAAATATTTTGGAAAGGCATGTAGTTTGGTGTGGCTGGGAGATAGAAGAGATCAGTGAGCAGTGAGGTTGAAAGGGCAGTAACAGGCCTTGCACAGCTTCCTGTAGTTTAACCCATAAGAAGCTTTTAAAAATGTTTAAAGGGTTTTAAGCAGGAAGTGAAATTATCAGATTTGCAATTTAGAAAGATGACTTAGGTCCCAGTATTCTTAGTACCAGTTTTCTTGGGGTTAGGGGTGAACACAGTTGTTGAGTCAAGGAGAGTTCCTGAATATAGCCAATTGGACAGCTAATTGGTACTATTTACTAGCAAAGAAGCAGCACATTTGTTTGTGTTTTATCTGTTTGGGGGAGGAATGGGAAATCAGAGGGTTGGTAATGAGTTTAGTTGTAGGTAAATTGAGGTTAGCATAACATATAGGTGGAGATATCTAACTGGCAGTTATGATAACTAAGATCACTATGCATTGTAAACTTTGCTTTTTAAAGATGCCATTAATACCTGGTTATATAATACTTAAAAGTAAAAAAAATAGTGTATGAATTTTTCTTTCACCTAAATCATGAGCTAGACTTACACTCCTGGGTCTAAATCTCTGAGAAAGTTAGTTCTGTGGAAAACTGTATTGGCTTAGTCTTAATTCCAAGCTAATTTAGAGATCTTAGAATAGAGCAAGTGTCCAATGTATTATAATTAGCTTGGGTTTGAATTCCACTATAATTATTCACCCTGTACAGTTTCATTAGAGTCATCAGTAAGTCTTGCTTACCTGCATGTAGCAAAGCCCAGACATCAAGCATGGTGGGTGCAGACTGTCCGTGTGACCCAACACCGTGAGGCTGTGAGCCCTGGCAGCACTCCAAAACAATAGCCTTGCAAAACGTACTCCCCAGAAAGGGTTCCACAATTGATGAGATTGGTCACTACTCTGCATATTAGCACATTAAAGATTTCTTTATGAAGGATCCTTTATAAAGAAAGGATAAATAAACCTTTATTAGACCTCACATTTCCCAGACTGACTTAACTATGGAATTTTTTTTCACCTAATGTCTATGAGTGATCATGGAGCTAGTGTTTTCAGGTACACGTTTTGAAGAGACTGGCTGGACACGTGACTGCTACTTATTGGTTTTCACCTCTCTGTACATCTCAGTCTGGTAATAATTCCTTTTCTTTCTACTTGTTAAAGTCATACTTAGCTTTGAGCACACAAATTCAGATCCCTTTTCTATCAGATTTCCTAAACAGCTCATAATGATCTGTCTCTCCTAAACTCTTAGAGTATTTTTTTTTCTCTAATGCTTATTTGGCCTTGAGATATGTTGTACTGATTTGCTTATTAACTATATGTATATCTCTTCTTATCAATATGATTGTAAACTTCTCACAATAGGCATATCCTGTATTTCTCCTAGTTCCTAATATTGTGCCAATGTGAAGTGCTCAAGAAGTATTTATTTTCATGAGTACTTGCACCCTAGCTTGTCCCAGTTGTTTCCACATTGGAGGGAAAAACAAAGTAAGAGGAGGTTGAAAGCAATAAGTGCTGTTGGTGGGGGAAACACAGCCAAAGCAAGAGATCTTAAATATTGCAAGTGTAGTCTTTAACAATGGTTTGAAACCATAAGGTGAATAAGGAAGGTTATTGATGATCTCATAAAGAAGTAATAATCAGTGGACAGTTTGTACCTAGGCTTTCAGTTACAGTCCTTCCTAACATTCCTGCTAACTCACAGTACAATGAAATGTGTTACGTCCTTTAAAAAAAAATTGGGGCCGGGCGCGGTGGCTCACACATGTAATCCTAGCACTTTAGGAGGCCGAGGCGGGCGGATCACGAGGTCAGGAGATCAAGACCATCCTGGCTCACACGGTGAAACCCCGCCTCTACTAAAAATACAAAAAAATTAGCCAGGCTTTGTGGCGGGAGCCTGTAGTCTCCGCTACTCGGGAGGCTGAGGCAGGAGAATGGCGTGAACCCTGGAGGCAGAGTTTGCAGTGAGCCGAGATCACACCACTGCACTCCAGCCTGGGCGACAGAGCGAGACCCTGTCTCAAAAAATAAATAAATAAATAAAAATAATTGGAACTAGACAATGAAGACTCATGCTGGATTTTCAGTTTGTTAGAATTCAAGGAAAAAAATACTGAACAATTGGAGGATTTTAGTATTGTAATTTGAATGTAATAATCTACAGTCTTTTTAAGACTCAAAGGCAAATAACTTCCTGATTGTTGATTCTAATTTAAAAGGCTCTGTGGAGGAGGACCAGTTGTAAATGATGTAAAATGAAATAGGAATATTACTAATCACAGGAAACATATTAATATGAACCAAATGCTAAATGATCTTTTAAAATTAATTATTTTAAACTAATTTTTAGTTCACATGTTTCCATTCTACAGTATATAGAGAGTAACTCTTCATATTGACAGATTTTATTCTCTTGCTGAAAATTTGGACAGAATACCAGAACATTTTGCCTGTGTGACTGAATCTTAAGTCTCTGACAAAATTTTGACTCTAGAAGTAATGACTCAAGTTCCCTTACTCTGGTGCCTTGGGCCTTCTCCTGCAACCACCCTGAACCTCAGTGACTGTTGTTTAGGGTGGGACTCGTGAGAGGATTATTAGAAATGAAATGTATTGAAGAGGCTGAACCACTGCTTGACTGGGATAATGAGAAAAGCATTCATGTGTCAGGTGGATTCCTGTGCTTGCCTAGGATTCTAAGATTCTGTTAAGAAATTTAGGATCATTCCTTCAAATATACATTTTGCAAAGTAGAAACGTACATCTTTTTAGTTTTTTCCTTCTCTGCCTTGTCAGTATGACTTCTGTCACTTTTGTTCTCTGCTAACCTGTGACAGTCCAGATACCTCACTAATTTAATTAAGAGGAGCTCACTACTTGTTGAGACAATCTGTTTAATTCTCAACCAGCTGCAGATAAAATTGTAAATTTAACCTCTTGGTTTTAGCTGTCACTGGGATCTGAGAACAAGTCTGATCCCTCTGCTGCATGAACCATTCCAAGGGAGTAATGATGACTCCCTAGGTCTTCTTGAGAGAAGGCAAACCATATTCCATTTTAGAAAGGTTTTCATAGAAAGTTATCAGATTTTTCTCTCTTTAAACTTTTGACACATAGTGGGGCAAAACTCATTTTTTTAAGTAAAATATATTGTATATTGACACCAAGTAGGAAACGTTATTTAAAATTACTCTTTATAATAATGAAACAAAACTGAATAGTAGTCATAAAATGGATCGATTGAAATTTATTTTCTAATGTCTTTTGCAAAAGCTATAGCTATGATATGTCTTTCTAGGTAATGATCAATAATGGCTTTACACCAGATAAAAATGATTATGAATTTTGTGCCAAAGTGGAAAATATGATTATCCCTGCACAAGGGCATTTTGGAATATCTGCTGCAACTGGAGGTCTTGCAGGTAAATCTTGCAGTCTGATGATATTAAAAGTTTGTGAGGTGTGTTTTATTGGGAATAGTATATTAGGGATATGTAGACTTGTTTATACTAATAACTTTTTAAGACTGTTTGGAACTTTCCCATCACCTCTTGTGCCAGTCTTTTGGTCTGTTGAGATTGCTAATTTTCTACTTACATTGTTCGGTAGGTGTACAGTTAACTGGGGCTGTATACAAGTGTGTCAATTACAGCATCAGTTTGGGTGCTATTTTATAGTGAAGGAGACATATTTAAAGTAGAGGCTATCAAAGTCAGCAGGCTTAAAGGCTGGAGATCAAACCACATGACAATTAACTAAAATAGCAGTCTTGGCTAGTCACATCCACAGAAAGGTTAATTGCCAAGTGTTTTAGGATCCTGATCATTGTCACATCACATGTAAATGAATTTGGCAACCTAAGGAAAGGTTATTTGGTGACTAAACTTTAAACAAAACCATAGTTACCATTTTTTTCCACATAAGGTGATAAATTACCATTCAACGTCAATGCCATTTTATGTTTATATGACACATTGTAGTTTTAAATATTTTCAAATACATGGATTGTTCCTGACAACCCAGAGAAGAAGGGAGGGAAGATCCTATTTTCCATATTTTTAGAAGAACTTGCCAAATTTTAGGTGAAAGAAATTTCTGAAGATCGTATGGCCAATTGATGGTAAGCCCCAGGCAGGACTCGGCCTGGATTTCTGACTCCAGGTTCAGTGCCCTGTTACCCAACACAGTTTCTTAAGTTACTTAGTCTACACTACAGTATTATAGTTTTCTTTTTAATCTGTCTACATCTCTAGATTCCGTAAAAACAGTACAAAGCATAAAGATTGCTGTACGATTGATATTAATTGCTCTTGATTGGTGGATGTGACTAGCCAGGATTGGTATTTTAGTTAAGGGTTAGGAAGTTTGATTTGCTGAGCTGGTGCTTTTAGCATAAACAGCTTGAATTTGATTTTTTGATATGATTTTAGGTAAGATAAAATTATTAATATCTTCCATGTGAGAGAAACAAATAAGAAAGTAAGACAAAAGGTGGTATGCACTCTTAAGAAAGGTTCAGAGACATATAGGTACCCGGCAGTATGTGGAGACCAGGATTTTCTCTCATTTGTCTGGGACGTTGTCCATGAAGGAGATTTGTGGGAAACCATGGAGGATCTTGGTACCAGAATAAGGAGTTTGGACTTCTTTTGACCCTTCATTTGTTTGTTCATTTCTTATCAAACATTGATTAAACATCTATTATATGTTAAACACTGCTAAATATTCTGATTTAGGGTTTTAAAAAGTGAGTTTTGGATTATTTCTAATATAAATCTTTCAGGTGAATTTTGGTCTCTAAGCTCACAGAGTGCCATTGCCTTTACCAAATTAGTGCTAATTTTTGTCAATTCCCTCACTGGTTATTGTTATTTAAAACAATAAATATTGATAAAATACATTTACAATGATAAAAGTAATCTCCTATGGAACTTTTTCAGACTTTTTTTTTTTTAATTTGTAGATGACCATGATGTCCTTTCTTTTCTGACTTTCCAGTTGACTGAACCTGGAAAAGAGCCGGTAATTTTACACATATTTTCAAAAACTTTATCAGTTTAGTTTGCCTTTTAGCTGAACGTTTTGGAAGACTAACTTAGGTTTGGATCTTGTTTCTGCCAGTTACTGCTATATGGTCTTGTGCAAGTCACTGAACCTCTGTAATGCTTCATTTCTTTTTTTTTTTTTTTTTTTTTTTTTTTTTTTTTTTTTTTTGAGACGGAGTCTCGCTCTGTCTCCCAGGCTGGAGTGCAGTGGCGCGATATCTGCTCTCTGCAAGCTCCGCCTCCCGGGTTCACACCTGTAGTTCCAGCTACTCGGGAGGCTGAGGCTGGAGAATCACTTGAACCTGGGAGCGAGAGGTTGCGGTAAGCTGAGATCAAGACACTGCACTTCTCCTGCCTCAGCCTCCTGAGTAGCTGGGACTACAGGCTTCCGCCACCACACCCGGCTAATTTCTTGTATTTTTTGCTAGAGACGGGGTTTCACCATGTTAGCCAGGATGGTCTCGATCTCCTGACCTTGTGATCCGCCTGCCTTGGCCTCCCAAAGTGCTGGGATTACAGGTGTGAGCCACCACGCTCGGCCACGCTTCATTTCTTAATTGCTAAAACAGAAATGTTTGTACTGGCCACCTCATGATATTGAAGGATTGAGACAGTGCACGTATAGCAAGTGCTCAGTAAATGGTAGTGGTTATTATTAGAGGCAAGAGTAGGCCGGGTGTGGTGGCTCATGCCTGTAATCCTAGCACTTTGGGAGGCCAAGGTGGGCAGATCACCTGAGGTCAGGAGTTTGAGACCAGCCTGACCAACATGGCAAAACCCCATCTCTACAAAAATACAAAAAATAGCTGGGTGTGGTGGTGCACACCTATAGTTCCAGCTACTCAGGAGGCTGAGGCTGGAGAATCGCTTGAACCTGGGAGGGACAGGTTGCAGTAAGCTGAGATCAAGACACTGCACTTCAGCCTGGGCAACAAAGTAAGAGTCCATCTCAAAAAAGAAAAAAGGGCCAGGCGCGGTGGTTCACGCCTGTAATCCTAGCACTTTGGGAGGCCGAGGCGGGTGCATTGCCTGAGCTAAAGGGTTCAAAACCAGCCTGGACAACACAGTGAAACTCCATCTCTACTAAAAAATACAAAAAAAATTAGCTGGGCATGGCAGCAGGTGCCTGTTGTCCCAGCTACTCGGGAGGCTGAGGCAGGAGAATTGCTTGAACCTGGGAGGCAGAGGTTGCAGTGAGCCGAGATCACGCTACTGCACTCCAGCCTGGGTGACAGAGCGCGACTCTTGTCTCTAAAAAAAAAAAAAAAAAAAAAAAAAAAGAGTAATTTGCTATCGTTTAAGTAAAGAAGGAATACATTTTTATGTTAACCTTTCCGCTAGTGGTAGAAGAGTTAAAATGAGAAAAATAACATGTATAGAGATATCTTAATGATTTTCTTATCTTTTTAATGATCTATTCCAAAACTCCAAAAAAAAGCCCACACCAGATAAAGAAATTTCGGAAAAGGAAAAAGAAAAGTATCAGGAGGAATTTGAGCACTTTCAACAAGAATTGGATAAAAAAAAAGAGGAATTCCAGAAGGGCCACCCCGACCTCCAAGGGCAGCCTGGTGAGTTGTAGCAAAGCTGACATGGGTGCCGCAGCAGGGCTTGAGGCTGTTGATCATGGACGCTTGAGTCTCTGTGTTGCCTAGCTCATCCCTGCTCTCTGAACAGGCACATTCCAAGTGATTTCTGGAAACAATTTAGGAGCAAATCTTTAGTCTTTAAGAGTCAAGAGATTGGCATTTTTACCAGTGAGAATGTGGCTTAGTCATGTATGAAATAAAGAGTACCATGGTTATTTGGAGGAATGGGACCGCTAGAGTGAAAGCTCCATGAGGACAGGGATTTTGTTAATATTCATTGCTGTGACCACTAAGCCTAAAAATAAATCCAAAACAATGCTAACCTAGTAGTTCAGGTTCAGTAAATATTTTTTGACTGAAATCATCAAAAGTGTATATTTTTGGTTTTAGTGACACATAATTACCTTATAGTGTGGAGATAATCCTTAAAATCTATCAAAACTGTTGTGAAAGTAATGTGACATATCTGCTTCTCCTCCCCATACTACTCGATAGAATCCTGGACTGTATACTTGAAAATTATAAAATACTAGTCTAACCCAATGTTATTAAGAACGTGAGTGTGCTAATGTCAAAAATAAAACATTTTAAGGCCAAATTGAGGGAATTTATATTATCTGCTAGCTTTTTATCTGAATTGTTCCCAGTCAGCATAAGTGATCAAAGGTGTACTTAATAAAGGCTGTGGCTAGCATTTGAACTCTATGTAGTATGCAGTTCTCTTAATGATCAACAGTATGAGTCAGACTTAATGAATTTAAAAATGAAACATAAAGGTCATTCTTATTTTGAATTTGTTTTAAACATCATCACATAAAATTTGTGAGTATATCCTGAAGCTGACTTTAGTGTTTGAAAAGTATTGTTTAGTAAATTTTGACAAATGTGTATACCCATTTAACCATCACCCCGATCAGTACACGGAACATTTTTATCATCCCAGAAAGTTCCCTCATGCCTCCTTAAAGTCAACAACCTTCTCCACAGAGCCCATCACTATTCTTATTGTTATCACTGTAGATTAGTTCTGCCTATTCTTATAAGTAGAATCACACAGTGTAATGAAAGAGAAATATTTTTCCATTTTAATTTTATTTAACTTTTTATGTATTTAGGAAGAGTACAAGTGCAGATTTCTTATATGCTTGTGTCATATAGTGGTGAAGTCTGGGGTTTTAGTGTACTCTCACCCTAATGAACCTGGTACTCAGTGGGTAATTTTCAACCTTCATTCCCCTCCCACCTTTTGTAGTCTCCAGTGTCCGTTATTCCACTCCATTTGTCCATGTGTACCCATTGTTTAGCTTTTACTTATAAGTGAGAATGTATGGTATTTGACTTTCTAAGTCATTTCACTTGGGATAATCACTTCCAGTTCCATCCATGTTGCTGCAAAAGACATAATTTCATTCTTATTTTATGGCTGAGTAGTAGTCTATAGTATATACATACATATATACACACACACACGCCACATTTTCTTTATCAAGTTCTCTGTTGATGGGCATTTAGGTTGATTCCATATCTTTGCTATTGTAAATAGGGCTGCAATAAACGTATAAGTGCAAGTATCTTTTTGATATAATGATTTCTTTCCCTTTGGGTAAACACCCAGTAGTGGGATTGCTGGATCAAACGGTAATTCTAATTTTAGTTCTTTGAGAATTCTCCATACTGTTTTCCATGAAGGTTGTACTAATTTACATTCCCACCAACAGCATATAAGCATTCCCTCTTCTCCACATCTTGACAACATCTGTTGTCTTTTGACTTTTTAATAATGGCCATTGTGACTTGTGTAAGATAGTATCTCATTGTGGTTTTAATTTGGATTTTTTTGATGATTAGTGATGTTGAGCATTTCTTCATTTATTTGTTGGCCACTTGCGTGTCTTCTTTTGAAAAATGTCTGTTCATGCTCTTTGCCCAGTTTTTTAATGGGCTTTTTGTTTTTCTCTTGAGTTGTTTGAGTTCCTTGTAGATTCTGGATATTAGCCCTTCGTTGGATGCATAGTTTGCAAATATTTTTTCCCATTCTGTAGGTTAGATTATTGTGTTGATTGTTTCTTTTGCTGTGTAGAAGCTTTTTAGTTTAAGTCCCATTTGTCTATTTTTGTTTTTCTTGTGTTTGCCTTTGAGGACTTGGTCTAAGTTCTTTACCTAGGCCAATATGCAGAAGAGTCTTTCCTCAGTTTTCTTTTAGGATTTGTATGGTTTCATGTGTTATGTTTAGGTCTTTAATCCATCTTGAGTTAATTTTTGCATATGGTGAGAAGTATGGGTCCACTTGCATTCTTCTATATATAGCTATTCAATTTTTTCTGCACCGTTTATTGAATAGGATGTCCTTTCCCCAGTGTTTATTTTTGTTGACTTTGTTGAGGATCAGTTGATTGTAGGTATGTGGGTTTATTTCCTGGTCCTCTGTTCTGTTCCACTGACTTATGTGTCTGTTTTTATACCAGTATTATGCTGGTTTGGTTACTTTAGCCTTGTAGTATAATTTGAAGTCAGGTAATGTGATGCCTCCAGATTTATTCCTTTTGCTTAGCATTGCTTTGGCTATTTGGGCTCCCTTTTTTTTCCATATGAGTTTTAGGATTTTTTTTTTCTAATTCTGTGAAAAATGACATTGGTAATTTGATTGGGAGTGTCTAGAACTAGTAGATAGTTTTGGGCAGTATGGTCATTTTAACAATATTGATTCTTCCAATTCATGAGCATGGGATACTTTTCCATTTGTTTGTGTCATCTACCATTTCTCTCATCGTTGTTTTGAAGTTCTCCTTATGGAGAGCTTTCCCCTTCTTGGTTAAATATATTTCTAGGTGTTTTTTTTTTTTTTTAGCTGTTGTAAATGGAATTGCCTTCTAGATTTGGTCTGCTAGATCATTATCAGTATATGAAAATGCTACCGATTTCTGTACATTAATTTTTTATCTTGAAACATTACTGAATTCATTTATCAAATCTAAGAGTTTTTTGGTGGAGTCATTAGGATTTTTGAGATATAAGATCATATCATTAGCAAACAGGGATAATGTTACTTACTCATTTCCAGTTTGGATGCCTTTTATTTTTTTCTCTTGCCTGATTGCTCTGGTGAAGACTTCTAGTATTATGTTATTACACGTAAGAGTGATAAAAGTGGCATCCTTGTCTTGTTCCAGTTCTTAAAGGGAATGTTTTCAACTTTTCCCTGTTAAGTGTGAGGTTGGCTGTGGGTTTGTCATATGTGGCCTAATGTTGAGGTGTGTTCATTGAGGATTTTTATCATGAAGGGATGATGAATTTTATTGAATGTCCTTTCTGAGTCTGTTGAAATGATCATGTGTTTTGTTCTTAATTCTGTTTATGTGGTGTATCATATATATGGATTTTTATATGTTGAACCCTCCTTGCATCCCTGGGATAAATCCCACCTTGATCGTGCTGTATTATCTTTTTGATGTGCTGTAGGATTCATTTTGCTGGTATTCTGTAGAGGATTTTTGCATCTTTGTTCATCAGGGATATGGGTCTGTAGTTTTCTATTTTTTTGTGTCCTTGTCTGGTTTTGGTATCAGGGTGATACCGCCCTCATAGGATGAGTTAGGGGGAATTCTCTCCTCAGTGTTTTGGAATAATTTCAGGAGAATTGGTTCTTCTTGATATGTTTGATAGAATTCAGCTATAAGTCCATCTAGTCCCGGCTGTTGTTAAGAGATTTTTTTTTTTACTACTGATTCAGTCTTGCTACTCATTATTGATCTGTTCAGGAGTTCTGTTTCTTCCTGTTTCAGTCTCAGAAAGTTGTGTGTTTCCAGGAACTTATCCATTTCCTCTAGGTTTTCTAGTTTGTGAGCATATAGGTGTTCAAATAGTTTCTGACGATCTTTTGTGTATTTGTGGAATCTGTTGTAATGTCTCCTTCTTTTCTGATTGTGTTTATTTGGATCGTCTCTCTTCTTTTCTTGCCTAGTCTAGCTAGTGGTTTATCAATTTTGTTTATCTTTTCAAGGAAGCAACTTTTTGTTTTGTTGATCCTTTATTAATTTTTTTGGTCTCTATTTCATTTAGCTTTGCTCTTATGTTTGTTATTTCTTTTCTTTGCTAACTTTGGGTTTGGTTTGTTCTTGTTTTTCTAGTTTGCAGAGGAATAATGTTAGATTGTTTGCGATCTTTCCACTTTCTGATGTGGCATTTAATGCTGTAAACTGCCCTCTTCACACTGCTTTTTTCAGTTTTGGTTTGGTGTTTCCATTTTCATTCATTTCAAGAAATTTTTACATTTGTGTCTTAATTTCTTCATTGACAAAGTGAATGTTCAGGAGCATGCTGTTTAATTTCCATGTGTTTGTTTAGTTTCTTAAGTTCCTCTTAGTATTGATTTCTAGATTCATTCCATTGTGGTCTAAGACACTTGATATGATTCTGATTTTCAAAAATTTGCTAAGACTTATTTTGTGGCCTAATATGTAGTCCTGTGTCGGAGAGTCTTCTATGTGCTGGTGAAAAGAATGTATATTCCATAGTTATTGTAGAAAGTTCTGTAAATGTCTAAGTCCATTTGGTCTAAAGTCCAATTTAAGCCCAATGTTTCTTTGTTATTTTTCTGTCTCGATCTATCTAGTGTTGTGTGTGTGGTGTTAAATTCTCCCACTATTATTGTATTACTGTTTTTCTCTTTCTTTAGGTCTCGTAATAATTGTTTTCTGAATTTTGATGCTCTAATGTTGGGTGCATATAAATTAGGATTGTTATATCCTCTTGGTGAATTGATCCCTTTATCATTATATAATAACCTTCTTTGTCTTTTCTTTTTTAAGTCTGTTTTATCTCATATAAGTACAGCTACTCCTCTCACTTTTGGTTTCCATTTGCTTGGACTATTATTTTCCACCTCTTTACTTTCAGTCTATGTGTGTCTTTATGAATAACCTAAGTTTCTTGTAGGCAGTATATAGTTGTGCCATGTATTTTAATCCATTCTGCCAGTCTGTATCTTTTAGTGGAACATTTAATCCATCTGCATTCAAGGTTAATATTGATATATGAGGCTTTGTTCTTGTCATATTGTTCATTATTTTCAAGTTGTCTTATAAATTCTTTGTTCCTTTCTTTTTTCCATCTTTGTCTTTGTCATTTGATGAAATTCTGTCATGTTGCCATTTGATTCTTACATCTTCCTCCCCTCTGTGATTGTTTTATAAGAACTTTTATTTTATATTTCTGTTTTTATCATGGTGAATATTGCCCTTTTGTTTCCATGTTTAAGACCGCTTTGAGCATTTCCTGTCATGCTGGTCTGGTAATGACGGATTTCCCCAGCATTTGCTTGTCTGGGAAAGGCTTTATTTCTTCTTCATTTGTGAAGCTGATTCTAGCAGGATATAAAATTCTTGGCTGACAGTTTTTTTTTTTCTTTTATTAGCACTTTGAGAATGCCCATTCCTTTCTGGCCTGTAAAGCTTCTGCTGAAAAGTCTGCTGTTAATCTGATGGAATTTCCATTATAAGTGACTAAATACTTCTCTCTTGCTAATTTTAAAATTATTTCACATTGACTTTAGACATTCTGAATACAATATGCTGTAGTGAAACCCTTTTTGCAATATATTTTTCTGGGGATTGCTGGGCCTCCTGTATCTGGACATCTAACTCTTTTGCTAGACTTGGGAAGCTCTCATCAATTATTTTCTTAGTTATTCTCCTTAGCCAGACAACAACTGCAGCCATATGAACTTGAACTCGGACTAAGGATAGGGCACAGCCCAGCATGAAACTCTCAAAATTGTGCCTTGTGCCTGGGACCAGGGAGAGCAGGGCCCTTCCTAGTCAGGTGTCATGAGCAAGAAGCTGTAAGGAGTGCAGTCTGCTCACATCTCAGTTTCACAAGAGCCCATTGCAGGGCAGTGGGTATTGTCCTAGATATGCATAGGAGAGCCTGTTTCCTGTCTCTCCTTGGCCAGGTGGTAGCTACAGCCTTGTCAGCCCAAACATAGCCTGAGGGTGGGGCACAACCCTCCATTAAACTCTCAGTGTTTCACCTTGGGTCTGGGACCAGAGAGGGTAGGGTCCCTTCCAGGCAAGCAGCATGGGCAAGAAGCTGTGGGGAGTGCTGTCTACTCATGTCTCAGTATCAGCAGCACCCTTCAGCAAGGCAGGAGGGACCTTCCTAGGGGTGCATGGGAGTGACCAGTGTCCCCCCTTCTCTCCTTGGAACATTGCAGCGACTGCAGCCATGTCTGTAGATCCCCAGTATCTAGGCTATCAACAGTGGTGCCCAACTGGAGCTGTTGTAGGCTCAAATGCCTGTGGGATTCCATGTGGTTTCCCTTTATGGAGCAACATCTCTGTGCAATATTTAGGCAGTTCCATATGTCCAGCCCACAGCCCTAGTGGGTCAGAGGTTTCTCCTGTAGCCAGGATCATAAAAGCCCATTTTGGACTGCAGGGCCCTGGGGTTTTCTCTCTTACTGTTTCCCATCATCTAGGAGCCCTTCTGGTGCTCAGTCAGCTCCTGGCTGGGCAAGCTGCCTCAAACTCTCTCCTTATTTTGGTGCTTCCCATTTCTTCTCTGATGAATCCTAGCATTCTCTCCTAGGCAATCTATTTGAAATGCAAGTATCTACTTACTACTCTGGTTTTTCTCCGTGGAGGAGGTACATACTACTTGCATCTGGTTAGCCATTTTGATCCCTCCTGAGATTATCCAAGAAAAATTGTTTTTAAATAAAAAAATTTAAACCCAGTTTATAATAAGTGTTCAATCACCTGAAATGGCAGAAAACAAATAATTTAATCATTATTGAATTAATTATTTGCATATTTTCTGTTTGGGAGATTGTACCACTGTGATGGTGATGTCCTAATTTTGCTGAATGTTGGCACTTTGGTCACTTACGTTATTTCAAAAACTACATATGTGTAGGTGACTCTGATCATTTTTATTTATTTCCTTTTCAGCGGAGGAAATATTTGAGAGTGTAGGAGATCGAGAGCTAAGACAAGTCTTTGAAGGACAGAATCGTATTCATCTTGAAATCAAGCAGCTGAACCGGCAGTTAGATATGATTCTTGATGAACAGAGAAGATATGTCTCTTCCTTAACAGAGGAAATCTCTAAAAGAGGAGCAGGAATGCCTGGGCAGCATGGGCAGGTGGGCTTGCAGAATATGCAGATGTGCCCCATTTACCCTTTGCTGGAAGGGAAGTAAAGAAGAAGGGCAACTGTACTATGTGCTCATAGAATGTGGATTATTCAGCTTGCTCGTCATTGTTTCTTCCTCCAGATTACTCAACAAGAACTGGATACTGTTGTGAAAACTCAGCATGAGATTCTGAGACAAGTAAATGAAATGAAGTAAGTATGGAAAAGTAGCGTTTGTGTGTTATGTGATTTTTTTTATCCTAAATTTGTGACTTCAGGTGTGCAAGCACTGTATTGCAAGATTTCTGCATGAGGGTAAGAATCCCGTTCTAGATTCATTTTACAAATAGGGGACCATAAATACAGCAACTTTTAATATTCAAAAACTGCAAACATGTCTAAAGTTTTTAATTGTTTAGAGCTGGAAAAGAAAAAATGTTTTGGCATCTTTTAAAGAGATTTGTCAGTTACTTGACAGAGCCAGGTGTGTTCTTATATTTATAAAATATAAAAAGAATATGAAATAATATATAACACTTTTATGAAAAGTACTAGAGGAATAAATATGTGTAGCATTGTAAGACTATAATACAAGCAGACCTGATGCAGGAAATTCTTTTTGATGGAATGAAACCATTTTGAACGTAATATGTGTGACTACCTCTTTTTCATTCCCATCTTTTACTCTCAGAGAGACTGGACAGAGTTGGAGCAGAGAGGAGATAATTGTGTCCTTAGAATGTTGAACAATAAATTTCTAATGAGAATGATTGACTTATGCAGATAATTAATAGCTTTCAATGCCTGGAGCAGAGATAACAAACCATAGTGTCATGTTTCCATAACCTAACATTTCAGAGCACTGTCCCAACCGATAGAACCCTTGACAAACAAGAATGTCAAGGTGAGTTCTTTAGGACTGGAGAATTAAACAAGGTTAGATCAAACAGAAGGTGATTATACCTGATGTCTAGAGATTAAAGGCACTTAACTTATAACTGCAAATTTATATTTCTTCAATTTTTCTCTTTGCATTTTAAAAAATCTTCATAATCTGAACTCATGATTGAAATATTTATGATGCTAGATGAATAGTTTAGCTCTTCAAATAGTTTAGTTAAATGAATAGAATCCTTTTAGAAATAGACTGGATCATGTAACGCAACCTTTTTAAAAATCTTTTTATTTCGATCTAATTTTAGACCTCAGAAGCTACAGAAATAGTATGGGAAGTTTCTATACATTCTTCACCCATCTTTCTCTAATTTATATAACCATGGTTTAATTGTCAGAACCAGGAAATTAACATTGATACAATTCAATCAACTAAATTAATGACCTATTCAAAATTTATCAGTTTCTCCACCAAGGCCTATTCTATTCCAGGATCCCATCCACAATCGCACATTACATTTAGTTATTTTTTCTCTTTAGCCTTCTGCAGTCTGCAGTAGTTCATCTTCCCTTGTCTTTCATGACCTTGACATTTTCCAAGAGCATTAATCAGTTAATACCTTTTGATTTGGGTTTGGTTGGATGGAAGTTCCACATTTTGATAAGAAGATATTATATATTATAATATGTTATATAATATAATTATATATATTATTATATAAGATTGGTAAGATATTACTGATGATGTTGGCTGTGATCACTCGGTTATGGTGGTTTCCTATTGCTATCTCTACTTTAAAGTTACTGTATTTCCCTTTGTGGTTAGTATTTTGGAGAAGGTACTTTGAGACTATGTAAGTATCCATTTCAACCTTCTGCTCATTCATTTTAGCATCCATTGATGTTTCTTGCCTGTAACAAGAAAGTGGTTTTTGCCAAATGCTGATTTTTTTTTAATTTTTATTTTTATGTATTTATTTATTTATTTTTTTGAGACAGGGTCTAGCTCTGTTGCCCAGGCTGGAGTGCAGTAGTGCAATCACAGCTCTCTGCAGCCTCAACCTCCTGGGCTCAAATGATCCTCCCATCTCAGCCTCCTGAGTAGCTGGGACTACAGGTACATGCCACCACACCCAGCTAATTTTTCTATTTTTTTTGGAGTTGGGATTTTGCCATGTTGCCCAGGCTGATCTCAAACTCCTGGGCTCAAGCAGTCCTCCTGCCTCTGCCTCCCATAGTGTTGGGATTACAGGCGTGAGCCACCACGCCTGGCCCCGATGTTTATATTTCGAAATAATTCCCTCCATATTTGTTCATTGGAATTCTGCTGTCAGGACCAACTATCTTTTCTCTCCCATTTATTTATTTAGTTATTTATTTAGATCAGTTCAGACTCATGGATACTTATTCCATAGGTTACAGTCCAACACTCTCCTTATTTATTTTGCTGCTCAAATTGTTTCAGGTATGGTCATTCTGAGCTCCTTCATGTTGGCATCTTTGTTCTCTCAACAAGCCCTCATCTTTTTTTGAGCATTTTAAAAATTTATGGTACTGCTCTATCTTCTAGGGTCATCTTGTATTTTCTCTGCCCTCAGTGAGCCCTGGTTCCTTTTTCTTGAGAAAGGTATTTGAAAACCAACCTTTGGGCACTAGGTATGCTCATTACTACCGCGGTGCCGTTACCTCTAGGCCTCTTACTGGACAGAGCTAGGGAATATACATATGTATACCAACCCATGCATGTACATGAGTCTGTAGTTCCGTGTCTGTCAACCTACTCTTGTGTTAAACCATGAGATTATGCAGATATTTTGGATTCTGGCTGGACTGAACACTACAGAGTTAATTTTTAACTTTCCCCCTTGTCTTATTTGAAAATTCTTCCTCCAACAGGGAAAAACCTGGTTCTTATTATCTGTATCTATAACATATTTACTTATTGGTTTCACTTGAGTATGCATATAAGTACACACAAAGTGGTTTCAAATTGTTAGCTCGTATCCCTGTGAGAAAGACATTTACTGACAAGTTTATGTAAAGTTCCTTTTATCTCTAGCTTTACAGTATCCAGCCCAGATACTCTTTTCCAGATAGTTTCTTAGTGTAGTTCTCTTTTTCCCTACTCTTTTCATTATGGCTGATATTACTCATTTAGGATCCAGCTAGATTCTTTGTTAATGTTTATATTCCTCCTATATCCTGGTTGATTTAAATTGTTTGTATTTTGGGTATATGAATACTATGGTTCTAAGGGGCAGAGCATGTGTATATCGCTTCTTCATCCTTGCTACCACTTTCCCATCCTCCCCTTCTTTCCAGCTGTTTCCCACCCATTCCCTCTTGGTAACCAATTCTGTTAGCTTCCGGTTTGTTCTTCCTGTATTTCTTCTGCATATACGTATTTTCTTTTTCTTTTCTTTCTTTTTTTTTTTTTCTTTTGAGATGGAGTTTTGCTCTTGTTGCCTAGGCTGGAGTACACTGGTGCAATCTTGGCTCACCGCAACCTCTGCCTCCTGGGTTCATGCGATTCTTCTGCCTCAGCCTCCCGCCTAGCTGGGATTACAGGCACCTGACACCATGCCTGGCTACTTTTGTATTTTTAGTAGAGATGGGGTTTCTCCATGTTGGCCAGGCTGGTCTCGAACTCCTGACCTCAGGTGATCCACGCGCCTTGGCCTCCTAATGTGCTGGGATTACAGGTGTTAGCCACTGCACCCAGCCCATATTTTCTGAAGTCCCTTTCTTTCTTATGTGACGGGTAGCATATTCTAGATACTCTTTTGTGCTTTGCATGTTTTACTTAACAGTAGTACTAGGACATCTAAAGATGTAACTAGTTGTCAGGACGTCCTAGCTGTCCAGTTGTATTATCCATAGAATCCCTTTCTTAGAGGAGTTAACAATCCTTGCAAACTCCCACTTACTGAGAATAAATGTCATGCATACAGTAAGTTAATATAAAAACTGAGCTCAAGTTTCTGAACTAGTGCTCTGGAACTTTTTCTTTAGGATTTAGCTTCAAAAAAAAAATGTAAAGAGATAGAAAATATTTGCCTTTAATGGAAAGGGTAGTTTGTTTCTTTGTGGATTTTTATATTCTTAAGGAATCAAAGAAATTTTTTTTAGCAGAAAGAGATCTTAGAAAGCATGTAGCTTTTCTGTAGCAGTTGATGCCTCTTCCCACTTCTCCATCTCAAAACTTCCCTTTTAAGATTTCTGATACACCATTCACTCCTGGTATTCTTTGGCCTCTGCTTCCATTTAGTTATCTTCACTTGCTCTCCTTCCATCGTCCCTTAAAAGGTATTCTTTTCAAGCGTTCTGTCCAGCCCTCTTTTCACTTGACCTGTTTCCTAAACCAACTATGACCTCCTTCAACCACAATTCTATCCCCATAGGCTCCTCTTCATTTTTTGACACTCAGCTAAATGCATCTTTCTTTGTAGAGCTCTAGTCGTGCTTCTGTCACGTTGCTTTCCTGCTAGACAATTCATCTCCACAGGGCAGATATTTCATTCTTCTTGCAAAGTTTATATCCCTAATATTCCCTGGCTCACAGCACTTATGAAATAAATGTTAGCAGAATGAACAGGCAAATGAATGAATGACTGAGTAGGAGCAAATTAAGTGACTCAATCTTTGGTATATTAAAAAGACATTTATACCTAAGCAAGTTCATGCTTCTGGGAAGCAGAATTTCTTAAATACAAATATGTGACAACGTTACATACTCTGTGAGGTTTTGGTCTTGGTATTATTTTAGTTATATTAAAATGTTATGCTTAATTTGAGTTTAAGTGGAAAAGCTTAGCCCCACAGGAATTTTCTTGAGCATATGTGCCATTGAAAGAAATTTTAATCAACACGTGACATTGATTCAAAAGCACTTGAGATATTTTGTAACTACTTTTAAGTCTTCACTGCTCATGTAACTCAAACATAATTTTTTAAATGTTATACTTAACATTCTGTCTGACATATAGTGTTATTTTTAAGTAATTTGAGTCTCTTTTTTTTTTTTCTTTTGGTAAAGCTCTTACTTTTTAAACTACATTTGACTCCAGTGAAATAACTTATTTATTTATTCCTCCAAATTGAACCATAACTGTTGAATGCACTCGTAGGAAATCAGAATTGTGACCCCTGTCCTCAGGGTCACAAAGCCATTAGCCTCCTACTATATGCTGTATGAGTGAAATCATCTATATGTGCAGCTACAAAGCGGACAAGTCTGTGTGTGTGTGAGTGTGCCTATAGGAAATGATTGCGTTTGGCACTAGTCCTTTACTGTACAGCTGAACACCTAGAAAGATTTATTATAACTTCATTAAAAATATCATCCATTATATTCAATATCCACTTATACTATTGGTTTTAACACAGATTACCTAGTAGTATTTTCTACATGGTATTTTTAGATGACCTTTAGTAAAATATAAAGGCATAATGTCGTTTTATAAATTATTTTCCAATTTTGAACACAACTCGATTTTTAAAGATACTTTACCTGTTTTTTTTTTTAAATGATGTAATATATTAGACTTGAAAAGTAAAAGTATTGGAGATCTGTGACTGAAAAAAAAAAACTTTATAGTGATTTTATTGTATCAAGAGACTTTCTGTTTCAGAAATTCCATGAGTGAAACCGTCAGACTGGTCAGTGGAATGCAGCACCCTGGCTCTGCTGGAGGCGTCTATGAGACAACACAGCACTTCATTGACATCAAAGAGCACCTGCACATAGTAAAGAGGGACATAGATAACTTAGTGCAGCGAAATATGGTAACTTTGTTTCCTTTTCCTTTTATAATTATAATCTTTAGGAAAGGAAGAACTCATACTCTACTGCAAGTATTTTAACCCTTTAGTTAATGCTAATGCTTATTTTTAATGTTTAAGGTAGAATTGTCCCATTTATTGCAGATCTCCATGTGTCCTGGTTTTCTAGTTATTGAAGGTGGAAGAACAGTTCCCATAGCAGTCATGGTTTTTTAATATGTAATATTTATATTATCATTTCGTGAAAATATTTTCTGATTTCCATGTTAATGTCTTCTCTGACCCATGGATTGCTTAAAGTGTATTTCTTTGGCCTATTTTTCCGTCAAGGTTCTAATCTGGTAATTTCTTGCTATCTTGTTAGCTTCATTTACCTTCACCCAGGTTTCGTGTGCTTGGATTGGATTAGATATGTTTTTGACTCTGCTGGTTGTCTTCTATAAGACATATTTGGGATATGGTTGGCCCATATTTCCTAGTCTGCTTTACCAGAAGCAGAAATCCCAATCCCTTATATTTTATATCGCGTTTTATCTTTTTAAAAGCTTTTTAAAACGTTTGATGACCTTTAGAAAATATACTAATAGATTAATAATAATGTTACATTAAACTGACTCTCCCAAGGTCAGTAGCTAGTAAGTAGGAAAGGGAGAAAACTTAGGTCTTCAGCTTCTAATCTTGTCTCCTTTATATTTTTTGATAACTCTCTTAACTATATTCCTGTATATATGCCTTGAATATACATTTTTTTCAAAGATGGCTTAATAGTTTTCTTATTGATCATGACCTCTCATCCAAAGCATTATTATCTGTCCCCTTAGTTCTGTTTGAGGTTATTTTTCTCGTACATTGTCTTTGTTGCAATGACCAAATTGATACTGTGTGTATCAATTTACTGAAGAACTTTGTCCCACAAATATAACTATATTGGGAACAACTAATCTTAGAAGCCATTCTCTCTGGGTACTTGGATGAAGTCTTTGTTCCTGGTATTTAATTGCCTCCTTATAATAGAAGGAATACTCAGGGAAATAGGGAAAGAAATATTTTTCAGAACACCAGTGAATAATGTTGAATGATATGAGATTGTAGAGAATGAGGACTGAGAAAAAGCCAGTCTGTTTGTCAAGTAGTTCATTGGTAGGGTAACCATGTAATTTATTGTCTGACCTGGGACACTTTTGAGAATGAAGGGGTGCTAATAATCACACCACTACAGCAAGCGTGAACTGGGAGTATCCAGAGGAGTTGTCTGTGGTGACGCTAGTCTCAGTGACCTCAGGGACAGCAACATCATCATATACTGTAATGCAGACAGGAGCCAGGAGGCAGTGAGTTAGTGACTGGGTAGTAAAAAGGTGGAGGCCTTCCAGTGTCAACTACTCCTTCAAAAACAGTTGTCAGTAAAAGTTAAGGGGATAGAAGGTTTTCTGGGGGATGAAAAAATGAAAATACTTGTTTATATAGCAAACAGTTTTATAAAGATTTCACATTTATTTCTTTTTCCAAACTGCTATTTTGACTAACTGTAATAGAAAGTCATTTGCCTTACAGCCATCAAATGAAAAGCCGAAATGCCCAGAACTACCACCATTTCCATCATGTTTGTCTACGGTCCACTTCATTATATTTGTTGTGGTGCAAACTGTATTATTCATTGGTTATATCATGTATAGGTAAGTCTCTTGATAAAATGTGACCCAATATTTTTCTGCATCTGTTTAATTAGAAATATTCAACTAAGTTATCTATGTTCATAATACAATTTTCACCACCTATAAAATTAAGTTTATTGTGATTTCTGTTCATTTCAGTTCACATAAAGTGCACGTGTAGAATATATGTTTATCTTAATGCGTTGTATACTTCAAAAGGCATTGATATTTTAATTTTAAATAGTCCTGTTTCTTTCCAAAGTTAAGCGTATAGAACTTCTTTAAGTGTTTGTTTCTTTTTTTCATTAGGTCTCAGCAAGAAGCAGCTGCCAAAAAATTCTTTTGACTACCATTTTCCTGTGTACTTCATCTATTTGTGTACAAAATGATGTCGTTTTGAGGGAATTTAAGTATTTAAATTGCTTCATAGTCTAAATTATTAATTTTCTTAATAAAATAACTGTTTAAACATTGATTTGCAGTTAAGAATAAACCTTAAAGCAAAGACAACCACATTTTAATTTGTTCACAGTATGTAAATCTGTCTAAATTTCAGTGAATTTCTGGTCAGTATGATGCAGCCTCTGAGCAGAATATTGACCAGTAAGAGGGTAAATAAAGTGGGGGCAACCCCTGGATATGAATGTTACCCCCTAAGTCTCCAATATTGCAGGTTTCCCTGTATAACGTAAACACACTTGCCCTCATGCCTCCCAGAATATGAGGTCTAATTAAGAAGTCCCATCAGGTTTATTTTGTAACCAAAGTCTTTTTTAGAGGTCAGACTTCCTAATCAAAGGCCTGGGCCTGCAGTCCTTTCATCTTAATGCAACTTCCTTTGAAATCAAAGAATATTTTGTCTGAGAGCTTTAAGGATCTGGTAATAGACTTCAAAATGTTAAGTGAAATTTTTTTTTCCTCTATTTATCAATGATATATTTCACTTTTAAAGGAAATTTTAGAGGAAAATTAATAGCTGCTTTTTGCCTAAAAAACCTTGTGGGTGGAAACATTCCTCTGAGAATGGCTTTTATAGGTATTTTGCCTGGTAATGTATTCATTCATGATTGCCCATATTCTTGAATGTCTTCATTCCAATGGGGTCAGGTCAATATTATGAAAATAATTTTTATATTTATATTTGTAACTTAAGGAATTTATTTCTCCCTTTACTACAGCATGTAAATTCAGCTCAAATTGCATGATCTGAGGATTTAAATTCACAAAACCTGCCACTACATTCTGGTTTACATTAGTTACTTCATGCTGGCTGGGGTTAGTGACCATTTGCATACTCTTTTAAATCAAGGAGGCTGTAGTAGAAGCAGTTTTAAGATTCTTGAAGGCAAAATTTGAAAAACAGTGAATACTTCTAATTGTTTCCTTTTAGTGCCAGAACTAAGGACATTGTGAAGCACTTGTTAGTAAACTTAACCTTGAAATGTCAGACTGGAAGGAGTTTTTATAGTCTTTGTGCATACTTCTAGGTATTACAGAAACAGTCTGTAAATGACATTTTAAGATGCAAATTTAATTCTGTTCACAGCTGATTTATACTGATTTTTGCTGCCTTCAAAATACTCTTTTACTTCTTTTAGCTAAAATGGTTGTCTTTCATTTGCCATAGAATTCCAAACAATACTATCTTATAAAATAGTACTGTTGAATTATTCCAAGCCTCCCTAGGTTTGCTCTCAAATGTCATTTACAGATTGGGCTAACGACCTAAAATCTATATATAAAGACTTTCTGAAGAACTCTGTATTATAGCAATACCAAACGAGTGCTGTGTGTGCAAACAGTCTGGCGTTGCTTTTTATGTTGATATTTATCCTAGAACACTGAAAGAGAATATGCCAGTGATAACTCACTTTACTTCAGTCATTTCAACACAGAAAATGCTTCTCTAGCATTTTTCTTTTGTAGTGTTAACATTTTGAAATTCATGTTTCAGAGGCTTCATCATCACAGAATTTACTCTTGCTCCATGAAAAAAAATTAAATACCTTCAGAGGAATATTTAAGTTGTAAACTATGAAACTTGAGAAATCCTCTTGAGATAAAAGGCTGCCAAATCCAGTATTATAAAGTCCATGGTCATATGTGCCTGTGCATTAAAGGAATACCAGATCTATGCAGTATACATTTTTCAGGCTGAAATTCAAGGGGAATCATTCTGATTATTCTTACTACAAATGGAGATGGCTATTATGAAACAGCATGAGCATGAGCCTTTTATCTTTTATACTTAGTGATATACTTTGCTTGAAAATCACTCAGCAAAGTAGTTCACATGATGTGTATCATATTTGAAGTGTGGTTTTTCTCAAAATCATTGACTTTAAGGAGCTCATTTCTGAACAAAAAGGTTTGCTCTGTGGAAAAATCAATCACTGCCAGGATTCTTTCATTTCTGTACTATTTTGTATAATTGAATTTGTTCACTTCTCTCACACCAGCAAGTGTTTTACAGGTGCCTTGGATTAAAACAAAATTGATTTTAAAATTTTTATGTAAGTCATTGTGTCTATGATGCCACTTTTAAAAGGAAAATGCAATTGCGTAATGGCTTATATCCTTATTTAATGTACCTATTTGTGTTCTAATAATTGTTTGAATGTTTTATTCAGCTTAAAACTTTACCATGAAGTCATAAACAGTAAACAATGTTTTGTTATGTATTAAGGGGATATCAGTGTTTCTCAAAGTATGATCCATGGACCATCTGGGTCATGGCGCCTGGTTTCAGACAACCTGAATCAAATCTTAGGGGTGGGGCTTTGGGATGTCATTGTTCAATAGGCACCTCAGGAGATTCTGAGCACACCAATGTTTGAGAACCACTAAAATGAGGAGTGGGAAAAAAAAAATAGGTGTTTTGTTAATTTAGAGCTGAGCTGAGAAGATAATATATTTTTATTGTCAATGACATTAACAGATATGCACTGATTCTTTTATACCTACAATTTACTTAATGTTCCTTTTATTAAAACGCGTGGTTCATGAGCAACTACAGACTGAATCCAGATTATTACCTGTTGCTTTCAGTATTTTCGTGATGGCTTTTAATCTTATGAAATCATCTTGAGATCATTCATGGTCAAGCCATGAAAACTCCCATCTTCAAGCCTGCCTGCTAAAGCTTCTTTGCCTTCCTGATTGTGATTATGGTAACAATTTATATCAGACAGTTGTACTTTTTGATAACTTAGGGAAAACAGAAATGACTTGAACAAGGGATTGCCTGCCTCACTGCATTGCAGAGATACAATTTTTGTAAAGAACACAAATAGCAGTTGTGAATATTAAGGTGTGATTATCTTTCCCTGTCCATGTGCTTATTGAAAGAAGATAGTGAACAAATGATTATATTGAGGATTTTTTTAATTTATAAGATCTAATGTGAAATCCACACTTGGAACTTTTTAGATCTGTCTGTTGCTTGTTTAATATATTTCTTTTATGACATTACTTAAAGTTTAAAAGGGTTTTCTATCCACTGTCAATTTCAATTGGATAACATTTTGTCAAGTTTTTTTTTTCCTGATTATTTGATGCTAGCTGGAATTCAAGAAATGGCATTGACCTTATTCAAATAAAGAAATATTTTAGTAAATTTGCTTTTTCCTTCATTGATCTTGGATAATAAGTTGCCATTTGTTTTTCAGACACAACCTGTATTGTGATAGCATTTCATTTATCACATGCTTTAGGCTCTGCCCGAGGTGGCCTGCTGCATGCAGAGGCAGTACATGGAAGCATGCCACGAGAACATAGAAATGGTCATGGATAACTGTTTACCCTTGCTGGTAATGAAAAATACAAACTAATTAAAACAATGTACTTGATGTTTTTACCTCTGATAACCAAATGATGGCAGAAGTGTAGTTAAGCTGGAACTCCTAGTCATTACTAATTAGTGGTAGTTTAAAAAATATTTTAATCTTTTTGACAAGTACCATTTAACCAAGTAATTCCAATTCTGAGAGTTAATGTAAAAAAAAAATAAAAGAGTAGGGCTTTGAGGTTAGACAAATCTAGGTTTGAATCCTGGCTCTCTCACTTACTGGAGGTGACCTTCAGTTTCCTCATAATACTTATCTCGCATGGTTATAAGCATAGTAAAAGAGCGTCTTTATAAGGAGGCTTCAAAAAATGATAGACTAATTGGTAAAGACAAATGGTGGATAAGATGAAAGATTTAAATACATAGATGGGTTCGAAAGAATTCAGAACTTAAAACCCGATCAGGAAGCCTACTAGTAGTAGGGAGTGGCAGAAACTAGACTACACATAGGCCCTAGGTACTGTCATTGAAAATTATTGACATTGTCATTGAAAATTCATTTGTGGCATTGAAGACATGGCTTTAGGCCTAGAAAACCCAGGAGGCTCGAACTGAGATGCTAGGATAAAGTGAGGACTCTGGAAGAGCTGCTCCTTCAGTGGAAATGGGCTGAAAGGACCTCTTACTTCCACCCCAACAGCTCCGAGAAGGCGTAGGAAGCTCTCTCCCTGGAGCTCTGGGTAAGGGGACATTTGTTAAGAAATTGAAGCCCAGCTGTATGCTTTACCTATATGGTGTGGAATTCTTTTAAGTCAAAAACAATGTGTAAATTTGTTCTTGTCTGGGAAAATCCAGAAGGCAAAACAAAACCACTCATTAGCAATAATTGCACAACAAAAGTACATTAGACAACCATAGGGACAGCCAGTCCTAACTAAAATGAGCTCTAAAAACTATAAACCAAACCAGAGAAATACGAAAGAGTGACAGTAGATACAATAATGAAACCTGGCACCTCCAAGAATCTGAGATGATAGAACAGTCAGAAGAAGACAACAAATATGTATACTTGAAATGACATTAAAAATACTGAAGAGTTTATAAAAGGACTGGAAATCATGAGGAAGGAATGAAACACTGAAAAATAAGACAGTTGGAGTTCCAAAGGACCACCCAAAACACAACTTTGATATGGGAGGTGGGGATCAAATTTGGATACCAGATTGGACAAAGCTCGAAAGAATTCTTGAATTAGAAGATAGACCTGAGCAAATTACCGAGAGTACAACACAGATATTAAAGTGGTGGAAAATGCAATAAATTGGCAATTGGTGAGAAGGTACAACATAAGTCTACCAGTAGTTCTAGAAGGAATTGGGAGAGTCATGATGAGGAACTGTTCAAAGGTGTAATAGCTAAGAATTTTTCAGAATTGATGCACACACGTATTTGAAGAATCTTGAGTCTGAGGCAGGGTTGTAGGTTGGAGAAGCTTCCCACAGAAGATGTTATCTGAGCCATATGCTGAAGTATGTGTAGTGCAAGGGGGACTGGAAGTGAACTTACTCCAACCAGAAAAAATAACATGAACAAAAGCATGGAGTTAAGAAACTGTAGTTTATGTGAGAACCTGTAAGCTTATTCTGCTATGCTGGGAAAAATGTTGGGTGGGATATACAGAGGCCAGATCCCAAGGCTCTGTAAAGGAGCTTGGACTTCATCCAGAGGGTAATGGAAGGCCATGAAAATCAAGCAGAAAGGCAATAGCATTTCAAACATTGCAATCTCTGTTTGCTTCATGGAGAATGGATTGGAGGAAGGAGACTTGAGAGAGACCAGCCGCAGTGCTCCCAGTGAAAAATGGTGGCCTGAATGAAGGCCAAAACTCTTATCAATAGTAGCATTGGACAATTAGAGTTAGTTTGGGCCACTCTAACAAAATACCATAAATGAGGTGGCTTATAAAAAACAAATTTATTGCTCACTGTTCTGGAAGACTGGGAAGTCGAAGATCAAGACCCTACCCTAACAACCCAATCACCTACAAAAGGCCCCATCTCCTATTAGTAACACCTTGGGCGTTAGGATTTCAACATAGGAGTGTTGGGACAAAACGTTCAGGCCATAGCAAGCATCTAATGACTATTAGAAGTGGGGAGTGAATGAGAAGGAAGAATGTAAAATGATACTCTGTTTCTGGCTAGTAGAATTAGATGTAAGGTGTCCTAAAACAGGGAACACAAGAAAAAGGATGGGAATTGAAGACGAGGGAAGAAGAGGTTGAGTTCCATTTGGAACATAGATTCTGACATTAACTAACCAAGTAAAAATGGCCAGAAGGCAATATAGGCTTGGAGTCAGGGCAGAGACATACCTTAATCTTTTACCTCTAAAATGGGGTGATAATTGAGATAACAGAGCACCATAAATAGAGCTTAGAAACGAGATGCTTATGCCCAATAAATGTTAGCTATTGTTAGTCTATGCGTCTGAAAATCAGAGAGAGAACTGACCCAGAACAGTACAACACAGGATTTTTGGCTCTTTACCTGCTCATGAGTTGTAAAAAAAAGGAAATGGTCCTCAGCAGTGCTGGGAGTCCCATTCCGTTTCTCAGATCCTCACAAATAAGTCCAGAAGCTGCCTGGTCAGCTGCCACATGGCATTTACTCTTTTTCTCTTCTCTGAACCCCTGTGATGTCCATTGGGTGTTGCTCCTCCTGATGGCGTCATCCCCTATGTTGGCCCTTAACTGCTCTTTATTCTGGATCTGCCATTTCTGCCATGTCAGCCCAGCAGTGGCACCGTTTCTGCCATGTTCCATCACACACACAGGCCCCACTGCTACTCAGGAGGATTTCACTGTCCTGCCAAACAAGCAGCCACTTCTGTCATCTGGACCAGGCACCCTCACGACTGCCATTGCCCACAGAAGCAATGGAGGCTTCCAGGAGCCAGTCCATGGAGTGGTGTATTAGGTTCTTCAGAGTAACAACCTTTAAATACATACACGCATACATATACACATATATACATATAAAATAAGTAAGGTATGGCTCACATGATTATGGAGGCTGAGAAGTCCCACGATCTGCCATCTGCAAGCCGGAGACCCAGAAAAGCCAGTTGTATAACCGGAAGGCCTGAAAGCCAGAGCCAACGGTATAGAGTCCATCTGAGCCTGAAGGCCTGAGGACCATGAGTGTCCCGGGCAGAGGAAGATCAGTGTTCCCAGCTCAAGCAGAGAGCAAATCCAACTTTCCTCTGGCTTTTTGTTCTATTCAGGCCCTCACAGATTGGACGATGCCCACCCACACTGGGGAGGACCATCTGCTTTCCTCAGTCAGCCAATTCAAATGCAAATCTCTTCCATGAACAGCCTCACAGACACACCAGAAACAATGTTTAACCAGATAATGCTGGCATCCAGTGACCCAGTCAAGTTGGCATGTAAAATTAACCATCATGGGTAGTTTGTGGCCAAATGGAGAAGAATGACTCTCTCCCCGCTGCATGTTACTTTCTGTTAAGAAAATACTAAAGCAGTGATGCATGGGCCCCAGTGTCAGAGTTCTCAGTGAGAATGGCTGTTACTATTTAATTAAAGGTCTATCTCTAGGAAACAGTCCTAATGGGTTCATGAGCCTTGGCCAGGGTGAACCTGAGTGAAAGACACTACAGAATTCCTCAAGCCTCTGGGAACTAAGGCTTTGTAACTGAGGCAAACTTACTGTGTCTGCTCTGGATGAGTCTCTCCTAAGAGCCTCCTTAGTACTTAATGCAAATAGACTTATTGCTAGCCATGCCACGAATGTTACAATTTGCCAAATATACCTGAATTCCAGGCATGAACATAGCTCAGCTCAAACTGGTCAGCCCACTGTGTAAACAGTAAGTTAGAAAATTAATCTTTGGTTCCCAGCCCATCTTCCCCTTCCATGTAGAACCAGCATGGCAATTTACAATCAGATCATGGAAGCCAGCATGTCCTGTTAGAAAATAACAACCACTGAATTGCCTACCAACTCAGCACTCGACCAACATGGAAGTTCTGTGGTAGAGAGGATACGGAATAGAATACAGTTATTACCTCACCAGAAAGTGATGTCTGTGAACTGAAATAGACCAGTCATACAGTGTTGGCAAAAGAAATACTTTAGGGGCTAGGCATGGTGGCTCACACCTGTAATCCCAGCACTTTGGGAAGCCAAGGTGGGAGGATCACTTGAGCCCATGAGTTTGAGACCAGCCTGGGCAACATAGCAAGACTTCATCTCTACAAAAAATAAAAAATTAGCCAGGTGTGATGGTGCATGCCTGTAGTCTCAGCTGTTCAGGAGGCAGAGGCAGGAGGATCGCTTGAGCCCAGGAGGTCAAGGCTATAATGAGCCATGGTTACGCACTCCAGCTTGGGTGACAGAGTGAGACCCTGTCACACACACACACACACACACACACACACACACTCACACACAGATTTTGAAACGTTCGGTATAACACTGCTGAATATTTCTGGAAGACAGAAGAATCAGCCCGGGATACATTTCTTAAAATGGCCACTTTGGGAGACAAAGGATTGAGATGCTTTGAGTCTCCACAGAGTCACAAATGGTCTCACAATCTATCAGATAACAATGGGCCAAGGTAGTACTGAAGAGACTCTTTGGTTCTGTAGCTCAATGAAAACCATACTGTCATGATTGGGGAATTTCTTTGCACAGCTGGTATATAGCCTTGAGTTTGTATCTACAAGAATATTAACCAATCCTATAGAAATGAAAACAAACATGCTACTTGGCCTGGCATTTCAATACAGTTCATTAAATATGTATTAAGCATCTATGATGTACATGACACTCTATTAGGTAAAACACAAACCACTAAAATGTCTCCAGTAGGCAGTTATTAGGATTAGGACTACGTGTTTAATTTCCTTTGTGGTTTCCGTAATGGTCCTTCTATTTCCCAAGACTTTTTCCTCTTTTTATATTACCTCTTTTTTCCCAGTTAAAATAGAGGTTGAAAATTAATCCCAGTGAATCTCATCTTTAGATCATTTCTACACTTAGCCAATTAGCCAAGTGTGGTGACACATGCCTTGGCGCTTGGTGACCTTTTTCTTCTTCAGTTCTGCTGACCTTCATGAGCACAGAGGTTTAGCTGCATGGTTACCCCTGAAATGTTGTGTCACCCGCTAAGAGGATATAACAACTGAGACAGGACAACCTAATCACCATGATTTCCTTGGGGAAGGTCAAAAAAGAAATGATACCACTAGCCGATTTTAATTACAGGAGCAAAATTTAGGTATTTGATGTGAAAAGAAAAATCCCAGGTGAAGGACCAAAATGGATTTATGCTGTTTGAATGTGATCTCTTTCTAAAATTTAATTCCACTAATGGGATTATTGCTTCTTTAGCAAATTCTTTGGGTCAGATACCATCAAAATTTTCAAGTTGAATAGGCCACAACGAATCTGTGTTTACAAAGGTGATCCATTAAATCAGAATGAGGCATGATTTTAAAAAACTATGGCAAGTAGTCTTGATCCTGGGAGCTGGCAAAGAAGGCAGCAACCACTATGAGGTGGATTTGTAAGCACTAAGATGCTACTTCTGTTATTGGTGGAGGGTGTCCAGGTTCTTGGCATTTTGAACAAGGAATTAGACAAAACGCACAAACAAAGCCAGGAAAGAATGAAGCAACAAAAGCAGAGATTTATGGAAAACAAAAGTAGACTCCACAGACTGGAAGCGGCCCCACCATAGGGGCTCAAGAGCCCCTTTGCAGAATTTTCTGGGGTTTAAATACCCTCTAGAGGTTTCCCATTGGTTACTTGGTGCACACCCTATGTAAATGAAGTAGTGGCCTGCAATCAGTCTGATTGGTTGCGGAAAGCAAACAATCAGAGACTGAAGTGAAGTTACAAAGGTTACACCCTATGCAAGTATCTGATTGGTTGTGGAAAGCAACCAATTAGAGGCTGAAGTGAAGTTACAAAGTTACACTCCTATCCAAATGTCTGATTGGCTGCAGAAAGCAGCCAATCAGAGATACTTTGAATTTTCCATCTGCCACGTAGAAAAAGTTGGTGGGGGTGGGGGTGGGGGTCGGGGTGGGGGTGGGGGGCCGGGAGTTGCAAAGGGAGTAAGGAAGTAGCTTCCAGTCCTTTTGTTACTTAGGTGTGGAAAGTTGGGGTTTTCCTTTTAATTTAGTTCTAGGAAGTCAGCATGAATTGGCCTTAGGTTCCCTGCCCCCAGACCCTATTCTCCTGTCTCCCTTTTGCCTGAAGATAACTCTCCAAGTGCCTCCATCATCCGATGTAGTACCTTGATTACTTCCATTGAAAGCGATTTGCTCAAAAATAAGCCATTAGGCCTAGTGGCAATCATTCATTCATTGTTTTCCCCCAAGATTCTTATTGATCACTTACTATGTGCTGAGCATGATTCTCAGAGATGGGGATGCAAAGGTGAACAAAATTGCACTGGTCTCTCTTATGGAGCTTACATTCCAATGGAGTAGATGGAAAGGAAACAACTAAATCAAGGAAAATATACTTTCAGGTAGAGTGCAGTACTATGAAGAAAAATAGAATAGGATAGAGGATTAAAAGGTGGGGTAGTGGAGGCAGGGTATCTTAGGATGGTCAGGGAAGTCCCTCTAAGAAGGTGAATGAGAACAGAAACCTGAATTAAGCAAGGGTGAGCCACCTAGAGATGTGGAAGAGCAATACAGGCCAGGAGGTTCCACAAGGACATAGGTGGGAGCAATCTTGGTTTAAGGGCCAACAAGGACATGAATGTGATTAGAATGAGCAAAGGGAGTGTGGCTGAAGAGGCTGGCAGCTAGGCAGTGGGCAATCTTGCAGCAAGGAGTGGGGATTCTATGCAAGGACAGTAGGGAGCCATGGGATGGGGACACCTAGAGGTCCCATTCATGAATCCAGGGCATTCATTTCCCCTTTCTGAAGGAACGGAAGATTCTACCACCATTTCTACAAGATTCTACAGCCAGGCTTGGTGGCTCACACTTATAATCCCACCACTTTGAGAAACTGAGGCAGGCAGATCACTTGAGGTCAGGAGTTCAAGACCAGCCTGGCCAATATGGCAAAACCCTGTCTCTACCAAAAATACAAAAGCTTAGCCGGGCATGGTGGCGCATGCCTGTAATCCTAGGTACTCGGGAGACTAAGGCAGGAGACTCGCTTGAACCCAGGAGGCGGAGGTTGCAGAGAGCTGAGATCCTGCCACTGCACTACAGCCTGGGCAACACAGTGAGGCTGTCTCCAAAAAAAAAGATCCTACACACCAGCTAGTAGTTCCTGGATGTCCAAGGGCAAAGGTCATTGTAATAAATCAAGGAGTAAAAAGTTTTTTAAGTCGTGACCTCATTCTCAATGGAATTACCTGTTGAGGAAATAATAAGATATTTGATTTCATAAAGCACTCTCAGGAGACCTTCCACGGCGACCCTGCTGAAGCTACCACCGAAGAGTCCCCATAATGCATGACACCCCCTCTTCCTAACCCCCTCCACACAAACATACATTCAGAAAAGGACGGGACAGGGAGAAACTCCTTTACACATGGGTGCTGGAGTTTAGAATTGACACCCTCACCATTAATATTTCCTAATTCCTCATACAATGGAATTTTTAGAATAGATTTTATAATAAATCTAAATAATTACTTATAATAAAATGTAGACCGAACAGACAGAAACACAAGGCTGTGGCTTTTATTTTATGGTTTGAAAAGTTCTATGAGACAACATTAATTAGTAACATTCCTCAGTGGACTGCAATGTAGTTTATTATAAATGGTAATTTAGAGATAATGGTATGAACGTGTTAAGTTCCAAGCAACCCATCTAAAAGAGAAAGTGGAACTCAATATTGATGGGCATTCTCCTCGAAGCCCTGAGTACAGCTTATATTTCACCCTAAATTATCTTTTTTAGCCTTTCATATTGAGACCATTTAAGCAGCATTTTAAAATAGATTACTAAAAGGGAAAGCAGACGATAAAATATATAAAGCAAGCATTTTAGGCAAGAATCCAGATTATGTAATTCTATATGATCAGAGAGATAATCACCTGGTTTCTGAGAGGACTCATGCCTTCAGATAAAATAACAATGGATTACATCTCTTCCTTCCCACCCCACCCTCTTTGGCAGGCTTTAATTAGAAAGATACTAGTGTAGATTGAAGTCTTAGCCATACTCAACTCTTCCCTTGACCTGAAGAAAACCACAGCCATAGAGAATCTGGTGGGATACAAAACATTGTCAGTTTCATCCAAGTACACCAGTGAGCTTAAATAGAGCACCCAGGAGGTGCACTCTTTATGCAAGAGAAAAAAGGTGACCCCTTACATATTGATGATTTGACTCACATAATGGTCTTACCTTCTGGATCAGAGCCTTGAAGTGTCAAGCACATCATTTCCATATAGACAAGTAATATTTCCATGCAGGAGAAGGCTAAGATAATCTTCCAGATGTAAACCAAGGACCTGCTGTCTGGGTCTTTGCATTTGTCAGTTGTGTATTTATGTGCGGGACACAGTAACTATTGAAGCAAACCGAATTCAAGCAAACTAAAAAGCAAATCCTTGCATAGTACTTAAAGTCCAATGAGATAAAATGATGGATCGAAAGGATTATTTTTGCTTAATGAAGCATTCTGGGTTTTGAGTCTCATTGGACTCAGTTTTTCAACAGGATGTTTTGCTCAAGGGCTGGAATTTGGAAATTCCACAACAGCTATATAATCAGTCAGCTCTGATTAATTTAATTGAAACAGGACTCTTGATGAAGCCCTGCTGTGCTTATAATTAAAAATTTAGAAAGGGGTAGATGATGTGGGGATTTCTTTTTCCTGTGAAATTAGCTGAGTGTATTAATTCAGAAGGTAGGCAGTTGCCTCTGATTGTATGCTTCGGTAATCTGAACCATCTGCCTCTATATACTAAGGAGTTCACCACTTTAATCCAGCTTACGGCCGACAAACCACTCTTCTCTATCAGTATGCCCTTGAATAGATGAGGTTGTGCAAAGTCCTTTGCTCTTAAATGTATTGCTGTCATTGAGAATATTTGGAGGTTTTCTCTTGGGTTTGTTTGGATTTTTTTTTTCAGCTTTTGTCTGAATTTTGGTTTTATTTTTCTGGGGCAGAGAAAATGGCTTTCCTTATGAAAAGTATGATAAGTAACCAGGTAAAGAATTTAGGATTTGGTGGTGGGTCTGAAGAAAATAAAGAAGAAGGAGGTGCATCTGATCCTGCAGCAGCTCAAGGGATGACTAGAGAGGAGTATGAGGAGTATCAAAAGCAAATGATTGAGGAGAAGTGAGTACATGCTATTTCATTTCCCTTAAAAAGCAAAGGAAATTCATTCTGGCCATACCTTCTTCAGTTCTCCAGTTTATTTCTCTTTGCTTTTTAAGATGCCTTTCCTTTTGCCGTTTACCTCTAACCCAAGGAAAGGTTGTTCTTCTAAAGTAAACGGTTCCCTAACATCAGCAGCTACTATGTTCTATGTTCTACATGTATGAATGGAAATGAACAATAATAAATGAATCTATATGTTGTTCTTAAAGCAGCTTAACACTTTCTGGTCTAGGCATGTTTTGATTGACCTCAATTTAATTATTTAGATGAAAAGTGGTAGGTTTAACTATCTTTACATTCTTTCTAAACTTCACCCTCTTAGCACGTAGAAAGTCTTCAAATTGTAAGAATTCAGACCTTATACCTAGAAAAGGGCCTAAAATAACATAGAGGGCAGCTTCTTTGATCTTGCATGTGAGAAAAAAAAAAAAAACCCAGGAAGCATAACATGACAATTATGTCATAAGACTTGGCTTATCAAAGACTATGAATGGATTTGTGGACTGTTTAATATGGAAATTCTAAACATACAGAAAAGTAGAATAGTAGGACAAATACCCACATATACCTATGACATAAAATCAACAGCTTACAGTTTGCTACATTTGCTTAAAGATTAAAAAGATAGATGGTAGATAATAGCTTTTAAAGTAAATTACAGATGTCATGTACTTCACCCCCAAATACTTCAGCCACCTTCCTCCAAAAAATAAAGGCATTTTCTTGGCTATATAAAATATAACAAAAATAAAATATAAAATATAAGCAACATTTAATTGGGTATTATAGAATGTGAATATCACCAACAACTTTTCACCACTTGAAGACTGATTCTGAAATAAATGTAATCTCTGTGTAATTTTTAAATGTTTAAGGTAGAATTAAGATTCTTTTAATAATCAGTTAAGAAATGAAACATCAATCTAGAGGTTAAATGTTTATCATATGTTTCAAAAGAAAAGTATTTCTTTTTTGCCACCAGGACTCTTTTGCTAATGATCAATTACATAATAGTTGCCTAAATCCTATCGCTAAGATGATTATAGGTGAAAAGGTTAATGACCTGGAGGAAACAAAGAAAGTACAAAGACTACGTTTAGTGGAAACCTTGTCTATTGTATTTTTCTGAAAGAAATCATGGCTTATAGACTACCTAGAATACATTATGCTTGGTTCTGCAGTAACTTAAAGTTGGTTTTTAAAAAACAGTCAATGCAACTAGCAAAAATGATGGTGCTAAGACTTGGGCAAAAGAAGCAGCATTCCTTGAATATTGGCTGATTTTACCTATGGCATGCAAAAGAACAAAAAGCTTAAAAGCAAAATAAGTACTGTGTAATGAAGGATAGAAGACAAAAATCAGCATCAAACATTCTCAGATCAAGTAGGCTAATGAAAACAGAAATGTAGACTACAGTTGTGAGCATGCAAAATATCACCTAATATGTTCAAGCAGCAGATCCGATTGCAGATAAGGCATCTATTTGATTAACTAATGTCCTAGTTTTCCTTAATTTTATATCTGGACAGATCAAAGCTCAAAATGGCCAAATCATACAGTCAATCAGCAGACTGAGTTGTCAGCTACTCAGCTTTTTGCATATGTGTGTGAGAATATTATATATTTATGTAGTCACTCAATGTAAGAAATAGTGTCAGGACAATGGAGCATTTGGCTTCCCTATGATAAAGAGGGATGACTTTCAGTCCATTGTTTGAGTTTTCAAGAATTTCACCACCTAGAATGCAATATGTAGTAGGCATTAAAAATAATTCATCACAAGATAAACGCAGAGAGAGCTACAAACAGTTTAGTATATATAATAATTAAAATCAATGTTAGCAAATGAAAGCCTCCTAAACCCATCCTCATCATTGTAGGAAGTGGGGAGACTATATGAATTATAAATAAAAAACTATTTAGCAATGCACTCTATTTAATAATGCACATTCATTTTTATTTTCTTTCTGTGTTCAATGTGTGTGTGTGTGTGTGCGCACGCACCACTGGTAACATTAGTACTGAAAGAGGTCTAAACATAAATAGACTATCTGGAAAGGAAATAAAACAATAGTCTGTTTCTCCCGCCATTTTCTCAATTATATTAAAATGCTTCTTTGCCATAGTTATGCTTCAACAGTTTCTACAATATCATTTGTAACTTGACTCTGACCTTTGTTTTATTCAGTAATTGTTTGGACCCCTAGTATGAGCATAGCATTGTGAGGAATGTACTGAAATGGAAGAGATGGGTTTTCTTCTGCAGGAATTTACACTTTACTTGGTGGGGGGAGACTAGCTAGCTGCATGTGACTATAAACAGAGCAACCAGCTTTTCTGCGTGATTTGTAGACTGGCTCTGGAGGACTGGAATGTAACTCTGCGTGGCATTAGTATCAACAAATCGATCAATGGGGTTTATAGTTATTTGATTTTCAACAAAAGCGCCAAAATAATCAGACCAGGAACGGAAAGTCTTTTCAACAAATGGTGCTAAACAACTGAAAAACATTGAACTTTGACCCCTACTTAACACTATACACAAAAATTAATTTGTCATGCATCATACACGTAAACATAAAAGCCAAAATTATAAAGCTTTTAGAAAAAAAAGTAGGAGAATATCTTTGCAACTTGAAAGTAGATGAAGATTTCTGTATCATGACCCAGATTGGCAATGACCATATCAATGACCATAAAATTATTAAATGATAAATTCAACTCTAAGTTAAAAACTTTTATACGTTAAAAGATGCCATTTAGAAAATAAATGGGCAAGCCAGACTGAGAGGATATATTTGGAAAATATATCTGACAAAGGACTGGAATCTAGGAAATATGAAGAACTCCTATAACTCAATAATGAAAGCAAAAACAATGGGCAAAAGATTTGAAGAAATACTTCAGAAAGATAGATACATGGCCAATTAGTACATGAAAATCTTACTGGAAATTACATGAAAAGCTGCTTAATATCATTAGCTGTCTTGGAAATGGAAAAAATTAAAATCACAGTAAAGTAGCACTCCATAAACACCAGTATGGCTAAAATCAAAAAGACAAAAAATGTTAAATATTGGCCAAAATGTGAAACCACTAGAACTCTTGTTTCAATTGTTGAAGCATAAACTAGTATGACCATTTTGGAGAAAGGTCGTGCTGTTTCTTATAAAACTAAATGCATCCCAGTAAGTTACCGTAGAACCCAGCAAATTCCATGCCTAGTTATTTACCCAGTAGAAATTAAAATATATGTCCACAAAAAAATCTAGAACAATATTCTTAGCAGCTTTACTTACTGTCACCCCAAATGGGGAACAATTCAGGTGTTCATTAACAGAAAAATGACTAGACAAATGGTGATTGTATTTGCGCAAACAATAGAATACTTACTACTCAGCAATAAAAAGGAACCAGCTACTAGTACATAAAACAACAAGGTTAAATCTCGAAAGTATTTTATGCTGAGTGAAAGAAGCCTTACACAAAGATGAACTGTATGGTTCCATTTTATGAAGTTCTAGAACAGGCAAAACCAATCTATGGTAGAAAAGGCGTGGTGGTTGCCTCTAGGGCTAGGGGGTAGGCCTTGATCAGGAATGGGGATGGGGGAATTTTCCCAGGTGAGAGTAATGTTTTCTATCTTGAGAGGGTTTTTGGGTTACACAGGTGTGTGCTTTTTGGGGAATCATTGAATGGTGTGCTTCAGAGGTTTGTGCATTGCATTGGATACAAATTTTGCTTCACAAGAAGAAAAGAGAAACTATAAACAAACATGTCACGCTAGTTAATGACATGCATATTGAAGAGTTTGGGGGAAATGTTACTGATTTCTGCAACTTCGAAATGTATCAAAAAAGTAAAATGTGGATAAAGAGAGGAATAGGTGTGATAAAAAAAAAAGTACAGTGAGATGCCAATTGTAGAATCTAGATGGATTTGATATCAAAATTCTTTCAACGTTTCTGTATGTTTGGAAGTTTTTACAGTAAAACATGGGGAGAAAAGGTCTGCTGCTTGTCCATGCCGCAGGTCGCTAATCTCCTGGACAGGTCACTTTATTCGATGTCCCTCTCCAAAACTAGAAGGTTGAACCCGATGTTCTCTCATGCCCGTTCCAGACCTGACATTCTGTGGATGGAAATGAGTTCAGAGAGCACCTGAGCCCAGGGCCTTTGATCAGTTTAAACTGATCATTTGCTGCAGCTCCTTCCTTAACACTCAGTTTTTTTGTATAATGGTTAAGATTATTTACAAACTCGGAGTCAAGACATAGAAACCAGTTTTCACCTGAAAATGAAAACAGGGGATTTGTTTTAAGCAGATAATGCTTTATGCAAAGATAGTTCACCAGATCCACAAGTAGAATTCCCATCAGGCCTCACGTGGGCCTAAACCAGAAAGCAGAAGGCTGTTGAGAGGCCACGAGCACTCTTTCCCTATCTCTTACCATTGCTTCTATCTGGGCATGGCTGCTTTGTTCTTCCTCAGCAGCCAGACTACAAGGTTAGTGGAAAATGACAGCCAATGGCTACCAAGTTCATCTGTTATTTTGACAGCCACACTGCAAGTGTCTGTCATTCTTAGTACCATTCCCAAATTTTCAAAGAGATTTCATTTACGGAGCTTGGTCTAACCCAATATAGCCAGAGGGCAGGGCCATGTATATAAATTCAGCTACCAATAAAGGACTTCTGTGGGCAGCAGGGACGGGTGGTGGTGCTTGTGAGCCTTGCAGACATTCCCAAAGGTGTCTGCTTTTGTCTGAATCATCATTAGCAAGAACGTCCATTTCAAACCAGCAACATCATGAGTTCAATTAGATCATTCACACAGCAGGACCCCAGTCTGACATTCTGGAAACATACCCTGCCTTGTTTGGGGCTACCTCCTTCCAAACTGGGAAGAAAATACCGTACCTAAATTGGGGTCTGGAGAGAGTAACAATGAAGGGAGACAGGTTTATATTATATCCCCCAACAACAACGGTCTTCAAAGAACTGCCTGGTTCTGGACACTGTGGCCCTATTTTAGTTTGCGTAAGAATCACTCGGGGAGCTTGCTAAAAATGTAGCTTCCCCTCCCCTGCACCCAGAGATTCTGATGCAGCAGGGCTAGGATCAGGCCCAGGAAGCTGCATTTGTCATAGGTGCACCAAGTGATTCTGAGGCTCATGGTCCCTGGCTGAACAGTCCACGGAAAACTCCATGTTAGGAAAAATCTCCTGGTTCGCATCACACAGAGATTCCTAGGACCAAATTGTCTTTGAGACTTAGAGGTATATACTGAAAGTTATGACAGTAGAGTAACAAACAGAGAGGCAGACGTTTGGGGACCTAGGAAAAAAATCCCATAGTTCCCAAGTGTCTGCCAGCAGTGGCATCTCAGAAGGTGTAACCCTGTGTCTGGCTCCTCTGAGCACGGGCAGGAATGTCCTTAGCTCTCTGTATCCTTCTGATCCTTTATTCTTTAACTTTTAGGATGGAAAGAGATGCTGCATTTACACAGAAAAAGGCAGAAAGGGCATGCCTCAGAGTTCATCTCAGAGAAAAATACAGGCTCCCAAAGGTAAGACACTCTGGAAACATCTAATCATTTCTTAATTAATGATAAATGGGAAGTCATGGTTGATTATCCACAAAGGATCATGTTCCTGAATATGAATATATATATATATATTCAAGATATATATATATATAAAAATATATATATTCAGGATATGTATATACATATTCAGGATATATATATATTCAGGATATATATATACACATATTCAGGATATATATATATTCAGGAGATATATATATATATATACACACACACATATTCAGGATATATATATATATATGCACACACGTATATCCTAATCATAACTGAAATGTTTGATATAGTGAAAAGAGCACTGAACTAGGAGTTCATAAAAACTTGATTCCAGTTTTTAACTTAACCTCTATGAACTTCCACTGTTGCTAAAAAAAACTGGAGTTAATACCTATAGATGACATTTTAATGTAAACTTATCTAAAGGTTCTAGAACTTCTCTATGTAAATACACAACAAGGACAATAATCATAGCTCACATTGGTTGAGCTCTTTCTAGGTACCAGGTACAGTACCTTGGCATGTATTAAGTCATTTAGGTTCTATTATCATCTCTGTCTTATCATAGAGGAAACACAGGCATGAAGAAAGTAGGTACCCTCCTGCCATGGGCCAGATAGCCAGGAAAGATAGAGCCCACGGTCCTGATTTCTATGATATTCCACCTCTATTTAAAAGGAACCATCGCTTGCTGGTTTGGGGAATAATGTAGTAGTGACAGTCATCACCTAGCACCATCTTATGCATCTCAGCACTGGCTGAGGGTGACTGCTGTAGGCTGTGGTCGAGTGAGTCGTTGGTCTCCTGGTGGGAAGGGAATGCGTTGACATGTTGTGGAACACGTCTTGGAGGTACTATTCCAGGGCTTGCATCCAGTAGTGACAGAGGGCCCATCACTTTGCTACTCTGACTCATACCACCTGACTCCACCTTCACTACCTGTCTACCTGACTAAATGACTCCACCTTCACCTTCTGAGCTGGTTATTCAATTTCATATTCCAAAGATGCGCCATCCCTTAAAGAACATCTTCCATCTGGAGAAGCCAAAGTAAAAGATCCCTCCAAAGGGCATGATCCCAAGTATGAGAGCCATCTCCAAGTCTGGGTGGTCTAGAAAGTGCTGCTAAACCAATTCCTTCCATGGATCCCCAGCAGATCCCAGAAAAAGCTGATTTTAGAAACTACAAGCACTAGACAAGGGAGAAGCCACTGTCTATGCAAGGTCACTGATGAAATCACCAAAGACTTAAACATGGTAGAGGTTGATCCCTAAGGTGCCCAAGGAACCTGGGTTCTGTTCTTAATAAGGGAAGGAAAACCCACAATAAAATGTAAGCTCATTTCATTCACAACCAATGAACTTGGAAAAGAATGCCTTGCTTTTCCTACCCCCAGCCCCGTTCAGGTTTAATAACTTTTCCTCACTGTGCTTGCATTTTGGAAGAGTGAAGCACTTCTAAACACTGTCCTTTCCACTTTCATTGTCTGGTGAATTTCCTGAAACTCCCTGGATGTCATTGGCTCACTTTAGCAATGTGGTCTCGCCCTAGGCAGGAAGATTGAGTCGGATTCATGCTACTGCGCTGAAGCCCCTGGCCTCTGCTCTTGGGCCATCTGATTAAAGCATCATCAACTTGTTGGGATGAAGCAGAAATTTCACACACACACACACACACACACACACACACACACACACACACACGATTGGCTGGGTGTGCATCGTCCAGAATGTAGGGCTTTTTACAGATTTATTTTTGGCAACTGTTATTCTTCTGTAGGGATCTAGGGAGAATTGGGGTTCCGTTGTAGCTCTGTGATGCAATATCACATGGTTTTTAAAAATATCTGAGTCTCTTAATTTATGCAGCAGCAATAGAAAAAAAAATCTGAGCCTCAGTATCCTCATCTATAAAATGAGGGCTGAAGTACCTAACTTCATAGGATCTTTGTCTGAGATAATGTAATATAAAGGACCTAGTACAACGCCTGACAATAGAGCTCTTATTATTGACATTATGATCTCTGGGCACAAAAGTCTTATTTCCTGATAATAACAACCAGGGGTCTTGAGGACCGCCAGTCCTTAGGTGTGTAATCAATGCAACAATGGAGGTTCCTGAGCCTCAAGGCCCCAAGCCTTTTATCTGTTTCTCCACTAATGGTAAATCAGCAGTCTTGCTGACTTCCAGATCTTCAGGGGTGAACACCCTTAGGCTTAGCAGTAAGGTTTAAGTACTCTTCCAAGAAAAATAATTCTTAAATCTCTGTGCCAGGGTATCTTTTGAAACAAGAGCCTTTCCAACAGAAACTATGGAAAGAGGAAAAAATGATAGCCATGAAATGCACAAATCCAGGTCCTCTCTGGAGAATGATTGTGGCTATACCTGCATAGGCTACTGCTCTCTAAAGCCAGCTAGGGGGAGGGACCGACATGAAGGATGTTGATAAATAACAGTAGAGCCCACCAGTGTCTTTCATTGCATGGCTTACTGATGTTCATATAGCCCCTTTTCTACAGCTGTTTCAAATGCATAATGCATTTGAGACCCCACCTGATTTTCTCATAGACCATGAAAGAGACCATAAAGCTCATCTAATAATCTCATACCACTGCGTCATTTTACACCTGAGATAACTGCAGCCCAGGAGGGTTAAGTAGCTTTGCAATAAGCCACATCTCCTGTGACAGACTTAGGACTGGAACTCAGGCCCCACAACCATGAAAAAGAGCAGCTTGTTCACAAAAGGACTTCAACAGGGCTCCTCCTTTCAAGGCATTTGTTCTTTCTACTCTTTTTTTCTTTTTCTTTTTTTTTTTTTTTTTTTTGACACAGAGTCTCACTCTGTCACCCAGGCTGGAGTGCAGTGGCATGATCTCCCCTCACTGCAAGCTCTGCCTCCTGGGTTCACCCCATTCTCCTGCCTCAGTCTCCCGAGTAGCTGGGACTACAGGCGCCCACCACCACTCCTGGCTAATTTTTTGTATTTTTAGTAGACACGGGGTTTCACCGTGTTAACCAGGATGGTCTCGATCTCCTGACCTTGTGATCCGCCCACCTCGGCCTCCCTAAGTGCTGGGATTATAGGCGTGAGCCACTGCGCCCGGCCTCTTTCTACTCTTAATATTTTGAGCTGTTCCCCAAAATTTTAGGGCAGTTTTGAATTCCACGTGGCTTAAAAAAATGGGAGCATATTATTTCTCCTGTGTTGTCTAACGGTTTGACCCTAGATCTGCAAGTAGCTGTCTAAATTCCAAATACAATCCAAACAAACAGATAAGAATTTCACTTGAGAACATTGTACACACCATCATTCATTGCAGTTTACTTCCAGGTGGGGACCCCCTCCTCCAAGGGCGTTTTTATATTTGGTTGCATTTGTAACAATGGATTCTACACACAATGTTTCAAAACCGTGCCTATGGTATGGAAGATACTACAAATACCAATAATACAATTGCCTGCTTTTTGTAAAGCACATGGAAATTCTAATCCCGTGTAGCTAGCTATAAAAATAGCACCTAATAAAACTATATGATAAGAAAAATCGGCTACTCTGGGCAGACTGCCCTGCTCTGCAAGGAGCAGTTTAAAAACTAAAATTTAAAAGTTTAAAAAATCAGCTGGATCGTATTCCACTTAGTCCAGTTATCACCAGCTGTGGCTAACTTCCCCTACCCCAGTGCAACACTTTGCGCTTGCAAACCAGCCCCACCCTTGGGCGCCTCCTCTGCCTCCCGCGCTGTCACTTGTCGCACGTTACCCTCCCGCCCGCGTCCCCGCACTGACGAGGCTCTGGGTACAGGGACCCTTCGATGGCCCATGTGGCGAAAAAGAGGCTGCGGGGGACAGACACGTTTCCCAGGCTAACGTCTGCCCAGGCTATGCAGAACAGCCGCTCCCGTCCAAGCCAGATCCTGGCTGGAGCAAGGAGGGCGCAGCGGTCGCCAGCGCGGGCCCCGAATCCTCGACGCCGGCGCCCCCTGGTGTTCCTAGCGCCGCGGCCACTGGCACCCGCGGGAGGCGGAACCCGGGCTGCGGGTGGTGGCAGGACCAGGGAGGGGCAGAAACCAATTTCTAGAGGTGACTTAAAAAAAAAAAAAAAAAAAGTCTTGATAGGTCATTGGATGGGATGGGGGGGAAAACAAAACAACAACAAAGAAAGAAAGAAAAGGAAAAAAAAAAAGCCTTACTATTTTGTTATTAAGGACCAGATCGTGCGTTTTCTATCCTCCCATGGCATAACGGGAGAGGGAGCTCGCAAACAGCCGAGTTTCCGCTGTCTCCGCAGTGACCAGGCTGCAGAGAGATTCTGAAACGACAGCAATCGAGGGCGGGCTGAAGGAATTGGAATCTTCGGCCTTGAGAGATGACTGAATAAATGAAGCTTATGGGGGGCAGAATCATGCCCCAGGCCTCCAGTGCCATGCTTTTTATTCTAATACTGAATTCAGCCAACTTACCCAGTGGCTTAGCTGCTGGTTGTTATTGAACTGTAGGTACCTAAAGTCTGTCTCTGATTACGCAGAGGAAACTCCGTAATGGAACCTTTAGAAAGCCATCCTTAGAGAGAGGCCGGACGCGGTGGCTCACGCCTGTAATCCCAGCACATTGAGAGGCCGAGGCGGGCGGATCACCTGAGGTCAAGAGTTCAAAACCAGCCTGGCCAACATGGTGAAACCCCGTCTCTACTACAAATACAAAAAAAAAAAAATTAGCCGGGCAAAAAAAATTAGCCGGCCATGGTGGCGGACCCCTGTAATCCCAGCTACCCAGGAGGCTAAGGCAGGGGAATTGCTGGAACCCGGGATGCAGAGGCTGCAGTGAGCCGAGATTGGGCCACTGCACTCCAGCCTGGGCGACAGAGCAAGACTCCATTTCAAAAAAAAAAAAAAAATCAGAAAAACACAGTGGGGATGCGAGGTGTAGGGTTTTGTCTCCTAGATGCTTCATTAAGGAGCAAGGAGACCCTGGAAGGCCAGACAGTGCCCATCTGGGTCACTAAGAGATGTGATTGACAAGCCCAAGGCATGGTGCTCTGTCCAAAGAACTGGAGGGAAGGAGAGGAGAGGCAGGCCTGCCAGTGCTGGCTCTTACTGAGGCCAGGGGAGGGCTGACCGAGGGCTGAACCAAAGGAACTGCTGTATTCGGAGGGAAACAGAGCAACAGATTCCCAAGTCCTTATAAGTCCCCTCTTTGGGGCTTGGCTTCCAAGGTCATCTGAGGAACATGCCAACCATCACTTCCCTCCAACCTTCTAAGTTCTTTTCCTAGAACAGGTTCAGGTTCCTGGATGACCACAGTACTTTGGCTCCTCGACACCAGTGTCTGAGTGCTGTTTCTCTTTTCAATAGACTTATTTTTTTACATCCGGAAAAGCACATACCATATGTGTGCACTCAATACATAACCATAAGGATCATGTAAATGTAGGGACGTTCCGAAGGTCACAAAGCTTGCTGTGACAAATGGAGACTCAAGCCTCCTTACTCTTCATCCAGGACTTTTTCGTGCCCCCTTCTCCTCATATCCCTCTAAACTGGGCATCAGATTCCTGGTGGTAGACTTTAGAACTGAACAGACTGTCTGACAAAGAAAACGGCACAAGACAGAAAGCAGGGGTCACTGGGACTCTAGTGGGTTCCTAATAACCGTCCCCTCCCTGCCAGGTTTGCAGAATACTTAACCTGTGCCATCTTCTAAAGCCCATATTGGGTAAGCATTCATAGTAATAGTATTAACAGCCCACAGGGAATTGGACGAATTTAACATGTCCTCCAGCTAATGAGGGATGACCCCCTGGGTGCCTCATTCACAATTCCCCAGGGTCACCACCACAGCGGTTACATAACAGCAGGATTCAGTTCTAGACCCTTCCCCTGACCAAGGCCCGACGGGGAGCAGATTTGAGAAAATGTCTTCCCGGGAGCTGTCAGGTCTAATGAGGATAACTATGTCACATTTTGGAATTAGAACTGTATTTTCTAAAGAAATTATTTGGCTGGTGTTTCCTCTGAAAAAGAGTTTCACTCTATTGCTGACAGGGAAAAGCAAATGTAGACTCTTTGAAAAGGAGCAACATAAGCCATAGCCCTCTAGATAAACAATAAAAGGTCTTGGGTCTCAAGTTTATTAATTGTTAGTGACAATACTATTTGCTATACCAATGTCTTTTGGTGACCATTGTTAATTTTGGTAATCAGATAAGTAATTAAATAAGGGCAGTAATCAAATTGCAGTAATCTGCAGTAAGTATGTATATGTATATGTATCTATACCAGTCATTATAATGTTCGTGTACACATATCCAGATTATGTCGATTTCCTCTAGTTGTCAAATTATAGGTCATCAGAGGACTTAAAATGCCTAAAGTCATCCATGATGCTCACGTTAGATTTGGATCGCACACCACTAATTATTCCACATCCTGTATCTTCAGTTTCTCCTTCTTGATTGGCCTCTCCTTAATAAAGGAGGTCAAATCTCTCCCATCTAAAACAAGGAAACAGTACTTTCTGAGTAAACATGGCTTTTTAGGTGTCTTCCCTTAAATGACTAGTTCTCACTGCTCTGCTGAAACCTTCTTCTTCCAGATGTTCAGGGTCTGTCTAAATACAGTAAGTGGTTCCCTTAATTTCTCTTGGGGCCTCTTTGTTTCTTCTAGCACTGGTGATCTCTTCTTCCTTAAAGCCCTCTCTCTCCTCAGCTTGCAGACATCACCCTCTGGTTCCTGTTCTCGTACTGCTTCTTCTTTATGAGTTATCTTTCTCTGTCTGCCTGCAAATTGTGGGATATTCCGGGGTGCCCCCTTGGCTGGCTCTTCTTCTCACTCGAGCCTGCACATTGTCCTCGAGGGCTGCACCTTGCCATTGCTTTTTGCTACCACCTACATGTTGATGATTCTCAAATCTATACCTCCAGACCACATCTCCCGAAATTTCATAACTGCAGCCACCTTTCCTTGGACACTTCACAGGTAGAACCAGCTCATATCCAAAACTCACTTGCTCATTCTCCCCATAAACCTGCTCCTCCTATAGGCTCCACTTCCATGGGTGGCTCTCCCGACAAGCCCATCATCTCCCAGGCTGGCTACCAGATGTCACCATTGCCTCTTCCCTCCCTGCTCCAGCTGCACGTCCAGTAAATCGCCAAGTCATCTTAATTCAGAGTTCTCAATTCACCATAGCTTTTCTACTTGGAGTCTTGTCCCCCTCCATACTGAGGTTTCTAAAATGCAAATCTGATCCTGTTTCTTTCCTGTTTTTTGTTTGTTTGTTTGTTTGTTTGTTTAAAGCCACTATGTCTTTTAGAATAAAATCCGAACTCCTTGTCCTGTATGCCATGATATGGCTCCTGTCTCTCCAGCCTCACCTCTTGCTACTACTCCCTGCCTGGACTAGCACTTCCTCCTGCTTCGTTCCCTGCTCCCTGTGGCCTTTGCTTTCTGTAAGACTCTGGTCAGTGCCACTTCTTCCAGGGCCTTCCATGATCTCCCTCCCTCTACCTAGTTCTGGATTGGGTCATCCTCCTCCATGTCCCCATATATCTTGAGTCCATGTCTCCTACATCATCTTATGACCCTAAATATCTGCACCTACTGTGTGCTCCTTTTAAAAAGGGACCGACTTTTAAATCTCTGTGCTCAGTGCCTAGCAAGGTGCCTGAGATATAGAAAATTGCACACACACACACACACACACACACACACACACACACACACACTGATTGTTGAGTAAATGGATGTTATTGGGGAAAAAGAAAAGAAAGAAAAATGCCCGGCCGGGCGCAGTGGCTCACCCCTGTAATCCCAGCACTTTGGGAAGCCGAGGTGGGCAGATCACGAGGTCAGGAGATCGAGACGATCCTGGCCAACATGGTGAAACCCCGTCTCTACTAAAAATACAAAAATTAGCTGGGCATGGTGGCGCATGCCTGTAATCCCAGCTACTCGGGAGGCTGAGGCAGGAGAATCGCTTGAACCAGAGAGTTGGAGGTTGCAGTGAGCCGAGATTGTGCCACTGCACTCCAGCCTGGCAGCAGAGTGAGACTCCATCTCAATAAAATAAAATAAAATAAAATGCCCAAAGAACAAAGTGTCAACACAACAGAAAGAATTTACCTGCCATTAGAGTTACAGTAAAATACAATTTTATGAAAATAACTAGTCCAGATTGGATATTGTAGTTTTGTATAAAACACAAAGGTTTCCTTGTTTTATAATTAAAACACCATATTTCTTCAAGTAGAGGAAGCAATATGTTTTAAATAAAGCTACAAGATTCTTTCTAAAAGCAAATGTGTTCCTCTCCCTGGCCAATTTAAAATGTATATGTAAGTCAAGCTAAATTAATAAGAGAAAACAGTTCCACAATGAACCCTAATCCTATTAACAGAATTGTCAATCTAGGTTAGTCATTGAAAAATAATGTTGTGACCCCTGCTGAGCTATATGATTTAGTTACACCTGGTGTTTGTCTGCCGTATTAAGGGCACCATTCATTTCGAATAAAGATGCATATAGGAGAAACTTAACAGAGTTTTCTTTAAATGTGTCACATTGAAAGCTCCATTACAGTTGAATGTAAAATTTGCCTCTTAAAAAAAATAACAAAGATGATTGTGTGAACCTTCCTTTGCCAGACCCCTTCAGATTAGGAGCTCTTGGGGCTGCCCAGCAGGGTCTGAGACACCGAAACCTCCTGCTTTCTGAGCAGCTGTTTCTGGTGGCCAGGCGGTGGGAAGGCCATCAGAGGCCCCAGCAGCCGCCATCTCTTCCTTCCCCTCCTCACCCTGCCCCAGTTCGGTTTGCTCCTCCTACTCATGTCCTTGAAAGAGCAATGGACTACATGTCTACAGGGAGCATGGGGATGGGAAGCAGTCACTGGACACTAGTGAAGCAGGATTTCAAGACGTGTTGCTTGGCCACACCAGCTTTCTCACGTCATCTTCACAAGTGCCCTGTGAGGTAGGTAGATATCACTTCGCCTTTACAGATGAGAACGCCTGCTCAGAGAGGGAAAGTGACTTTCCAAGGTCACACAGCCAGTAAATGGCAGAGCAAGATTCTGCCATGAGACAATCCGAGCCCACAAGCCATGTTTTCTTGCTAGACCCTTCTGGCAGCTGTGCTAGGTTCTCATCCCCTAAAAAGCAGAATGACATTTTTGCAAGAATCTTTACCTCTCGAGACCTCACTTTCCTCCTCTGTAAGTGAGAGGCTTGGATATGCGGCCTCCGGGAGCTTCTTGAGTCCCTGTGGAATGTCTTCATAAGGGAAAGAGGTATGAGATGTGCACAGCTGGTATCTAGAAATTCTCATTCCATGTAGCTCCCAACGCATGCACACTTTCAATCAAACTGAAAACTGATGCCTATTCTTCAAGAAGACAAATCCACACCATCTGTCCTACTCTAGGGGTGCTGAGGGCTCTTTAAGTAGCTAAAGAGGGAAGGGCAGCAGTGGGGCACAGCAGAAGGAGCAGCCAGCATGCCCCAGCCCAGGGCCTCCACACCAGTCACACACTAGCTTCTGAGGGCAGCAGCCTCACTCATAACCAGGACAGTGAGAGTGGTTTATGAAGACAAGTACCTGACTGCTCAAGTCCATGATCCTCACCATTATGTCAATCTCACGCTACATGAACTCCTCCATGTGAAAGAAATCCATTCTTCTAGCTTTTGGTATCCTGTGGACAACAATAAGTGAATAAACCAAAAACAAAATCAAATCTACCTAATATCAATCACACTGGTATTTGCTTATACAACATGCTTAGCTAACTAGACTCTGACAAGAGGAGAATGCTCAGCTTTTTGAAGACATAACCATCTAAGATAATTTATCATGGTATCTCAAGTTTGGTAAAAGAGAAGTCCAGTTTATCCAGGTCCAAGAAGTAGTAAGTCTTGAAATCCAGGGTCATGTTTATCCTTTGGTGAAAGGTCAGGCATCAGTCACAGGAAATGACAATGGTAGGATATGGAGCTATTTAAATAATGGGGTACTCAGCACTGGCCATAAAGATAATAAGTCTGGTTAAAAACAAGAGATTAAAACGGATTCTCATCAGCTGGCATAAAAATAATTAGCTCTTAACTGCATTAAACAATATCCCAAATTGATAAGATTTCTAGAAATGAGACGATCTCTGAAACAGAGCCTCTAAGAACAAAGTATAGCCTATAAGTCCCCTAATTATGTGCTGGCTCACTCATTCATTCATTCACGCCACGGTTCTCATCCTTGAGCCTTCCCTCCCTCCCTGGAGCTGCTTCCGGCCTGTAGTGATGCTGATTCACATTGGCTATAACTGCACTTGTATTTGGGGGTTGTAATGAGGCATTACTTCTTTTCCTTGAAGTGTGAACTGTGTCCAAATATTCCTGGTCTCCCCAACCCAAGATTTGTCAATGGGCAGCAGAACGTGTGGACAAGACATTCATTGTTTGAATTGCAGACAAGGTCCTGTCAGCAGGGTGGTTCATTAGGAAGAGAGGAAACAAGGCTGCTGTGTCCACTGTATAAATCCCATTTATGCTTCTTAATTGCTTGCTGTGTCCCGGATCTTTCTCTTAAGGGCCGATACTCTCCCACCGTCTCTTTCACTGTCCATGCCTTCTTTATCCCAGGGATCCTTTCAGCAGGGATCTTGACACTGAGCTGCCCTCTTTCCTCTAAAATATTCATAACCACTGCTACCATTTGTCCAGAGCTTAGATGCTTGCGAGGCTGTTTCACAGCATGTCTCATTCAATCTGCTCAACAGTCCTCTAAGTGGCCCTTCCATTGGACATCAGAAACATAAGTTGACTTGCCCAAGGTCATGCATTGGTGAATGGCAGATCTGGGACTCAAACCCATGTCTAACTCCAAATCCCACAATCTTTCATTCTCCTAGGCTGCCTCCACCAGAAAACGGTTTGGATAGGCTGCAACTTTTTACAAAGGAGATACTTGAATACTTAGCCAGTTCTAGGTCTAGGGCTAGCTCAATTAGTTAGGATCCAGAGCTAATGAGGCTACAGGCCCACATTTGGTTCCAGAGGGCATCATTTTCTCCTCTAGCCACTCAACGGCCTTGTCTGGTTGTCCTACCTTTAGTCATAAGATGTCCATGGCACAGGCTGCAGCCCAGAGTAATTGGCTTCAAGACTAGAATCATCTCCAGAAGCAGCCATGCTCTGGTGGAGGGCCAGTAGCCTTGTACTTCTAGATCAATGGTGAGTGCAGGACTCTCTGACCACAGCCATCGAGTACACCCATTGCTGCCTTTGGACCTGGACATCTGAGGCCACTGCCCTGGGGCCCATGTTTTAGAGGGCTCTCTTGGTCTCTCTTCTAGCCACACTCTTTCACACGGGGTGAAGAGTCTGTGGGCCAAAGGGCCTAGCCCAGGCAGAGCCCACACCCCTCTTGTAGACTATGCTCAAGCTGCTTAGGACCCCAAACGCCCTGCCTAAGTGCATTCCAGAGCATTCTCAGGCCTCCGATGCAGATCTGTGCTCCTGAGAGTGGCCAGGCAGACTAGGCCTGAGGAGTGGGGTAGGGGCCATGCACCCAAGGTCCTAAGGCCCTTCCCAGTGAGGGCTGGCACCAGGAACTGGAAAAAAAAGAGGGCCAGGTTGTGAGCCAGGAACTTCTATCAGCACTTATGTTCTGCCACCCACAAAAGTCAGGGGCGGGCCTGACAAGAGGTAAGGGGAGCTAGGGCTGGCTAGGTAGCTTTCTCCTAGAATAGAGAGCCTAGTGCTAAAGAGGAAATGACTAAGCCTGGCTTGTTAGAAAAACCAAGCCTTTGGGTGAAGGTAGGAGTCATTGCTAGGTCAGAGGTAAGGTGCCAGGACATCACAGCCTCCTGACAGAGCTAACCCCATGTGCAAGACTGCCCACAGCAAATTCCCCTGCCCACCTCTGAAGGTTATTATTTTTATGAATAGCTACTACTGGGTGAGTGCTTAACAGATTCTAAATAATTCAGTTACCATCTAATTAACCTTCCACAGCTCTAAGGCAAATAATGCAATTCTCCATATACAGACAAGGAAATAAAGCTCAAAGAGGCCATCTATACGAAGTGCCCCAGGTCACCCATCCTATAAGTGGTAGAACTAATGTGCTCACTCAGGCAATTTAGGCTGCGATGCCCCAATGGAATTATAAAGATAAACCGATAGCTACGAAAACAGAGCTCTTTACAGCAAAGAGGACCTACAAATTTGAGTATTACTAAGGCTGTTATCCTCTCTGACAATAGGTTCATTGAATCATTCAGTAAACATTTATTTTAATTTTTAAAAATATTTATTTATTTGTTAAGACAGAGTCTCTCTCTTTTGCCCGGGCTGGAGTTCAGTGGCGTGATCTTGGCTTATGGCAACCTCTGCCTCCCAGGTTCAAGTGATTCTCCTGCCTCAGCCTCCCTAGTAGCTGGGATTACAGGTGTGTGCCACCACTCCCTGCTAATTTTTTGCATTTTTAGTAGAGACGGGGTTTCACCAAATTGGCCATGCTGGTCTTGAACCCCTGACCTCAGGTGATCCCCCCGCCTCAGCTTCCCAAAGAGCTGGGGTTACTGGCTTGAGCCACCATGCCCGGCTATTCAGTAAACATATAATTGTCTGTGTCTACATGCCAGAAACCTTGCTGGGTTATGAGACAGAAAGATGAGTAAGTTACAGCCCTTGTCTTCAAGAAATGTAGAGCAGGGGTTCTCAAACTTCAGCAAGCCCCAGAATCACCTGGAAGACTTGTTAAATCACAGATTGCGAGGCCCGAGCCCTGAGTTTCTGATTCAGTGGGTCTGAGTAGGGTCCCAGCACGTGCATCTCTAGCAAAGTCCCAAAAGATGTTGATGCTGTTGTCCTGGAGAACCCACTTTGAGAACTACTTTGAGAACCACTTTGATAAAAGTTAGGGCAATCAAGATCCTCTCCATAAGGCAACGTAGAATTGCACTGCTCTCCCTTCCCTGAGCAAGAAGCACAAGGATAAAACGAACCTCAGAGTCACCCTTGAAGGAGGAAACCATCCCAAAGCTTCTTCAAGCGCTGCAGAGCCATAGATGGTGGCCTCGCTGAAGTCTCCCTGTGAATGGGAGGCAGGCGAGCACCATCCCGTGAGCCCTCATGAGTGTGTTCGGTGTTTTATACTCCTGGCTGGCTGACACGCTTTCCTCTAGCCCCTCTAGCTGCCCATCCCTGCAAGCCCACAGCAGTTACCCTGTCCAGGTTCAAACCTGGTGACATGCTTGGGGATCTTACTACCAACCTGAGGGAAGGGGCCAGAATTCCCGGGAATGTCTTTTCAGATTACTTGCATTTGATTTCAGGATGCATAAGAGAGGGCAGATGTCCCACATTGGCATGAACTGAGAATGAGTCGTCCACCTTGTGCTTTTCCTCTCCTTCCTGCAAAAAGTCCCAGAAGACGATCAGCAAGGAAAGCAGCCGCTAGGGAAGGCAAATAAAAAATAAATAGAAATGCACAATTGGCTGGGAGCCCCTAAGGATTAACTAACTAATTAATCCCACAACAGTTTGACCAGGAACTAATTAATCCGTTAAGCACTTGGAGGGCCCAAGGCCCTGGCCAAGAGCAGGGAGAGGCTTCACTTATCTCCGGAGGCTGGCGCGGAGTGGGACTGTCCTCCAGGCTCTCCAAGGAGGGCCTGGGTGAAGACTGTCCTTCCCAAAATCAGTGGTTCCTGCTGCATCAGAAATCTGCTTCTCAAGCTATTTCTTGAGCCAGACTCCTGTGTCACTCTGCCCAGGGAACCGAATCAAAGAAGAGAGCCCTGAGGAAAGGCAGCTGGGCTTCAGCCCCTCCAAGGATGGGAGCCACAGAGTGTTAGAACTGGAAAAGACTTCAGCCATCTCGTCCTTCCAACCCACTTTCCAGATGAAGAATGAAGTTTCCAGGTTACCTGGTGTGCTGTTTGGACCTAGAGACAACTGATGTTTCTTTCTGATCATTCCTACATAGCACCCAGACAGGGAGAATTCAGATCTCTCTTTAGGTGCTGTCTTTAACTCCACCTCAGAAGTCACCAGGTGCAGAAATCTTTCTTAAAGCAATGTAGTCTGTTTGACTAAGATCGTCATTTTTTAATATGATTTTTCATGAGCTTTGGTAACAAATTTAAGGCTGGTCACAACATATTCAGGTGGCTCTAACATAGATCTTTCCTCTCATTAGCTTTTCTGACACTCTTTTTAATCTTCTGTTTCCCTGAAACCCAGGTCACCTCATGTTACAACCTGATCTCCAAAAAATCTGACAGCAGCCATCTGGGGATGTAAGCTACTGTTAACCTTTCCCAGAGAATATTTTTCTTTAGACTCCTCTCTCATTACAGAACAAGAGACTCTATAGCCTAAGTGGTAAAAGAATCTCAGCTGAGTATGGGGGTGCATACCTGTAGTCCCAGCTACTTGGAAGGCTGAGGTGGAAGGATTGCTTGAGCCCAGGAGGCCAAGGCTGCAATGAGCCCAGATTGCACCACTGCACTCCAGCCTCGGTGAAAGAGAGAGACCCTGTCTAAAAAAAAAAAAAAATAAAGGAATCTCAAAGACCAGGCAGCATGCATTAAGAAATTCTAGAACAGACACTCCTAAAATCACAAAATGAAATGTGCAAGGCGCTTGTGACAGCGTCAGCAACACCGAAGGCTAGACTGCCAGTATGCTGAGTGGCGGCCATGCCCTTGATGGTTCACTTAATACATGTGTACTGTGTGCTAGACTCCAGTCCAGGTGCTAACGGTGGAAAGTTGAATCTGACAAGAGCCCATGACGGGCTCCCTGTCTAGTGGAAGGGAGGAAAAGAGCCATGATTAAGAAAAAGTTGCCACTAAGGTGTGATGAGTGAATTAATGCATACTGTCTAGTTACTATAAACTGAGACCTCATCCTCTACAGTGGGGTCAACCAGGTGAGTGGGTCTTGGCATGGGGCTGATAGAATCTGCAAGACTTGCAAAGCTGCCCTTAGGCAGAGTTGGGGTGTGATGCCCCAGCTTTTGTGTGTATCAGCATCACAGAGAGAAAGACATTCTTAAAAATCCAGATGGGGTTGGGAGTGGTGGCTCACACCTGTAATTTCAGCACTTTGGGAGGCCGGGGTGGTTGGATCGCCTGAGGTCAGGAGTTCGAGACCAGCCTGGCCAACATGGTGAAACCCCGTCTCTACTAAAAATACAAAAAAATCAGCTGAGTGTGGTGGTGCACACCTGTAATCCCAGCTACTGAGATTTACTGAGGCAGGAGAATTGCTTGAACCAAGGAGGCAGAGGTTGCAGTGAGCTGAGATCGAGATACTGCACTTCAGCCTGGGCAACAGAGCAAGACTCCCTCTCAAAAAAAAAAAAAAAATTCCAGATGGCTGGGCTCCATCTCCAGAGTTCCTGATTCAGTGGGTCTGGGATGGGGCCCAAGAATTTGTAGTTCCAGCAGGCTCTAGATGATGCTAATGCTGCTTGTCCAGAGACCACACTTGGAGAACCACCATGCTGGAAGGTTCTGATCGACGCAAGGTGCCATGAAGAAAGGACCCCCCTACAGAAGCCCCCACAACTGCCATCAGGACCAGGCTCTGCTGCAAGGCCAAGAGTGCCACTCACTTCCTGTATTCTCTAAAGACCTTTTCCTGCTGCTTTTAAAATTTATTTAGTTAGTGAGTTAGTAGTTTAGAGTTATTTATCTATCTCTATTTATTTTTCACATAGAGTGAAATGGATGAGAATCAAATCCAGATGGCTGGAGATGATGTGGATTTACCTGAAGATCTCCGGAAAATGGTAGATGAAGATCAAGAAGAGGAAGAAGATAAAGATTCTATTCTTGGGCAGATACAGAATCTCCAGAACATGGACTTGGATACCATAAAAGAAAAAGCCCAGGCCACCTTCACTGAAATCAAGCAGACAGCGGAGCAGAAGTGTTCCGTGATGTGAGGGGTGGGAGGGGTGGAGGGAGGGAACCAGCCATCCTTGGAAAAGACCACTCTCTTGTGGGACGTTTCAAGCAGTACATGTTTTAATGTAGTGAACACAGTTAGGAAAACCACGATGATCCATTGACAGACAATAATTTGGTTGTTCTAAATATTCCTGGCAGAGCATTTAGCTAACACCTTGCAGCGGGAACCTTACTTTCCTTTTAGTTATAAATGAGATAAACTGGAAAATTTCAGTTGTAAATGATGATGCAGAACACATATCTGCTTAAAGACCTTGAGATGAGCCAGGAAGAAACAAAAGCAAGGGGCATTTCCTCTCCAACTTTCTTCCTTGGAGGCCAAGTTCTCACCCTGTCCAACTATTCGCAGGACACCAGGTCCCTTCAGAGAGAAATGTGGAGAGTCAAGGTGTCTACTGGGAGCCGGGTTTCCCACAGGGAGCTGAGTCTACAGACTCCAGGGCAATCAAAGGTCACCACCCCCACCCCTCACCTCTAGGATCCTTGAATTTGTCAATGATACTCATCAAGTATGCTTGGATCCTTTGGTCCTTGGATGCTTCTCAGCCAAGTGGCGGTAGCACAGATGTGGTGAACAATGACGAATTGAGGCAGGGAATAGACCTCACTAGCCCTTTGCAATGGAGATCATCGTTCTAGTGGCCATGTGAAGAATGGAACCAAGGGAGGCACAATTAGAGGCAGAGGGAAACCAGGCAGACGGCTGCTCTTTTTGAGTTGAGCTTAACTCTCCTTGTCTGAACTTGGTGATAGCAATGGGAACAAAGTGGGTAGACTAACAGAGAGCATTAAGAAGTTAAATCAATCTCTCTCTGTCTCCTCCCAACCTCTCTCTCTCTTTCATCCCCTTCTCTCCCTATCTCTCTTTTTTTTTTCTTCTCCTGTCCCTTCCCATCCCACCCCTTTAGACTACCTTCCAGTAAATCACACTGTCATTTGGTGCCACAAGCTTTCAGGGTAGACACTGATTTTTCCCCCCTAATATCTGCTCTCTTTCAAAAGGAATAATTCAAAAGACTTAGGACAATTACCACTGAAACACTTCGAGCTATTTAGCTAAAGCCCACCAAACCAAAACAAAATACTGATTTTTTTTTTTTTTTTTGGTGACTCTGTTCATACAGTGAATAAAGATCTATCAAAGGAAAAGGAAACTGAGACCGAAAACTTAGGGTCTAAGTTGTTCTAAACCCAGGGTTCTCAAATGTGTTGTACAAAAAGTTTCATGTAATAAAATTAAGCAAATAAAACAAATGAATAGAGGTCCAAAACCTATGGTCCTTGGCAAAGTTTAATCTGTCTTGGAAATTCCTGGGAGAACATTGGTGCAATGATTGAGGCTGATTAGCCTTCTAGTCCACAAACCCAGATGCCATGGGCACATTTTAAAACTGTGCTTGTCTTTTATCAGAAATGGCATGTGAGTTGTGATTTGTTTTATAGCAGAAACTTTAAAAAACTCACTTTTTTAAAAACTACAATATAATAGATAACATTTATTTTCAGTTTAATGCCTGACTCTGCCCTGTAGTTGGTGAGGTGGGTAGTATGGATGGGTGAGAGGTGCTGTATGTGGCCTGATATCTGTACACTTTGTATGACATAAAATACTACAGCTGCCAAATTGTTCCACACTCTAGCCTCAGGATGACAAAGAAGATGTGCTTTCTTGTAAAAGATGCAGCCAGTTCTGCTAAGGAAATCACTAAATTGGCACTTCCTCTTGACTGCCAACATTACTCCAATGCAATTTGGTCGTTGTCTCAATGAAGCTGCACAGCTGCTAGAAGACTCTGACCATGATTCCTCTCATATCACACCATACAACCCCACAACACAGCCCAGTATATCACATCACCCCACATCACATTACACCAGACCACAACCTATCACACCACATTACACTACAACGCACCACCCCACACTAAACCACCCCTCACCATGCCAAACCACACCACCCCAATCAACACCAAATCACATGTGTATGGGTTGGGAGAGGGAGGACATGTATTAGGGCATCCAGAAGGCCCCTTTCTCTCTAGAGGGTAGATAGGTGTCTGTGCTGTATGATGTTGAGGAGCACAAAAAGGTCTCCCATCATCAAAACCTAGAATCCAACAATTATTAAGGACTACGAGGGAATCTATTCCAATCTCCCATACAATAAAGGGACCCTTCCCAAACTGTCCCAGTTGAGCCTTATTTGAAAGCTTCCAGTGGTACAGAAGTCACTATCTGCTGCTCCAAGGAAATTTAACCACCAGCTCTTCCATTTGTAGACAGCTCTAGTTGTTAGAAAATCCTTCTTTGTCTTAAGCTGAAAATGGTTGCATCTTTAATCCATTGGTCATGGTTCTGTTGAATTAAACTGCACAGATTGTGCCTACATTCCCACTCAGGCTTTGATATATCCCCTCTCAGTTTTCTCTTTTTCAGGAAGACATCCTTACTTCTTTTTGTCAATTCTTATCATACAGTAGGAACACTGTGAACCCACTGGGTAATTGAATGCTGACTGCCCATGTCTAGGAGTGAAGCCAACCATGCAGAAGGCAGCAATGCTGTCCCCTTCCACACCCTGCCACTGGACTTGATGTTTGAAGCCATTCCTGAGCCAACTCATAGTCAGGAATGAGGATTTTAGTCCCAACCCCACTAGCACATGACCTCGGACCAGTTATTTATACTATCTGGAAATCCATTTTCTCAACAGTGAAAATGAGGGGGCTGGATTACTCTACCTTCTGTAATTCATTCTATGGTTTCAGGGTGGTCACTGTGGAGATTTATCTTGTGAAAGAGAGTACATTAGCCCATTGTCACTGCCACAGAACTAGGTTTCAGTCCTTTACTAGCTTCAACTGAGGAAAGGGACACCAGGCTCCAGGAGTGGCGGGGAGGAAGAGAGAGTTTTGATAGATGCTAAAAGAGAGGAGAGAAAAATCTAGAGATCCAGGGGGGCATTTCTATTCAGGCAGAAGGAACCATAATGACTCTGGGGACAGGTGCTGAAGAATAAATTCCAAGAAGACAAATTAAATGGACTTCCCAATTTTGCTTAGTCTAGTCCCAATTAGATATGGACTCCTACAGTACAATGAAGCAGGAGTTCTGCTTTTGAAGGACTATTGATATAGTGAGCTCAGTTACCCAGAAACCAACTGATCTAGTTTGTGAGTTATGTAAGTACCTTGGTTTTGCTCCTGGCACTAGAAATTTAGCCAAATTCCTGCTTACAAACAGAACCATCAGACACAGGGAGAGGAGTGAAATTAAAAGTGAAAAAACTAGAGCTTACAGCTTCTGATAGTGGAGAATAAGCTCCTACTGGATCAACCCTCCTGCAAATAACAACCATAAACTATGAACAAAATATAAAGAAACAATTGCCTGAAAGCACTGGAAGCAGCCAAAAGCAGGTCCACACTGGAGAGAAATGAAACCTGAACTGAGAAGAAGGAAAAAGCACTGGTGAGTTTTCCTTTGCTTACAGGTTTCATCTGAAGGCAGACCCCACTTGAAGCCAAGTAAGACAACTAAAACTCAGATAGAAAACCTGCAGCCTTAATGTATTGAAGAACCAGCAGAGTTTGGGGTACCCACAGCAGCTGCAAAATGAAAGAGCGAATCCTAGAAAGGAGAGAGCTATAGGAGGGGGATTTTAAATTCGTGTATAAAGTCTCTTCAAGATCCTGGCTAATCCCTGAACTATGCATAGATTAGGCATACTCTGAGCAGCCCAGTGAAGGCTAAACAAACTGAACTAAGAATTCTGTTACTGCCCACTTAAGAGAAACAGGGTTTTGAGTTTGAATCCAGCCATGTTTGCTGACTATGAAACAAACAGACAAACAAATGAAAATAATCTTCAGAAAAACATAACAGAACTCAGCAAAGTAAGTAGAAGGATGGAAACACTAGAGAGCACAAACCAATGAAATAGAAAACAGACAAACAATAGAAAAAATTAAGAAGTCCAAAAGTTGGTCGTTTAAAAGATCAACAAACTTGACAGACACCTAGCTGAATTGCTTAAGAAACAAGTAAGAGTACACAAATGACCAATATCAACATTGAAAGAGGGGATACACTACAAATCCTACAGTCATTCAAGGATAAGGGAATATTATGGAGAACTTTATGCTAATAAACTTGACAAGTATTTAGGTGAACTTAACAAATTCCTTGAAAAAAATGCACCTCACAAATACTGATGCAAGATATATAGAATAACCCTATGTCTTAAAAAAATAGAAATAATTATTAAAACCCTTCCCACAAAGAATACACCAAGCTTAGATGGCCTCACTGGTGTCTTTTATCAAATATTTAAGGGAAAATAGCACAATCTTACCCAAACTCTTTCAGAAAGAGGAAGAAGAAATTCTTCTCAAGTCATTTTATAAGGCAAATATAATCCTGATGCCAAAACCTGACAAAAACATTATTTAAAAAAAAGAAAATTGCAGGCCAATATCTCTGTTGAATTTAAATTTTTAAAATTCTCAACAACTAATAGAAAATAAAATCCAGGCTGGATGTGGTGGCTTACCACTGTAATCCCAGCACTTTGGGAGGCCGAGGTGGGCAAATCATTTGAGATCAGGAGTTCGAGACCAGCCTGGACAACATGGTGAAACTCCATGTCTATTAAAAATACAAAAAATTTACCTGGGTGTGGTGGCATACACCTGTGGTCCCAGCTACTTGGGAGGCTGAGGCATAAGAATCACTTGAACCCTGGAGGAGGAGGTTGCAGTGAGCTGAGATCGCACCACTGCACTCCGGCCTGGGTGACAGAGGGAGAATCTGTCTCAAAAAAAAAAAAAAAGAAAAGAAAATCCAGCAATACACAAAAAGGACAAAGCAATACACAAAAAGGACAATATATCATGAACAAATGAGGTTTATCTTACAAATTCAAGGTTGATTTAATTTAACATTCAAAACTCAATAAATATAATTCACCATATTAACACAATAAAGAGAAACCCCATATAATCATTTATGTCAACAGAGAAGGCATTTATCAAAATCCAATACCCATTGTTGATTTAAAACTCTCAGCAAACTAAGATTAGAATAAAACTTTATCAACTCAATAAAGAGCATCTTTGAAAAACCAACAGCTAACATCCTTGATGGTAAAACATTAAATACTTTCCTCTAGAAATGGGAACAAGACAAAGAAATTTACTCTCGTTATTTCTTTTCAACGTTGTACCAAGGCCCTGGCCAGTGCAATAAAGGAGAAGAAAAGGAAGAAAAGAAAAGATGGGAAAGGAAGATGTGAAACTGTCTCTATTCACAGATGACATGATTACTAACACAGAAAATTATAAGGAATTTATAAAACAACCACCAGAACTAATAAGTTAACTTAGTAAGGTTGCAGGAAACAATGTCAGTATATAATGATCAATTGCATTTTTATATACTAGCTGCAAACAATTCAAAAATGGAATTACAACAATTTTATTTCCAATAGCATTAGGAAACTTAAAATTGTTAGTAATAAATGTAGCAAAAGATGTAGAAGGCCTGTACACTGAAAATTGCAACACATTCCTGAGAGAATTCAAGAATACTTAAATAAATGTTTATGGATCAGAAGATTCAATATTGTCATGCTATCAATAAACAGCAAATTGATCTATAGAGTCAGTGCAGTCTCAATCATAATCCTATCATGTAGGAAAAGATGAGCTGTTTCAAAAATATAACTGGAAAGGCAAGTGTAGTAGGATATACAGAGCCATCTTGAAAAAGAAAAACAAGTTTGGAGGGTTTACTCCACTTGCTTAAGGCTGTACTATGAAGCTACAGTAACCATGACAGGGTGATATTGGTACCAATTGATACTGGTACTGATCGATACTGGTACCTGAAATAGATCCACAATTATATGTCAACTGATTTTTCTAAATTTTTATTTGGAAATAATGATAGATTCACAGGTAATTGCAAAGATAGTACAGAAAGGGTCCCATGTACCCTTCTCCCAGCTTCTCCCAATGGTTCCATCTTATATAATTACAGTGCAATATCAAAACCAGAAAATTGACAGTGGCATAATGGGTGTGTATAGTTCTGTGCCATTTTATCACACGTGTAGATTCATACATCCACTGCAATCAAGATACAGATCTGTTTCATCATCACAAAGATCTCTCTGATTCAACTCCTTTATAATCACATCTATCCTCCCTCTTCCCACTCCCAAGCCCTAGAAACCACTAACCTCCATCTCTTGGCCAATTGATTTTTGACAAAGATACCGATGCAATCCTATGAAGGAACGGAAAGTCTTTTTTTTTAATGTGCTGAAACATGTCAAACCTACACCCTTATCTCATACCATATCTAGAAACTTAATTCACTGTGGATCACAGACCTAAGCATAAAACTAAAACTGTGAAGCTTCTAGAACAAAACACAGAAGAAAATTTTTGTGATCTTGGAATAAGGAGAGCTTTTCTAGAGAATAGAAAAATTTTAAAATTGATAAATTAGGCCTTATCAAAATTTAAAACTCCTGCTCATCAGAGGATATCATTAAGAAAATAAATAGCCAAGCCACATACAAGTTACAGACTGGGAGAAAATATTTGCAAAATTTATATCTGACAAAGGACCCAGACCTTTGATTGATATATATATATATATATATATATATATATATATATATATATATATATATTTAAGCCCTTACAACTCAATAATAAAAAAATTTAAAACAAATTTTTGAAGGGCAGAAAATGTGAGCAAACACTTAACAAAGTGAAGTATGCAAATGGACAAGTATATAAAAAAGTGCTCAGTGTAATTGTCGGGGAAATGAAAACGAAAACTAACCACAGACTTGCTAGAATGGTTAAAATTTAAAAGACTGACAACAACAAGTTTTGGTGAGAATATGGAGCAATCAGGATTCTTGTATATATTACATATTGTTGGGGAAAGTTCTGGCAGTTTCATCTAAAACAAACACACTAGGCTAGAATCCTTAAAAAAAATTGAGCTCTAGCTAATTAAGGGCATACTGAAGTATCTGGAAGTGAGATGCACTGAAGTCTGCAACTTACTTTTAAAAGTACACAAAAAAATAAGAGATTGTTGAGTAGTTAGAGAGATAAATAGGTGTCATAGAACAATAAAGAAAAAATATTAATTTTAGAATCTAGATGGGGGGTCCATGGTGTTTACAATCCTTTCAACTTTACTACATGTTTTAAGTTTTTCTTAATGGATGCTTTATATTTTATGATTAAATGATGAAGCGGAAATGAATAAACTTCTCCACTTGTCAACAGCTCTAGTGAAAAAAGTATGATGAGAAGAGAGATGGAAACAAAAATATACAATGACATTTGGGATTCTCTGTGTATTTTTAAGCTCTCATTTTCTCCTCTGCCCAATTGTTCGGATAGATATTTGTCTCATATTCTAATATTCATGTTTAGAACTTTCATTTAAGGGTTCAAAGCATTGAGCAATATATAAATATCACTCTCAGCAAAAAATTCCAATTTCTATAAGAATTTTATATTTCTTAATGCAATTAAAAATATAACACTTAAAATGAAATAAATATACGCTTTGGGAGGCCAAGGTGGGTGGATCACTTGAGGCCAGGAGTTCAAGATCAGCCTGACCAACATGGTGAAACCCCATCTCTACTCAAAATACAAAACCTAGCAGGACATGATGGTGCACACCTGAAATCCCAGCTACTCGCGAGGCTGAAGCACAAGAATCGCTTGAACCTGGGAGGCGAAGGAGCCAAGATCACACCACTGCATTCCAGCTTAGGTGACAGAGCAAGACACTGTCTTAAAATAAAATAAAATAAAATAAAATATAGTGACAGTCTAACCAAAAGAATTCTGGAGGGAGAACTTATGTCTTGTTATCCTTATAGGCATTTACAAGACTGGTGCTCCCAAGCGTTCAAGTGTCAGGTAGCATGTTTTGTGTGGACTTTCAGATCCAGCACCGTGCTAAACCCAAAATGTTCCACTGGTCATGGATGTGGGGCTCCTGGAGGCTTCTGTGTTTCTCTTCCCCCTCCTCTTGTTTACGTCTGTGGCCAGTCCATGTTTTTATTAGAATGACTATCAGCATTCTGATAGTAACACATGTTACATCCACATGTGTGCCCTGAAGATGTTGGAGAAATAAAATGTATTCCCTAAAAAATACCACATAAATCACCAGAAAACCTCAACAAGAAATTTCTACTCCAAGACTACAATGTGGCTCTTTGAAGAAATAACAATTTTAAAATAAAGAAGAATGTAAACGGACTTTGAGTGCTCTCTGCAGTGGAATTCAGAGTCTCCCTATTTTTGTTTTTGTTTTAATTTTTCCCTTTTAAGAAATTCTAGCCAGGACATAGTGGCTCATGTCTGTAATCCCAGAACTTTGGGAGGTTGAGGCAGGGGGATCCCTTGAGCTCAGGAGTTTGAGACCAGCCTAGGCAACATAGCAAGATTTTGTTTCTACTTGAAAATCAAAAAAGTTATCTGGGCATGATGGTGAGTACCTGTAATCTCAGCTACTCAGGAGGCTAAGGTGGGAGGATTGCTTGAGCCCAGGAGAGAGGCTGCAGTGAGCTATAATCTATGATTGCACCATGGCACTCTAACCTGTGTAACAAAATAGATCCTGTCTCAAAAAAAAAAAGAAAGAGAAGAAAGAAGAAAGAAAGAAAGGAAAGAAAAAGAAAGAAGAAAAAGAAACATTTTATTAATTTTTTAAATTGCAGTAAAATATACACAACAGAAAATTTACCATCTTCACAATTTTTAAGTGTACATTTCATTGGCATTAAGTATATTCACACTGCTGTGCAACCATCACCATCATCCATTTCCAGACTTTTACGTTTGCAAACTGAAACTCCATACCCACTAAACAGTAACTTCCCACTACCCTCTCACTCTGGTCCCTGGCAACCATCTTTCTACTTCTGTCTCTATGAATTTGATTACTCTAGGTACCTCACATGAGTGGAATCATATAGTATTTGTTTTCTTGTAACTGGCTCATTTCACTTAGCACAATGGCTTCAGGATTTATCCGTGTTGTAGCGTGTGTCAGAATTTCCTTCCTCTTTAAGCCTGAATAGTGCTCTACTGTATGTTTTGCTTATCCACGTATCCACTGATGGACTGTTGGGTTGCTTTTGCCTATTAAGAGTAAAGCTGCTATGAACATGGGTATACAAATATCTGTCCAAGTTCCTGCTTTCAATTATTTTGGGTATATACTCAGAAGTGAAATTCCTGGACCATAATATCCTTTGCTTGTCTACATTAGAAAGAGCAGTTTTGAGAGCTGCAAAAAGTATGCTTGGAGAATGTAATAAATTTTGAAATTGTACAAATTAAATTCAGATTTAGAAAACTTGTGGCTTTTTTGCCTTTTAAAATATATTTTTTTTTGTTATGGAAAAATTTCAAACCTCACCAAAAGTAGAAAGACTAGTACAAGAAATTTACTTGTGCCGAAGTTTAGCTCCTTTACCCAACTCTAAAATGCGGCTAGCCCTTGAAAACAATATATTTTTACAACTCTGTTTATATGCTAAAAACATCATTCTTAGATGGCATCTAATTTCTGAAGTTAAAGAAAGATAGCATGTATGTACAAAATGAGGTTTACTTATTTTCTTAACTCATTTCAGAAGCCCTTGAAGATTTCCAAGTTGTGTTTTTTTAAAGATCATTCATTTAACTGACAATGCACACGCCCTGCAGTAAGCACCGTAAACTCCCAACACTTGAATGAAGACACTTCTGGGGAGCATCTTGTAAACCCTACTGAAAGCATCTGGTGGCTAAAAGGGGCTAATTCGGTTCATCAGAACATATAGGATCAGCATTTTTAGGGCTTAAGAGGTCAAAGGAGAAAGCACAATAAAAATCAACAAAGAGATGTTCATAAAATCACCGTGAACTGTAAAAGTAAACTAAACAGTAGAGTTGCTGGACCCGCCTTGGGGGAAAAAACTGACATTCCCTAGAGTGGTGTGGGTTCTGAGCAAGATGGCAATGGCGTTGCATGGGAACCCCTGTCTCCTCATTTGATGAACGCTCACATCAAAGGCGGTGGAGGAAACCCCAGCCAGCGCTGATGCTAACAAGACTGGAGTGGACTGACATGCCTTTTGAAAGTGATCAAATGATTTCTGTGGACTATTTGGGAAGGAAAGCTAAGCAGTTTGACATTTTCCAAACACATGGGAAATAATTAATATTTTAGAAAAACTCCAGATGACTGAGTATAAGAATGTGAAAAAATGTATGCTTGTGCCAATTAATAGCTGTGTGAAACCAGACAAGTTGCTTAACTTCTTCCTTATGTGAAAAATAGAGTTCCTTGTAGTTATTCATTGACTCAACCACGACTGTGTGCAACATATGTTCTGGGTGCTGGAGATCCAAGAGGTAAGGTCCCTATTCTCACGTAGCTAAGATTCCAGTGAGGGGAGACGGATAGTAAAATAAAGAAGATAGGTTTGGAGAGTAGTAGGTGCTATTAAAAAAATGGAATTATAAGAAGCTCATGCAAATATTTGAGGGAGGGCATTTCAGGCAGAGAGAATAGTAAGGGCAAAGGTCTTGAGGCAGAAAGGAGCTCAAGATTTCAAGAAGGAGGATTTCAAGAAGAGGCTTTCAAGAAGAGGAAAGAGGCCAAGAGGGGGGTGCAGCTCAGTGAGCAAGTTGGTAGGGATAGGAAAGGAGTCGGAAGTGTTAAATCAGGAGATGTGAGAAGTGGAAAAACAGTAAGTCTTCTTGAGCAGTGCAAGGAGTTTGGATTTTATCCTGTTACAGTGAGCCTTTGGGTAAATTTTATGCAGGGAGTGGCATGATCCGATTTATATTTTTCAACATTATCTGGCTGCTGCGTGGAAAGTGGAGAGAAGGGAGCTAAGAGTAGCAGAAAGGAGACCAGTTAGAAGGCTAATTCAGTCCTCTGTCCAAGCAAGGTAAGACGGTGGCCTGCACGGTGGTGGAGAAGCAGAGCCAAAGGAACTCCTGCAAATATTGAATATGGAGACTTCAGGGAAGAAGGATTATAATAATACTGACCTCTGAAATGAAATGAGATGGCACATGCCAAGTTAACTCATGGTATCCAGCTCATTAATGTTACTGAGATGAACATGGCATTGACAATGACTAAGGCCAGGAACAGGAGAAAGGGGGAGCAGGAAAAGGAGATTGTGGCTTGCCCTTTCCTGTAGGACCATGAACTATCTGACTTGCCTTTAGGGCAGCAAAAGCTTGACAAAGTCTGCAAAATAGGCAAGCTTTATACTAAATTTCAGAATGTAGAATATTGGAATGTTCTTTTGCCTTATGCTTTTTCTGTACCTGTTGAAATGATCATGTGATTTTTGTCCTTCATTCTGTTAAGGTGGCATGTCATATTAGTGATCTGATTTACTGTTGAACCAGCCTTGCATCCCAGGGATAAACCTCACTAGACCATGGTGAATGATCTTTTTAATGTGCTGTTAAATTTGGTTTACTGAGGATTTTTTCATCTACATTCATCAGGGATATTGACTTGTAATTATCTTTTTTATACTGTCCTGATTTGGCTTTGGTATGAGAGTAATGCTAGCCTTTTAAAATGAGTTTGGAAGAGTTCCTTTATCTTCATTTTTTTTGGAAGAATTTCAGAAGGGTGGCGTTAAAGCTCCCATGATGCTATCTGGTCCTGGATTTTTGGTTGTTGTTGTTGTTGGGAGGTTTTAAGTTACTGGTTTCATCTCCTTGTTGATCTATCCAGATTTTCAATTTCTTCATGATTCAGTCTGGGTAAATTGTATGTTTCTAGGAGTTTATTTCTTCTAGGTTATCTTAGAATAATAAAAATTCATGGCAGTCTCTTATGATCCTTTTTATTTCCTTGATATCAGTTGTAATATCTCCCCTTTTAGTTATAATTGGATCCTCTTTCTTTTTTTCCTTGGTTAGTCTAGTTAAAAAATTGTCAATTTTGTTTTTTTAAAAAAACAACCTTTAGTTTTGTTAATCTTTTCTATTTTATTTCTAGTGTCTATTTCATTTATTTCTGCTCTAATCTTTATTATGAAAACTCTAAGAAAATTAGACATGGAAGAATGTACCTCAACATAATAAAGGTCATATATGACAAGCCCACAGATAACATAATTCTCAACAGTGTTCCCCTATAATCCAGAGCAAGACAAGGGTGCACACGTCCACAACATCTATTCAACGTGGTATTGGAAGTCCTTGCCAGAGCAATCAGGCAAAAAACAAACAAATGAGCCGGGCGCGGTGGCTCACGGCTGTAATCCCAGCACTCTGGGAGGCCGAGGCGGGCAGATCACCCTGAGGTCAGGAGTTTGAGATCAGCCTGACGAACATGGAAAAACCAGTCTCTACTAAAAATACAAAAAACTAGTAGGGCGTCGTGGCGGGCGCCTATAATTTCAGCTACTCGGGAGGCTGAGGTAGGAAAATCGCTTGAATCTGGAAGGCGGAAGTTGCAGTGAGCCGAGATAGCACCATTGCACTCCAGCCTGGGCAACAAGAGCAAAACTCCATCTCAAAACAAAAACAAAAACAAACAAACAAACAAAAAAACACAAATGAATAAATGACATCCAAATTGGACAGGAAGAAGTTAAATTGTCTCTGTTTGCAGATAACATGATCTTATAAGTAGAAAACTCTAAAGACTCTACCAAAAAATAGTCAGAACTAATAAACAAATTCAGTAAGGTTTCGAGATACAAAATAACATACAAAAAGCAGTTGTATTTCTATACTGTAACAAAAAAACTAATCAAAAAAGGAATTAAGAAAAAAATCCTGTTTACAATGACATCAAAAAGAATAAAATACTTAGGAATAAATTTAACCAAGGAGGTGAAAGATCTGTATGCTGAAAACTATAAGACATTAATGAAAAAAATTAAACAAAACACAAATACATAGATATCCTGTGTTCATGAATTGGAAGAATTAATATTATTAACATTTCCACACAACTCAAAGTGTTCTACAGATTCAATGCAATTCCTATCAAAATTCCAATGGTATTTTTCACAGAAATAGAAAAAAAATCCTCTGGTAATCATTTCCCAAAGTGTGTGTACACATCAAATCATCACACTGTACACTTCAAATATATACAATTTTTATTTGTCAATTATACCTCAATAGAGCTGGAAAAAATAAATAATACTTTTAATAAAACAATGTTGGAATAATTTAACTGAGGCTTTACAGGGTATTCACAAGTTTCATCAAAATTTAATAAAGTGTGATGTGCAAAGAACACTGGTGGAGAGATCTGGCCATATCTGTGAGCTGAAAAAAGTTCATCCGACCTCGACACGCACCAAAAATCATCGACACCTTTTCTTGGGCACCTCAAGGAAGACAAGACTTTCCCAGAGATTTGTAGGAAAGCATAATAAAACAGACCAGCTTTTTCACAAATACAACAAGGGGCTTATCATGAAGGTAAGGAAGACGGCAAATAAGGGAAGGGAACGGTACTCATTTGCTGGGGTTGCCATGACAAAGGACCACAGACTGGGGGCCTTAAACAGCAGAAACCGATTGTCTCCCATACTGGAGGCTGCAAGTCTGAGATCAAGGTGTCTGCAGGGTTGGTTTCCTCCGAGGTCTGCGAGGGAGAATCTGTTCCATGCCTCTCCCTGAGCTTCTGGTCGCTGCTGGCAGTCTTTGGTGTTCCTAGGCTTGTAGAAGCATCACCCTGATGTCTGCCTTCATCCGGGTGTGCGTCTGTGTCCAAATTTCCCCTTCTTTTTAAAGGCACCAGTCATTTTGGATTAGGGACCATCTACTCCTTTATGACCTCATTGTAACATAACTAATTATTATCCGCAACAACCCTATTTCCAAGTAAGGTCACATTCTGAGGTGCTGCGGGTTAGAACTTCAACATATAAATTTTCAGGGGCATCTAGTCAACACAAAACAGGAACTAAGAGTCTCAAGAGCTCACTGTGCACCGGACACTGTGCTAGAAATTCCCCAAGACCCTGTAGAGTGGAGGAGTTTGGGGAAAGCTTGTTCTATAGCCGACTTGCAGAGTAGTTCCCTAAACGTATGCACGCACATGCGCACACGCACACATGCAATACATACTCTATTTTCTCTAATAATACTTCGGCTTAGTTTACTAGAACACACATATTTTTTACCTGTGGAGGATGACATGGTAATTTACGGTGTGAGGAAGAAATGGAACTGAGTAAGAAACGTGAAAAGGAGACAAAGTTGAAGTGCTGAGCAGCCACGATAGGGAGGGGATAATTCAAGTGTGAATGATTCAACATTGATGCTAATGCATTTTCAAAGCAAACATATGTCATTTAGAGACAATCTGATGTTTGTGGTTCTCTGTGCACCTCTTACTAGCTTGAGATAATCAAGAGTTGATTGTGTTCTAGCCTTCTGTTAGTCATCTTGCTAATCATAAAGTGTTCTACAAACTCTAGACAGAACAAACAACCCAATTGAAAAATGGGCAAAGAACTTGAGTAGGTGTTTCTCTCAAGAAGATATACAAATGGACAATAAGCAAATGCAAAAAGTCACGATATAACTAATCATTAGGGAAATGCAAACCAAAACCAATGAGATACCAGTTTACACCTATTAGGATGGTTATTATTTTTTTTTAAATAGCAGAAAATAACAAGCAATGACAAGAATTGGCAAGGATTCACAATCTACCGTGTGTGTGGCTGGTGGAAATGTAAAACGGTGCAGCAGCTGTGGAAAACCATGTGGCAGTTCTGCAAATAATGAAACACAGGATTACCATATGATCCAGCAATTCCACTTCTGGGTATTTACCCAAAAGAATTGAAAGCAGGTCAGGTGCGGTGGTTCACACCTGTAATCCCAGCACTATGGGAGGCCAAGGTGGGCGGATCACTTGAGCCCAGCCTGGGTGACAGTGTGAAACCCCGTCTCTACTAAACATACAAAAATTAGCCGGGCATGGTGCTGCACACCTGTAATCCCAGCTACTCGGGAGGCTGAGGCAGGAGAATCTCTTGAACCTGGCAGGCAGAGGTTGCAGTGAGCCAAGATCATGCCACTGTACTCCAGCCTGGGCAACAGAGTTTCTGTCTCAAAAAAAAAAATTGAAAGCAGGCACTTAAACAGTTATTTGCACACTAATGTTCATAACAGCATCATTCACAACAGCTAAGAGGTGAAAGCAACCCAAGTGTCTAGCAACAGATTAATGGATAAGAAAAATGTAGTATATACATACACTGGCATATTATTCAGCCTTAAAAAGAAAGAAAATTCTGGCACATGCTACAACATGGATAAACCTGAAGACATTATGCTAAATGAAAGAAGCCAGTCACAAAAGAACAAATACTCTATGATTTGACTCACATGAGATACTTACAGTAGTCAAATTCCTAGAGACAGAAAGATGGTTGCTGGGGGCTGGGGACCGGGAGTGGTGAGGAGTTTTGATTAATGGATACAAAATTTTAGTTCAGGAAGATTAAAACGTTCTGGAGATGGATGGAGGTGATGATTGCACAACAATATGAAGGTATTTAATGCCACAGAACCATATACTCAAAAATGATTGAAATGGCACATTTTTAGTTGTGTGTATTTAACCACACATTTTTTAAAAAGGAAGTAGGAGACACAGTCCTGGCCTTTGAATTGTTTCTGCTTGTGAGTAGCTCGTGCTTTGTCAGGAGTTAGCTGCATTCTGGGTTTTTTTTTTTTTCACTCTCCAAATTAAAACATAAAATGGAATATGTTAAACTCCTATTTTAAGAAGCAGGCAGCTTCCATTTGGGGGAATGAGAATGTGTATGTTGACTTTGAATTAGAAGAGAAGGAGAGTAACCCAACACATATTTATAGATCTGAACCAGAGTTGTGCTATAATTATTTATCTGAATACAAAGGAGGCTGGGTGTGGTGGCTCACACCTGTAATCCTAGCACTTTGGGAGGCCGAGGCAGGCAGATCACCTGAGGTCAGGAGTTGGAAACCAGCCTGGCCAAAAAGGTGAAACACCGTCTCTGCCAAAAATACAAAAAAATTAGCCAGACGTGGTGGCACATGTCTGTAGTCCCAGCTAATCGGGAGGCTGAGGCAGGAGGACCACTTGAGCCCTATAGAGATGAATGGTGGTTTGCACCAGATTGGAGATGGAGAAAAGCCATCAGAATCTGTTTATATGTTGAAGCTACAGCCAACAGGATTGCCTGACAAATTGGGTGATAGAAAGAGAAATGGCTTAGAATTTGAGACACGTGAGTGAAACAGCCATTTACAGATATGAGGAAGATGGTGGTAGAACAGGTGCAGGAGGGAAGTCCTATTCAGAAACTCTGTTTCTAACATGTACTCAATACGCAAGCAAATGGAGATGCCTAACAGGCAGTCAATAAACTACAGGAGTCAGAAAGAGTTCCAGAGTAGAGTCAAGGAGAGCATCAAGAAAGTGAGTCTAAATAGGGAGCAGGACCTAGGGCTGGGCTGGGCATTCCAGCTTTCAGAGGTCAAGGACAAGAGGAGGAATCCAGGGAGGATACTGCCGAGGAGCAACCAGTGAGCTAGAAAGAAAACCAGAGGTTGTAGAGAACTGGAAGCCAAATGATTTTCAGTAGAACACTGCCTTGCTGTGAAAAAGACTAGAGCCAGCCAAACCCCTGGTGGGGGTTGGGTCAAGGCTGCTGCAAAATGGGCATCCTTGGATTTGCCTTCTTAGCACTCTAAGAGGATTGATAGGCTTCAAGACCATCATCCCCTCAAGATAAATGTCTTTAGTGCTTCCCCCTAGACACTCTGAATTCAATTAGTTTAATTAGAAAACAAGTAAAGAGGAATTATCTTAATATAGCTTTGCTCCTAACAACTCAAAAAAGTCCATTTATTTGGCAGAAATCCAAGTTCCCTCTTTTGTTTATATATTCTGAGATAATGATGTAAATTTTCATTTCTGAGTAAAAAGGTAGACGTCTCTCACCCCGTCAATCATGGTTTTGTTTTAGTTTTAATAATAAATAATAACAATAATAAACACTTCCTGATTTCCTCATTTTTAATGAGGTAGGAGCAGTAATATGCTAGTAATGTTTAAATATCATTTAGTTTTTAAGTTGAGAGGGGGACTGTCTGATTTTTAGTGTTTGTCAATTGCTGTGGTGAAATTACTACCACTGTGGCTGATTTCAAGCTACTAAGATGAATCACTGAACTCAGAACTGGGAAGATGCTAACCATAAGTTCTTACAAGCCAGTAGGGGCTGATTCCAGCACACCAATGCGTAGCAATATTAGCTGTTTGCCAAAAATCCCTGCAAATCTATTGCCAAGGGAATTTTTCCTCTTACCGAGAGGCTACTTGAACTTGCATCAGTTGTAAAAGCAAGCTCAGAACCAAGATAATTGGGTTGGTAAGTGACGGGGGAGTTGTGTGAAGAGTAACTTCATTGTGTTTGTACAACAAATATATTCCTCCACAATTCATGCACTGACTTTCTCTAACTATAAGCGTGGGGCATCTGAGTGTAACAGCCTGAGAGCTCAGCATGGCGGTGCTAATGCCAGAGTGCCCAGTGGACACCCTGGGAGTCTGGGACCCGGCCTCCAGTCCAAGCCCTAGTACAAACATTCTGTCTCACCTTGGGCTAACTGCTTAATTTCTCTGGGCCCACACATTTTTCACATCTAAAATGTTAAAATGGGGGCTAGAAATAAGAGAACAGAACAGATAATCATCAAAGTTCGTTTTCTAAATCTTCAATATACGATCCCCTGAAATAACAGGACACTAAGTGGGAGGGCAGTTTTAAGTGATGCTGTTTCCAAAAATATCATAATTGGGAAACAATGGAAATTCCCAAGGAGGAGACTTCTTGCTAATTGCTGGATGGTCTGCAGAGAGCTGTGGTCCCTATTTTTAAGTGAAAGGAAGGCTTTCAAACAGGGTATTACTGCTGGGAAACAACAGCTCTCAACTGCCCTTCATTTCGTCTTGTGACGAGATGAAATGCTTGCTTCCATATGCCCATCTGCGAGGGCTCTCAATTAAACCCATAATGTCTACATGAGGCCCATCTCTTTGTTGGTTTATGGTCTTTCAGCCACGATTATCTGATGGGGTTATTATTCACTACACTATCCTTATATCAACATTTGCTTCAATCTAGTCTGAAAATACTAGAGAACATCCAGATTGTCATAGTAAGAGGTAAACTACTATACTGGAAATGTCTTTATCATATGTGTCAAGGTCATATATTTATGAAAGTGGCCAAGGATATTCATTGTTAGTTGCCCGCATGTAAAAATGGGGTTCTGGTAGGCACCTCTAAGAACATTTTTCTGATATACCTTGTGGGTTGCTTCAAGTAGCTAATGTTTCATAAATGAGGGAGATCTGGTAGTGAGAGATGAACAAGCATAGTGTATTTTATCTCTGGATGCAATGTCAGTATTTAAAAGAGCTTAGCTAGTGATATTTTTGCAACCATTGCCAGCAACTCGCCCATGATATGCAATATATAATACAATATAGGGGAGAATTCACAGCATCAAAGGCCAATGCTGAAAAATATCTTTTAGATGCTTAAATATATATTGTTCACAAACCACTGAGAGTGATTTGAAACTCAGAACAGAGAAAACTCCCTAAGCTTCATGAGATAGCCTTGGAAAGTTGAATGGCATACTTATTATTATTTTTTTTTAGCAAACCTGTAACCATCTTAAATGACTTAATAAATTATAGGCCATCCACCATACCTTTCTCATCCCCACATCACTCTGAACTATATTATTCTTGTTACCTTTGACTCCCAAATTTTCTTGCTTTAATTTATCTGCTGGTTCTCTTATGGCCACTGGAGAATTAATGGTGCATGTTAATACACATACCGTGTTGGGGGTAGCACACATGGTGGGCAGAAGGAAGCATTCCTGAGTAAAACACCTAGGTTCAGATCCTGGCTCTACTTGAAACCAGCTGTGTGACCTTGGACATGCTACAGAACCTCTCTGTATTTCAGTTTCCTCATCTGTAAAGTAGGGATAATAATAGTGTCTACTGGCCAGGTGCGGTGGCTCAAGCCTGTAATCCCAGCATTTTTGGAGGTTAAGGCAGGAACATTGCTTGAGCCCAGGAGTTAAAGACCAGCCTGGGCAACATGGCGAAAACCCATCTCTACAAAAAAATACAAAAATTAGCTGGATGTGATGGCCTGCACCTGTAGTCCCAGCTTTGCAGGAAGCTGAGGTGGGAGGATACTTGAGCCCAAGAGGTTGAGGCTGCAGTGAGCTGTGATCATGTTACTGCACTCCAGCCTGGGCAACAGAGCCAGACTCTGTCTCTAATAATAATAATAATAGCAGCATCTACATCATAGGATTATCGTAAGAACTAAATTGGGCAATTCATGTAAAATAATACTCAAAAGCTTATGGCATATACCCACTGACATGTACTTAGCATTCAATAAATAGTAGCTCTTGTATGTATTCTTAACTCTTGACAACTGAATTTGTTGAACTTCAGTGTGTGTGTATGGTGTGTGTGCGTGTTTAGTGATTATATGAGTTGTGTTTTGCTCTGGCTAAAACTAAAAGTAAGTTGCCTTTCTTGCACGTGTATCAGCTAGTGGGAGGAGGAGGTCCTCGAATATGGCGTGACACAGGGGGAGTTATTCCAGGATTAAAATACATCTGCTATGGGGAAAATCTACATGCAGACAATCAAGTTTATTTGATACACTTTACGAATTGATATATCATAGGCCTTTCCACAGACATTTTCACCCTAATGTAAAACATCGCTGAGAGGTGAAATGACTAGAGACTGTGGCTGAATGTCCTTAATTCACCGCTCTCCCTCTCCTTCTCCGTCCAGTGCACAGGGATATGCATGTCTCCCCCGTGTTGTAGGTGAGACTGTTCATCCAGAATACTTCCAGAAATTGGACCTTCTCCATACAGCCACGATCAAGGAGTCGCTTTATACTACAACTTCCTCACGTTTGGAAATGTGTGTCTCCCAACCATCCGAAGTTTAATGGGGCTTTAGCTGTGTCTAAGGTTGGCCGCAGGTGGGGGATGGAAGGAGGGGTTTTCTTTGATCCATCTAATGAATTAATGAATTAATCAGAGGTGGGGTTCAGAAGCCAGGCTCCTTACTGTTGCTGAAGCAGGGCTGATTATGAGCTAGCCTAACTGCTGGAAAAATGCAGCTTCATGCTAGAAGAATTAGGGACATGGCCCAGTCCATTCATCTTCCCTAATCGAGTTCTTGGGAAATACACACGTAGATTAGCCCCTAACAATGACCCCCGGCTGATTGCTTGGAGTACCCTCCACCGTGCCCACAATGGTACTGACTAGCTCTTTATGTCCTGCACAAAGGAAGCCCCAACTCCCCCTTGTCCTCCTCTGCCCTGTCTCCCCCACCCCCATCACCACCACCCCTGCCCTCGCCAGTGGCTGTTGAAGTCTTTTCTGCTTTTTTCCCCAGACTCTGAAACAAACAGTAAATAAAAGCTAACCTCACCTGGACTTATTAGGAGGAGCTGGGCAGTTCCAGAGGAATTAACTTTGGAAAACAAGGCCATAAACCCCTTAGCAGCGTGTGGGCAGGAGCTTAAGGAAACGCTGCCAATCTTTGTTTAGCGGTGATTATCGAGATCAATTTAATATTGGGGAAGTTTGCATAAAAAGCATTCTCGGTCAGAGGGGGAACAACAAATACCAATTAATTATCCCCACAGCTGCCCTCTGATCACCACCACCTCAGCACGTCAGCCACCTGGTCTATGTCACTGGCAGTCAGACCTTTTCGGGTGCCACCAGGCCATTTGTGGGCCCTGGAAAGGTGGAGGAGGGGCGGAGGAGGAGGCAAAACCTGGTCTGTCAGGGGACTTTCCAGAGGGTTTGTTAATTTGCCCTGGATGCCGGTACCCAAAGCCCACTCTCTATAGGCTCTGACTTTATTTCTTCTGGGAGCTAAACTGCTTCTACCTCCGCCTCTTAGATGCAGAATCCAGTCTCAGGGAAGGATTAAAGACAGACTGCAGGCTAAGATGGGCTTTGATTCTTTTCAAAAAGATCACACACTACAATAATAATTACAAATGAGCTGCAGGCAGAAAACACTGGACAAGGAGTCAGTGGCCTGAGTTCTAGTCCTGACCCTTCCACTTAATAGCTGTATCACTTTGAGCCTCAGTTTCCTCTTCTGTAAAATGGGGACCAATATGTCTGTCCTGCTCACCTCACAAGGTTGTGAAGATCAGATGACATGAAGAATGTGAGAAGATTCTGAAACCTACAAAGTGACATGTCGAGAGAATTGCTTGAGCCCAGGAGTTCCAGGCTGCAGTGAGCCACCATCATGCCACTGCACTCCAGCCTGGGCAACAGAGAGGGACCCTGTCTCTAAAATAAACAGACAAATAAATAATAAGTAAATAAAGTAATATGTGAACACTGTAAAGTGCTATTAACTTTCATTAATTTTAGCTTTTTTCTTAAAAGATAATTTCTGACTTGAATTAGTTCAATTTCTATCTCCTGCAGTCACATGCTTGCCCTTATTTTAGTTTGCCATTATATAGTTTTATTAAAAGTAGATATGCCCATCATGGGGAATTAACCATTGAATGATCCTTAAGAAATTGACTTGTCCTCCGCAAACATCCTTCTAACACCAATTTAAAGGTTGGGGATCTGAGGATGTGTGTTTTCCCTCTTCCTTTGTCTTGTCTTCCAGACTGGACGTTAAACTCCACCAGGCCAACGGCCCTGGCCTTTCCCAATTTGTTTGATGCCCACGACGTGGCCCTCGACGGTTGCCTTGCCCTCTAAAGGGACGCAGCAAACGCTTGTCTGAACGCAAGCGGGATAAAGAAGACACCCCTGCTGTGGAGATCAGAGCGCCTACTGAAAAGGAGATTTTAGGGATATTGTCCTCTAGGTCCTTGAGCTTTTATAGGAAAGCATTTTAATTCACGGTTCAGGCCACCAGTTCAGGGAAGGCCAAGCGCTCGCCTCGGGTCTCGCCTCAGATTTGAGGGGTGAGACGTTCACAGCGCCATTGTCCATCCGCGCTGCTGGAGGTGAAACACACTCACCCTATCCAATCATCTTTCCAAGTGGCCGATCAGTCACTGTGGGCCACGGAAGCCTCGAGGGGGTCCAAAGGAGAAAGAACTGCAAGCCAATTACTCCTGAACCCTCGGGGAGGCGAGAGGCCTCTTCCCCGGGAGAAGGTCCTTCCCCAGCCAGCTCTGGGCCATCTCCTTGGCCCGGAGTGTTGGAGGGAGGCGGGAGTGCGACACCGCTGCTCATCAGTAAAGGAGCCCGCCCTCCCCGCAGGACAAGGGGCGGGAGCGAGGAACTCCAGGTGGGTCTCCTGCGGGACCTGAGCCCGGCAGCACATCCGACTCGGGGCTCCCAGTCTCCTGCTGGGCGATCGGGCGCTAGAGGTCACCGGACTTGCGGACATAAATGGCCCTGGGGTGGGCGCTGCGGGGAAGGAGGGAGGCTGCCGGCGCTCAAGTCCGAGGGGACTGGGAGGAGTTACAACAGATATAGACGGACAAACTAAACGCGAGGTCCGGGACTTCGTACAACCCAGCCAAGAAAGGAGTGGGTCCCGAAAAGGGAGCCAGCGAGGGGAAATTCAAACTGCGACGAGTGCGGGGCTGGGAAGCCTTCGGCTGGGTCTCGGCGCTTCCAGGGGGCACAGGCCAGGGTGGCGGCCCCGCGGAGGTGAGCCAGAGGGGGCTAGAGGGGCGAGTCTGAAGCTGGGGAGGGGTGCGTCCAAGGAGGGAGGTGACCCCCAGGGGGTAGTCTGAAGTGAGAGGGTAAGCCCGAAGTAGAGGGAGACAAACGCAAGGGGAGAGATGAGCCCAAGGGCGTCGGCCCCACTGAGGCAGGACTAGGGGTGCGCCGCGACCAGGTTCCCGAGCCCATCAGGCATCCCGCCGCGGATCCCCGGAGTGTGTTTGTAAAGCTTAAAACGGATCAAGAGGTGGAAGGGGAATATTCCTAGTGCCGGCCCAGGGGTGGCCACTAGAGGACCCTGTGGCTGGGCCGGGTGAGGACACGCCCCTCTGTGGAGGGAGGGGCCGAGAGAAGGGGCTGGGTCCAGGGCGAGAGGGGAGGAGCCGAGGGCCAGTTGGCTCCCCGCCTTTAGCGCCGAGAGCCCCAGCTACCCCGAGCCCGAACTTCCGACTTCTGGGACTAAGGCGGCAGCGGGCTGAGCGCTCGGCCACCCCCAGCGTGCGCAGCCCGGGCGGGCTTCGCCCGCGGAGCTTGACCTAGGGTCGGGACCCGTCGGGTTGCACCGCCGCACTCGGGAAGACCCGGCTTCGAGCCTCTCCTCTCCGTCTCCAAAGCGCCCTCCCGCCTCCCGGCGCTCCCCATGCACCTGCCGGGCTGCGCGCCAGCCATGGCCGACGGGAGCTTCTCGCTTGCCGGCCACCTGCTCCGCAGCCCGGGCGGGAGCACCTCGCGACTTCACAGCATCGAGGCCATCCTGGGGTTTACCAAGGACGACGGGATCCTCGGCACCTTCCCGGCGGAGCGGGGCGCCCGGGGCGCGAAGGAGCGGGATAGGAGGCTGGGCGCGCGGCCCGCCTGCCCCAAGGCGCCCGAGGAAGGCTCCGAGCCCTCCCCGCCGCCAGCCCCGGCGCCCGCCCCCGAGTACGAAGGTGAGTGCGCACCCCTGGCTGTGCGAGGCCGTTCGGGCGCCCGAGCTTAGGAGTTGGCCAGACGAGAGCGCCCCTTCCTTAACTTTTATTAAGGCAACTGGGCGCGGGGTTGGGGACCGTCTATGGCGGGAGCTTCCAATTTGCATTCAGAGAAAGCTTAGGACCCATCGCCGCCCTCACCACGGACCTCCCCGGGCCATCTCGGAGCCCGCAGGCGGGCTGGCCAGTGCCCACAGCGAGGCGGGGTCGGCCCAAGGGTGTTTTGGGGAGTGCATCTGACCCTCCCGGGCCTCGTCGCCCCAGCCCCTCGACCCTACTGCCCCAAGGAGCCCGGGGAGGCACGGCCGAGCCCAGGGCTGCCCGTCGGGCCAGCCACCGGCGAAGCGAAACTGTCAGAGGAGGAACAGCCCAAGAAAAAGCATCGGCGGAACCGCACGACTTTCACCACGTACCAGCTGCATGAGCTGGAGCGCGCGTTCGAGAAGTCCCACTACCCGGACGTGTACAGCCGCGAGGAGCTGGCCGGCAAGGTCAACCTACCAGAGGTCCGGGTCCAGGTAAAGCGCCCAGGTTGAGGAACTGGGATCTGGGAGGGCCCGAGGCCCAAATTGCAGCCAATGCTTCTCGGAATTCACGGGTGTCCATGCATTTATTACTGTCCTTCCTCGACTTGGCATGCCCAGAGTCTCAAGGGAGAGGCACAGATCTTCGATGTTCCCTGTGCATCGCCCTTCAAGCAGTCTGTTCCAGTTTGTAGTACGAGCTCCCCTTTGGGGGTTTCCCTCTTCTAAACTCAAAATAGAAGATGGGAATGACTTGCAAGATGAAGAGGCCGACAGCTCATTAGACATAGCCAGGAAGGGGTTGGGGGTTGCTGAGTGGAAATGGAATGCAGGTAGTGATCGAGGGTGACAGGATTGGGGCCCCAAATGCCACCCTCGTCACTAGCTGCGAATACCGAGTTGGAAACGAAAACCCTGTTTCCTTGCGAAGGGCCTGGCACCTCGCAGTTGAAACTTCGGGTGGATTTATTTAAGAAACTGACTTTTCCTTTTCTGGTGCACATCCAACCAAACTTCTCGCTGCAAAGGCCTTTTCTTTTTATTGTAAAGGGGTTTTCGCTTTAATTAAAGCTGAATTATCTTTAATCCCTGATCATTAAAATATTTGAAAGCCTTAAATATTTGCTAGTCATCTGTGAAAAATCTGGGAGGATTTCCAAATTGGGAGAGTTTACAGAGGGCTGAAAGAGAGACATTGGGAACAAATTTCACTGCATCTGAAAGGCAGTGGAACTAAGATGGGATTTTTGTGTGTGTCTAATAAATTAGATTTCCAGGAAATGAGAACACTCAAGTGTTCGGAGCTTTTATCCATGTCTTAAAAGTAAAAGAGGACAAGCTGCTGCTTTTTCTTTTCTGCTTAGTTTAAGAGTTGAAAGTAATGAGTAAAAGTCATGGCTTAAAAAATATAATTCCCTAATGTGACTTGGGATTAACCAGCAAGGACAGTTCAATGTCTCCTAATTTGGGGCAGTAAAGCTGCAGTGATTTCACTGAAGGGGTGGAAATTTTATCACCTGCTTTCAAAAAAAGAAGGATGGGAGAGGGAATGAATACAAGAGAAAGAGTAGAGGCAAAGCCTTCCAGTACCCTACAGAATCCAAGCAAAGCAGACTCAGCTCCCTGGGCACTTGAGCCCACCTGCATCCTCCCTCATTACTTGTTCAGGAGTTTTGGCTTCTCCTCTAAGTTGTGAGATTCTTGAGAACAGTGTCTGTGACTTCTTTGTGACCACAGGGCCAGCACAGCACCCAGCATATGGCCATTCTTAACACATGACTATGATGTAATCAGATGGTAGAGATACTAGGCAGGATCTCCCACACCGAGGGCAGCAGTAGAGCATTGCAATAACCGACCTCAATCCTTCAGTCTATAACCTGGGACACTAGATCTGAAGGCTACAGCTGATGTGGTAGGGAATTGAGTGGGACAGACAGGGAAGCCGAGAAGGTGGTGGGACAGGAGCCCTCACCCAAATCAGTGTTTCTTTTCTCTACTGTTGGCAAGTATCTAATATTTAAGGGAGACTTGAGGCCTTAGATATGCAGATGAATCTTTTCTAGGATGGTACAGGGTACTTACACTTTTGTTGTTTCTCTTTTTCTCCCTAATTGCAGCCTCTCACACACTTGCCCTGCGGTGCTTGGGTGCTGGATTGCTGTTCTTTCAGCTCTCCTCGGGGGTCCCCTGCCCTTATTGACTGAAAACTACTTTCTCCCTTCTGAGGTTGCAACAATCTCCCCATTTCCCTTCATAAATATAGCACTAAAGCCACCAGTTTGGCTGAAATTCTTTTGTGTTCTCTACTAAACGGATTCTCTGTCTTGCCTGTGAAGGTGGAACTGGTAGTAAAAATGTAATTACACATATTCCAGCACTTTTATCAAATCAGTAATGAAGTTTCATTGGAAGAACCCGACGTTACTCTTGGCAAGGACTTCGTACAGATAAAGAAGAAGAAGCAAAAAACCTTGTCATTGAGCTAAGGTCTTAGGGTAATGTCAAAATTAACTTTGTAATGTAAAAGTAGATATAATAGACTGGAATGATTGTACTCCTTGAAAGTAATAACAAACAGCAGAAATAGTAAGCAGACATTAATTAAATAAAAATAAAAATATTAAAGCAGCAATTCAAATATGGTTGGGGCAAAATAAACCCCACTTGCTCCTATCTAGTTATCATAACCAGTAATCCGTGAAAAGAGCTGAATTTTAACGCCCATTCTTGCCAATTACTCTACTTAACAATATTTATTTATACCTGTATTTAGAGACAAAGGGTAGGTAAAGCAGAGAAAGTCTGAGACCAAAATACAGCAACTTAGATCTGTACCATACAGAGAACAAGCAAGTCTAAACTGTTAGGAGGGGCTGCCAACCAGAAGGTCACAGAAAATTGGTGAGATCTCGTTTCAAAGTTCTACGATTCGATTGCGGAGTTAAATTCACTTTTTTTTTCTGAGCTTCTGCTACGCACTAGGAGTTGGAAACAGATACAACCACAGCTATGGATAAACAGAGAAAAGGGTGGGACGCCACGGAGGACTAGGATGGGACAAAGAGACTCAGAAGAGGCGATAATGGAGAGAAGAGGCCAAAAAAAAAAAAAAAAGAGAGAGAGAGAGAGAGAGAAAGGGGATGGAAAAGAAAAGAGAACGCGGGGTGGGAGGAGTAGGAGTGGGTGGAAGGAAGGAAGATCCGGGCCTCTCTCGGCACATGCATAACAGTTGCGCCCCTAGTTTTATTTGAGGGGGACGGAGTGGAGCCCGCCGAGCTGAACCGGCTCAGGGTTGGGGACGCGGCCGCAGCCTCCGCTGCTGCCCGACGGCCCCTGTGCTCTCTCCTGCAGGTGTGGTTCCAGAACCGACGGGCTAAGTGGCGGCGGCAGGAGAAGCTGGAAGTGTCCTCCATGAAGCTGCAGGACTCGCCCCTCCTCTCCTTCAGCCGCTCCCCGCCCTCCGCGACGCTGTCGCCCCTCGGGGCGGGCCCGGGCAGCGGTGGCGGGCCGGCTGGGGGCGCGCTGCCGCTGGAGTCCTGGCTCGGGCCGCCGCTGCCGGGCGGGGGCGCCACGGCGCTGCAGAGCCTGCCGGGCTTCGGGCCGCCGGCGCAGAGCCTGCCTGCCAGCTACACGCCACCGCCGCCGCCTCCGCCCTTCCTGAACTCCCCGCCGTTGGGCCCCGGCCTGCAACCTCTCGCGCCGCCGCCGCCCTCCTACCCGTGCGGGCCCGGCTTCGGGGACAAGTTCCCGCTGGACGAGGCGGACCCGCGCAACAGCAGCATCGCGGCGCTGCGTCTGAAAGCCAAGGAGCACATCCAGGCCATCGGGAAGCCGTGGCAGGCCCTCTAGGGGCACTGGGGAACGTCTTGGGATCCGACCCCGGGCCGACCGCACCGTACCCGCATCCTCTCTCCCAGGGACAACCCCCCTCCCCAGCTCGGCCCCTCTTTCCCTGTCGCCTGCAGCCACCCGCCAAGCATAGTTCAGGGCCACGCGCCTGCTCCCGATGCACGGGGAGAAGGGCGACTTTCAGGCCTGAGGAGAGGCCCTCTGGCCGCCTCAACGCACTTCGCGGACCTCAGCCCTGCAGCTGGAGGGCAACAGGCTGCCGGGCCCCGCTGGCCACGCCGCTCCCATCACCGCAGGCGCTGGAGCCTCCAGGCCCAAACAGGCTGAAGCTCCTAAACTTGGCCATTCCCAGGAGGCTTGGAGACCCCCAGATAACCATAACAGGGAAGCAGGGGAGGCGGAAAAATAGAGTTTGAGAAACTTTTGTATAAGTAGTTTCAAACTATTTGAGAGGAGAATTAAAGACATGCTTGTTTTGTTTCGACTCTGTTTAAGCACGCTCAGGACTTGGGGAGAGGAGTGAATATTGGGGTACGGGAGGAGGGTGCGTTGACGGACAGGGTGGGTCAGGGAAAGAGGAGGACTGAGAAGAAGCTCAGGGTTTCCTTGTGAAAATTCTAGGGACACTTCGCTGCAGCAGAGAATCGTCCCCATTCCGAACGCTTCGGCGGCCTAGACCAGAGGCGCCCTTCCCTGGAGCCGGCGTGCGCGCTTGGGGTCCGGAGTGGATGGGGCTAAGGCTCAGATGCTAGCGCGCTCCCAGTTCCCCCGCTAGCCCCATAGTCCAGCGGCAGCTGATATTTTCAAGTTTGACTTCAATAGAAAGCGTCAAGACCACCTTCCCTAGGGCGAGAGCGAAGTGTCCCCCGGCCCCTGGCGTCCCCGCTCTCCTAAGGACTCCTCTCAGTTCACCAAGCAGATCTCCGGTTCGGTGCCAGTCCCTAACACCCAAGGTTGATCACCAGCGGTACAAGAACTGAGGCAAAGAGATGCTTTTCCTTTTCGGAGCCGCGAGACTCTCTAACCTCCCCAACTCGCTCCACACTCGCCAACCCAGAGTTCGGTAAAAGGCGCGTCTGGTGAGGTGCCGCGCTCGGAGAGTGTCCTGGAGCGCCCTACGCCACCGCCCCGAGAGCTAGTTCTTGCGGGCGTGCCCTGGACAGTATCTGCAGTTCTTTGGCGCCGGCTCTAGGGCGAGGAAGGAATCTCGAAATCTCAGCCCGCTTCACAATCTCCTGAGACTCTCTGAAGAAGGAGAGTCCCGGACTCCCGCCTGAGCGTGCTCGATATCCACCGTTGACACTGGAAGCTGGGCGACCGCCAGCAGAACCTGGATGCCCGCCAACAGGTCCTGGCACGGGGGGGGGGGGGGCGTCCACCCCACAACCCCCGTCCCTAAGCGTGCTTTCAGGATGATGCCCCCAGAGCCTTAATTAGCATCAACTGGCTACTGTCTGTCGGTCCTGAGCAAATTAGTGAAGCTCCCAGTCCCCTTTCCTCGTCTAAATAAACTCTGTCTCTCTGGAAGGTGGGAAAGATGGAATAAGATCACCTGTAAAGGCTTTGTGGAAAGTACCAAGACCCTGGCATGACGCAATATGGATTGTAATCATCGTCCCCATTTCCCCGAAATTCCCTGGCTGTTCTCCGGTTCCTGAAACCGACTTGGGAAAAGGATGACCACGCTGGAGCTGGGAATATGGGAAGCCTCATCATAGTTTCCAGTCCTTTCTCTGCGGGTCTAAGAGGCTATTGCATAACCAGGGCTGTGTACCCCTAGACCTCCAGATGGTGCCTTGCACACAGTAGGCTGATCAGTAAAAATGTACTGAATAAATTATTCCCCCCCAAGAGGTAGGGAGTAATATCTGCACTTTTCCTCACAAGGATGTCTCCTTGGGGGAGGAGGATGGAGCAGCCCGTGTGTTATCACCTTTTAGCAAGAAAACAAAACAAAACAAAACCAGAATGAATGTGTGTTTGGCCTATCATTTGTTTCATTCTTTCATTCCCTAGGGATGATTTATTTACAGAACTTCCAACTTCATGGGCTCCAAGTGAGTACCACACGTGCCCTGTCCTCCTTCTTACCGCAGTCTTGGGCACCTGTGACCTTGAGCATGCCACCGTCAGCATCTTCTTCACTTCCCTTAGATCATTGCCAAGATTATCCATTTCTTCTCCTCTGTGCTGTTTTTCAATTCTTTCCTTATGAGTTTTTCTGCTACTTCCCCTTCCTCTTCTACTGTTTAGTTTCAGATGAGAATAGATTTTCTTCTAAACCATCTCTCCAGGCATCATTTCAGAGACAAGCCCTTGGAAAATGATCACGAAAATATAAATAGCTAATAATTATTGAAGGCTTACTATGTGCCAGCACTCTTCTGAGAGGTTTCCATCTAGTGGCTCAGTTAAGCCTCACCACAATCCTACCAGGAAGATACAATTAGCCCCATTTTATAAATGAGGAGACTGAGGCATGGAGAGGTTGTCCCAGTTTACATTGTTTCTAAGTGCTGGGGCTGAAATAACCAAAAGTGTCCATCATAGTGCGTGTTGGGAAAACATTGCTGATAAGTGCTCCTTATATCAATTCTACGACAGCTCATTAGGCCATATTGGGAACTGAGATCCTGAGCGTTGGGCACTAGCTGTGCTTTCCTGAGCCTCCTGGAGAGATCTTCACACATCATCTGCCCCAGGGTTCCCCCGTCCCCAAGCCCCGCAGGGCAGCTCTGAGGGTGGGAGATTCACTGCCAGCTCTAGGAGTAGGGGTGCAGATGGGACGGGAATCCAGTACTTAACTCTGGCTGGAGGTGAGCAGCTTGTGATAAAGAGCATTAAAACCCCGATGGCCCTGAAACACTTGGGGCCCCTCTGCTCAAGCCCATGGCTAGAGAAAACGCTTTGCAGAGAGGCGCCGGCCGAAGTTGAGTCACAAGCTTCCAAAACTAGACTGTTGGCTCGGTCTAGGACGGGCATGAGGCTTTCAGGGACCCCGAGGGAAGCCTGCATCACTTTCCCAAGAATCACATGCAATGGTTCTTGAATCTTCTCTAATGAGGCTGCAAATTTGGCTCAGGTGATGCTACCAGTGCCCACAGAAGGAAAACAAGAACCACATGGGTCTTACGAGGTTCCAGAAGAAAAGGCACCGTGCTGCTCCAAGCACAGACCTAGGGCAAGCCTCTATTGGCTTCAGTCAATTCAAGAGGTCTGGAGATGCTTCCTTCCCAAACCCCGACGACGTCTGCTCTGACCCGCCCTAGGAGGAAAGCAAGCGGGTCTGTAGACCGGGATCCTCTTCTGCTCTTGCGAACCAGGTTGGGCGGGGCCTGGGCGGGGCTCTCAGATAGCGAAGGCGGGGAGGGGAAGGACGCCGCGAATTGGACCGCGCCGAGAGAAGGGCGGAGTCAGGCACTTTTGGGGAGGTGGGGAGCTGACCGCTCTTTGAGCCTCGGGGTACCTCCGCTGACCCAGAGAGCTGGAGCCTGCCGGGAGCGGACCTCCCCCGCGACCCCGTGGCCACCATCAGCCAGCCCCACGGCAGTTTTTGTTTTGTTTTGTTAGAGACAGGGTGTCGCTCTGGCGCTGAGGCTGGAGTGCAGTGGCGCAATCATAGCTCACTGCAGCCTTGACCTCTCAGCCTCAAACGATGCTTCTGCTTCAGCCTCTCGAGTAGCTGGGACCACAGGCGTGCGCCACCAAGCCCGGCTAATGTTTTTTGTTTTTACTTTTTTTGTAGAGACGAGGGTCTCACTATGTGTGCCAGGCTGGCCTCCAACTTCTGACCTTCAGCGACCCTCCCGCCTCGAACTCCCAAAGTGTTGGGATTACAGGCGTGAGCCACCGCGTTTTAAGTTTTGCGTTTTTCCCTTTCTGGAGCAGTCTCTGCGCGCGAGGGCGGCGTGTCCATAATGCGCGCCACGGCTCCCGGCTTCTGTTGGCGATGCTCGCAGCCCAATTTCTTTCCTGCACGGACGCAGGGGACTGAGGGCTCGGCCTCTCTGGATTGCTGGGCTCCAGAGGCTCGACGTTAAGAGAACAGCTGTAGGATGGCGGAGGCGCCCTCGCTCAGTGTCCTGAGGTTCCCGTAGGACCGCGGAGGCGCCCTCGCTCGGTGTCCTGGGGTTAGGCACTGCGGCCCTGGACCGGTCCAGGCTGTGTATCCCTAGTGGATTTCCTAGTTCCGAACACGGTTCTGTCCCCTGCCGGTCCGAGCCCCCACCTGCGCTGCTCAGGAGGGTGATCCGGGCTGGTCAGGGTGGGATGGGGTGGAGGGACTGGAAGAGAACCCCCAAGAGGGGCGGGCTTTGACCAGAGGTCACCAACTAAACTGGGACCACCCTGCTAAATTTATTTACCCTAAATACATATTCAGTGTTTGGGGAATGGGAATTGTCAAACTAGTGGAGACAATCCCTGCCTGTTCCCCACCCCGCCCCAGTTAATCTAGAATCTGGTGACGGTAGAGGGAATGCCAATTGCTCCCTCTCTAGTCCAAATTCACAGGCTAGCTGAAAGTCTTTGCGGAGACCGCTGGAGCCCACGCGCAGGAAGCTGGGGGCAGGGGGCGGCAAGAGAGACCAGGACCCCCAACTCAGCTTCCAGAGAGCGTGTTCCCCACACGGTCGGCGTACGGTGAGGGCACCCTGGGTGCGGACCCGAGAGCCTTGGCGGCTTCAGCATTTGATGAGATGCTGTCCCCATCATCCATCCCATCCAGCTCCGCCCCTCACCCCAGGCTCCCAGCCCCACTCCCAGCCTTGCCCAGTCCGCTTCTCCAGCCTACATTCCAAGAGCTCCTTTTCACCAGCAGAATCTTATTACATGAATGGAATCCAAGCCTCCAGGAGGTGGGCAGGGAAAGACTGTCAGGGAAGATAAAATTAAAAATTAATTTATTACAAAATACAATTAAAGTAATTAACAGCTGCACTTCCTCTTCGCTCAGGTAGCCAGAGCTCCGCACTCCCCCTTGGTGCCTTCTTGCCCTCCTGGTAAAGGCGAGACCCCGCAGCGCCAGACGGACGCACCCGACCCTTGTGGAGGCGGATGGTGCTCTCTGTGACCTTGTCGTCCCTTTTATTGGGGACCAGCTCTAATAATCTGGCCTCCGCTTGTTAACTGTACAATAGTGGGCAGAGTTAATGACTCATTAGTGATTAATGCCTTTACCACGCCTTAATTGCTCACTATAAAACCCCTTTGGTAAACTGGATTAAATCATCTAGATCCTTGACCACACCTCCCCCAGCCCTGGCGGACACGGAAACTGCAGGGTTCCCCAGCACCCTGAGCCGTCGGCTTTTTAATGGCAGGTGCAGTGGCAGCTCCTTTGCCTGGGAGTCAGGAGATCTGTGGCCCAGTCGTGACTGTGACATTGCTTGTTCCTGGGACCTTAAACAGAGTACTGTCAACAAACTTCACTGGAGCACTAGGTCTCTAAGATCTCTGCTCCCTCATTACTTCACCACAGACACCTAAAATGTGACAGCTCATTTGAGAAGCAGCTTTCCTCTGCTCTGTGCTTAGTATAAGTGTGTGTGTTTATGTTAGTGGATTCTGAATGAATTGTATACAAGAATATCTTCCTGTCCAAAGTTGTCTGCAAAATGTTTTTTCCAATCCTAACAGTGGCTGGATTCTGCAGTCTCTCTAGAGATATTTTTTTAAAATGAGGTTCTAGTTGTGTTCTTTCCTGTACCATCTTCATTTCCTGCTGTCTTTATCTAATCTGCAGACCGTTACAAAACATGGTGGGCCTAGCCGGGCATGGTGGCGGGCACCGTAATCCCAGCTACTCGGGAGGCTGAGGCAGAAGAATCTCTTGAACCAGGGAAATGGAGGTTGCAGTGAGCCGAGATCGTGCCACTGCACTCCAGCCTGGGAGACAGAGCAAGACTCTGTCGTAAAACACACACACACACACACACACACACACACACACACACACACACACACACACACCATGGTGGGCATGTAATGATAAAGTCCTAACACTCAAGGAGCATGGCCTAAGGAGGGGAAATAAGGACCCAACTGTACATAAATTTCCAAATGCCTACTGGTTTCCTCCACCTGAACATCCCAGAAGCTATCCCAAAACAAATGCATTCACATAAAATCTTATTTTTTGCTCTGTAGGCTCCTAAAAGCTCCATAAAATCCTTGTTCCTCTTTCAGCATTTATGTGCATCTAATGGATACGATGAGAATAATTCTCTCTTTTTTTATTATACTTTAAGTTCTAGGGTACATGTGCACAACGTGCAGGTAAGTTACAAATGTATACATGTGCCATGTTGGTGTGCTGCACCCATCAACTCGTCATTTAACATTAGGTATATCTCCTAATGCTATCTTTCCCCCCTCCTCCCACCCCAAAACAGGCCCCAGTGTGTGATGTTCCCCTTCCTGTGTCCAAGTGTTCTCATTGTTCAATTCCCACCTATGAGTGAGAACATGCAGTGATTGGTTTTTTGGCCTTGCGATAGTTTGCTGAGAATGATGGTTTCCAGCTTCATCCATGTCCCTACAAAGGACATGAACTCATCATTTTTCATGGCTGCATAGTATTCCATGGTGTATATGTGCCACATTTTCTTAATCCAGTCTACCATTGTTGGACATTTGGGTTGGTTCCAAGTCTTTGCTATTGTGAATAGTGCCGCAATAAACATACATGTGCAGGTGTCTTTATAGCAGCATGATTTATAATCATTTGGGTATATACCCAGTAATGGGATGGCTGGGTCAAATAGTATTTCTAGTTCTAGATCCCTGAGGAATCGCCACACTGACTTCCACAATGGTTGAACTAGTTTACAGTCCCACCAACAGTGTCAAAGTGTTCCTATTTCTCCACATCCTCTCCAGCACCTGTTGTTCCCTGACTTTTTAATGATCGCCATTGCAACTGGTGTAAGATGGTATCTCATTGTGGTTTTGATTTGCATTTCTCTGATGGCCAGTGATGATGAGCATTTTTTCATGTGTCTTTTGGTGGCATAAATGTCTTCTTTTGAGAAGTGTCTGTTCACATCCTTCGCCCACTTGTTGATGGGGTTGTTTTTTTCTTGTAAATTTGTTTGAGTTCATTGTAGATTCTGGATATTAGCCCTTTGTCAGATGAGTAGATTGCAAAAATTTTCTCCCATTCTGTAGGTTGCCTGTTCACTCTGATGGTAGTTTCTTTTGCTGTGCAGAAGCTCTTTAGTTTAATTAGATCCCATTTGTCAATTTTGGCTTTTGTTGCCATTGCTTTTGTTGTTTTACACATGAAGTCCTTGCCCACACCTATGTCCTGAATGGTATTTCCTAGGTTTTCTTCTAGGGTTTTTATGGTTTTAGGTCTAACGTTTAAATCTTTAATCCATCTTGAATTAATTTTTGTATAAGGTGTAAGGAAGGGATCCAATTTCAGCTTTCTACATATGACTAGCCAGTTTTCCCAGCACCATTTATTAAATAGGGAATCCTTTCCCCATTTCTTGTTTTTGTCAGGTTTGTCAAAGATCAGATAGTTGTAGATATGTGGCATTATTTCTGTGGGCTCTGTTCTGTTCCATTGTCTATATCTTTTTTTGGTACCAGTACTATGCTGTTTTGGTTACTGTAGCCTTGTAGTATAGTTTGAAGTCAGGTAGCGTGATGCCTCCAGCTTTGTTCTTTTGGCTTAGGATTGACTTGGCAATGTGGGCTCTTTTTTGGTTCCATGTGAACTTTAAAGTAGTTTTTTCCAATTCTGTAAGAAAGTCATTGGTAGCTTGATGGGGATGGCATTGAATCTATAAATTACCTTGGGCAGTATGGCCATTTTCACGATATTGATTCTTCCTACCCATGAGCATGGAATGTTCTTCCATTTGTTTGTATCCTCTTTTATTTCCTTGAGCAGTGGTTTGTAGTTCTCCTTGAAGAGGTCCTTCACATCCCTTGTAAGTTGGATTCCTAGGTATTTTATTCTCTTTGAAACAACTGTGAATGGGAGTTCACTCATGATCTGGCTGTTTGTCTGTTACTGGTGTATAAGAATGCTTGTGATTTTTGCACATTGATTTCATATCCTGGCACTTTGTTGAAGTTGCCTATCAGCTTGAGGAGATTTTGGGCTGAGACGATGGGGTTTTCTAGATATACAATCATGTCATCTGCAAACAGGGACAATTTGACTTCCTCTTTTCCTAATTGAATACTCTTTATTTCTTTCTCCTGCCTGATTGCCCTAGCCAGAACTTCCAACACTATGTTGAATAGGAGTGATGAGAGAGGGCATCCTTGTCTTGTGCCAGTTTTCAAAGGGAATGCTTCCAGTTTTTGCCCATTCGGTATGAAATTGGCTGTGGGTTTGTCATAAATAGCTCTTATTATTTTGAGATACGTCCCATCAATACCAAATTTATTGAGAGTTTTTAGCATGAAGGGCTGTTGAATTTTGTCAAACACCTTTTCTGCACCTATTGAGATAATCATATGGTTTCTGTCGTGGGTTCTGTTTATATGCTGGATTACATTTATTGATTTGCGTATGTTGAGCCAGCCTTGCATCCCAGGGATGAAGCCCACTTGATCATGGTGGATAAGCTTTTTGATGTGCTGCTGGATTCGGTTTGCCAGTATTTTATTGAGGATTTTTGCGTCAATGTTCATCAGGGATGTTGGTCTAAAATTCTCTTTTTTTGTTGTGTCTCTGCCAGGCTTTGGTATCAGGATGATACTGGCCTCATAAAATGAGTTAGGGAGGATTCCCTCTTTTTCTATTGATTGGAATAGTTTCAGAAGGAATGGTAACAGCTCCTCCTTGTACCTCCGTTAGAATTCAGCTGTGAATCCATCTGGTCTTGGACTTTTTTTGGTTGGTAGGCTATTAATTATTGCCTCAATTTCAGAGCCTGTTATTGGTCTATTCAGAGATTCAACTTCTTCCTGGTTTAGTCTTGGGAGAGTGTATGTGTCGAGGAATTTATCCATTTCTTCCAGATTTTCTAGTTTATTTGCGTAGAGGTGTTTATATTATTCTCTGATGGTAGTTTGTATTTCTGTGGTATCAGTGGTGATATCCCCTTTATCATGTTTTATTGCATCTATTTGATTCTTCTCACTTTTCTTCTTTATTAGTCTTGCTAGCCATCTATCAATTTTGTTGATCTTTTCAAAAAAACGGCTCCTGGATTTATTGATTTTTTGAAGGGTTTTTTGTGTCTCTATCTCCTTCAGTTCTGCTCTGATCTTAGTTATTTCTTGCCTTCTGCTAGCTTTTGAATGTGTTTGCTCTTGCTTCTCTAGTTCTTTTAATTGTGATGTTAGGGTGTCAATTTTAGATCTTTCCTGCTTTCTCTTGCGGGCATTCAGTGCCATAAATTTCCCTCTACACACTGCTTTAAATGTGTCCCAGAAATTCTGGTATGTTGTGTCTTTGTTCTCATCGATTTCAAAGAATCTTTATTTCTACCTTCATTTCGTTATGTACCCAGTAGTCATTCAGAAGCAGGTTGTTCAGTTTCCATGTAGTTGAGCGGTTTTGAGTGAGTTTCTTAATCCTGAGTTCTAGTTTGATTGCACTGTGGTCCGAGAGACAGTTTGTTATCATTTCTGTTCTTTTACATTTGCTGAGGAGTGCTTTACTTCCAACTCTGTGGTCAATTTTGGAATAGGTGTGGTGTGGTGCTGAAAAGAATGTATATTCTGTTGATTTGGGGTGGAGAGTTCTGTAGATGTCTATTAGGTCCACTTGGTGCAAAGCTGAGTTCAATTCCTGGATATTGTTGTTAACTTTCTGTCTCACTGGTCTAATTTTGACAGTGGGGTGTTAAGGTCTCCCATTATTATTGTGTGGGAGTCTAAGTCTCTTTGTAGGTCTCGAAGGGCTTGCTTTATGAATCTGGGTGCTCCTGTATTGGGTGCATATATATTTAGGATAGTTAGCTCTTCTTGTTGAATTGATCCCTTTACCATTATGTAATGGCCTTCTTTGTCTCTTTTGATCTTTGTTGGTTTAAAGTCTGTTTTATCGGAGACTAGGATTGCAACCCCTGCCTTTTTTTGTTTTCCATTTGCTTGGTAGATCTTCCTCCATCCCTTTACTTTGAGCCTATGTGTGTCTTTGCATGTGAGATGGGTTTCCTGAATACAGCACATTGATGGGTCTTGACTCTTTATCCAATTTGCCAGTTTGTGTCTTTTAATTGGGGCATTTAGCCCATTTACATTTAAGGTTAATATTGTTATGTGTGAATTTGATCCTGTCATTAGGATGTTAGCTGGTTATTTTGCTTGTTAATTGATGCAGTTTCTTCCTAGCCTTGACGGTCTTTAAAATTTGGCATGTTTTTGCGGTGGCTGGTACCGGTTGTTCCTTTCCATGTTTAGTGCTTCCTTCAGGAGCTCTGTCAGGGCAGGCCTGGTGGTGACAAAATCACTCAGCATTTGCTTGTCTGTAAAGTATTTTACTTCTCCTTCACTTATGAAGCTTAGTTTGGCTGGATATGAAATTCTGGGTTGAAAATTCTTTTCTTTAAGAATGTCGAATATTGGCCCCCATTCTCTTCTGGCTTGTAGAGTTTCTGCCGAGAGATCAGCTGTTATTCTGATGGGCTTCCCTTTGTGGGTAGCCCGACCTTTCTCTCTGGCTGCCCTTAACATTTTTTCCTTCATTTCAACTTTGGTGAATCTGACAATTATGTGTCTTGGAGTTGCTCTTCTCGAGGAGTATCTTTGTGGTGTTCTCTGTATTTCCTGAATTTGAATGTTGGCCTGCCTTACTAGATTGGGGAAGTTCTCCTGGATAATATCCTACAGAGTGTTTCCCAACTTGGTTCCATTCTCCCCATCACTTTCAGGTACACCAATCAGACGTAGATTTGGTCTTTTCACATAGTCCCATATTTCTTGGAGGCTTTGTTCATTTCTTTTTATTCTTTTTTCTCTAAACTTCTCTTCTTGCTTCATTTCATTCATTTGATCTTCCATCACTGATACCCTTTCTTCCAGTTGATCAAATCGGCTACTGAGGCTTGTGCATTCGTCATGTAGTTCTCATGCCGTGGTTTTCACCTCCATCAGGTCCTTTAAGGACTTCTCTGCATTGGTTATTTTAGTTAGCCATTTGTCTAATCTTTTTTCAAGGTTTTTAACTTCTTTGCCATGGGTTCAAACTTCCTCCTTTAGCTCGGAGTAGTTTGATCGTCTGAAGCCTTCTTCTCTCAAGTCATCAAAGTCATTCTCCGTCCAGGTTTGTTCCGTTGCTGGTGAGGAGTTGTGTTCCTTTGGAGGAGGAGAGGTGCTCTGATTTTTAGAATTTTCAGTTTTTCTGCTCTGTTTTTTCCCCATCTTTGTGGTTTTATCTACCTTTGGTCTTTGATGATGGTGACGTACAGGTGGGGTTTTGGCGTGGATGTCCTTTCTGTTTGTTAGTTTTGCTTCTGACAGTCAGGACCCTCAGCTGCAGGTCTTTTGGAGTTTGCTGGAAGTCCACTCCAGACCCTGTTTGCTTGGGTATCAGCAGCAGAGGCTGCAGAACAGTGAATATTGGTGAACAGCAAATGTTGCTGCCTGATCGTTCCTCTGAAAGTTTTGTCTCAGGGGAGTACCCGGCTGTGTGAGGTGTCAGTCTGCCCCTACTGGGGGATGCCTCCCAGTTAGGCTACTCAGGGGTCAGGGACCCACTTGAGGAGGCAGTCTGTCCATTCTCAGATCTCAAGCTGCGTGCTGGGAGAACCACTACTGTCTTCCAAGCTGTCAGACAGGGACAGTTAAGTCTGCAGAGGTTTCTGCTGCCTTTTGTTTGGCTATTCCCTGCTCTCAGAGGTGGAGTCTACAGAGGCAGGCAGACCTCCTTGAGCTGCGGTGGGCTCCGCCCAGTTCCAGCTTCCCGGCTGCTTTGTTTATCTACTCAAGCCTCAGCAATGGCGGGCGCCCCTCCCCCAGCCTCGCTGCTGCCTTGCAGTTTGATCTCAGACTGCTGTGCTAGCAATGAGCGAGGCTCTGTGGGCATAGGACCCTCCAAGCCAGGCACGGGATATAATCTCCTGGTGTGCCATTTGCTAAGACTGTCAGAAAAGCGCAGTATTAGGGTGGGAGTGACCTGATTTTCCAGGTGCCGTCTGTCACCCTTTCCTTGGCTAGGAAAGGGAATTCCCTGGGCCCTTGCGCTTCTTGGGTGAGGCGATGCCTCGCCTTGCTTTAGCTCATGCTTGGTGTGCTGCACCCACTGTCCTGCACCCACTGTCTGACAATCCCCAGTGAGATGAACCTGGTACCTCAGTTGGAAATGCAGAAATCATTCGTCTTCTGGGTCACTCAAGCTGGGAGCTGTAGACTGGAGCTGTTCCTATTCTGCCATCTTGGATCCACCTGAGAATAATTCTTTTTTTAGAGTAATTCTTAACCCCTGGAGGAAAGTTATATCCCAATTTCCTTTCTACCTTATTTCTCAGCCATATATCTTCCAAATTTTAGCTGATCACTTGGATGTCTTGAATAAAGACATCTCCCAGACTCCCTTTTCATTAGATGTGATTAAATAATGACCTATGTTATGTAAGGGAAAACCCTTCCTTTTTTAATTTTTTTTAGTATTTATTGATCATTCTTGGGTGTTTCTCGGAGAGGGGGATTTGGCAGGGTCATAGGACAATAGTGGAGGGAAGGTCAGCAGATAAACATGTGAACAAAGGTCTCTGGTTTTCCTAGGCAGAGGGCCCTGCCGCCTTCCGCAGTGTTTGTGTCCCTGGGTACTTGAGATTAGGGAGTGGTGATGACTCTTAAGGAGTACGCTGCCTTCAAGCATCTGTTTAACAAAGCACATCTTGCACTGCCCTTAATCCATTTAACCCTTAGTGGACACAGCAGATGTTTCAGAGAGCAGGGGGTTGGGGTAAGGTTATAGATTAACAGCATCCCAAGGCAGAAGAATTTTTCTTAGTACAGAACAAAATGGAGTCTCCTATGTCTACTTCTTTCTACACAGACACAGTAACAATCTGATCTCTCTTTCTTTTCCCCACATTTCCCCCTTTTCTATTGGACAAAACCGCCATCATCATCATGGCCCGTTCTCAATGAGCTGTTGGGTACACCTCCCAGACGGGGTGGCGGCCGGGCAGAGGGGCTCCTCCCTTCCCAGACGGGGCAGCTGGCCAGGCGGGGGCTGCCCCCCACCTCCCGGACGGGGCAGCTGGCCGGGCGGGGGCTGCCCCCCACCTCCCCCACCGGGCGGCTGCTGGGCGGAGACGCTCCTCACTTCCCAGACAGGCGGCTGCCAGGCGGAGGGGCTCCTCACTTCTCAGATGGGGCGGCCGGTCAGGGATGCTCCTCACCTCCCAGACGGGGTGGCAGCGGGGCAGAGACACTCCTCAGTTCCCAGACGGGGTCGCGGCCGGGTAGAGGCGCTCTTCACGTCTCAGACGGGGCAGCGGGGCAGAGGCACTCCCCACATCCCAGACGATGGGCAGCCGGGCAGAGACGCTCCTCACTTCCTAGACGGGATGATGGCCGGGAAGAGGCGCTCCTCACTTCCCAGACTGGGTGGCTGGGCAGAGGGGCTCCTCACATCCCAGATGATGGGTGGCCAGGCAGAGACGCTCCTCACTTCCTAGATGGGGTGGCAGCCGGGCAGAGGCTGCAATCTCGGCACTTTGGGAGGCCAAGGCAGGCGGCTGGGAGGTGGAGGTTGTAGCGAGCCGAGATCATGCCCCCTGCACTCCAGCCTGGGCAACATTGAGCACTGAGTGAGCGAGACTCAGTCTGCAATCCCGGCACCTCAGGAGGCAGAGGCTGGCAGATCACTCGCGGTCAGGAGCTGGAGACCAGCCCGGCCAACACGGCGTAACCCCCTCTCCACCAAAAAATACGAAAACCAGTCAGGCGTGGCGGCGCGCGCCTGCAATCCCAGGCACTCGGCAGGCTGAGGCAGGAGAATCAGGCAGGGAGGTTGCAGTGAGTCGAGATGGCGGCAGTACAGTCCAGCCTTGGCTCAGCATCAGAGGGAGACCATGCAAAGAGGGAGCGGGAGTGGGAGGGGGAGCGGGAGGCGGAGGGGGAGTGGGACGGGGAGGGGGAGAGGGAGAAACCCTTCTTTTGCCCCCACCCCCCAACTGCAGTCTGTTGGCTCTGAGGCAGGTGTGATGCAGGTGCTGGGGCAGCCATCTTGGCCCATGCCATGAAGCCACACAGTGAGGATGTTGAGCAACAGCATAGAAGAGATCCAGGTCCCTGGCTGGGTGCAGTGGCTCACGCCTGTAATCCCAGCAATTTGGGAGGCCGAAGTGGGCAGACCACTTGAGGTCAGGAGTTTGAGACTAGCCTGGCCAAGATGGTGAAATCCCATCTCTACTAAAAACACAAAAATTAGCCAGGTGTGGTGGAGGACGCCTGTAATCCCAGCTACTTGGAAGGCTGAGGCAGGAGAATCGCTTGAACCTGGGAGGCAGAAGTTGCACCACTGCATTCTAGCCTAGGCGACAGAATGAGGCTCTGTCTCAAAAAAAAAAAGAAGAAGAAGAAGAAGAAGAGATAGGCTGGGCACGGTGGCTCATACCTGTAATCCTAGCACTTTGGGAGGCCAAGGTGAATGGATCACCTGAGGTCAGGAGTTTAAGATCAGCCTGGTCGACACTGTGAAACCCCATCTCTACTAAAAATACAAAAATTAGCCGGGCGTAGTGGTGCATGCCTGTAATCCCAGCTACTCGGGAGGCTGAGGCAGGAGAATTGCTTAAACCCAGGAGGCAGAGGTTGCAAGGTTGCAGTGAGCCGAGATGGCGCCACTGCACTCCAGCCTAGGCGACAGAGCAAGACTGTCAAAAAAAAAAAAAAAGAGAGAGATCCAGATCCAGGTTCATGACACTGTGGAGCACCATACTAGCTCTGGACTACTACCCAGGCTCTGTTTTGATCCTAATTTTTAGGGTCACTATCAACCATACCTAAATCCAAGTCCTTTCTTTCAACCCTTAAACGCAGTCAAGTACTTAGCCCCATTGATTTTACTTCAGAATGTCTTGTATTCACCTACCTCTGCTTTTCCTCTCCCTGCCAGTTTCCCATTTGGGGGCTTTATCATCTCACTCATGCTGCATGGCCTCCCGTGGCATGCAGTGCTTCTGTTATGGTGGCACTTCCTGCATCTAGGCCAATTTTATGGTATTTCTTTATTAATTAATTGAGCCCCCCACCCCACCTCTCTCTCTCTCTCTCAGATGGAATCTCACTCTGTCACCCAGACTAGAGTGCAGTGGTGTGATCTCGGCTCACTGCAACCTCCATTTCCCGAGTTCAAGCAATTCTGCTGCCTCGGCCTCCTGAGTAGCTGGGATTACAGGCACGCGACACCACACCTGGCTATTTTTTGTATTTTTAGTAGAGATGAGGTTTCACCATGTTGGCCAGGCTGGTCTAGAACTCTTGACCTCATGTGATTTGCCTGCCTCGGCTTCCCAAAGTGCTGGGATTACAGGCATGAGCCACTGCGCCTGGCCTAAATTTTATTTTCAAAGAACTTCTTTGGTCTATTGCTTCCAAAGAGCCTGGCTCTCTTTCTTTTGCTAAGCTTTGGAGCTATAAAAATACAGCCTCCATATTGTTCTCCTTATTCCTCAATCCTTTCAATCTGTCTTTCCCACTGTGGTCAGAATTAGTTGTCTCAAACAATTCCGCTGCTTAAAAACAATTTCTTACGGCCTATGGAAGAAGAGCGAAGCTCCTGAGTATGACATGTGAGCTTCTCCTGAATTTGACCTCATCTATCTTTCCAGGCTTGTGACTGGCATTCATACTCTACCTTCTTTCTCTCCTCACTCTCTGTTCAAATGACATCAGTGCACTGTGATTTTCACTGGGCCACCATGTACTTTTTCACTTTGAGGCTTTGAACTTTAGAACAAATAAATGAGTTCAGCTAGGTTACAGGATACAAGATCAATATCCAAAATTGAATTGCATTTCTATGTAATTGCAATGAGCAATCCAAAACGAAATAAGGGAAACAATTCCAACCACAATAACACCAAAAAGAAGAGAATAGGAATACATTTAACAAAAAGTTCAAAACTTAACACTGTGAACTACAAAACTTTGTTGAAAGAAGTAAAAGATCTAAATAAATAGACAAACATCCCATGTGCAAGGATCAGAAGACAACATGGTTAGGAGATTGATAGTCCTAAACTGATCTGCAGGTTCAACATGATCCCTATTAGAATCCCAGCTGACTTCCCTGTACAAATTGATGAGCTGATTCTAAATTCTATGTGGAATTTTAAGGAACCCAGCATAGCTAAAAATAATTCTGAAAAAGAATCAAGAGGATTCACAGTGCCTGATTTCAAAACTTACTACAAAGCAATAGTAATCAAGATAGTGTGATACTGGTGTAAGAACTGTCATATAGATCAATTGAAAGAATAGAATCCATACGTAAGCCCAAACATCTGTGGCCAATTGATTTTCAAAAAGGGTGCCAGTGCCATTCAGTGAGGAAACAATGGTCTTTTCAATTGGAACAACTGGATATACACATGAAAAGAATGAAGCTGGACCCTTACCTCACATCACATACAAAAATTAACTCAAAATAGATCAACTACCTAAATGTAAGAGTAAAAACTATAAAACTCTTAGAAGAAGACATAGGGGTAAATTTTTTCATGATCATGGATTATGGCAAAAAAGTCTTAAATATGATACAAAAAAAAGCAACAAAAGAAAAAATTGATAAAATCATTTCATTGAAATTTCACACATGTGTGCTTCAGAGGACACCATAAACAAAGTGAAAAGACAACCCACAGAATGGATGAAAGTATTTGCAAATCATATATCAGATAAGGAACTCATTTCTAGCACATATAAATAACACTTGCAACTCAATAATAAAAAGATCAGTAACCCGATTTTATAATGGGCAAAGGACCTGTAGAGATATTTCTCAAAGAAGATCTATAAATGACCAATAAGCACATGAAAAAAATACTTGACATAATTAGTCACCAGAGAAATGCAAAACAAAACAACAGTGAGATACCATGTCACATGCATTAGGATGGCTAGAATTAAAAAGTCAGGTAGCAAGAAGTGTTGGTGAGAATGTGGAAAATTGGAACCCTCATATACTGTTGATGGTAATATAAAATGGGCCAGCCACCTTGGAAAACATTCTGGCAGTTCTTCCAATGAGTAACACAGAATTACCACATGACCCAGCAACTCCACTCCCAGGTAAGATACACCCAAGAGAAATGAAAACTGTATGACCATACAGAAACTTGCACATGAATGTTTATAATAGCATTATTCACAATAGCCAAAAGATGGGAACAACTCAATGTTCATCAGCACATGACCTGATAAAATGTGGTGTATCCATATGACGGAATATTATTCTGCCATGAAAAGGAATGAGTACTGATACATGCTACAACATGTGTAGACTTTGAAAACATTTTGTTAAATGAAAGGAGCCAGTCACCAAAAACCATATACTATATGAATGGAAATTCATATGAAAGTCCAGAATAGGGAAATCTATAGAAACAGAAAGATTTGTGGTTGCTTCATGATGGGATACAGGGACATGGGGACACAGAGGGGATAGGAAGTACAAAGTATGAAGTTTCTTCTTGAAGTGATTAAAGTGTTCCAAAATGGACTGCGGTGATGGTTGCACATATCTGTGAACACACTGAAAGCCATTGGATGGTGCACTTTGGGTGAATCGTGGGTATGTAAATTATATCTCAATAAAGCTGTTAAAAACGAGACAAAACTAGTCTTCCCACCAGGCTCTTGCTGTTTACACACATTGCAGGCAGGTACTCACATTGGAAAACTTTTCCTAAATACCATTTTCATCATGTTGCTCCCTTACCAGTTCAGCCTATTTAGAATCAATAAAGATGCATTGATTAGCTAACAGATATTGCGTGTCCACTGGCCTAAGTGCAGTGACAAATACATCCACAAAATTCTGCAATTTCAAGCCTCATTGCCTTTTCTACCTTCAAGGCTCATCCACAAGACTCACTCATCCATCTTGTTTTCCATTTGTCTTCTTAGTAACAGAGATCCTCTGCTCTAAACAGCTGACCTTCACAGCGTTGAAGTTCATACTATTGACCTCTATACTATTGCTTGATGTGGACAATGCCTTTTTATCCAAAATTAGAGACAAGCCTAAAATGCCAGCTCTGTTGGGAAAGAGAATAATTACTTAAAAGAACTCTAATGTCAAAGACTGGCTAGAGACGCTTTTTGGTCACTGAGAGTTCAGTGAATGGTGGGGCTGAGGCTGGAGCTCCTGTGAGGAGCAAGTGTGAGAAGAGACAAGCTTGGCCTCAAGGGAAGCTTGGCTTACTTTTCACTTGCAGAGGTCAGCTCTGCTGAAATGCCGGGTTTGTTTTTCCTTCTTTATCTGGGCACACACTATGTTTCCTCTGCAGGATGCTTTTTCTCTTTTCATTGCATCATCTTTCTTTTCTTTTTTTTTTTTTTTTTTTTTTTTTTGAGACGGAGTCTCGCTCTGTCGCCCAGGCTGGAGTGCAGTGGCGCAATCTCCGCTCACTGCAAGTTCCACCTCCCAGGTTCACGCCATTCTCCTGCCTCAACCTCCCGAGTAGCTGGGACTACAGGCGCCCGCCACCATGCCCAGCTAGTTTTTTGTATTTTTAGTAGAGACAGGGTTTCACTGTGTTAGCCAGGATGGTCTCGATCTCCTGACCTCGTGATCTGCCCGCCTCGGCCTCCCAAAGTACTGGGATTACGGTCGTGAGCCACCGCGTCCGGCCTCATTGCAGCTTTCTATTCTTCAATCAAAGCTCATCTCCTCCAGGGGTCTCTCTTTGCTTTTGTTATTGTTGTTGTTGTTTTGTTTGTTTGTATTTGAGAGAGGAAATCTCGCTCTGTCGTCCAGGCTGTAGTGCAGTAGCGCGATCTTCGCTCACTGCAGCCTCCTGAGTAGCTGGGATTACAGGTGCCCGCCATCACGCCTGGTAATTTTTTTTGTGTTTTAGTAGAGTTGGGCTTTCACCATGTTGGCCAGGCTGGTCTCGAACTCCTGACCTTAATTGATCCGCCCGCCTCGGCCTCCCATAGTGCTGGGATTACAGGCGTGCGTGACTGCGGCCGACCTCTCCTTGGTTTTCTTCTATCCCTGACCCACCCCTTCCTACCTCTCCCATCTCCTCCTACACACCCGTTTTTTTTTTTTTTTTTTGGAGAGCAAATGGGTCCTCAGTTAACTTGACTGCCTGACAGTTGACCAAAAATCTGCTCAAGGCTCAAGTTTTAGCCTGTAAGACTTTGTACTCAACCTCAAACAGCTGTCTGAGCACTCAGAAGGCTCTTTTTATTTTTTCTATACCCTACTTTGTTTCTTTTTGGGGTGAGGGAACGCTTCTTTCAGATCACGATCATAGGGAGATTATTGGATTCCTTGTTGGGAGATAGTAAGAACCCTAGTTCTGCTACTGACTTGATATGTGGCTTTAAGCAAGACTTGACTTCACTCTGGCTAGAGTTCCTTGGCTGGGAAATAAAGGGGCTGGACTATAGGATCTGTAATATCTCCCAGCTGCAAAATTCTGATCCGGAGAGCAAATTTACTTCAGAAATTTGGCTGAGGCTGCCATCTGATGGCTATCTTGAGAACTTCAACTGCTGAGTGTGCAGTAGACGCTTCTAGTAGAATGTCTCACTCCCTCTTGCAATCATCAGCAATAAGGGTTTCAGCCAGAAAATGACCTTCCCTTCTGAGTACCCCCAGTCTTGAACTTTACGCTCCCCCTTAAATGAAAAGCTCCTCCTTTTCCACTCACATTCCCACTCAGGCGAAGTCAACTCAACCATGGGGCTTTTTATATCAGTAAAGCCACCTTAAGAAAAATCAGGAGGCTAAGAAAGCTTATGCTTCCATGTTTTCATGCTGCTCCATAATTCTCATCAGGAAGAAATTGGTTTTAAGTTAATTTATTCAAAGTGTGATTGACTGCACCTTTGAGACTCTCATGAACAAATATTTACTTTTTTTTCTTCAATAAAATGAGCTCTACAGTAGGGCAGTTCTTAATTCAAATCTAATCATTTTTTAAAAAATTCAACTAAGAGTAGAATCTTCCTTCCTTCCTTCCTTCTCTTTCTTTCTTTCTCTTTCTCTCTTTTTCTTCCTACCTTCCTTTCTCTCTTTCTCTCTCTTTCTTTTCTGCCTTTTTCTTTTTCTTTCCTTCTCTTTCTCTTTCTTTCTTTCTTTCCTTCTCTCTTTCTTTCTCTTTCTTTCTTTCCTTCCTTCCTTCCTTCTTTCTCTTTCTTTCTTTCTCTTTCTTTCCTTCCTTCCTTCTTTCTTTCTTTCTTTCTTTCTTTCTTTCTTTCTTTCTTTCTTTCTTTCTTTCTTTCTTTCTTTCTTCTCAGAGACAGAGTCTAGCTCTGTCACCCAGGCTGGAGTGCCTGATCTCAGCTCACTGCAACCTGCACCTGCTGGGTTCAAGCGATTCTTATGCCTCAGCCTCCCGAGTAACTGGGATTACAAGTGTGCACCGCCATGACAGGCTAACTTGCTGTATTTTTAGTAGAGATGTGGTCTCACCATGTCGCCCAGGCTGGTTTTGAACTCCTGAGCTCAGGCAATTTGCCCACCTTGGCCTCTCAAAGTGCTGGGATTACAGTTGTGAGCCACCACGCCCAGCCAAGATTAGGATTTTAAGTGCCTGCACAGTCAAAACTATTTGATTCATACTATCCCCTTCCTGGAGGCTTCAAAACACAGCAAATAGATAATAAGTTTAGGCCTTCCATTAGACATTATATGCTGTGGGATTTCCACTTAGGTTAGTCTCTAAAACCTGGTATTGAATACCAAGGCATTAATAAGTATCCTAATATATCACCCATCTAGAAATAGTTACATTTTAAATTTCTGGGGTCATGGTGACCAACCCAAAGGAGTCATTCTTTAATAGTAGAATTTTAGGTGTGTAAGACATCTGGTGGGAAAATTCTTTGCAATTCTGTAATTTTTATGGCCACTCTCCAATAACACATAGGTGGCTGAGATGCTAGTGACACTTAAGGATCCTAGGTTGGAAAAGATATTTTAAAATTTGCTTTTTTCATTCACTTGCTTCCTAGAACAGACATTAATGGTCTCAGGAAGGGAATTATCTTTTTGACTCTGGAGTATTTGTAGGAAACAGCTGTTGTACAGTAAATTAGAATTTGCCTTGGAGTTGAAAGAATTGATTTTCTGTTTTTCCAATTTATAAGACAGGTGCCCTTGAGCTAGTTCTTTAATTATATACCTCAAGTTACTAATCTTATAATTTGCATAATATTATCTACCTTAAGAGTTGTTCTGAAATACTAAACTAGATCATCCAATCGGAGGTTCCAGGTAAGATTTCCGTTTATACTAAAATGGTGTCCACTCCCTTTGTTACTGGAAAAGCCAAAGGCACATCTTTCTTATCCTCTTTTTTAAAGGATCTCATAAGAAAGGCTTCCAGTAAAAACATAATTTTTGAGACTGCATCTTTCCTTCTCTTCTTTTCCCTTCCTAGATATTATGCAAGAGAAACAAAACCTTCAAACACCAATCTCAGTGAAACTAGAAGATAGTTATGACTTGAACATTCATAGAAAATATATAGTGCAGCCCCAAATAACCAAGATTGTCACGGAAGGTATGTAGATGTGAACCCCAAAAATCTGAGACAGCTCTCAGTTAATTTAGAAAGCATATTTTGCCAAGGTTGAGGACGCATGCCTGTGACACAGCCTCAGGAGGTCCTGATGACACGTGCCCAAGGTGGTCAGAACACAGTTTTGTTTTATACGTATTAGGGAGACATGAGACATCAATCAACTTACGTAAGATGAACATTGGTTTGGTCTGGAAAGGCAGGACAGCTGGAAGCGGGTAGGAGGTTTCCAGGTTGTAGGCAGGTGAGAGACAGGGTTGCATTCTTTTGAGTTTCTGATGAGCCTCTCCAAGGGAGGCAATCAGATCTGCACTTATCTCAGTGAGCAGAGGGTGACAGAACAGAATGGGAGGCAGGTTGGCCCTCAGCAGTTCCCAGCTTGACTTTTCCCTTTAGTTTCGTAATTTTGACAGCCCAAGATATTTTCCTTCCACATAGAAAGAAGATAGAAAGATGGCCCAGTGGAAGCAGATCTCAGAAACTGCCAGCAAAAATACACCTCTGAATGTGAAGGGATCCACCTAATGTGATAAACATTTATATTTTGAGTGCAAGTGCTGTGAGATTTAGAGAGAGTGAGGCGGAGATTACTTGGAAGCCACATCGAGGGAAAGTTCCACAAGGAAACGTAGAAGATATTAGGCAGCAGCAGATCTCAGGAAACTTGGGCAAAAGTGCACCTCTGAAGGTAAGGGGCTTTCTGTAAAATGCAGAAGGGAGAAAGAAGGAAATGATCAACATAAGAGCAGTCATCAGTGAGATTAGAAATAGGAAAATGGAGAAAACCAGTGAAACAAAATGTTGGTTGCTATGGTCTACATGTGTCTCCCACTCCTCCAATCCATATATTGAAATGTAATCCTCAATGAATGTAATCCTCAATGTAATGATATCAAGAGGTTGGGCCTTTGGGAAATAATGAGGCCCCACCCTCATGGATGGGACTGTGCTTTTATAAAAGAAGCAGAAGGGGATGTGTTTGGTCCTTCCACCATGTGAGGATGCAGCAGGAAGGCGCATTCTAGGAGAAACAGGCCCTTACCAGACACCACATTTGCCATCACCTTGATCTTGATCTTGGACTTTCCACACTCGAGAACTGTAAGCAATAAATTACCCAGTCTAAGGCATTTTGTTTTAGCAGCCTGAAGTGCCTAAGACACTGGTTCTTCAAATTTGTAGGAATATCACTATAGATAAGGGATATAGGAATACCACTAATAGATAAGGGATATCAAGTAAGGGATCTCACTACAGATTCTGCAGACACTAAAGTAATAAGAGAATACTACAAACAACTTTAGTTCACAAATTTGTCAACTTATCAGAAATGGACCAATTCCTTAAAATCCACAAACTGCTGAAACTCAAACCAATTGAAATAGTCCTGTAACCACTAAAGAAATTGAATTCAAAATTCAAAAGCTCCCAACAAAAAAGAGATCCCCAGACCCAGATGGTTTTATAGGAGAATTCTATCAAACATTTAAAAAAGAATATACACCATTGTTACATAATATCTAACAGAAAATAAATGAGAACAGAGTACTTTTAACTCCTTTTATGAGGTCAATATTATCCTGATAACAAAACCAAACAAGAAGGAAGGAAGGAAGGAAAGAAGGAAAGAAAGAAAGAAAGAAAGAAGGAAGGAAGGAAGGAAGGAAGGAAGGAAGGACGGAAAGAAGGAAGGAAGGAAACTGCAAACCAATATCTCTCATAAGTGTAGATGCAAAAATCCTCAATACAATATTAGAAAGCTGAATCCAACAATGTATAAAAAGAATTATGCACTATGATCAAGTGGGGTTTATTCCAGGTATGCAAGACTTATTCAACATTTGAAAATCAATCAATGTGATCCACCATATCAACAAGCTGAATTAGAAGGATCATATGATCATATTAATTGATGCAAAAAAAGCATTTGACAAAATCTAACACCTATTTATGGTGTTAAAAAAAAGCCCCAGCAAATTAGGAACAGAGGGGAATTATCTCCATTTGATAAAGCACAGCTGTAAAAAAAAATCCACGGTTACCATCATACTTAATGGTGAAAGACTGAATATTTTCCCCCTAAGATCATGAACAAGGTGAGGACGTCTACTTTTACCATTACTATTCAACACAGCACTGGAAGTTTTAGCCACTGCAATCAACCAAGAAAATAAATGTAAGACATACAAATCAGAAAGAAAAAATAAGGCTTTCTTTATTTACAGATAACATGATTGTTTACATAGAAAATCTCAAGGAAACTATTAAAAATCTCTTAGAACTTAGAATAAACACCAGTTTGGAGTGTCTAATTAACCTCTCCAAAGGAGGCAACCAGATACGCACTTGATCAGGTGCGGTTTAAGTAATAAGTATGCAAGACTTATTCTACATTTGAAAATCAATCAATGTGATCCACCGTATCAACAAGCTAAATGATTAGCAGTAACTGTAGACTTTTTTACAGCGGTGCTTTATCAAATGGAGAATGAGTTCAACAAAATTGCAGAATACAAGATAAACACACAAAAATGAATTGCATTTGTGTGTACTAACAAATAACATATAGAAACTGAAATTAATAACACAATATTATTTAAGATCACTCCAAATACAATTAAATACTTAGGTATGTACTTAACAAAACATGTACAGGATCTGTATGATGAAATTACAAAATATTGATGAAAGAAATTGAAAAGAACTAAATAAATGGAGAGACATACCACGTTCAGGAATTGGAAGACTCAACATAGTAAGGGTGTCAATTTTCTTCAAATGAATCTGTAGGTTTAATGCAATTCCCATAAAAATTCCAACAACACTTTTTGTAGGCATAAATAAACTTATCCTAAAGTTTACGCAGAAAGGCACAGACCCTAGAATAACTAAAACTATCTTGACAAATAAGAATAAAGTGGGAGGGTCACTCTACCCAATACACAGCTACAGTAATCAAGACAGTGTGGTGTTGGCAGAGGAATGACACATAGATAAATGGAATCGAACAGAGAACTCAGAAATAGACCTACAGATACACTCACTGAATTTTGACAAAGTACAAAAGCAAATTAATGAATAAATGGTAGTCTTTTAAATAAACAGTGCTGGAACAACAATGAAATGAATCTCAACCTAAGTCTCACTCCTTACACAAAAATTAACTCAAAATGGTATAAAACTATAAACTTTTAGGAAAAAACCCATAAGCATTAACCCTTGGAATCTAGAGACAGAAAGAATTCTTAGACTTGACACCAGAAGCGTGCTCTGTGAAAGGATTGATAAACTGAACTGCATCAAAATTAAAAACTTTTGCTCTGAAAAAGCCTATGTGAGGACATTGAAGAGACAAGGTTCAGACTAGGAGGAAAGACTTGCAAATCACATCTTCAAGAAAGGACTGGTATCAAAAATATACAAAGAGGCCGGGCGTGGTGGCTCACGCCTGTAATCCCAGCACTTTGGGAGGCTGAGGCAGGTGGATCACCTGAGATCGGGAGTTCAAGACCAGCCTGACCAACATGGAGAAACGCCGTCTCTAATAAAAATACAAAATTAGCAGGGCGTGGTGGTGCATGCCTGTAATACGAGCTACTCGGGAGGCTGAGGCAGGAGAATCGCTTGAACCCAGGAAGCAGAGGTTGTGGTGAGCCAAGATCACACCATTGCACTCCAGCCTGGGCAACAAGAGCAAAACTCCTTCTCAAAAAAAAAAAAAAAAAAAAAAAAATATATATATATATATACACACACATACACACACAGAACTCTTGAAATTCAATAGTTTTTTTAAAAAAATCTAACTAGAAAATGGGTAAGACATGAACAGACATTTCACCAGTGAGAATATACAGATGATAAATAAGCAGGTAAAAAGATGCTCAACACCATTTGCAATCAGGAAAATGCAAATGAAAATCGTAATGAGATATGCATTTTTGTGTAGTGAATTCCCAAGTATTTCGTTTTCTTTGGAGTGGTTGAAAGTGATATTGTAAATGATATTGTGCTTTTAATTTCAGTTTCTGTATGTTTTTGTTAATATACAGGAATATGAGTAATATTATGTGTGTTTTATCTTGTATCTTTTCAAGAGTGGCTAAAATAAAAAATAGTGACAACATCAAATGCTGGCAAGGGATGAGTAACTGGACTACTCATACAGTATGGGTGGGAATGTAAAATACAGCCACTCTGGAAAACAGAGTGGCAGGTTTTTAAAAATAAAACTAAATATGTAATTACCATACAACCCCGCACTCACACCCTGTGGCATTTATCCCAGAGAAATGGAAATTTATGTTCACATAAAAATTTTGAATATTCATAGCAGCTTAGTTTGTAATAGCCAAAAACTGGCATCGGCCCAGATATCCTTCAATAGGTGAGTGGTTTAACAAATTGTAGAACATGCAAACCATGGAATGCTATTTAGAATAAGAAGACACAACTATTGATACCTGCAACAATTTGAATGAATTGCCAGGGAATTATGCTGAGTTAAAAAAAAAGCCAATCACCATTATTCACAATAGCAAAGACTTGGAACCAACCCAAATGTCCAACAATGATAGACTGGATTAAGAAAATGTGGCACATATACACCATGGAATACTATGCAGCCATAAAAAAATGATGAGTTCATGTCCTTTGTAGGGACATGGATGAAATTGGAAATCATCATTCTCAGTAAACTATCGCAAGAACAAAAAACCAAGCACCGCATATTCTCACTCATAGGTGGGAATTGAACAATGAGAACACATGGACACAGGAAGGGGAACATCACACTCTGGGGACTGTTGTGGGGTGGGGGGAGGGGGGAGGGATAGCACTGGGAGATATACCTAATGCTAGATGACAAGTTAATGGGTGCAGCGTACCAGCATGGCACATGTATACATATGTAACTAACCTGCGCAGTGTGCACATGTACCTAAAACTTAAAGTATAATAATAATAAATAAAACAACAACAACAACAACAAAAAGCCAATCACAAAAGATGTGTAATCTATGTGATTCCAGTTATATAATATTTTTTGAATGACAAATTTTAGAAATGGAGGACAGAGTAAAGGGGGGTGGTGGAATCCAGAATGGGTGTAGTTCTAATAGGGCCACACCAGGGATCCTGCAGTGTTGAAATTGTTCAGTATCTGACTATGGTGGTAGTATAATTTTGCAAAATTTTACCACTGGAAGAAATCGGGCACAGTATAAAAAGGGTCTCTCTGTATTATTTCTTCTTTTCTTTTCTCAGCTTTTATTTTAGGTTCAGGGGTACATACGTGGGTTTATTAATGGATAAATTGCATGTCATTGGGGTTTGGCGTATAAATGATTTCATCACCCAGGTAGTGAGCATACATAGTACCTAATTGGTAGTCTTTCAACACTTACCCTCCATCCATTCTCCCCCCTCACGTAAGCCCTGGTGCTTATTGTACCCCTCTTTGTATCCATGTGCCCTCAGTGTTTAGCTCCCATTTATAAGTGAGAACATGAGGTATTTGGTTTTCTGTTCCCCTGCTACTTTACTTAGGATAATGGCTTCCGGCTGCATCCATGTTGCTGTAAAAGACATTATTTCATTTTTTATGGCAGCATAGTATTCCATGGTGTATATGTATCACATTTTCTTTATCCAGTCCCCTGTGGATGGGCATTTAGGTTAATTCCATGTTTTCGCTATTGTGAATAGTGCTGCCATGAACATGTGAGTGCATGTGTGTTTTTGGTAAAATGATTTCTATTCCTTTGGGTATACACCCAGTAGTGGGGTTGCTCGGTTGAATGGAAGAAATTTCAAAGAAAAAAGGGAGAGTAACTTATTTTGGGGAGGTGGTGATGAAAGAGAAGCCTTCTCTGAAAGAGGGAGACATAAGCCAAGATAGAAAGGTAAAGAGGGGCAGCAGGATGTGCAAAGGCCCAAGGCGGCAAATGACTTGGTGAATCCATGGAAACAGAAGAAGTCCAGTGAGAGCGGAGTCTTGTTAGTGAGGCACAGAGGGTGTCAGGTGAGGCTGGAGGCGGTGGCCCAGGTCTGGCCCGGCAATAGGCTGTTGTAAGGGCTGACCTTCTGCCTGTGAATAAGGGGGGTCATGGAAGGTTTCAAGCGTGAGAATTACACGATCTCCTGTGGTCCTGGGGCGTGTGGGGAATGGCTTGGAAGGTAGCCAGGTGGCACACGGAGAGGCCTTTTCAGCCATGAAACCGTATGGTAGGAGGACTACTCCAGCCTCCTCAAGAAAAACATTCAGGTGATGAGGTTCATTTTGAACGCATTGAGAGGGCACAAGCGGAAGAATATTATATCTCAGCCCTGGATTTAATAAATAAAGGGCTTGTTATGACTGTTAGCCTTCTGGCTCAGCAGAAACTGGAAAACCAGCTGAAAAATCCTGGTTCAGGTCTACAAGAAACCAATCCAGAGGTCACTTCACCAACTGGGTAACCGCTTCGGATTTCCTTTTTTGGGTTATGCCCTGGAAACCAACACCCATGGGGCGGAGCTTGGGTTACCCTCATGACCCACCAGGACCACAGTTGGAATCCTATGGTCACCTGACTTGCACTTCTGCCTGTAACAAATGTTCTTTCAGTTTAAAGAATACCTGGCTTCTTGTTTAGGTGGCAGTGTTCGGGATTGCATCTTTTGCTTTTGGCCAACTTAAAATGAAGAAAGTCAGCTCTCAGGGCCTGGAGGAGCAGGAATAAGTCAAACATGAAGCTCAGGACTCAGCCCTTCAGCAAGGAGAGCAGAGTTAGGAGAGACAGAGGAAAGCCCCCGCCCCACTACCCCACCAGGACCAAGACCGGACACAGACATTTATTGCTGTTTTCAAACTTGACAAAGAGGTTCTCCATGTAACTCTTTCTTACGTTTTATTTTAACATTTCACCTATCAAAAATCATCCTTCCTTCATCTTCTGTGTACTTGGGACTATGATGGCTTGATGTCAGGAGTTTGAGGCTTAGTGAACGATGATGGGGTGCCTGTGAATAGCCACTGTACTCCAGCCTGGGCAACATAGTGAGACCCCATCTCTTAAAAAAATCATATGAAATCACTTGAAGCCTTCAAACAAGTTAAATCTCTCTCTCAAGCTAATTATCAGGAGACTAGTGAAAACTTCTATTTGCCAAGTTAAAATCTCTAAATAATGATTGTTCATTTTATGAGAACTGTGCCTTCAGTTATCTCACGAACACAAAAAGTGCCACAAAATTAGGTGAAACAGAGCAGAGGGAGATCACATGTGGTTTGGGCCACACAGATTACAGGACCTCAGCATGATTCTATGTAAGAACTGCTTTTTGGTTCGTTTCAAGATACAGTGAGAACTCTTGGCCAATGAATCTCAGAAGCAGATGGTCTGCTCCCAAACATTCCACGAGGTTCCACCCAGGCTCTGCTTGCTTATCAAGAACTGCTCACCAGTAACATTTCAGAGTGAGTTGCATTGCCCAGCAGTCTCACCTCTTTTTTAACAGGCTTCCATCCTTATCTCAGTGACCAGCCTGGGAAGGAGTGAATCTTCAAAATCATCTGGGGGAGCAAACATTACATGGGCAAAACTCTTTCTACAATGTTGCACATCTGGGTGCGGTGGCTCACCCCTGTAATCCCAGCACTTGGGAAGCCGAGGTGGGTGGATCACCTGAGGTCAGGAGTTCGAGACCAGCCTGGCTAACATGGGCTCTACTAAACATTTTTTAGCAGAGACCAGCCCTGCTTCTACTAAAAATACAAAAAGTTAGCTGGACGTGGTGGCGGGCACCTGTAATCCCAGCTACTCAGGCTGAGACAAGAGAATCACTTGAACCTGGTAGGCAGAGGTTGTAGTAAGCTGAGATTATGCCACTGCACTCCAGCCTGGGCAACAAGAGTAAAACTCTGTCAAAAAGAAAAAAAAAGTTGCACACACTGTAGAGAATCATAAGCATGAACAGGAATTTAAACAATATCATTGAACAAATCATGGAACAGTCCCCTTCCCCCTGACATACAGAACAGTAAACTGGGATCATAAATTCAAATGCCTAGAGGGAGCAGGCAGGTACTGTAAACAAACAGAGCAGGCAGAAGTGTGCACTAGGGTGTGGTGAGGAGTGTGGCGAAGTCACAAATGCGTCCCCCATTTATAGGGGCAGCACCAGCACTGATTGTCTTCTGGGAAAGCAGGCCCAGTAGCGGATCTTCTGATTTTGCAAAAGCTTGCAACCTGGATTTTTATATGAAATCCTTGGATGTTTAAATGTGACTAATTCTAATTTTCAAGACACTGTCCAGGCAAATGGCACATCTACAAAGAGCATCAGACCAGCATGCTACCAATTCCTCTCTACTAAATTCAACATTTTTTCCACATTATTCGCCTTTTTCCTCTCCTTCCATCCCCAGGAGTTAAGCGGGAAGAAAGGAGCTTCCTCTACAATCTGCTCTGGGCCTGTTTTTTGATTTTCATTTCTTAATTCAGGTTCAACCCCTAGCCTGTCCATTTGGGCTGTCTCTAGCTGAGGCATTTTGGGAAACTGCCAGGTGGAGGAGAACACAATTTGAAGCTCTCTATTTCCTTTTCATTTCTGTTTATTTCAGTGGTGGAATCAGAGCAGCAATTATGTTGTTACAGTAACAGCCACTTGTGTTGCAAGGCAAAGAGAGGAGTAAAGGATGAGAGAAGCCCAGACAAATGGGAGGAACAGCCTGTCAACTGTAATCACAGGCTGAGTGCTTTGAGAGAAGGAGATGTACTATTTCTTGCTCTTAAAAGATTCATGGCTTTAAAACTATTCAAAAGGACTTTACATGAGCCTCTGAGTAGGAAATAAAACCTAAAACATTTCCACTTAATGGCAGTGACTAATTCTTGAGATTGCTATATTGATAGAACCAGGGCAGTGTGAGATCACAAGAAATGAACTTCACACATGTGGCAGATGCTGTTGGGTGTCAATTACAAATCAAAGCTGCCCTCCTTCCTTACCGAGAGAGTCTTGATTTTGTTTAGGGGCTTGCCCCTCCTGCAACATGACTCATCGGTAAATCCTAATTGGGCGAGTCCAATCATGATGCCTCGATTCCCTTCATTAGTGTTGGCTTTAGCGCAGCCATGTAGCCCATGGGGTTACTAAGTTGTGAGGCATTTAGAGATCTCTGGGAAAGGATTTATCCCTATTAATTAGATGAAGCCTCAAAAGAGATAGTCCTTCTTCTTCCTCTGAATTTTGTCAGGTCTGGATGTGACACCTGGAGCTCCAGCAGCCATCTTGTGACTGTGAGAGAAGTCAGCTTAAGGACAAATTGGAAACACTGCTGGCAGAGTGGGAAAATGGAAAGACCCCACCTCTGAATATATATTTTAGTCACTGAATTACCTTGAACTAAACAAGCCTGAGTTCCTCCTTCCCTCCAGAATAATCTTCCTTCTCCTTCTTTTTCTCCTCCTCCTCTTCCTTCTTCTTCCTCTTCTTCTTCTTCTTTTGAGACAGAGTCTTGCTCTGTCACCCCAGCTGGAGTGTAGTGGTGCAATCTCGGCTCACTGCAACCTCTGCCTCCCGGTTTCAAAGGATTCTCCTGCCTCAGCCTCCGGAGTAGCTGGGACTACAGGCACCCCACCAACACGCCCAGCTAATTTTTATATTTTTTGTAGAGACTAGGTTTCACCATATTGGCCAAGCTGGTCCCAAACTCCTGACCTCAAGTGATCTACCCACCTCGACCTCTCAAATTCCTAGGATTATAGGAGTGAGCCACTGCACCCAGCCTGGAGTTCTTGTATATCAGATAATAAATCCTTTTATCTTTCATGCCAATTTGAGCTGAGGGGTTTTTTTTTTTTTTTTTTTTTTGGGCGGGGGGAAGGAGTCTTGCTCTGTCGCCCAGGCTGGAGTGCAGTGGCGCGATCTCGGCTCACTGCAAGCTCCGCCTCCCGGGTTCACGCCATTCTCCTGCCTCAGCCTCCCAAGTAGCTGGGACTACAGGCGCCCGCCACCGCGCCTGGCTATTTTTTGTTATTTTTTTTAGTAGAGATGGGGTTTCACCGTGTTAGCCAGGATGGTCTCGATCTCCTGACCTCGTGATCTGCCCGCCTCGGCCTCCCAAAGTGCTGGGATTACAGGCGTGAGCCACCGCGCCCGGCCTGAGCTGAGGGGTTTCTAACAGCCACAGGTATGCTCATTGTTACAATGTTTATTCCTGAAGGTCTGCACAAATGGTCTTTCTATCTAGAGTCCTGTGGAATCATTCAGTCATCATCATCTTTTAATTAGTTTCGTGAATCCAATCACAGGGAAAACAAAAACAGTGCCATGTGTTCCCTTCTGCCAGAGTCCAGATTGCTTACCTTAGTCCAGTTTATTTACCAAGACCCCTTGTTTCTGAGATGATGTAGATGGAAGAGTGCAAATATACCTCCCTCATGTGTTTGTACAGAAATGCATGCATAAAGATAGGAGTGATACAGCACAAAGTGGGTTTTTTTCCATGTAAATAGATACTTGGAAATTGTCATATCTTGGGTTTAAGTTTAGTAATACGGTTTGTCTGTGTCCCACCAAAATCTCATTTTGAATTGCAGCTCCCATAATCCCCACGTGTCGTGGGAGGGACCCAGTGGGAGACAATTGAATTATGGGGGCAGTTTCCTCCATGCTGTTCTCATGATAGTGAATAAGTCTCATGAGATCTCATGGTTTTATAAGAGGTTTCCCTTTTCACTTGGCTCTCATTTCTCTCTTGTCTGCCACCATGTAAGATGTGGCTTTCATCTTCTGCCATGATTGTGAGGCCTCCCCAGCCACATGGAACTGTGAGACCATTAAACCTCTTTTCCTTTATAAATTACCCAGTCTTGGGTATGTCTTCATCAGCAGGATGAAAACTGACTAATACATGTAGAGATTAAAAGTGACGCCCAATCTATAAAACACGATCTTCATTGCAGCCTTTTGTTTTCAGAGATGGAGGGTAGGTGAAGTCCTGAAGACCACATGTTTGTAAACCTGGTTTCCTGGCACTCAGTCTTGAGAACGAGACACAGGGCAGGGCAATTTCATACTAAACATGGGGGCCTATTGTCTACGCATCTTCTAGTCATGTCAGGCTTAAGACCTCCTGGCTCCAACTTGGTTCTTTCTCGGATTCAATCTTGTCATAGCTGACATGGCAAACACCTCTGGTTGCCTATCAAACATCCATTTTCTTTTCCTTATTAAGAGAAATTTTGTTTTTGTTTTGTTTTGTTTTGTTTTCAGGGGAGCAGGGAGGTGATGTGGTAGAAAGGTCCTCACTGAAAAATCATATTTTCCAGCTTTCTTTGCTGCTAGAGATAGTCATGTGTCACAGTTCTGACCAAAACACCAAGGCTGAAGATTTCTCAGAAAGTTTTGTTTTCATGATATGCAGATCCTACCCTTTTCTGTTTCCCTCTCTCTTTTCTAAATGAAACTGGAGTGCGTTGGCTGGAGCTGCAGCCACCATTTTATAGCTAATCATGAAGGGAAATTAAAGAGAATCACAAAGATCTTGGCTCTGAATCCTCGGATTACTGCACTGGCCTGCACCTCTAGCCTCTAGACTTCTTGTGATGTGAGAGAAAATTAAACTTCTGTCTTCTTTAAGCCATGGATATGTGGTTTGATTTGGTTTTGTCACATGTATCCAAAAACTACTTCTAATTAATACAGATACAACTGACAGCCAAAGTACCAAATGTTTCTAAAGGAGAGGGTGCTGGATTGTCAATTATCAGTATAAATCAATAGGAGAAATCTCTTATTTGGAATATTAAACAAAAATAATTAACAGATTGGATTTTTACATTTAAAAATATACATTAAAAACTCTTAGAGTTAAATTAGGAGGCAAAAGAGGATTTTTAAAAATATGATTATCATGTTTTCTTCATGCCCAAAGTGTGTGTGTGTGTGTGTGTGTGTGTGTGTGTATATATATATATATATTTTTTTTTTGACACAGTCTCACTCTGTTACCCAGGCTGGAGTGGAGTGGTGTGATCTTGGCTCACTGCAACCTCTGCCTCCCAGGTTCAAGCGATTCTCATGCCTCAGCCTCCCGAGTAGCTGGGATTACAGGCATGCACCACCATGCCTGGCTAATTTTTATATTTTTAGTAGAGACAGGATTTTGCCATGTTGGCCAGGCTGGTCTCAAACTCCTGGACTCAGGTGATCTGCACACCTCGGCCTCCCAAAGTGTTGGGATTACAGGTGTGAGCTACTGTGCTCGGCCACCAAAGTATATTTTTAATGTTTAAATATTTATTTAAACAAGGGGTAAAGAATCTGAGCAACACTCTTGGAAAGAGTAGTATATAATTAGTGTCAGAGAGTGGAAGGATGAAAAATACATTTTCTTCCTTGAGGCTATTGGAGTTTCCTTTGGAGTATAATATATCCTTGGCATTAATCAGGTGCTCCTCTCAATCCACCCATATCATGATCTACCTTGTCTGTCCATCATATATATGTTATACAATACAACATATATATGTTATATAATATATATAATCTATTATATATACTATGTTATATAATATATATACTATAGTATATATAATCTATTATATATAATATGTTATATAATATATATACCATGGTATATATAATATGTTATATAATATATATACCATGGTATATATAATATGTTATATAATATATATACCATGGTATATATAATATGTTATATAATATATATACCATGGTATATATAATATGTTATATAATATATATACCATGGTATGTATAATATGTTATATTATATATATACCATGGTATGTATAATATGTTATATTATATATATACCATGGTATGTATAATATGTTATATTATATATATACCATGGTATGTATAATATGTTATATTATATATATACCATGGTATGTATAATATGTTATATTATATATATACCATGGTATGTATAATATGTTATATTATATATATACCATGGTATGTATAATATGTTATATTATATATATACCATGGTATGTATAATATGTTATATTATATATATACCATGGTATGTATAATATGTTATATTATATATACCATGGTATGTATAATATGTTATATTATATATACCATGGTATGTATAATATGTTATATTATATATACCATGGTATGTATAATATGTTATATTATATATACCATGGTATATATAGTATATATATAATATACTATATAGTATATATAATATATATATAAATACTATATAGTATATATAATATATATACTATATATATAATATACTATATATATAATATATATACTATATTATATATTATATATTATATAATATATTATACATTATATAATATATAATATATTATATATCATATGACATATGATATATAACATATGATATATAATATATAATATATATCATATAACATATGATATATATTATATACTATATGATATATTATATAATATATCATATATTATATAATATATGATATAGTATATAACATATTATATACTATATCATATATTATATAACATATGATATATTATATAACATATTATATAACATATTATATAACATATAACATATTATATAACATATGATATATTATATAACATATTATATATCATGTTATATAATATTATATATCATATGTTATATAATATATTATATATAATATGTTACATAATATATTATATATAATATGATATATAATATATTATATATGTTGTATATATTATATGTTATATAACATGTTATATATGTTATATATAACATGTTTTATATATGTTATATATAACATGTTATATATATGTTATATATGTTATATAACATTTTTGAACTAAGTAGAGTGGAAAGAAAGGTAGGGAGAGGATTCTGTATCACATCTGGGTCTGATTTAAGGTGATTAATTAAAAGAAACGAAGCCCTTGGAGGTGGAGCTAGGAGCCTTTTCCATGCACATGGTGAACATCGTTTCTTTGCTGTGAGGATGACAATGGTTCATAATTACAGGTCTCCCTTGAAGAGTTATTTCATGTTGTCTGAATAAAACAGCCAGTGGCTAAGGAAGTGAATAATGCAATCTCTACATTCTACTTAGATTACTCCCCACACAACCAAGCTGGGTTAAGATGCTCGGTAATGATAAAATATTCCCCAAGTAGGGAGTAAAAGGCGAGCATTTTGAGGCTAGAAATTGTACTGCTCTGCCGGAAATGCCTGCTTGGTGTGTTACTGAACCTCTAATGACATGCAAAAACTGCCAAATCGCCCAGAGCAATCCAACCTGTGGCACTAAAAAATAAAAATTAAAAATTAAAAAAAAAGACTGCTTTTCAAAGGAGAAATTCAAAGGCCATTACTGCTTTCTTCCCTTTTGGATTCTTCCTTCTGATTATCCTGCTTTGCTGCCAGGATTTCTAAGGTATCTGCTCTTAGAAGCAATCTTTTCATCTTGCTGTACTATGGACACACCTGGACTGTGTGCTGTGCAGAACAGCCACCAGGCTCCTGCTTTCCCTGAGTCCCAGGCTAGGGACTAACTGTTCTTTAGAGTAGGAATGGGCAGGAATCAAAGGGAAAATTCTTTTTGGGGAAAAAGGGAAGGGGCATATATTGTTTGTAGTCAACCACATCTCTGAACACCCTCTCTCCATTTTGATAGGGTCCCATTATTTTAGTCCCAAGAGCCCAAAGTAGAATCCTAAAAACTCCATTTCCCAGCAGCCCTTGCAGCTAGGTACAGGAATATAATGTAGGTTCCACCAATCAGACACTCATTCAAGACTGATTTGGGAGTCTCTGGGGAGGGCGGGGCGGGGGAAATCCTACTGCAGGCACAGGTGGTAGCAGAGGCAGAGGAAGAGAGCGCAGACTCAGGCAGTTCTGCAGCATGCTTCTAGGGGTAGCCACCTCATCAATACAATTAGAGACATGGCTTTGGGCATTGAGCCTGCAAGTTTAGGCTTGAGCCCGGTTCTCTGGTCTTCCCTGACTAATATCTACCCATCGGTTTTCTCCTTTTCTACTTAAACTACCCAAGGTGGATGCTATTATCTTTAGCTAAAAATTACCTGACCCAATAGGCACACACATGTGTGGTGTGATATAACTCCCCTTGCAAATAATTTCTTTTTTAATTTTGCAGGGAAGAGTATACCTCTCAAAAAGATTCTAACCTTGACCGGGTTTGGCACAGAGGAGCACTGCAAGGGAGAGGAGATTTGAGAGAGCTGTTCTTACATCGCAATCAGAACTCATGGAAAAAAGTGATGGCTGCCAAAACATGGGATCATGTAGGTTTACTCTTGTGAAACAGCCAAACAAGTGATAGTCTGGATGGGGTTATTCTAGGAGCACTGGCCTATGTCCAGGAAACCTTTTCTTTTTGCCTGAAATCCCACCATTAGAGAAAGCTTCCCCTGGGTCTGGAAGGTGTTGTTTGTTTGTTTTTTGGTTTTTTGGTTTGTTTTTGGGGGGTGTTTTTTTTGGTGTTTTTTTTTTTCTCTATGAGTGTCCTATTGGAAGGCAAATCCTTGAGAGGGCTTACACCTTCATCATCAGCGGCATGGGGGCTTTAGTTGACATAGGTCAGGATCAAGTCCTTGGGAAAGAGGCTGAAGATAGTCTCATGATAGAGAACAGGGGCCCTGTAGAGGAACGTGGTAACACTGAAAACACAGTTCACACATTTCCCCAGGTCTAGCTGTGTATATGTTGTGAATCAACATGGTTTTAAAAGAAATTAGGAAGAACTCATCATCTCTTATGTGGTTCTAGGTAATCAAAACAAGAGCAAGCAAATCTCTTTAAGGTTGCTAATGTGATTTTCCTAAATGAAGAAATTCTAAACATATGGCAAGAAGCTTCAAAATCTGTTAATGTGCAAATGTCATGATAAAAAAGGAATCGGTTAAAAAAAAAAATAGAACTAGTGAGTGTTAACGAACTGCCAGGCCACATTCTCTGAAAATGGAAGGAACTGAATTCATCTTATTCTTTAGCTGTGGAACTAACTAAATCTGGCACTGGGGACGACTCCTCCCAGACTGGCGATGAAATTTTGAAAAAACAGTGCTACTTGCTAGGCATAAATATACTGAAAGGGACGTTTAAAATGAGTAATGCAGGAAATCTGGTGACTGTGGATGTCTAGATCCCAGTTCCATTTACTATGTGACTTGGGCAAGGCACTTGATCTCTTTAATCCTCTGTTTCCTCATCTGTTAAATGGAAATGATAATTCTCAGCTTAAAGGACTATTAGGAGGCGTCCCTCAGTAATATCAGCAAAATACCTGGTCATGGTAGGGGCTGAAGATTAGGGAATTCTTAAGTGATGAATAGGGCTAGCCTCCATCTTCAACCTGGCTCACCTGATGGGAATGAGAAAGTGAGGGAGCCTCTGGAAAGGCTCTAAGTCACTACAAGGATTCAGAGGGGAGAGCTTCAGCCTGACTTGATCAGTGAGCACACGAGTACGTCCTCAAGCTGTTTGTTCATCTCTGCCACACTATCCTCTCATTTGGGATTGAAATAAGAGAACAGCCTGCCCTTTGGACAATGTGTTTAAGCTTTTATTGTGAATGGTAACAGCTCGGGGCCTTGAATCTAACCAACAGGTAGCCTAGATATAAAAAAGCATTAATTGGAAGACTCTTTTCGACAATTGTTCACAGCAAACAAGTTTAAACCAGAAGATGCTGCTTGAAAATCACGAATTTAGTCAAGGATGAAAGATACAGAATAGTCAAATATTTTGCACAAGGAAATCTTGTTGATGATCCGTAGAACTGATGCTTGCAGAACGCAGTCTCTTAGGGGTTTTGTTTTTCTCTTTTGAGAGAGGCCATCATTATCATTGCTGGTTCAGCTGGGGGTTCCTTCCTTCACGTTGAGAACCTGGAGCAGAGAGTCTACCAACTTAAGAAATATTAGAAAGAGTTCAGCAAACAGAGTGAGCTGAAGTCTAATCCTAGAAGTAAATCCATTCCTACAAGTCATCAGCATCACTTGGGAGCTTGTTAGAAAGGCAAATTCTTGGTTCAGCCTAACACCTACTAAATCAGAAACTCTGGGGGCGGAGCGCAGCAATCTGTACTTTCACAAGCCCTGCAGGTGATTCTGAGCCTGTAAAATTTGAGAACCAGAGCTGTCCCCCAGGAGATAAATTAACTTCTACTTTTTTTTGAGCTACTGCATTTTGGGATCTTATTGTTTTATCAGCTTAACATGCATCCTGATATGATTACTCAGGTATGTTTCAACCAATGTTGGTTAATGTATTATCCCCAGGAACTTATTACTAGAGGAGCAGCTGAGTGTTAAATTCTGGGAATGTGGAATTTCAATTCTTACTTTGCTTACTTTGACAGTGCATCGTTACACAAGTCAAAGCTAGTTTCTGCATTACATAATTATACATTACAAACCTACAACTGTAAATGGTAGTAGTGTGGAAACTTGGGAAGAGGAGTTAATGTGGATTTCTGCCAATTCTAAATTTATTGTGGTTTGCTTGTTGTGGCTTCTGCTCAAATTAACTAAGGCTAAAGAAAGAATGAGTAGTTATAATTTTAAAATACTTCTTTGTTCCCATATAGCACCCTTTACGCGCTGAGATGAAAAAACACTTTTTGTTGAGACTAAGAGCTTATTACTCTTCCCAAGATTCTCTGGCAATTCAGATTCCCCAACTTCCATATCAGCCATTTTCTTCTAATAAAGGAACTACTGATATTCTTGGGCAAATTATTACCTCCTCTGGCTCAGTTGTTTTGACCATGGGCTAATGAGCCCAGGGCCTGGGGTTTGATTCCCACGCATGCCAATTAGCTTTGCTTGCCTCCACCAACCCAGGCTGCCCTATTAAAGCCTGCTGCCTGTCCGAAGATGCCACCACACATCTTGCCTTATGAGTCATTGGTCATAAAAGGGGCCAGCTAATGTGTAGGGAAAAAAATCTACATAACTCCCCCATTGGCTCAAAATATTGAATAAGAGAGGTTTGGCTGGAGGGAATAAAACTAAAAGGAAAAAGAGAGTTGTGGAACCTAGGAAGATCAAGGAACTGGGAGGCAATGGGCAGGGTCCATTGTTGGGGGTAGGGAGGAGCTATATTCCAGGTGGGGGCCAACTTTACTCTACTCCTTCATAGAAAGTGCCAGGGTAATCAGAAGGTTATGAGTGATTCTTGATTTTATGTTGCTTTTTCTATATTTGGCACTTCCTTTGGAGCATTTCAAATATTCAGAAAAAAGACCTTCCTATTCTCTGTACTGATTTGATGAGACAGTGAGAGCAGTCCCTTAAAAGTGAAGAACGAACACATTTACTTTCTTTCCATAACAGCCTTTGTAGCTCACTTCCTTGCCCTCTTCATGTCCACTAAATAAAAGGAGAGACCTAAGCTGCAAAGAATAAGGGACTAAGTCCAAATTATAAAGGTAGACCAAAGGCCAACTAAAACCTCCATTGAAACCCAGGACAGTGAACAACCACATCCAGGATCATGGATGAGGCCCTGGAGCTTCATCCATGGGGATGAGTTTCATGTTGCAGAAACAGAACAGAGTTTCATGTTGCAGAAACCATGGGGGAAAAGTTCCATTAATTGCAGAATAGAATTAAAAGATTTGTGAGAAGGGCACAGTTAAAAGGATTAAGGTTAACCTTGAACATTGCTGGGCATAATTGCTCTGAAAGTTCTGGAGCTGTTTCCATGGTCGAGCAATCTAGTTTCAGTGCACATTACACACATCCTTTATGAATTAAGTAAATATCTTTGTCATCAAAACATAGGAAATGCTTGGAGTTTCTAACCACAGCTCCAAGAGAGTTGGCAACAGTACTTGATGTTTTATTACTAAAATGAGAGAGGAGAGCATATGTAGATAGTTTTTAATTTTAAGAACAGTCCTTCAGCCTCTGAAAACTCCTGCTGCTAATTCTGGCAATGCTTAGCTAAGTTATTAAGTTTCCCTCTAACACTCCCATAACTCTAAGATATGGGAGATATATGGGTTCTAATAGAACTACTCTCTTGGCACCCCTTCTTTTTGAATAAGATCATTGTAAGGTGTTTTCAATTTTCATAACAGCATACTTTCATTGAGGTGGAATTTCCAGTGCAAGAGAAGCAATAAAATATTTTGGTCTCTGCAAACACTAACTGTGGAACTTGTTTTTGTGTTACTAGGAAATATAGCCAAAAGAATAGTACCAATGTGTGCGATAACTAATTATTCAACTGGAGGTGGAATTAAATGAGATGGGCTTTCTAAACCTGTAAAAAGAAAAACAATGCATAAAAATAATAGAAAAGCAAAGCCTGATTTTTTTTATCATCTTTTTGATGACCTTTTTCAGTTCACTTGGGATAAGGACTGCCCCCTTTAAGCAGTCACTCTCGGCAGCTGCCCACTCAACCCATCCTATTATACTGCTACTCAGACACCTTTGTGGAGCTATTCTTTTTGCTGTTGCCTTTGAAGCTTACAGAATATTCTTCTGAATGTGGTGGAAAATTTTTGATCCTTAAGGAAGGAGTTGAATTTGCCAAAAGATTCCAAAGATATGCAGAGCCAGGTTGAGGAAATAAAATAACAAACTGGACACTGCTGTTTGTTTCAAAAATGAGGCACTATAGAATAGTAACATGATTGTGTGTTAGTAGAGGGGAGTATTTCATGAACGAGCTATGAGGGCAAGTCCAGTTCAATGTTTGCAAAAATTATTTTCAAGGGTTTTGTGGTGGCAATTTTTATTACTGTTCAGACAAATGAGAAGGGTACTGCTGTTGGATATCCACCTACAGGAACTCTGGCAAAGCACCTGACCATGAAAAAGGCATGGCAGCTAGAATCTGAGAAGTCACCTGCAAGTTCACAGAACCCTCAGAGTATGGGATCAATCAGTAAAGAAGGGGGCTGATGACATAACACCTATGACACAGGTATGGACCAGACAATCGCTTGGGGTTTTGTACAAAGTTGGTATTTATTTCTGTATTGGTTTATTTAATCTAGGATTGTTTTTGGTTTTTGTTTTTTTTCTGAATAAAAGCTACAAAGACTTTCCCTCTAGGTGCTTAGTGCAACAAGTGAACTTCAGTTTCCATTTAGCATAGAAACCCACATTTGGGAGGCCAAGGCTGAGGGAAATCACTTGAGCCCAGGAGTTTGAGACAAGCATGGGCAACATAGCCAGTCCTTGTCAAAAAAAAAAAGAGAGAGAGAGAGCAAGAGAGAAAGGAAAGAAAAGAAAGAAAGGAAGAAAGAAAGAAAGAAAGAAAGAAAGAAAGAAAGAAAGAAAGAAAGAAAGAAAGAAAGAAAGGAAGAAAAGAAACCACATAGCCAGAACTTGTAAGAAAGGAAGGAAGAAAGAAAAAAGAAAAAAAAAGAAAGAGAAAGACCAGAATAGACCCAAAGGGCAGTGAAATAGAAAGCTTCCCTCCAGAAAGCCAGCCGAGGCTTGGCAAAGGCAGCTCTGAGCCCCTAAAGGGGCCATCAGTCTTCACCATGAAAGAGTGAAGAAGGAAGCTCTCCAGTACTGTGAGTGGAAAGCAATATTATTTATTGTCAGAAGCAGCAAGTAGCAAGGCCTTCAGCCTGGATCCTTTATATTAAGATCAATGAGGACCATTTCTGGAAGATGTCTGGCATGGTACAGACTGTCTGAGGCCGACTGAACACAGGCCCTTACCCTGATTTTATCAGTGAAAAGCTATGGGACTAGTTTCCTTACCTCTAAAATGGAGAGAATAATAGAATCTTCCGTCTAAGACTTCTGTGAGCATAAGCCGAGAAAATGGAGGTAAACTGCTTAGCCCAATACTTGGATTATCGTAAATATTCAGTAAAACTAGCCACCGTTGTTATTGTAATTATTATTTTGTATTTTATTATACATTTCATGGAAACTTAAAAGTTAGTGATAATCACCTCATTTTCAGTTGCCTTGCTTTCTTCCTGTAAATTTTATTCTCTCTTATCTTGCTCACTGTCTTTAAGCATTGCCAGTTTAGTATAATTATTTTCCCCTATCCTCTATAAAATCATATACAGGATGGATTTGTTGATCTCAGACATGTTCACTGAGTTTTAAAATATTAGGATGAAACCTGAACTAGGTACTCCTGGAACAAATATGAAGAAGTGCTACTTTGTGTCAAAGGTAGCAAACAAGAATGCTGTCTTCTAAAAACAGGAACTTCCACTAGTGTTCACCAGAAATAAAATAAAATCTGTAGATCCACAAGGATTTACTCAAATAGTTTGCAGACTCACTATCAAAACATTCTTGTAGGGCCTGTGTGTTAAAAAAAAAATCCCATCAATGCGTAATGGCAAATAGACAAAATTGCTGAAAAAAACTCCTAAATTGGAGTTTGGAATCAATATCCTTTTGACTATATGTCAAAAAGAAGAGAATGTAGAAATTGTCTGTCAATGTGCTTAGCATGTGTTAGCCTAATGTAGTGACTGTGAAGGTTTATATCATAAGCAATTCTATTCTTCCTCCTTTGAACTTGCCCTCTTTCCACCTCTCCCCAGATACCTCCCACCCCATCTTGCATGTATGTTTCTTTTACCTTTGCCTTTTGAACCTACATCTTTGAAGTTGCTGCTATCCTCTGAATCCCACGAAGGCTGCTGATTGCCCAGGGCCTTGGGTTGAGGTGGCTGGTGGTTTCTGTTCTCCTTTGCTTCTATGAGACCCAGCAAATTCCTTGCAGCTTCTTCCCACCTGATGTACTCTCTCAGCTGCTGCTTCAGGCTCCCTCTCTCAGAAACAGAAGAAGACTCCCCTGTGCTCTTTTTCCCCATTAAGTGCCCTGTAAAAACAAAAACAAAAACACTCAGAATGCCACAAATTTAACCAAAGGGAATGAATGAGAAATTTAAAAGAAATTTAAAGCTAATTGTGTTTGTGCTGCTTCCTCCTAAATGCAGAATAAATCATGTTTTATTAAGAGTTAGTTCATAAACGACAGATAGATTTTGCTCTCTGTTCAAAATGTGCAATGAGCTAGACAGCATTCAGAACTGCAACCCAGGAACCCTGGGTTTGGTTCCAGCACCTCTCCTAACTAGTTAGGTCACCTCTGCCAAGTCGTTTAGCACCCCTAGTCTTCAATTTTCTCAACTATAAAATGAACAGGGTAGACTAGATTAAATCTAAGGAGGCTTCCATATCTAAAATTCTATCATCAATTCTGTGTGCACCAAATTCTATTTCCAGCTGAAAGATGGAGTTTAAACATCTTCCCCAGCCAATTTTGAATTGCTGCTGAAAATAAAAGTCTCCATGCTTTTCTTTGTGTGGTTTTTTAAAAATATTTCTTTCCTTTTATCGTAATAAAAAAAATACCAAAGGAATTTTTCATTTAAACTTTCTCAGAGTTTTAGTTGAGACTGAACTGAGAAAACTACCCAGATTTACTGTTTGTTAAGAGTGTAGTGAAAAACAAGTTGAAAACAAGCCCTGAGTAACACTTTACAGCCGCATAAATGCAGAATTTTCTCTTGGGTGTCTGAAAGTCTATCAGTGGCTCCAGGAATGTGTACTAGCCTTGTAAATAATTTTTTTAAAAAGCTGCTGTTAAGGAGGCCAAACCATCAAAAACATGAAAATTTATGTATGCAAGAGAGGATAACTTGGAGTCAGAAGTGGGTACAGAATTCAAGGTCTGCATTCTTAACACTTTAGACCCTTGCTTGAATATTCTCATGTTCTCTATTTCTTACAGTTGATTTTTCCTCTCTCTGTAGTTGGACTTTGTAGCACTTTGAAATTTCTAACGTCAACAAAACTATGGTGCTTTTGATCTAAAGTGTGCAAGGAAAAAGGTCTTTGTGGTTCCAACACTGACTGGCATTAGAAGTATTTAAGGCAAACATAAAATTTGAAAGATCTTCAGTCTTAAAATGGAAAGAGGCCCCTTCCCAGAAGTTCTATCCACCAACAGAGAAGCCCTCACTTTAACTTTATTGCTTTTATGTGTATTGCGATTTGCAGTTTATGGGATGTTTAAATGTGCTGGATTTCATTTGATCCATATGCTAATTGGTTTGGTGAAAATGAGACTTGCCAGAGGTCACATAGATGTAAGCAACTATTTTAGGATTAAAATCAGTTCACAATCTAGACTACATTATTACACTGCTTGGCAATGTCTTCTAACTTGCTAAGAATATAAGGTAGCTAAAATCATTCTGGGATCTGGAAATAAGGATAAGGTCTACAAAAGGCTTTCTAATGTTATAAAAATAGGGATTATATGCCAATATATCATGATGCATTATGTAATTGAGAAAAATTAATTCTATGAGTATTAAGGAGCATTAAAATCAGGTTTACTGCATTGCAGTGTGAGCATTTGCCAAATTGCTTATGACATGAGACTTCACACAATTTCAGGATCCTAACTGGGGATACTGTCCCAAGTGAAGACCTGGAATCCTGAATGACTGGCTCCTCACGTATCAGCTTGGTCACATGGTGCTCAGATAGCCACTCAATAACCTTGCATTCAGCCATAACGGTGATTATGTTGTGCAACTTCCCAGGAAGTAGTGATGCATTTGACTTTATTTATATGGAGGAAATTAAATCATGATGGTTGGAAGGCAGGATTAGAATCCTGATACTCCCAGTGATGACCTAGATCACCTTGCCCTTCTAACTGACTATCATCTAGTTAGAATGCTGGAAATGAGAAAGAGTTATTGCCAGTAAAACAGAGAAGTGATGCAGATATCACACATAAGAACCTCATTTTTGTCATGCCTGAATAATTTTGTGGACTTTTCTAAAATGGGAGGAGAAAGTTATTCTCCATTCTGTGATTGTACTAACTTTCAGTACTTGCATATATGGGGAATGTGTGGGGATCAGTTCTTTATCTCTAGTTCCATAGACTGGTTGCTAAGGAGAGCACGCTATCTGTAACATCCCAGGGAAGTACACATTCCCTGGGTCCAGTTTTGCTTTTGAGCTAGTGACTGTCAACCAAATCGTCATCTCCATGGCAACATGGATGATACGCCCACTTCCACCTCTTCTCCCAACATCATCTGTCAAGTGCCCATATCATAATAATGGAAACCTCACCATAGACAAAAGACAGGCACTTGAAAAAATAAAACCTTGATCAGAGAAAAAAAGAGCTTTTGTTCTTTTTATTAATCATTTAAAGATACTACTAAAGGGAAGGTTTGAAACAGAAATGAATAAGACATAGATGAAAGTGTTGAGTACTACTAAGAAGTAGTATTTTTGGACCCACACTTAAATTCTATTCCACAGTTTCTGGGGCCATAACAAGCCATTCTGCAGTGGAATACTGGTATTTCCAAATTCAACCTTCTGGGATATGTCTCACGTCCAAGTTAGAACCACAGTTAGGAGCATTTCATGGGTGCACAGGGAATAGTAGCCAGTATAAGTGTTGTCATATATTTTCATCACACAAACAAAACATTTCCACGAACATCAAGCCAGATAAAAATTTGTTAAGTTTTCAAGCTGTTAACCTTTTTTCCATTGCTGCACCATGCTTCTCTCAGCTAGAAGAAGCAATTTACTTACCAAGCCTGTAAATGTGTGCTGACAGCATCCTCATGGACAGCAGCATGTAGCTTTGGTTTTATATAATTAAAACTAAACTACATGTCTTTGGTGATTGAAGAGGATAAGCATTTTCTTGAGATAACTGAAAGCTAAATTTGAAGTGTAACATCATTCATCCTTGTCAATGCTCATATTCCAACAGAGGGCATGTTACTCAAAGCAAACGTTTTCTCAACCGCAAGGTAATTTTAGGCTAAAATGTGAGTTTCTACTTCACCTCCCTCTTTCCCTTGCTCCTCCTCAACTCTGCACAGTTATCAAAGGGAGAGAAAAAAGTGCATTTGAGAATAAATATGAAAATGGTATTTGGGGTCACCACTGGTTGGTATTCTTTTGGGTTAGGAATGCTCAAGTACCACTATGAAGGGCAATTAAACGGCAGACACCCTAAATACCTGGAGACAGATGTTCTGCGGAACTACAGCAAATCAAGATTGGCTTGACTTGCACCAGAAATAACACGATGCCACTCCCCAGTTAACTCTATTGTCCTCCTTTGGGCCTGCAAGCGTTACCTAATAATAAGCTTTATTAGTGCAATAATATAGATGAGTACAAAGAGATTGGGAATCCAGAACTTTCATTCCATCTTTCCAGCCCCATTGGCTGGTGGCTGGGCCAGATAATGGCCACTTGATCTAAGCTCCCAGAAGCCCTCTTTAAGAAGCATCAATTCTAAGTTTGGATTCTTCAACACCTGCTAAGCATCCTTCATTCTTGAAATGGAGGGTTTTTCAGCTTCACCCATTCCAACCTCTCCTCTCCACACCAGACTGCTGGGTTCCTCCTGTCCCTCAGCGATCACACATCCTCTCATCTCTGGAACTGTCAAGACTTGGCAAATGATTATTTTAGCAACAGTGGAAACCACTCTATTGCAGCCCAAAGATCTCGACTTCCCTCACAAAAGCACACACGACACAGACGAGCTGAGGAAGCAACAGTTCCAGTCCCACTCCTTCCCCCAAATTATTTATCTTCTATCAAGATTTGTGAATCAGCCGATATATGAATTAGCAAGTACTTGTTCAACACACCGTTCCCCAGCGCCCGTTCTAAGTAGATGGCTAAGGAAATACACACACACACACACACACAGAGACACACACACACAGAGACACACACACATACACACTCTTAAATCTCTTCAGGGATTAACCAGCTTCCCAAGAAGCTGGTTGGGGTTGTTGTAGTTGGCTTTTGTGGGGCGGGTAGGTGGGGGAGTGAGGAAGTTGGACGCTCTGCGTTTGCTGGAAGCTATGCTCGGCGACGCCGAGAGCCCTGGGGTGATGCTGGGTGAGCCGAGGCTGCCAGGCGCTTCCTGCCTCCCAGCTGAGCGAAAGCAGCGAGTGCGCGCAGGGCGGAATCCTGACCCCACCCGCAGGCGCCCTCCGCACCCGCAGCGCGGCCGTCCTCTCCGCCTGGGTTCTAGGGGCCATGGCGAGGGAGCCTCCAAGCCGGTGCCTAGAGAGCAGGACCTGTTGCAGAGGGAATGGGAAAGGAGCGAGGGGAAAGGGCGAAGTCGTGGGTCAAGAAGGGCGGAGAAAGAGCGGAGCTCAGAGGGGCAGAGAGATCGGGATGAGCTTGGAGAGCAGGCGAGATTCCCCAAGCTCAGAGCCTGCTGGCTGGAAAGAGGGAGGGCAAAAGGGCAGGGAAAAGAATATCGCTGCAAAGCGAAGAGAAGGACTGAGGAAACTCCAGAGAGTCACAGACAGGCGGGATTCAGGGCACTGCGCACTGAACAGATGTGAAACCCGGGGCGGGAGCGCTGCACCCTAGGTCCCCACACCTGTGGCTTTGCGGGGAGCATAGGCGCAGCTTAGATTTCAGCCCATGCCAGTCGCTGTTGAGGCCACCGAGCTGGACCAGGGTTCTGAGATGCTTTCAAGGGACAACGCTCCCCAAGATTATTCTAGGAGAGTACCGTGCCAGACAGGTTGAGACTAGGCGGACAAAAGGAGATGTAGGATGGGCGCAGAGGGAAGGTGATCTGCACCGGGGTTGGCTGTTGGGAGCTCGGGTGCCCTGGGGAAGACAGGCTGGAAGCGAGCGGGAAAGGATCAGCGGACCAGCCTGCGGCTGACTAGGGACTCATGGGCTCCCTAGAATGGGGAAAGGTGGGGTGGAGTTTTAGGAGAACGGGGAAGGTGTTTGCCGATAGAAAGGTCACAACAAACCCAGCTCCCAAAGCTGGGCCAGGGAAACGCAAAGAAATGGGGAGACAGGTCCCCTCCGGCTGGCTGATCCAGAGGAGGACAAGCGCGCGGCTCCCGCGGCCAGGACACTCACCCACCGCCCAGTGGTTGCCGCGCGGGTACATCTTGGTCAGCACGGTCCCTCCGCCCGCAGGCAGCGGGACCGCTCGCCCCCGGGGCGCCAGGCAGAGGACCAGCGCCAGCAGGACCAGCGGGAGCTCACGGCCGCGCATGGTCCCGACGGGAAGCCCTTGGAGCGCGCCGGAGAGGCTGGGAAGAGCAGAGACTGGTGACCCGGACCTCGGAGGAGCTCCGCCGCCGCAGCCGCTGGTGCTACTGCTGCGGCCTCCACTAGGGCCCCTACTTTATATGGAAGCCCGGGCGGGGGGGCTGGGGGGCTCTTCTATCGCGGACCAGAGCGCTCTGACGTCTCCCTATAGCTAACCGGGGCGCTGGGACGCCCGGTCCGGAAAACCATCCATCTCCCCGCCGAGTGATGAAAAGGCTGAGTGTACATTGCCCCCTCTTTTTTCCTCGTAGCCCCGTCCGCCTTCCCCACATCGGATTAATTCCTCCGGTCCTCGACGCCTTCCATCCAACACAATTTAGTGAACTCCTCCCTCTCCAGGCTCGCCGGCGCCTCCAGCCTTAGCTGCCTTGAGAGTCCTGGAGAGGGCGACCCCGCTGCCTGATCTGGGCCGGGAGGGGTGGGGGGTGTAGCTGGAGACGGGTGAGCTCTAAAGATGGATGGGCTTTGCTGGAGGGATTTGGAACCACCATTTGAAGGCCTTCTGATTCTCCAGACCTTTCTCTTCGTAGGCCACATCTTTGCTGTCCCAGCCCATAGATTTTGGAACCTTGCCTCCTTGCAGATCTCTCTCTCTTTTTCTGGACCTTGCCTCTTTCTTGCAGATCTCCTCCCCTCCTCTCCCCTCCTCTCCCCTCCTCTCCCCTCCCTTCCCCTCCTCTCCCCTCCTCTCCCCTCCCTTCCCCTCCTCTCCACTCCCATACCCTCCCCTCCCCTCCACTCCCCTTCTCTCTTCTCCTCCCCTTCCCATCCCTCTCTCTCTCCCCTCCTCCCCAATCTCTCTCTCTCTCTGTCTCTCTCTCCCCCTCTGCTGCCCTCCACCTTAAGGTTAAGGGCAGTATCCTTAACCCACCTGGTATTCCCAGGCAGCTCTGCCCACTTGTATGGCAAGACAGAAGATAGCTGGCCCTTTTCACAAGCATGCAACTTCCATGGAATAGAGAAAGAAACTGCTTTATGCCAGTTTCCCTAGGCTGCCTCTACCTGAAAGCTCAAACTGTCCCTAAACTGCCACATACACACCCCTCTAGAGTTGCTCAACGTTCCTCTGCTCCTTCTGTTCTCAGATCTAAAGAATGGTCACCAGCCCAATCCCCGAGGTTCTAAATACCATGGATACAAAGGGGATCAGCACCATAGCAATGCAACAATAAATAGAAGCTGGTAGGATGCTGTTGCCCACGTTTTGGCTGCCAGAGTTGGCCGTGTGGTTGGAATAGGTGAGGTCTATTCCTCCTCAAATGCTTGTTAATTGCCTCCCTGTTGGGTCTTTAGTGTTCCATGTCAACATGGTGTTGATATTGATATATTGATATTGATAAAGTTGAAAACATACACTTGTGTCTGAGTATCTGCTGATTCAATACATTCTTCTTCTTCTTTTTTTTTTTTTTTTTTTTTTGAGACAGAGTCTTGCTCTGTCACCCAGACTGGAGTGCAATGGCGTAATCTGGGCTCACTGCAACCTCTGCCTTCCCGGCTCAAGTGATTCTCCTGTCTCCGCCTGTGGAGTAGCTGACATCACAGGCATGCACCACCACGTCTGGCTAATTTTGTATTTTTAGTAGAGATGAGTTTTCACCATGTTGGCCAGGCTGGTCTTGAACTTCTGACCTCAAGTGAGCCGTGGCCTCCCAAAGTGCTGGGATTACAGGCATGAGCCACTGTGCTTGGTGTTCAATATATTCTTAAGTGATTACACACTCACATTGCATGACTGAGTACTCTTGGATCTGAAGAGTATTTTCATGCATGTGTCTGGGTCTAAGAGAAAAAAAGTCAATTTTAAGATCATTAATAGTTTGGTAGCCAACCAAATACAATAATACTATCCTCAGTGAGTGAGCTAAGTGAAAATCAAAAGAAAAAGGTCCACAGACTGGCCTGGGCTCCATCCCTCCCGGGTTCCCAGCCTCTCTGCATTCCGTTCCCAGGCTCTGTCAGTAGGCAAGTGTTCCATTGGCAGGCAACTGATCATCCCTAGGCGTGCTGCCTCCCACACAGTGAGCTTGCTTCAACACAGGGACTTGGTATTGTTCCTCTGTGTGTCTGCAGAGCACCTGGATCATAGTGGTGCTTGATAAGTATTTGGCGAATGAACAACAAACCTAAGAAATGCCCAGGTCTAAGAAATGCCTTCTGCAACCGTGGATCTTTGGAGGCGCATTAAACCCTTATCTCTCCAAATTAAGTTGTAGAAAAATGCTCTTTCTCTTTAGTTTAACCAAGATTATTTTAGAATCTTTCAAATGAAATCCTCCACCTCCTCCCATCCCCATGAAACTAAGGGGAAGCCACTGTAAAGACATTCAAGTGTAGAAATAATTGTTTAGAAAGCACAACACTTCTGCTAATTCAGGCAACACTGTTTCTTGTGTCCATTACACGCCAGGAGATACCTAGGCCCCTCCATTCACCTTAGCTCTTGCTCCAAGGCCACCCCAGCCTACAGGTTTCCTGCCTGCAGACTACGGCTGGGCCACATGACTTGCTGTAGCACCCTGTAAGGACAGCACCCATGTCATCTGGCTCGATACTGCCTCCACAGTGCCTGGCCCAGTCTTAGGCACAAAGATGGGACTCAAGAGATTTGAATCGATACATTGTCCTCCAGGAAAAGGAGGCTGAGTCCAAACTTCTAACCAGAAAAGACAGTGGACTGTTTCCAGTTAGAGAATGGAACCTTTGCATGTTTGATTCAGTTGATATGAATAAGCCCCAGTAGATCCTGGCTGGGTGTCCTCTCATACACCTCTTAAAATCCTCACTACAGACAGCTGGGTAAATATGATTAACCCCACTGACATAGTTAGGGGAAAGCTAAACTCTATGAGAAAGAGACCTTGCAATGCAATGACCCATTCAAAAGAGAAGTCTATTTCTCTTTTCTGTCCAGGGCAGGTGTTCCAGGTTGGCAGGCAGCTCTGTTCCACATTGATAATCAGAAACCTGGGTTCACACCACCTGGGGTCTCTACCATTCCCTACAGCAGCACTACTCAAAGGGCTGGCCTGCAGGGAGAGAAGGAGCTTGCATTAGAATGCAAGTCAATGTACGGCTTCCTTCATCGAGAGCATCTTGCTATGAAAAAAAAAAAAAGTCAGCTGTACTAAACAATGTGTGTAGAGATGTTATTGACTTGTGTCCTAGTACAAGATCTTTATCTCATTGTGGATGGGAAACAAATAGTTTGGGAGGAGCAGCTGGTCTATGGATCACATGTGATGAGCACTTTCCTATCTGTCTGCATAGCTTGGGTTGCAGGTGCCAAAAAGGGGAAGATGGAGGAGGCACGCCCGCTCTCTTAATACACCAGCCAAAATGAAGCATTTATCTCTTCTGCTCGTGTTTCATTAGTAAAAAGTCAACCACATGGTCATAGCTAACTGCAAGAGAGATTGGGGGTTGCAGTCTTAATAATCAGTTATGCCTGGCTCTGATTGCATCACTGTGGAAGAAAGAGTCCATGGAGTTTGACGGATAGCTGAGAAACTCTACCAGAACCAACCTAGTGCCTGATATTCCATGATTTATGCTGTGACCTTTTAGCTCAGTGACCATGGATAGTTCATCACCGAGTGCACTTGTAAAATTATTTTATCCCATGGAGCTCAGGGGTATTTTGTGATTTGGGGGTTTGTTTTTGTTTTGAGACAAGCTCTCCCTCTGTTGCCCAGACTGGAGTGCAGTGGTACAATCATGGCTCACTGCAGCCTTGACTTCCCGGACTCAAGTGATTCTCCCACCTCAGCCTTCTGAGTAGCTGACACTACAGGTGCATGCCACCATGGCTGGCTAGGTTTTGTATTTTTTGTGGAAATGGGGTTTCACCATGTTGTCCAGGCTGGTCTTGAACTCCTGGGCTCAAGCTATCCTCCCACCTTGGCCCTGCAAAGTGCTGGAGTTACAGGCGTGAGCTACCATGCATGGCTGAGTTCAGGCTTTGATGAGCTTTTAACTGTGCAACAGGCCATATATATTTAGATTTCCCATTTTTTTATTCATCAAAGACATAAGGAACTGTCTATCAATCAGAGCTTCTAATCAGGTTGAAATAACAAGCATCACCTCAGAGAGTCGATGTAATTCCAATATAAATCAATGAAACATTGCATTTTAGTTTCTTCATGGCTTTTTGAAATGTGCAAAACAGCTCATGCATCTCTACCATTGCTCTTAGGGGATTCCAGGCTGAGAGTCTCTGCTTAAGTTTAGTGGCTATTTTTGCCAAATGAAAATAGCTCTGTGAGGGGAAATACCTTAAGTTGTGACTGGCCATTTATATGTGGAGCCAGTGAAGGCTTTGAGGGCAGGTCTTGCTGCAGGGAGATGCTCCAAGATTCCCAGGTCCAGGCTGGAGTGAAGGAAGCAGAGCAAGATGGGGAATGATGGAGAACAAGGAAGCAGTGGTGAGGAGTTTAGGAGTCAGGCTGGCCTGGGTTCCAATTCCTCCTCTGCCATTTAGGAGCTATGATTGGCACCTCACTTAGCATGGGCATGTCAGTTTCATCATCTGTAAATTGAGCTGGTAATGCTTCCCTCCCTAGGGTGGTAGGACAGTTACATGAGATCATGTGTATCTATTGTCCAGCAGCTACTTATTCTTTAAATTAATAATAATGGGGAACTGTAATTAGGGCAGGCTAATTTCTGTATTAGATTGTGATTTTCAAGATAGCATCATTTTCTTGTTCAATGCCTAACCCAGTGTTGTGCTATTTAAGTCTCCTGAGAAGATCATACAAGTAATAGCTGCTGCTTAGTGAGTACTTATTATGTGCCAGGGACTGCGTGTGATTGTTATGTGCATTTGTTCATGTGCTCCACACAGCTATCCCATGAGGTCGGTGTTATTTACTCCATTTTATAAATGAGGAAACTGAGGCTCAGAAAGGTTAAATAACTTGCCTAGGCCCAGATGGTAATTGACAGAGCCAAGAGTTGACCTCATAGCCATCTGATTGATTCACACATCTGGTAACAACGAATTTCATTGTAATTCCAGGGCTTTTCTGGAGTTCGACAAATTGCAGTACCCAGCAGGCATAAAAGGTGGATTAAAAGATAATTTTAGAAGAGATATCAGGGATCATTCTTAGAGGCCTTTGAGGGAAACTTCACTGTAGTTTCCTCTGTTTGCTTGTTTTCTATTCTTCTCCACCCCCTAGCCCACCCTGTCTTTAGATCTTTGCCTTCCAACTTGTACACAGAAGTAGCTACAAATGGTGGGAACAGAAAATTTGCTGTGTGGAGAATAACAGGCTCATAGTTTTGGCTACAGCAGAAATGGCCAGCATCCCAAAATATAACCCACAATGTTTGAAACTGAAAATATATTTCTGAGATTCATCTACTTGAAAATCTTACTGCACGGTCCTGCTTGAAATCCAGCTCTTCCCAGCATGTCGCTGATGCCCTTCCATGGTCTTCTGGGTTGCCAGACAGATGGGAGGGGGCGATTACCCTCCACTCAGGCTTTATAGCTTATCTAATTTAGGGTTTCTCAACCTCAATGCTATTCATATTTTGGGCCAGATAATTATTTGTGGTGGTGCCGTCCCATGCATGGCAGGATGTTGAGCAGTGTCCCTTGTCCCCATCCATTAGAGGCCAGTAGGACCTCTCAGTTGTGACAACCAGAATATCTCCAGACATTGCCATTGTCCCTTTCTGGGGGTAGGAGTGGAGTTGCCCCCAGCCAAGACCCATTCGTCTAATCTAACTGCCCATTCTCCTTAATTGCATCCTTGCCGAGTGCTCCTGGTGTTCTTGAACATCTCCAGTGCTGGAGAACTCACTTATTCTCGTCTTCAGAGAAAACTGAATTTAGCAAACTCTTCCTTATATTGAACCTAAATATGTCTCCCTAGCTCTTCCCCTGTCACATGGTCCTATTCTGCACTGCCCTCTGGTCCTTGAGGACTCCTTGAGACACCATCATGCCCACCCTAAGTCTTCTCTGTGCTACATTTTCCTGTGCCATCAACAGCTCCTTGCCTGGGACAATCATTCCTCCCTTCCCCACCCTGGCTAATCCATTGGAGCATCCTTCAGCGTGATTATTTCCCCTTTAAAATTGAGAAAGTAAGAGACAGGGGTGCTGAGCATGGCCACAAAGGAGTCACTTCCTTGGATCACCTCCAGAGGAAACTGAGCATCAGTCGAGGGACTTGGTGAGGAAGGGGTACTATTTTCCATAACTTTCCACAGGTATAGTCCTAGCCCTCTTGGCCAAGGGATCCAGGCCTGGGACAATGAAAGCCACTGTGCACTCTGGGTCAACCCGGCCTGGAAGGCTGGGAGGCTCCAAGTGTTATACCCACTCCTCAGACAACACAGAGGTGAGGACTAAGGCAGGAGAGGGACCAGAGAGAGTAGGTGATGGCGCAAGGGGTGGGGCTGGCAGCGTTCTGGGGCTGAGCAGCTCTTGTTCTTCTAAGGATCCATCTGCAGGGGCCATGCCCTTCATCCTACCTTTCTTCCTATCTTTGTCAGGACAAAATTTTTAAAGACTATAAATATTGGCCGGGTACAGTGGCTCACACCTGTAATCCCAGCACATTGGGAGGCTGAGGCGGGCAGATCACTTGAGGTCAGGAATTCTAGACCAGCCTAGCCAACATGGCTAAACCCCGTCTCTACTAAAAATACAAAAATTAGCCAAGTGTAGTGGCACACGTCTGTAATCCCAGCTACTCGGGAGGCTGAGGCGGGAGAATCGCTTGAACCGGGAGGCAGAGACTGCAGTGAACCAAGATAGCACCACTGTTCTCCAGCCTGGGTGACTGAGACTTCATCTCAAAAAAAAAAAAAAGACTATAAATATTAAACAACTTCATATCTCTACATAAAGAGCTGACTTCACAAAGGTAAAGTGATTATCCCCGAATCATGACTCCCACCCTCCCACCCCCACTCCTATCCCACCCCCAGGTAGTTGGCTTCTCCCAGCCATAGTCTCTCAACTTCAGCCAAGAAAAGTTGCAACCAACTTCAGTAACAAGTTCCTAAGGAAAAAATTATTCAGAAAAATCTCTGAAATGCCATTAGTTTAATCTGATTTGACTTATCAAATCAAGATACATCCATCCATCTCTCTTGTTCTCTTTCTTGATAGCGCCCAGCACTGCAGCCCCCAGGTTTTCAGACCCGCAGATTACATTATGGCAGAAACAAGGGTGTCTGGGAGGGCCAAGAATAGGCAAAGCCTCCGTGCACGGCCCCCTGGGAAGGCCCAGGAAGGGATAGGCATTGATGGTGAAACAGTGTCATGCATATGAAGGGTTATTCACAGCCTGCCTACCATGGTGACAGAAAGACTAAGACCAACTCAGATGAGTTTTCAGAAAGCCTCCTAAGACTACTTATCATGGTACCAAATATTATAATACCATGACAATCCTTCCCACCGAAATCGGTATTTTAATTCAAGTTTATTTTTCAATTTTTGATTTCTTTTTTTGTAGAGACAGGGGCTTGCTATGTTGCCCAGGCTGGTCTATAACCCCTGGGCTCAAGTGATCCTCCTGGCTTCGCCTCCCAAGGGAAGGTGCAATTACAAATGTGAGCCACTGCACCTGGCCCAAGTTGAAACTAATGTTGGCCGTCAAGGTTCAGAGTAGTGTGGTCCACTTCAGATGTCATTGAAGACAAAGGAGGGACACTTTATAGGTATCCAGAGGCAGTGAGAGGAGTATTGTCCCAAAAGTTGGGAGATTTTGTGTGACCTTGGGTGAGTCACCCTCTAGTAGTAAATATCAAAAATGGTAAACTTTTTGTATTAATATCTCATTAAATCCTTGTTCTTTCTTGAACAAGTAGGTATTTTTATTGTCTCTTTCTTGGGATGGAAGAGTCTTGGAAAGTGTAACCACTTGTCCATGGCCAAGCAGCCGGCTGGCATTAGAACCCCTGCAGTACGTTGCAGACTCTCCTTTCTAAGTATCACCCTTCATGGCTAACCCTGGAGTGGCAACTTGTACATGGAGGCCCTAGAGCTTCACTACTCTAATTCCATGGTGTTACCTGTTTGCATTAGTCAGGGTTCCCCAGAGAAACAGAACCTACCAGATGTGTGTGCAGCATGTGTATATATATAAATCAATGGGGGGGGGGGGGTGGCGCGGGGAGAGAGAAAGAGAAAGAGAGAGATAGAGAGAGAGGGAGAGAGAGAGAGAGAGAGATTGATTTATTGTAAGGAATTTGCTCAAGTGATTATGGAAGGTTGACAAGCCCAAAATTTGCAAGCTAGGCACACATAGGAGACGAGGGAAGAATTACAGGTCAAGTCCAAAGGCAGTCTGCTGGCAGAATTCCTTCTTGCTTGGACAGGTCAGTCTTTTTCTCTGAAAGCCTTCAACTGATAGGATGAGGCCCACCCAAATTATGGAGAGTAATCTGCTTTACTCAAAGTTTACTAACATAAATGTTGATCATCTAGAAAACACCTTCAAAGAAACATCTAGAATAATGTTCAACCAAATATCTGCATGCTGCGGCCTAGCCATGTTGACACATAAAATTCACCATCACACTGTCTCTTCCTACTATTGAATTGGGGCAATTACTGTCAATGCTGCCATAGCCCCTATAGCATTCTGCATTTCCACTAGGTGTTGGGAAAACACCACTTCCCCTGGAGTGCTGCTTAAACAAAATTGGAATTTTCTAGAAGGAATTTGGCTAGGGACAAAAGAAGCAAACAGAAAAAACATAAAAATGGAGATGTAGACAGACAAAAAATATAAATAAACTTTGTTGAGGTATAATTTACATATTAAAATGTACCCATTTTAAGGGTGTACTTTGTCGAGTTTTGACAAATGTACACAAACACCACAATCCAGATATTGAACATTCCTGCCATCTCCAATAGTTCCCCCCAAGTTTAGTAAATCACTGATAAGCTTTCTCTTACTCTAGATCTGTTTTGTCTTTTTTAGAATTTCATATAGATGGTCCTCTAGTGTATGAGTCTTTTGTATCTGGTGTCTTTTATTTACCACAATGCTTTTGAGATTCAGACCAGCAGTGGCATGTATCAGATATCTGTTCCTTTCTGCGAGTGTTCTGTTGTGCAGCTATCCCTCAATTTGTTTGCTCATTCACCAGTCGATGGATATGTGGGTGTTTCCAGTTTTTCTGTTTTCGCTTTTTGTTTGTTTGTAGGCTAGAATCTTTTCCTGATACAAAAGCCAGTGCTCTGTGTTTGGAGAAGCCATCAAGTTATTTCTCCATATTTGGGGGTGCCTCTAATTCTGACTTTATGTACTGCACAGAAATGCCTGGTGGACCCTTATTCTAGTGAACGCTCAAACTCCTCCATGGGTGCTCGCCCTGGCAAAGGAGTTTCCAGAACCTGCTCTGACAAATGTTTGATTTCAGTTCCTTTTCATACACTCTACCGAAAATGAACAATGGGAATAGGCACATCTTATCCCCCTCCTGGCTCACACTTTGGCTAGAATATGTCAGCTGCTCAAATCAAGACACTGCAGGAATCAGGTCGCTTGGTGAAGAGAAGAGAGAAAAAGGTAGTGGTAGATACCATTAGTAGCTTACCCAATACCCACTTTTCCTTTCTTCCTTGCAGAGAGCCCCAGGCCCAGGTTCAGGCAATGGACCATGGTTCAATTCAATCTTGGCAGTCCTGTGTCCTGCTTTCTCAGTCTCCCCCTGAACAGCAGGGGCCATGTGACCTAGTTTTGGCCAATGAGACTTAGGTGAAAGTCAGCCTGCAGTGGGTTCTGGGAAAGTTTTTGCTTTTGTGATCAAGGGAACAGATATAGATGGCACAGCCCTTCTACCTTCTTCCTGCCTTGACTGTAGACATTCCACCGACCTCTAGCAGCCATCCTGCAATCTTGAGAGAAAGGCCAAGAAATACGCGGAGACTTCAGCCTTGGCATTGTTGAAATGGAAAATCATTGCTAGTATCTGTCCACCACTGTGTTCATGTTACATGTGACAGATAAGCCCCTATTTGTATAAGCCACTGTTTAAGGTTTTTGTTATAGCCAAACAAATTCCTAGATGATATACGGGAGGAGCATATTGAAAGTAAATGTTATCTTTCTTTCTCTAGGGCTGATCTCACCTACAAAGTTCACCACTCCTCAAATCTGATAGGAATCTGCTAGGTTTTTTTTTTTTTTTTTTTTTTTTTTTTTTTTTTTTTTCAGATTCCCTCTACTGCAGTTTGTTTCTCAAAGAACATGGGTTGATAATCCCTACCCCTTCTCTGCCATTTACTGTGTGATCTTGGGCAAAATACTTAACCTCTCTGTGAGTTTTCTCATCTGTACAACGTGACTAATAATACCTGGTTGTTGTGAGGATTTTTCAAAGCTAAATAAAGTCCTTAGAACAGTCTAGCATATCAATAGGAACTTGGTAAGTGGTGGTGATGATGATGACCATGATAAAACGATGACGTGCAAAGCACTGAATCACCTTGTAGCCATATTAGGATACAAACTGCACCTGAATTTCCATTTTCCTGCAGCAAAACTCTATAACTCTGACTAGGATGGCAGGTCTATAACACTGACTTGCTTCTCCAGCTGCAAAATCTCCTTAAAGACACAATCTGCTAAATTCTTAAGTCGACCTTCCAAGGTGTGTGGGAGGAACGCCAAGTTTCCCTTTAGCTTATCCACCACACCCCAGCCTCCCCTGTGTGCTATCTGATTCCTCGGACCTTCAGGTGTAACCAAGCCTGACCGTGTAATATTTTCCTTTTTCATGTTAAATTTCATCTTACTGAGTTCTGACCAAGGTTCTCAAATATTCAGACCCTTTGGTAATTTTAACTTTAATTTATCTTTGGTATTTGCCATTTCTCACTCATTTTGCATTATCTGAAAATGTAATCTAACTCAAATTGACTTTCTCCTCCAGGTTGTTAATGAGCACTGCATATTGGATAATATAGTTTCCGGTACTGAGCTCTGTGGAATCCTTCTTGATTTTTATTGACGTTCAGATCTAATTTCAGATGCCACCAATTATTACTTGTACCGACCATTTGTCAATAAATCCCAGAACTATGCTACCGTCAAATCTTCCAGGCCCTACCACTTTAATTGATTATGAATTGCTTGGGTCAGAGGTTTCACATCAAATAAATGTTTCAATGATTTCTCCTGAATTCCCCTGTGGGGTTTCAAGTTCATAATTGTGTTCAAAAATGGCTGCGTCTGTGTTAGGGAGAATAACTGGAGGCTTTTGAATCTGCCTGGCTTGTTGCTCATTAGATTCTCTTTCCTCGTGTGCGTAGAGATCAATTTTCTTATTAAATTTCTTAACTTCTTACCTGGAAGGGCTGGCAGACCATGAAAACATTCATTTCCTGAGTCATCATGTTGATGAATATTCCTCTGTCTCTGAGTTTGGGATCATGCCAGATCCCAAGATTTCTGCTGCCTCCACGGTTTGTGCCGTGGCTTTCATACCTCAGAGCCTGAAATGTCCCCCACTTCTCTTGAAGCACTGAATTTTAAATACTCCAGTGGTTCTCAACCTTGGCTAATTTTGTCCACATACCTGGCCTCCACCCCCGCCAGGACATTTAACAATGCCTGGAGACATCTGTGGTTGTCACAGCTCAAGTGGAGGGGGACAGTGCTACTGGCATGGAGTGGGCAGAGGCCAGGGTTGTTGCTAATCACCTTACAATGTACCGCACAGCACAGCACCCATAACCAAGGACTTTCTGGCCCAAAATATCAGCAGTGCTGAGATTGAGAAACTGTCAAATTTCAGCTCTTCTCAAAGCCACCCCCTTCCCTCCCCTATCATCACCACCAAGAAAGAGGAAATAATTAACCTGATTGAGACATGGAGAACTGCCCCCAACTGGCTGTTGACTTCACTTCTCTGGCCACAGCTCGCTCACTGTTCAGTCTGAATAGGGATGAGAATTGAACTAGAGGTACTAAATTTCTAAATCCCATTTATGTTTTCTCCCTCTCCCTCTCATCCTCCTTCCCTCCCTCCCTCCCTCCATTTCCTCCTTCCTTCCTTCCATCCATCTTTTCTCCTTCCTCCCTTCTTCTTTCCCCCACTTTTCCCCCTCCTTCCTCCTTTCTCCAACATATATTTACTGGGCTTCAACCATGGACCAAGCACTTCCATAGACACTGTAGATGCAGAAATTAACAAAACAGAAAATTCCCTACCCATAGGGAGCTGATGTTCTAGCTGGGCAGTGAGATAATATACAAGGGGAGGAATTTCAGAGACCAATGGGTGCTGGTGTTGCAGGACTTTTCCTTAGCTCAGCTAAAGTCAGGGTCCTTATCCCACGGCCACGAAAATATAGGCTCGCAGACAATTTGAAGCATGAGTAAAGCAGGGTTTTATTTGCTGAAAAGAAAAAAAAGGTGGGGGGAACAGGGATTCTCTGCAAGGCCAGAGTTCCCTGCTGCTGTGTTTCCTGCCTCACAGTTTGAATCCTAGGAAGATCTTCCATACAGGAAGAGGAAGGGCCAGGCTCCTCCCGGCTGCAAACTGTGTGAGCTTCCTGAGGCTCCACCCCAGTGCGCAGACCCACTGGAGTTTTGCCAGGGACCCCTTACCCCATCTAAAGACATACATCTAGCTGCTGTTAAACTAAGGATAAGGACGAAAACCAATCTTTTTTTTTTCCCCCTGAGATGGGGTCTTGCTTTGTTGCCCAGGCTGGAGTGCAATGGTGTAATCTCAGCTCACTGCAACCTCCACCTCCTGGGTTCAAGCGATTCTCTTGCCTCAGCTTCCCAAGTAGCTGGGATTACAGGTGTGCGCCACCATCCTGGGCTAATTTTTTTTGTATTTTTAGTAGAGATGTGGTTTCAACATGTTGGCCAGGCTGGTCTCGAACTCCTGACCTCATAATCCACCCGCCTCAGCCTCCCAAAGATGAGGACCAATCTTAACTGCTTCCTGCTGGCAGGAAGGTGACAGGGGTGCTGTTTTGGGGAAATGGTAATCAGATCTCAGAGACCTATTTAAGGGTTCCTGGCAGAAGGGGCCATCCTCAGAGGCTCCAGTTGCATGAACATTTGGAGTTTAATGACCTGAAGGCAAGAATAGATAAAATGAGTTACTAGAAATTATGTATCAAAACAAAACAAGGGGGAGGTAAGGACAGCTAAAAAATCCCAAGGCCTTTTACCAGTTTGCCCAGGAAGATAGGGGTTAAAAGCCTGACTGATTAAAAAACACTTGACCCTTTTGCTGGCATGTTGGGATTCTGGGTTCCCTCTCCCTGAGCCCAATCTTAAGCCAGCCAGTTTAAGGTTTGGGAAATTAACTCTTTCCAGTTTGGAGGATGCATCTGAAGGGAGTGTCCTGTAGTACAGAGACACAATTACCTATCAGCAAAGAGAGGTCAGAGGAGAAGAAAGGAAAAAAGAAGGCACCTTTTAAAGGAGTCCCAGGGATTCAGGATGCATTCAAATGGGGTACAGACTGAAGACGAATGGCTACCCATCGAGAAAGAGGGAAGCAGGTATCCCTGGTTCCCTTCTCTTCCTAGCAGATACTCGGGGTATGTGAGGGAGAGAGGGAAGACGATCCCCTTTCCTCTTCTGTCCTTGCATTCCCGAGTCCTGGTGACGTTGGCAGGCACCATCATGTGTGCCAAAGCGGCTTGCACCCATGAAGCAGGGAGGCCTAGGGGGTGGGAGTCATCCACTCTTACCCACATACACCTTATCTCCCCTGCTTTCAGTAGCCTTGAATTCCCTAGAACTCATTTATGCCATAGTACTAACATGGCCTTTATCCATGAAACAGGAAGCTTGGGCTTGTCTTAATTGGCAGGAATCAGCCGTGCTTACCTGCCCTGTGCCTTTTAACCTCTGTTATCATCTGCCTCTGGATCCCTTAAATCCAGTTTTCTTTCCTATGGCCTTGACCTGAAGCTTGGAATTGAGTTTGGGACAAAAATATGTCTCGGTAGCGGGGGGGTTGCACGTTGCATGGACTTCTTATCATAAGCCAAATGCTAAGGTATAACTGTGGAACTGAGTCCTCCTCCAATAAGGGAGAGAAAAAGATGTCTTGTGACACACCCAGATAACTAGTGGCTATGGTTATGCCTGCTAGGATTTGGGTGCATTGTGCTTGGCTTTGGTTAGCTCCCTTGGTCTTACTTTCTCAAATAGGAAACCTCCAAATGGTGGGCATCCTATTTAATCCCATCACCTAGGAGGATATACAGGATAATTGCTCAGAACTAGAATTTTTTTTTTAATTTTAGATGGAGCCTCACTCTGTTGCCCAGGCTGGAGTGCAGTGGCATAATTTTGGCTCACTGCAACCTCTGCCTCCCAGGTTCAAATGATTCTGCTGCCTCAGCCTCCTGAGGAGTAGCTGGGACTACAGGCACATACCACCGAACCTGGGTAATTTTTTGTATTTTTGGTAGAGATGCGGTTTCACCGTGTTAGCCAGGCTGGTCTCAACTCCTGACCTCAAGTGCTCTACCTGCCTTGGCCTCCCAAAGTGCTGGGACTACAGGCGTGAGCCACCACGCCTGGCCAGAACTAGAATATTGATCCAGATTTTTACATTATCCATCCCTCTTGTTCTTTCTGAGCTGCAGCTGGAGATTGCTGGTAGGTTCACAGGAACAAGCAGGGTTAGTGTAAAATGTAGGCAAAATATTAAAAACAACTAGTGAGTTTGGAATTTAATGACAAATGTATTATAAGTTTTGAAATATAATTTCTCTCTCTCCAGTCCTCATTTTTGTTTAAAAAACGTATCATCATAGGACTGAGCGGTTTGAAAAATAGACTTTACTTTCATATTTGGCCTGACTGTTTGCATAAAGTGCAGCAAGAATAATTATTTCTATATAAGCCTTTAGGATTGGCTTTGATGGAACTCTGTTCCCCAAGGAATCTCAGATAAGACCTTTTAAAGCAGAGTCCAACCTGCAAGTTAAGTGATCCTTTCCTCCTAAGGTCCCAAGATAAACTTGGAGCTTCTGGACCTGTTAGAAAGTGACATTGTTTACTGACTACAGGTCAGAAACCCTGTATAGGTACTGTGTTGGCAAGTGTATGAGGCCAGTTTCCCCACTGGGTTTTTATTGTCTCTGCAAGCCAAGACTGACTCCTTAAAGGGAAGCATACCCTTCCAGTCAAAGCCTTGGTAGAATAAACACTTTCTCCAATTTCGTTCTGTTGCAAAAGGAAAATGGATTCTCATTGCACCGATGTGAACAAATATATTGCCATAAGAATAATCAGAGACAGTTTCCAAATTTTAGAGGAACCAGGCAGAGAGAAACAAACATGCTCCAAATTTTGTTCATAGGCATATACCTTACTCAATTATTAAAGACCATAAATAGTTCAAGGTAAGTTTCCTTGACTCTGAAAAACAAAACAAGGATCAGCAATAATCCAAGCGAAAGTCAAAAGGTTGCTTCAGCTTTCTGAGTTCGGTTCATTTAGTTAACTTTTGTTTTGCTTGATGTTCATGAACACTTCAGCTCTTTATGAGTCCTGTACATTTTCCTTTATTCCAATGTTACAATCCCCAAAGTTATCAGAAGCCTATATTTGAGAGCACATGTTAAAGGCCTACAGCATATTGTAGACCATCTCTTGAAAAGGATTAAAACAGGACAACAATTGTCTGTGAATAGCAAAATGTCCAGGGTAGTTACAGTTAGAAACACAATTGACAAAGAAGTTTGGTTATCTCTGTAGTTTACAATAACTTAACATAACAACCCTAATTATGATTGGTAGCATATACTTAGATATTATAATTTTAGAAATCCCATACAATTTTGGAATGCATATTAGCATAGTTTACCAAGATATAACCTAAAGAAGACTGCACATCATTTTGGCAATCCCACATCATTTTGGCATAAACATGTCAAATAATCCTGTTTACCTCTCTTTTATGGATGTCTCAGGGGCCCTCTGATTCATCTGAAAAGCCAGGTGTCAGGAAAGACAATTTTGAAACTGAAGTTTGATTTTGGGAAGCCCGTTACATGTATTTGAAGCCCTTGATATTAGGAAATAGAATTCCAGATTACCATAAGTTATTTATTGTGCCAAAATGATGACTCAGAAATTTAAAGAAGCAAAAACCTTTTATAACCTTTTTGAATTTAGTCAATATGTTCACATAGAGAACCCCTTTGCAAGATTAATTTCCACAATCTTTCCACCACTTGTTTGAACCTTCAGCTTTTCCTAACTCAAAACAATCCTTTAACCATAGGCAAAAATGTACATTTCCATGGCTTTTTGTAACCTTTTACTAAAAAACACATTTTACTGTTCTTACACTCCTTGCATGTAAATTTATTTTCAGTAGTTTCAATTATACATTATAATGGTAACTCCTAGCAATTTTTAACTTTGGGGTAAAATCTGGTAAGTTGCTTTAATTGTGTGCTCAGTGCAGCCAAAGTTGCCTTCTTAATTAAGGGTGTGGTTAGTTCTACATGTCCCCAGGCCCTACCAATTGTGAAGCCGGCAAGTCAAATAGTTTCCCAAACTCAAAAATCAGTTTGTAACCTCAAAACATTTAGCAAACCTTGCACCTGACCTGCATTTTACCAATAGTCTTTAGAGCTGTTTTTATTTCTCAAAGATTAAAGTCATGTGAACTGAAAGGTACCACAGCTTTTAACTTCCCTTAAAAAAAAAAATGCTTGATTCAAGCACTCGTTTTTCTTTAGGCCAAATTAATAGAGCTCTTTTTACAGACATCACACACAATACACACACTGACAGGCAGAAGAAAACCCAGTCCCCACAAGATCCTTTTTCACAACCAAAACTTTACGGAGAATATAAACAGGGGCGCTTATCATTCCTAGCCTAGCAAAACTTCTTCTGAAAGAAAAAACCTCACTAAATGGTAACTGCTGATGGGGTGGAGAAGGTGAAGGAAAAAAAAAACAGTTTAAAAATGCCTGGGGAAGAACTTCTTATTCTTATGTAACTGGTTTCTCCACAAGGAGAAAAGTTTAATTACTGTCCAATGGAGTAAAATCCCTTGGCTGGGGAAGAGGAAGGCTGCATGGCACGTGGCTGGGAACCAGCCAGCTGGCTGTGTGGGACCCTTGGGCCATGGGTCCCAGCCCCAGCAAGGAGCGGGGAGCAGTGGCAAGCCGGCTGCTCACCAGGTCCATCCTGAAAAAGGAAGGTAAGGCCATGAAAAGGCTCCTAACCCCCGGGAGCGACAGGAGTTGGGAATGTGATTTCCCATAAGCTCAGAACTCCTAGGATGAAAAGGCTCCAAAGAGAGAGGGGAAAAGAATTCTTGGTTTGCATCTCACTCACCACTTCTCAAGCCCCACGTTGGGTGCCAAAAATGTTGCAGGACTTTTCCTTAGCTCAGCTAAAGATGGTGTTCTTGTCCCATGGCCACAAAAATGTAGGCTCACAGACAATTTGATGCATGAGTAAAGCAGGGTTTTATTTGGTGAAAAGGAAAGTAAGTGGGAACAGGGACTCTCTGCAAGGCCAGAGTTCTCTGCTGCTGCACTTCCCACCTTACAGATTGAATCCCAGGTTCTATGCAGGAAGAGGAGGGGCCAGGCTCTTACCCACTGCAAATGGCATGAGCTTCTGGAGGCTCCACCCCACTGTGCAAGCCAGCTGGAGTTTTGCCAGGGACCCCCTCCCACCTGGCCATCTCACTAGGAAGAAAAGAAGGCAAGGTTCTGTGATCTGTACTATGGTCACCCATTTCAGTGGCCTGAAACCCAGCTTGGGGAAAAATAAAGCTGAGTGTTTCACCACAGAGCTGTGTGTCATTCTTATTGTTTTAGTAATGCCATTACTAGTGCCATATACTAAGATGTAGTTACTTTCCATGGAAAGAAAACTTTCTAAGATAAACAACAAATTTCAGCTGTACTTCATTTGCACAGCTACAAGGCTTTTTATCCAGGTCACACTAAAGCTTCTGGAGAACGGGGACTCTGGAGTTTGACTCCTAGGTTTGCTACTTATGAGCTTATGTGTGACCTGGAGCAAGTTTCTTAATCTTTCTGAAGTATGAATTCCAAGAAAATAATGACACCTACCTTGGAAAGTTGTTCTAAGGATTCAATAAAATGCTGTATACTAAGAGCTTAGCATATTTCTCAGTACATTACAAAGTACTCAATAAATAAGATTTCCTATCATTCATATGAAGGAAAAGTCCCTCTTGCACGTTTCAGTTGTCTTTTGCATAATGAGCACCTCTGCCCTCTTCTTCTCCTGGTATTTACAGGGAGGCAGAGGTTTAGTAAATGTAAATACCACTTGGGTAGATGCCAAATCCTCCTCCATGGTCCTGGCCTTCCCAGGGACCAAGTCCTCCTTCATCAGTGGTGTCAAAGAGAAACAGCAGGACAGCTGTTAGAGGTGGCAAGATTGATTTTATTCAGTCTACTCCAGCAGGGGAGAGAGGGACTTTAGTATAGAACCAAACTCAACTCCACTGAAATAACAGATGGGAGACTATTTATTTAGTTTTTGGAGAGATGGGATCTCACTGTGTTGCCCAGGCTGGTCTTGAACTCCTGGCCTCAAGTGATCCTCCTGCCCTGGGATCCCAAAGTGATGGGATTACAGGCATCAGCCACTGTACCCAGCCTAGGCTTTTTAAACCGTAGGTTGGATTGTGCTAAAGGAAAAGTACTGAAGAATGTAAAAGTGGGGCGGCGGGGTGGTCAATGTGATTAGCCATCTGTGTTTGTTAATTAGTGCTTATCTGGAGGAGAAACAAATATCTCATATCTTTATGGCAGGAGGTAGTTTTGCAAATTGGAGCAAGGCACCCACTGAATTTGGTCTGTTACCCTCCCACAGAGACCGGGAGACAAGGGAGCTATGTCCCTAGATGTTTGCATTTCAAAGCCATGGTTCCCAGGTCCTCTGGGTGGAAGGAGATTCTGGGTGGAAGGAGATTTACATCTCAAAGTGGCAGAGAAAGGATTTATAATTGTAAGTTTTCTAAAGTAACTGCTCTAAGCAAAAGGAGGGCAGGGGCCTATAGTTGTTTTAGCTGGAACAAATTCTTTAGGCAGTATTTGAGACTTCTCAGGCAGGCACTTTAAGAGGGACTGGGCTCACAGTCTTGGGCTGATAGAAGCCATCCTAGAGTTTGGTCAGGTTTCTTAGTGTGGGGAGGTTGGATGGAGTCATTCGTGCCTAGAGGTTTGCAGTTGTGAGTGGACATGACTTCCTTGTGGACCAAGGCCTCCCTCTACTGGGAGGAGAATCTCAAGGCGTCTTATGGGCCCAGTTGGACTGACAAATATCTTCACCCTTCATTAATCCTCATCAATCACACTGAGGGTGTGCCAAGAGTAGTTACCTGTTAATAGATGGCTTCTAGTTTTGAGACAACATCTTTTCAAAAGACGGTTTAAACATTCCTATAAAAAATATAGTCTGAAAGGGAATATGGTAAAAATTAAAGTTCCCCATTCCTTCATGTCCGACACCCTAGAGTTGATCATTACTAACAGTTTGTCTGGTATTTTCTGAAAGCCTATCACATGCCAATGAGGCAGATACTCTTATTATTTCCATTTTACAGAAGTGGATACCAAGGCCTCTTTCACATTTCCATGGTGACCAGCTAGTAAGTAGCAGAGCCAGGACTCAAACCCCCACAGTCTGACCACAGAGGACCTGCTCTTATCCACAATGACATGTGTGGAAGCTTTTATTTTTTCCTCTTTCAAGTCAGATCACATTCTATTCTTTTTTTTTTTTTTTGAAACAGAGTCTTACTCTGTTGCCCAGACTAGAGTGCAGTGGCACAATCTTGGCTCACTGCAACCTCTGCCTTCCAGGTTCAAGCAATTCTCTCACCTCAGCCTCCCGAGTAGCTGGGATTGCATGCACGGGCTACAACACCCAGCTAATTTTTGTATTTTTAGTAGAGATGGGGTTTCACCATGTTGGCCAGACTGGTCTTGAACTCCTGGCCTCAGGTGATCTGCCCACCTCGGTCTCCCAAATTGCTGGGATTACAGATGTGAGCCACCACACCCAGCTGAGATCACATTATACTCTGAAGCTTGCTCTGTTCACTAAACAATATGCTAAGGATGCTTTCCCACCACTACACATAAACCTGCCTTACTCTTTTGAAGGAATAGTATTCCTTTGTATGAAGGTATTATCATTTATTTAACCTGTCCCCTGTGGATGGTTATCTAAATTATTGCCCACTTCTTTGTATTACAATGTTTTGATTGTGATGAACATTCTTCTTCTTTTTTCTTTTAAGAGATGGGGTCTCGCTCTGTTGCCCAGGCTGGAGTGGTGTGGAGCAATCACAGCTCACTGCAGCCTCAACCTCCAGGACTCAAGTGGTCCTCCCTCCTCAGCCTCCTGAGTAGATGGGACCACAGGTGCACACCACCACGCCCAGCTAATTTTGTTTATTTTCTGGAGAGATGAGGTCTCACTATGTTGCCCAGGCTGGTCTCGAACTCCTGGGCTCAAGTGATCTCAAGTGATCTTCCCTCCTTGGCCTCTCAAAATGCTGGGATTACAGGCATGAGCCATAGCGCCTGGCCATGAGCATTCTTATACATGATCTTTGTACATGTTAGTGAGTATCTCTGCATGCCATAGTCCTAAAAATGAAATTGCTCTGTCTAAATATGTGCACATTTAGAATTTTGCTGATCATTTCTAAATTTCCCAGAGGTCACCTTTAAAATAGTGCTGTGTGACTGCACTTGGTGGCATCTCACTTGTTTCACTTTTGCATGAAATATTTGGTCTGTCACCACGTACTGACTTCTCAGACTGGTTAATGACTGTTAGTAAATTAGTGTGTTGGGTCTATTGCAGCTGGGAAGGCTCTCTGGAGTACCTGTGTGTACTGATATTTTTGAATTAAAGTTAATAGTTAATCCTCATGAACAGAGTGGGTTTGATAAGCCTGGCTTCAGCTCAGGCTAGAGGGTATCCCAATCACTTTCATAATTGATAAATACAGGCATGAATTTTATCACAATTCAGATTCTAATTCTCCCATTGTGTTGAGTTTTTATTCTTTATTCTTTATTTGAGGCATAAATATCCTAACAAAACAGGTTGAATTAACAATGAAGTTGTTCTTTCATTTGAGCCCCTAAAATCACCTTTTAACTTTCTTGTATTCTACAGAAACCAAATAAACCGATTTTGAACAATTGAAAAATATAGTTTGAATACCAAGGAATATCCCCTTATTTGAAAGAAGATGCTTTACTGATTTGGTTTGTTTTGCTTTTCAACCTCAGGCAAAATGATCCAGGGATGAGCTTGGGGACAGGAAGGCATTTATGCCAGTAATCTCATTGCTTTGCCATTAAAGTAGTATGTATGGGAATGACAAGAATGAAAGAAGAAAATTGCCACTTATTTATCATCATTCAGCTTATAACATGGAGGCTACAGTGACTTCCAAGGACAGTGCTGATAAAGTCTGAAAATAACTTGAATCAGGCACTAGAGGACATGGCTGTCTACACATGCTTGATGCAACTGAGGCAAATCTAGAAAATTGAGTTAAAAACATACCGGCTTGAAATCTTTTTCCTTCTGCATGTGTAGACCTGTTGCCTGATTTCCCAAAAGTTTGTACTTTCTATGGAACATTAGATTAAGTTGTATTTTTATTTGTAGTAGAATTTGTTGTCCCTTAAACAAGAAATGAGCAAGCAGGAAACCTCCCACCCAACTCGCCACTTCCCCAAATTGAGGATCTTCCCTAACTCAGGTGCGGCTGTCACATGGTTGGCCCCCTGCCACATTCCCCCACCCCCAGCATGTTCTGCTTGCCTTGCATTTTCTGAGATGGTTCCCTCTGCTTGGATACCCTACTTTGACCTTCCCGCCCTTCCCTACCATCGATTCTGCCCCATCGTCAGGAAATCGACATACCTCCCTGGGAACCTGAGTCTTTGAGCTGCACACAATAGAACCTTCCCTACCTGTGGCCTCATTTGGAACTGACCAGCCCCCTGCCACCTTTGGCCACAAGTCCTTCATTCCAGGGAAGCTAGTCTTCCTCTTTTATCCTTTTGCTATTCTGCCTGCCAGGAATTTCCTTTCCACTGGTTCTGGTTGTGCACAACCTACTATTCAAGGCTCAGCCCAAAGTACCATGCCTCCAGGTGGTCCCCTTGGCCAGCCCAGCCCTGGGCCCTGCTTCCAATGCTTGTTCTGGCCCCTTCGAAGTTCAGGTGGTCATCATCTTCTGTTCACTGGTACTTAATCTCCTCATCCAGACTGTATATGGCTCAAGGGCAGAGACCAAGTCTCAATCTGGAGGCTATTTAATTAGCAATTGACCTGGCAAGAAGATTTCTTTGCCCAAGCCAAATAAGCACAGAAACAGTTTAAAGCCAAGCTATCTGCTTCAGTAACTGGCAGGATGATAATCCCTTGCTGAGTGTAATCAAAGTCTTCCACCTGCTCCTGGGAACCAAAAGCTGGTTCTGGCCAAGATCATAAACCTGTGCTGTCCCTTGTCTTCAGCCCAGCCTTCGTTGTTTTTGCTCCTGTCTTTTCTTTCCTCTTCTTTCTCTCCCTTTGATCCTCTCACTGTCCTCATGTTCTCTTTGCTTGTTCTCTTACATAAGTAGAAATCCTATCATTTATATGTTGATCAATGAACCTTTCACACCTAAAGTAAAACATATTTGCATGGATGGACTCATAATAGCTGCTGTTTATTGACATGACTGCATAAAAGACAATCGCTCTTTTAATCCTTAAAAGACCCCTATAAGGAAGGTGTAGATCTCAGTCCCCAATTTACAGATTAAGAAGATGAGGGTCTGAGAGTGATGGAAACCTCTTAAGAAGCCAACAGAAGAGCTGGGACAGATCTCAGGCCCCACCTAATTTCAAAGCCTATACTCCAAACCTCCACTTGGTATCTTCCCCCTCAGTTTAACCTGTTGCACTTTAGGCCTTATTTCATTATGGTTTTTTGAGTGTATTATGCATAAAGTTTTTGATTTGGGTATAATTATGGTTTAAAAATATTTCCCTTTGCTGCACACATTTTAGGCATTGGCCCAGAAAGAGATTATCTTTTTATGGGAAAAGGAAAGAAATCCCTGAAATTGTTAGTGGCATAAAGAGGTCCCTGAAACTGTTAGTGGCTAAGGTTTGGGAGATGCCTCAAAATCCCATGCATTGCCAGAACCTCTTGCAGACAGACCCCTGCCCCACAAAGAAGCTGTCTATGACTAGGAAAGCCCTCGTCCTGGGATGACGGGGGAACCTGTGATTCTTTTCATGACCCTTCTCAGTGCCCGGGACCCCTAAGCCACCCCATACTTTCTACCCACTTTCGGACTCCACCATTAGAACTCCCCTGGCAACTGGTTCAGAAATTGAACTCTTCTCCCACCTTAAACCCAAACCTCCTTTCCATCTGTCCCCAAGATTCCTGGGTACCAAATGTGTGTGTGTGTGTGTGTGTGTGTGTGAGATATTCCACATTTAACGATTATTCCTATAGTTCCTAATATACAAACACACTCTCTCCCCTTCATTCCCTCTCTGCCTCCTGTCCTATCTTCAAATCCCTTTGGCTAGGGCATTTCTGAAAGGGCAGAGTGCCCTGACAGCACAGCCTGCTCATCACCCTAAGAGCCTTTGCATTTCTCTTGGGTCTCCCACAGCAACAAGTGGAGAGTAGAGTACAGGAATCAAGCAGAAACTCAGCAAATAGCTGCTGGCAGTGTGGCTGCCAACCAGCTCAGGGAAAAGCAGGTCTCTGTTTGCTGCCGGCTGCATGAACATAAAGCTCACACATACAGCCCTGGAAGTTCAAAGGGAAGCAGGAAAAAGCCAGCCAGGAACACACACCTCACTAGCTGGCTTCTAGCACACTAAGTTGTTGTCCTGCCCCTTGGACACGGCCCAGGCCAGGTGAGTCGGTCTCTGCTCCAAGCCATTTTAGTTGCTGCATCCATGAGAGCCCCCCTCTGCTGGTGTCTTTGGAGGGTAGATTTCTGGGTATCAATTACCAGCCTTGCAGCTGAATAACTCCCATTTCTTTTCTGTCTATAAACACCATCTGTTTGGGAGAAAATGGTAACAGGAAAAGGAGAGGGTACTAAGTAATTAGAAAGAGTCAAGCTGTGTGTGTGTGTGTCTGTGTGTGTGTGTGTTGGCTTGGTGGGGGGTGGTCTACTTCAGTTAAGAGGAAGCTCCAAAATGAGGAAGCTGGGATAGGATTTTTCCAAGCAACTTGAAGTCTACCGGTGAGGCAGAGGTGGGGAAAAGCAGTGGCACTGAATGACCTTCATGGTGACCTTGAGCATGGTCTGTAATGAAATAGAATAATGATTTTATGTCAGGAGGATGTGGGAGATGTCTCCACATGTGTCTCTCTCCTTCCAAATTCATCAGCCTCCCGCTGCTGGATGGAGGGGGTATATCTCGGGGTGGGTTGGGGGAGTGGCGGTGACACTCACGCTGCTCCCTCTCTACACACCCATGGTTGTCACAGTCAAGATGCAATGGTGGCATCTGAACATATACTCTGCCATCATATTTCCTCAGGAAACTGTACTTGGAATCTGTGCCCTAGGGCTCCATCCTCAGTGCTGTGCTTTCCAGCAGTGTGATCAATAGCTCCATGATGAGAACAAGCACGTGCATAGCAAAAGTGGCTCGTGCCTGTAATCCCAGCACTTTGGGAGGCTGAGGCAGGCAGATCACTTGAGGTCAGGAGTTCGAGAACAGCCTGGACAACATGGCAAAACTCCATCTCTACAAAAAAAAATATATACAAAAATTAGCCAGGTGTGGTGGTGGGCGCCTGTAGTCCCAGCTACATGGGAGGCCAAGGCAGGAGTATCACTTGAACCTGGGAGGCAGAGGTTGCAGTGAGCCAAGATCACACCACTGTACTCCAACCTGGGTGACAGGAGTAAAACTCTGTCTCAAAAAAATAAAAATAAAAAGTATGAGTGGTCTAGTTCTTATGGGAGTTGATACTATATTGGGTGACACAGGGATAGTTCAAAATACCCCCTGACCTAGCTGGAGCTGTGGGATTGGGCACATTTCGAGGGAAGGAAGAGGGAGTTTGATAAGGATCAATGCAACTCCGTGGCACAAGGAGAAGATATGATGTCACAGCAGTTTTTGTAAAACAAACAAATAAAAAAAGAGATTTGGGGGTAGGGAGAGTACTTTCTAACTGTATAAGGCAATAGTGTCATATGATTGCCAAAGAGGCTAAAGTCATTTTAGGCTGTGTTAATTAATACTTAAATCCAGATTGATTCACATGGAACCAGTTCTTCATGCTGATGAGATTCCGGATTATTGTGGTCTTAGTGCAATGGAAAAGACTGATGTGGAGTGTGAAGATGTGGGTTTACATCCCAATCCTTTACCGAAGGGTCGGTTGGTTTCTTTAGGCAATCCATCACACCGAGCCTCAGTTTCCTAGTCTGTTGTATGTGACTTCTTTTTTTTTTTTTTTTTGAGACAGAGCCTTGCTCTGTCTCCCAGCTGGAGTGCAGTGGCGTGATCTCGGCTCACTGCAACTTCTGCCTCCCAGGTTTGAGTGATTCTCCTGCCTCAGCCTCCCAAGTAGCTGGGATTACAGGCACGCACCACCACACCCAGCTAATTTTTGTATTTTTTTAGTAAAGATGGGGTTTCACCATGTTGGCCAGTCTGGTCTTGAACTCCTGACCCCGGGTGACCCACCCTCCTCGGCCTCCCAAAGTGCTGAAATTACAGGCGTGAACCACCGCGCCCAGTCCTCTAATGCCTTTGCTGCATATCTCAAAGGGTTGGAAAGAAGAACAAATAAACTAAAATATTAAATTGGTGCAATAGTAATTGCAGTTTTTGCCTTTAAAGTAATGTTAAAAAGCATCATATCATGTCCATTTCTCAGCATCACATCTTAGGAGTTGTGTGGCAGAACATGGAGGAAGTGAAGAAGGCAGGGAGGGCTTCGGTGTCCCATGAGCCTCCATGTTTCAAAAGCCCCACAGAGTAGCAGAAGGTCCGTGGGCTCAGTCAGTCTTCGTTATGTGGCTTTGCTGCTTTTCCAGCCTTCTAACCTTAGGTGAAGTCACTCACGTGCCCTGGGCCTCCGTTTCTCTATCTGTTCTGTAGATAATCACAGAAAATTTGAAGATTATATAAAACCCTGTGTAAGCACCAGGCCATGTATAACAGGTGTTCAAGAATTGCCAGAGTCTTTTCTTTTTGAAAGAGCTGAGGATGTTTTACCAGGAGCGGGGATGTCTGAAGAAGGACCAGATTGTTGTTTCCAAACATTGATTTGAAGGGCTGTCATGTAGAAGTGAGTAGACTTCTAATGTGTTGCTTTAGAAGCTAAAAGCAGTGAGTGAGAGCCACCAGGGCTTCTCTCAGCAGGAGCTGAGCACCTTCCACACCCATCTGCAGAACACACTGCCCCATGGAATGAGCACCTGTCACCATCAGGTGTTAAAGCAGGGCTTGATTCACCACCCGTCAGGGACATTGTAAAAGACATCCCTGCCATGAGAGAAAGGATGAACAGGAGTTCCACTTTAAAGCTCTGTGGCTGGGCGCGGTGGTTCACACCTGTAATCCTAGCACTTTGGGAGGCTGAGGTGGGGGTGGGGGATCACCTGAGGTCATCGGTTCGAGACCAGCCTGGCCAACATGGCGAAACCCCATCTCTACTAAAAATGCAAAAATTAGCTGGGCATAGTGGCGCATGCCTGTAATCCCAGGTACCCGGGAGGCTGAGTCAGGAGAATTGCTTGAACCTAGGGTGTAGAGGTTGCAGTGAGCCAAGATCGCACCACTGCACTCCAGCCTGGGCAACACAGTGACTCCGTCTCAAAAACAAACAACAACAACAACAACAACAAAACCCTCTATGATCCATAATATGATGTTCCTTTAAGTCCCTCATATATGTTTTCACTCACAAAGATAAAACCTACAAAAGCAGTCCCGTAGAGGGCTATGAACAGCGCCTTCAGTGTATACATGGCTCTAGAAAATAACCCCCACAGCTCTGCTTCTAGGAGGATTGCCAAGCAATTTGGGGACATTCTTCTGCCACATTCTCTATAGCAAAAATAGAAAGCTTGAGGTCTCCTGAGATTTCCACTGAAAAGCTAAAGCCTAGACAGATTAAGTGTGGTGTCAATGGCCATTGAGAACTTGGGGCAGACTTAACCTTAGGCAAAATTGTGATCTATACAAAAGTCCTTTTTAGTCCCCCCACCCCCACTACTGTTTTAATTTAGTTTTTTAAACATACAGAAAAGCACAGAATAATATTGTATATGATTATATATCATGCACATACTATACAGACTTAACAAATCTTACTTTGTGTCATATTTGCTTTAGGTCTTTAAAAAAATATATTGCTGTTGCCTCTGAAGCTTATTTTGGACCCTTCCCCAATCCCACCCCACCTTTCTATGTCTACAAGTAATAACTATCCTGATATAAAAACATCCAGGCATGTTTTTCTCTATTTTTATTATACATGTACGTATTCATAAGTAAGGTATATGTATTAGTTATCTATTGCTGTGTAATAAATCACCCTAAAACATAATGGCTTAAAATAATAGTTTAATAATAATAATAGTTTTTTCTCCTGATTTCTGTGGGTTGGGAATTCAAGAGCATCTTGAGTGAGCCACTGTGGCTTGAGGTCTCTGTAAAGTTGTAATCAGATGCTGGCTGGGGCTGCAGCCATTTGAAGGCTTCACATGGGCTACAGGAGCCATTTCCCAGGCAGCTCACTCACAGGGCTGGAAAGCTGGTATTAGCTGTCGGCAGTTAAGTTTTAGTTTCTTTTCACATGGACCTCTCCACAGGGTTGTTTGAGTGTCCTCGTGGCATGGTAACTGGCTTATCCCAGAGCAGGCAGTCCAACAGAGAGAGGAGAGAGAGAGAGAGACAGGCAGAGAGAGAAAGAGAGAGAGACATAGCATTACTTCCTCTCTACTCTGTTGGTCAGTGTGGTTCCAACTGCTCACTCAGATTCAAGGGAGGAAATATAGACCTGAGCTCTTGGTGGGATGAGTGTCTGTCACATTGTAGTTAGGAATGTTGGACTGGATTTATCATAGGCAATTTGCATCCTAATCACCCCCATCTACCTTGCACAAAAAGGCCCAGAAGACACTCCCTCAACTAAAGCATTGAGAAATCCATAAGTGAAGGGAGAACCTGAATCCTTGAAGAGCTTCGTGGTTGCTCTTCTTTGTAGAGCAGATACGACAGCGGTGGAGACCACCATTGAGATAGGCTCCATGATTTCAAAGGGGGTAAGAGAAGCAGGATAAGAAAGGGGATAAGTGGCTACATTTAACCACCAAAGTCATGGTGGGTGCATCTACTATAAAGGGATGCAGAGATGCACTGGTAATAAGAATTCCTAGACTTTCAAAGATGTTCAGTGGTGGTTAATTGATCATAGTGTCCATGGGAAGAAAACAGCCTACTAGAGTGCTTCTTGGTGTATGTAACAGGAAGACTCTAAGTCTGGTAGCCCCAAAACTGACTTGAGTCACCACAGTGGAGAGTCATGATTATTCACTGAATTTCCAGACATAAGTCAATTAACAGACCCACAATCCATTAATTGAAGCTAGCTTGGGGCTCTTTGAGGAAGTACATATGTACAAACATACATGAAAGTACATAAAATACATATACAAATGTTTGATGCACATATTATAAATCTTCCTCAAATTTCCCCCCCTAGAGACTTGGGACCATTTATTAGAAGAACAGTGCATTGGGTAAAGGGAACTACCTGGACTTTTTTGGGAATTGCTAGAAACTGGCTCTGAATTAATTCTAATTCTTAGAGACAGAAAATGCCACTGTGTCCCACAAACAAGAGCGGGAGCCTTCAGAAATCAAGAAATATTTGGAGCCTTAGCTTAAGTTCAACTTACAGTGGCCTAGTTAGTCTACAGACCACTCTGTGGTTACTTCTCCAGTTATTGAATGTAAAATTAGAAAAGACATCTTGGAAACAGGGAGAATCCCCATATTGGCCCTCTGACATATGGAATGAGAACCAATATGTCAGGAAAAGCTAAGTGGAAGCCCTTGGAACTTCCCTTCCTGACACAGGTAGTAAACCAGAAACGATATTACATCCCTGAGAAAACTACAAAATTACACCATCAAAGACTTGAAAGATGCAGAGGTAATTATATCCATCACATCCCCAGTTAGGTTACCTGTTTGGCCTGTAGAAGCTGAATGGATCTTAGAGAATGACTAGGTACTGCCATAAACTTAATCAGGTGGCAGCTCGAATTGCACCTGCCATCCCAGATGCATCCTAATAATTTTACTTGAGAAAATTAACAGATGTGGTGTGCAGCTATTGACCTAGATGAAATCTTTTTCTCTATTCAAAATTATGAGGATCTCCAGAAGCAATTTGCTTTGACCTGACAGGGCCAAAAATTCACCCTCACAGTCTTGCCTGAGGGCTTTTTCAACTCTACTGCCCTCTGGCCCTAATACAGTCCATAGACAGCGTGGTCATCTCTACAGTCCACAAAACATCACACCCATACACTATGTCGACATTATTCTGATTGAATCTGATGAGCAGGAAGTAGACAGTTACTTTAGATACCCTAGTAAGTCATATAGAACCTAGAGGGTGGGAAATAAACCCCACACATTTCAAGGGACCACCACCTTAGTGATGATTCTGGGGGCTCAATGGTTTGAGCCATGTCAAGCTATTCCCTTCAAGATGAAGGATAAGTTGCTGCACTTTGCACCATCTACCATGAAAAAAAGAGGCATAATGCTTGATTATCCTTTTCGGGTTTCAGAAGCAACACATACCACATTTGAGTGTGCTGCTTTGACCAATCTACAGAGTCTCCCACAAAGATGCTTGTTTTGAGTGGAGACCAGAAAAAATAAAGTCATTGCAGCATGTTCTGGCTGCAATGCAATCTTCCCTACCATTTGAGTCTTATGATCCTGCAAATCTGATGATGCTAGAAGTGTCCATGGCAAATGGAAATATAATATAAAGTACCTGGCAGGCTCCAATAGGACAATTATGGTGCAGACCTCAATGATTTAGAAGCAAATCTATGCCCTCTTCTGCAGCTACCATTCTCAGTAGCAAGGTTTTGCCCTGTTATTGGCTTTGCTTTGATAGAGACTGAATACTTAATCATGGTTAGGCCTGAGCTTCCTGTAATGAACTACATATTGTCTGATTCATCAGCTTTAACGGTTAGCATGTGCAACAGCAAACAGTCATGTAGTGGAAATGGTATAGGAGGGACCAAGTGCAAACAGGTCTGAAAAGTACAAGTAAGTGGCATGAGGTGGTACCTGTGATTCCTTCAACACTTACTGTTGTATTTCCTCCTCTCCATCAATCTACATCTGTTGTCTCCTGGGAAGTGACATATAATGAATTAAGCAAAGAGAAAAAAAAAAAACCCTCAAGCCCATTTACAGATGGGTCTGTATGGTGGGCTGGTACCACCCAACAGCAGACAGCTTAGGCACTGCAGGCTCACTCAGGGACAACTGTGAAGGATAGCAGTAAGGAAAACCCTCCCAGTGGAAAACCATTTTGCGGTACATTTGGTTGCCCAGTAGATTTGGAACAAGAGATGGCCAGACATATACTAATTCATGGGGAGTTGCTAATAGTCTGGCTGGATAGTAAGGGACTTGTGATAGAGGCAAGAGGCAGACAAATGCCTAGGCAGATAGGGAAGGGTCCCCGATGAAACCTCACCTTCAAGCCAAAACCGCCTGAAGGCTGAAAGACTGGACTGCTGGTCCCAGATGAAACCCATGACCCAGAGGGAGGACTTTTGCCCCTGTTTGCCCACCCTTTCCTGATTGATTCTTTCTGAATAATGCCTTTAGCCTCTTGAATGTTGCCTTTTTCAATACTATCTATGGCTTGCCTGGGCATGCCCACATGTGCACTGGGGTAATGGGGTGGAGCCACCAGGAATTCACGCCTTATGCAGGGGCAGAGCCTGGCCTCTTCAGCTAGTGTGTGGTGGCCCTGGTGAGGTGGAAACCTGCTTGCAGGACCTCTCTCTTAGCTTGGAGCTTTCCTTTCACTTAATAAATTCTGCCCTCCTCATCCTTCAATGTGTCCACATGCCTAATTCTTCCTGGTCGTGAGATAAGAACCTGGATTGAGCTGAACTAAGGAGCAAAAATTCTGCATCACTAGGAAATAATATTGAACGATTGGTGACAAGGAAATTGGGAGAATAGATATGTGGATACAAATTCTGAAGATATTTGTGTCCCACGTGAATGTTGACCAAAGGGCATTGATATGGTTTGGCTGTGTCCCCACCCAAATCTTATCTTGAATTGTAGCTCCCGTAATTCCCACGTGTCATGGGAGGGACCCAGTGGGAGGTAATTGAATCATGGGGTCAGGTCTTTCCTGTGCTGTTCTCATAATAGTGAATAAGTCTCATGAGATCTGATGGTTTTATAAAGGGCCGTTCCCCTGCACACGCTCTCTCGTCTGCCACCATGCAAGACATGACTTTGCTCCTCCTTTGCCTTCAGCCATGATTGTGAGGACTCCCCAGCCATGTGAAACTGTGAGTCATTTAAACCTCTTTCCTTTATAAATTACCCAGTCTCAAGTATGTCTTTATTAGCAGTGTGAGAACAGGCTAATACAGGCATCTACTGCAGAGGAGCCTCTGCAAAATAATCTGCAAAGTGATGGGCTCTGAGGATATCAGTCTGCCTCTTTCCCTAGCTGCCCCAGTGCTTACTCAGTGGGACCATGAACGAAGTGGCTGTGGTAATAGGTATGGAGGCTCTGCATAGGCTCATGATACGGACTTCCCTCTGCCAAGGTTGATCTGGCTAATGCTCCTGATGAGTGCTTCATCTTCTAACAGCAGAGACTACATTGACTCAATATCGTGCCATTCATTGGTACACTGGACCTCTCCTATCATGGGGAGGGCAGGGATTTGTCTAACTTGAACAAACAAGTGTTCTGAATATGGATGTGCCTTCTCGGCCTGTTGCGTTTCTGTCACACCATGCTCACAGATGCCTTATTCACTATTATGGAACAGCATTGCCTCTGATGGAGGAACCCATTTCAGAGCAATGGGCTCATGCCTGTGGAACCAACTACTCTTGCTACATACCCTACCACTTAGAGATGACTGGCCTGATGGAAAGCCTGAATGTTTTCTTGAAGACTAAGTTACAGCACCAATTGGAATATGGCACCTGGAAAGTATGGTGTTCTATCTTAAAGGATATGTATAAACTTTGAATCAGAGACTAATATTAGGTCTGTCTCTCCCACATCCAGAACTCTTGGGCCCAGGAATCAAGGGATAGGAGTGGAAGTGACTTCTCTCACTATTATACCTAATAATTCATTCTCTTTTTCTATTTTCTGAAAAAGTTTGTAGAATATATAAATTATCGGTTCCTGACTATGATGTAAAATGCACTTATAAAACGATCTGCATCTATGGGGGCAGAGGTATTTGTCTGGTTATTTAATTTTTAAAATGATTTTTGTTGTTATTTACTTAGACTTTCTCTTTATTCTTAAGTTAATTTTGATAATTTGTATATTTCTAGGAAATTATCATTCTTCCCTGTATATTCACTTTTTTACCTAAAATTATCCAGGTATTTACTAATGATTTCAAAAATCTGCTGTACCTGTTTTCATCCCTTACTAGTTTTGTTTTGGTCATACAGTTAATTTTGTTCAATCTTGCCAAATATTTTCTATTTTATGTGTCTTTTTAAAGAACCACTTGGATGTTGTTTGACCTTCTCTACTGTTTGTTTGCTATTTTATTAATTTTCTCTCTTAATTTTATTATTATGTTTCTTCAATGTTCTTTGGGTCTTCTCTTCTGTCCTTTTCCTAGATTCTTAAATTTAAGAATTCATATGTTTTTCATCTTTATTTTCTTAATGTAAGTATGAGGCTATTAGGACAAATACCTAACGCATGCGGAGCTTAAAAACTAGATGGCAGGTTTATAGGTGCAGCAAACCACCATGGCACATATATACGTATATACTAAACCTGCACGTTCAGCACATGTATCCCAGAACTTACAGTAAAATTTAAAAAAATTAAGTATAAGGCTATAAATTCACCTCTAGGTATCATCAGTGTATATTGCAATTGTAGCTCACCATATGTGAGTCTGCTACTGCCATCAGTTCTAATGATCTTTTCCTGTCCATCATGGAATGATGTTTAAGCCATGAGTTCTTTAGGAGTGCATGCTTCAGTTTCCAAATATGTGGACATCTTTACTTGATTTTCCAGTTAATTTCCTTTAACAATAGTAATAATAGAAACTTGTTTGAAAATTGAGTCCTGATATGTAATCCTTTTCTTAATGTTTCAGGTGTTCTTTAAAAGAGTATATATTTTCTTTCTTTTTGTTTTTTTTTTTGTTTTTTTGGATGCAGATCTCTCTAATTATGCATCACTTTGAACAGATCTTCCATAGACGTTTTAATTTTTTTTCTTTTTTTGACATGGAGTCTCACTCTGTGGTGCAGGCTGGAGTGCAGTGGCATGATCTCAGCTCACTGCAACCTCTGCCTCCCGGGTTCAAACGATTCTCTTGCCTCAGCCTCCCAAGTAGTAGTAGTAGTTGGGATCACAGGCATGCACCACCACACCCGGCTAACTTTTTTTTTTTTTTTTTTTTTGTATTTTTAGTAGAGTCGGGGTTTCACCGTGTTGACCAGGCTGGTCTCAAATTCCTGAACTCAGGTGATCCACCCGCCTTGGCCTCCCAAAATGCTGGGATTACAGCCATGAGCCACTGAGCCTAGCCCATCTAGCAATCTCTGATAAAGGTTGTTAAAATTTTCCACTCTGGTTTTGTTACTCGTAATTCTTTTAGTTTTTACTTGATATATTTCAGGGTTGTGTGTTAGATACATACAAGATTATGTTGGCTGCATGCATTGTTTTGTATATGATGTAGTGTCTTTCTTTATCCTTAGTAACCTTTTTAAATTAAATTCTATTTATTTGATATTAATATTGTAAAAGTTTCCTTTGACAAATATGTGCCTTGAATATCATTTCCAAAACTTTTCTTTTTAATCTTTCACTGGTAACTTTGTTTTAGAAATTCTCTGGACTTGGTTCATTATAATTATCATCATTGCTCTTTTGTGTTAATCTAATTGGATGGTCCCTGTCCTTTAATAGGTAGGCTGATTCAATTTATATCTACTGTGATTACTGTTGCATTTGAATTATTTCTACCATCTGGTTTCTCTTTACCAACTTTTTACTTCTCTTTCTTCTCTGCTTTCTGTTGGGCTAATAAAGATTTTTATGTTCTCTTTGTTTTCCTCTCCTGTTTCAGAAGCTCTTATTGATATTTCATTCTTGTAGCATTAACCTTATTTATTTCTAACAATGGGTCAAGCTTATCAGTATCTCTAGTTCTTTCTAGAACAACACAAATACCTGGGTATACTTGCCCATTAAATCTCTGCTGCTACCCTACTTCATTCGTTTACTCATTCAACAAATACTTTCCAAACACCTCCTATGTGATAGGGGCTGTGCTAAGGATTGAAGGTGAAGGGATAGCAGAGAACAGCAAAACTCCTGTCTCTTAGGGAGCTTATACTCAATGGGGAACTGACATATGCATGCCTGTTTCTTCTTGTTATTGTCCAGAGCTTCATCTTTAAAGAAAATAAAATGCACAAAACTGTGCTCATTATTTTTTATCTTTTAGTACTCAATAATTAATTAAAATGCCCTTAGTCGTCCTCTGTCTACAAAGCTCATCAGTGTGTCCCTACTCATGTGCGATAGTAAAGCTAGGTAGAATTCCATATTAACAGATTTTTTTTTTCTTTTTTTGAGAGGAATCTCACTCTGTCACCCAGGCTGGAATGCAATGGCACTATCTCAGCTCACTGCAACCTCCACCTCCTGGGTTCAAGCAATTCTCCTGCCTCAGCCTCCACAGTAGCTGGGACTACAGGTGCACGCCACCATGCCCAGCTAATTTTTGTATTTTTAGTAGAGACGGGCGGGGGGGGTTCACCATATTGGCCAGGCTGGTCTTGAACTCCTGACCTTTTGATCCACCCACCTTGGCCTCCCAAAGTGCTGGGATTACAGGTGTGAGCCACCATGTCTGGCCCTAGCCCTAACAGATATTTTTCCAGCCCGTAAAAATTTCACTTCACGAAGTTCTAGAATAGACTGTTGTGGATAAGTCTTTTTTTTTTTTTTTAGTTGGAGTTGCACCCTTTTTGCTCAGGCTGGAGTGCAGTGGCACGATCTCGGCTCACGGCAACCTCCGCCTCTCAGGTTCAAGCCATTCTCCTGCCTCAGCCTCCCGAGTAGCTAGAATTGCAGGCACGTGCCACCACGTCCAGCTAATTTTTGTATTTTTGGTAGAGATAGGGTTTCACCATGTTGGCCAGGCTGGTCTCGAACTCCCGACCTCGTAATCCACCCGCCTCGGCCTCCCAAAGTGCTGGGATTACAGGCGTGAGCCACAGTGTCTGGCCAAGAAGTCGTCTTTTAACCTAAATGCCACTTTGTAGGTAACAAGTCATTTCTCCCTGATGACTCCAAAGATTTTTCTATCATTGATGTTCTTCAGTTTCACAGATATGTCTAGGTAAAGATTTAATTTTATTTACTTTTCTCAGTACATACAGAATATCTTTATGGTGAGGGTTCATGACTTTATTCAGTTCTGGAGTATTCTGGAATAAGATCTTCAAATAATGCTTCTCTGGAATTTCCTCTTTTGTACTTTCTTGACTCTTTATTGGTGCATGTTGTAGTCTCTCACTCTAGCTTCTGTGTCTACCTGTTTCTTGTTTTTTCTTTCTGTGTCTCTTCGTTTCTCTGGCCTGCACTCAGGAGCATTACGTAGTGTTACCTTGAATGTATTAGTTATCTCTTCACCTGTATCTAGTCTAGTATATCCTATCCCTTGAGTCTTTAATTATCATCAGCATACTTTTATTTCCTAGATTTCAAATTCCTTGTTTTTCATACACTCCTGTTTTTCATCCATTTGTGCCTAATTAATGTTGATTTTTATAGTTGGTTTTCCTTCATTTGCCTTTAACAATCTTAAACATAATGACTTAAAATCCTTTAAACTTTTAATTAATATTTTAATTTCCAAGGGAGTCAGTTAATTAAATTGATCTTCCTGGTATTTATTTTCCTGTTCAAGTTCCGAATTTTGGGTTGTAGTTTCATCTTTTCTAGGAGGCTTCTCTGGTGGCTTTGCTGCTGTCCCCACCGACTCTCCACGTCCCCATAGTAAACAGTCCAGAACCAGCTTTTATAAAAGCCTTGAGATACTGCAAAGCCAGACACAGAATCAGGTAGCAGCGTAGCGAAGGTCCTGTGAGAAAGGATGTGTTAATGTCCTCCTACCTTCCTTTTTGGGCATGCAGCTATGAAAAAAAACAGAACCTTAATCAACTCTTGCTACAGCTTTTTCCAGCCTTTTTATTCACATGGGGGAAGCTTACTCCTGCTTTGCATTCAGTCCAAGACCCTGGTTCCATTTCCCTATCTCATAGCATTCTTCTTTTTATTTTTTATTTTTGTATTTTTTGAGACAGACTCTCACTCACTCTCTCGCCCAGGCTAAAGAGCAGTAGCACCATCTCGGCTCACTGCAACCTCCACCTCCCGGTTCAAGTGATTCTTCTGCCTCAGCCTCCTGAGTAGCTGGGATTACAGGTGCACACCACCATGCCTGGCTAATTTTTGTACTTTTAGTAAAGACAGCTTTTCGCCATGTTGGCCAGGCTGGTCTCAAACTCCTGACCTCAAGTGATCTGCCTTCCTCGGCCTCCCAAAGTGCTGGGGTTACAGGTGTGAGCCACTATACCCAGCCTCTCATAGCATTCTTAATCCCTGCAGTTCCCCAGGAACTGAACCCCAGACTAGCTCTGCCTGTTATAACCAAGAGCCCCGCAGGGCAGCATCTGCTAGTGTTTGGTGCAGAGGTGGCGCTTATGAGACAGAATGTCTTCAAAGCGTTATTCTTGCCACCAGCATCCAATCACCTCCCCATTTTGGTACTCTCCCCAGGCACTCAGGATGGTATTGCAGCAACTCCAAGTGCACTTATACCACATCTTCCCAACCCTCCATCAAAATATATATCCTATATATCACTATCCTGAGCCTTTAATCTCCTCTGTGCAAAATTTAACCTGACTTCTCTAATGCTACCCACATTACAGCTGGGACAAATTACCCTTAAGGGAAGGAGTAGTCCCAAGTGAGATTTTATGTTTGCAGCTGGTATTCCCAGCCAGAGGAAAGCATTCCTAAGGGCCAACTCCAATAATAACAAGACAGAGAATTGCTAACATCTTCAGTGTAATTATTCCAAGGTATCTGAGTTTCCGTTTTATTTTCTTGCAGAATTTAATTATATATTTGATTTCAGCTACTTAAATGTCATAGCTAAAGACACCAGGCTTTGTGTAAGACTGGGAAATTAAAGGATTACATTCATTAATTCATGTTATTTAATATTTACACGTTTTGGCAAGATATTCATTGGTCTAAAAAAGTTTGGGCCAGACATGGTGGCTCACCCCCGCAATCCCAATACTTTGGGAGGCCGAGGCAGGAGGATCACGTGAAACCAGGAGTTCAAGACAGCCTGGGCAACAAAGCCAGACCTTGTGTTTACAAAAAAAATTTTTTTAATTAGCCAGGCATGGTGGCACATGCCCGTAGTCACAGGTACTGAGTGGGGGGATCACTTGAGCCCACGAATTTGAGGCTGGCAATGAGCATTCCAGCCTGGACAACAGAGCGAGACCCCATCTCTTAAAAAAAAAAAAAAGAGTTGGTGTTTATTAAAGTCACTGCTACCCTTTCAGCAAGCAAAGATCGACTTAAATTCCCACACAGGGGAGGTTTTACTTTCGCATATTGCAGGAACCAGGTAGTGTTCTAGTGCATGCTGACCCATAATTAATTTGCAGGCTCACACAGGAAAACCACCAAAACGCCTTGGTACTGGACAGTAAAAATGAGGTGTTATGGATAGATTTGTTTTTTTTTTTGGAGATGGATTCTCACTCTGTCACCCAGGCTGGAGTGCAATGGTGCAATCTTGGCTCACTGCAACCTCCGCCTCCTGGGTTCAAGCAATTCTCCTGCCTCAGCCACCCAAGTAGCTGGGATTAAGGCACCCGCCATCACGCCCAGCTAATATTTTTGTATTTTTAGTAGAGATGGGATTTTAACATGTTGGCCAGGCTGGTTTCAAACTCCTGACCTCAAGTGATCTGCCCGCCTCGGCCTCCCAAAGCGCTAGGATTACAGGGGTGAGCCACTGTGCCAGACGGATTCATTTTATTTTTTCACTTTTTGAGACAGAGTTTCACTTTTGTTGCCCAGGCTGGAGTGCAATGGCGTGATCTCGGCTCACCACAACCTCTGCCTCCCAGGTTCAAGCGATTCTCCTGCCTCAGCCTCCTGAGTAGCTGGGATTACAGACATGCGCCACCACACCCAGCTAATTTTGTATTTTTAGTAGAGACAGGGATTCACCATGTTGGTCAGGCTGGTCTCAAACTCCTGACCTCAGGTGATCCACCCACCTCGGCCTCCCAAAGTGCTGGGATTACAGGCATGAGCCACCGTGCCTGGCCGGGATTCATTTTTTAACTTAAAGTAATATTTATTATTGTTGTACTCATGCGTAGTTTTTGGCTCCAACAAATTAACCTCCTGTGTGTATATCACCAATATCACCCAACAGTGGCCAGAGAAGAAGCCCTGAATCCATCACCGAGAACCCCAAGGCCTCAGGGTGAGTAGCAATAGAGAGTCACCTCTGCATTCTTTCAGGTCCACATATTTTTCACCAGAGCTTTTCATAAGTGGGTACAAAGTATATCGATTTGAATTTTATCTCCCTTCGCTCTTCTTCTTTTGCATACATTAGCCAGAAGCAGGTATCAGGAAAACTCAAATGTCTGGACCATTTAAAAACTGGGTAATACATTCCTAAATGTGCAAATTACCTGTCTTTTTTTTTGTGTGGAATTTTAAAATGGAGATAGAGCCAGTGTTTCTGAAGGACAATAACATAAGGAAATTAGAAACGTCATATGTTAAGCTATCATAATCAAAAAACTCTGAAACAGCCCATCGAAAACACACTTTTGCAAATTCTGAGGAAAAAAGGCCACTGACTTTCATGCAGACTTTAAATATATATTCATAATCTACAATTTACTGCTGTGCTCTGGCCTCTAAAACTTTTTATAATCTTCCATTTTTCTTCTGGTACAGGAACGTCACTCCATGGTTCTTAATATTTCTGCTTTACTTTGGGCTGTCAGGAGTAATTTCCTTGTGGTTAGAGATGCAAATAGCCTCCGCCTTCCTTGGAGGGTCGCCCAGGCCCTGCCTAATCCCTTTTCCGGGGGAAGAGGCTCCATGCAGATGAGACACAGAAAACTCAGCAGCTAAGAAAGGCAGTGTTTGGGGAAAAAATGAAATTTGAAAATTCCTTTAGTGGTAGCTGTCATGGAGTGTTTTCAATATGGAGTCCTGCTTAGTACCTCCTGTCAAATGACACACCCTGTCCTGGGGCTGGTGCCAATAGAAACATAGATTACAAGATTCAAGCAGATTGTTTCATCCACGTTCACCCAATAAATGTAATTAGTAAGCACCCTCTCAGCTCCAGACTAACAGAGATTGTACCCTGGAGCTCCAAGGAAACAAGGTAAGAACCAGCACGCAGTGGGAGGGCTGATCACAGCAGATGATCCCAGTATGATCAGGTGAGCATGGGTACAGAGGGTGTTCTTGACTGGGCAGTCACAGAAGGGCATGGACAGGAGACACTCTCTTTCCATGTTGCCTTTAGGTCGTGGTTGATTTTCTGCGGATGAGCCTCATGGCTCTGTTACCCAGCGAGGAGAAGAAACACTTTTCACCTGGGCTCTTGTCTCAGTGTATTCTGAGCCAAATCAATACAGCACATCCTACCACCAGTGAGGATCTCAGGTTTTTCTCATTCTGGTACCCTTTCCTATGAGGCCGTCTGACCCAGTAGGTTCAAGTAGAAACCCCAAAACCTCCAGAGGAAAGGCTGGAAGGTGATAGCATCCTGGAGCCTGGCTATTCCACGTGGGTCCACTGACCAACGGCAGCAGCACTGCCTGGGAGCTCGTTAGAAATGCAGACCCGCAGCTCCATCCCAGAACTTCTAAAGCAGAATCTGCGCTTTAACAAGATCCCCAAGTGATTCCTATGCACAGTGAAGTTCTGAGAAGCACTGACTTAGGGGCGTTTATATGTGTGGGAACCAAAGTGCTAACCTTCCTACCTGCTAAAGGCTGAATGTCTGTGTCTCCCCAAATTCGTATGTTGAAATCTAAGCCCCAGTGTGATGGTATTAGGAGGTGGGGCCTTTGGGAGGTGATTAAGTCATGAGGACTGAGCCTTCATGGATGGGATTTGTGCCCTTGTAAAAGGAACCCCAGAGAGCTTCCCCAGCCCCTTCTACCCTGTGAGGACACAGGGAGATGATGGCCATCTAGGAATCAGGAAGACACCTCACCAGACACTGAACCTGCAGGTGCTTTCATCTTGGACCTCCTATCCTCTAGAACTGTGAGTAATCAATCTTTTCTTTTTCTTTCGCTCTTTTCTTTTCTGACACGGTCTTACTCTGTCACCCAGGCTGGAGTGCAGTGGTGTGATCACAGCTCAATGCAGCCTTGAACTCTCTGGTTTGAGCAACCCTCTTACCTCAGCCTCCCAAGTAGCTGGGACTACAGGTGTGCACCACCAGACCTGGCTATTTTTTTTTTTTATTTTTGTATAGATTGGGTCTTACTATGTTGCCCGGGCTGGTCTTGAACTCCTGAGCTCAAGTGATCCTCCCATCTTGGCCTTTCAAAGTGCTGGGATTACAGGCATGAGCCACTAAGCCTGGCTGAGAAATCAGTTTCTGTTGTTTAAAATCTACTGATTGTATGGTATTGCTACAGCAGCTCAATGAACTAAGATACTACCTTCCTCAACTTCATACACATAACACTGAGGTGCGCTTCTCAGATTCTCAGATATTGCTTTGCCATAAAGAGAGAGGGATTTGAAGAGAATGCTGCAAGGAGGAAGTGAGTGAAGCAGGTGGCTCTCAGGGAGGGGCTGCCTCTGAGGGGATCTTTGCTCCATGGCAAAGGTGAGGTGGGTAGAACACCATCTAGAAATTCTCGCAGTCGACAGGGCTAGAGATGCAGGGATCACTTGTCCTAGTAATATCCCCTGGAAGAGGAATCCCTGACCTGCTTAATGGAGACCACTTCTCCTCCACCAGAGGTAAGAAAGCTGTTTTTACATTGTGACGTTCAACCCTGGCTGCCCATGACAGTCACCCAGAAGCTTGAAGAGATAGAATGCCTGGTCCCCCCTGCAAAGACTGTCTTTCAAATAAACTGGTTGGGGCCAGAAACCCTGATTATTATTATTATTATTATTATTATTATTATTATTATTATTATTGAGACAGGGTCTCTCTTTGTTGCACAGGCCGGAGTGCAGTGGTGTGATCACAGCTCACTGCAGCATGGAACTCCCAGTCTCAAGTGATCCTGCCACCTCAGCCTCCTGAATAGCTGGGACTACAGGCATGCTCCACCAAGCTCAGCTAATTTTTGTATATTTTTGTGGAGATGGGTGGGGGGGGGGGGTCTCACTTTGTTGCCCATGTTGGTTTCAACCTCTTGGCCTCAAGTGATTCTTCCTCCTCAGCCTCCCAAAGCACCCAGATAATTCTAACGGGCCACGGCTGAAAACCACTAAGGATAGGAAACTCTTAGAAAATGATAGCTGTTAGAAAGTCCTGGGTCTACTCTAGCTGCTTCCTTCCCACTTCCGGCCTCTTTTCCTTTCTTGCGCCTAACTCCCCACCTGGCAAAAGCTGGAAACGACAAGAGATGGGGGAGAGGCAGGATGACTCCAAGTGCAAAGGAGTGTGCACCACTCGAGGTCCTAGCAGCCATCTACCGTGGCTGCTGGTGAGAGGCACTTCTGACGGGAAAGCCCATCCCAGCTCCCTGGTATACCTGCTGTGGTGTATACTCTGCCAGTGCTGGGCCCAGGTTGCTCAATCTATAGCCAGGGAGAATTACAGGAACTGTCTGGAGCTCCACTCCCAGACAATTTGTTACTTACCTCTTTATCTTCGGCTACTTGTTTTTCAAATTTCCTCTTAAACCCCTTAATCTCCATTTTACACCTTACTGTCATAGTCCTTGCAGTGATTTCTCATTTTGTAAGTTCCTAGCAGTTGCCTGAATGACACAAATTTGTTATTTTGATTTTTTTATTTGACCAATTTGGACTGAGATTTTAAGCTAACCCATGCATCAAAAGCCACATATGTGCATATACGTAGGGTATGTGTGTGCGTGAGGGTGCAGCCACAGCATGGATGGGAGCCAAGGCATTTTCATATAACATCAATTTCCAATGGGTGTGGGAAGCCAAGCTTGTCAGCATGGGCCACTGTGCAAGATGCTGTCTAAACTCAGTTAATTAGACAAATCCCTGTGTTCGATAAACGTAAATGTGTGACTTAATGGACTTAGAGAATTTACAGCCCCTGCTCCCCAAATTTCCCTACCTTAGCTATCAAGGTATCTGCACTGACCCCATCTGTGTTACCTCCCATGGAGATTGGAGACAGACGTTAAGCCCCTATTCGTGACTATGTTTTTGCCTATTTGGTTAGGAGCTATGCCTTCAAGGTATGAGACCCAGAAGAGGCAACCTGGGGAAGCCCCACAGGACCTGTGAGGACCAAAAGACATCTAGAGGTGGGTGGAGAGGGTGCCCAAGGATTTTTTTTTTTTTTTTGGCTTTTTTTAGGGCAGAGCCTGGATCAATCCCCACAGCCCTAGCAGAATGCCGAGAACGTAAAGGGCAAGTGAATACCTGGTCAAGAATAAATGGACAGTTACACACAGTACAGATGTGGAGCAGTGTCCCAGTGTTTGAAGCCTCTGGCTGACACCACCCCCCTGCCCACCTCCTCCCAGACTCTAGACAGCACCTTGTGGGTGCGAACACCAGGGAAAGCCTCCCTGCCCCTCCCGCTTCTTTCCACCTCCAGGCTGATCGGCCCAGGCTTGTCACAGCTGTGCATTGAGACTTGACACCCTGTGCCCATATCACTTAATTATCAGGACTGAGACAGCCTAAGCAAGATAGGGAGACCCTGTCTCCACAAAAGAAAATTGTAAAATTAGCCAGGCCTGGTAGTGCACGCCTGTAGTCCCAGCTACTTAGAAGGCTGAGGTGGAAGGATTGCTTGACCCAGGGAGTTGGAGGCTATAATGAAGTATGATCATGCCACTGCACTCCATCCTGGGAAACAGAGTGAGACTCTGTTGCTAAAAAAAATAAAAATAAAAAATAAAATAAAGTTAAATTAAAAATGATAAAAAATTTATTTAAATGAACTAAGAACTGAGGCCACCTGTGTCAATGTGGCTTAAATGTTTTAGGAAATGCTTCTGGAAAGAGAAGGGGCAGAGGCAGGCTGAGCTAGAGGATTTTATCTTTCAGGCCCTCTTGCTACTTAATTCAACACCACAGAAGGAACTTGTTTTCTTAGGAACCAGGGCTGCCTGGCTTTCTTAGGAAGCAGAGGAAGGACCTCAGACATGCTGTGGGACAGAAGGAACAAGAACAACAAAGAATATCTGAGAGCAGGATCTGGGTCCCAACACAGGAACCCAGGATCTAGAAATCTCCAAGTTTCTACTGGAGGAATGAAGCTGGGTGCCGTAGTCACACAGATGTAGGTGGTTTGTCTTCCCTCCATAGTGAAATAATTTAAGATTCTGTAGATGCTGCTTTCAAAGATCTGCAGAGGGCTCCCAGGAAAACTGTGTTTCAAACTACTATCTACTACCAGATAGTAGACTTTGGAGATTAATAATTTAAAGTGTCAAGAAGATAAAACTTTTTTTTTTTTTTTTTTTTTGAGACAGAGTCTCACTCTGTTGCCAGGCTGGAGTGCAATGGTGTGATCTCGGCTCACTGCAACCTCCACCTCCCAGGTTCAAGCAATTCTCCAGCCTCAGCCTTCTGAGCAGCTGGGACTACAGGTGCATGTCAGCACGCCCAGCTAATTTTTGTATTTTTAGTAGAGACAACGGGGTTTCACCATGTTGGCCAGGATGGTCTCGATCTCTTGACCTCATGTTCCGCCCGCCTCGGCCTTCCAAGGTGCTGGGATTACAGGCGTGAGCCACCGCACCCGGCCCATAAAACATTTTTAAGAATAGAATTCCTCTGGCATGGAATTGAGCTGGTATCTTTTCTCATCAATGAAAGCACAGTTTCAAAAGATGGATCTATGAGCTTTAAACAAAGGAAGCCTTGTACACGGAGAGGAGAGGGGAGCCATGATCTTACGTGGGCCCAGGCTGGGGTGGTTACATCTCTGCTGCCTAAGAATTTGCATGCTTGAAATAAAGCATTTTATTTTGCGCTCAAGAGCAGGCCTGAGTGGGAAGCTGCTAAGAACTCACTACAGAGGATGCTGGTCATGAGAGAAGGGACTTGGGCTGTCATCCTAAGGAGGTGGTCCCAGTGACTGCTCTTCTACCAGACCTACTTTTATAGTCACAGAGGGCATGAGAGGACAGCCTAAGTTGTCCCGCAGTCTGGCAGTTGAGGGCATTTCTTTGATGTTCCTGAATTGTGGGGAAGCCTAGAAGAGAGCAGAGGGAGGTAATGTGACTCTGTGCCCTGGGAGCCTCTCTATTTCACAAGTTTGTTCCCAGGTCCCTGGACCAATGTGCAAAGGGCCTGTAGGCATTACTACCCTAGAGTTATTCTGAGCCCCATACTGAAGGGTGCGGGTCCCTCAGAATGTCCAGCAAAGTAAGGCAAACTACCTGGAGTCCATCCTTGTCCTCTGGACTTTGTCTTTTCCACCAAAAACAAGCCAGACAGATTCAAGCATAGTATGAATGTATCCTCCATTTCCTGGGTTAGCAACTTGAAGCCCATCAACAAAGTTCTGGGCTATCCTCAGGGACACAAAGAAAGACTCGGTCGTGTTCTCTGACCTTTGCAGCTAATAGTTTCTCTAGCTAGAGGAAGAAAGCCACTGAAAAGGAAATTGGGTACACAGGTACAATTAGACTGCACAGAGGTCACAAGACAATAGAATGGAAAGCAGTATCCTCCTTTTGTGCATATCCATGACCCTTCATAAAATAGTCACAAATATGATGTTTTGATTACACTCTCATTATCTGGAAGAACAGGTCACGTGTTTATGTACGTGCCATATGCCTCATTATTGGAACCTGTTTCTACGTCTTCCTCTAACTCTACCATATGAGTTATACCATATAGTGGGAGGTAGAGACTTCCTCCCACTATAAAAACTGAAAATCTGAGCTATTTTATTTCTCAGCCTTCCTTTCATCAGGGCATAAGCATGTCACCAAGTCTCAGTCAATCAAATGTAACCCATCTGGACTTTTTGTCTCTGAAGAAGCAGAGAAAGAAGATGGCCAAGGCACGCACATCTCATCTCCAGAGACACTGTGGATGCCATGCCTCTGACTGCACCCACTGTCCAGAGCTCATGGTTACTGATAAAAGTACCAGAATCATGTGATCTAAAGTGGTAGACACAGTATATTCATAGGACTGTTAGTAGCCTCACCTTTTTTTTTTTTTTAATAAGGTTTTGAAAATTTAACCTCCCTCTCTTCCTCCATTTTCTGAGACTGGATCTCTTGCTTCCATAGCAATTTGGTGGGTTACTAAAAACCCTTCCAGAAAATTGTTTTTCTGGTTGGATGAGAATTAGTTTCTGTTATTTGCAACTTAGACTGGATAGATATATCACATAAAATACAACAAGTTAAAAAATATTAGGTGGTGATAAAACTAGGATTTTAAAAAATAATTTCTACTTCTGAACAAAGCAAAGTGAATAGGAGCAAGATTTATCCTCTCACTTTAAGCAACTAGAAAACTGGATAAAATAATGAAACAATATCTTTACACACTAGACAACAGGCAGTGCAAGCCTGTAATCTCAGAAAAGGAACAAGATGAGCCCTATTATTGCACAAGCTTATTGCCTAGAGACAGTTTCCAGACCACAGCATATGGAGGAGAAACCCAGAAAGAGCCCAATAATCTTGAAGACTAGAGAAGATAGGGCTCACAGTTCAGAGAGGTCAAGATGGCTAGAATGTGTGGGACAGAGTACTAGAGAGAAGAGAGCTGCACAGAGAGAGCTCTGGAAATCTGCAGAGGGGTCCTCTTAAATTTTTGACTGAGAACTAACCTGCATATACATGAGAAAAAGAGCAGGGAAAGAACCACCTAAAAGGAGCACACAAAACAATTAATGAAGTGCAGGCAGGACTGGAATAGCTTGTACTCCCTCCAGCCAGAGTGGAATGACCTTGTAAACGTGGGTCATCATTTAGAATCCTCAGAAGGGTATCATCTTAGCAGTGGGCTTACATTAGCCCTGGGCCAAAAGATAGACTAAAACCACCTTAACAGAGCTTAAGAGCAAGTCTCAAAAGAAAAAAAAATATTCAAAAGAATACAACAAAGTCTAGTGCCCAGAAACAAATTTGAAATGTCTGGTACCAAATAAAAAATTCCCAGGTATCCAAAGCATCAGAAAATTATAATCGAAAATGAGAAGAAAAAATTCAATATCACAGGCCCCAAAATGACAGACATAATGGATGTCAAGGACATTAAAAGAGCTTTTATGAATCTGTTTCTTATACTCAAGAAGGTAAAGGAAAACATTGTCATAATGATGACGGAAACAAAATACACGTTTAAAAATATATCTAGAGGTAAAAAAAAAAAAACTGAAGTAAAAAACACATTGGATGAGATTACCAGTAGATTACACACTGCAGAGGAAAAGATCAGTAGTCTTGAAAACATAGTGTATAAATTACTCAAAATGAAGCACAGGAAAAAAAGACAAAAAATTAAAGCATCTGTTACCTGTGGGATGTTCGACATATGTGTGACTGGAGTCCCAGAGAGGACAGAGAACTAGACAGGAAAAAATGGAAAAAATAATGGCCCAAAATGGTCCAAACTTGACTAAAACCCACAGGTTCAAGAAACCCAGTGAACTCCAATGAAGTAAATAAACCCATGTCAGAGATCATCACATGCAAACTGATGAATACAAGTAATAAACAGAAAAATTTTTAAGTAGCCAGGGGAAAAAAGATGCATTATGTTCAGTGGAACAAAGATAAGGATAACAGCAGACTTTATGTTCGAAATTATGTAAGCCATAATATAATGGAAGTTCATTTTTTAAAAACTGAAAAAAACCCATACCTGTCAATCTAGGTTTCTTTATCCAGCAAAAATATTCTTCAAAATCAAAGCAAATGAAGACTTTTTCAGCAAATAGAAGCTGAAAGAATTCACTGTAAGCAGGCCTGCACTATAAAAATAGTTGAAGTTTTTCAGGCATAAAGAAATATCTACATTCATTCCTTTGATAATCTCATCCAGTTTTATGGCTTTTAAATAGTATCATTAACCTAACAACTGCTAAGTTTATATCTCCAGCCTCAAACTCATCCCTGAACATACGTACATACAACTGCCGGCTCAACATCTCAACTTGAGTGTTTAATAGCATCACAGACTTACTGTGTCCCAAACCAAATATCTAATTTCCACTCACAATCTTCACCATCTGGATAAATGACAACATTATCCTTGAAGTTTCTCAGGCCAAAAACCCTTCAAAGTGTATCCTAAATCTGACCATTTATTTTTATTTTAAAAAAAATTTTATGGATACATAATAGTCATACATATTTAGTGAGCACATGTGATATTTTGATATAAGCATATGATGTGTAATGAACAGGGTAATTGGGATATCCATCACCTCAAATATTTACCTTTTCTTTTTGTTAGAAGCATTCCAATTCCAATCCTCTAGTTATTTTGAAATATACAATGTTATTTTTAACTATATTCACCCTATTGTAGTATCAAACAATAGCTCTTATTCCTTCTATATGACTGTATTTTTGTACCCATTAACAAAGCCCTCTTTATCTCCCCACTCCCCACTACCTTTCCCAGCCTCTTGTGACCATCATTCTACTTTTTACCTCCACAAGATCAATTTTTTTATCTCCCACACATGAGTGAGAATATGTAATATTTGTTTTCTGTACCTGGTTTATTTCATTCAACCTCATGTCCTCCCAGTCTATCCACGTTGTTGCAAATGACAGGATTTAATTCTTTTTATGGCTGAGTAATATTCCATTTTGTATATGTATCATTGTTTCAATTTATCTATTGTAGACACTTAAGTTGATTCCATATCTTGGCTATTGTGAATAGTGCTGCAATAAACACAGGGCACAGATATCTCTTTGACATACTGAGTTATTTTATTTTGGCTACATACTCAGCAGTGGAATTGCTGAATCATTTAATAGTTCTACTTTTAGTTTTTTGAGGGACCTCCATACTGTTTTTCACAGTGGCTGTGATAATTTACATTCTCACCAACAGTATATGAGCATTCCTTTTTCTTCACATCTTCACCAGCATCTGACATTTTTTGTCTTTTGGCTAAAAGCCGTTTTACCTGAAGTGAGGTGACACTTCATTGCGGTTTTGATTTTCATTTCCCTGATGATTAGTAATGTTGACCATTTTTTAAATATACCTATTGGCCATTTGTAAGTTGTCTTTTGAGAAATGTCTGTCCATATCTTTTGCCCATTTATATATAATATTATTTTTTGTGATTGAGTTGAGTTCCTTATATATTCTGGTTATTGTTCCCTTTTCAATTGAATAACTTGCAAATATTTTCTCCCATTCTTAGCTTGTCTCTTTGTTCATTGTTTCCTTTGCTGTGTGGAAGCTTTTTAGCTTTATGTGACCTCATTTGCCCATTTCTGCATTCGTTGCCTGTGCTTATGAGGTTTTACTCATGAAATCTTTGCCCAGACCAACGTCCTGGAGAATTACTCCAATGTTTTCTCCTAGGAGTTTCATAGTTTCAGGTCTTAGATTTAACTTTTAATCTGTTTAGATTTTATTTTTGTATATATTGAGAAATAGGGGTCAAGTTTTATTCTTCTGCATATGGACATCCAGTTTGCCCAGCACCATTGATTGAAGAGCCTGTCCTTTCCCCAATGTACGTTCCTGGCACCTTTGTCAAAAATTAATTGGCTGTAAATATGTGGATTTATTTCTGGGTTCTCTATTCTGTTCCACGGGTCTATATGTCTGTCTTTATGCCAGCACTCTGCTGTTTTAGTTAGTACAGCTTTGTATTATGTAGGTAACATGATACCCCAGCTTTGTTCTTTTTGTTTTTTTTTGTTTTTTTTTTTGAGAGGGAGTCTCGCTCTGTCGCCCAGGCTGTAGTGCAGAGGAGAGATCTCGGCTTACTGCAAGCTCGGCCTCCTGGGTTCACGCCATTCTCCTGCCTCAGCCCCTCGAGTAGCTGGGACTACAGGTGCCCGCCACCATGCCTGGCTAATTTTTTGTATTTTTAGTAGAGATGGGGTTTCATCATGTTAGCCAGGATGATCTCGATCTCCTGACCTTGTGATCCGCCCGTCTCGGCCTCCCAAATTGCTGGGATTACAGGTGTTAGCCACCGCGCCCAGCTGCTTTGTTCTTTTTTTAAATCAGGATTCCTTTCACTACTTGGGGTCTTCTACAGTTCCATATAAATGTTAGGATTGTTTTTTCCTTTATGTGAAGAATGTCATTGGTATTTTGATAGGGACTGCGTTGAGTCCATAAATTGCTTGGGTACTATGGACATTTTCAATATTGTTTCTTACAATCCATGAACATGGAATCTTTCCATTTTTTGGTATCTGCTTCAATTTCTTTCATCGATGTTTTATAATTTTCATTGTAGAGATCTTTCACTTCTTTAAGTTTATTACTAGATATTTTATTTTATTATCATTATTTTTTTTTTTTTTAGAGATGGGGATCTCACTCTGTCACCCAGGCTGGAGTGCAGTGGGGTGATCACATGTAGCTGCAACCTTGAACTCCTGGGCTCAAGCGATCCTTTTGCCTCAGCCTCCTGAGTGGCTAGGATTACAGGTACAAACTATGGGTCTGGCTCTTTTATTTTATGTGTAGCTATGGTAAATGGAATTGCTTTCTTGGTTTCTTCTACAGACAGTTCACTGTTGGCATATAGAAATGCTACTGATTTTTGTAAGTTAATTTTGTATCCTGCAATTTTATTGAATTTACAGTTCTAATAGTTTTTTTGGTGGAATCTTTAGGTTTTTCTAAATATAATATCATGTCATCTGAAACAAGGATAACTTGATATCTGCTTTTCTAATATGGATGTCCTTTATTTCTCTCTTATTTAATTGCTCTGGCTAAGACTTCTAGTACTATGTTGAATAGAAGTGGTGAAACTGGACATCCTTTCCTTGTTCTAGATCTTAAGGAATGTTTTCAGTTTTCCCTGTTCAGTATTATATTAGCTGTGGGTTTGTCAAATATGGTCCGTGTTGTGTTGAGGTATATTCTTTCTATATGCAGTTTGCTGAGAGCTTTTATCCATTTCTTCTACTTTTTCCAATTCATTGGCATATAGTTGCTCATAATAGTCTGTGATGATCCTTTCAATTCCTGTGGTAACAGTTGTAATATCTCCTTTTGTCTATTTGGGCCTTCTCTCTTTTTTTCTTAATATGGCTAAAGGTTTGCCAATTTTGTTTACCTATTGTTTTTTTCAGTTTCAAATTTTATTTCATTAACTTAAAAGACAAAATGTTTATTTCAAATCTAATTGAAATTTATCTGAAACAAGTAACTTATTTCAAGTAACTTATTGTACCGTCCATTGTCCATTTAAAAATATTTGTTCTTCCAAATAACTGCACTGAAAGACTAAAAACTTCTTTTATACTTCATGAAAGCGAGATGCAAACTTCTGATGTAAATTTGTTTCACTGTCAACTTCGATAATAAAGAGGAGAGGCACAAGGGTTCACAGCTCAGTTAAATGACGCAAACAAAAAGCTTCTGTTTTCCTCCAATACAAATTCGAAGCCTCCATTCATGTCTCTGACAGTAGTACCACAAACTTGATGCTGACACTAGGTTACTTCTTTTTCTTCCCTTTCCCTTTTTTACTTCCCTCTCCTTGTTGAAGACTTTGGTCACCTCCTCCTGTTTTTTGTGTCCTTCGTTTTAGTTTAGGTATTATTTCTGCTGCATACAACATTACTGACTTACATGATGGGAACTGTACAAGGCAGAGGCCGCCATCTTCCTGTTTGAGCTGGAGCCGTTTGAGCTGGTCCTGTTTGAGCTGGACCTGTTTGAGCTGCCTCTGTATTGGACATCACGATTCCATTCTCTAGAGTACATTTAATTTTTCTCAAGAAATACGTTAAGTCCAACTTCTGAACATACATCTTGAATCTCTGTAGCTGTAGGATTTTCAACAGCCTTACTTATGGGGATTCGCCTTCCCTCTGCGATGGTCTTCTTATTATTTAAAAAAGCAGGATAGATACAAATAAACCTGTCCTGCTTGGCCGGGAACCTCACGGCAGTGCAAGCCACCTTCACAAGAGTTCAAACAGCAACCTTGTTTACCTATTTTTTTAAAAAAAAAAACTTTCTTTCATTGATGTTTTGTAGTTTTCTTTAGTCTCAATTTTTAAATTTCAGCTCTGATCATAAATTTTTCTAGTAATTTTGCCTTTGGTTTGCTCTTGCTTTTCTAGTTAGGTTATTTATTTGAAGTCTTTCTGTACTTTTGATGTAGGTGTTTATTGCTATAAATGTTCCTCTTTATATTGCTTTTGCTGTATCACAGGTTTGGGTATGGTGTGTTTCCATTTTCATTTGTTTCAGGAAATTTTAAAATTTCCTTTTTCATGACCAGTAGCCATTCAGGAGCATGTTTAATTTCCATGTATTTGTGTGGTTTTCAAAGTTCCTCTAGTTATGGATTTCTACTTTTATTCCATTGTGGTCAGAAAAGATACTTGATATAATTTTAATTTTTTAAAATTATTTGAGACTTGTTTTGGGACCTAACATATGGTCTAGCCTCGAGAAAGTTCCGTGTGCTGAGGAGAAAAATGTGTATTCTGCAGCTGTTGGATAAAAATGTTCTGTACATGTCTTTTAGGTTCAGTTGGTCTGTAGTGTAGATCAAGTTCGATCTTTCTTTGTTGATTTTCTATATAGATGATCTTTCCAATGCTGAAAGTGGAGTGTGAAGTCCCTAACTATTATTGTATTGGGGTCTGTCTCTCTTTTTGGCTCCAGTGATATTTGTTTCATATATCTGGATGCTCCAGTGTTGGGTGCATATATATTTACAATTGTCACATCCTCTTGCTGAATTGATACCTTCATAATTATAAAATGACCCTGACTTTAGAGACAATCACATTTAGCCTCTGCTGGTCCCTAACTTACAACAACAACAACAAAACAAACGTGTGTGAAGGCCACTTCTTTCATGGCAATGATTTTTTTTTTTTCTTGAGAGCTCTGGACCTTCTGCCTTGTCAGAATCTTTGGGAATGGAGCCTAGGATTGTTAATGTATTATCGAATTGTTTGTTAGTATTTTGTCAAGGATTTTTGCATCTATGTACATCAAAGGTGAATCTGCATTTTTTTAGCGTTATTTATGGTCATTAAAGTTTGAGAGCCCTTGCTATGTGCTCTCTGGGGTAACTCAGTAGCAAAAACACACCTGTGAAATGTAACATGAAAGAGAACACTTCATCCAGTGACTGGATATATGTTCCTGGGGGAGTTATGATAGTTGTCACCAAAGCAGAACTCTTTGAGAACAACAAAGTGGGAAGATCCAGCCCTTTGGACGGCTCCCCAGACCCTGAATGCCATCATACAACAATGCAAGCTTCGGATTAATGTCAATACTCCAAGTACACTGACAGTTTGTGACTATGATTGTTTAGTAAGAAAAATGCATCAGGTGTCTGGGCTATCAAAATAAAACAGAAAATTGCTGCCATGAGTATATGGAGGATCAAAACCAAGGCTGGTGGCTTTAGCACCTTGCATATAATGCTCAACAAAATGTTAATGTTGATCAGCCTCTGACATCATTCACTCTTCACCGCACCCAAATCTGACTCCTGCCCCTCCATTAAACCAACTCTCCCCCTGGTCACCAGTGAGATGCTTTTTCTTTTTTCCATGATCTCATGGCCACATACCTAGATCTCTCCCACCCTGGGTGATATGGAGGATGTTGACGAGTCCATATCACCCCTCTGATGGAGGAGTCCATACCACCCCTCTGTCCTGGATTCCTCCTGCAGTTCAGCCACTTCTCGTCATGCTCCTTTGTGGACTTCTCCACTTACCCTTTCAATGTTGGTGCTCCCCAAACTTCTGTCTTCTTTGCTTCTGAGAAACAGGAAATTATTGTAGATAACCCCAGGTCATTCTCTAGTCTAATACCTTGAGGAGTGTTCTGGGTGGTTCTGCTAACTGAACCTAACAGATTCCTGTATCAAAATGCATTTGGAAAGCGAGAAGGCATTACATATTAAACATCAGGCATTCACAACTCCCTAGAAGTTCCATCACTTCTTTGGGCTTTATAAGGATCCTCTCATCTAAATTTTCCACCTTGAGGATCTTATTCAGTCTGGGAGGAAGTCTAGAAATGTGTAAGAGAAGCTTCTTCTCTTCTCATGAGAAGCATGTGGTCAGAGAGGTCATCTTGGAAGCAACAGACTGAAGAGGTTCTTTGAAAATCAAATTTAGGCCAGGTGCAGTGGCTCATGCCTGTAATCTCAGCACTTTGGGAGGCCAAGGCAGGCAGGATCACCTGAGGTCAGGAGTTCAAGACCAGCCTGGCCAACGTGGTGAAACCCCATCTCTTAAAAATACAAAAATTAGCCGGGTGTGGTGGTGCATGCCTGTAGTCCCAGCCACTCAGGAGGCTGAGACACAAGAATGGCTTGAATCCAGGAGGTGGAGGTTGCAGTGAGCCAAGATCATGCCACTACACTCTGCCTGGGCAACAGAGTAAAACTTGGTCTCGGAAAAAGAAAAGAAAAGAAAAGAAAATTTAAAGTAGGGCACGGTGGCTCACGCCTGTAATCCCAACACTTTGGGAGGCCGAGGTGGGTGGATCACCTGAGCTCAGAAGTTCAAGACCATCCTGGCCAACATGGCAAAACCCCTTCTCTACTAAAAATACAAAAATTAGCTGGGTGTGGTGGTGGGTGCCTGTAGTCTCAGCTACTCGGGAGGCTGAGGCAGGAACTGCTTGAACCCAGGAGGCAGAGGTTGCAGTGAGCCAAGATTGCACCACTGCACTCCAGGTTTGGCAACAGAAAGAGACTCCAACTCAAACAGGAAAAGAAAAGAAAATTTAAAAACACAGAAGAGGGCATTTTCCATGGGAAGTGTTTTTCCACTTAGTGTCTTATAGTCGAGATTGCTTTCAACGCCTTTGAGTGCAGCAGCCTGCCTTGCTCCTGATGGCCAGGGAGCAAATAAGAAGCCAGCCCTTTGTAAACTATGACTTTCTACACACGTGTCAGGAAGCTTTTGTAAGGGCCATTGTTGAGTTTAAAAAATATTTCACAGCATTTTATTTATTCACTTAGCCACTAAAAATCAGAGTAGAAAACATAACATTTTTGGGATAAAAGTAGGAAAAATGGTATTTCAGTGTCCTTTTTCATGTTTGTTTCCCATGTTAATTGAAAAGGCATCTGGCCTATGAACCATGTATGAAGTGACACCATGAGGTATGAGGGACTAAAATGTACCATCTTAAGGATGATTTGTGAAATTTGAGAATGAATCACAGGACTGCCCTTGGGTCTTTAATCCACTATCAAGTTCCAGTTGACTGTTCCTTGTGCCACCAGGTAGGAGGAGCTCTAAATGGCAGGCTGATTCTGTTAGGCTCTGTTCCTTCTTTAGTGAGAAGTCAAAATCAATCCATCTGCCTTTAAATCCACTGATCGAATCAAGAGAGGTTGAAACTGATAACCAAGAGGGAGGGGGAATGTGTACCCAGACACAAGAAATTAACCAGATGCTGGAAAGGATATCAGGCATGTCCAGTGAAACAGAAAAATAACAGAGGAAGCTCCCAATAATTCTCAGGGAGAGGAAGAAACTCAGGCGTTTCTATACCATTGCACAAATCAGGGAAAGCAGATAAAAATTAAGTTGAGATTTTTGAAAAGAGAGGAATTCAACCTCATAGATGAGTTTGAGAAATGAGACTTACAAAGGAATATGGCAATGGAAGTTGCATGTTTTCTCCAGACATAAACACTTAATAAAAATGCTATGATGTGGGTATAGACAAACGAATTCTGAAGTTTATAGAGAGAGGCAAAAGACCTAGAATAGCCAATACAATATTTAAGGAAAAAATGCAAGCTGGAAGACTGACACTACCCGACTTGAGGACTTACTATAAAGCTACAGTAATCAAGACGAGGTAGTATTGGTAAAAGAATGGACAAATTGATCAATAGAACAGAATAGACAGCTCAGAAATCCATATAAATATAACCAACTGATCTTTGACAAAGGAGCAAAAGCAATACAGTGGAGAAAAGATAGTCTTTTTAACAAATGGTGTTGGAAGAACTAGACGTCCACATGCAAAAACAATCTAGACACTGATCTTCCACCTATAAAAATTAACTCAAAATACATCACAGTCCTAAGTGTAAAACACAAAACTATAAACTCCTAGAAGATAACACAGGAGAAAATCTAGGTAACCTTGGACATGGTGATGACTTTTTAGATATAACCCTAAAGGTATGATCCACTAAAGAGATAATTGGTAAGCAAGACTCCATTAAAATTTAAAAACCTCTGCTCTGCAAAAGACAATGTTAAGAGAATGAGACCAGCAACAGACTGGGAGAATATACATGCAAAAGACACATCTGAAAAAGGACTATTATTCCAAATATACAAGGAACTCTTAAAACTCAACAGTAAGAAAATAACCCTATTTAAAAATGGGGCCAGGCATGGTGGCTTAGGCCTATTATCCCAGGGGAGGCCGAGGCAGGCGGATCACTTGAGGTCAGGGGTTTGAGGCCAGCCTGGCCAACATGGTGAAACCCTGTCTCTACTAAAAATACAAAAATTAGCCGGGCGTGGTGGAAGGCACCTGTAATCCCAGCTACTTGGTACCACTGCACTCCAGCCTGAGTGAGACTTTGTCTCAAAAAAAAGGGCAAAAGACCTGAACAGACACCTCACCAAAGAAGGTATACAGATGGCAAATAAATATGAAAAGATGTTCAACATCATATGTCATTAGGGAAATGCAAATTAAAACAATGAGCTACCATGACATACCTATTAGAATGGCCAAAATCCAAAACACTGAGAACACCAAATTATGGAGAGGATGTAGAGCAACAAAAGCTGATTCATCGCTGGTGGGAATGCAAAATGGTACACCTGCTTGGGAAGACAGTGTGGCCGTTTCTTACGAAACTAGACACAGTCACCATATGATCCACCAATCGTGGATTGTTTCTTGGTATTTACCCAAGTGAGTCTGAAAACTGATGTCCATACAAAAACCCGCACCACTGAGGTTGTGCCACTGCACTCCAGCCTGGGTGACAGAGCAAGACTCTGCCTCAAACAAAAAAAGAAAAAATACATAGAGAAAACTTAAATGTACATTACTAAGTGGAAAAAAAAAAAGCCTAACTGAAAAGGCTACATACCATGATTCCAACTATATGACATACTGGAAAAGGGAAAACTCTGGAGACAGTAAAAATAATCGGTGGTTGAAGGTAGGGAGGGCTGAATAGGTGAAGCATAGGGAATTTTTTATGGCCATGACTCTATTCCGTATGGTGCTATGATGGAGGATAGATGTCATTACACATTTGTCCCAATCCATAGAATGTATAGCACGACGAGTGGATCTCAATGTTAACTATGGACTTTGGGTGATAATGATGCATCAGTGTAGGTTCATTGATTGTAACAAATGAATCACTCTAGTGGGGTGGTAAGTAGTAGTAGAGGCTGTGCCTATGTAGGGGTAGGAGGTATATGGGAAACCTCTATACTTGCCATTCAATTTTGCTATGAACCTAAAACTGCTCTAAAAAATAAGGCCTATTAAAGAAAATATCCTGCAGTATGGCAGAAGCTAAACACTAGTAGGGAAATCATTAAACCTGAGAAGAGGCAGATGACAGACAGTGTTTGGGTGATGGAATGAAGAACAGAGGGAGGCCAGAGGGAATCCTACAGAAGAAGGCCTGGCCACAGCACGTGTGTAGGTAGCGTTCGCTCCCCGCCGGCACAGAACTGGCGCAGAAACAAGACTCAGTGTAAAAGAGGTTTCTGTCCCCCTGCACCATCCTGAAGCTTCATGCAGCTAAAAGCAAGGTCCCTGGGGAAAAAATGTCCCTGCCATAGGATATGTCTGCAACAATCTAGGCGGGCAGATTTAAAATTCAGAGAAAATCTGAGTAGAATTTTATGACCACAGACAACAGAGAAGAGTGTTCAAGAGGATTGGGAGGCTTTAATTAATTCTAAGTGCTCAAACTCAAGTGACCTTGAAGAAGAAATAGTAAAGCTCTGTTTGATTAAATCCAGGCATCCAATAAACTCTTGACCTGCCCTGATGCTAATTCTGGAGATAGGGAAACTGAGTCTGAATTTGTTAAAGATTCCCTGTTTGGTAAGTTGAGGCAGGGCTTAAATCATTGTGTGACTCCCAACTCCTCCTTCTATCCTACCCCACCCCATACTCCTCATTTGAAATGAAGAGAACCTGGCCGGGTGCAGTGGCTCACGCCTGTAATCCCAGCACTTTGGGAGGTCAAGGTGGGCGGATCACGAGATCGGGGGATTGAGACCATCCTGGCTAACACGGTGAAAACTCATCTCTACTAAAAATATAAAAAATTAGCTGGGCATGGTGGCAAGTGCCTGTAGTCCCAGCTACTCGGGAGGCTGAGGCAGGAGAATGGGCATGAACCCGGGCGGTGGAGCTTGCAGTGAGCCAAGATCGCGCCACTGCACTCCAGCCTGGGCAACAAAGCGAGACTCTGACTCAAAAAAAAAAGAAAAGAAATGAAGAGAACCTGATGAACACAAGTGGTAAAGGATGGATCTCAGCCCAGAATCTCAGGATGAGACTAAGTTGATCGCCCAGTGCCCTGGGCCAAAGGCTACTTTGTAAGATGAAGGCTCACCTAGAACTCAAGTGACCATTCAGAGGTTAGCATCATCTTAGTGGGGGAAATGGTGGTGAGAGGATGACACATAGATGCAGTGTGTTTCTGTTTTTTCCTTATGCAATCTGAAAATAACTTCATGAAGCCGAGAAGGAAGATGTGAACAGTCAAGCATCCTAATCACATTTATTCTCAACTAATGTGTGCAGACGTCTGTTTCTCGGTGGTTCTCAATACTGACCACACATTAGTAACCTAGGGAGGTTTTTTTAAAGAACAGATGCCCAAGTTTGCTTCCTCTAAATTAGAGATTCTCTTACCTTGCTAACTTAGAAAGGTTAGGCTTCTTCCTCTTGCCAACAATGCTTCATTTGCCCAGACTTGCAGGGACAGTGGCAGGTCCAAAATCTCAATAGACAGGCGGATTAGTGTCCACAGTCTGGTTGTTGGAGTGTTTGTGCATGTCTGCAGGAGCTCTATTTTTCTAGCATTTGCATAATGTTAACATATTAATTGTCAAGGGGTAAAGGGGTAGAAGAGCAGGACTCAGGCCTGTGGCTTAGGAAATCAACCAGAGGTTCCACCACTCACCTCTTGAAAAAACTGAAGCTCACCCTACCCCGTAGTAGAAACTTGCCAGTCTGGATGAAAACCTAAATTGATCTCAAATGCAGTATGGCAAACGCCATTTAACTTCTTCCTAAGTGTCTTCTTATAACACAGTGTCGCCTTTGTGGATACACCAGGCAGCATCCTGAAATCCTTGCATCTGTTTTTTATAGTTTGTATTCTTCCTCCTCAGTGGGTATTACCTGTCTGGCCATTGTCTACCAGAAACCCTCTACTCTGATGCTTCTAAGCTGTTGCAAAGTGGAAAAGCAGTTGTGTAACCACATGAGAAATGTGTCACATGAACACTGAGAAGCTCCCAATAAGAGGTTCTACCTGATGAATAAACTGCAAGCAGCTTGGATGTTCTAGTGCTGATTTTGTCTGCTCAGACACATCCTTGGTTCGTGTTGATACATTCCAGACACTGAGGCTACAACTGAGAGCCCCAGATAAAAGAACTTCAATCCAACATTAATTGCCATCGCTCCCATTTTATAAGGACCAACAGCATCAGGGAGGTCAAAAGACATCTTTGTCACTAAAATCCACAATTCAATGGCACTGGCTGAGCCCCGTCAGGGTTCTTAGGTGTCTTTGCAAAGCTCATTTCAGAATGTTAGGCATGTTCAAAGAATTACCAAAAAGCTTAGCCATGATAAGAGTTTTTTAAAAATTTAACTACAGAAGCCCAAGAAGATGATAAAATAATATGATTTTGACCCAACATTTTAAAATACCAGTTTTAGGTAAGGGGAAAAAAATCCATTTTTTCTTAAGAAAACAATGTATTAAAGGGCACAAGAGAATAATGTTTTTAGAAAGTATTCTGTAAATCTTTTTTTCTTTCACTTTGCTGATTTCAACAGGATGAGGTCCATTATTGTTGCAATAGCCTATTTTAGTAGAGAGAAAGGATTAAAGGGCAAGCTGTTCCCAGCGGATCACGCCTGCTGGTCCTTACCAAGCCAGGCGCTCACTCAGGAAAATTAACCATACAGGCGTGACACAGGTTTACACTGAAAGGGAAAACATGAGCAACAATAGGGAACGTCTACCGAGCGGATACTGTGGACATGTCAAGGACCATGCGGCTTATTGCTCATGACAGCCCCATTTGGTAAGTGCAGTTCTTATCCTCCATCTGAGGCTGAGGGAAGTTAAGTAACTCACTGGAGGCCACATCGGTGGTTAAGTGACTTTTAGGGCCACTAAATTCTTAGATCAGAATTGAACAAACGTAAAAGAATGAGGTAGATTTGTAAGTCCTGATTGAAAGGATGTCAACATCATTGTATTTGGTGAAAAGAGAACATTTTTGTAAAACTGAAGAGTGCATTTTAAAACATCACTGGCCTCCTTTTGACTCCTCTAACATTTCACTGTGCAAAGTGGGCACCAGCAGCATGAGCATCCTCTGGGAGCATGTTAGAAGTGCGTAGTCAGGCTCACCCCAAACCTCCTGAGTCCACATCAGCAGTGAAGAAGACAGGTGGCTGTGTACTCCTTAAAGTGTGAGAACCCTCTAGCCCGCCAACAGCGCTCCCTTTTCGGGGCCTCTGCACTTGGCTATAATGCGCTTCCCGGGATTTACGTGCTCCACTCCCTCTCATTTCTTTGAACTCTGCTTAATGTCACCTCCTTGGAGGGGTCTCCTCTGACTTCCATCTGAAAAGCAGTGTCCTCTGTCACCCTCTATCTGCTTAACATGCTTTATCTTTCTTCACAGCAATGACCAGTACCTGAAATCACAGGCTCGTGTGTTATCTGTTCCTCCTATTCCAGTGTGAGCTCCGTCAGGGCTGGGACTTTGTACCTCCAGCACATCAGACAGTGGCTGGGTAAAAGTGCTTGATAAATACTTGAAAGAGGGTCTACTTTCTCTGCAGGACTATATATAGTGCAAATATCTAATTTAATGGTGGGTATCCCTGGGAAGTAGAAAGGGAAGACTGAAGAAAGAGACCTTTTGTAGTTTTTGCAATTTTCAACTTTTACCCTTCTGGAGTTTTTGCAACTTTTCAGAGGAGTATGCACCATTTTTAATAATTAAACACTTTTCAAATAATTTAACAAACTATCTCAAGATATATCATACCACAAAACAAAGCAGATTACATCCCTTCCTTCTAAAAGGTTTTGACTTTCTTAGTTTCTCAGATTACACTTTAATAAGAAACTGTGTTCTTTTAAGGGCCCCTTTGTTTCCCCCCAGAAATGTCATTATATTAAGAATTTTACTTTTGAAACTCAGACATTACAACTATACATGTGGACCATGCCTTGCCCCACTAGCAGGCCAGGCCCTAAATAGCCTGCCTGGTTCTTGAAGTGGTGCAGACCCTCAGACTCAGTGTAGAGTCTCCCACAATTGGCAGAGAGATTGAGCAGATTCAAATCAGAGTCCACAAAAGAAAACCATCTTTACTGGTGAATCTTTTATTTGGACAAGACAAAAACATCTCCACACTGTTCCCTTTTATACAGAAAATGGAACATCTCAAATATATTAGTTTTTCTCTTTTTCAACAGAATTCATTTCAATCTGGTCCCAGGAACTGCTTCTCATTTTAGGATTCACGTTTTAGTAACACATATGCACCCATTACAGCCAAAAGAGCATACTGGAAAGAAAACACAATGGAAAATCACTGTGAGGTCTACAAAGAAATTTGGTCTGTAAATGTATTCAGATGAAGTCCGTTAAATACTGCGCTGAGGACAGAATCAAAAGATTACCTCTTCCCCCCATGGCTTGTTCTCTAAATGAGCTGTTCAATGCTACATTATGGTCAAAAACCCAAAAATATACTGATGGACTAAAGATCAGAAAATGAACAAACACAGCAAATGCAGTGCTTACTCCTACGCAGGTTTCCCATTGTTTGTCAAGTGATTTTTTTAAAAAATATGGATACACGCCTGTAATCCCAGCACTTTGGGAAGCCAAGGCGGGCAGATCACCTGAGGTCAGGAGTTCGAGACCAGGCTGTGCAACATGGCAAAACCCCGTCTCTACTAAAAATACAGAAATGAGCTGGGTGTGGTGGCGGGCACCTGTAATCCCAGCCACTAGGGAGGCTGAGGCAGGAGAATCACCTGAACCTGGGAGGCGGAGGTTGTGGTGAGCCGAAATTGTGCCACTGCACTCCAGCCTGAGCAACAGAGCCAGATTCCGTCCAAAAAATATATATATATACACATATGTATACATATATGTGTGTGTATATATATACATATATGTGTATATATTTAGAGAGAGAGAGAGATACCATTTTTGTTGAAGTTGAGAGGTAAGCATTACTGGTTTATGGTACTACTTTTGTGTGTGTATGAAAATTTCCATAATAAAAAGCAACAATTAGATAAATGCCATTTTAGAACACTGAACATACAAGGGGAAAGTAGCTATTTTAAATAATTTAAGTGTTGCTGCTTTAAATGACTACATTAATTTGTAGTTAACTACAGATATTCTGCAGGCCTATTAATGGCAACATGTTTTAAGAAGACTGCCTGTTTACAGTTGCAGAAGTAAAAGCTCCAATATTTAACGAAGTAAATAAATATAGACACACATAAATTCCTACCTTGAATTTTGGATAGTCATTCATTATTATGGTGACCATACCAACATATGGTAAAAACCTAAATTGTGGGATAAAAAGCAAGAGATATAAAAGCTGCTTATAACATGATGATGGCAACATCTGAAAACACTATAGATCAGTCTTAAGAAATGAATTGTACGAGGGAATGCCACTGACCAGGGCTGTAAGGATGTATTCAGCCCTGTCTCAAACAGCTTTATTAGTAAGGAGCATCAGCACTGGCAGCCAGGACAAGTTTTCTAAGTAGGCACTTGGGTTGAGATAGTGATGCTGGTTGTCTTCACTTGCTACAATTAAAATAGTTAAGCCGCTTGTACAAAAAGAATAGGCAACTTTCACAAATCTAGTTTTTATTTAGAAGATAAGATTCAGATAGCCCATATAAAAACTGCTGTTAGATAAAGCTTTCAAAGTACATGAATAATGAGTTTGTAATGCAAATAATTATTTTCATTTCCCAGTGCTTGTCAGATATAACAAATAAATGTATTGGGTAGCAAATACAAATGTGAATACCATAACTTATACTCAAATATGATTATGATCCCAGAGCAAGGAGGTTCAGTGCATAAACCAGCCAACGATTATGCTCACAAAATCAACAGCAATATGTAATCAGATGGACCCAGGTCTCAATCATCTCTGCTCATGGGAAACAAGGTAACACACCCATAGGTACCCTCCAGTCTTTTATAAATCAGTAGTTCCATCCTCTCTCTTATCCAAAGCCTTTCACCAGAGTGTCTGGAAAGACAGGATGGACTAACTGGAAGCCCTCCTGGTCCCCCCGGAGATGTTCAAGTGAAAATGCAACAAAGAAAAATGGTTAAAGGAGGAGGAAGAAGCTGTAAGCCACAATCTGACTAATAACGCTAAACCTGACAAAATGGGAGCCAGTCTCTCCAGCCTTAAAAAGCTAGTGAGATTTAGGTAAGATAAAAAAACATTTCTAATGGCTGTTAAACATAAAAAGGGTTGCCAAGAGAGGGGAAGAATTCCCTTGTTTGGTTTTTAATGAGGATACATTCTCTGTTATGTCAATCAGAAGCAGAACTCATTGCTGGACAACTATACAAAGATGAATACTAAAAGATGTATCACAGAAATGTTTTTAGTTGCGAAAAACAGGAAATAATCTAAGTGTCCACCAAAAGGGGATTGGTTAAATAAATAATTATTCGCAATAAAACAGCTTGTAGCCACTTAAAAAGATACAGATGTAGATTTGACACGAAAAGCTATTTCCAACTTCCTGTTGGGTGAAAAATAATCAAATTCTAAGTAAAATTATATATATGCATAACACACATCTGTACCAGCCCAGAGAGTACCTACAGCATTCCCTGAAATGTTAAACAGTGGTTATCTCTGGGAGACTTTCTTGTAATGGTTATTTAAAATCCACAAATAACTAATCTCTCAGTGAGGATTTATATTTCTTCTTTTTTTAGAACAAATTTTTTAAAATTTTTATTAATAGAGATGGGGTATCCCTATGTTACTCAGGCTGGTCTGGAACTCCTGGGCTCAAGTGATCCTCCTGCCTCAGCCTCCCAAAGGTGCTGGGATTACAGGTGTGAGCCACTGCGCCTGGCTGGATTTATTTTGAAACAGATTTGAACCCATCATATAGATAATATAATTGGGTTCAGTTTTAGATTTTAGGTCTTTAGGAATTTCTAAGTTGTATTTAGTCTTCACAGGATAAACTAGAACTGCTTAAAACTCTCCTGATATGTCATATTTGTAATTAACGACTCATTAGCCTATTGATTTAATTTCTTCATTTCTAAGTGTTTTTCATAACCTTCTATATAACTTAAAGGTGAATCCTCACCCTCTTGCTCTTCCCACCACGTCCTTCTTTTCCAGCCAGTTCTGGCCTTCTTTGTACAAGCCTCTATCATCAACTTCATTATTATCTCCTTTAGTCAGAAATTTGATGTCTCCATTATCTCTGGAAAGCAAAATAATGTCTTCTCAAAAATTATTTTCAGCACAGCATCATTAACAAAAATATTAGTTTACTCAAGACTTTACTGTCAGACAGGAGCATTTAGAAAAACAGTCAAAGATAACCTGACCTTCCTTTAGTCTAAGATGACTGCTTAAGACAACCATTCAACTGAAGCACAAATCTAATGACAGTTTTGTAGACTTAAATTCCAAAACACTCAAGTATCCTTGACAACAAAAAGCATGACCAAGCACAAGGGCAACAATTTGCTTCCAGCACAGCACACAATGAAGAATTCCTTCTTACCACATGGCTTCTGGGAATGACGAATAAACTAGGACCTGACATTTTTTAACCTGTAAACAAGTGTATTAGTGTCATTCATCAGTGGGCAAAATCATGTGAATCACCTCTGTGCAATTCTTTCAAGTCCAGATTCATAACACACAAAAACGCTGCTGACAAGGAGCTTTTCCAGACTCACTTCATTCACCTCAAGTCAGAATAGGTCAGAAGTCAGGTCATGAAGCTGGTTTAACAACCTGTGTTGGACTTGAACTGTTTTCATTCTTAGGCCTCATGGAACAATTTGGTTTTTTGTTTATTTATTTGTTTGTTTGTTTGAGATGGAGTCTTGCTCTGTCACCCAAGCTGGAGTGCCTTGGTGCGATCTCAGCTCACTGCAACCTCTGCCTCCCAGGTTCAAGCGATTATCCTGCCTCCGTCTCTGAGTAGCTGGGATTACAGGTGTCAGCCACCACACCGAGGTAATTTTTGTATTTTTAGTAGAGATGGGGTTTCACCACGTTGGCCAGGCTGGTCTAGAACTCCTGACCTCAAGTGATCCACCCGCCTTGGCCTCCCAAAGTGCTGGGATTACAGGCATAAGCCACCGCGCCCAGCCTCATAGACCAATTTGTTAACATGGATGCTATTCCTCTTCACTCTAGACATAAACTTGATCCTAGATCACACAGATTTGAGCACAAAGTAATTTAAATCCAAGTGTGCTCTAGGCTGTCCTCAGATTTCCTTTTCCTTGCCAAATGCAGAATTTGTTACTGCATTATTTCCTTCACCACTGACCACGGTAGTATAAAGTCAAATTTGCAAGGAAACAAGAATCACAAATGGCATAACACCAGTGTGTTAAAGAGACATGTGGGACTCATTTTAAGCATTCTAAACTGGTACTCAGATAGCCTTGACTCTAGAAACATAATATTGTAGTATTATGGAGCTGTAAAGAGGGTCTTCTTTCAGTAAGACAGATGAAAAAAGAATGCACTATTATAATGAGATAAAATGCCAAAAGCCCCCAAAGATTTGAAACCATATCAAAAAGAGCAAGCTGATTTGCAGCCACGGTTATAAAGGAAATCGGGATAAAAATCCTGACAGTCTCTCATAATTCATGCAAATTAGAGCAAATAATCAACACTTCCTCAACTTGGAACAATTGATCATCTTTAGAAATTAATTGTAAGTCAGTGCGAGTACTGTCACATCATGACTGAGGATGCTTCTTCCTCAGGAATCTAACAGGTAGGCATCAAGTAACCGTTAGTACAGGACCAGTGTATCACCACAGGTTGAAACTGGATTGTTCTCATGTTTAGAGTAATGTGAAGTGAATAAGTATCAATATCTGTGGGGTACACCTGTGAAGAAGCAGTAAATGGGCCGGGCACAGTTGCTCACACCTGTAATCCTAGCACTTTGGGAGGCCAAGGCGGATGGATCACCTGAGGTCAGGAGTTCGAGATCAGCCTGGCCAACATGGTGAAACCCCATCTCTACTAAAAATACAAAAATTAGCCGGGTGTGGTGGCACATGCCTGTAATTCCAGCTACTTGAGAGGCTGAGGGAGGAGAATTGCTTGAACCCAGGAGGTGGAGGCTGCAGTGAGCTGAGATCATGCCATTGCACTCCAGCCTAGGAGACAGAGCCTCAAAAAAAAAAAAAAAAATTAGCCAGGCATGATGGTGCATGCTTGTAGTCCCAGCTACTCGAGAGGCTGGGGCAGAAGAATCGCTTGAACCCGGGAGGCGGAAGTTGCAGTGAGCAGAGATCGCACCATGGCACTCCAGCGTAGGTGACAGCGTGAGACTCCATCTCAAAAAAAGAAGCAGTGAATGGAATGGGAATCTAATACCAGATATGTACAAGTAGTTACCGCTCTCTCTCAAACTCAAACACACACACACACATACACAGTGAGAAATGCTCCATTATTTAAAAACATACCTATGCATACCTAAATTTAATTCTATGACTCACACAGATAAAAATCCACACTAAGCTGCATAAAGGTAAATGAATAACCAAGTATATGAAATGTAACATTTTTACTAATCATGTGAAGTACTCTCTCATGGCAACTTTATATATTTGAGCAAGAAGTAAATGTTTCCGGTTCCAGAAAAGGGTCTTCATAAGTAAGTCACAGCTGGTATTAACAGCAAGGCTGTTTGGGGAGTAGGGGATGGGGCGGTGGAAAAGTAATGCAGAATATGCAACGGCCAAATCATGAGATGAGTTGGAAAATGAATTTTTATCCATCCAGGACTAATATTACTGCTGAAAATGCCACTTTGGCCCAAGTAACATAGAAAAACAGCTAGCTTTTTTTGCATTTCAGAAAATAATTTTCATATCAAAACCATCCTCTGTTGCAATGTGACTTGATTTTCTTTGAGCTCCTTCAAATAACTAACATGTCATAATACATCATACCTTATATTTGTGCAGCAATTTAAGTTTATGAATTGCTTTAGTAAACATTAGTTCATTTAATTCTCATAATCACTTTGTGAGTTACTATGGGTTTAACTACTACAACTCCCATCCTACAGAAAGAGTTAAGCATTTGGTCCAAAGTCACCCAGTGAGTCAATGGCAGAACTCAGAACATAATCCAGTGCTTTTACTAGTTTCTAATTAGCCATGAATCTACCAAAAATTTACATAACAAAACCAAAAGGAAATAAAGCCTCTTTACTTTTCATGAACTTTGATTACTCTGTGAACTATTGGAATGTCTCGTCCTTCAACTTTAAAAACAACTATTTCACCAGCTCTGATTGGGTCTTCCCGGAAATTTGTGAGGAACAGGAGGTCTCCTCTGTGAAAGGCCGGCTCCATACTGCCACTGGAAAGAAGCACAAAGTCAGTATCAGCATTACCCTGTGTCCAAAAGGCGATCAGAATAGACATGTCAGAGGTGAAACTCAATAGTCAAGTAGGTCTCAGGAGCTATAAAACGAGCCAATGTGGCTTCCTTCTTAACTGCTCAAGGTGGTAACATGTGCGAAAGGAAATGACTTCTACTGAGATTAACATGTCATGAGCACTGACAGGACCCTCTGCAGTTTGTATCAGGTAGAAAAGAAACCAGGATAATTGTCAACTCTGAAGTAAAAGCTACCAATTTTTAGCTTTAAAAAAAGTCCTGCATCTACAAATATAGTAGTGTTTTCCTCCAGAACTGCAGGCTGACAGCTAGTTAATCATCTAGGGCAATCCCTTCACTTTAGAGCAGGCCTCCAGCACTTAGGATACTGCAATACTTACTTAAGAAATGAGGAACACATGGATGCACTTGGGGAGCAGGACCCGCCCTGATGCCAAACTGAGGGCTGGGACAAAACCGGAACCCAAGTCTTTTGCCTCCTGCACCAGCATCTTTTCCACCATATTCTACAAAAGCCCAATTCTAACAAACATTGACTGGGTTATTGTGGAAGTCAATAAATAATTCCACATGATACCGATTTAAACCTGTGCCAAAATCTTTGGCGGATTCAAAGTAAATTGCGATATGCTGGAAGCTGAAATTTTAAAAATTCATTATATGTATTTGCTCATGCTTTGTTTTAATACGTGAGAAAATAAGACCTAGAAATACAGCTTGACGGGGGCTGTGCAACCAAGGATGAGTAATGGCTGCTGAGCAGGAAGAACCTGAGGAGAATGAACCACTGAAGCTCCGTGGTGCTCTAGTGGAAACAAAGAAAACCATGCCTCCCAACAGGAGTTCGGGAAGCTGGCCCTCCTTCCCCTCCAGCCTGGCCCACCTTGAACATCTCAGCAGGTGCAGAAGGTGGCAGGGAGAAATGCAGCCTGTCACTAAGTACCTTCTGATAGGTTTACGTTTAAGTGAAACCAGTGCCACTAAGTATGGACATGGATGAAGCATTCAAAATCAGCCAATCTGAATGATGGGGGAAAAGGGCTAGAAATACAACTGACTTAAGAGAAAACATCACAGTCAAAACAATTGAGTTTTTCCTCCCCACAATATGAAATTCTATTTTGTCTTCTCTGAAATAAAACATAATTGTTTCAGTGTTAAAAAAAAAAAAAAAGCTAAAATGCTTAAGATAATTTCATCTGTGGCTTCATCCTTACTCCTTCAACAAAATTCCTGAAGATACAGTGGGAAGATGTTGATAGAAAAGTAACGGTTAAGGGAACTGCAGCTAGGAAAAGATCCCTGCACAGACTGCAGAGGCCACAGGTGTCCTGAAGTTGGACATCAAGGGTCATTATCATGTCCTATCAGGAGAGGAGTTCTTTTCAATGTTTCACTAATATCAATGTCTACTTGCTTTCCTCATGGGCCAGATTCCCCCAAAAACCACACATCCCTTAGGGATGTCATTGGTTTATGTTGACAAACCAAATTGCTTTAACATTACAAAGGATGCTTTAAAAAAAAAAAAGTCCCTAAGTGCAGCAATTTCACACTACCTTCTGTGTGCAAGTGTGTCTGTGAGATTTGAGGAGGGCCAGGAAATCTCAGATCTAATGTTGGCTCTGCCAAAAGTTACTGGGAGATGCTTGAGGCTTGGCCTCATTGGGCCTCAGGTTTCTTATCTGTTAAGGGAGAGGGTCCATCTAAATTTGAGGTTTTAAATTTCTTCTTCTTTAAAAAAAAAAAAGCCTTAAAATCCTTCCTTCACATGAAATCTTACCAGGAAGTATAACCACATAAAAGACATGAAGGTGGTGCTGTTGCATGTGAAGCAAGGCTAAGGCTTCCTGAATCCATGAGTGTGCTTCCCTTCTCCCCACTCCTAATCTACCCACCCCAACCCCAGGGGCGTCCCCAAAGCACAGTGTGAACACGAGTGGGTCGGAGGTCCCACAGCTCTGCTGTGAGCTAGGCTGTCCTCAGGCTTCTAAATTCATGAAAACGCGATCTCTAGAAGTGTGCCCCTTGGCCAACCACATGAGGGCGGCCTGGTGAGGCATGGATCATGGCTATGGCCCCACGAGGTGGTGGCAACGCCTGGTGGAGGGAAAGGGCACTGGTTTGGGAGCTAAGAGCCCTGTGTTCTAGCCTCAACTCCTGCACTGGTAGGCTGTGACTCCGCCCGAGTTACTGCCACAGCCTACCATGCCACCTTGAAAACAACAGATTTGATGACCTAAGACACACTGGACCGACAGCGTCTTGAAGCACCTATCAGTTCCCAAACACGGCCATTTGATTTCAAATTGATGTTAAGTTTTTCCCCTTGGATGGCTTTATGGCTGTGTGAAGTTAACTCTAATGTTAACTTTTCTAAAATAAACATGCTGTACTTTTATAAGCATCATAGTCTCAAGAAGATAGTAGCCATCAATACACGAGTATTACTGAAGAAGCTTGAAAAAAATACTAGACACAATGCTACGCACTGGGGATACAGGCTCTCTCTGCCTGTTTGGTACAAAGAAAATGAAGTAACATTTTTAGTTATGTTTAAAAATCAATTTGTATAGAAATAATGCAGGAATACCACATATTATTAAATTGTCATTTGAAATGGATTAGGTACACGAGCATCAACATGGTTAAAGCTCTAAAATGTCTACTAAGAAAGATGAGATTTTTCAAAAGCCAGAAAAAAAACGAAACATTTTCAAAATAGATATCAATAAAGACTAATAATTTATCCAATTAAAATCTTGAATTTTAGCTGTCACGCAGGTTTTCACTTAAGGCTGCCCCGCTCCTCAGGCCCAAGGCAGCCTTGTGATGGAGGTTGGAGGCTGGAGGCCAGCCTGGGGGACCTACCTCAGCACCACCACGATGGGGCTCTCACTGCCTGTGAGCACGATCAAGCCTTTCCATATCATGAGTGCAGAAGACACGATCATGGCGAAGTTTAAAACCTGGTAATAGAGCTGGAATGAAAAAGAGGAAACCACGATGAAAACCAATAGCAGAAGATCCACCAACCTGTGAAGCTGGAGATGCAGTTATCAAACTTTTTCAAAGACATGATTTTAGGACAGGAAACTAACACAAGGTACAAAATTCTGCAGTATTTCAACTTCTGTCCCTGGAAAGAGACTTGCAAATATCATCTCTCCTTAAGTGAGAGAGAAGGGAGGAAAAAAAGAGCAATCTGTGAGGTTTGTCTTGTTAAAGCCTCAAGGAGGCCCTAATCACCTCTTTGGGATTTCCCAGCACCTTATACCCTAGAGAGTTCCACTACTCAAGGCCTGCCACCAGAGCCTCCCGATGCAGACCAGTCCCAGACACAGCGCAGCATGGGGAGCACAGGTCTAACCCAGATCCACACACTGTGGATTCACCTAGAACTACCTTTAGCCTCAAATGGAAGCTTTGGAGTCCTATAGTGCTTGGCAATGAGGCCATCCTGTTCTAAAAATGACATTTTAAAACCAGTGAACAGAAACTCTAAACACCTGGAGGTTTAAATTTTTCATAAATGTTTTAAAAGGTAAATAACAAATATTTGGTTAAGAGCACAGGTGGGGCTGGGCACAGTGGCTCACGCCTGTAATCCCAGCACTTTGGGAGGCCGAGGCGGGTGGATCACAAGGTTAGGAGATCAAGACCATTCTGGCTACCGGTGAAACCCCGTCTCTACTAAAAAATACAAAAGAAAATTAGCCGGGCGTGGCGGTGGGCGCCTGTAGTCCCAGCTACTTGGGAGCCGGAGGCAGGAGAATGGCGTGAACCCGGGAGGCAGAGCTTGCAGTGAGCCGTGACTGCACGACTGCACTCCAGCCTGGGCGACACAGCGAGACTCCGTCTCAAAAAAAAAAAAGGAGCACAGGTGGGAGGGTCACACGAGTTGATGCATAAGCACTAGTTACATCAGCTCTGAGAAGGAGGTGAAAGCCCACCCGATCTACCTCAGACCACTGCGTTTAGACCCACTGGGCTTGCCTCGCTCCCTGCAGCATGGCATGGGCTGAAGCACAGGCTCTTCCTTGCTGACAGCTGCCTGCTGCACCTGCCAACTCCTGGTGACTAAAGGAGAAAACAACACCTGCCCATGTGCCAACACCTTGTCAGGCTGGAGCTGACCTGTCAGCCCAAACATCCGCCTTCCTTCCAGGCGCAAGAGGGACTAACGCTGCTGTGGCTAGCACCACTCAAAATCAAAGCCCCTCACGGCATTGCCAGCACCGCCCTCCAGGGAGGCTCCTTACTTTGGTACCTGCCTCAATCTTCCTCTTCACAATCCTGCAGTTGTTGGGGTGATCTGCAGAGCCAGGTGGGTGGTCCATCAACACTGTGCTGTCTCAATTCCTGGGCCCCCATCCACATCTCCAAAGATCTTCCCTCCACTGGGACCACTCACTCTCAGCAACACACCCTAGAACCAAAATGGCTCTATCCCCACGTGGGTCTCTGCTTCAATGACCCCCTTCCACCGGGCCACAGGTGCCTATTCTCCTGGCATCTGTGCTCACTTCTGTGTACACCTGAGGACCGTGTTCTGTGTACATCTGAGGTCCTTCACCCCTCACTTCTGTTTTTATACCCTCAGCATGCAGTGTGCACAGTCACTTATAGGGTGGGAGCCATAACCCCCACCAGGCCTGGCAGCTTTTCCTCCAGAGATTTCTGTTCCCCTCTCCAGGGAATGAACTCCCAGACCTCTGCTGAGGAGGGTGAGGCCTCTGGGTGGAAGACAAGGAGAGCGAGGGGTCTCACTGCTTCTCTGCTTTTCTACCCAATCAAACTGATTTCAGCCCTACGGTCCCCTTCACCTTCAGTTCTGGGGACACCAATTCCTGGGTCTCTGAGGACTCTCTCTGCCTCACAAACCTGAAGAGCCACAGCCTCCCCCAGTGCCGCTCACATCCTGGCTTTCTCTGGCTGTGCCAGTTCCCATTCTTCCATCTGTTTTCCAGCTTCTAGTATTTGGCTGATCTTGTTTCCTTTTCCCGGGCGTATCCTGGAGTAACTGATAACTTCTAAACTCTCCTTGCTATTAATATAGTTTTAGTGTTTTGGAGGCAGTGATGTTAGACAGGTTAGATCCCACCTTAGCTCCCTACCAGCTTTCCAGAACATACTTTTGAATTGAGTTTGGAGTGAGGACCTGGATCACGTGGCTCTGGGCAACATCATTTTCCTCAACTATCCAAATTTAATATTAACTGAGATGGAATGTGGTGGTATGAACTCTTTTTGAGCATTGAGTACAACTTAAAATACAGTTTTAAACACAGTTTAAATACAGTTTAAAATACACAAGGCCTGGAAAAGTCGGAGTGAAAGACACTCGGGAAGTCCAAATGGAGACTTTGCCAGGTGGTTCTACGTGGTTCTGACTTCTCAGTGTCCGGACAGTTCTTTACAGCAGCAGCGCAAGCATCAGCGTGCACTAGGATCAGCTGGCGATGCCTGAGGACTGCACTTCAGACACATTCCCAGGTGACACGAAAGCTGCTGGAGTGGGAATCACAGCTGAGAACCACTGCTCTATACCATTGGTTCTCAACCTTGGCTGCACCTCAGAATCATCGGGGAAGCCCTGGAAAGTCCATCCCAGACCAGCTGGATCACTGGGAGGGGTGGGGTGATTCTGAGGTGCAGTGAAAGTTGAATCACGGCTCTATACCTCCTCCTCCCATCAGCTAAAGACTCTCCCATCGCAAACCCTTCCTCCACCTCACATCCTCCTCCAGCTTTCACACTCTCTTCTCCTTCACAGCTCTTCTCAAAACAGTGTCTACCCCAAGTTGCTCCCCTTCTTCACCATCTATATTCAGTCCTCAACCTACATAGTCAGTCACATGCTCACTAAATCCAAAGGATAACTGTCGGCCCTCACCTTACCTGACCTTCCAGCAGCTCTCAACACACATGATCATTTCTTCGAACCCTCAGCCCCTGCCTTCCAGGATGGCATGCCATCCACTTCTCACCACTTTCTTGTCTTCCTGCCAGTTGCTCCTCCTCTACCTGAATCTCCTCCTCTACCTGAATGCTGGCATTGGTCCCATCAGGCTAACTACTCCCAATTCAGAGACTTCCAACTGCCTACCTGATGTTTCCACTTAGATGTCTTTAAAGATACCCCATCCTCAACATGTCAAAATTAAACTTACCTTCTCCAAAAGCTTTCAGTATTAGGGATCCTTCTCTCAGTAAATGACATTATTATCACCCTGCTGTTTGGAGCCACCCCCTACCCATTCATTCTATACATTCTGGCTTTCCAAACACGTCTGGAGTTTGTCCAGGTCTCTCTATTCCCACTGCTGCCACTCTCATCATATCACCAACGGGGCCCATCAGGCTGCTGTGAAGCCTCATGACAGGTCTCCTAATGCCCATGCACACCTCTTCTGATCCATTCTCTGTGATACACTCTGGGCGGTCATGCGCCACTTCATGACAGACACATTCTGAAAAATGCGTTGTTAGGTGATTTTATTGTTGTTTGAACATCATAGAGTGTACTTATACAAACCCAGATGGTGTCGCTTACTATACCCCTAAGCTATACGATGTAGCCTATTGCTCCTAGGCTAGAAACCTGTGCAGCATGCTACTGTACTGAATACTGCAGGCGACTGTAACACACTGGTAAGTATTTATGTAACTAAACATAGAAAAGGCACAGTAAAAATATGGTATAATTTTTTGGGACCACCATCATGTATGCAGTCCACCATTGATGGAAACATCATTATATGGTGCTTGACTGTACTGGTTTTCAAATGCACATCTGGTCACCTGGTTGTCTATGCCCTGCCTAAAGCCCTTTGATTGCATCCCACTACTCTGAGGATGAAGACTAAACTACAATATGGCCTCTAAGGCCCTGTCTGATATAACCCTGCAGCCCCGCTTCAGCCTGTGAAGCTCGCCTCACCCCAGCTGCACTGGTGGTATCTGTCCATGCTTCCACCTCACATGCTTCTTTCCACCCCAGGGCCTTTACCCAGAAGGCTCCCTCCCTGAACCCCTTAGTTTACCAAACACTCACCTTTACATCCACCTTTAAATGTCAGTGTCCAACAGAACCCTGCCCTGACTGGCTAGACCAGAAATCAGCAAATTTTTGTGTAAAGGGCTAGACAGTAAATATTTTATGTTTACGGGTCACATAGTCTCATTGAAACTACTCAGCCCTGCCAATGTAGCGGGAAAGCAGCCATAGACAATATGTAAAAGAAAGAGCATGGCCGTGTGCCAATAAAACTTTACAAAAACAGGTGGTGCAATGGGGTTTGCCAATCTCCACTCTGGCCAGCCTAGGTCTTCCTATTATATATTCTCACTGCATCCTGTATTTCTTTGTATCGTTCATCAGCATCATAATTAAGCATATAATTACCTAATGTGTCTTTTGCATTAGACCTTACATTCCACAAAAGTAGGGATCATTTCAGCCTTGCTCATAGCTGTATCCTCAAGATTCAACATGGGTTTGGCAAAAGTTAAGTATTCAATTTGTTGAATAAATAGTGATAAAATAAACATCTTTAATGGTGAGTGCAAACAAATCAGCAATAAGAAAAACACTAAAATTCCAACAGAAAAAGGTAAAAGCTTAAAACTATAATTTTCCAAAGGAAAATACAAGTAGTAAATAAACATAAAAAATGTTCAAACCAATAATCCTGCCTCTACCCTCCTTGCAACCCCTTCCTTTTTTTTTGTTTCTAGCAACTTTTTTTTTTTTTTTTTTTTTTTAAGATACAAGGTTTCAGTCTGTGGCCTAGGCTAGAGTGCAGTGGTGCAACCATAGCTCACCACAGCCTCAAACTCCTGGGCTCAATGGATCCTCCCACCTCAGCCTCCCAAGTGGCTGGACTACAGGCATGTGCTGGCATGCCTGGGTAGTTCTAAATTTTTTTCTTTGGTAGAAATGGGGTCTTTTTATGTTGCTCAGGCTGGTCTTGAACATACTAGCCTCAAGCAATCCTCCCAAAGTGCTGGGACTATAGGCGTAAGCCACCACACCTAGCCTTTGCCTAAGAAATTTAAAGTGTCTGGTTTTTTTATTGTTGTTGTTAATACTAATACTTAGTGCTAGCAAGAATACACTGTGATGGGGATACAAATTGATAAACCATTCTGAAAGCTATTTGGCATTAGTATTAAGAGGTTACTCTTGGCCCATAATCCTACTTCTAGGAATTCAGTATAAACTAAAGGCAGGTTGAGAATTATGGCCCGAAGACATTTATTACAGTCTTAATTCTAATAATGTGGAAAAGGAAATAAATGAGCAACAATATGGAAATAACTGAGTAGAAAGTGGGGCCAGGTGCAGTGTGGCTCATGCCTGTAATCCCAGCACTTTGAGAGGCCGAGGTGGGCGGATAACCTGAGCTCAGGAGTTCAAGACCAGCCTGGCCAACATGGTGAAACCCGATCTCTACTAAAGATGCAAAAATTAGCCAGGCATGGTGGTGCATGTGCCTGTAATCCCAGCTACTCGGGAGGCTGAGGCACAAGAATCGCTTGAACCCGGGAGGCGGAGGTTGCAATGAGCCGAGATTGCACCACTGCACTCCAGCCTGGGTGACAGAGCAAGACTCCATCTCAAAAAAAAAAAAAAGAAAATGGCAGATTACTCCACTATTTAAAACAATGCATAAAGAACTTAATGGGAGTGGAGGAGAAAGCGGGTTGGGTTGGGGGAGGAAAATAAAAAGGAACTTTAATGACATGACCAAACACAGTATGTTGAGTGAAAAATGTAAGCTGCAGTAGGATCTCACCAAACGATAAAACAAATACAAAGAGATGCCCCAAGACGCTAAGAGAGGCTATTTTAGGATAGTGAAATTATGAGTCATTGACTTTTCTTCTTTAAACTATTCTCTATTCTGAAAACAAACTCTGACTGATGTAGGAAAAGCAGAGCTCAGAACTGTCTCTTGCTAATGTTAAAACTGTAAAAATAGGTAATTTGAGGCAATAATGAAGGATACAACTGAAAGTGAGGACATAAATGAATTAAGATAATTGTTAATGTATTTTGGTGCAATAAATCAAAATAGGAAAATAAATATAATTCAACATTAAAGTTACACACTTTTTTTTTTTTTTTTTTTTTTTGAAATGGAGTCTCACTCTGTTGCCCAAACTGGAGTGCAATGGCGCGATCTCTGCTCACTACAACCTCCGCCTCCTTGGCTCAAGTGATTCTCCTGCCTCAGCCTGCCGAGTAGCTGGGATAACAGGTGTGCACCACCACACCCGGCTAATTTTTATATTTTTAGTAGAGACGGGGCTTCACCATGTTGGCCAGGCTGGTTTTGAACTCCTGACCTCAAATGATCTGCCCGCCTCGGCCTCCCAAAGTGCTAGGATTACAAGCGTGAGCCACTGCACTCAGCCTACACACCATTTTTAAAAGCGACTTGGCTACTGTGTCAATAGCAAATTATGAAACTATCACTATATTCCCAGGAGAGTGAAAAAGGAAACTGGAGTGCTAAGCAGACATTGACAAAGTGTTGGGCTATAATATGTTAAACCATTGCTTCTTCTGGTTCCATGGATTAAGTTCTTTAGTGGTGATTTCTAAGATTTTAGTGCAGCTGTCACCGGAGCAGTGTACACTGTACCCAATATGTAGTCTTTTATCCCTCATCAAATGAAGAATATTTACCAGAAAGTTGCCATGAAACAATCAAAGCCTTTACACCATTTCACCATAAGCTCAAAGAGCATAACGGAAAAAATCAAAGATCACAAAGCAAATACTTAAGAATGCAAAGAAGTGAGCCGTTAGAAGAGATAAAACATTCATGTCTTCATTCAATAAATATTGAGATTCCAACAACAACAACAAAACACTGCTTCTAAAGTAAAATCAGCCTTACAAGTCACGTCACTCTAAAGCAGAAGCTGTTCACTGGAATTTACATTCAAAAACCTCCCCACCGGCTCTGCCTGACTTAAAGGATTTGATAAATAACCGCTGTTTCATTATGAATTACAGATCTGATGAGGAAAGCCCCAAACCATGGTTTTAAACAACGATTGCCGTTTTCAGACAAGTTTTCAAGTCATCTGGCTCCACCCCGATAAAATCTTGCCACTTAGCCAGTAAAGAACTTGTACCAAGAATATATTTTCCAGTATAATTTCCCATGCTTGAAAAGTTCATTAAGGGAAAGCAAAATCAATTCCTCAAAAAAACTTCCTTTGAGCAAGCCATCTACCTGCTAAGGAAATGTCCAAATACACAAAAATATAAAAATCAAACTAAGAAACCACAGATCACACTTTTAACACCTTAACTTTAAGAAACCTACGAATCAGATTCTAGGCATAAAATCCTGGAATCCAGAAAAGTAATTTTGATTGAACTACTGACAAGCTGACTGCGGTCTGGAAAAAAAAAACCACCACCATGTTTCACAGGTGCTTTTGTTGTTGTTCACCTTTGCCTACCAACTTTGTATGCTCAGCACTTAATGCTCACAGCAGAGTGTAGAACTAAGTCCATACTCAGTCATTGTCAACCAATGATGAAACAGCCAATGTCTAAGAGTTTTAAGCAAACATTTCAGATCAAATATTCTGGCTGACAGCAGCAGCACTGCCAGTAGCTGTATTTCTTCCTCTCTTCCTCACTGCAGAAACAAAGAGCCCTTGTGTTGCATGTGGGTCCTGCTTTAATAGTAAGCAGGGGCAGCAGAGAAAGAAGGTCCTGCTTTCAAGACTGGTGGAGCATGCAGGCCTGACAAAGTGTCATAAGATGCTATTTTGGAGGGAAGAAGAGAAAAAAAAAAAAAGACAAAGCTTTTTTAAAAAGTACCAAGAAGCAGTAGATTTGAGCTTGCTGAATTTTAATTAGAAGACTAGCAAAACAGGCAATACAGCCAGCTACTGGCAGGCCTTATCGCTGAGAGCAAAAACACACTGATCTTTCAAAGGGCAAACTGGTTTAGGGATCAATACACTCATCAGAGGGCCTTTTCTGACAGTCTGCAATTATAGCCATCAGTAATCAGTACCAATTTTAGAGACACTTTAAAAACCCAGCCATTAAGTCTAGATTTTTAAACAAAGCTCTGCTTCCTGGAGGATATTCTTGTGAACAGCATCAATGCTCAGGACATTAGCAGTTACTTTTTTAAGCTGGTGATAATCTCTACTACAACTCATCTTCCAGAAACAGGAGTCATCAGCTTTGCACACCTAGACACTACCACATCCTAAACACGGTTGATGAAATAGAAATTATCAAACTTTCCCACACTACTGCACTAGTCTGAAATTCTACTTGGGGAAGGGGGAGGAGAGTGAGAGGGGAAAAACACGTATGCCTAAAGGAGTAAGCTGTGACCTCCCATGGGCACCACCCCACATCTCAACATGATGGAGCAAATGAAACTGGATGCCATCAAAATAATGAGGATTAATACCATTTTCAAAGACAATCAAAACTCCCTGGTTGGAAGGTCCCATTTTTCTTAGCACAATTTATTAGTAGCAATAGTGGCATTAGTATCCACCGTGATATTCAGGTCCTACAGGTCCCCCAAATTCTCTACCTAGAAGCCTACATAGTCGTATTTTTCCTGACTGAGAGGGCTTCCTTTCCAATCCCTACTCACTCTTAACCTTATAGTGAAGAGATAAGGCCCCAAAGACAGTGATGATGGCCAATAAGTGGCTAAAAAGAGAGCAAGAGGAACGTTTTCCTCTGAGGTCCTCTCACAAAGGAGAGGGAATTCAACCACCCCAGCTGCCCAAAGACCCTACACTGCCTCCTATATTCAGAGTGCAGCCATCTCAGAAGTTAGAGAAGGCTTCTGGAATCTCGCTGGGAACACTGGTTGAGTCCACAATGATTGCGCACAGCTTGTGAGCTCTCTAGGCACAAGGAGCATTATTTAGTCCCGACCCACGGTCAGGGGAAAAACAACTGCCCAGGCTGGGAAGAAACTGCTTTGGGAGGCATCGCTGGACAGCTCCCGTTGTAGGAAAGTTCTTCCCTCTCGCCTGCCTTTCTGCCTCTTCCACCTGCCGGCAGTCAGGCCTCTGAAGCCCCACAGAGAAATCGGTTCCCTCTTCACCGGGTGGCCCTTCAAATACGCTCAGAGAGCTGTCGTTCACCGAGTCATCTCTCCCACAAGCGTGGCTGTGGCATTCTCAACCACATTTGACATTCCATGGCACGGGGTTTCTATTCTCCCCTTTCCTGCACCCTCCCCTAATTGTGCTCTTGTCAGGGCAAGGAAGTGCACACCCATGCCCACACGTAGGCGTAGAACCCAGGGCCTGAGAGCCCAGCGCGGGAGCTTCGGGTGGCCGCCCGGCCGCATTCACTGGGAGCCGGAGCCCTGACTGGGAAGCCCCGACTCCCCGCTAGCACAGGCGGTCCCGGCCACGGCGCGCTCACCACCCTCCTCCGTCACCTGGCGCTTGTTCATCTTCTTCAGGTCCCCGAAGATATCCAAGCCGGACGCGGGGAGATGAGCCCCCACGGCGCCCGCACGCACCATAGCAGGGTCTCCGGGGACCTAGCGGCCCGCCGGCTCTGGGTGGCACAGACGGCTGCGGAGCACCTGCCGGCCCCCGCCCACCGGCCCAGCGTCCTTGCGGCCACGTGACCGGCGACTCGCTTGGGCGTCTGGGAATCGTAGTCTCGCCAGTCTTGGGCACTGGCCAGCCAGGAATGAACCTGAAGGAAGAAAACTACCACTCCCAGAATGCTGCGGGGTGGGCACCTCGGCCAGTGAAGACCCGGGGCTCCTAGGGAGGGCAGCTACAGGGCTCCGGAGCCTTGTCCGACCCTTCGGAGGGAACATCGAGCAGCGAGTGACCCCGCATACCTCGGGGGGCAACTCGGGGAAGGGACTACTCAAGAGGAGCTGAATTTCCCGACTCTGGTCAGGCGCCAAGAGGACACCTAACTCCCGCTCGCAAATCACCTAGCCGTGTATCTTGGCTATTGGATGACTGCAGCGAGGAAAGGTGGTGCCTCTACGCTGGGGCGGGCTGAGCCGAATTGGGGCGGGGCCTAAAGATGGACTGCGGTGGGCGGGGCTTGGAAGAGGCGGGACTTTTGAGGCCGCTGAATTCTGCATTTTGAGTGGTACCACTTGTATGCAAGGAAGTATCTTTGAATGCCTTGACCATAATTGGGTTGCAATAGATATTAATTAAATGAATACATAACCACCTAATTTCATACACGAGAAAGCAAAGGCCCAGAAAGGTTCATTGACATGGCCAAGGTTAAGTGGAAATGAGTGGAATATAACTCAAAGTTTTAAATTTAGAAGTCCTAGATCATCACAGTTCTGATCCTAGATTACCTTTGGTTCATTCACTCACTCGTGTATGCATTATGCATTCTTTATTGTATTTATTTATCCACAAATCTTTATGGAGCACCTACCATGCACCTGGCCTTGTTCTAGGCACTTGAGAAACATCAGTTAACAAAACAAGCAAAGATTCTTGCCCTCATGAAGCTTATATTCTACCGAAGGCAGACATAATGGATAATTTATACGGTACCTAAAGGATGGAGGTGCTATGACAACAGGAAAAGCAGATAAGTTGAATGGGGAGGTCTGGGGGAAAGGATCAGGTTGCAATTTAAAATATACCAGAAGCTGACTTACCATGAAGCTAATGAAAGGTAAGTTCTGGGACCCTTCAATTGCAAAGGTGTTTTTCCAAGGTGTGGGAGAAACTTAACCATAGAATGTGTAAAACTTTCAAAAGCAAGATATTGCAATTGCTATTGGTTAAGAGTTCTGTTTCTTTGCATTCCAACTTCACCTCCATTACATTTCCCCTCCTGTTGGAGGGACAAGGAGAATTTTGGGGATCCAGCTAAGGAGGAAACGAGTTGGAGATACATTTGGTTTGAGTTTAGTGAATTTATTTATGTGGTTCATGGTCTTTCCTGCCATCCTCGTGTAAAAAATGGCTTCTGGGAATACTGCCATCCACTGGGCCAACTCACCTGGCACCGTGGCAGGAAGTCCCACTGGAAGTGGCATCTGATATGAAAGTGTTCTGCAGCACTTGACCTTGGAAATAAGTGGATGGAGAGGAAAAACAAGGTTTGAAATGTACAGATCCAGAAGCTAGTCTGTGTAAAATTCTTCCAAATATCAGATGTATAAAATTATAAGTGCAAGACACAGTGCTTAGTACATAGGAAGATATGGTGATAGTTAACCCTGCCACTAATAATTGCTGGAACTAAGGTGGCAGCACTAAAGGTTCAGAATCTGGATACATTTTGAAGAAAGAGTCTTCAGGATTTTTTGAAAGAATAAATATAGGGCGTGAAAGAAGAAAAGAGATTGAGGCTGACTCCAGGGTTTTTAACCTATGGAACTAGAAGGGTAGAGTTCCCCTCAACTTCAATGAGGAAAGCTGTGGGTGGAACAGGTTTGTGGGAATAGAGTAAGGGTCCAAAATGTGACCAATAAACCTAGAACCCAGTGTGATATCTTCACATCAGAACCTTTGGCCCAGCCTCCAGGCTCCTGCTTAGGTTGAGCATTGGGTGAGAAGCAACACAGGAAGACATTGGGTAGAAGTCCCTGCATATTGTCCAGTCTTAGACTAATTTATTCACCTCCATGAACCCTTTGCTCATCCACCAAATAAAAACCGTATTTGTTACAGCCACTTTGGAAGACAGTTTGGCAATTTCTTCCAAAACTAAGCATCCTCTCACCATATGATGCAGCAATTGCACTCCTTGGTATTTACCCAAATACCAGCTTGAAAACGGATGTCCACACAAAAACCCGTACACGGATGTTTTTAGCATCTTTATTCATAATTGTCAACACTTGGAAGCAACCAAGATGTCCTTTAGTGGGTGAATGGATAAATAAACTGCAGGATATCCAGACAATAAAATGCTATTCAGTGCAAAAAAGAAATGTAATATCAAGCCATGAAAAGACAGGAGGGAAGCTTAACTGCATATTACTAAGTGAAAGAAGTCTATCTGAAATGGCAACATACTGTATGATCCCAACTACATGGCATACTGAAAAAGGCAAGAGATGTTGTGAGAGTCAAGTGAGGTATTAATAATATGCAAAAAAAACCTCCCATCTGACTCAAAATAGACTCTCAGAACCAGTAGGAGGAATTATGGCTACTATTAATATTTTTTTCTTAATCCAGGACATAAGTAATTAAGAGAACTAGAATGTTCACTTCATTTGTTCTGTCACTGGTGGCCTCTTCCCCAGTGAAGTACTCCTTCCCGTGAACTCTAGAGGCAAGACTATGGAGACAGTAAAATGATCAGTGGTTGCCGGGGGTAGGGGGGAGAGTATGATACTATAATGATGAGTACATATCATTATATATTTGTCAAAACATAGACTGTACAACCCCAAAGTGAACCCTGATGTAACCCGTGGACTTTGGGTGATAAGGATGTGTCAGTGTAGATTCACCAATTGTAACAAATGTACTACTCTGGCAGGGGAAGTTGATAGTGGAGGAGGCTGTGCATGTGTGGGGGCAGGAGTAGATGGGTATATCTCTATACTTTCCACTCATTTTTGCTGTAAACCTAAAACTACTCCAAAAAAATAATGCCTAAACATTTTGGATACAGCATATAGTGCTCAGGTGATGAGTACACTAAGATCTCAGAATTCACCACTAAAGAACTCATTCATGTAACCAAAAACCATCCGTATCCCAAAAATTATTGAAATATAAATAAATAAATAATAAAAATAAAGTCTAGTTTTAAAAAGTTTTTCAACTGTTGGTAGTATCTGCCCTGATGGTTATGACAATCACAGGTAGGATAAGTAAAAATGTTTTGTAGACTGTAAATTTTATAAATGTTAGATGCAAGCATATGTCATGGAGAGAATCAGCCCCTGTAAATGGAGGTATAAACCACATTGGCCTGCACAGAACCACTGGAGCATGGGCCCTGTGAAGATGTCTTCCCCACTTTTGTGAATGATACGCGCTGGATTTGTTTCTTTGGGCTGCCATAACAAAATGCCAAAGTCAGGTGGCTTAAAACAACGGAAATTTGTTTTCTGACATTCTGGAGGTTTTGCTGAGACCTGCTTCCCCCAAATTCTCTAAGGAAGGATCTTTGCTTGCCTCTTCCAGATTCTGGTAGCCCCAGGCATTCGTCGGCTTCTACAGCATAACTCCAGTCTCTGCCTCCATCTTCCCATGTCTTCACTCTGTGTCTGTGTCTTTCCTCTTCTCTTCTAAGGTTAATGGTCATATTTGTTAGAACCCACCCTACTCTAATGTGACCTCATTGTAACTTGATTACATCTGCAATAAAAGACCCTGTATCCAAATAAGGTCACAGTCACAGGTACCAGGTGTTAGGACTTGAAAATGTCTTCTTGGAGGACACAATTCAACCCATAACATGCAGTTTGTATACTGGAATAATAGCTTAGCAGAGAGGTTTAGAGCCTAAGCTCTAGCAAAAGACAGTCTTGGGTACCAATCCAGGTTCTAAAACTTACTAGCTGTGCAGCCCTGAGTAAGTTATCTTACCTTTCTGTGCCTCTTTTTATAGTGATAGTGGTTACACCTACCTCACAGGAGTAGGTTATGAAGAGTCATTTTTATATGTAAGGCACATAGAATAGTGTGTGACACATAGTGCTCATTAAATGTTAGACATGATCATCATCATCATTAATTACTACCAATGATCAGCAAGCACAGTGATCACCACCATTCGGGTTCATAGCTGAAGTCTTTACCATCTCTCTGCATGTATTACAGACATTCTAATGGCAGGTGTAGCTTGTTCTTAGTGTAACTCACATACACCTGGTGCTTTCCTGACCGGAGAGACGTGTTGTAAACTTATATTTTAACACTCATCAGGTCCTCTAACTACTGAGCTGTTCTCATGTTTGTTTTACCTTTGGAAAACCATGAACCCATTTGCAGTGAACCCAGTGACAGTCATCAGAAAATAGGATGTGAAGGACAGGGAGGCCACTGAGGACCACATGAAACAGAGACAGGCTACCACCACTAAGATGGAAGCCAGCACCAGCCCAAGGGCCACAGCGAGGAAAGTACGCTCTCCCTGCCCTGCATCCAGCACCATGATGAAGCAAGGCTCATGGGGCAGTGCTAGGTGGGTAATCTTTTATCAAGTTGTCCACTCCATCCAGCTCTACACGGCTGGGGGACAAGGAGGGAGATATTAATACCCACCCATCCCCTGGCACATAGAAGGCTGCTCTTTGGTGCAGTCTTTTCCTCCCTGAGGCTGCCCTAATAGTAACTTCAATCTAAATTTCCTGACGTGGGTAGATGGCTCTGGGAGAAGTGTACTGCCCTGCAGGCCTCTTTCTCAGCTCCTGGTTTGGCCATATTCCCTCTCCTTACCTGACCTTATTGTGACTTTAGGTGTCAACCCCTGCCCTATGCTCCTTGCAATCATTTTCTGAGAACTGCCCCTCTCAGAGAGGGTAAGGGGTACACCCAATGACAAAGAGCCGACCTGGGCACTGCCAAGACTTGACACCAGGTCCTTGGGCTGGTGCTTTCTCCACCACGAAACTGACCCAAAGCATTTCAGGGATGAATTTTTACCCCATGCTTAGAGTGAAAGGTGCACTATTGATGGGGTTCTCGATGCAAATCCCAGCTCTACCATTTAGTAACTTGTCACTTTAGGCAAGTGAGGTAATCTCTCTGAATGTCAATATCTTCATCAATAAAATGAAGCTAATGAAACTACCTAACAGGGATGTTGTGAGAGTCAAGTGAGGTAATATGTGAAAAGCACCTACCTGACTCAAAATAGACTCTCAAAAGCAGTAGGAAGAATTGTCATTACTATTTTTTTCTTAATCCATGATAAGTAATTTAGAGAACTAGAGCATTCTCTTCATTGTTCTGTCACTGGTGGTCCCTTCCCAAATGAAGTCCTTTTTCCCACAAACTCTAGAGGATTCTAAGCCTTTTCCTAAGATGCACTGAGTTGCTCTTCTTGACGTTGGGTTGGGGCTGCCATAATAACTCAGTGTCAGTATTCTGGCAGTTTTTGGGGGGGCCTTATGCTTACACTCATGTACTGTTTCTTCCCCCATCATAACCTTCAGCCTACACTTATATTCTGGAGATTCTCAAATCTATATTCCAGGCAAGGTCTTCCTTCCGAGACCTGAATCCGTAAATCCAACTGCATATGGACACCACCTCACGGGTGCCCCAAAGACATCAAACTCAACATTTCCAGGATGGAATTCATCATTGTCTTCCTTTCTGAATCGTCAGCTATTCTCCTTCATTCCTATATCCCTCTTCTTGATTAATGGCACCTCTGTCTACCAAGATTTCTAAGCTAGAAACCTGGGAGTTAGCCTTGATTTCTCCTGCAATCTCCTGTAACTTTTATCCCACATCCAATTGTTAGCCAGAAAGCCTATCGATTCTACTTCCAAATATCCTCATATCTTTTCCTTTCCGTGTTCTGTCAATGCCCTGGCTCAAGCTTCCTCTTCTTTTTCTTTAGCCTTATTCATTTCTCTGCCTCTGGTCTCACACCCCTCCAGTCTAACCTCCACACTGCTACTGGACTGTTCTTTTTAATCTGCAAGTCCAATCATGTTGAGCAAATTGCCACTGAAAATTTTTTAGTGGTCTCTATTGCCTAACCAGTTAAAAGCAAAACTACTTAACATGGCAATAAAACCCTTATTATTTGGCCTTTACATGCTTGTCTAATATGCAAAGGGCAACACTGTATGGAAATGAGACTGAGGGTCCACCATGAGTTGCCCAAACAGGCAGCTAGCTGAGACCCAGGGGATCCTCTGGTTCCACAGGAGGGTAACACCCAAGTCTAGCTTCCTACATGACCACAGCCTTCCTCTTTCTAGACGAAAAACTTTTAACATCCCACTGCTCCAGATTTCCCAGGGTGCAGGGCAGCTGGCTTTCTCAAATCCAGCCTGGTGCTAAGCAGCCTGTGTATTCTCCTGCTGACAAAAACGTTTTCTCTCACTTCATCCATAAAAACCCAGATAGGCTAAGACTCCATCCGCTGGAGTAGAACCTATGCCATGTTTATCACATACCCTAGCAGACTTCTCCATGGGGAAAAAGAGAAGACTGGAGAACTACATGCACCTCTGCTTTGTGAGTTTGCGCATTTCCCAACAAAGCCTGTGTCTTAGCCCATGCCATGTGACTTTGTGGAATTTATCCAACTCCTTTGCATGACAGGGGAGAGTCCTAAACACACACACATAGAATGATACCAGCTTCATCTTTAATCTTTCCCTTCTAGAAATTTGTACTGCATCATTGTTGAATTACTCATGGTGCTCTGAACACCGTACGTGATCATGCCACCCTGCCTTTTTTCCTGCTGGAGTCCCTTTTTATAATGCCCTCCCTTTGTCCCAGTTCTCTGTCTAGAAGACTTCTCCACACCCTGGAAGAAAAAAGGCCCAACCCTACTTCTTTGCAGGAAGGCATTTCCCTGGTACACTCAGATATCCCTTCTCCTATTTCCCCTGCTGTACATTAGACACTCCTTTTCTTATAGTTGTTCTGTATATTTCCTATCTTCTCATGGATCTATGTGATTCCTTAGGGTAGAGATTGTGTTGCAAGATCTTTGGGGTGTCAGTTTTCTTTCCGGAAACCTCTGTGACTGGTGGTGTCTTTGCCCAAGTTCTTGTCCTGCGTCCAGGAAGAATGAGGTTCACAGACAAGTGAAGGGTGAAGAAGACAAGGAGGAGCTTTATTTAGTTTTAGAACAGCTCAGAGGAGACCCACAGTGGGATAGCTAGCTCCTCTCTGTAGGCAGGTTGTCCTGTCATGTGTTCATCTCTCAGCAGAGAGAAGCCCTGAAGAGGGTAGCTTGTCTCTGCCCACTGGTTATCCTGACATCTGCTGCTCTCAGCAGAGAGGAGACCCTGGATGTCTGCCACTCTTAACAGAGAGGAGCAACCCTGGAGAGCATGGCTCCTCTCCCAGGCAGGTTCTTCAGACATCTCTGCATGTCTCTGAAGATCTCAGCAAAGAGGATAGCTCCTCTCTGAGGTGGTCATCCCATCATCTCTCCATTCTCTGCCCTGCTCTGGTTGTCCTCTCTCCTGCTCTGGCTGAGCCCAGGGCTTTTATGAACCTCAGAGGGGAGGAAGTATTTGCTGATTGGTCCATGAGGAGCTATGGCCAGGCCTGGAAGAGGCACCACGAGTCCCTACTCTGGTCTGCAAGACTGGCAGTCCAGCCCCCAGCCTTCAGGCCCTGGCCTGAACCCTGCCATTCATGGCCCCAGGGCTCCACCCCAACCGCCCACTCTGAGAGCAGAGCCAGCACAGGGAGTGGAGAGAGGCCAGGCAGCAGGAGTAGACACCTCTGAGCCTGCAGGGGTTGGGGGGGGGGATTCCCAGGCCCCCCAGGGTGCAGGCTGGAGAGACGCCCAGGTCCTGCACCTCTGTGTGTTGCTATTCCAGATCTGTATTTGAGCAACACAGCCCCTGGCACTTGGTATACAGCTGTTGACTTAAATAATGCTTTTCTCCCTCATATCAATTTATAAGAACCACCAGAACCAAACCACCCAAACCACCAGCCACAGTTTGGGTGGCTGCAGCAACAGGCAGGGAGCTCCTTCCCCAATTCAGAAGAAGTAGGGCTCCCACCAGCTCCATGGGGTGTGCAGCCCCAGCCACACCTCTCTGCTACAGCTAGTGTGATGGCAGCCGCTGCCATCAATTCGATCTCTTAAATTCTGCATGCCTGGCAGCAAATACCATGCCTGGCAGGTAACAGGTGCTCAATTTTTTAAAAAACTGATACAATAAATAGTCTAATCAATTTCTTGCCTTTCAGCTCCAAATCCATCCTTCTTCATTCTGCTTTGTGATACTGGAAACATTTGTGCATTGTCAGCTGGACTAACTTTAAATATTGTTAAGCTTTCTCAGTAGATGGTGCTGGAAAGACACTAGAGGAGGAAGGGGCTTCTGTTTCTAGTTCCAGTGGCCTGTGGGACACCCAGGGGTACATGCTTTTCAGCAAGTTTTCCCAGTACCACTTAGAGTGGCTTACTAGCAAGTGTAACTTATACCTCAGGGGGTGGCTTCCCAGGGAGTCTCATCAGCACCAAAGTATGCAGTTTCCGCTTTGCCAGTCCCAGTCTGTCACAGCTCAGATAACTAATACTCAGTCAGGTAGTGTATACCTTAGCTTTTTTCCTAAGCTTTCCCAGTGGAACATGTAGTCATTTATAACAGTGACTATACACTGGGGAAAAGGAACTACACAGATATTTTGGGAATTAGCAGACATTGTCTCTGTATTGACTAACTCCTAGAGACCTCAGATGTGACTGTGCTCACAAGTCAAAGTGAAGGCTTATAGCAGTCAGGTGGCAGATTAAGCCTTAGCCCAAATCTGATTCACAGTGGGACCAACTGGTCTATGCTCCCTTTCCCTCAATTGTTTTTTCCTCACCTCTTGGATGTATATTTGGAATTGATATACTTGTCACTCTCAGAATCCCCAAGTTCTTTCTCTGACCCATAGGTAAGGGCCATTATGGTAGGAGGGACTAAGTAGAAGTCCATAGAAAGTTCCCTCTTCACCAAGATAGTAAACCAGAAGCAATACTGCATCCCTGGGGGTGGAGGGGCAGGGAATTGCAGAAATCACAGCCACTATTAATGGACAAAATGATACAGAGTTTGTGATATCCATCACATTCCCACTTAACTCACCTGTTTGGCCTGTACAGAATATGGGTAAATGTTAGAGAATGGCTATGGATTATTATAAACTTAATCAAATGGTCATTCTAATTGTGTTGCTATTCCAGATCTGTATTTGAGCAACACAGCCCCTGGCACTTGGTATGCAGCTGTTGACTTAAATAATGCTTTTCCCCCTCATATCAATTTGTAAGAACCAGCAGAACCAATTTGCTTATACCTAGCAGGGCCAGTAGTACACCCACACAGTCTTATCTTGGGACTATGTCAACTTTCCTGCCATCTGCTACAATATAGTTACAGAAATCTTTATCATCTTGACACTCTGAAAAACATCACATTCTTCTACTACATTGATAAAATTATACTGATTGGAGCTGATGAATTGGAACTAGAAAGTGCACTAGATGCCTTAGTAAGAAATATGCAAACTAGAAGGCGTGAGAAAAAAAACACACAAAAATTTCACATCTGCCATCTTAGTGACGTTTCTGGTGGTTCAATGGTCTGGATAATGTTGAGGCGTTACTTCCGAGGTGAAAGATGAGTTGTTACATCTCTAAACAACTACTGCAAGTAAAGATGCACAACAGTTGGTAGGTCTTTTTGGAATCTGGAGACAACCTAGACCACTTTGAGTGTGTTACTTTAACCCATCTGTGACTCATAGGCTGCCAGTGACCCATAAGGCTGCCAGCTTTAAGAGGGGAAAATAAAAAGTGAAGCCTCTGTTTTAAGAAAGGACCATAAAAAGAGAAGACTCTGCAGCAAATCCAGCTCCTGTGAAAGCTGCTGTACCACTTGGATCTCATTATCCAACAGATACAATAATAACTCAAAGTGTGGATGACAAATAAGAAAGCTATATGAAAACTCTAGCAGCTACCAAAGGAAAATTGCAGAGCAGATTTTTAGGATTTTGGAGGAAACCTATGCCCTCCTCTATAGATAACTCTTCTGTTTAAGAAACAGCTTCTGTATTGCCATTGGTCCTTGGAGGGACTGAAAATCCAAATGTGGGACCTCAGGTGACCATGCACCCCAAGCTTTTTATCATGTACTGAGTATTTTATGACCCACCTAGTCATTAGGATGGATGTATGTAGCAGCATTTGCCACCAAGTGGAAATGGTATATAAGAGACCAAGCTTAGGCAGATCCACAAGGAATGAATAATTTGAATAAGCAGGTGGCTCAGACTCCTTCAATACTACTGCATTGCGTCCTTTCCAGTCCATACCTTCAGTCCCCTTCTGGGAATTTTCCCATCTGCAGTTAACTGATAAAGAAAAACCTCAAGCCTGGTTTACAATAGGGTCTGCATGATATGCTGGTACCACCTGAAAGTGGACAGTTGTGCCACCTAACAGCCCCACATAGAGGTGATTCCAAAGGACACCTGAAGGAAAAACATCTCAGTGGGCAAAACTTCAAGTAGTACATTGGGTTGAGAGGGGGCTAAAAGCATGGGTCTACAGTTATTTGTGGACGTTTGCTACTTATTTGACTGGATCATCAGGGATGTGGAAGGAACTGTATTGAAAAGTTGGTGACAAGGATGTCTTTGGAAAAGGTATGTGACAAATCTCTCAAAATGGGTGCAAATTATGAAGATATTTGTGTCCCAAGTGAATGCTTATCAAATGCATATCATACAAAGGAGGCTATTAATAACCAGGTGAACAAAATTATATTCTCCATGGATATCAATCAGCCTCTTTCCTCAGCCATCCAAGTACTTGCTCAATATTCCTGTAACTAAATTGGACATGGTATCAAGATAGAGGTTATGTGTGGGCCAAAATATGGCCTCTCCTTCTCCAAAGCTGACCTGAATAATGCCACTGCTGATTGCCTACTCTGCAGATAGCAGAGACTGACATTGAGCCCCAAAATGGCAAATTTTTTTGGTTGGGCTAACCAGCCAGCTGGTCACAGGTGTTGATTACATTGGATATTTTCTATCATGGAGAGGGAAGAGATTTGTTCTCACTGAAATAGATACATATCCAAATATGGATATGCCTTCTCTGCATCAAATGCTTCTGCTAGCACCACCATCTGTGGACTCACAGCATTCCTTACCCATCGTCATGGCATTACATGCAGCATCACTATTGCTTCTGATCAAGGAACTAATTTCACAGCAAAGAACATATTCAGCATTGGTTCATGCCTATGTAATAAACTGCTTTTATTACATACCTCATCACTCATAAGCAGCTGGCCTGATTGAAAAGTCGGAGGGCTCCCTGAAGCTTTGATAATGATATCAATTTGGAGATAATTCTAAAAATTTTAGTTTTGTCTTATAGAATGCAGTATATGCTTTCAATTGATAACAATTATGTAGTGCTGTTTCCATAACCAGAACACATGAGTCCAGAAATAAAAAAGTGGAAATGAGATTGGTTCCTCTCAATATTATACCCGGTAATGTACTCTCAAAAATTTGCTTCCCATCTTGGCAACCTTAAGCTCTGCTAGTTGGCAATCTTATTCCCCAAGGGGAAATGCTCCTGCTAGGGACACAGCAATGGCTCCATCAAATTGGCAGATGAAACTACCCTCGAGCCCCTTGGGCTCCTTATACACTGAATCAGAAAGCAGAAAAATGGCTGGAATAATTGATTCTGATTACTAAAAGAAAATCGGATTGCTACTACAAAATGGGGCCAAGGAGAGCTCTATCTGAAACTCAGTGGGTACTCTAGGATGTCTTTTAGTTCTTTCATGTTCAATAAAAAATGGCTACAGCAGCCAAAAATTTCTTTAAAAGACAGAACTACTGAGGACTCAGACCTTTGAAAAACAAAGTTTTTGGTTACTTCACCATATAAACAATAATTATCAGCCAAGTTGCACGCTGAAATAAGGGAACTATAGAATGGGTAGTGGTAGAATAAAATCATCACCTTGACCTTGTGGCCAATTATAGAAATGAGGGCTATATTACAGCTGCATATTTTTTTATTTGCCTATTATATGTACATATTAATTTGCATGTTATAACCATTTTGTTCTTCTTCCTCCTACCTATTATCCATTTATATGCAAGTTCTTGGATGTTAACTTTATAATTTAGTCTTTAGGTAACAGAATATTCAGTGGAACTGTGACTGAATTTAAAAAATAAATAATATAGCCAGCAAGGATACAATGACTGGGACTGCATATGTCCTCATTTTGGAGAAAGTGAGAACTTTTTCACTTATTCAAAGGTTAGCTGCTGCTTGTTCATTGGAAATATAGAGTTGTTTAATTGTTGTCCAGAAGTTCAAACATGTATAGGAGGATGCATATGGAAGCTGATTAGCTAAATGAGCGACCTGTGCCTTTGAACAATTATGACCTCTCTCCAAATCTACCCTTCCTTGCCCTGCTTTGTGATACAGAGCTGAACCCTGTGAACTTTCTCCATTGCCAGCTGACACAATGTTAAGCTTTGCCAATAGAGAGCACTAGGGGGACACCAGAGGAGGACAGGCTCTCGTGTGCCTTTTCCCCTGTTCCTGTGGTATGTAGATACCTGTGGTATTTAGATACCAGTGGCACGCGTGATTCCCAGTGCTGCTCACCCTCCAGCAAGTCACAATGTTTGCACAGCGGTTGGCTGCCCTTTGAGTTTCACCAGTGCCGTGGATGGTCTTCCAGTGCATCTCACTGGCACTTCTGTGGGCAGTTTCCTGCTTGCCATCCTAGCCCGTCACACCTCAGAGAACTTCTCTACCATCCAGGGGACCACAGCCACAGCTTCGAAATCTAATCTCAGACATCAGGAGGCAGATCCTCTTTCAAGTTTGTTCTGTTCTTGGGTATACTGCTTCAGCCCTATAAGTCGTGGCTACTCCCTGTATCTGCTAGTCCTGTATTCTTTAGAGTTCTCTTTACTCCCTAAGTAGTTAATCCACTGTTATTAGTTGCTAGTTATTAACATGTTAAATTTTCTTTGTTCAAATTACTGGTGTGATCTTTGTCTCTTGACTGCACCCTGACTGGTATAACTAATCATTGAAGAGGCTACTCCAACCACCAAATACAATATCTGACTTAATAAGCTGGGTGGGTTTTTTTCATATAGTCACACAAGTAACACATAAATATTCCCATGGAAAACCCAGATTACAGACAAATGAAATCTCCCTTCACCCCACTCCACTCTCAATGCAATCCAAGTTATTTCCCAGTGTTGGAAGTATGCTGTGTGTCCTTCCAGATCTAGCCCCTCTCCCTTCTTATTAATTTGTTTCTACTTGTTGCTTTTGAAACAATGTTATGATGTGGGGTGGGGTGGGGGGTGTCTTGGCAGTTTTGTAAGATAAAATTCCTAGAAATTGGATCACTTAGCCAAACAGCATTAACATTTAAATTTTAAATTTCCCTCCAGAAAGGCTAAACTAAATTCTAATCCCACACAATAAGATTTTAGCCAGTCACAGCAGCCCATGTCTGTAATCCCAGCACTTTGGGAGGCTGAGGTGGGCAGATCACTTGAGGTCAGGAGCTCGAGACCAGCCTGGCCAACATGGTGAAACTCCATTTCTACTAAAAATACAAAAATTAGCCAGGCACGGTGGCATGCACCTGTAATTCTAGCTACTTGGGAGGCTGAGGCAGGAGAATCACTTGAACCCAAGAGAGCCAAGATCGCGCCACTGCACTCCAGCCTGGGTCACAGAGCACGACTCCATCTCAAAAAAAAAAAAAAAAAAAAAGATTTTAGACAGTCAAGCTATGTGAAACTTAGAAGGTACCATAGAAATCACATGGGTAAAACTTTTTCACCTAACTGATGGTGAGCTAAGGCTCAGAGAGAGAAATGACTTTTCAATGTCATACAAATAACTAAATCTGGAAGGCAGGGGGAAACTTACGTTGTTGGACTAGGCTTTAAGGAATTACATTCAAAATAATGGTTCCATATTTAAGTCTTGTTGACCCAAAGCAAAGTGGATAACTGAGGCAACTCTTAATATAACCACTCTTCCAACAGCCCTATATTTCCAACAAAATGATCTATGTGTCTTGGCCATGGGTGAACTTGCAGTCCAAATCACCCAGCTGTTGGCCAATTATTTTTTAGGATCATAACTTCTAAGGCTTCAAAGGGATTTAGAACCCATCAGGGTCAAACTTCTACCTACAGCAGCATCTTCTCTAAAAGACAAGGCAATCCGCGAACCTCTCTTGAAATGTTACTGAACAGCTCCTAAATTCACTAGTGAAAATGGAGCAAGGGACAAGCACTGACTAAAAATCATCCTCAACACTGTTCATATGGCACCTCCTTAACAGTAGGCCCTTAAAAAAACAGGAAAAGAGGCCCAAGTGATGGGGCAAAAAAGCAGAAGCAGTGACACCCAACCACCCATCCTTCCAACCTCACAGCCCTGTTCACAGGGAAGGGTACACTCTCAGCATCCATACGGTCCCTCAGCACGGATGTGGCTGTGACAGATGTGATCTTGAAGATGCCTCTTGGATCAGTTCTTGATGCTGCTGGGCCCCCGGTTTTGTCTTCTTGACTTGTTCTCACAAAGGAAGTCAATAAAGTCAAGTGAAGCCTCACAGGTTCATCAAGCACCTAAATAGTTCCTCACCCTTTGCTGGGGATCAGCTCTCTCCCTCTCTGTTCTCTGTTCCTAGATCTTCATTTTCCCATCTCCAGTTGTGCTGTGATATCAAATACAGGGTCTTAGCTCTAATCAGCCTGTTCTTCCAAAGACGCATGAAAAGCAGAGTCTGATTGCCATTGGCTCTGCCAATATCTGGGGAGATCTAGTTTAACTAGCGTTAGAAATCAAGAATCCTCTCTCTGCTTAGGTCCTGGTCATTATAGCATTTTCTTGATTACATAGTTTAAACCAAAGCATAGCATTGCTTTATTTCTCCCTTTTCCATGGAAAAATAAACATATGTAAATTTTCCATTTGAAATTCCATAAACACAGGCTGACACACACCACAAACCATCTCTTTATAATTCCTAGACAGCCTTGTTTCCTTCAGGTGAGATAATAAGAAATAGAAATTTAAGAAGTCTTTCATGACACGGTTGGTTCTCTTTCTTATTTATTAAATTATTTGCTCCATCTGGCACTAGGAATCCAGAGGTGAATAAGACACTGTCCTTGGATCCAGTTAAAGCTGTAAATGTGCAGTGTTTGACATCTGTAGGGGTGTAACAGGTGAACTAGGTAGGCCATCATTAAAGGTATGCACTCTTAGCATACCAGGTAGCCCTTATGAGTGGGGAGGGTGTAATTGCTACAGAAGCAATGCCAGATAACATTTCCTATGTGTTTATTTTGTATCAGTTAAGTACATCTTTATATTTACTATCAATTTCATTTTTATAAAAGAAACTATTTTATAGAAAATGGGTAGTAGTTCTCAGAGATGATAAGCAACATGGCTGACATCACAGAGCTAAGAGATGACAGTGCCCAACTTGAATACAGGTCTGCCAAATCCAAACTGTCATCTGCTGCACCGCATAGTCTCTCCTCAGTTTTTCCTGCCCTTAGAAGCCACCAGGCTGCATGAGTAAACCCAGCCTCAGGTGAGGCTTCCAGTTTGTGAGTTCAAGTTATTGCCTACAGACTGGTGTTGGGGGAAACCAACAGCAGCTCCAAGTCATGAGTGCTGAAGAACCTCAGGGATCCTGTTCAATTTTTTTCTTGATGGAGAGAGGTAGAACTCATTCTTAAATGAAGCACAAACAGAAAGACATATGATGAATGACTGAGAATTTGGTCAGCCCTAGCAAAAACACTGCAAGCTGTCTGGGTAGGAATGAGTTGTCTCATCTCAGATCTGAGTCAGAAGCAGCTGGATAATGGGGCCAGACACCGGCTCTCTGAGTCACTCCCTACCTTCTCCATCTTTTGCATCTGTGGAAGGGTATGCCTCAGAAGAACGGCTCTGTTCCCTAGAGATGTCATAATCAGAGGGTAGAAATGTGGGCTGCCTTTTCCCTCCTCCTCAGTCCATCTCCCCTTCTGCTGCCTAAGTGCTCCTGTCAAAATAAGCCGTTTCTCAAATTACCACTCTCTTCCACCCCAGCTGACTGTTCTGATTGCCTCGCTTTTCCTTGTAGATGCTACAACCAGCTATGAGGAATTTTATGCTAAGAAAAGTGTCAGGAATAATTAAAGAGAGGGAAGGAGAGGAGAAAAAGATAGAAAGGAAGAGAACATTCCTTAGCAAAAGATGCTCATTTTGATTTTATGTCCCATGCTACTTAACTGTCATGAAACAGTCAAGAGCTTTTAAATTTTGGCTCCTAAGTTTAACTGAACGCTCTATTTTTTTTTAAATGCTAGGGAGACATTTTCTTATACTTGACATATCAGTGAGCCTCAATACTTTCTGCATAAGCTTGATAGATGCAGGAAGGCAGCACCGTGTGATGCTGAGCAGCCTGGAACCAGAACCGGGAGATCCAGGCTGTCCTCCTGGCCGTACCCACACATAGTAGTGCCACCTTGAACCACCCATCTTACTCCCTGGGCCTCAGTTTTCTCATCTGTAAAAACCAAGTTGTGGCCTCTCATGTTCTGTGGCAAGTATAAATTTTGCAATCATGGCCTCCGGGGAGCAAAAACGTAACTTTACTTTCCTATAATTTAGAAAAGTTGGCAGGGCACGGTGGCTCACACCTGTAATCCCAGCCCTTTGGGAGGCTGAGGCAGGCAGATCACTTGAGGCCAGCAGTTCGAGACCAGCCTGGCCAACACAGTGAAACCCTGTCTCTACTAAAAATACAAAAATTAGCTGGGCATGGTGGCAGGCACCTGTAATCCCAGCTACTTGGGAGGCTGAGGCACCAGAATCACTTGAACTAGGGAGGCGGAGGCTTCAGTGAGCTGAGATCGCACCACTGCACTCCAGCCTGGGCAACAGAGCGAGACTCTGTCTCAAAAAAAAAAAAGAAAAGAAAGAAAAGAAAAGAAAAGTTATATTAAAGCCCCCTTTACTTGGTCGGTAACAACTGAGTATCATCATTTTCAGTTTTAAAACTGGGTGTCAGTAATCTCAATAATTTGAGATTATTTTAAGATTCTCTCCTATCCCCACTTTTTCCCCCTACGTGACAAGTGAGTTTCAGGGAGGTGTACTGTGGCCTTCAGGGGCAGCTCTTTGTATTTGCTTCTCCCTCTTGATCTATCTCACTCCAGTTCTAGCATCCCTTGAAGGGTAGCCTGTCTTAGCTGGGCCTCAAGTGTGACCTCTTCCACAGTGACACCCTCTGAGTCATTGGCTCCTGTCCTCACTGTCCCCATTGAAGTGCCTGAGGTCCTGCTACGGCTGTGGTCCTCATACCCACTTGCACCAGCAGCCGTCAGACCTGAAGCCCCAGGCTTCTTCAAGTCCTCTCTCTTTGGGGCCTTTCTTGGCTAACTTCCTGAGCCCATCTCTATTCTATTATCCTATACCACTGTGCTCAGGAGACACTGGAAAGGCTGTTGACACTCAGAGGTACAGGTGACACACTTCCACTGTGGAATTATCAACCCTAGAAAGGCCAGATATCTTTATACATTGCTGCACCTTCAAGACAAAGCTGAAAGGGGGACAATGTAAGTGCAGCCCTTGTAAACTCTTCGGATTCTCCTCTAACTCTCCTCCCTATGCCTTAGTCTAGAGTTTTGAAGGGATTTCAAAGAAAAATGGATTATTCCAGATGTTGTCCCCATTTAAATCTTTCTGACCTTACATATGAATGGTGATTTTAGCCTTAGAAGTCAAGAATTCACCACCATAGTCTCAGACATTATAGAGACCTCTTTTTTTTTTTTTCACCAAAGTAGGTAGCTCATGTCTGGCTGTCTATACTGGGGCAAGAACAGCATCCTGGGATTCATGCGGCGGTATTAAAAGAATGGACACATGGAGAAATGGAGCAAAACTATCAATACCACATATGACAGTATGATAATTCCATGACTGGATGACTTGACTTGGTTAAATATCAATTCTAAGTTTTAGACTGGGTGCGGTGATTCATGCCTATAATCTCAGCAGTTTGGGAGGCTAAGGTGGGAGGATTACTTAAGCCAGGAGTTTAAGACCAGCCTGGGCAACAAAGTGAGACCCCCATCTCTACAAAAATTTTAAAATTAGCCAAGTCTGGTGGTGTGCACCTATGGCCCCAGCTACTTGGGAGGCTGAGGTGGGAGTATCACTTGAGTACCAGAAGTCAAGGCTACAGTGAGCCACATTCATGCCACTGTACTCCAGGCTGGGTGACACAGTGAGATTCTGTTTAAAAAAAAAAATTCTAAGTTTTAAATTAAAGGTTTTCAGCTGGCCATGGTGGCTCACGCCTGTAATCCCAGCACTTTGGAGGCCGAGGTGGGTGGATCACCTGAGGTCAGGAGTTTGAGACCAGCCTGGCCAACATGGTGAATCCCCATCTCTACTAAAAATACAAAAATTAGCCGAGTGTGGTGGTGGGTGCCTGCAATCCCAGCTGCTCGGGAGACTGAGGCAAGAGAATTGCTTGAACCCGGGGGGCAGAGGTTGCAGTGAGCTGAGATCATGCCATTGCACTCCAGCCTGGGCAAAAAGAATGAAACTCTGTCTCAAAAAAAAAAAAGAAGAAGAAGAAGTAGAAGTAAATTAAAAGTTTGCTTCTCCTTGAGAAAACTCACTAAATTCACTAAAAAGCATATATTTATAAATTCTTACTACTTACATTTTTAGAGAACCTGGGGATTCAGCTGTGTACAAGTCAAGGTCCTTGCTAGTATGATGCTTTAGTATGGAAAAAGACAGTAAACTAACAGACAAAAAATAATTTTAGACATTTATACTGTTATAAGTAATGAGAAGGAGCTGGCCATTCCATGCTCTGGGGTAAGAGCATCCTGGGCACAGGGATCAGCAATTGCTAAAGCCCTGAGAAGGAAAAGAGCCTGGAGTATAAAGATGTCATTTAGGACTGTTTGCAAAAAATGTGTAAATGATCAGAACAGTAAAAAGGCATTAGTCACATATGGAAACTCAGATAGAATGGTGAATTTCAGTGAGGGTGGGTTGCCCAAAGTTGAGATGATGGTAGGACATAGGAGCAACCAGAATGTCATTTTGTGATATGTTTATTTGCATCATTTATTCGGGTATATAATTCATTCTATAAGCACTTATAGAGAGTTCTAAGGGTTACAAAACCAAACAAAATCATGGCCTTTGCCCCCCCAAAATTTACAAATTAAGGAAGGAATTGAGACATGTATAAATAATTACATTCAAGGTACAATGTGTTAAACACACACACGCACACAAATTTTCACTGCACAGTAGTAAGTCTAAAGGAAATGAAAACAGAGATGTACTGAAAGATAGCCAGCAGTCCTCAAGATTCCTCAGCACTTGCTTTTCAAACCCAAGGTTTTGGACCAAAAAGGAAAATACAAGCCATTTCTCTCTTATAGGTTCCAGTTCTTAAAAGTCCAGACTTTCAAGACTATGGTCTCTACTGGGAGTTTAAGAGTTTATAACTTGGTCCCCTTCCCATACGGTAGCATGAGGAACTCCATGGATGCAGTCCCCAGTGAAAAAAGAAAAACTGGTGGAATTTATTTAAACAAACCATTCAGAGTTTCTGGAAATTGTCAAAAGGGCACACAACAAATGAAGAAACATTTACTCAAGAAAATCTATTGAAGTCACTAAGAAGAATAAGAGTTCATGGCATTTGAACCACACCCCAACCCCTCCCTCACCCTACTGTAGCTCAGCTTAATGGAAGTTCCACTCCAAGGTGGGTATGGCCAAGAAGTTGGAGCTCCATCTTCTTATTCAATCAGAGGTTGCCATAACTCACAAGGAGGGACTGGCCATCAGCGTTTCTCATCCTCTCCAACTACAAGTTGAATGGCTAAATTTCTGATGAGTGCAACCAAGAGGTTAATATACCTTATTCCTTCCTCTGTCAAGCTCCCATTCATGGGATGGAGCCTCTACCTCAGGTACAGAAGCCCATGAATACTTGGAGCTGGTCACCTTTGCCCCAGCTCACTCCTAAGGCAGTGGTTCCATGCTGAGAGAGAGAAGCCAAGAAGACCAGAGGCTACTGCTCCTACTCAGCTCCCTGGATAGCAGGTCAGAGATTTTGACAAGTGGAAAGAGGCAGTATGTGAAAACAGAGAGCTCCAAAATATTCTCCAGAAGAACCAACTTTATTTGAAACAGAATGTGGGGAAGTTCAAGCTAAAGGTGCTCTTGAGAAAAATATTCCTGCTAAGCAAAAAGTTAAACTATAGGCTCATATCTTAGTCTGTACATGCTGCTATAACAAAATACCTTAGACTGGGTAACTTATAAAGGACAGGAGTTTATTTCTTACAGTTCTGGAGGCTGAGAAATCCAAGATCAAGATCCCAGCAGATTTAGTGTCTGGCAAGAGCATCAAATTGTACTTTTTAAATGGGTAAATTGTATGTTATGTGAATTATATCTCAATGAAGCTTTTTTTTTAAGTGCCTGTAATAACTTGACTCTTTGTTATTGGCCATAACAGCATATAGAAAGCCATCGCTGGCCAGGCACAGTGGCTCATGCCTGTAATCCAAGCACTTTGGGAGGCCAAGGCAGGTGGATTACCTGAGGTCAGGAGTTTGAGACCAGCCTGGGCAACACGGTGAAACCCCATCTCTACTAAAATACAAAAAATGAGCCAGATGTGGTGGCATGTGCCTGTAATCCCAGCTTCTCGAGAGGCTAAGGCAGGAGAATTACTTGAACCCAGGAGGCAGAGGTTGCAGTGAGCCGAGATCGCGCCATTGCACTCCAGCCTGGGCGACAGAGCGAGATTCTGTCTCAAAAAAAAAAAAAAAGAAAAAAGAAAAAAAAAGAAAACTATCATTGCTTCAGAAGGTTGAGGGTGTGGGGGTGGCAGGGCACAGGGACAAATGGGAATAAGAAGGAAAGAAAGTCACAAAGTCACAGGGTAACCCATACTCAAGGAATAGGAAAATGGACTCTTCCTCATTATAAGAACAATGTAGAATTGTGTGCATTTTTTTAAATTTTTGTATTTGTATTTTATTTTATTTATTTATTTATTTATTTTTATTATACTTTAAGTTCTAGGGTACATGTGCACAACGTGCAGGTTTGTTACATATGTGTACATGTGCCATGTTGGTGTGCTGCACCCATTAACTCATCATTTACATTAGGTATATCTCCTAATGCTATCCCTCCCCACCAACCCACCCCACAACAGGCCCCAGTGTGTGATGTTCCCCTTCCTGTGTCCAGGTGTTCTCATTGTTCAATTCCCACCTATCAGTGAGAACATGCGGAGTTTGGTTTTTTGTCCTTGCGATAGTTTGCTGAGAATAATGGTTTCAGTTTCATCCATGACCTTACAAAGGACATGAACTCATCCTTTTTTATGGCTGTATAGTATTCCATGGTGTATATGTACCACATTTTCTTAATCGAGTCTATCTTTGATGGACATTTGGATTGATTCCAAGTCTTTACTATTGTGAATAGTGCCGCAGTAAACATACATATGCAGGCATCTTTATAGCAGCATGATTGATAATCATTTGGGTATATACCCAGTAATGGGATGGCTGGGTCAAATGGTATTTTTAGTTCTAGATCCTTGAAGAATCGCCACACTGTCTTCCACAATGGTTGAACTAGTTTACGGTCCCACCAACAGTGTGAAAGCATTCCTATTTCTCCACATCCTCTCCAGCACCTGTTGTTTCCCAACTTTTTAATGATTGCCATTCTAACTGGTGTGAGATGGTATCTCATTGTGGTTTTGATTTTCATTTCTCTGATGGCCAGTGATGATGAGCATTTTTTCATGTGTCTGTTGGCTGCATACATGTCTTCTTTTGAGAAGTGTCTGTTCATATCCTTCGCCCACTTGTTGATGGGGTTGTTTGTTTTTTTCTTGTAAATTTGTTTGAGTTCTTTGTAGATTCTGGATATTAGCCCTTTGTCAGGTGAGTAGATTGCAAAAATTTTTTCCCATTCTGTAGGTTGCCTGTTCACTCTGATGGTTGTTTCTTTTGCTGTGCAGAAGCTCTTTAGTTTAATTAGAACCAATTTGTCAATTTTGGCTTTTGTTGCTATTGCTTTTGTTGTTTTAGACATGAAGTCTTTGCCCATGCCTATGTCCTGAATTGTATCACCTAGGTTTTCTTCTAGGGTTTTTATGGTTTTAGGTCTAATATTTAAGTCTTTAATCCATCTTGAATTAATTTTTGTATAAGATGTAAGGAAGGGATCCAGTTTCAGCTTTCTACATATGGCTAGCCAGTTTTCCCAGAACCATTTATTAAATAGGGAATCCCTTCCCCATTTCTTGTTTTTGTCAGGTTTGTCAAAGATCAGATGGTTGTAGGTGTGTGGTATTATTTCTGAGGGCTCTGTTCTGTTCCATTGGTCTATATCTCTGTTTTGGTACCAGTATCATGCTGTTTTGGTTACTGTAGCCTTGTAGTATAGTTTGAAGTCAGGTAGTGTGATGCCTCCAGCTTTGTTCTTTTGGCTTAGGATTGACTTCGTAATGCGGGCTCTTTTTTGGTTGAACTTTAAAGTAGTTTTTTCCAATTCTGTGAAGAAAGTCATTGGTAGCTTGATGGGGATGGCATTGAATCTATAAATTACCTTGGGCAGTATGGCCATTTTCACAATATTGATTCTTCCTATCCATGAGCATGGAATGTTCTTCCACTTGTTTGTGTCCTCTTTTATTTCATTGAGCAATGGTTTGTAGTTCTCCTTGGAGAGGTCCTTCACATTCCTTGTAAGTTGGATTCCTAGGTATTTTATTCTCTTTGAAGCAATTGTGAATGGGAGTTCACTCATGATTTGGCTCTCTGTTTGTCTGTTATTGGTGTATAAGAATGCTTGTGATTTTTGCACATTGATTTTGTATCCTGAGACTTTGCTGAAGTTGATTATCAGCTTAAGGAGATTTTGGGCTGAGATGATGGGGTTTTCTAAATATACAATCATGTCATCTGCAAACAGGGACAATTTGACTTCCTCTTTTCCTGATTGAATATGCTTTATTTCTTTCTCTTGCCTGATTGCCCTGGCCGGAACTTCCAACACTATGTTGAATAGGAGTGGTGAGAGAGGGCATCCCTGTCTTGTGCCAGTTTTCAAAGGGAATGCTTCCAGTTTTTGCCCATTCAGTATGATATTGGCTGTGGGTTTGTCATAAATAGCTCTTATTATTTTGAGATACGTCCCATCAATACCTAATTTATTGAGAGTTTTTAGCATGAAGGGCTGTTGGATTTTGTCAAAGGCCTTTTCTGCATCTATTGAGATAGTCATGTGGTTTTTGTCTTTGGTTCTGTTTATATGCTGGATTATGTTTATTGATTTGCGTATGTTGAACCAGCCTTGCATCCCAGGGATGAAGCCCACTTGATCATGGTGGATAAGCTTTTTGATGTGCTGCTGGATTTGATTTGCCAGTATTTTATTGAGGATTTTTGCATCAATATTCATCAGGGATATTGGTCTAAAGTTCTCTTTTTTTGTTGTGTCTCTGCCTGGCTTTGGTATCAGGATGATGCTGGCCTCATAAAATGAGTTAGGGAGGATTCCCCATTTTTCTATTGATTGGAATAGTTTCAGAAGGAATGGTACCAGCTCCTCCTTGTACCTCTGGTAGAATTCGGCTGTGAATCCGTCTGGTCCTGGACTTTTTTTGGTTGGTAGGCTATTATTTATCGCCTCAATTTCAGAGCCTGTTATCGGTCTATTTAGAGATTCAACTTCTTCCTGGTTTAGTCTTGGGAGGATGTATGTGTCCAGGAATTTATCCATTTCTTCTAGATTTTCTAGTTTATTTGCGTAGAGGTGTTTATAGTATTCTCTGATGGTAGTTTGTATTTCTGTGGTATCAGTGGTGATATCCCCTTTATCATTTTTTATTGCATCTATTTGATTCTTCTCTCTCCTCTTCTTTATTAGACTTGCTAGCGGTCTATCAATTTTGTTGATCTTTTTAAAAAACCAGCTCCTGGATTCATTGATTTTTTGAAAGGTTTTTTTGTGTCTCTATCTCCTTCAGTTCTGCTCTGATTTAGTTATTTCTTGCCTTCTGCTAGCTTTTGAATGTGTTTGCTTTTGCTCCTCTAGTTCTTTTAATTGTGATGTTAGGGTGTCAATTTTAGATCTTTCCTGCTTTCTCTTGTGGGCATTGAGTGCTATAAATTTCCCTCTGCACACTGCTTTAAATGTGTCTCAGAGATTCTGGTATGTTGTGTCTTTATTCTCATTGGTTTCAAAGCACATCTTTATTTCTGCCTTCATTTCATTATGTACCCAGTAGTCATTCAGGAGCAGGTTGTTCAGTTTCCATGTAGTTGAGCAGTTTTGGGTGAGTTTCTTAATCCTGTTCTAGTTAGATTGCACTGTGGTCTGAGAGACAGTTTGTTACTATTTCTGTTCTTTTACCCTTGCTGAGGAGTGCTTTACTTCCAACTATGTGGTCAATTTTGTAATAAGTGCGATGTGGTGCTGAGAAGAATGTATATTTTGTTGATTTGGGGTGGAGAGTTCTGTAGATGTCTATTAGGTCCACTTGGTGCAAAGCTGAGTTCAATTCCTGGATATTGTTGTTAACTTTCTGTCTCGTTGATCTGTCTAATGTTGACAGTGGGATGTTAAAGTCTCCCATTATTATTGTGTGGGAGTCTACGTCTCTTTCTAGGTCTCTAAGGACTTGCTTTATGAATCTGGGTGCTCCTGTATTGGGTGCATATATATTTAGGATAGTTAGCTCTTCTTCTTGAATTGATCCCTTTACCATTATGTAGTGGTCTTCTTTGTCTCTTTTGATGCTTGTTGGTTTAAAGTCTGTTTTATCAGAGACTAAGATTGCAACCCCTGCCTTTTTTTTTTCCATTTGCTTGGTAGATCTTCCTCCATCCCTTTATTTTGAGTCTATGTGTGTCTAATCTAACACATGCACCCTAACCTGTGCACTAAAAACACTTTTTTTAATTTTCCTTGATTTCATAACAGAATTCCTTTTGACAAACTTTTAAAGACATGAGGGTACTTGGGAAGATTTAGGATCTGAATTTACCACTATCCACTGGAGCAGGACATCTTAGGGGTTCTCAGTCTCCATGGCAGGTCGTGGGAGACAGTACAGGCATAGCTCAATGTCCTATGTGGTAGAAGAGAAGACAGTGGGTGTGTAATCAAGCCTCAGCTTCTGGGGCCAACATCTATGAACAGAGTAACCAGACAGACAGCAGAGCTAGAGGAGAGCCAGGAAGAGGTGATGGGGGAAGCTCAGTAAGCAGGCTCATTATCTGCAGGAAATGTCTCAGCAAGGGAACAACTCATCCACCTAGCAGAGCTTCAGGATATTAAAACCCACTTATGCCTAGTGTTCCATTATTGGAATGCTAAGCATGTGAAAGTTATTCATATCCTACTGCTCAAGGTCATCACCAAGGTCTGATTTTTCATTTATGCAAAAATTCAAAACATTGCAACCTCTGGCATAAATGGGTTAATATGGGGGCCAGGATCTTCAGCTGATTCTCACAAGGATCAAGTTGCTAAATGTCCATAGAGTGTGACATGAGAACCAGATCTCTTTTTTTTTTTTTTTCTTTTTTTTTTTTTTTGAGACGGAGTCTCGCTCTGTCGCCCAGGCTGGAGTGCAGTGGCGGGATCTCGGCTCACTGCAAGCTCCGCCTCCCGGGTTCACGCCATTCTCCTGCCTCAGCCTCCCAAGTAGCTGGGACTACAGGCGCCCGCCACTACGCCCGGCTAATTTTTTTTTGTATTTTTAGTAGAGACGGGGTTTCACCGTTTTAGCCGGGATGGTCTCGATCTCCTGACCTTGTGATCCGCCCGCCTCGGCCTCCCAAAGTGCTGGGATTACAGGCGTGAGCCACCGCGCCCGGCCGAGAACCAGATCTCAAATACAAGGTGAAAGGCAATTCTCAGACTGGGACATTGGGTCAACCAGCACCAGACCAATGGGGCGGGGGCTTTTCCTGCTTTTGGTCAGGATGGTTTCTGGATTCTGCAGCAAGGCTGAACAAGACAGCTGTGATGGGAAGAAGTGGGACAGAAACTGATCTGTGCTCAACATTAGACTAAATCACAGGAACTAAGGGAGTTTCCATGGACTGAAATTGAATGTAATCGTGCGTGCGATGAGACTGCCCAAAGTGAGAGTCACTGAGTACAAATATCAGCTTCAGAATGTCTGCAGCAATGGATCCATTCTTCTCTGGGCTGAGGAGGTCTTCCCGGTACATGGTTTTCAGTACTGAACAAAACACTTTAAGAGGATCCTTGACAAACTACAGCACATCAGGAGAGGAGCTTTTAAAATGGAGAGGATTGGAATGTAATAGCACATTAGAAATGTATACGGGAGCTGGGCATGGTGGCTCACACATGTAATCCCAGCACTTTGGGAGGCTGAAGCGGGTGGACCAACTTGAGGCCAGGAGTTCAAGACCAGCCTGGCCAACATGGCAAAATCCCATCTCTACTAAAAATATAAAAATCAGCTTGGCATGATGGTACACACCTGTAGTTCCAGCTACTTGGGAGACTGAGACACAAGGATCACTGGAACCCAGGAGGCAGAGGTTCCAGTGAGTGAGATTGTGCCACTGCACTCCAGCCTGAGCAACAGAGCAAGACTCTGTATCAAAAAAAAGAAACAAACAAAAAAACAACCACACACAGAAGAAGAAATAGATATGGGAAAATGAAAAGGAGGTTATTCAGGTTGTAAACAAGAAGACATGCAGAAGGGGAAGTAAGGGTGGAATTGCAATTACTTTAAACTAGCTGTAGGGGACATCAGACATTAGACCCCAGAGGGAAGAACCAGGATCAATGAGTGAAAGATATCACTTTAGAGAGAGAACAGATCTAACAATTAGCAGCTGGAAAAATGGAACAGGTTTTCCTGTAGTAGTAGTGAGTTCCTGGTCCCTGGACATATACAAGCAGAGACTTCTGGGAAACTATAGAAGAAATTCATGCATTTGATAAAGTGTAGGTTGAGATGGGCTCTAAAGAACCTCATAGTCAGAGACTCTAGGTCTCTGAGACCTAACTGTCAAAGCCGTGGGAGGCAGAGAACATTCTGAGCAGGAGTCACATGCGGAGGATGGGCTTCAGGAAGAGCTATTCATCGGCAAGTAAAGTAGAATGGAGATGTAGGGAGTCAGGCCACATGGCCAGTCAGGTGGTGTAGTGGACAGCTATAGGGTTGTGTTACCCCTAATCTCCTTTTTTCTAGGAACTTACCCCTCCATTCACTACCCACATGGCTGCAGAAGCAGCCTCATATTCCAATAGAATATGGCCAACCCCAGCCACAGGTCCTGGCATAGATGCTGGACCATAGCTGGACTGAACACAGTACCTATTCCCATGACCTTAATGCACATTCTGGGTTGGGGGACCTGACTCAGCTTTCACAGTGAGCTTTTTCCCAGAATCTATGGATGTGAGGGTCTTTCCCTCGGTAGTTGAGGCTACACTACCTGCTGTCATGTTTCCTCCATGAACCAGAGAAGTAGAGACAATGCGTTTGTAGAAAGAGGGAGAAGGGACCCTGAAGGGATGCACAGGGAGGGGGGGAAGTGAGAAATGGAGAGCGAGCCCTGACCCTGCTGAATTCCACCTTCCAAAGATTCTGCCATAACCACATTCCTGTCCGGGGTTCCGCGAGACCCCCCTGGTATTCCCATGAGTCTCCCTTTGGTTTAAGCTGGACTAAATGAGCTTTCTGTCACTTAGTATACTGGTAAATATAGTCTTAGCCAATTCAAAACCTCCTTACAATTGTCAAGGTAGAGACAGATAGAAACAGTGGGAAGGGAAAGGCCATGCAGGCTTCAATCACGGAAGGAAATGATGGGCCACGGCATTCTTCCCTTGGAACCTCCCTGACCCTTCTCCCCACAGGGGCTCTCTGCAGCCCAGGTAAGAAGCATCTGAGGCTGATGGCTGAGATTATGCTCAAGTGCCAGTTTTCTTAGAAGCTGGTAAATTGGTCATGGAACAATGCTACTTAATTTCATTAGCAATTTTGCCTTTGCCAAAACACGTTTTTGCCAGAAGTGCCAGCACATCATGGTTGTGTGTTTGTTAAAATTGAACAGGATCCCAGAGAGCCCTGGAGAGGGTCACAGACCACCTGGTAGATGGTCACTTGATTTTCCACAGCAGGAAGAAAACACAGTGTGCCCCACAAAGCTGCGCTTCCCTAGGAGCCTCCAGCATCCACCCAAAGTCCCCCCAAACCGAACTGGGATCTGCCCCAGGGATGGCTTTTTGCTGATGAATGACTCAGCCCAAGAGACTCAATAAGAGATCTCCTAATGTCCACACCTTCCCAGACCTCATGCTGCTCCCACTCCATGCCCTACCCAAAGGGGAGAGCCATCAGTGCATTTTTATCTGCAGTTCATAGTCAGTTGTCAATCATCAAACTGGCTTTCCTTCTCTTCTTAGCTAATTTCAATAATATGTAAAGCAACCATTCCCTCCCCTCACACATATGCTGTGAGATTTAGTTGACTTCTCCAGTTAACAGCAGTCCTTTTCTTCGAAGCAAATTTTCTTCTGTATTAGATCTTGATTAGAAGCAATTAATAATGGGTTCAAATTTGCCAAGAGGAGCTTCTCAGCCACACACACTTTGCATTTGCAGCAGGAACCCGTTCTCTAACAACAGTTTCACACAAGGAACAACATGGTCTGAACAAGTTCAAGGATTTTCATAACTTCACGTCTCAACCTCACTAGCAAACGTGCTCACTGGGGCTACTTTGGTCCATTTCTGGATTACTTCCGGTCCACTTCCATTTACTTCTGGTCCACTTCTGTGTCTATGGGAGTGTTTTCAGACACTAGAACTATATATTCCAGGTCAAGTGTCTCTACATCTGCCTTGTCCCTGAATGCAGGATCATTTCACAATAATAATTTTGTTGTACATTTGCATAGTAGTTTTAGCTTAACAAATTTAAGTAATCTTTGGATAATCCTTATGATCATCAGGAGTTGTCAGAAATATTTAGGTTACAAGTGACAGAAACCTAACTCAAAGCTGATTAGGCACAAAGGGGTATTTCTACTGGTTTCTACAGTCTATCTCAGGGAAGGCAGAGTAGTTGAGCCCCAGGACTCAAGATTTCTCTCTCTCTCTCTCTCTCTCTCTCTCTCTCTCTTCATTTTCCAAACATGGTAGTTTATTCTCTCAGACTAGCTTTTTCCATGGGGCCAAAATCTAGCATCCAGCAGTTCAGGGGGCCATTACCTTCCCAACTTTACCTCCAGAGAGGAGAGGAATCACTTAATTCCAGAAGGAAAACTCTGGAGAATTATAACTGGTTTGGGAAATATGTCACCTCTGTGTCCAGGGATAATGGGAACTACAACTGGAGCCCTCTCTAGACCCCCATGATCGGGAGGCTACGGTGTGAAAGTGGCTGTTCCCCAAATAAATATATTGTTCTCAAAAGACAGAAGAGGTTCTAGGCAGAACCAAACAACAGATATCCACTCTGTAGGTGTCTTTGTGTTTTACAGAAGAGGAGGCAGAGAATGAGAGAGTGGCAACTTGTCTGTGCATATTCAACTACATACTGCAAAAAAAAAAAACTAAGAACATCTGGGAATAGTTACACAGTTTTCAATCTAAAAGCAAAGACAAAATTCTGAGAATGAGTCTGAAATTGGGGCAGAATATACGAAATCAGGACAGTCTTAGAAAATCTGGAGTTTTTTCTTAAGAACCATATACTCCTAAAAAATTGCTTCACATACAGTAGATGCTCAAACACGCTGAATTTCACAACTTGACAGTGTTTTATTATTTTTTCTTTATTCTTAATCTCTCTTCCTCTCCTTGCTAGAGTTTAGGGTACCATCCAAGGGGGAAATTAAAGATTTGGCACGTCATGTGTGTATAACCAAGGATAGCAACTCGCTCCTAAACCGTGTAACCTTTTCTCAGTCTGCCTGTTGCAGTCAGCTCCCCAAGTCCTAGGAGCAAGACTCAGAAAGTGTGAGTGAATGCAGTGCAAACCCAGCTTTCGTGGAGAAAGCAACCAGGGGAGGTGCCTTCCAACTCAGGCACAGCAGCTGAGTTCACTGCCAGCCCGATTACTCCGGAGGCAACAGATGTGTTGCAGATGCCATTCTGCATGATCTTCCTTTTCACCCTGGAATGGTGCCAGGCACACTGCAGTTCCAAAGGAAGACTTTGGATGTGGATATGAAACGCCTTACCCCACTACACCTCTGCCCTCCTTCCTTTCAATCCTCCCTCCCTCCAATGCCTTAGACATCCAGAGCCTTTATGTTGCCCTGCGGCTGCACAAATCCTCCCTTTGTACTAGACCCAGGCTCAGAATGAACTCATCTTGCCCTTTCCTGCCCTAGCCATCCTCCCACCCTTTAGGGTCCCGAGATAAATTGGAAGTAGGGGTGATATGAAACCCACAGAGGCATTTTCCTTGTCCAGGAATGCCCTGGTTCACAAAATATAAAGCACAGCTAAATCCTAAAAAGTCAATTGGAAGGGCTTCCATTTTAATCAATATGGCAGACTAGATATTCAGAGAGATTCCTTTCAGTACAGCACACTGAACTTTTCAAAAAAATTTAATGAACAGTTGAACTGTCAGGAAAGTAAAGGAATTCCTCAGTAAAGCCTGAACCCAGAGTGCAAGCAATACTATTGCTGGTATTTGTTGACCTCTGTTGGCCTACACCCTGGATTTTAATGGGCTACATGCACAGGGGACAAGAATAGCCAAGTATACTTTTCAAAATGTTAAAGAAAACCACTATTTCTCATACAAATACATAGCAATGTTTGGCAGTGTTTGTTTGACTCATTAATAAGAGAACCAGAGAATGACAAAGCCAGTTGCCATTTCAAGGGAAGAGACACTAAATGTGTGTGTGTGCTGTTTGTGTGTATAAATATATATGTAATGTTGGATTATGATTTCTGAATAGTTTTAATGGCTTAATGTCATACAGGGCCAAAAAAAAAAAAAAGCCATAGCTTTTGGAATTATCTCCTTTACCAGACAAAAATTGTTTGCATCTCATCAGCAATTATTTTCTATAAACTAACATCTAACTTTCTAGAGTCATAAGCTTTCTGGGCTCTAATCAATAGAAATCGCAAAAGAAGAAAAGTTTCTTTCCCTTATCTAGAGAGGCAGATGACTTTGAAGCAGCTTGTTAAACGATGCCCTAAAATGACAACGTAGGGCAGGTGATCATCTTTTTCCCTTACTTCCAAATTTCAGGTAACTTTTCTTAATACTCCCCATTGTGTTTCTAGGTATTCTCCAAAGATTATTTAAAATCACATGCATGCAAAAAAAAAAAGGCAGGAGTCATTATGTGTTTGTTATTTGGCCTGGTCCACATACATAGAAAGAGCAGCAAGTGGTCTTAGGACACATAAGCCTCTCTATTGTGTGATCATCAAGAGGTGAGCATCTACTAAAGCCAGACAATTCGCTTCTTTCCAGCAAGTTCTTAAGGAATCCAAGTTTGCTTTCTCAATAGCCTCCATCATTCCAGAGATTTTAAAAATCACTCTTATTTTTTTCAGTTATTCCAAGGCTACAAAACCAAAATTCATCTCCACCAGATTTCATTTGTAGCAGCTATAAGTTAATACTTTTCTCCTTGGTGGTTCCCACATTTCCTAAATTCCTGGCCTGCCAAGAAGGGACTGTCCTTTTACCAGATCAGTTTCCTGGGAGCATTTTGCAGACATTTGTTCTACCTATGAAGTTAGGCCTATTTACTGATATGCTTATCATATCAGAAAAAATGAGATTGATTTTCAAATAACATATTGCAGGTTTGCCCTTGGTTATACAATCAATTTGTCTAATTATATTCTAGTTTAAAAATAAAAATAAGGAGACAGCTTTTTGTTAAGCTTATGCAAATAATTACATTGCCATGCAATGTAAAAAAGACTCAGGAAAATAGTTGATTCTGAATTTTGATATGTCAAAGGGAAAAAGATATCTTTTTTTATTTTTTAGATGAAGACTCGCTCTGTCACCCAGGCTGGAGTGCAGTGGTGCCATCTTGGCTCACTGCAACTTATGCTTCCCAGGTTCAAGAGATTCTCCTGCCCAGTCTCCCGAGTAGCTGGGACTACAGGTGTGTGTCATTACGACTGGCTAATTTTTGTATTTTTAGTAGAGATGGGGTTTCATCTTATTGGCCAGGCTTGTCTTGAACTCCTCACCTCAAGTGATCCACCTTCCTAGGCCTCCCAAAGTTCTGGGATTACAGGCGTGAGCCACCGCACCTGGTGGATATTATTTTTAAAGTGTTTCAGTTAGTGAGAATAGAGTCTAGTAAATCAAGAACTAGGAATACATCAAGAAACAAAAGTGGCTCTTTATATGCCCATCAGAAAACAGAATATCAAAACAATGCCAACAATATTTAAAACAAATAACCACATTTTATTTCTTTCATTGGTTAATTCAGACATACTTCATCAAGTCTTTATTTGCCAGATCTTGAATCAACAGTCTGCTTTCGGGAGTTCACATGCATCTGGACTAAAGAGCTTCCTGGGAAGTCTGATGCAGTCCCAATGTCATCTTTCAGTTGTCTACTTGTGGCCGTGGGTCTCCATGAGTTTACTCCTTGTGGAAACAATTGATAGTATCACTTGACACAGTGTTTTCTAGAATTAGCCTAAGACACTGCAATGGACTGACTGTTTATGTCCCCTCAAATTCACATGTTGAAATCCTAACCCCCAAGGCGATGGTGTTAGGAGGTAGGGCATTTGGGAAGTGTTCAGATTATAGGGGCAGAGTTCTCATTAATGGGGATTAGTCCCTTATAAAAGAGACCCCCAGAGAGATCACTCTCCCCTCTGGCTGGACAAGTAAGGTTACAGTGAGAAGACAGCTTTCTTCCAGAAACCCAGTTCTTACCAGACACCAAATCTGCCAGCACCTCAATCTTGGACTTCACAGCCTCCAGAACTGTGAGACATCAATTTCTGTTGTTTGTAAGCCACTCAGTTTATGTTATTTTGTTATAGCCACCTGAAGAGACTGCTATATTTTGTTATAGCAGCCTGAAGAACCTCCGTTTCAGAATTTCCAGTGAATCCTAAGCAGAATGAATAACATCAAATCCTTGTCTAGACAAATATTAACAAGGCTCCAGAGCACCAAGGCAAAGGAGATCTTATAAGCAATTAGAAAAAAGAGACAAATTATATACTAACGGGTGACAATTAGGTTGACAAGAGATTCTCAACACTAGCAACAGAAACCAGAAATAGTGAAACAATTATTTCAATGTACTGAGAGAAAATAACTAAGAATCTAGAAATATATAAGTAACAAAACTATCTTTTAAGAAAAATAAAGAAAAACGGTATATTTAAACAAATAAGAAACAGAATATTACCAACAATTCCTTCCAGGAACTTCTTAAAAATGTTCTCTGGATGGGAGGAAAATTATTGATCCTGGAAAGAAGAAATTAGATTGAAGAATGAGTGGTGAGCAAAGAAAATGGTTAAATGATAAATTGTAAAATCTCGATAAACACTAATATAAAGCAATGTAAATAACAATATATATAGTTTTAAAATATCAAAATAGATCTAAAATCCATTACAATAATAGTTTGTAAATGAGAAGTGATTGATGTTAAAATGTTCTAGGATCCTCATATTATTCAAGAGAGTGAAAATTGATCAGTTTTAGACTTATGATAAATTAGTCCCCAAAATTTCTAGAGTTTCCACTAAAAAATATTTATGAAAGATTTAACTTTCAAATAATAGAGAGAATGAGAAATGAAATACTGCTGGAAAAAAAGTCCGTAAGAAGGTAAGAAAAGAGAAGAAACAAGAAAACAGAGCCAATAGAACCTACAAAATAAGATGATAGACATGAATCTAAATGTGTAACTAAAATAAATGTAAACAAAATGAAGCCTCCAACTGAAAGATAAATATTGTCAGGTTTGACTTTTAAAATTTCAGCTATAAGCTATTTTTAATGGTCACACCAAAACATAAGGTCATGAAAATGTTGAAAGTAAAAGAAAATATATTTCAGACAAGCACTAATCAAAAGAAGATTTGAGTCACCGTATTAACTTCAGACAAAATAGACTTTAAGCTAAAAGGCATCATTAGAGATAAAGAAAGTCACTACATATAACGGAAAGACTCAATTCACCATGAAGAAATAATAGATCTAAATACGTGGGCACCTAATAAAAAAGTTTCACATTCAAACAATGCAAAATGACAGAACTAAAAGGAAAAATAAAAAAATTCATCATCATACTGGGAGATTTTAACACTCTTTCAAAAAACGGATCAATTGGCCTGGCGTGGTGGCTCCCACCTGTAATCCCAGTACTTTGGAAGGTCAGCGTGAGAGAATCACTTGAGCCTGGGAGGTCGAGGCTGCAGCGAGCCATGACTACGCTACTGCGTTCAAGCCTGGGCAACAGAGCAAGAGCCTGTCGTAAAAAACAAAACAAAACAAAAAACTCATCAATCAAGCAGCCAGCACTATCAAAATGACTAGAAAAATAAAATCTACAATCTTAATCTAATGGAGATATGTGGAATAGTATACCTAATGAGTGAAGAACACGCACATTTTCAAGCATATGTGAAACTTTTAGAAAAACTGGTTGTATCCACGGTTATAAAATAAGTGTCAAAAGTTTTCAACATAGTAATATCATACAGATCACATTCTTTGGCTATAATATTATGGGGTTATAGATAACTAATAAAAACACAATTCTGAGACAGGTACATGGAAAATTAAAGCTATGTTTTAATTTAAAATAGAAAATAATTTAAAATAGAAAACAATAAAAATAGAAAATAATTTAAAAATTGTTACAATAACGTATGTTATATCTAAAAATAAATCTAATACATAATATTTATTATCTTTATGCCATAAATTAGAAACTTTTCTTTAAACACTTTAAAGAAGACCTAAATAAATGGAAATATATGCCAAAGTTATGGATAGAACACTCCCTCTTGAAAAGATATCTGTTCTCTTTAAATTTGTCTGTTTGCTGTATGGAATTCAAGTCAAAATCCCAACAGGTTTGACTCCTAAAATTTATATGGAAGAATAAAAGATCAAGAATAGCTAAGACACTTCTGAAGAAGAATCAGGTGAAATAATCTACAATGCAGTAGAAATTAAGATAGTGTGGTAGTACCAGCGGGGAAAACAAGTAGACAAACAGAATAGAATAAAGGTGCAAAAAAGACTCACACAAATATGGGAACCAAACATAGCTGGTACCCACTCTCAGCGGAAATCAATGGATTGTTTAACAAATGATTAAAGCTGTGCTAGTTTATTTTTCATATGAAAAGTAAAAAAAAAAAAAAAAGAAAAAGGAGGCCAGGCATGGTGGCTCACAACTGTAATCCCAGCACTTTGGGAGGCTGAGGGGGCCGGATCACTTGAGGTCAGGAGTTCGAGACCAGCCTGGCCAACATGGCTAAACCTTGTCTCTACTAAAAATACAAAAATTAGCTGGGCATGGTGGTGCACGCCTGTAATCCTAGCTACTGGGGAGGCTGAGGCATGAGAATCACTTGAACCCAGGAGGCAGAGGTTGCAGTGAGCTGAGATCACACCACTGCACTCCAGCCTGGGTGACAGAGTGAGACTCCATCTCAAAAAAAAAAAAAAAAAAAGAAGGGAAGATCGCTTGAGTCCAGGAGTTCGAGACTAGCCTGGGGAAAAGAGCAAGACACCTGTCTCTTCAAAAACTAAAAAATTAGCTGGGCGTGGTGGTGTGTGCCTGTAGTGCCAGCTACTGGGGAGGCTGAGGCAGAAGGATTTTCTGAGCATAGGTGATCAAGACTGCAGTGAGCTGTGATTGTACCACTGCACTCAGCCTGGGTGACAGAGTGAGACCCTTTCTAAGAAAATAAATAAATAAACAGAATATTGAAAATTTTAATTACATTAATATTAAGAACTTTTTCAAATCAAAAGATACCATTAAAAGAGAGAGATAAAACATACCATGAATTGAGAGAAGATACTTAGAATACGTAAATCAAGAACTAGTTTCCAGAATATAAAAGAAATCCTATAATTCTCTAAAAAAAAGGCTTTAACAAAAGGCATTTCACATAAATAACATGGATGCATAATAAACATATAAAACATTTTTTAACCTCATTAGTAACTAGGGAGGGAATACAACCAAAACCCATAATGAGATTTCATACTGCCCAGATTGAACCAAATTTAAAAGTCTGACAAGAAGGGTTAAAGATTCAGGGCAACAAAAGCTCTCAGTCTCTGCTGGTGAGAGAGTAAATTGGTAGGACCACTGTGGAAGAAGATGAGCATTATTAAGTACAATTGAAGATGCGCAAACCTGTGAAGCATCAATCTGCCCCTAGGTATGTATTCTAGAGAAACTCTCACACACCCACATCTGGAGACACACACAGAATGTTTATAGTAGCATTATTCCACTAACAAAACTGCAAACAACCAAAATGCTCATCCACAGTAAAATGGATAAATTATGATGCATTCAAGCAATGAAATATTAAATATAAAAAATATTTTATTCCCACATGTATCAACATGGATATACCTCAAAAGCATTATATTAGATCAAAAGCAAGTAGCAGTATGATTAAGTTTATGTAAGTTTAAAACACAGGCAAATCTAAATAAGCAAAAGCTTAGGGATACATGCATTTGTGGTAAAACTCTGAAGTGAATGAAAATGAGTAATAGTGGCTGGGCGCAGTTGCTCACGCCTGCAATCCCAGCACTTTGGGAGACTGAGGCAGGTGGATCACTTGAGGTCAGGAGTTCGAGACCAGCCTGGCCAATGTGGTGAAATCCCATCTCTACTAAAAGTACAAAAAATAGCCAAGTGTGGTGGCAGGCACCCATAATACCAGTTACTCAGTAGGCTGAAGCAGAAGAATCACCTCAACCCAGGAGGCGGAGGTTGCAGTGAGCCAAGATCATGCTTCAGCCTGGGTGACAGAGCGAGACTGTCAAGAAAGAAAGAAAGAAAGAGAGAACGAACGAAAGAAAGAAAGAAAGAAAGAAAGAAAGAAAGAAAGAAAGAAAGAAAGAAAGAAAGAGAGAGAGAGAGAGAGAGAGAGAGGAAGGAAGGAAGGAAGGAAGGAGGGAGGGAGGGAGGGAGGGAGGGAAGGAAGGAAGGAAGGAAGGAAGGAAGGAAGGAAGGAAGGAAGGAAGGAAGGAAGGAAGGGAAAAACAAAAAGAAAAGAAAAGAAGTAATAGACAATTGAGATTCAGGACAGTGATTACCTCTGAAGAAAGTGAACAGAGAATGATTGGAGTGGGGCTCCCAGGGAGATCCAAGGGGCTTGGAAATGTTTTATTTCTTAAAATGGGTGGCAGGTCCATGGTTATTTATTTTTCTTTGAGCTATAAAAGTACATTATACACCCTCTTGTAAGCATGACAAATTTCACATGCACACAAATCCATTTTAAGGTCAATCAGTATGGAAATAAGCAACATGGCTCAGAGTGAGGGAGCGTAAGAGTTTCCTGGATGCCCTGTTACTTCCCTTGGAGAAACACTTGCTGTGCACCTGCCACATGCTAGGAACGGTGCAGCTGAGCAGACTCCCTCCTGGCTCCTTCGTCCCTCCTCGCCCTCTTGGGGATGGGAGAAAAAAGCCACTTGTGCTCAGAGTTCCTACATCCTCTGTCTACATTACTCTGGAGATGGTCACACAGGCTTGCTTTGCCCTTTGTGATTCTTTTCTCTCCCTCACCACTCTGAAATTGCTTCTGAGGGTTGGATCTATGTTTTATACTATCCTTTATTTCTTCAGTGACCGGAATGCATACGTGGATACACAAATATTTAACTTCACACACACTTTCCTGTCTTTTTTTCCCTAAACCTAGATAGGAATGTGATTTCAGAAAGAAAGGAGTTAGGAGTGCAGTTTTGTGGATTATTGATTATGTTTTGTTACTGTTAATGATAATAGTAGAAGTTCAGTGGTTGAGCAATCCTCCTGAGCACAGGGGACCTTCAGGTTACTCAAGGGAGCCCTGATGGGGGAGTGTGCTGGCCACAAGCCTTAGCCCTGGGCAGGCATCGGGCAGAACAACCGCCTGCCTGGGGTGAATCCCCGCCACCACCCCTACTAGCACCAATAGAACCTAGATGTCTTTCTACCTGCCCCATGCAGCAAATAAGATAAGGGAAAGTCTGTGTGGGTCTCCTTGCAGCATCCCTTGTTTTTAGAGAAACCCTTGGGAAGAGTAGGTCTCTCTTCTTGTTCTGGGTGTTGTCATGCCAGGAGGTGATTCTGGAATCGTTGTAGCCATCTCATGCCCAATCGGAGATTGAAGCTAATACCGAAGGCCAAATCTCAGTGGCTTACAACACAAGGGGTTTATTGCTCGCTCATGCTGTATATCCAACATGGATGGGCTTTGCCTGGGTCTCTGTTCTGAGGCCAGTCTATGGAGACAGCTCTTGTAGGGGACCTGCTCATCTTAGCAGAGGAAAAGAGACATGAAACCTTTAAATATGACACTTAAAGCTTCTGTTTGAAATGGATCTTGTCTCTTACACATTTCACTAGCCCAAATAAATCACATGGCCAAGCTTGAGTGAACAAAGGGGGTGGCATAATCCTAACACAGGGGGGCTGTAAATATTTGGGGACAATTATACAATCTACCAAGGACGGCAAGAACCTAAGAATCTGGGTCCTCGTGACATCACTGAGTCATACTTTATAACTGTCTAGTTTGCCATGTCTGTGGACCTACCCGTTACGTGAGATTTTTTAAAGTTGCCTTTCTCACTCTTCATTGTTTAGACTGCAGAGGTTGGAGTGGCCTCTTCCGAGAACAATGGTATTTCCACACTTTTGTCCTTTAGCCTAGGATGCTCAAGTTCTCTGATGCTTTGACCCAACAAATAAATATCCCATAGTGACCCTTAAGCTTTATAAGCAACCTCAAGGAGGTCCAGGAAAGTTTTGGGGAGCCGGGCCAGTTAGCAGAATTTCCAGGCTCACAATTCAAACAATTTTCTGCATCTTTATCCTAGAAAATCATAAAGGTATATGATAGTTTTCATTTAGCCGGCAAACAATTCCTTTTGAAGCACTCCCACCCACTCTCTTCCAGGCCAAGCTCCTGTGTCCTTCAATGTGTGCTTTAGGCTGATTCTTATTAATGGCTGTTCTTTCATTGTCATCTCCATAGAAAGCCTTCCTGGACTCCGCCAAGATGGTCAGTTGCAAATGACAGAAAAACAACCTAACTTCAACACACTTAAGAAACAGGGAGCTTTTTTAGCAGGCCCCTGAGATACCACCCGGAATTGAAGGACGTGTGTCCCCAGGACATTGGCTAGGGGAGGGATGGGGCTGGGCCTCAGAAAAAAACTGCCTCCAGGGAATGATAAGCCATTGATTCTCCTCCCCTCCCCTCACCTCCCCTAACCTCCCCTCTCCTCTCCTCTCCTCTTCCTTCCCTCTCAGGACAGACCGGCTACTTCCACATGGCACAGATCTGTCTGCTGTGAGCTCTCAAGTTTTATGTTTTCCGACTCCACCACCAGGAAGAGAGAGGGGCCCTGTTTCTAGTTCAAGTTCTACCTTGCCAGGGAAAGCTCTGATAGGCCTGGCTTGGGTCAGATGCTCACCCCTAGTCCATCAACCACGGCCAGGGTTTTACCATTGGCCCAACCTGGGTCAGGAGTCCAAGCCTGTTCCAGGGCCAGGGGTGCAAGGACACAGCAGCTCCTGTCGGAGCCACAGACTGGAAGCAGGAAAGGAGAAATACTCAGGGGAGCTGTTCTTAGAAGAAGGATGGGGGTTGCTGGTCAGACAAAAAGATAAGTGTCCATTCTATCTTCCACAGCACTTAGTGCTCTGTGTTGATTCTATGTCTGCTCACCTATCTCCCCGCACTGAGTCAGACCCCGGAGGGTAGAGACTGTTTCCCCCAGTGAAAATCCACCACAGGCAATGGCTGCAAGGAACAAGCTCTCTCACTCAGTTGAGGCTTGGCCCTGTACATCGTGGGGAAATTTATGAGAGTCTCAAATCCCTAATCTGTAAGATTTCAATAATATCTTCTTCAAAGTTTGCTATGAGGCTTGAAAGAGATAAAGTGTTAAAGTACCTGGCATGTAGTAAGTACTCAATACATGTTGAATAAAGAGTAATTACCAAACCCCTAAGACTCTTTCAATCTTTGGTACTTAGTTGACTCCAACTGCAGAGTTCAGGGACCCCCAAAATGAATGAACCTCACTTCTGATACCAATTGCAAGGTTAGAGGCCCCCCCAAACCACCCCTGTGTTCTGTAATTCACTAAGAGGACTCATAGAACCTTCCATGGTTATGGTTTATCGCAGCAAAAGGACACAGGCTAAAATCACAACAAAAGGATGCGGGTTAAAATCAGCCAAGGGAAAGAACCCCTGGGGCAGGGGCCAGGGAGGTTCCAAGCATGAAGTTTCTACCCCCAGTGGAGTCACAACTCTCAGCAACTATGTGTGACAGTGGCAGACTATTGAGTATTGCCAGCCAAAGAAGCTCACCCAAGCCTTGGCGTCTGGAGATTTGACTGGGGCACCATCATGTGGATGTTTGTGGCTGCCCATGTGGCTGAGCTCAGTCTCCAGCCCTTCCCAAGGTCAAGCTGATACTGTATGACCCAAAGCTCCCCCACAAATCATATTGTTAGACCATTTGGTGCCACTCAGAACCCACAGAGAAACAGGCTCTTATCAGGCATGGCATTCCAAGGGCTTAGAAATCACCTCTCTGGAGTGGAGGCCAAAGTGCCGAACGCTCTTTGGGTAAGGTTCATTGTTTAGTAGACAGCCATAAATTTCTTGTGTTATCAGGTCTGACTCTTGCCTCAATAAATCCTGCAGGCAAGGGCTGTGTCTTTTTAAAAACCTTTTTTTTTTTTAATTTTAGGTACATAGTAGGTGTGTATTTTTAGGAGGTACATGAGATGTTTTGATACAGGCATGCCATGCATAATAATTACATCATGGAGAATGGGGTATCCACCCCCTCAAGCATTTATCCTTTATCCTTTGTATTACAGACAATCCAATTGCGCTTCTTTAGTTCTTTCAAAAGGTACAATGAAGTTATTATTGACTATAGTCACCTGTTGTGCTCTCAAGTAGTAGGTTTTATTAATGCTTTCTATTTTTTTGTACCCATTAACCATACCCTCCTCACCTCCCTTGCCCCATACCCTTCTCAGCCTCCAGTTACCATCCTTCTACTCTCTATGTTCATGAGTAACATTGTTTTGATTTTTAGATCCCACAAATAAGTGAGAACGTGCGATGTTTGTCTTTCTGTGCCTGGCTTATTTCACTTAACATAAGGATCTCCAGTTCCATGAATGTTGTTGCAAATGATAAGATCTCATTCTTTTTTATGGCTGAATGTACTCCATTGTGTATATGTACCACATTTTCTTCATTCATCTGTTGATGGACACCTAGATTGCTTCCGAATCTTAGCTATTGTGAACAGAGCTGCAACAAGCATAGGAGTGCAGATATCTCTTCAAAATACTGATTTCCTTTTGGTGGGGTATAGACCTAGGAGTGGGATGGCTGCGTCATAGGGAAGCTCTATTTTTAGTTTTTTGAGAAAACTCCAAACTGTTCTCCATAGTGGTTGTAGTAATTTACATTCTCACCAACAGTGTACAAGGGTTCCCTTTTCTCCACATCCTCACCAGCGCTTGTTATCAAGGGGCTGTGTCTTGTCTCACGTCTTCATCAAACCATCTAATTTAGGATAGAGCCTTTTGCAATTGTTCAGCAAACAACTGATACCAAAATCAATTGAAACCTATTATAAGTCAGCATAGACAAGAAAATGAACTCCCCTTGTGCACATGAATGATGAGAACAAGCGGGAGCTTGGGTGGAAAGGAACCCTGGAGGGTGAGTGTTTGGGGAAAGAAGCCAGTGGTATATTTTGGAAAAGTAGGCAATTAAAAAAAAAATAGTTTTAATGGCATTTGCTTTGCTTTCTAAGTAGCTCTATATTCACAAATTCAAATTCAAAACATACAAAAGTATATGCATCAAAAATCTTCTTCCCAGATGGGCAATTTTAAAATGGAATTTTGAAGACGAAAACATCTATTCACTTACTATCCCCTCCCTTCTACCCCCCAAAAATATTCCGCTTTCAGGAATGGTTTGAGGGTAGGTTATTATTGTTTTGTTTTTATCAAATGAGCTACATATAAAAACAATCATCTACATTTTAAATTGTGTGTCCTGCTCTCTTCCATGGGCAAGGATAAGGTCGAATTTATTAGAAAATACTCTTCTTGGGCCGGGCGCGGTGGCTCAATGCCTGTAATCCCAATACTTTGGGAGGCTGAGGCGGGTGGATCATTTGAGGTCAGGAGTTTGAGACTAGCGTGGTCAACATGGTGAAACCCCGTCTCTACTAAAAATACAAAAATTAGCAGGACATGGTGGCACACACTTATAATCCCAGCTATTCGGGAGGCTGAGGCAGGAGAATTGCTCGAGCCTGGGAGGCAGAGGTTGCAGTGAGCCAAGATGCACCAATGTACTCCAGCCTGGGTGACAGAGTGAGACCCTGTCTCAAAAAGAAAAAAAAAAAACTTTTATTCTAAGATAGTAAGTAGCCTTGCTCTTAGACTCTTCCCTGTGTATTTGGACTGACTTGGGCACCTTCCTTTGAATGATGAAAGGCTACCTGACCTTGAAGCAAGGATATAAATCCACACATGCTCTCCGTATTTGATGAGTAGATCTTCCTCAATGCCTCTGATCAGTTGAACTTTATTTTAATTTGAGAAATCATGTATTTTTCATCACTTTATTTGCCTTCCCAGTTAGAGGGCTTTGTCCTCACACAGGCTTCCTGTTATTTACCTGGCAAATAAAGCAACAATATTCTAGGCCTGTTTGTCTCCAGGAAGCCTGCTGAAGTGCTATTAGCCAGAAGAGTGTGTCCAAATGGAAGCATGCAGGTTAATAGAGACCAGCCTTTGCAAACAGCAAACAAAGTCCAGCTGGCGGAAGACAGGACGAAACCATATTTCAATTACCTGTTTGTTCAGAAACCGTGTGGAGTGTGTCTGGGGCATGCTTCTTTTAGAAGAGCCTCCCCATATGCCCACTGCACTTCTGGGCACCTGTCATCAAACCTGGCAGCAACTGTTTGTCTTTTCCCTGCCTCTTCTCACTGCCTGTGCTGGGAAAACAGAAGGACAGAAAACAAAGCCCTGAGGGCCAATTAACCCACAGCGCCACCCCTCACTCCCAGCCATTCTTCCCAAACACTCAGACACATGTTTCTGATGCACTGTTGGGGACTCTCTCTTTCCCACCCAGCATGCGGATGGCGCCCCTTGGCCTTGCAGTCTGCAGAGGGACGTGCAGTCTGGCCTGGATTTGCCTCCTGGTTCTCTGTGCCAGGTGTATTCATCTGTTCAGGCTGCTGTAACCAAGTGCCACAAACTGGGGGCTTACACAACAGAAATGGATTATCTCCCAGTTCTGGATACCGGAAGTCTGAGAACAAGGTGTCAGCAGAGGTGGTTCCTGCCAAGGCCTGCGAGGGAGATTCTGTTCCTTGCCTCTCCCCTGGCTTCTGGTGCTTGGCTGGTGATCTTGGTGTTCCTTGGCTTCTGCTGCGTCCCCCCATCTCTGCCTTCATCTTCACATCATATTCCCCGTCCGTCTATGTTGGTCTCTGGGTCCAAAGTTTCCTTTTATAAGGACATCAGTTGTGTTGAAATAGGGCCCACCCTACTCCAGTATGAACTTATCTTAATGAATTTCATCTGCCATGACCCTATTTCTAAATATGGTCAAATTTTGAGGTATTGGGGGTTAGCTGTCAACATTTGAACTTTGAGGGAAACACAAGTCACTTTGTGATATGGTTTGGCTCTGTCCCCACCCAAATCTCATCTTGAATTGCAGCTTCTATGATTCCCATATGTTGTGGGAGGGGCCTGGTGGGAGATGATAATTGAATTATGGGGTCACTTTCCTTTATACTGTTCTTGTGGTAGTGAATAAGTCTCACAAGATCTGATGGGTTTTTTTGTTTGTTTGTTTGTTTGTTTGTTTGTTCGTTCGTTTGTTTGTTTTGAGAGGGAGTCTCCCTCTGTTGCACCCAGGCTGGAGTGCAGTGGCACGATCTCAGCTCACTGCAACCTCCGCCTCCCAGGTTCAAGTGATTCTCCTGCCTCAGCCTCCCGAGTAGCTGGGATTACAGGTGCCTTCCACCACGTCCAGCTGATTTTTTGTATTTTTAGTAGAGATGGGGTTTCGCCATATTGGCCAGGCTGGTTTCAAACTCCCAACCTCAGGTGATCCAGCCGCCTCGGCCTCCCAAAGTGCTGGGATTACGGGCATGAGCCAACGCGCCTGGCCGATCTGATGGTTTTTTAAGGGGAAACCCCTTTCACTTGATTCTCCTTCTCTCTTTGCCAGCTGCCATGTAAGACGGCCCTCTGCTCTTCGTCTTCTGCCATGATTGTGAGGCCTCCCCAGCCCTGTAGAACTGTGAGTCAATTAAACCTCTTTCTTTTGTAAATGACCCAGTTTCGGGTATGTCTTTATCAGCAGTGAAAAAACAGACTAATACACCTTGGAAAACCAGGTGAGTGATCTGGACAGGTTTTTCAACCTCTCATATCCTTGGTGTCTTTAAAATCAGGAGACGATGCTCATCTGAGGCGTGAATTTGGTAGTTTTGCACAGCACCTAGCACATGAAAGACATTCGATATTTCTTCAAACAATCACAAGACTCCAAGATTGTTACCCTATTGTAGCTAGATCAGTTTGGCCCATGATGGTTTCACTTACCGGATTCTACTTCTGTTTTTAGAAAATGTTCTGCTGCTTAAACACAAACAAAACAAACCACTGATCTAAGAAGTACTGATCTAACAAAAGCAGCACTTTTCTGACATTAGCACTTGTCCCTGTCCCTCGCTTCAATATTCCTGCTCAGTATAACATTCCAGAATGACTCTTCTGAGTGATGGGATGATCAAAACTAAATTAACAACCAGGACTCCAGGACTACAGAGTCTGACACAAGATCAGAAGAGCAGGAGCCAGTCCCAACCAGCTCTGGTTCTGACCAGCAGGGTGACTTTGAGCTTCAGGATCCTCCTGTATGAAGAGGGATAATTCTACCATCCCCCTCTGCTCTATGGAAGAGCAAGCAAAAGAATTTATGTAAAAGCCCGCTGTAAAGTGTATACTGTGAACAAGAATGGAACATTCTGTCTTGCCAGGCTCTGTGATCAGAAATATGAGAAGAATTCACTCCACATGCATACCTCTTCTCCACTATTTGTCAATTCCATGTTGTATTGATCCCAAAAGCCACTAAATCCATTGCTTCACATGGATTTACAGGCCAGAAGGAGACCCATATAGCCGATATCATTTATTATACCTTATTCCACCACAAAATCAATATAAATGTGTCATGAAAGATCAAAATTCTTGTGAGTCTGCACCATATCCATAAACTAAGCAAAGTTTTGGGATTTCTGGTTTAATTTAGCCATAAGTATCAGGAAATAGAGAACAGGAAATTGAGCAAAAAGAAACCGAACAAAATCAAAAGAAGTCAGAATCTGAACGAAACACAAGGCCTAGGGATTTCACTGCTCAGCAGTGGGTCCTGGGCGTGGTGGGCTACTGGGTTTGTGAGTCCAGTGAACCATACCTCCTGATTCATACCTTGCTTGGTTCCCTCCACTTCAGTGTCAGCTGGGCCTGTGACTAGTCGGCTTGAACCAACGAAGTGGCAGAAGGGACGCTGTGTGGTTGGGAGCCTAAGCCTTAGGAGGACTTGGCAGCCTCCACTTCTGTGTACCTGAGAGCCCTGTGCTACCACGTTAGAATCTGAACCTCCTGCTGGAGAGGCCACATGGAGAGCACAAGCCCTGAGACTACCTGCAGAAGAACCAAAGAACCCAGGCCAGTGGGAAGAACTGAGGTCCCAAAGACATGACCTCAAGAGAGCCATTCCAGCCACCTCCAGCCATTTGAGCCATCCTTGCTGGGGCACTGGACATGGGGTGAAGATGCCACCCTGAACCTGTCCCAGCAGACACCACTTGGAGCAGAGAGAAGCTCAGAGGGCCACTGAGTTATGCAGCAGTGGCTCACAGAACAAGGGTTGAAGAAGCCAGGACAGGGGGTCCAGCTGAGGTCAGCTGGGCTCTGCTTCTAACAATTCCTAGTTGGAGCTGAAAGCAAGTATGGGCAAATTAAAACTCTCAAGGGGCAAGTTAGGAAGCAAAAAGAGGAGTTACTTGGGGCAAAATAGAGAATTCATAGATGCCCTACATACAAATAGAAGGAGGAAAGATGAGGAGAGGGACTTAGGAGGAAGGAACTGAGATGCTCTAATGGGGAATTTGATTAATTTCTTCTTCTCTATTATTTCAGGAAACCTTCAATACTGCTATCCATTTCTTGTGACTACATCACAAAGGTAGATGTTTGAGAGATGCACCTAAGAGCTGGGTGATACACTCAGGTGACACCTGCTCCTCGAAAGTTGTGTGCAGAAGCCCCAGGGAACTAAGGATTTTCCTCTTTGATTGGCTAAATCATGTTAATAAACTTTTGTGATTCAAAGATTTTCCTGCTCAAAGCATCCACGTAACCCCAAAGATGCTCCAGGAAGAGGCAATCCAGTTCTAACACAACCTAGCTAAATTATTTGCATGGATAAGGCCAACCTCAGGTAATATAAATCCAATGCCTTTTTCAGTGATGACCAAGGTAAGGCAGGCCCCAAAAGAGCCCTGGGAAGAGAAAGCCAGGGCAGATGTAGTCTTCAGGAGCTCATGGAATGGTCCAGAATTATGGGCAATTATCGCTCAAGAGGTCAGCATGCCAGAAGCCAAGCTTCAAACACCACCCTGTGCCTTCAGAATCTAACTTCAGCCAGATTCAATACACATGGTTTCTTACTTATATCCACACCAGCCGCAGCTATCTTGGTCTTGGGTTTTCTTGGGATTTTGCCATTTATTTGGCTCAGATTTTACCATTGACTACTGGCACTCTGCTACTGATCCAGGCCCTTCCATACTCATGCTCTGCTCTCCTTCAATCCATCTGCCCAGGGCTGACATCAGCACGGGTCCCTGTCCCTAGCTTCAATATCCCTGCTCAGTATAAACATTCCAGAGTGACTCTTCTGAGGGATGGGATGATGAAAACCAGATTAGCAACCAGGACTCCAAGGAAGTGAGAGGGTTTGAAGCAAGCCAAGCAGGCAGTTGAGAGACAGAACCTCCAGAAGAACATGGACATTGGAGAGGAAGGTAGGGCAACCAGGAATCTGAAAAACAGCAGGAATCCCAGACAAGCAAGAATCCAGCCAGCCTTCTCTAAAGATCCAAGAGGAGCAAGTCAAGAAACCAGGGGAGAAGGCTGGACACAGCCCCAATGCAATATCATGTGCACTGTTGTGGAAAAGAAAAACGACCCTGAAAGCGAAAAGCGAAAAACAAGAAGCCCTTGACCCTAAGGCATACATTTAAACCATCAGAGGATCTTTTCCATAACTCTGTCTCAGGGACGGGAAGACAATCAAAAGAGGAGCTGGGTGGCTGCACCTGCCCGGACATGAAGACAGGGCAAAGGTTGGGATGAAGGCAGGTTGGGGACATCACTCTTTACTTTGGTCCCTACATTCCTTGATGTTGAGTCAGGCGACATGAGTGGTATTGGAAGTGGCCTCCTATGCCCAAGTGAATGCCCAGCTTTACTCTGAATGTGGCCTCTGTGCCATTCACGGAGACCCATCATCTCCTCATCATCTCTCCTTAGACCTGTATAGTTATTTGATTGGATTTTTAGAAAGGGGAATGTCAGTGGCAAGAACAGAAAGTTCATAGTCCCCATGATATGCTGAACAGGACAAAGAAAAGGAAATGTCACTACCCTCAAAAGACAAGTCACACACCGACCCTTCCAATCAAAAACACAACAGAGTGGCAGCTTGTCCTTTGCATGTGATCCTCAGACTCACCTTGCAGTGCATCAGGCTGAGTCACATTTGGCCAACATTGAGGGGTGGCTGTAAAAGTTGCCCCTCCATGGCCCTCTGGTTATTCCATGCCACAGGCCTGCCCAGCGCCATTCAGCTGCAGGGCCACCATGTCTTCAAAGACCACACAAATAACAGACTGTCAGAAATCTGCATAAGACTAGGAGAGATTGTGAGGCCAAACAAGAATGTCTCCCTCTGCAGAACCCTGCTGCAAACTGCCCCTTAGTTGATCTGAAAGGAGGACAAGCTCTGTCTATGTGGGAGGAAGAGCAAAGTGTTTTCCTTCTGGTGTCTCTGAGCAGATAATTGGAGCCAGAGTGACGGGGAGGGAGCAAATTCACACCAGAGCAGCTGTTTCTTCTGCCTGTTTTGAAACTCATTGCAAAAATAATAGACTTCAAGGATGGAAGTGCACTCAGTTGCCATGCCCAAGATGGCGGTGTCATCTCACATAGCAAAGGGAATGGTGCTCTCCCTGGCCAATTTTGCATTTTAATGCCGAGAGGCAGCTGTCTTGTCGACAGCAGTTTCACTGTGTTTTAAGAGAGTTTCTTTCATATACCTCCTCATTCACAGTGGAAAATATTGTCTCAAAGAGCCCTTAGAAGTGCTTTATTAGAAACCTAAAGTTTTAGGCCGGGCACGGTGGCTCACACCTGTAATCCCAGCACTTTGTCAGGCCAAGATGGGCAGATCGCTTGAACCCAGGAGTTCAAGACCAGATGGGGCAATGTAATAAGACTTCATCTCTACAAAAAATAAACAAAATTAGCCACATGTGGTGGCGTGCACCTGTGGTCCCAGCTACTTGGGAGGCTGAGCTGGGTGGATCGCATGAGCCTAGGAGGTTGAGGCTGCAGTGAGCCAAAATCACACCACTGCACACCAGCCTGGGAGACAGAGCAAGACCCTGTCTCAAAAAAGAAAAAGAAACCTAAAGTTTTGAAAGGTGTTATGGATTGAATTGTGTTCCCCTCAAATTCATATTCTGAAGCCCTTATTCCCCAGTACCTCAGGATTGTGACCTTATTTGGAAATAGGGTCATTGCAAGTATAATTAGTTAAGATGAGGTCATACTGGTGTAGGGTGGGCTTCTATTCAAACATGACAAATATCCTTATAAATAGGGAAAATGTGGCCACAGATAGTGGGAACATGCCACATAAAGATGAAGGCAGAGATCAGGGCAGTGCTTCTGCAAGCTGAGGAGCCCCGAAGATTGCCTGCAAACCATGGACGCTGGGGGAGAGCATGGAACGGGTGCAAACCATGGACGCTGGGGGAGAGCATGGAACAGGTGCAAACCATGGATGCTGGGGGAGAGCATGGAACGGGTGCAAACCATGGATGCTGGGGGAGAGCATGGAACGGGTGCAAACCATGGATGCTGGGGGAGAGCATGGAACGGGTGCAAACCATGGATGCTGGGGGAGAGCATGGAACGGGTGCAAACCATGGATGCTGGGGGAGAGCATGGAATGGGTGCAAACCATGGATGCTGGGGGAAAGCGTGGAACATGCAAACCATGGACGCTGGGGGAGAGCATGGAACGGGTTTGCTCTCGCAGCCCGCAGAAGCCACCCCTGCTGACTTTGAAGACCTTGATCTTGGACTTCAGGTCTCCAGAACTGTGAGACATGACATTTCTATGGTTTAAGCCACCCGCTTTTTAGTACTTTGTTACTGCAACTCTAAGAAACTAATACACAAGACATTGCTGTATACAGATGAAAGAAAAGGACAAGTCAAATAAGCTGGTGCCACTTCATGAATTAGGTAGATTCTAAGTGTTGAAAGGGGTTAAAGAGCACATAATTCCAGGAGAAAAATATTTCACCTTCCAGGAATGTATTTTGTCACTGGGAAAACAAGATAGGTATTCAGGAATCGAGCCTTGGGTTTTTTTGTTTTTTGTTTTTTGGGTTTTTTTGTTTGGTTTTTTGTGTGTTTTGTTTTTTTGTTTTGTTTTGTTTTGTTTCTTCTGAGATGGACTCCTGTTCTGTCGCCCAGGCTGGAGTGCAGTGGCACGATCTCAGCTCACTGCAATCTCCACCTCCCAGGTTCAAGCGATTTTCTTGCCTCAGCCTCCTGAGTAGCTGGGATTCCGGGCACACGCCACCATGCACGGCTAATTTTTTTGTATTTTTAGTAGGGACAGGGTTTCACCATGATGGACAGGCTGGTCTCGAACTCCTGACGTCAAGTGATCCACCTGCCTCGGCCTCCCAAAGTGCTGGGATTACAGGTATGAGCCACCACACCCGACCTCTTACTTCCTTTTTGAAAAATAGCATCACTCATGATGTGATCTCAAGTCTCACAGTCCTGGTTCCTAGTTCTTTCTTATGTGTGGGCTAAGTCCCCTGGCCCAGGAACTGTGGCCAGAGGTCCCAGGCCTGAGCTGAGGGGAAGTCCCTGGGCCTACAGCATGGAAAGCTCCTGCCCCTTCCTGAACCCCCCCGCCTCCACCCCTTAGAGAGGTTGCAGGGAAAGGAGAGTACAAGGACTTGTAGCATTTGTCTACTGGCCAAACAGGTGCCAGAGCTCTCATCACCCACTAGTCACCAGCACAGAGCCCTCTACATGAGATACCAATTAGAGGATCAGGCTGGAAAGGCTGGGAGAGCCCAGTGAGCCCACCAATGAAGAACGTGAGGGAGGATCCTACCCTGTAGCCAAAGGGCAGGTATCAGAAGAGGACAAAGGCAAGTGGCAAGGAGGTGCCTGAAGGGCCACAGCCTCTGGTCATTGCAAAGCTTCCTTGAGCATCTCTGTTCCTATGATCTGGAATCTCCCATCCCAAGGACTGCCACGTAGTCTTCATCAGAGTGCTGATTAAGGGCAGAGGCCAGGGAATCAGCTGGCCTTGGTTCAAACCCTTCTCTGTCAGTTACTAGCTGTGTGACCTTGAACAAGTGACTCAACCTCTCTGAGTCTCACTTTTTTCAACTATAGTATGGAAATAGTAGTAGAGACTTTGGGATGGATTAAGTTAAATAACCCATCTAAAGGGTTTAGTACCTCATCAGGTACATGGTAAGTCCTCAATCCATGTTAACTCATTAATAAACTCACTTTTACACCTGAAAAAAGCATTACCCCCTTGCAGCCCATCTGGAAAATGTCCATCCTGCTTAATCAAACTCTCTCTCCTTGTTCACAGCAGCAAGTATAGGTTTTCTCTCTTTTTTTAAGAGACGGGCTCTTGCCCTGTCACCCAGGCTTGGAGTGCAGTGGCACGATCATAGCTCATTGCAACCTCAATGAGTTCTCTTTTTGTTGTGGCAGATCAGAGCAGACCCCATTAGATAGTGATGATTAGCTGTTGATTAGAGTCATTTCTACTATGGGATGAAAAGAAATCGCATTTCTCTCTGCCCGCCTCCAAATTCCAGGCTCAGCTCCCTGACAGTCTAGGGGTCAGAGAATTAGGCAGTGTGTTCCTCTGCACATGCAGAGAGAACGTTTGTTTGTTTGTTTGTTTGTTTGTTTTTGAGATGGAGTCTCCCTCTGTTACCCAGGCTGGAGTGCAATGGTGCAATCTCAGCTCACTGCAACATCCACCTCCCGGGTTCAAGTGATTCTCCCACCTCAGCCTCCTGAGTACCTGGGACTACAGGCAGGCGCCACCCTGTCATAGAGACAGGGTTTCGTCATGTTAGCAAGGTTGGTCTTGAACTCCTGACATCAGGCAATCCACCCACCTCGGCCTACCAAAGTGTGGGGATTACAGGTGTGAGCCATGGAGCCCAGCCCAGGGAGAGCATTTTTGTGCTTTAACAAAGCATGATATCAAAGTAATATGAGTAAGCTAGATGGCCAGAGAAAGAAACACTGGCAAGCTGCATTCTTTCAGAGCCAGACTACACCTGAATTGGGAGGAGCAGAGTGAGCGAGAGCAGATGAATTCAGCGATACTGAGATCAAGTGTGGCCAGCACATCTCTGCCCACATCACACAGCCAGCTGTCAGGTGAACTAGATTATATATAAGTAAACACATGTCTCTAACTGTTGAGTCAGGGAATATGAAGTCACATGGCTATGCCTGCAAGGGAGGCTGGGAAATGGCGTTCAGCTGGGCAACCATGTGCCTAGCTACAGTCTGCTATTATGAAAGGAGAAGACAGATGTTGGGGAACACACAGCAGTCTCTCTCACAAGGGGGTATAAAGAGAGAAGATCGAGGAGGGGAGCCAGGCACGGTGGCTCAGGCCTGTAACAATCCTCCCAGCTTGCAGCCAGGAGTTAGAGACTGTAGTGAGCTATGATGGCACTACTGCCCTCCAGCCTGGACAACAGAGCAAGACCCTATCTCTAAAAAACAGAGGAGGGAATTAGAGAGTGAGAACAGAGGTGAGAATGGAGAAGAAGAGTTAATTATAAGTAGAAGAAAAAACTCCAGTTGCTGAGGCAAAGCCCTGGGGTTGGATTCCAATCAGTGCCAACAGCATCATAGCAGTTGCTGAGTTGTTATTCTGGGGTTTAGGAAGAGGATGTCTGTGACTACAGTAAGAAAGGGGGGCCTATTCCATCTCCCGGGCCTTACCAGCCTCCACTTCAGGCTCATCTTGTTTCTGTCATGATTTTGTGCTTCCGACTCTTAAAATTGTTCTGCATTTTGTTCCCTTTTATTTGCCCACTGTCTTTAAACAACTCGACCAGACAACTTGAACAAAAGCTATGACTGAACAGGGATCATGAAAAGTGGGGGTCCTCTACTTCCACTATGAATGGAAAAGTATAGCACGCTTCCTTCCCTTTGCATAGTGGTCGTTTTTCAAAAGGTTCTTGCAGATGTTGTCTCAATTCCTTCTGTAACGAAACTGCAAGGCAGGGACAGACACTGTTAATAATAAGTAGTCAGGGTGCAGCCTCTGGGGTCAGACTGCCTGATTGAAATCTCAGCTCTGCCATTTATGAGCTGTGTGATCTTGGGGAACTCAACCCCTCTGAGCCTCATTTTTCTCAACTATAAAATGGGATACTAACAATATCTACTTGGAAAGATTGTTTAGTATCTATTTCTATGAGTTTTGTGTATTAAATGAAACAATTCTGTTTGGCACATGGCAAGCACTTTACAGGTAGGAAAACTGAGGTTCAACTAAAGTGATTTGCTTAAAGATTCAGAATCTGGTTTTCTAACTTCCAATTCTACTCTACCTCAAAGTATAGGTTTTGTGGAGCTCAAAGCAGGTAAGCGGCTTGTGGCATTAAATAAAAATTAATGTAAAATTATGAAACAGAACAAAATATATAGATCAGAGAAAAGAAACCCAAGGAATGGCGATGTAACACAGAAAAGAGCCAGGAAGGTAATGAGAGAAAAAGAATAGAGCTAGGCAGAGGGGAATCATGGCTGCCAGAAGCATGAAGAGCCTGAAGCTGTCATTTTCCAGAAAAGGAAACTGAGGCATGGGGCAGTCACATGCAACTCCAGCATACAGGGATGCAGCAATGTGGAAGGAAATGCATCCCCAGAATGCCAGAGAACTTTCTCATTCTGGTGATTCAGCCTCCCAAGTTCCTGGGGAAATTCTCTGGAAGGACTTTGGCATCTTCCCACTGGCTGCCCATCACTGCAGTCAGATAAGCACCACCAGTTCAGCGAGGAAAGCACACATCACAATGTGTTCTTCTTGCTTTTGTTTTATTTTAATCCCTCTAGGAACAGGAGACAGATAACCTTTCAATAATCTGAAATTCCAATAAAAAGAAACTCTCTCTGAAAAGTACACAGTGTTTGGGAAGGCTTTAGTATTTAGTAGACTTTAAAGATTTTCATCAGCCCTCCAATTTCTCTGTGTGCTTTGGAGGCATTGAGGGGAGTAATATTAGCTGAATAAAAGGTCACCACCACAAGAGTTGTTTTTAGCTAAATAAATTTGACATGGCAGGGTTGAAAGCTCTAGATAGATATTAAATTGCTGGTCATACTTGTGAGCAGGTGCAACTCTCATTTCCCACACCCCCAGGCAGCAGGGGAAGCTCTTTCACTCTATGATGGCTTGTAAATTTTTTTCCTCTCTGTTTTTACTCTTTTTCTACATTCTTGTCCTCATTTCCTCTATGATGCATTTCAAGCTTCACCTGGCTTTGCAACTATAAACATTTCCACTTAAATGCTGTGTTGCTGGTTCCCAAACTTGAATAGAATGATCTCAGGGCCTTTGGAGACACTGATTGCTGGGCCCCAGCCCCAGATTTTCTGATGCAAGACGTCTGCATGGGAACTGAGAACCAGTGTTTCTAACAAGCTCCCAGGTGATGCTGTTGCGCATAGTCCAGGAGCCACACTAGGAGAATGGCTGGCTTAGATCACCCTCCCTTGGCTGCACCCTGGACCCTGTCCTAGCCAAGGCCAGCAAATCACTCTGCACTTTTGTCTTCCTGTGGTTCCAAGGAGACTTTCCTCGTCAATATTGTAGCACTGCATTCAAGACCCAAAGATGCACCAATGAAGCTTCCATGGGGGTGCTGTGGAAGTCAGCTTGAGAGCTGAGCAATGCCAGGGGCACTAAGTCTTGGGCATCTCATCCCAAAGCCATCCCGGAAAGCACCCTGCTTGTTCTTTACTCCCAAGGCAGGTGTAGATTCCACGTTAGTCCTTAGGTTTGCGATATCTCTGGCTGGCCCCCAGGGTTGGCTTTGATCAGAGGCCCTGGAACCTGGAGCTGAGCAGTTCTCCCAGCCATCCACTGACCCAGGAATGCCAGAGACCTCCACACGGATCTCCCTCACCAGAGAGCTAGCACTGTCCCTTAGCTGACGGTGGGAGGATCCAGCAGGACATTTGTCTGATGCATTGGGTCTTAAGGATCCAGGAATTTTGAAGTCCAGTCTGACCAGCAGTCCTTACCTTAGAAATTGAAAAATAAATAAAACATAAGATTCATTTCAAGTTCCTCAGAAAGAAAGCAGTGAGAATCACTGAAAAAAAAAATACTGTTTTCCATTGAAAATGATAGATTAGATTAGAAATATTAGATGTATTTCTTAAAGGATTAAGTGAAAACCTTACTTGGGCATTCTAAATTCCTTAGTAGGCTGGTCATTTAAAAGGAAGCAATGAAGGCTCTTTGACTCTTCTACTTCACAGTCTGACAAAATCTGCAGTTTTCCTAGGAGGCTTCCGGTGTGTTCAAGAAGGCAGCGGGGCCGACACTGGTCTCTTACGTGCTGCCCTCTCGTGGTCACCCAAACACATGCAGCTAAAGCTTTCTTCCGATGCCGCTCATCTATTTGTTCAAATCCACAGGAACAGAGCCCAGGATAAAGGCGGACAGGTGATGGAGGTTGGCAACAGCACAGCTGACTCCACGGGTCTGAAACTATTGCTATGGCTGGCACTTCGTCAATGTGTGGGGTTCAGAGGAGGTCAAAAAAAATCATAGAGGCAAGAAACAGTGATTATTCTTTAGACTTTGTTAAGAGGAAATTTGGAAAGAAAACGTGTGTGTGTGTGTGTGTGTGTGTGTGTGTGTGTGTGTGTGTGTGTGTGTGTGTTATGCATATGAACACAGAGGTGGAGAGGGAGACAAACAGAGGAGAGATAATCTGATAGAGAGATTTTGTTCCAGTGCACTGCCCACGTGGTCTGGTAGGAAGAGCAGGTGGGTGAACTCGGGCAGGAGACAACACAGTTGCCTCACTACAAAATGATGTCCTTGAATAGATTATCTCTAAAGTCCCTTCCCATCCCAATTACGATTCTACTTAAAACAAAACAGAAAAGAAACCCCTTTCTTTCCCCGTGCTCATTTCACGCACCCGAGCTGATGGTCCTGGCTGCCCTTCTGCCTGCCTGCTCTCTTGCTTCTCTTTCCCTGTTTTCTAACAAAGAACTCCTTATGCCGTCACTTTGGCTTACATACATGCTGCCTTCTTTTTGAATCCATGGGATTTTCAATATGATGTACTAAAAGTTTCATTTTTCTTTTTGAGTCTCAGTCAAGGGTATTCCAATTGTCTTGTCTCTGAATTTTTTTTCCTTCTTTTCATGATCCCCTAAAACTTTCATGTGTATCTTACCCTGTTCTTTGTTGCTGGGAAAGATAAGTTCCTGGCCGAAAGCTGTCAGTGTCGGTCTTCAGCACAGAGCCTGTCTTTTAGGTGGGAAATACACCACGGTTATTCATTCCATTAATCTGCATATTGGCTTAGAGCGGCGATTCTCAAAGTGTGATCTGGGTACCCTCCAGGAGTTCCTGAAAGACTTCCAGGGAATCCATAAGGTCTACACTATTTTCAGAATAAAACCAAGATGCTTGCTTTTTTCCCTTCTCATTCCTTTATGAGTGAGTGTATGCTGGAGTTTTCCAGAAGCTACATGATATGTGATACTGCAACAGACTGACAGCAGTGGCGGATGTAAGATCAGCTATGTCTTCTATTTAGCCAGCTATTAAAGAGATTTCTGAAACTGTAGCACAATGACAGTCTTCTCGCTAGCATTTTTTGTTTTGAAAATATATGCCCTACCCTGAGCTTAAAAAAAAAATAAAAAAGAGGCCAGGCGCAGTGGGTCATACCTGTAATCCCAGCACTTTTGGGAGGCTGAGGCGGGCTGATCACCTGAGATCAGGAGTTCAAGACCAACCTGGCCAACATGGCAAAACCCTGTCTCCACTAAAAATATAAAAATTAGCCGGGTGTGGTGGCTCACACCTGTAATCCCAGCACTTTAGGAGGCCAAGGTGGGCAGATCACAAGGTCAGGAGTTTGAGACCAGCCTGACCAATATGGCGAAGCCCCGTCTCTACTAAAAATACAAAAACTAGCCAGGTGTGGTGGCACGTGACTGTAATCCCAGCTACTTGGGAGGCTGAAGCAGGAGAATTGCTTGAACCCAGGAGGTGGAGGTTGCAGTGAGCCGAGATTGCTCCACTGCACTCCAGCCTGGGCAATAGAGGGAGACTCTGTCTCAAAAAATATATATATATAAAAATTAGCTGGGCATGGTGGCATGTGCCTGTAATCCCAGCTACTCGGGAGGCTGAGACATGAGAATCGCTTGAACCCAGGAGATGGAGGTTGTAGTGAGCCAAGATTGCACCACTGCACTCCAGCCTGGGCAACAGAGCAAGACTCTGTCTCAAAATTAATAACTGGTATTTTCCATAAAAATATGTTAGCATGAAATGTATAATTTATTATATTTAAAGGAATTTATAAATATTATCCCATTTTTTCCATTTCTAATTTCTAGTATAGTAAATATCAATAGATATATTCCACATAATAAACAAAGGCTCTTCGGGTCCCAGATAATGTTGAAGATATAAAGAAATCTCGAGTCCAAATAGTTTCAGAATCGCTGACGTAGAGGAACCATGGGATTGTGGGGTGACTCCGAAGCTCAGTTTGCACACGTATCCTGGGCCCCGATGTAACATGAGGAGAGATTCGGGGTGGGTGCCAGTTCACTAGTTACCTGATTTTAAAGAGTGGAGGAAGGGGGTTAGGTTCAACACCGTTCCCCAGGAAGCACCTATTCTCAGGTTGCCTTCAACTTTCCCTGAGCCCAGGAAAAGCAAAGCTCCTTTGCGTTGCACCTGTGCTGAGCCAAAAGGGGCGGTGGCCCCAGCTGAACATATGCTGCTGTGTGATGCTAGGCAAGCTTGTTTCCCTGGTGCCACTGCAGAGTCTGTGTCCGAAGATTCTAATAGGCTGGTCCTTGCAGCAGCTGTGGGTTCCATAAAGGGACTGGCCTGAAACAGATCCCCCCGGCTTCTCACTGCTGTACTGTAGAAACCAGAAAGCTAAATGTTACATTTTTTAAAAACCCATTTGCAGCTAGGGCACTGTTATCAGATACTCTAAATTGTGTTCCAGAAAAGCACGTAGAAACTCTAACCCCAGCCAGGCACGGTGGCTCACACCTGTAATCCCAGCACTTTGGGAGGCCGAGGTGGGTAATCACGAGGTCAGGAGTTCCAGATCAGCCTGAACAACATGGTGAAACCCCGTCTCTACTAAAAATGCAAAAACTAGTTGGGTGTGGTGGTGGGTGCCTGTAATCCCAGCTTCTTAGGAGGCTGAGGCAGGAGAATTGATTGAACCCGGGAGGCAGAGGTTGCAGTGAGCTGAGATCACACCATTGCACCCCAGTCTGGGTGACAGAGCAAGACTCCATCTCAAGAAAGAAAGAAAGAGAGAGAGAGAGAGAGAAAGAAGGAAAGAAAGAAAGAAAGAAAGAAAGAAAGAAAGAAAGAAAGAAAGAAAGAAAGAAAGAGGGAGGGAGGGAGGGAGGAAGGAAGGGACTCTAACCCCCAATGTGACCTTTTTTAGAGATAGGGCCTTCAGAGAGGCAACTAAGATTAAACAAGGCCATAAGGGTGGGCCCCTAATGCAATAGGACTGGTGTCCTGGTAAGAAGAGGAAGAGACACCAGTGAAGCAAGCGCACAGAGAGAAGGCTATTTGGGGGCACAGCAGGAAGGTGGCTGTCTACAAGCCTCGGGAGAAACCAAGCCTGCCATCACCGGGATCTTGGACTTCCAGCCTCCAGAACTGTGAGAAAATACATTTCTGTTGTTTAAGCCACTCTGTTGGTGATATTTTAACATGACAGTCACAGCAAACTAACACAGGCAGTGACTGAGACTTAGATTCTGCCAAGCAGGCATTCACATGGGATTTGGAAGGTAGAAGTGAGATACACACAAAACCTCTGCTGCTTCTGCTGGAAAACATCTTGGACATGTCTGGTTTTTCTGTGGCAGCTTCCTGGTCATGGCAGTGTATGATTATATTATGATATCCCGATCATGGTAGATTTCTGATGATACTAGTTGCCAAAACATGATGGAGGAAGCATGGCTCTGCTTCAGCAGCTGCGGCAATGACTCTCCAAGTGACACGTGGCTTCCTGGGAAGTAGCTCTCATGGTACTGAGATGTGGCTTTGAGAATTATTCCTGAAAGTGATGGGCAAGAGAAGACTCTCCAGCTGGTCTACCTTTGCTATCTGGCCCCTATAAATAGTACTCCAAGTATCTGTGGCACCTCAAGTAGCTCTATGAAATCTATGACAAACCCTTAAAGGTCTCTGGGGTCATGAATCAAAGCCAAGCCCTCTTTGGCTATTAATATTCTTCTAAGTAAAAGTTTCTAACTTGTGGCCAGGTACAGTGGCTCATGCCTGTAATCCCAGCACTTTAGGAGGCCAAGGTGGGTGGATCACCTGAGGTCAGGAGTTCTAGACCAGCCTGGCCAATATGGTGAAACCCCATCTCTACTAGAAATAAAAAAAAAATTAGCTGGGCATGGTGGTGGGCGCCTATAGTCCCAGCTACTCAGGAGGCTGAGGCAGGGAGAATTGCCTGAACCCGGAAGGCAGAGGTTGCAGTGAGCCGAGATCACATCACTGCACTCCAGCCTGGGCAACAGAGCAAGAATCCGTCTAAAAAAAAAAAAAAAAAAAAGTTTCTAACTTGCCATTGGGCCCTTGTAAAAACAGAATACCTGGCTATGGGACATTAGTGGTCATGTGACTTAAGCTATCCATAATGAATTTTTATCTAATCCAGTGAGTCATAAGGTTGGATGCCTGCAGAGGTCTCCATCATAAGTGGATATGGAATATGGGGGCAGGTCCTGAAAGTGACGGTACATCACTGGAGCAGAGGCTGTACAATCTCAGTGCACCACCTCCTGCTGCTACAATGCCATCTGCCATGACCTCACGGCTGGTTTCCTGGGATCAGTTGACTAAGAAAACATTCAGCCTGGTTTACAGAAGGTGCCACGCAATCATCTGAAAGTTGATACAATATTATAGCCCCATTCAGGGGTAGCTCTGGCAGGACAGAGAAATCCTTGTAATGGGTAGAACTTTGAATTCCTGGAAGAAGAGATGGCCAAATATATAGATCTTCACTAATTCCCAGGCAGCAGCTAACCATTTAGCTAGATGACTAACAGCTTGGAAGAAGTGAGACTGGAGGAATTCTTGACAAGGCCTGGGGCAAGTTGTATGGAAGACCTTCTCAGAATAAGCCCCAAGTGTGGCAATAATTGTGTCCCTCGTTACTATCATGGAAGAGCACCGCACATAAGGCTCTTAATTCTCAGGTGAGCAGGATGAGCATGATTCTTTGGCTATGAGCCAGCCTCTCCCCATGCAGCCAGCATGCCACCTTGCTGATAATCCTGCTGAGCAAGCACAGGGTGGCTGGATAAAGAGACAGAAGCAAGGCAGGCAGCAACCTTTTGCTGCTTTTTTTGCCCTGGAGCAGGCACCTTCCATGGAAGTATCTGACCTTAGCAGCATCCTCATCGTCATCGCTCCCTTCTCCACATCCTGCTCCACACAATGGTGCTGTTTTCGTATCCTCTACCTCTAGGAGCATATTTTGGGACATCCAGGCCCTTAATGTCAATATCAGTGTTTCTTGAAGTGTAGGCATCAGAATCGCTTACTTGTTTTTGTTAGTATGTAGGAGTCAGGAAATGTATTTTTATCAACATCCCCAAGTAATCTTTGTCTTCACTAAATTTTGTGACAATCTGATCTTGAACAAAAAGAAAGTAGTTCTCTTTTTTATTCTCTGTCTCTCTCAACTATCCACAGCCTGCCCTCTTAGTTCAGTTTCCTGGGCTAAGGACTTCCTTTTTCCTAGTGTCTGGCCCCAGGAACAATCTCTTTTTAGTGGCCGTAGCCCCCATATCTGCAAGATGTAGCCTTAAACCTCATAAAACTCTACAGAAGAACCATATGCCAGTTCAGTGTAGCCTCGGCATTCATGTAAGAAATCTTCCCTTCCAAGAATGGAGTGGGTTGGGTCTTCCTTCTTTGCCCTGCCAGAAGTCATCATGATGAAGAAGGCTGACAGCTGGAGAACAGAAAGCTGAAGATCATGGGTTTATTGGTCCACTCCTCGCTGAGGAGAGGTTGAGATTGAAAAATCCTAAAAGGGAAGCAACTCCCAGACTGCCAGCTGGGAAGGCACAGTCTGGGGCCAGAGAAGCTCCCCACTGCAGATCCATTTCCAGCGTGGAGAAAGCGTCCTCCTGCTCCCTCCAGTTTCAGCCTGTCCTGTGGTTTTCTGCAGCCTTTCAGGCAAACACAGACAATGGCATTCCCATCTTCCCTGATCCCTCCATTCCCACCATGCCACCTCCCCTCAGCAGATTCCTGCTGATGTTCACCTAAGCCTCCACCCCCTCAAACCCTTTACCCTCATCACCATAGTCATCACAACCTGCTTACTTTATTCATACCAAGTAGCAACTGAAAAGTCAAATTTCTGCGGTTGGGAATGCTTAGCTTCAGCAACAAAGTGTCTATATGTCAGACCACAATGGAACGCAGTAGTTTGAACTTTTAAAATGTAATTAACAGCTAGACAGTGCTTCTCCAAACTCCCAATCCAGTAAGCACTGAAGTGTAGAGTATCTAAAACCTTAACAGACTTCCCCTGTTTCTCGCAGGGGTTTTATAAAAGGATATCAAGGAGAATGACTGCCCTTCTAGCCCAGAGATTGTAGTAGGGGATTTGTTTAGAGTTAAAGAAAATATCTCATGGGACTTGGGTTCTGTTGGGTTCTGGACACTGATTTGTTGTGTCCAACATGACCAGATTTGCTGATTTGTTTGAAGCCCATTGGTCTCAGGTTCATCTTCTGTAAAATAAGATGTTTCCCAAGAAAGGGTCTCTACATGTCTCAGAAGCTTTTATGAGGCTGTGAGCCTCATCTGATACCAGAGGAAGATATCACCAGCTCACTGTTCACAAGTCCATCCCATTCCCAGCGTGGATCTGAAAACCACAGAGTGCCAGTCTCTGTAAGTGTCCTCTATTGTCTCTGGTCCAGATCCATGAAGATCCTGAACATGTTTGCACAACTGGAGGGAACAAGGGGGCCTCCCGGGGAGATACAGGGAGGCTGTGTGACAATGGGGAAAAAGCAGCACATTTGGAGGAGGCCTCGGTCCCCCAGGTCTGGTGGTAAGACCCTCTTTTAAGCTTCCTTAGTCCTCATCTTCCTTCAAGCATTGAGGAAACATAAAATACCTCACAGAATCCTCAAGGAGTGCAAATGTCCTAAGTCTTTCTCACCTTCCAAGCCCACATCACACTCCAGCTTCCAGCGATCTCTCTCCTGCTTTTCACAGTCAAACTTCTGGAAAGAATTGCTCATAAACCCCCTGCCTGGTTAACCCATCAGGACATGGTGGCTGAGCATATGGGCTCTGGATTCGAACTGCTTGGATTCATATCCTGGTGCCCCCACCTGGCCCCCACCATTGGCCTTGCACCAATGACATAGCTCTGTGCCTCAGTTTCTCCATGTGTAGATGAGGATAATAGTGTTTATGTGCATGCTGTATTAGGATTAAATGCCTTGGTTTCTGTAAAGTGCTTAGGAAGGTACCTGGCATATAATGAGCCCTCAATAAATACTAGGTATCACTGTCTTACAAATCTCAATTTAGGGCTAGCTTCTCAGAAATTCCACTTCAGGCCTCCTAGTTAGGGTCAGGCTTTCACAGTTCTCACTTAAGTTGAAATTAGGTATTTTTGGTGTGATTATCATGACCCTCATGCAGGGCACTCACTATAAGGTCAAAGGGAGCAGAAATTGCACCTGTGTTTCTCTACATAGTGTTCCTACTGCTTAGCTCAGTAACTGGCACACAGCAGGAACAAATACATATTTCTTGAACATACAAAGGAATGAGTGAGCACTGGTACTGGCCTGAGTCCGTTAATGAATGGAGGCTGCTGTCAGAGAGCAAGTGCCCCAAGCTCCTGGACGAACCCATAATGGAAGAGATCTTTGGCCAAAGGGTACCTGGCCGCTTGAAAGAATGACTATGGCTCCCAAAGGGGGCCTATTAGGGAAGCCCTTTGGGCGTAAGAAAGCTGACTTTGGGCCAAAGACTGTGCATGTCTTGGAGAAGTTGCTATTTGCACGTGAATGTCATCAACTGAGACCGTGATGTAGAACGAATCCTGTCACTCCTTGAGTCCTGTGGCTCATTGGAATCCTTTTGGAAGTTTTGGAAAAAAAAAAAAAAAAAAAAAAAAAAGCACAGATTCCTAAGCCCCACTCCAATCTGGAAATCTCCAGGAGTAGATCCTGGGAACCTAGATTTTTAAAAAGCTCTTTGGGTGATTCCGTTGCCACCAGCCTGTACAGACCAGCAGGCTCTAATCTGGCCAAATTTTATCTTTTTACAAAGGAGGAAACAGAAACACACTTTTACCCTGCATCAGTAAAGAGGGCATGAAATTTTTAATAAACACGGAAATTAGCTGATCATTTGTTAGGGACTAGAAAATATGGTGTGTGCCCTTGGAAACAGCACATAATACAAATCATCCTTGGTAGGGGTCATTAGCATGGAAATGAGATCTGATTAAAAAGCACTGACAGCACTTCCTCCTCCTCCTATTGTGATTAGAGCAAAAATTAGACTGTTTGGCACACTCAGTCAAGTTTCCTCCGATAGACTCGTCTCTCTTGGCCAGGGTATGTTTGCCAAGTTTAACACAGGATGGCCCAGTGTTACTTATCTAAGTGCTGACAGCCCTTCACACCTGAGTGTTCCTGGCTGGTGTGGACTCAGTGATCCAATCATCACCATCATTCTCTAACCCAGGGTTTCTCAACCTGGGCACTATTGACATTTTTTATTGGATATTTCTTTGCAAGGAGTGGGGGGTGCACTACCCTCTGCACTGTAGGGTGTTTAGCAGCATCCACGGCCTATGGTGTCTACTCACTAAAGAACAATAAAGCATGTCCCACGGACATTGCCAATTCTCCCCTAGGGAGGGAAAAAAGCCTCCCCTTCTCCCACCTCCACACTGAGAACTGCTTTAACCTTACAAATTCACTTAACAGAGAACTCAAAGGACCACAGCACGATGTCAGGAATTTTCACTGGAGACTTTTTCCCTAACAGAAAAAATATAAAAGAATATTTCTATGAATTTCATGGACAAGACCCAAAAAAGGACAAAACCAAAAAGAAAGGATTGATAATTTTGCCTACATTAAACTGTAAAACTTTCATAGGAAAAACATCATATATGAAGTTGCCATAGGGGAGAAAGTATTTACAACACAAATAATCGATGAGAGATTAATGTTCAGAATACACAATTGTATTAGTTCCTTCTCACACTGCTATACAGGACTGCCCAAGACTGGGTAATTTATAAAGGAAAGAGGTTTAATTGACTTACAGTTCCACATGGCTGGGGGGACCTTGGGAAACTTACAATCATGGCAGAAGGGGAAGCAAACACGTCTTTCTTCACATAATGGCAGGAAGAAGTGCCAAGCAAAGAAGGGGAAAGCCCCTTATAAAACCATCAGATCTCATGAGATCTCACTCACTATCACGAGAATAGTAGGAAGGTAACTGCCCCCATGATTAAATTACCTCCCACTGGGTCTTTCCCCTGAACTACAATTCAAGAAGAGATTTGGGTGGGGACACAGCCAAACCGTATCAATAAGGGATGTCTCAGAATCAATAACAAAAAGAAAAACATCCAATAAAAAACTGGGCAAAGGATATGGTAGGCAGTCTGTGAAGAGGAAACTCTGAATGGCCAATACACTTGGAAACTGGTCAACCCCATTAGTAGATAGGAAATGCAAATTGAAATGATCACATCCTACCTTACACTCATCAGAGGCAGTAAATGAACAGGTTAATAGTACCAAGTATTGGGGAGCAGGCACTGAAGTGATAGTATCTACTCCCATACACCACCAGTAGAGGCATAGATTGGTAAAAATCGCTTTAGAAAACTGTCTAGCATTATCAGGTAAGATTGACTCTGCCATTACTCTCCTGAACACATACCCCAAAAAACTAACACATCTCAACAAGGAAACACCATCAAAGGGTGTTTACAATAATGTTTGCAATACTGAAAAACGAAACAGACCAAGTATCTACCAACTGGGGAATGGATAAACATTTAAGATACACGTGCACATGATAGAATATCATTAGCATTAAAAATTAATGGACTATATAACTATGTGTAATGGGAAAATCATATTTTAAAGGGTAGTACAGCATGGACCCAATTATATAAAGCTTAAAAACAAAGAGTATACCATTTATAGACACATGCATATTGGTTAAAAAAATGGGTGAAACTTGGATAAAAGGGAGGAAGTAAATGGGATACAGGGAGGTCTACAATTGAGTTTACAATGTTTTATTTTTTAAACAAACAAAAAGAACATCTGAAGGAAAAATGGCAAAATGTCAACCTGTGTTTAATTGGGATTGTGGATATATGCGGTATGAATTGTTTCATTCTCTAGACTTGTTTGAAATTTTTAGTTTTTTAAATTAAACATTTAAAAATAAATACATCTAGAAAAGGCAAAACTATAGGGATTGAAAACAGATAGGTGATTGCCAAGGGCCAGGGATGGAGGTAGGTGTTGACTACAGAGGGGCCCCAGGAATTTTCAGGAGTTATGGAACTGTTCTATATCCTGCTTATGGTGGTGGTTATACAACTCTATTCATTTGTCAAAACTCACAGACATGTATACTTCTTAAAAGGTAAATTTTATTGTATGAAAATTATACATCAATGAAAAAACAAAAATGAAAAAATATCTGCTAATAATGGTAGGAACAAAAGGTGCAGAATTAGACATTAATTATTTTAAGTTTCTTACCTAACAAAAAGGAAATACTATATAAAATTGAATTGTTACTTGGAAGCATATATCAATGCATTCCTAGGTATAATCAATACATTTTAAAAATTCAATCAACATTTGAATTAATAATAATAAATGCATTTATATCACAGAATCTGCTGAAATACCCAGCACTTTACCCCTTTCTTTTTTTTTTTTTTTTTTTTTTTGAGATGGAGTCTGGCCCTGTTGCCCAGGCTGGAGTGCAGTGGCACAATCTTGGCTCACTGCAAGCTCCGCCTCCCGGGCTCACGCCATTCTCCTGCCTCAGCCTCCCGAGTAACTGGGACTACAGGCACCCGCCACTACGCCCGGCTAATTTTTGTATTTTTAGTAGAGACGGGGTTTCATCGTGTTAGCCAGGATGGTCTCGATCTCCTGACCTCGTGATCCGCCCGCCTCGGCCTCCCAAAGTTCTGGGATTACAGGCGTGAGCCACCGCGCCCGGCCTACCCCTTTCTTAAACGAGAGCAAAATGCAACTTCAGCTCATTCTCCCTGCTCTGGGTGCTGGAACAGCACAAGATTTCTGACATTCATATTAATATTCTTGACATTCTTATAATAAGTAGCTGTCAGAAATATTTGGTTATTAACTGAATGACTGAGTCAATAACCAAATGAGTGAAAGAAGGAAGAATCACTTCTCTGTCTTAACATCCTGTTTCTATTTTACTGGGGCAAGATCTCTTACCTCTACAAGGATAGTGATAGTTTCATTAAGTTTTCTTCTCTCTGCATAATCTCCTCTCTCAAAATTCCTTTGTTCTGTGGAATCCTTTTAGTCTTACCCCTTCCAGATGTCAAAGGCTTTTCCCAGGCTTGTGGTAACCCTGGTTGTGCTCATGATTAAGGGTGAGGGACTTAGAAGCTGACTGGAAGCTTTGAGTCAGGGTGACCAACACTGAGGGGTGTCCCAGAACGTGGGAGTTTCAGCACCAAAACCAAAAAAGTCACAGGTAAGCCAGGCTGAGTCGATCACCCTACTCTGAGCCCATGGTGTGAGCTTCACTGGAGGGGATCTGGCTGGGACTTTTCTGGAAGAGCCTTTAATGTCAATATTTTTAGGGATTTCATCTTGGGCCAGTCAGAATCCCCAAAGAAGCAGCTGCCAACCTTCTGCCTGGAGGGTCAAGGCCTGTCTGGCAGGGATCGGGCAGCCTCCAGGATGCGGTATTCACACAGCCCTCACTCTTCTGTAGAATCCCCATCCTCCTGGCTTCCCTCAGCCTAGACATCCTGCTCTGTCCGCCTCTGAGCATCAAGCTTGTCCTTCTTCACATTTACAGATCTAGAAGCGTGACAAGGCTGAAGGTGGTAAAGACAAGGACTTTCTCCATGATGTCCGTCCCCCTCTTCAGCCATGCCCATCTTTCCCAGAAGTCCCCAGGGCACTTCTCCTTGTGTGTCATTGGTCAGAGCTGGGTCACATACCCAAACCCGCACCAGTCACTGGCAAAGAAAAAGAGGAGGCACATTATTGGTTTCTACCAAATATGATGATTTCCCTTGGTATGGGCACCTTGATAAGGGAACAACATCAGGGTTTGTGTAGTGAAAGAGGAAGGGGTGTAAATGTGAGTAGGCCACCAAAAGAGGCCGCCTCTCAGCATATACAAGCAGTATTGATTTAAATCCCACTTGGGGTCTAGGGACTAAAGTTCTAAAGGCTTCTCGTCCCTTCAAGGACCCTGGGGCCTCTCAACTTTGAGCTTTACTAGAAGTGTTACCAGCGGAGGGTGTCCAGGTTCTTGGTGTTTTGAACAAAGAATTGAACAAAATGCACAAACAAAGCAAGGAAAGAATGAAGCAACAAAAGCAGCGATTTATTGAAAATGAATGTAGACACCCCAAGGTGGGAGTGGCCTGAGCATAGGGCCTCAAGAGCCCCTTTACAGAATTTTCTGGGGTTTAAATACCTGCTCTAGGTATTTAAAATCCTAGTTCTTTGGGAGGCTGAGGGAGAAGAATCCCTTGAGGCCAGGAGTTGGAGACCAGCCTAGGCAACATAGTAAGACCCCATCTCTACCAAGAACTTAAAAAAATTAGCTGGGAGGTCAGGTGCGGTTGTTCACAACCTGTAATCCTAGCACTTTGGGAGGCCGAGGCGGGTGGATTGCTTGAGCCCAGGAGTTCGAGACCAGTCTGAGCAACATGACGAAACCCCATCTCTACAAAAAATACCAAAATTAGCCAGGCATGGTGGCACATGCCTGTAATCCTAGCTACTTGGGAGGCTGAGGCAGAAGGATTGCTTGAACCTGGGAAGCAGAGGTTGCAGTGAGCTGTGATCACACCACTACACTCCAGCACTCCAGCCTGGGCAACAGAGCCAGACCTTGTCTCAAAAAAAAAAAAAAAAAAAAAAAATTAGCTGGGTATGGCAGCACACACCTATAGGCCCAACTACTTGGGAGGCGGAGGCAGGAGGATCACTTGAGCCCAGGAGTTTGAGGCTGCAGTGTGATATTGCACTGCACCCCAGCCTGGGCAACAGAGCGAGACTCTGTCTCTAAAACAATAAAAATGAAAATAGAGAAAAAGCATGAGGTTCCATGGACCCATCACCCAGCTTCAAACATTAACCACATAGCCAGTCTTATTTCATCTATGCCAGTTCCACCCAATATTGTTTTGAGGCAAATATCAGATTTTATATCATTTTGTTCATAAATATTTTAGTATGCAACTAAAAGATAAGAGATATAAATGTATGTATATATATGTAGTAATATATAACTACAATACCATTATTACATAAAAAGTGCAATCAGCCCTTAATATCATCAAATCACCTAATCAGTATTTAAATTTCCAGGCTTATAAACATCATAATACTTTTTTACAATTTGTTTCAGAATCCAAATAAGGTATACACAATCTATAAATCTTAAACTTCCGGGGAATTCTAGATTGAAACAAACCCAGAACAAAACTGGATTTCTCTAACCCTGCCTTATGTTATATAAAATTACAACAGCAGGAGGGTTGGGTTTTTTCCCTTATAAAAAAGTCTTTCCAATGCTGTGTCAGTCATTAGCTAGTTACTTCCACGGGTCCCAGATTTCTGGCCTCATAACTGGAAGCATTTGGCAATTTGGCTGCAGAACGATGTTGGCATGTGAGTCATCTCCCACCGAAGTCCACCCATGTGGCAGTGTTACCCTGAAAATGCCACTGGTCCTCAACAGCTCCTTGGAGGCCTAACGAAGTGAGAGGGTTCAGGTGCCAAAGAAGCCACCAGGGGGCTCCCGAGGAACTCGATGAACTTCGGCGTTCACTGAAAAGCCAATTAGGCTGCCTTCTCACAGCGCGGCTGTTGAGCCTTGGCGCCCCACTCCCTCAGGTTGGCTTCTTCAGCAGAGGGACCAGACCTCAGGGAGATGAGGTCTCTCATCTCATCATCCTCAGGGAGATGATCCCCGTGGCTGGCTGGCAAGGCCAAGGTTAGCTGTCCGTGGCCATCAGAGTGTGTGAAACGTTCAGCCTTCCCCTCCCCACCCACATTGGTCATCTTTGCAAACGCACTGGACAGCAAAGAGCATCCTCAGATGTGGCGCATCCCACGCTAATAAGGACCTTGTAGCCTGCGGTTGTTAATACTTTAATGAGTAAGTACACAAAGAGCTTTATTATAAGCGATGGAATGGACTTAATTAATCCATAACTGTAGACAGTTAATGCATAATTATACACCTAGAAAAAACACACATCCGAGAGCCTGGATCCTAGCATCTCTGTTTGGCCTTGCGAGTCTCTCCTCATCTCTAGGTCTCATCGCTGCAAATTGAGGGGGTTGGGCTGGAAACCACTGGCTGAGGTCTCTTCCTTCTCTGTTAGTTTTTGTTGAGGCCCTATGTTGGTGCATAGGGATATCCATCTATCTAGGGCTGCTGTGACAAAGTACCAAAAACTGGGTGGCTTGAAACAACAGACATGAATTATCTCACAGTTCTGGAGGCCAGAAGTCCAAAATCGAGGTGTCCCACGGGGCCATGCTTTCTCGGGCAGCTCCAGGGCAGACTCTGTCCTTACCTCCCCCGGTTTCTGGGGTTTGCCTTGGTGTTCCTGGGTTTGCACATGACTGTCTTCTCCCTGGGTCTTCACATCGTCTTCCCTGTGTGTATGCCTGTCTCCGTGACCAAACTTCTGCTTATTATAAGGACACCAGTCATACTGGATTAGAATCTCCATCCCCAGTGACCTCGTTGGACTTCATTATCTCTATAAAGACCCTGGCTCCAAATAAGGCCACATTCTGAGGGAATGGGAGTTAGGACTTCAACAGAGCTTTTGGGGGAGGGGATACAATTCAGTCCAAAACAGGGACTATGGTGAAGAATAGGTGATATTTGAAAGGCCCTATAATGACAGACCCATGAAGTATGCATGCTAGCGGGTCATACCACTGAGGTTCTAGGATAAAGTTACAAGTCTGCAAAGACGCCATAATAACACATAAACAATTCTGTCGTGGGAAAGTGCATACTGCATGTTGTAATTTTACAGAGAAAAGTGAAGAGCATAACCCAAATGAGCTTCATAACCCAAATTACATTAAATGCACGACATTTAATCATTTCCTGTGATCATTGATACAGACAATCAAATGGAGTTTAAACCAAAAAGAAATCCAGTTTCTGTTGTTGTTGTTGTTGTTGTTTGCTAAAATGGTACAACAGAAGTTTATTATTGTGCTACTAAAAATTTAGAGAACTCTCTTACATCATAAGAACTAAGAACTCTTTCACATATTAAATGCAAAGAAAATGTATATATTAAACTTTCACAAAATGAGATTCACACCCCTTCTCGGGAATACAAGCATTCATCACCTAGATAAGGCCACCTCATCTTTGCTCGTCATTACCAACAAGGCCCATCCATTCTTTTGTGTTTTAACCAGAACATTCATGGCCCAGCAGGTGCTGCTTCAGTTCCTGACATGGTTTCTCAATGAACAGCGTCAGGGCCAGCCCAGTGACGAAGGTCAGCACACGGTGTCCAGAGAAAAGATAGAACTGGAGAGAAAGTGGGCAGGGTGAACACAGTTTTACTCTGGGATTCCTATTGTGTTCAGATCTAAAGTGTACCATCCTAGCTCTATGAAATGCATCTGTAGGACAATCAGTGCTACATATTAAAAATAAAATAAATAAAATAAAAGATATTATCCTGTGCTGAAGCCCTCCCTCTTTCTGCCACAAATAAAGCAAAGAACAATGAAGCTCTTAAAAAAAAAAAAGACTTCCACGAAAGCAAATAGGTTGCCTTGTTGCTCAAGAAGAGAACAAGCTATGATACCATAACCTACCGTAACAGAACTAGGAGCTGCGTGCTAACTCACCATGTTGGTGTCAGTGTGGTGAATAAGTGTTTCCTGAAGGCCATTGTAAAGGATGATCAGAATCGGATGCACCAAGTAGCGAGCATAACTGATGCTGGACAGGAAACTCCAGATGTCCCAAGAAAGCACACGGTTCACCAGACCTGGAGGGAACAAGCACTGATGCATGAAGCCACAGCCTGTCTCTGGGCCAGTGAAGATGCCCATCATCCCATCGATGCTCCCATTGCATTCTGTGCCTAAGTCTGTGAACTTTTCCTAAGAAAGTCTTTATGCGTTATCATTTTAAGACAATGTACCAAACCAAAAACCACCTTTCTGTTGCAAGAATTATGATAACACAAGAGAGATACATGGTTTCAGCCCCTGAGCATAAAACATTGCATGTATAAAACAAGGTAAAAATTCCTCATATTCACCTGGGTTCTGGATCAAGATGCAGCCACAGGGGGGCGTTGGGATAAGGCATTTAACATTGCCAGGCCTCAAACTCTTCTGTCAGTGAGAGGCTTGCATTTGTAGGTGCCTTTCAGGACAAATATTCTGTAACTTGGTATATATTCTAGAACTGTGTTGTCCCAGACAATAGCCCCTAGCCACTTGTGGCTATTTAACTTAATTAAAATTAAATGCAATGAAAACTTCCTTTCTGAATAGGACTTATTGCTATCTCTAGTGAGTTGCATAGTGATCTTTCAAAAGATATGTCCACCCAGAACCTCAGAATGTAACCTTATTTGGAATAAGGGTCTTTGCAGATGTCATTAAGAGAAAGAACTAGAGATGAGATCATCCTGGATTAGGGTGGACCCTAAACCCAATGACAAATGTCCTTATAAGAGACAGAAAAGGAGACACAAATGCAGAGGAGAGACACAAGGAAGAGAACCATGTGATGACGAAGACAGAGACTGGAGTGAAGAGTCCATGAGCCAAGGAATGCCAAGGCTTGCCAGCAGCTACCAGAGGCTAGGAGAGGGGATGGGACAGATTCTCCCTCAGAAAATCCAGATGGAACCAACCCTGCTGACACTTCGATTTTGAACAGCTAGCCTCCAGAACTGTGAGAGAAAAAAATTTCTGTTGTTTTAAGCCACAGATATAAAATATAACTTCTGTTTCTCCTTTGCACAAGCCTCATTAAAAGTGCTCAGTAGTGAATCACAATTTGCTCAGGATAAATCTTTGGAGCCTTCCCAGACTCCTTTCATTCCAGACTCCATAGAGTGCTTCCAAAAATATGTCTCAAATCAGACCATTGCTCCTCACCTCCATGGCTAACACCCTCGTGAATCTTCCATCACCTCCTGCGTGGGCCTCCATGGTAGCTTCCCAGTGGATCTGTTGGTCTCTGCTCTTGTTCTTGCCACCTTATAGTCCCCACACCACATCCAGAGTAATCTTTTAAAATCACATATCAGGGAGAAATGGGGAAGGGGGAGATATTGATCAAAGCGTACAAAGTTTCAGTTAAACCGATGGAGTAAGTTTTAGTGATCTATTGCACTGCATAGTGACCACAGTTAATAATAATGTACTGGATATTTTTCAATGGCTAAAAGAAAAGATTCTTAACATTCTTACCACAAAAAAGAGATAACTTGGTGAAGTGATGCCTATGTTAATTAACTTGATTTCATCTTTCTACTAGGTATACATATACCAAAACATCACATTGTACCCCATAAATACAGTTATTATTTGTCCATTTGAAAATAAATTTTACAAATCCACAAATCAAATCATGGGCTATGATCTGAGTGTTTACATTCCCCCAAAATTCATATGTTGAGATCCTAATCCCCAAGGTGTTAGTATCAAGAGGTGGAGTCTTTGGAGAGGCAATTAGTTCACGAGGGCTGGGCCTTCAGGAATGGTATCAGTGCTCTTATAAAAGCGACCCCAGAGAGACAGCCCTACCCTTCCGCCATGTGAGGACACATCTAGAAAGTTCCAGCTAAGAACCAGAAAGCAGGCCTTCACCAAACACTAAATCTGCTGGTGCCTTGATCTTAGACCTCCCAGCTCCAGAACTGTGAGATATAAATTTCTGTTGTTTTTAAGCCACCTCATTTATGGGGCTTTATTTTTGTTATAGTAGCTGAAATGGACTAAGACTTCATGTGATGTGGCATTTAAAATAAAATCCAAACTCTTCCCATGGCCTTGAAAGCTCTGCCTAACCTGGGTCCTACCCTCCTCTCTGAGTTCCCTTCCCACCTCTCTCTCCCCCTTGACCCTTGGTTCCTATCTCACTGGTCATTTTGCTCTTCCTCCAAGCCACTAAGCTCGTTCCAGTCTAGAGACCTCTGCCTTCACATTCCATCTGCCCAGAATGCTTTCATACCACATCTTTGCAAATGTACCCCTAGTCCAGTTAGTTACCCACTAATCCCTGCTTTATCTTTATTCACTATATTTAAACTTCCCCCGACCCTACTGTAATCTCTCGCAAGGGAAGGATTTTTCTTGTCTATTGCTGTATCCCCAGATTCTAGAACAGTACCTGGCATAGAATAAGCATTCAAGAAGTATTTTATGTAATTAAGTGAATAAACACAGATGGACTTACAGACAAAAGACGCTTTTCCCCCAAGTGAAGGCTATAAAAGGTAAACCACAGTTTCACTGTAGAACAAAACAAAGTAATTGTAGAAGAATGAAGTCAGCAAAGAATCCATGCTCACGCAGATAAGCCAAACACAAAAGAACGCGCCCTAAAGCAAACAATACTGTGTTCATATTATGAGCCACAGGTGATTCCAGCAACTGTTCATCATATCATATTAATGTTGCTAATGCAGATTTTATTGGTTTTATAGTTTTATGATTACTTCATAAATTTGTTTTGGCTTTCTGAATGCATGTGCTATAAACATAAAATTTTGTATCTAGGTTTATGTTTGTTCATGTTTAGGCAAAATTGGACCAAAAATAAGAGCAGATAGTCAGGGTAACTTGAATCTATGTTCCCAGGAAAAAAAAAGCATTGAAAAAATAAGAATAAAAATAAGTTGAGCCAACACCAAGAATCCAAAATAATTCTTATTTCTTTAGAATAGGCCCACATATACTTAAGTTTGAGGACGAAAGCTGTAGGTGACAGACCACCACTGAAGGGCTTTAACTGAAGGAGTAATGTGGTCAGATGACTCTGGCAGCTCAACAGAAGACAACTTTGAGCATAACAAGACCAGCATGGTCAACATTGCTACCAAGCAAAGATGGTTAAATATTCATTGAATCATCAAGATCCTTTCTAGTCCTGAAAGTCTCAACTAAACATTTCTTCTTATTCAAACTCTTATTTTTTTCTAAAGATCATCAGCTAGACACTTTTTTATTTTTCGAGACAGGGTGTCACTCTATTGCCCAGGCTAGAGTACAGTGGCCTGATCTCGGCTCACTGCAACCTCCGCTTCCCAGGTTCAAGCAATTCTCCTGCCTCAGCATCCCAAGAAGCTGAGATTACAAATGCGCACCAGCATGCCCAGCTAATTTTTGTATTTTTAGTAGAGACAGGGTTTTGCCTTGTTGCCCAGGCTGGTCTTGAAATCCTGGGCTCAAGCGATCCACCTGCCTCGGCCTCTCGAAGTGCTGAGATTACAGGTGTGAGCCAGGTAGACACATATTTTCCAAAAATGTATTTAAGCTATCACCTCCTACATTCACCTACTAATCAATATTGATATCTTACAGATAGTTTTGGAGATACAAATCTAGGACATCAGGTGCCCCTACAGTTGTGGATTTGCTAGTGACAACACACCTTTGAATGATAAATTGCTCAATAATAAGTAAACTGGCTTGCTCATCTCCTGGGTGATGAGATAGCATCCTTACTCAGACTAATGATGGAGAGCATTTGCTTGTTCCACTGTAATAATAATGCTGCAGGCTGGGCATGGTGTCTCACGCCTCTAATCCCAGCACTTTGGGAGGCCGAGGCGGGTGGATCACGAGGTCAGTAGTTTGAGACCAGCCTGGCCAACATGGCAAAACCCCATCTCTACTAAAAATTAAAAAATTAGCCGGGCGTGGTGGCAGGCGCCTGTAATCCCAGCTACTCAAGAGGCTGAGGCAGGAGAATCGCTTGAACCTGGGAGGCAGAGGTTGCTGTGAGCCGAGATCGTGCCATTACACTCCAGCCTGGGTGACAAGAGCAAGAGTCTGTCTCAAAATAATAATAATAATAATAATGCAAATTTGTTTAATCTTGTAACTTCACCTAAGTCATTCCTCTCTAATATCATTTGTTAGCCAGTTATTTTTGATAAACAGCAGCAGCTCTCACAGTAGAGAGGAATACTGTGATGTTTGCAACATTATAAATGGCCTGTGCCAGGCCACGGAGAGTAGTTGTTTATGAGGCTCTATGACAGCTCGGGGACATGGTCATGGGGTGAGGCAGCAGGGTTGTGGTAACATATCCCAGAGTTTCCCATAAATGCAAATACATCAGTCAGAGAGAACGCAGTCCATTTCCTCTTTAGTATCACTTTTCCATATAAGGGAAAGCTTTTAAAATTAAAATATGAAAGATCATTAAGGCTCATTTTAAAATTACAATATTAAAGAGCATCGTTATATTAAAATACTTGTAAAATTTAGGAACCATTTTAATTAACATCTGGGAAAAGTGCTATCACTTAGGAGTGAAGAGCACTGGCTTTGGACTTCGTGCTGGGACCTGGGTTCATTTTCTACTTCAGCCACTCACCAGCTGTGGGATTTTCACTGTGTTGCTTTCTCTCCTGACATGGTTGTTCTCATTGCTAATTATAGGTCTTCCTCCCAGGGGCGTGGTCAGTGCTACCGGTAAATCATTATTTCCCACCACCTTTGCTGAGGCTGACTGGTGTGGGTTTACAGGCTAAGTTGAAACTCCTCCTGATGGGTTATTTCCCTAGAGTATGAAGCAGGCATGCCTCCCCCCAGATCCACTGCTCCTCTGTCAGGGCTTTGGGTCGCTTGAGGCCAGAATCTCTTCTGGGAGCTTCCTGCCAGCCTTGCCCTGTTGTTTGCTGACGTCCCAAGCACACAGTTCCTACCTCTCGCCAAATAGAGATCACGGGGAGAAAAGCATCAGGTGACTTGGATACACCCTTCTAACCTGGAGAAGATTCTTTTCCATTGAAGCCTTTTATCTGCTTGGCTCTCTGCATGTTGAAAGCCAACTCAGTTATCAAAGGGGATCCTGGCAAGCATTCCCCATCTACACCTTCGGATGGGGAAACCAAGGCTCAAGGTGCTGTGGCTGGAAGGCAGTGCTCCCAAGCACTGATTTTTTTTTTTCTCATGACATTACTCTGCCTGAATTCCCTTTCCAACTTCTAAACTAGCTGCATTGGAGAGGCTGCATGTTCTTCTTTCAGAACCCACACTTGTGCATAAATCCATGTAAAAATCTTATACATAAATCCTTTGTCTTTTCCAAGGATGGAGAGAAATTGATATTTTTGAATCAATATCAGTCATTCATCAACCACTCCAGAAAACAGAAATCACTCCGGTACACACCCTGTGTGTTCGATTTGTCACCTTTAAAGGAACAGGGTGTGAACCCGACAGCAAAGCCTGGAGCCGCTTCCATACCTCCATATCCTCCGTGGCACGCAAAGAGGACTCAGCCCACAGCCGCCGCCCACAGGGTCCGGTGGAGGGCTTGGTAGAGAGCTGCAGCTACTAGAGAGGAAGCAGAGGAGTCATCCACCATGTATGCCAGAGCGGCCACCGCAAATAGGGTGACCAGGGAGCAGCTCCACCCCAGCAGGACCTGCATCTCCGGGGAGAGGAGAGGCGGGGCCCAGCCCTTTTTAGCCATTGTATAATTCCCTCCTCCTACACAAACTTATTTTTTGGTGTTATTCCTGTCACTTAGGTCTTTATTCGCAAACCTCAGTCAGCATAGATTTGACTAAAATGGAAGGTTGTAATTTAAAAGGGGTGGCCAGGAGATCTTTGTGGTGACAGAGAGTTCTGTACCTTGACTGTGGGGGTGGTTGCACAAATTTGCACATGGGACAAAATTACCCAGAACCGTACAGACGTGCGCGAATGAGTATGTGTTGGTAGATCTGAGGTCTATTGTGCCAATGTGATTTTCTGGCTGTGGTCAGGTACCATAGTTGTGTCACACGTTGCCTGTTGGGGAGCTGGAGCACACAGCACCTCTCTGTACTAATTTTGCAACTTTTGGGGCATCTATAATCATTTCAAAATGAAAGTGAAAAGAAAATCAATAAGTAATGTTCTAACCCACTCCTAATCTCCCATTTTGTCCGGTAACCAGATTAATGCTCCTTGATGGCTTCCGCCTTCACCATAAACGTGAGGGCCTCCAGCACACAGCCCCGGCCTGGGCAGCAGCCTAGTCAAGTGGAAGGAATGGGAATGTGAGAAGTCTTCAGCTCAAAGAATAGCCCCATGAGTTAAATCCTAACACCTGACTCACTTCAAGATCTTGACCTTGCGTCACCTGAGTTGACCTTTTTAGACCCAGATCTGTCTTCCAAGGAGCTCTCTTGCTTCTCCGTGCTGTACTCAAGCTGCTGTGATTATGTCTACACTGCACTGAACCAACATCGGATCAGTCCACCGTCTTGTCTCTGAGACCTGCTTAGGTCTCAGGTTCCTGGCTGCGGGAGAGGAAAGGTACATACTCAGTGGCACTCCACTCTTTTAGCCTGGGATCTCCCTCACCCCTTTGCTACTTCCCTGGCCCAAATGGGCCTGCAGTCTCTCAAAATGCATCTTGGGTATCATGTTCTCTTTCTGTCCTTGTCTGCTTATCTTTATTATGGTGCATCCTGCCTTATCTCACTCCTGGCAGCTTCCTCCAGTTTAGACCCCGTGTCTTTATTTTCTAGCTTCTAAAGCTTTGAGTTTGGTGTACCCAACTGTGCGCGTTTCTCCAGGTTAACTTGGCTTGTATTTCAGCTCCGGGCTTCCTGGTGCTGACCCTGGCCCTTGAAGTCATTCCCAAATGCTCCCTCTTCAAGTTAAGTTTTGCCCTTTGCTGACACACATTTTCTCCCTGGGCTCCCATGTAACCTGGACTATGTTGAAGCCTCTCTTTAATGGCACTCTGTTATAGTCTACAACTGAATTGTGCATTTCCAGGAAAATATCGTAACTGCAACCTATAGAAAAAGTCACACAGCTTCTGTATATTCATTCCTTTCGGTAAAATCTTATCTCTTCTTCCTCCCATGGGCAACACAAGGTTTTCCAAGGACCAGGGCCTCTTCTCTGGAACATCTAGGTAAGGTACCCACAAAGCCTAGGCAAACAAAGGTAGGACCTGGCAGAGGGGTTTGGGGCAGGAGTTGTATCCTAACTTCTGGCCCTTCCTCCATTGAGAAGAAAATTCTCTTTCATTCATTCATGTGTTGAGTACCTTCAGTGAGTCAGGATCTCAGAACCAGATGCTGGCGATTCAGAGGTGATACAAGTAGTGAATTCCAGGAGCTCACAGTCTATGGGGTGAATAAATGCTTTATCATGCGGTACAAACCAGGGCCCAGGAATATACAGTGCACAGAGGAACCAAAAAGAAGGACACAGCCTGGCCTGGAAGGATAAGGAAAGACTTCCTGGAGGTGAAAAGTCTAGGTGAGCCTTCTAGGCAAAACAGGAGTTAAGTCAGATGAAAGGGAGAGGTGAGTAGAGGGGAGGGGGTAGAGGCAGATTCCAGACGGAGGAAGAAGCATGAGCAACTGCACAGATGCCAGGAACAGCTTGTGTGTGTGTCAGTGGCGGCAGTCAAGGGCACTGTGAGCAGGTTGGTATCACTGATATGCAAAGTGCAAGGCAGAGAGTGGTGAGAGAGATGATGCTAGAGAGACAGGCAGAGTGATGTCATGGGAACTCTGAAGGCCTTGTTGAACAGATCAAGCCTTATCATGGATGTAAAAGGAAGTCATTGAAAGATTTTTCACCGTTCAAGGGCACAGCCAAGGTGGTGTCTTAAATAGATCACCCCAAGAGTAGATTTGAGATCAATAAGACTAGAGGCAAGGAAACAAGTGACAACATCCAGGCATGAGATGAGAAGAGCTTTAAGGTCAGTTCAAAAGGATGAGAGAGGATGGCAGGAGAAACCATCGGCAGAGCATGGGGGATGATTGGCTGAGAGCAGTGGTCAGTGAGGAGGAGGCATCCAAGATGAACCCGGGTTTCCAGCTTGAGTAACGAGATTGGATGGTGAACTAGAATGATTGCCCACAAAGGAGCCAGAGAAGAAAATGAGTGCTTGGGGTACATCTGGAAAAGCAAAGTAACAGCTTCCCCTCTAGACACCTCACGTCCTGATTCCCAGACACAACCATCAAATCTGACCAAGAATCTTGTATATAGAAACCACTGAGCATGTGCTGTTAAAAATCCAACCCAACTCAGTATCCTCTTCCAGAAGAAAGTCTTGCCATTGTAATCTCACTGGGTATGTTTTCTCACATTGGTGGTTTCTTTGGGTCAGTACCAAAGCTCCTACAGATGGGACCACACTGGGTTCCAAATCTGGAGGATCATAAGGAGAGGTCAGTGAAGAAAGCAGAGAATCAAGCTCTGGCAGGAAGATAAAGGCCTTATCTTTAAATTAAAAAAAAAAAATGAAGACAGGGGTTTCACCATGTTGCCTGAGCTGGTCCTGAACTGGACTCAAGGGATCCTCCTGCCTCAGCCTCCCAAAGTGCTGCGATTACAGGTGTTAACCACTGCACCTGGCCAATTCCTTCTGATTCTTTAGCACAGAGAGACATCAGTAACACTCTACAGCACAATACAGTACCCAGCAGGCTGACTGCTTCATCCACAGCTTTGGAAGAGCCTGGCCAGGTGGGCCACACAGTCCCAGCCAGACCCATGCCCATAGAGTGAGGCACGGGAAATCATACCTTGGTTCTGAGAATGTTTTCCTGGTGGTTTTGGTGCATGTAAATGCTCAGAAAGAGGCCCACAAGAACTGGCCCAAATCGGCAGTAGGGCTTTGTGTAGTACTCCACGAAATACAATACAATCGCCTCTTCACTGAAAAATACAAGGAAATAAGCCAAAATGTTATGTTTGATCTGGACATGGCAAAGGGAATCCAAATCCCTGAGATGTCCATTGGAATAATCAGCAAGCCCAAAGGTACATTTAGGGCACACTTGTTCATTTCCTTAGTCATGGTGCGCAAACAGTGACCTCATGGCCCCACCTCAGCCAAAGTTGGCTTGTTTAGGTTCCAAATTCCCTCAGGCCCCTCCACCCCAGATCCCAAGGAAATATCATGAGTGTATTCATTTTAAATAGCTGTGTCTGGTGGCCAATATGTCAGAATGTTCTAAAAATGTAGCACCCAGATGTGAACCCAAGGGTCCCAAGGACAGAGACTGTCCTGAGAGAGAAGTGATGAGAGGTCCAGGCCAGGCTATTAAAAGGACACCAAAAACTATTCTTTGAAGCTGTGTTTTTCAAGGTTTCATCCCTTGACATCAACAGCTGCGTCAGGCCAGGCATGGTGGCTCACACATGTAATCCCAGCACTTTGGGAAGCCGAGGCAAGAGGATCATTGAGCCCAGGAGTTTGAGACCAATCTGGGCAACATAGAGAGACCCCAACTCTACAAAAAAAAAAAAATTAGCCAGGCCTGGAGGCACATGCCTACAGTCCCAGCTTCTCAGGAGGCTGAAGCAGGAGGTTCGCTTGAGCTCAGGAGGTTGAGGCTGCAGTGAGCGGTGATCATGCCACTGTGCTCCAGCCTGGATGACAGAGTGAGACTCTGTTGCAATAGAATAAAAAACACAGACAAAAAAAAAAAACACCTGCATCACCTGAGAACTTATTAGGAACCCAGACTCATGGGCCCCACCCTGACCTACTGGCAGTGGGCTCAACCATCTGTGTGTTAAGAAGCCCTCCAGGTGACCCTGATACCCCCTCAAGGCTGAGAAGCTTTGCCTAAACAGTGCCATTCACGGGAGGCATCCAGGTTATACCCAAGCCCAGGGAATCATCATCTCTGCACATGGACTCAGGGACTAGAAATTTTAAAACTCTCCTGAGTTTCCCAAAGGCAGATTGAGAACCCCTGCTTTAAATTTATCACCGTTAAAATTATCACCATTCCCCACTGAAGCTAGACGCACTCTCAGCCCCTAGCTGCCCATGCAGGGACCACTGGAGGAAGGGAAGGTGTTTGAGGACTAGACGTATGGTTCTTCAACTGTGGCTGCACATAAGAATTTATTCTGCAAATTAGAATTTGTAAGCACCCTGGGAATGCTTACAAAAGTCCGCTGCCTGGGCCCCATGCCCAGAGATTCTGATTCAATTGTTCGGAGGTGGGTGGGGATGAAAGCATCAGTAGATTTAGAAGCTCCCAAGTGACTCTAATATGTGGCCAGGGTTGAAAACCGCTGGGCTGGACATGAGTGAGCCTCCTCCTCAATCACTTCACCATGCCATGATATGGGAAGGGCATGATAGTCTCCTGGTCAGGAGGCTTGGGATGTTGTCACCAATTCATTCATTTATTCTCATATGCCACCCACTCACAGATTCACATGGAACACTCACATACCAGGAACGGTTCTGGCCATTTTATTTTGGAAGATCGGCAAAGGCTGCTCTGAGAAGGTGACATTTGCACAGACACCTGAAAGATGTGAAGGAGAAAGCCCTGCCAAGATCTTAGATTTTAACAGAAGAGTAATTCAGGCTCAAAAGCAAGTGCTAAGGCCCCGGGTTGGGGAGGGTGGGGAAGGGGGTTCGGGGAGCGTGCTTGGTGCGTTGAGATGAGTTGGTGTGGCTGGTCCAGTGTCAGCAGGTAGGAGGGTGACCAATGAGGCCACTGGAGGAATTCAAGCAGATGACTGACATAATCTGATTTTCATTTGTGTCACTGCATTGAGAGAAGATTAGCAGGTAATCATAACAGTTTTTCCTGTGTAAGTGTCATACATGCCTCATTGGGGAGGGGAAATAGCACTGTGGATTGGCTTCTAAGTTCAAATCACACCTGTGCCACCTACTAGTTGTGTGACCTTGAAGAGGTAGGTTCAGTCTCTCCATCCAACAGAGCCACCAAGCAGCAATTGGCTGCTGGAGGAGAAACACAGTACAGCCACATGGGGGCGCTCCTTCCTCTGGGAAGCGTTTCAATGGGCAACGTTGAGTTCAGAGAGGACCTACCAGTGCAGGTTGAAAGGTTCAGAAGTTTGGAAGCAAGAAGGCAATCAGCTTTCCCATCCAGACCAAAAGTTTCATACCCACTTTTTCCATGAACCAAAGGGCACAGGGTGAACAGCCTGGCATTCAGCAGCCCTCCCCGGGAAGTCCTGGCCAGAAAGGGGCAGGCTGGGGAACCGCATTACCTGGTTTCTGATGGAGCCACGACAGGAAGTTTATATGCCAAGGTGATCAGAGCAGTGGCTGTGAAAGATGCCAAGAACAGCATGGCCCCAAGGAGGATGAGGATCTGTGTACTCCTGCAAAGAAGAGAGGATACGGAGAGGAGTGCCCTTCAGTTTCTTGCCCCACACATGCGCTTCCTATGGCACGAAAGGCTGGAAATCCTGACCATCAGAGGTACTTCCTGCTTTTGAGAGGCCCTGCTTTTGAGAGGCTGATGAGTGGCAGGGAGAGCGGGGCTGGGGCTGGAGGACCTGAGGCAGCCTCGGTCTTGACCATCCATTAGTTGTGCCACACCGGGCAGGGCCTTGAGCTTGAGTTTCCTGGTCTAGACAGGAACAGTAATCGCATCCTCGCCTGCCCACCCTGAGGCTTACTATGCAGCTCAAAAGGAGTCCATGCCTGGGAACGTCCCTTGTCATCTATGAAACCCGATATGGATACAAGTGGTGGTTGATTTGGGAGAGAGGACTGTCAAAGGCAGGGTGGGACACGGGGTGGACCCACTCCAAGCACAGGGGAGAGAGGATCGAGAAGGAGGATGGTATGGTTTGGATCTTTGTCCCTGCCCATATCTCATGTGGAATTGTAATCCCCAGTGTTGAAGTGGGGCCTGATAGGAGGTGACTGGATCGTGGGGATGGATTTCCCCCTTGCTGTTCTTGTGATAGTGAGTGAATTCTCATGAGATCTGGCTGTTTAAAAGTGTGTAGCACCTCCCCGCTTTGCTCTCTTCCTCCTGCTCCCACCATATTAAGATGTGCCTGGTTCCCCATCTGCCCTGATTGTAAGTTTCCTGAGGCCTTCCCAGAAGCAGAAGCCTGCACAGCCTGCAGAACCATGAGTCAATTAAACCTCTTTTCTTTATAAATTACCCAGTCTCAGGTAGTTCTTTATAGCATGTGAAAACGGACTAATGCAGAGGGGGAACCAGGCACGCCTTCAACTGAGGAGCAGAGCCTGAGACAAATGTCCGGGTGCAGGTAGTTCACGTGGGTGTAGGAATGAGGGATAGGGTAGGAGAACAGGGAAGCAGGGAAAACCAATACCAGGATGTGCTATCAAGGTGGCCAATGCTCAGTTCTTCCAGAATGTTCCACAGGGCCATATGAAATGTACCTTAAAACTGTCCTGTGAGATGAAAGACAGAAGGATTTTCCCACTGTCTTCTATCTCAAATGGGTTAAGGATGGTCCCACACAAATTAATTCCTCCACACTTTGGGACCGTGCATGTATAAGACTAGGATGTTTCCTGAAGCACCCAGAGTGAGGCGCTGTCTGGTTGTACCTGCTCCGAAGTGTGAGGGTTGGGATTAAGAGGATCCACAGTGGTGTGGAAGAAATGTCAAACACAAGTGCGAGACCATCCAGGCACAGCCTGACCTGGAAAATGCCTTTGACAATGCAATTCTGCTAGTGAAAGTTGCCATGGCTGTTCATGAGGAAGGGATGAGATAGATACTATTCAGTTATCAAGTGATACAGGGAGAAAATTATTTTCAGCCAGAGTACCAATGTTAGTGTAATATTTGGAAAGAAGGATGAATTCTAGCTCCATGATGCTATGATTGATTACTAATGTCTGCTATGAGGGTAAGCAGGGGGTTATGGTAATAATGCTGTATGTATATTTACTATGACTTCTGCCAGACCCCTTAGCTCTTCTCTCCTTGAATTACTGAGCTCCAGAAAGACCTGATTCCACTGGCATTCCATGGAATTATATTCTCTAAAGGAAGAAAAGCCCTACTTTTATATTTCCCTCCACTTATAAGCTAAATCTTGTTGCATAGTCACAAGTTTGGACAGTGTGGGTTTTCAGCTGAAGGACTGAAATCCACCTTCCACGACAGCCTTTGGGAAAGATGCTGACACGGGGCCAGTGCTCCTCAGTCACAAGGACACTCACATGGGTTCCCAGGCAAGTCTAGAGTGCGGAGGCATAAGAACTCAGTGTCCTAGGTAAGTGGTAGTCAGGCCATCCAATAAAAACCCACAGCCACCCGAGTAAATATGTGTTTAACTCCCTGGGGGACTTGAGCCCAGTCCCTGGCACCTACTTCCAAGATCAGTATCTCCACCACAGACTCCACAAGTCTCTTCCAGCTAGCACCATTTCAACTAAACTCATAAATCTTCCTGACATTGAATGTTATGGGCTGAATTATGTCCCCAACAAAGTCCTATGTTGAAATCCTAACCCCCAGTAATTCAGAGTGTGACTGTATTTGAAGATAGAGTCTTTAAAGCAATAATTAACATTAAACGAGGTCATTGGGGTGGGCCTTAATCCAATATGACTGTGTCCTTATAAGAAGAGGAAACTTGGACACAGAAGGAAGAACATGTGAAGACTCAGATGTTTTGTTTTATTATTAATATTCCATTCTGGCAACAGTTAAATTGGATGACTAGAGGACTGAATATTGATGTTCCCTCTACGGAAAGTGATTTATCATTATGATTCAAGAGCGTAAAAGACATTCATGCCCTTTGACCTATTAATTCCCCTCAAAGATATATGTTGTAGAGAAGTATCAAAGTTGGAGACAAATGGTTTCCATGAAAATATTTATCAAGCCATTATTTATGAATGCATAACATTGGAAATAATCCCAGTATTAAACAATAGAAGGTATACATAAATTATATAGTTAGTTCATGGAATGGAATGTTATGCAGACATTTAAATTATGTTGCTTTAAAAATAAAATAATATAGGGAAATGCATGTGTCATAAAACTATTGAAAGAAAGATACCAAGGTGTATATACAGAATGCTTTCATGTATCAAAAGCAGGGCACAGCCTGGGCAACACGGCAAGACCTCATCTCTTTACAGAAGGTAAAAAATTAGCAAGGTGCAGTGGTCCATGCCTGTTACTCGAGAGGTTGAGGCAGGAGAATCGTTTGAGCCCAGGAGTTGGAGGCTGCAGTGAGCTATGATGGCACCACCGCACTATAGCAGCCTGGGTGACAGAGTGAGACCCTCATCTCTTTAAAAAAAAAAAAAAAAAAAAAAAACTGGGCAGAAAAAATATCAGAAGGATAAGCCCCAAAATATTAGCAGCAAATTCTCCTTCCCTTGACTGACAAAGTGGAACTGGGGTGATTATTCCCCCCTCTCTTAACTCCTAATGTTTTCCAATGTTTCTTAAATTGAACATATATTTTAACACAAAGAACAATAAATTTTTAAAATATGGCATGAATAATCCACAACTACAAGTCTCTCCATGAATTATTGAGGCCTTAAGGTGTTTCTAAAACTAACAAAAATTAAGGTGATAAATATCCAATGTGGGAAAGCTGGTGCACCGATACATGGCTGAGGGCGTTGTAAATTACTTCACTCTTTCTGGAGAGCAATCTCACAATATGTGACAAGTGCCACAGAATTGTTCCTACCCTTTGACCTAGCAATTCCAGTTGGAAATCTGCCCCTGTGAAAATAACTAAGAGAAAAAGTAGTGTGTTCAAAGGCATGCATTGCAGTGACATTTATAATCATGAAAAATTGGCCACAATCTAGATACCCAACCATAAAAATGGTAGATAAACCCTAAAACTGCCAAGTATGCAGGTTATGTCAATATGTGGCAATGTTTATAAGAACAGTTAAATGGAAAAAGCTGAGCACTAGATATTACATGCACACACTGATTGTAACTCTGCAAAACACACACTGACTGGCGTAGGATCAATGTTGGAAAAGAATGCAGAAGAAGGCAGACCGTAGAGGATTTGGTATTTACTTTTCTGTAAAGTTTCCTAGATTTTAAAAAGCAGCTCTGCACGGAACTGGGATACTTTCTGAGGGTTTTGTGAAAGAGGGCACATGAGGAGAAAAGCTTGTCCCAATCAGACTCACTTTACATGGATGAAGATAATCACTGGTGTGGTGAGGTGGAACTGGAAGTCATTGGCAAGGTACCAGGTCCAGCCATTGCACTGAAAAGAGAGCAGCAAAGGTCACTCTTCCTTCATTTACCAGTTCTGCTCCACACTCTCCACCTGCCTGGACTAGGAGGAAGAATTTAGTAGGTGGGTGGGGCGAATTTCCATGGGAAGACAAAGGAAATTGAGTTAGAGATATTCATATTTCACATCCCTCATCTTGAGCCTTGTACCAAGCCTGGATGGTGGGTATTATTGCTGCCATTTTACAAAATGGAGATTCAGACAAATTTTCTCTTTTGTTTAAAAAAGCAAAATGATCATAGCCCATCTCCTAGGACAGTTGTGGGAAATGAACTCTGTCATGTTACGGGAATGTAAGAGTTTCTCATCATTATGGTGCGGTTGGAAGTCAGAGGGGTCAACGTTTTTCTCTTTTCTTTGCCTCTCCCCATGCCCCAACTCTAGGTGGAAAGAACATGTTCATTTAGAACCAGGGCTTGGCTCCAGATGATGTTTTGTGGAGAACCCCAGAGTTCCCATGGATGATTGACATGGTCAAAATGAGTTCCACAGACAGTCCATGCTTGTGCCAGATGAGATGGTTACCAGTATTTTTTTCGTCAATGTGAGGAAGCGCCTGGGGGCAATTCTCTCCAAAGGGCCCTGGCACCTCTGCTTTCAAGGATCTAAGGTGGGCTCTACCTCAAAAAGGCCACTGGCTGGTATCCTTGCCACTGCTTCCTGCAAGTGGCCCAAATCAGTTTGCATCAGGGAAAACAGCCCAGATTATCCCCTGGGTACCCCATCACAGACAAGCGGGCCCTACCTGCAGGCAGGTAGCTGGTGATGCAAGCCTGTCCATATGGCTGGGCCTTTGCAAATGGAAGGCAGCCATCTAGTTAGTCAGTTGTTACGTGCAAAGATTAGGGCCCTGCCACGCTTTAGCGATTCCCTTTTCAGCCTTGATTTCAAGGCATATGTGGAATTGGTGATATAATTTCATTACAGCTATTTCACTTTCACTTGCTTCAAATGCATTACGAGGAAACTGGGGCTTTGGAGAAGCCAAGACGCACATAGATCTTGTTGCTCCAAAGCAACAAGATCTTTGAACTTGAGTAGAATTCCACATAGTAAGGGTGTGATGCGATGTCCCATTGCAGTAGAGACTCAACAGGCGGAGGTGAATAATTTGTCCTTTCCCGGTTGGGCAACATGGGCTGGCACAAGAACAGTGATGGGGCAGGGTCAGCTGCCTCCGGGACATGTGCCAGGATGACTGGCCCCTTGTTGGCCAATGCTATGCTCCCCTCCCTCTGCTGTTCACAGCGGCTGCCCTCTGCATAGCCTGGTACGGTTACACCAACTGCATGGCAAGAAGCCATCCCCCACTCACACAGCCCACCTTCCTACAGCATCACCAGTACTCCAGAGAAAATACCAGAATCAGGTTGGCCCTTGGAAAGTTCACCACACTGCTTGAAGAAATGAGACTCCAGGTTTGCACCCTTCTGCCTTTTCAAAGCCAGCAACTTGAGACTCACCGCATTCTTGACCGACACAAAGTTATTTAGCAACAGCAGATTCGTCCACCATGCTTGCCGGCAGTTATCCCAGTGGAATTTGGGCATTTCCCAGACAGGTCCCCAGGGAACAAGAGAGAACAGTCCAACCAACAAGCACATTGAATACAGGTGAAGAGGCTGCAACCTGGCAGGAGAGAACCGAGAGAAAGAAGGTGACTTTCCACCGGGGTCCCTCCAGTCATCTCAGTGGGCACGTGGCGGGTGGGGCATAAGGTGCTCTAAAACAGATTGTTTGTACCGTGGGCAGCTGCCACCCAGCCACACCTCAAACGTTCAAGCATCCACGAGTTCCAGATCACTTACTGAGCACCTATCATGTACTGGCTCAGGTGCTACTGCTGCAAAAATACTGCTATTTATTTCTCTTTTTTTAAGAGACAGGGTCTCACTCACTACGGCCCTGACTTCCACCTCCTGGGCTCAAGCGATCCTCTCACCTCAACCTCCCAATTAGCTAGAACTGCAGGCGCATGCCACCATGTTCCACTAAAAATACTGTTATTTATTGAGCAAGTCATATAGGCCAACCACTGTGGGAGGAGCCTGCTAGAGATTTCTAAACCTCAAAACAATCCTGCAAGGTAGCTATGACCTCCATTTTATGAAGAAATTATAGCTAAGAGAAGATAGGGTGACTTGCCCAAGGTCACCAACCACATAGCAGTACCAAGATCTGACACTGGTTCATGTTCTTTCCACATGGCCTCACACGATGAAAAACTCTTTCTTCCTTCCCTCCCTCACTTGCTTCATTTCTCCCTTCCTTCACGCCCTACCTCCTCCAAGCAAGATCTGAAGCAGCTACAAAGGGGAAGAATCAGGAGTAAGGTGTCTAGACCAGCGCTGTTCAACAGAAACAGGATGCAAGCACAGCTGCCCCCAGTTTTACACTTTCCAGCAGCCACAATTTAAAAGGTAAAAAGAAATAGGTACAAATCATTTTAATGTTATTTATTTAGACCAATATATCCAAAATATTATCATTACAAATACGTACCCAATATGAAACATTGTTAATAAGCTATTTGACATTCTTTTCCCTTTTACTGAGTCTTCAGAGCCCAGTGTGGGCTTTGCACACATAGCACATCTCACTTACCCACTTACCTGGTGGCTATTTGCTGGACAGTGTGGGTTTAGAGTTTAGAAATGAGATTGCAGCCTGGAGGCGCATATAATACTGGCATGGATTCTGCATGGGCTGGGGTCAGAGCCCTCTTCTAAAAGAATATAGCTAAAAATCCAGGGTAGTTTTGGCTCAACTAGGGCAGAACAATGGCCCAGCAGTACCTCCAGACACCTAGGTGAGAGGGTGGGGGCTGGGGTGGTGGTCACAGATGGGAACTGGCAGGACTTGGAGCGTCTCCACTTAGAGGTACATCCCCAGCAGAGAGGGGCTCAGCACCAAGCCTCTGGTCTGCACCTGGGGACGGAGACCATTGATTCCCCTGTTCTCCCCACAATGAGAACGTCCTACATAGAGAGTGTCCGGTGGGTGGGAGGGCGGTAGGCATTCTAGGAGAGGGAGTGGAATTGTTGATCAATGTCATACAGAAAAGGCAGGCAACTCTGTCAAGACACAGCTTCCCAGATCAGCTCGCCTGCGGGTTTGCTCAGGCAACAGCCTCCCTGGGTCCTAGGCACTGGGTCCTGCCATGTTTGCCATCTGACCATGCTGCCCCGCAGCTGCCCCTACAAGCCTCCGGCCCCGCCTTTTTGATCATCCTTCCCACCATCTGTCACCTCCCCTCCCCGGGGAAAGTAGCCAGCGCTGCTCCCTTCAGAAGGAGAGCAGAAGGGAGCATTCCCCTGCCCCCCACTCCAGGCAGCATCCCTCACCTCTGCCAAATCCCCCCTCCCCAGGGTGCTTGTTAAAATGCAGACTTGGAGTCTGCAGGCTGTTGGGTGGGCCACGCCTTGAGTAGCAAGTTCATCTAAACTTTTCACACTGAGAAAATCATGTAATGTCTCCTCTTTCCTCTCCTCTAAAAGGGAAATGAGGGTTTCTGCTTTCTAAGATTTTTTTGAAAATCTAACAAGAAAACAGTTTGAAATATTTAAACCACCCTCAAATATACAGGTGCTACATTTTTGTCCAAGTTTCCAAGAGAATAAAAGTCAAAGTGGGTTTTCAAAGATTAAAATGTGGGATACTGGCCAGTGTGGTGGAGGGGTGAGAAGCAGGGATTCTCATACCTGGTGGGTGGGAAGGTAAATTGGAAAATGCACATTAAATGTTAAATGCCCAAAACCCCCCATTCCACTTGTAGGAATTTAGCCCACAAACATGTCTATACAAGTGCACAAAAATATATAGAGATTATCCCATTGTCTAAGACAGCAAAGAATTTGGACATTAGCTCCATGTCCACTAATGGGGACAAGTTAAATACATAATGGTACCCCACTGTGCCATACTGATAACCTTTAACATCAGGGATGTGGGTTCTTGTGTGCTTATAGAGAAATAGGCCAATTCTGTATTATAAATGAAAACACCACGTACAAACAGTGAAGTATATACTGCAATCCTATGCGTGCAGGAGAAGAACAGTGCTTATAAATACATGGAAAGATTCTGCAAGAATTCCTAAGAAACTGTTAAATACAGGTGTCCTGGGGGGAGTGAGACTAGAAGGGGGACCCTTTATTTTAGTTATAAGCTTCTGTTATAGTTAGACATTTTTATCACAAGGTATAAAAAAAAAAAAACCCTAATTTTTAAAATGTAGCTGCTAGTTGACATAACCAGGCAGTTCTACAGTTCTAGAGCTTTACTCTCTTCCTTTCCTGTTAGATAATCTCTGTCCTGACTTACCCCTAGAAGTTGGGTTTGGGGATTTTCTTATAACTTGCAATAGCTCCCAAATGGTCTCCCCCTATCTGGACCTTACAGCCATTCTCTGCCCTGCAGCCAGAGTGAGTCTTGCAAGATGTAAATCTGCCCATGCCACTCCCTTGCTGGGACCCTTCAGAGGTTTATGTCTCAGAACAACAGGGAGAGTCCTTAGGGCAGCCTCCGCCCGTCTCTGACCTCATTCCTCCCACTGTCCACGTGGCTCACTTCACTCCACACAACACCTTTGGGCTCTTTGAGGCTCTTCACACACTGCGACGCCCCTCCTTCCCCAGGACCTTTGTGATTCGGTTCTCCCGGAATGGACCATTCTTCCCCCACAGGATTTTCTTTGCTTAGAACATTCCTTTATTTTCTTCTGGGCTCTGGCCAAAAGTCACCTCCCCTGACTGCCCTTCCAGAGAAAGCCTCCAGCTTGCTTTCTTCTTTTATTTATTTATTTATTTGGGCAAAGTCTCGTTCTGTCGCCCAGGCTGGAAGGCAGTGGTGCGATCACGGCTCACTGAAGCATCCGCCTCCTGGGCTCAAGCAATCCTCCCACCTCAGCCTCCCAAGGAGCTGGGACCACGGGCACGTGCCACCACACCAGGCTAATTTTTTGTATGTTTTGTAGAAATGAGGTCTCACTATGTTGGCCAGGCTGGTCTCAAACTCCTGGGCTCAGGGGATCGTCCCACCTTTGCCTCCCAAAGTGCTGGGATTGTAAGGCGTGAGCCACTGCACCCAGCCTCTTCTCCAAATGATCACTTTGTGGCACCCATCCTCCCTGGCCTAGCATACATTTATTTGCATGCTGCAACTTCAAATTGCATATTCATTTATTTATTGTCTGCCTGTATTCACTGGAATGTAACCTGAGGGCTGGAAGGCACATTTGCATGGCTTATTAAAACTCTGTTCTCAGGGCTTAGGACAGCGCCTAGCACAAAATGGGCCTCAGAATGAGTGAATGAACAGATGGTCTGACCCCTGTCCTCCTGGAGATAAGCAGACAAGTGATAAGTGCTAACCAGGTAGCATCAGTGAGTTATACCAGCACACATGAGAACCTCAAAATGGCCAGGATCATGACTGTTTTTTCACTGGGGTTACCTTAGTGAGGGTGAGTTCAACTTGTGGGTTTGTGACAGTTCCCTCCATTTTCAAAAAAATTTTTTCCCAGGTTGGACTGATTGTCTCCCTAGGCTCCCACTCTGACCTGCCTCCCTTCCAGAGTTCCCCAGCTCAAGAATGCCAGCACCACCTGCCATGTTGCTCAAGCCAGAAAATTCCTGAGTCCTTGATTTCTCCTCTCTCCATTCCCACTGCCAATTGCCAGTGCAAACCCTGCTCTCCTGCCCAGACACTGCAGTAATTTACTCACTGGGGTCCTTGTCTTACAAGGTCTCACTACCACCCAACTCTCACCCCGTGCTCCTCCTGCCCCTACCACTGCTCTATCCACCTTGAAAAAACCCCTCTCTCCTCAATCCCCAGCTCCAGACTTTTACTCTGAAGTAGGTTTCCCAAGGCTGGATGCAGTGGCTCACACTTGTATTCCTAGCATTTTGGGAGGCCAAAGCGGACAGATTATCTGAGGTCAGGAGTTTGAGACCAGCCTGGCCAACACAAAAAACCCTGTCTCTACTAAAAATACAAAAATGAGCCAGGCATGGTGGTGGGTACCTGTAATCCCAGCTACTCAGAAGGCTGAGGCAGGAGAATCACTTGAACTCAGGAGGAAGAGGTTGCAATGAGCCAAGATCGTGCCACTGCACTCCAGCCCGGGCGATAGAGCAAGACTCCATCTCAAAAAATAAATAAATAGGCCAGGGATGGTGGCTCATGCCTGTAATCCCAGCACTTCGGGAGGCCGAGGCAGGCGGATCACCTGAGGTCAGGAGTCCAAGACCAGACTCATCAATATGATGAAACCCCGTCTCTACTAAAAATACAAAAATTAGGGGGTCATGGTCGTGCATGCCTGTAATCCCAGCTACTCGGGAGGCTGAGACAGGAGAATTGCTTGAACCCGGGAGGCGGAGGTTGCAGTGAGCCGAGATCGTGACATTGCAGTCCAGCCTGGGCAACAAAAGCGAAACTCCATCTCAAAAAATAAATTAAATAAATAAATAAAATAAAATAAAATAAAATAAAAAAGTTGGTTTCCCAAGCAGAACCCACCATGCCATTAGATCCCCTGCCCCAACCCCCACCTAACCCCTCTGAGCATTTATCACCATGACCCCTCATCCTGTATGCCAGCCTCTCACCTCCAGAAAACCTCAGGGCAGGACAGGCTGCTTACCCCAGTGCCACACACCCAAAATATATTGAAATCATAAGCCTTCTGCCCTTCCCTGGAGGAGGGTTAGATTTTATAAAGCTTGGAAGAAACCACAAAGACTGTGGTGAAAAGAAACCAACAAAGGTCTATTCCTTAGCTTCTCCCCATTCTTCACCTATTTGATGGAAAGCTTAAAAGGTATAAATAACCACCACGCTAATAATGATAGCTCCTACGTATTGAGGGCTTACTATGTATAAAGCACCCTTCCAAGTTCTTTACATACATTATCTCATTGAATCCTCACAAGAGTCCTGTGATGTGTCACTATTCTTCCCATTTTAGAGATGAGCAAATGCAAGCACAGAAAGACTGAGAGAGACACTTAACTCAAGGTCACACCGCTGCTATGTGATTGAGCCAGAATACACGCTCAGCAGTCCAACTACAGAGTCTGCACTTGCCCACTGCATTTCACTAGTCCCAAAGATTATGACAACACTCCTCTTCCTATTTTGTGACAGTGTGGTATAACAAGATGAACGTGAACCAGGAGTCAGGAGTGCTGGCTTCCAGCTCAGCAAATAACCACGACATAGAAAATATATCAATGGCAGGGTTGGATGACATGAGCTGAAGTTTCCTTTTCTCCCTTAACTTTGTTGTTTTTTTTGTTTGTTTGTTTTGAGACAGGGTCTCACTCTGTTGCCCACGCTGGAGTGCAGTGGCAGGATCTTGGCTCACTGCAACCTCCACCTCCGGAGTTCAAGTGATTCTCCCACCTCAACTTCCCGAGTAGCTGGGATTACAGTCGTGTGCCACCACGCTCAGCTAATCATTTGTATTTTTGGTAGAGAAAGGGTTTCACCATGTTAGCCAGGCTGGTCTCAAACTCCTCACCTCAAGTGATATGCCCCCCTCAGCCTCCCAAGGGCCTCCCCAAAACGCCTGAGATTACAGGCATGAGCCACTGTGCCCAGCCCTTCCTCCCTTAACTTTGGTTGTCTCATTCTGTCACTGCCACTCTGCTACCACCGATTCCGTATTCTGCCCCAGTGTTGGAATCCCTTCTGCATCAACCAACCACACATTCCTAAAGGAGACCGTCAGCTAGGCACGGTGGCTCACGCCTGCAATCCCAGGACTTTGGGAGGCCGAGACAGGCAGATCACGAGGTCAGGAGTTCAAGACCAGCCTGGCCAACATAGTGAAACCCCGTCTCTACTAAAAATACAAAAAAAAATCAAATCAAATATTAGCCAGTCATGGTGGCGGGCGCCTGTAATCCCACCTACTCAGGAGGCTGAGGCAGGAGAATTGCTTGAACCCAGCAGGCAGAGGTTGAAGTGAGCAGAGATGGCGTCACTGCACTCCAGCCTGGGTCACAGTGCGAGACTCTGTCTCAAAAACAAAAAAAAAAAAAAAAAAAAAAGGAGATCGTCATTCTTCCTGCCTCCCTCCCAGCAGAATGGCCATGGCCCAGAGCTTCAACCAAGTTCCTTTCCTGGTCACGTACTGTTTTATTTTTATCATTACCATTAGCACTCTGATTTATAGGATCCAATTACTACTAATTTGCAGACAAACAAATTTTCCTGTTGAATACAGATTCCATGGAAATCTGACAGTGCATTTATTGAACTCTGCTGCCCATCAGCTGAGGACTAAGGATGTTTTTGCCAGTGGAACATACCAGTTTTCATGGTATTTGTCCCAGTAGAATTTGATCCATATTAAACCAGCTTAAATCAACTGTATTTAGGGAAGAAAACTATTTCTTTCAGTTTATTTTTCTTTGGAAATTCTTTGAAAAGAGGGTTAAAGACAGAAAACTAATAAATCGTTACATAGCAATGAGGAATTGAGAAATTAAGTAAATAAACCTACTGTCAGGCCTCTGAGCCCAAGCTAAGCCATCATATCCCCTGTGACCTGCACATATACATCCAGATGGCCTGAAGCAACTGAAGATCCACAAAAGAAGTGAAAATAGCCTTAACTGATGACGTTCCACCATTGTGATTTGTTTCTGCCCCACCCTAACTGATCAATGTACTTTGTAATCTCCCCCACCCTTAAGAAGTTTCTTTGTAATTCTCCCCACCCTTGAGAATGTACTTTGTGAGATCCACCCACTGCCCCCCGCAAAACATTGCTCCTAACTCCACCGCCTATACCAAAACCTATAAGAACTAATGAAAAGCCCACCACCCTTTGCTGACTCTCTTTTCGGACTCAGCCCACCTGCACCCAGGTGAAATAAACAGCCTTGTTGCTTGCACAAAGCCTGTCTGGTGGTCTCTTCACACGGACACACGTGACACCTACCTTACCAGGTGACTGAGAAAGTATCTGAGTATGCCTTTGGGGGTTATTCCTTTGTCTGAATTCTGATGCATCTTTAAAAACGAACTTGCACTTAACCAACCACTAAAAGAAAAAGAAGAATTGTCGCAGGAATTACTTATCAATAATACATTCATTGATTGATTCATTTGGTTGTCCCAATCTGTACAGAATAAATTATGATGCATTAACAAAGCACCTCCAAGTCTTAAAACAATTTTTTTTTAAGACGGTGTCTAGTTCTGTCACCAAGGCTGGAGTGCAGTGGCGCAATCTCGGCTCACTGCAACCTCCACCTCTCGGGTTCAAGCGATTCTCCTGCCTCAGCCTCCCAAGCAGCTGGGATTACAGGCACCTACCACCACACCTAGCTAATTTTTGTATTTTTAGTAGAGACAGAGTTTCACCATGTTGGCCAGGCTGGTCTCGAACTCCTGACCTCATGATCCACCCGCCTCGGCCTCCCAAAGTGCTGGGATTACAAGCGTGAGCCACGGTGGCCAGCCAAAAACAATTGTTTTGTTCTTGCTCATGCTGCATGCCCAGGTTGACAGAGCAGCTACCATCTGAAACCTCACTAGTGACCATGGAAGATGACAACAGCATTCTGGAGGGCCACAAAATAGCAACGAAACCCTCTAATCTAAAAGTGTCACGTTTTAAGCTCTTAGCATAAGAGTCTAAAGCACTTAGCGCAATGGCAATACCAGGTACCACTTGGTCAGAACTAATGATGTGACCCACCCAATCACAATGGGTCCAGGAAGTGGAATGTTGCCAAGTGCCCAAAAGGGAGGAACACAGAAAGATTTGTTGAACAATATTAATGACTACCATTTGGTCTTTTGAAATAATAACACCAAGACTTTCCATTTGTGTAGCAGCACATCACTTTCAAAGTACTTTCGCTAATGAGATTGCTTTCCCTTCTCCAGTCGTACAAAACTACTTTGCAAAAAACATTTGTTGGCCAGACCCAGTGACTCACACCTGTAATCCCAGTGCTTTGGGAGATGGGTGGATCACCTGAGTTCAGGAGTTCAAGACCAGCCTGGCCAACGTGGCAAAACACCACCTCTACTAAAAATACAAAAATTTGCTGAGCGTGGTGGCATGTGCCTGCAGTCCCAGCTACTCAGGAGGCTGAGGCAGGAGAATCGTTTGAACCTGAGAGGTGGAGGTTGCAGTGAGCCGAGATGGCACCACTGTACTCCAGCCTGGATGACAGAGCGAGACTCCATCCCAAAAAAATAAATAGTTGTTTGTTGAGTGAATGATTGAATAGATGAATAATAGATGAATAAACAGCTCTATTAGGTAAAAAGGAAGACACTTTCATTTTGGCTTCTCTGATGGGAAAAGTGAGACCTAGAGATTATTAAGAGGGTTGCCCAAGATCACAGAATTCTTAACCAACATACCCTGATGACAAATTCATTACCCAGAATGTGCAGCTAAAGAAACAAAAGTTATGCCTTTTAATTGCTACTGGATGGTAAGCAAGTATGTGAGTTTCTCAAACTTTTGACATTTATACCAGTGATCCTTGTGGGTGTTTCCCTAAAGAGCTAATGTATTTCCTATTGTAAAACAAAGCTGTGTGTTGGGTGGGACTTGGAAGGGATCAGGGAGGGTTGGAGAATGTCTCCATTCTCTGCCTTCCAGATTTTCCTTTGAAAAGCAGCAAGTTGGACTCATTAAATAGGAACAAAATTTATAGAGACATCTAAAAGACAGTGCTAAGAGGAGGAAGCAGGGCAGCCAATTCTGATTCCGGCCTCCTATTAATTTCAGGAAAGGATAAATCAGGGCGATTCTTTCTTTTCAGAGTGACTGGCTCCCCCTCTGCCAACACGGTTGCTAAGCAAAGCCTGGGCCTCGCTGTGTGTGTGGGCATGCACCTCCCGGCCTGCAAGTTCATCAAGAGAGGGCAACGAGAAAGACTGGCAGGAAAACAGGCTCTGAGCAAGATAGCTAGCTCCAAGGGGCTAAGACCCAAAGACCTGAACACACTGCAACAGAGCAAAGCACGCACTAGTGTTGGATGAAGTCAGCCCGAGAGGTGAGAGAGGATTACAAAACAGTCGCCAACAAATTATTCTTCAAGATAATCAGAAGGCTTTGCTTTTACTATGTAAATATCAGTGACATAGTGAGTAAGACATGGTTTCCTTGTGAAACAAGCTATACGTAAGCTCTAATTCTAACCTTACTAACTGTGTAGACTTGGACAAATTACCTCATTACTGAACATCAAGAAGTTTCTCATCTGTAAAAATGGGGATGATATGGGTACCAGTTTTATAGGTTTATTGTGAGAATTGCATGGGATAAAATATTTCAAGCTCTTAGCATAATGGTAATACTAGGTATCACTATTAATAATGGTTCCATTGTTCAAAAGAAAATTTTAAATAAAAGAAAATATGAACCTTTGAAAGTAATACAATAAAAACTAAAGGAAAAGGAAAAAAAGACAGTCACAGAGACTGATGGTGAGAAATGGAAGCAAATAGGGATAAAGAGAAAAGAAATGTACTTCTCTGTCTCTAGGCTGCTGTCAGAATCTGCCTGGCTTCGGCCACCTCTGTTGGCCTCGGCTTTTCCTGCCTGGGCTCACACAGAGCTGCTCAGGCTTCAGCAGGCACAACCTGGAGAGCTTGTGACAGTCCAGATTGCTGGAGCCATGCCCCCAGAAAGTCTGATTCAATGGGTCTAGGGTGGCGCCCAAGAATTTGCACTTCTACCAATTCCAGGTGATGCTGGTGAAACTGCACCGGGACGGCTCTCTGAGGACCACTGACATAAGGCACGGCCCTCCCTGACCCCAGACCAACCCAGGTGGGAGATAAATCATCTACATATTTGTAGTTTTCTGGGCTGTTTTGTATTTCAATAGCCTTGGCCTGTGCTTTAGATATCTCAGGACTGACCTCGTGGCTTCTCTGGTGTCTCCGATTCCCACTGATGGCCCAGACATGACCAGTGGCCTTTCGTGCCCTCCATCTTTCCATCCTAGTGACAGGTTTCCTAGTCCCCAGATTGAGTTTGGCTTCGGTGCCTGTCATCCTGATCTGTCCTCGCCAGTGTCCCTCCCAGGGCTTGGACCCTGCCAGTCAGTCCCACCCCAGCATACAGACGTTTTTGCCTGGCTTGTAGGGAACAGAGTTCTGGTCTTTGCCTGCTGCCCCGTGGCAGAGCCTCCCCGTCCTCCAGGGGCCCACTCCCGGTCTTCTGCAGCTGGGCTTCCCCTGCCTGGTGAGACCCAGTGCTGCCGTCTTGGAAAGTCTAGAGCCCAGGGATTCCTGTATCACTGCTGGGTTTGCTGCATACTGTGGACCCTGAGCCTGGCCTGTCTGGGCTACTTGCCACCTCCTAGCACGATCCTTAATGGACAGGTCTGAGCTCGTTCTTCATCCCTCTTCCTCAGCATTACCACAAGAAACTATACACTAGATTCTGGAAATAAGACAAGAAATCATTCATTTCAACAATGACTTATTGAACAATACTCTGTGGCTAGCACTGCTTCAGTGACCTGGTGACACAGCAGTGCACAAAACAGAAAAACAAACTTTCTGCCTTACATTCCACTGGAGAGACACAGACAATTAATCAATCAATCAAAAATGGCAGCTATAGTATGTTGGATCAAGAGAAAAAATGAAGTCAAGAAGGCTAGGTAGTTGCACTTCAAACAGAGGGGACGAGGAAGGCTTTGCTGTGTAAAAACTTGAAGGAGAAGAGGAATCAAGCCACCAGGCTGTTAGGGAGGTAAGTGTCACAGAAAGTGGCTGGTGATTAGTCATCCCTTACTGTTGCTCTGTGCAGCATGGGAGCTAGTTCTCCCCTAACTGTGTGGGTCACACACATTTGAATTTAATGACTTTTTTTTTTTCAAGACAGAGTCTCACTGTTGCCCAGGCTTGAGTGCAGTGGCATGATCTCGGCTCACTGTAACCTCTGTCTCCCAGGTTCAAGCGATTCTCCTGCCTCAGCCTCCAAGTAGCTGGGACTACCACGCCCACCTAATTTCTGTATTTTTTGCAGAGACAGGGTTTTGTCATGTTGGCCAGGCTGATCTTGAACTCCTGGCCTCAAGCGATTAGCCTGCCTTGACCTCCCAAAGTGCTGGGATTACAGGTGTGAGCCACCACGCCCGGCCTTAATGGCCTTTTTTAAAAAACAGGGGCACTTATGAAAACATTGCTCTGTGGCTATTGTAGTTTGACCTACAATAGCATCTCCAGCAGCCATCAGTTTGCCCCTTTCTCCTCAGTCATTCTCAACATACCATAGGTATGTCTTGAGTCCCTTCTCTTTTAGCAACCTTCCTTGGTGCCCCGTACAGAGCCCAGCTCCACTCCATTTCTTTTCTCCCTTAAACAGCAAAACATCTTGAAAGAGTTGTCCAAAGTCATTGTGTCTGCATCCTCCCATCCTCACCCCACTCCACCAGACTTCCACGTCCACCACGCCACTGACTCTGCTCCTGACAATGTCACCAAAAGGCAGGCCTCTGGTTGCCAAAGCCAAAAATTGTTTCTTTACACAATCAACTCCCGGAGCATTGGGCCCCGCTGACCACAGCGTTCCTCCTTGAGGCACTTTCTTCTCTTGGCTTCCTGGTCCCCAGTGTCTGACTTGTGCCCCATTTCACTGGTCACTCATTCTCAGACTCCTTTGTGGGTTCTTCTCAGCTTCTAAAGGTTGGAACACCAGAGGTCCTGGCCTTCAGTCCCCATCGGTCATTCCATTCTCCTCTTAATGTGATCAGATTCAATACTGTGGCTTTAAATGCCTCCTATATCCCAAGGACTCCAAAATTTATGTCTCCAGCCTTGATGTTTCCACTGATCTCCCGACTTACAAATGTCAGCTACCATATCATGAGTTATGATATGACTTATGAATGTCAGCTACCATATCACAAGTTATGATATGACTTATAAATGTCAGCTACCATATCACAAGTTATGATATGACTTATGAATGTCAGCTACCATATCACAAAGTTATGATATGACTTATAAATGTCAGCTACCATATCACAAGTTATGATATGACTTATGAATGTCAGCTACCATATCACAAAGTTATGATATGACTTATAAATGTCAGCTACCATATCACAAGTTATGATATGACTTATGAATGTCAGCTACCATATCACAAGTTATGACATGACTTGTGAATGTCAGCTATCATATCACGAGTTATGATATGACTTACAAATGTCAGCTACCATATCACGAGTTATGACATGACTTACGAATGTCAGCTATCATATCACGAGTTATGATATGACTTACAAATGTCAGCTACCACATCACGAGTTATGATATGACTTAAGAATGTCAGCTACCATATCACGAGTTATGATATGACTTATGAATGTCAGCTATCATATCACAAGTTATGATGTGACTCATGATAGGTCAGCTACTCACCTGACATTTCTATGTGGCTGTCTAAAAGGCCCCTTCATCTTAATTCATCCAAAACAGAAAGCTTGGTTTTCCCTCCAGACCCTGCTTCTCCTCCCACCTTTTCCATCTTAATGAATGCCATCACCATCGACTCAGACACTGAAACGCAAATCTAGAAATCATCCTCAACTTGTCTCTTTTCTGACACTTCACATCTGATGCATCAACAAGCCTTAGCAATTCCACATCTTAAACACATCCTGAATGTGACCTTCTTTCTTGATTCCAGCCACCATCACCCCAGCCTTACCATTTCTCATCTAAAATAGGGCAAAGGTCACCTAGTTGATCCTGCTTCCACTCTTGCCCTTCTTAGGTGCATTATTCACATAGGAGCCAGAGTGATCATTTTTCAAATAAACCAGATCACATCACTGTCCAGATTAAAACAAGCTCTCTCACTCCTTCCCGTTCCACCAAGACGGAAGTCTAAACTCCTTAGTGTTGTTACAAGGTCCCCCATGGTCTAGCCTTGCCCTTCTCTTGTGTTTTCTGCCACTCTTCCTCACCTTCACTAAGCTTCAACCTTCTTTCTTCTCCTTAATAAGGCTCCCGAGCTCTTGCCTGAGCACGTTTGCACTAATTGATCCTTTGCCTGAACTTTCTTGTCTCAGATTTTCCCATGGCCAGCTCCTTCTTGCCATTCCGGTCCCAGCTGAAATAGCACCTCATCCATCAGACAAGCCTTCTGAGACCTTTGGAACTAGATAAAAGTGGTTGTGCAGGCTGGGTGCCGTGGCTTACACCTGTAATCCCAACACTTTGGGAGGCCAAGGTGGTCAGATCACCTGAGGTCAGGAGTTCGAGACCAGCCTGGCCAACATGGCGAAACCCCATCTCTACTAAAAATATAAAAATTAGCCAGCCATGGTGGCAGGCGCCTGTAGTTCCAGCTACTCGGGAGGCTGAGACAGGAGAATCGCTTGAACCCAGGAGGCAGAGGTTGTGGTGAGCCAAAATTGCGCCACTGCACTCCAGCCTGGATGGCAGAGTGAGACTCTATCTCAAAAAAAAAAAAAAAAAAAAAAAAAAAAGTGGTTGTGCAATATTGTAAATGTATTAAATGCCCTGAATTTTACACTAAGTGGTTAATTTTATGTTATGTAAATTTTACCCCAATTTTTAAAAGCAAAAATGAGAATTTTCATGAGGATTAAATGAGATACTATTTCAACGTGCTTACCACAGTGCCTGACATTTCTCAAACAATTAAGAAATTTTACCTGTTAATAGTTCATATAAATAAACATAACTTTATGAAACATCATGCCATTTTCTGAATTTTTCCCATTTCACTATAGTGAGAAGTCGGAACTTCATCAAGCACCTGTACCACTCTGTGGGCCAGAATTTGAGAAGCACTGAAATAAACAATTTTGATGAATACAATCAATGTTTAAAAGGCCTGTGTTATAGAGCCATCCTAACTCATGTAATAAACGGAAGATACAGTGGAGAGTCTCCTGTGACAACAGTACTGTCTAGAAATGGACAAAGGCTCAGATGAATAAATGTGGGTCATTCCGCTTTTCTCATTAGAGTGAGAATGGTAACACATATGCATACACATATCCCAAAACAAACACCACAAGCCCTACAGCACTGAAAACGTAGTTCAACCTTATTACCTGATCAGGAAAAATGTATCAACTCCAAGATAGAAGGGACCACTCCAAGAGTAAACACACAGTGGGTTTCTAAGCACTCTGCTGTTCCATTCAAGCACATTATCTGTAACAAACATTAAAAAGCAGTGTCTTTTTGTTTCATAGAAGAAAATCATGTGATTTCTCTTTTCAGAAAAAGCAAGAGGAACACCTTCGACTTTCAGTTGTGCTGGGCAGGCTTTAAGAATCACTATAGGCCAGGCACAGTGGCTCACGCCTGTAATCCCAGCACTTTGGGAGGCCAAGGCAGGCAGATCATGAGGTCAGGAGTTCAAGACCAACCTGGCCAACATAGTGAATCCCCGTCTCTACTAAAAACACAAAAAATTAGCCAGCCATGGTGGTGGGCACCCATAATCCCAGCTACTTGGGAGGCTGAGGCAGGAGAATCACTTGAACGCAGGAGGTGGAGGTTGCAGTGAGCCGAGATCATGCCATTGTACTCCAGCCTGGGGGTGACAGAGTGAGATTCTGTCTCAAGAAAAAAAAAAAAAAAAAAGAAGAAGAATCAATGTAATTCATGTCGAAGGAGAAGTTAGACTGGGAATAAAAGGCAGTGACTGAGGTCCCTACTGGTCGTTCAGGAGCTTTGAGCTCCTTTGTGCACTCACGGTGGCCACAGCCCCCCTGGACTGTAGCACCACCTATTCATGGGCTGGTGCAGACCACCCGGGAGGCTTCTTCAATCTGCCCTGGGCTGTGTTTACTCCCTATTTAGAGAGTACCACTATTATTGATAGGAGCGCTTCAGGAGGGTAGCAGCAGGGAGAAGGTGGAGAAACACTGATTTGATATTAGTGGACCATGTTTATGCTTGTCTGCTTTTCAAGGAAAAATAAATGTTAGGTCCTGGCTTCACTAACCATGATGAGAGAGAATTCGGCTCTTTGGATAACGAAAATACAATACCCAGGTATCACTATATACCTGGCAGCCAGGTACCTGATTTATACCTAGAGGGAGTGAAAGGAGCCACTAGACACTGGCCTGGAAAGCTTACTGATGGGAGGTTACACACAGTGTGTCTAAAACAGAAGGAAGTCTGCTCGTGGGAAGGCTGCCAGTCTCCCATCCTTTGGCCAACGTGATCCCGCCATACCAAAGAATGTCTCTTCCCTGACTGCTCCTAGAGTAAAGGCTCATCAACTCTCCGCACCCAAAGACAGCCATGCAGTCATCTGACTGGTGTGTCCCGAGATGATCCAAAGAAGACTCAAGACACGAATGCCATTCAGTGCAGAGCAGGTGCCACCTGGTGCCTTTGTAGTCCAGATGGCTGGCACATTCTTCTGCCAAGAAAAGCACTCCAGAGCATGAGCCACGGCTCCTAGAAACCCTGGGCAAGAGCAAAGATGTTACTGTCCACCTTGACTGCCAGGGTATCCACACACCACCCCGCAACAAGAACCAAAGCACAATCCACAGATCTTGGCAGTTACTCGGAGGCTCTCTTGCTCTGACCCTGGGCTTCTCAGCTCAGCCTCCGTGGTTCCATCTTCATCTATCTGTGGACTTTCATACTTGGTATCCCTCCCTTTTGAATCTTGACTTTCCCTAACAGACTTGACCTGAGTTTGGTGCCCCACATGCTTTGCACAGAATACGCTGCCCAAGCTCAGGCCCCAGAGATGCCAACCCCTGACCCCAGTCCTGCTTGACGAAGAGTTGAGGGAAGGAGAACGCAGACATCAGTAAGAATCGATGTGATACACAAAGCAAGACTTTCACTTGAAAGAACACCCCTGCAATCCTGAGGACTAGTTACTTATGAATAATGAGCCAGGTGCGGTGGCTCACGTCTGTAATCCCAGCACTTTGGGAGGCCGAGGCAGGTGGATCACTTGAGGTCAGGAGTTTGAGACCAGCCTGACCAACATGAAACCCCATCTCTACTAAAAATACAGTTAGCCGGGCATGGTGGTGCATGCCTGTAGTCCCAGCTACTCCGGAAGCTGAGGCAGGAGAATCACTTGAACCCAGGAGGTGGAGGTTGCAGTGAGCTGAGACTGCACCACTGCATTCTAGCCTGGGTGACAGAGTGAGACTCCGTCTCAAAAATAATAATAATAATAATAATAATAATAATAATAATAATGAATAACAACCCTAACGTAGGTCAAAGTATAGGCATGAAAACAGAAGGACCAGTGGCACAGGAGCTTAGGGCACAGGCCATATAGCCAGATGCTCCTGGCTCTGATTCTGTCATTTATCAGCTCTGTGACCCCCGGCAAGTGAATTAACCTCTCTGTGTCTAAGTTTCCACATCTGCAAAATAATCAAAGTAGATTTTAAAGGATTATCATGAAGAACAAATGAGATAATGCTTATAAATCACATTAAATAGAGGCAACCTAGTATGTACTCGTGAGAACACAGCTACTACTACCACTGTTTTAAGCCCTATCACTTTAAGAATGGTTAATACCATCTTCTTAATTCATTCCCTTTCTTAAAGAATTTAATGTTTACCTATCTGAGAACGAAGCAAGTGTCTGGAATTGCAAAACAGGGGCCTCCAAGCTCAAGCCGGCTCTGAGAGACTCACATTTCCTCCTGGACAGAGCCCCGTGCCTTCAACATTGTGGGCACAAAGAAGTCTTTGCAGAATTAAAACTTATTCACAAATGAGGTCTGGCTCATAACCAAACTCTGGAAATCTAAGGCAATTTCTTAAATTGAAGAATTTAACTACCTAACATTTTGAAGTTCCAGCCGTGAATACAAGTTTTTCCATTTAAGTCACTTTGTGATTGCGTCTCTGTCTGAAGTCACCACACCCACCCTTTTCATTCACAGGGGTTTTCACTCAGGAATTGGCCACAACTACAGCACAACCAGCAGCCTCCTAGAGCTGATTCACCTGCTCCTCCTCAGTTTCCCGAGCAGTGGAGAGATACAGGACCCGGGCTCTGCCAGGTTTGGCCAACTTCTTTAGCCTCCCTGAGCCTCAGTTTCCTCGCTTTTAGAATGGGTATAATTTTTGGTAGGGTTGTAATGGGGATTCTAGAACATCAAATATCTGGTTTGATGCCTCATGTGGCAAGCTAGTGCTCAATATGTTTTGTTACTATGTTTTTTCCATCTAAATTCTGCTAGTGAATGAACTTACCCATCAGTGGTTTATAAAGGTTTCTGAAAATAACTGGTCTAGAGGGAGGACAACCTCCCTGAGGCTCATTTAGCTCATTTGTAAATGGAAAGTGTTATAAACAATAAGAACGTGGGGAGGATTGGCTGAAATGATGCATGCAATCACCGGTTCTCAAAGCAGAGGTCTCTGAGCCAGCAGCTTCAACATCACCTGGGAACTTATTAGAAATGCAGATTCCCAGGCCCCACCACAGACTTACCAGGTCAGAGTCTTTGGGTCAGGGCCCAGGAATCTGTGCTGTAATAGTCTTCCAGGTGACTCTGATGCACTCCAAAGTTGAAGACCCATTGGTTGTGACAATGCTCTAAAAAACTTTGCAGCCACTTCCGGTTTGCTCAATCACAGTGAGCCCACTTTAAGCAACAGGCCGTTAAGTAAGAGCCCTGTTGCCCAGGGGCTGAATCCATAGCTATGTATGTATGTCATGAAAACTTCCTTATACATTCACTCATATTGTTCTCATCTAAAGAGCAAAGGACAGGCTCATGTGACGGGAAAGCATTCTAAGCAAATGCAATGGTTATTTGGAGGATAAAGAGTCAGGAATCCAAATACCCAATTTAGCTCTAAACTTCTAGAAGACACGGTGGTCTTATGTTGATTTGACTCACTGATTAACGTAAAAGTGGAGAGAGAAAAAAATGCTGAATCTCTGGGTCTCTCCGAATTGATTTTTATTTTCAAACATTCAGAGATGTGATATTTTACCTTTGATGGGTTTTTGTTTGTTTTTTCTTTTTGAGACAGGGTCTGGCTCTATCCCCCAGGCTGGAGTGCAGTGATATGAACTCAGTTCACTGCAACCTCCATCTCCAGGCTCATGCAATCCTCCTGGCTCAGCCTCCTGGGTAGCTGGGACTACAGGCACACACCGCCATGCCCGGCTAATTTTTGTATTTTTTGTAGAGACGAGGTTTTGCCACATTGCCCATGCTGGTCTTGAACTCCTGGGTGCAAGCAATCTTCCTGCCTCAGCCTCCCAAAATGTGGGGATTATGGGCGTGAGCCACCACGCCCAGCATCCTTTAATGGTATTAAGTACAAAAATTAAAAACTTGTTATGGCAACAGAACATGGAAAACCCCTATTTTGAGACCACATTTCAATGTGCCTGCTAAAAGAAAGCTAACATAACGTTAATGTCCTGATCATAGGGTGCCTCATTTTGGGTGAGGAACCTAAAGTTTCAGTCCCTAACACCATACCAGGTGTGTCTGGCCTAAATCCTGTGATCCAGCCTTAAAAGGTCGGGCTCTGAGGGCCAGCCTAGCAGAGATGAGCACAATGGTGAATTCTAATGACTGTGGGCTCCACTCCCATCAGAGAGTTGGAAGCACGTGGCATGTCCCTGCAACCCAGCTCTGTGGACGTGGCATGTCCCTGCAACCCAGCTCTGTGGACGTGGTATGTCCCTGCGATCCAGCTGACCCTGCTGCTCACTGAGCGAGGTCAGAGCAGCCCAAGCATGTAGCCTTGGCAGATTTAAGCCCCTACCCTTTCTTTCCTCTCGTGGCTTAACCGAAGAGAATGAGGAAACAAGGAATGAATTTAGGAGGAGGTGGTAAGTGCTCATGATCTCATTTAATTCCTTCCACAGATCCCATTCTATGCCCCTGTTTTACACATGTGGAAACTGAGGTTCATAGAGGTCACACAATCTGACCAAGGTGAGAGTTAGCAATCAAAGCATGTTTGACTGGGTCACAGGATCCCTGAGCATGTGCTCTTTCTGCCACTCCGACTGTGGAACTGTCTACAGGCTGCCGGTGTGGGAGTGCGGGGTTGGGGGCGGGGAGTGGCACAGAGACAGAGGTCTAGAACCACATCGTGTGAAGTAATTGAGGGGTTCTGAGACTTGGACAGGGCCGTCATAACTGCCCTCAACATCTGATGGGGCTGCAATAGAAACAAGAGAGCATGATTATTTTCTGGGCCCTAGAAGGCAAAACCAGGGCCCCTGGTGGGAATTACAGGACAGCAGGGATTGCCTCTCATTCAGAAGCCTGACAGCCAGCACTTCCCATCACAGATGGGTCCACAGGAAGCCACCCGGCTGCTAGAGCTGCTTCCAGCTTTGGGAAAGAGGTTGTGCCAGGGACCTCTAGGCCTTCTTGGCTCCTTCTTATATCATATCTCTGCTTACACATACATGTGTTTTGTTTTTCTTATTGTTGAGCTTTTTGTTGGTGTTGCTACTGTTTTTCTTTTGGCCTTAAGACCCGAATAGGGCTGGGCGCAGTGGCCCACGCCTAGAATCCCAGCACTTTGGAAGGTTGAGGCGAGTGGATCATTTGAGCCCGGGAGCTTGAGACCAGCCTGGGCAGCACATGGCAAAACCCCATCTCTACTAAAAATACAAAGATCATTTGAGCCAGGAGGCGGAGATGGCAGTGAGCTGAGATCATGCCACTGCACTCCAGCCTGGGTGACAGAGGGAGACCCTGTCCCAAAAAAAAAAAAAAAAAAAAAATCTGAATAGGATTTGAGAAAATAATTTCTATGCCTTCCACAGTAGGCATATTCCCTGAAGCTACTTATCATTTATTCATATCCATTCATATCCTTCTAGTTCATTCACTGAAATTTCTTTTCTTTTCTTTTCTTTTCTTTTTTTGAGACAGTCTTGCTCTTGTCACCCAGGCTGGAGTGCAGTGGCACGATCTCAGCTCATTGCAACCTTTGCCTCCTGGGTTCAAGCAATTCTCCTGCCTCAGCCTCCCGAATAGCCAGGATTACAGGCACCCACCACCATGCCTGGCTAATTTTTGTATTTTTAGAAGAGACGAGGTTTCACCATGTTGGCCAGGTTAGTCTCGAACTCTTGACCTCAGGTGATCCACCCGCCTCGGCCTCCCAAAGTGCTGGGATTAGAGGGGTGAGCCACCGAGCCCAGCCATTTCATTTTTATTTTTATCCCCCTAGTTGCAGTAAGAAAGGATAATTGTGTGGACCTAAAAGAAATCTGTCAAATATTATTCCATGCTCTGTTCTTTTTTTTTTTTGATTCAGGGTCTTACTCTGTTGCCTGGCTAATTTTTAATTTTTTTTTTTTTTTGTAGAGATGGGGGTCTTGCTGCATTACACAGGCTGGCCTCAAACTCCCGAGCTCAATCAGTCCTCCCACCTTGACATCCCAAAAGTGCTAGGATTACGGGCATAAGCCACTGAGCCCGACCCTCTTATTCCACATGTTCTGAAGGTACTTGAGTGACCAGGCTTTTTTGTGTGAGAGAGAGACACATTCTGTTTGCCTTGGTGTATAGGTAGGCAGGTAGAAATGAAGGCAATGCTCCTGATTTTTCACTAAAACCCAATGCAGTCTATCTCATCAAAATCCGGCCTCTCACTACCTATGCTGGGTTAATCTGTTTCTGGCTCACACATAGCATGCTGTGTGAATTAGCTTGTGTTGCACACTCAACACCCTCCCTTCAGTTTCTATGTAAATCACTCCCCTTCCTGGTGATGTCAGGAAGCTTCTACGGGTCATGTGTGTAAGTGTGACACTGAAAGCAGACACTGTGGCCATGGAATTGTTCCTTAGAGAATTGCTGCAGTGAAACCCCAAGCCCTGTTCTAGTCTTTGATCAGCACAAAAACACACTGGATAATTGTACCCACAAAATAAAGCAGCATTTTTAGCGACCTTGCCTGACCTTAGCATGCTGCTGGTAAACAAAGATGGGACTGTCAAGAGCGGAGATCCAACCTCCACACTGACATTTGGAAGCTGCCGGGCGTTTGCTAGAAGCCAGCACTGTAGGCATTCGTTTCCAACTGCACACTCGGCTAAGTCACTTCTCCTGGGTGGTCTTAGTTTCATTCAAATGCCTACTTTTTCCTCTGCTGGAGGCTGCTGACAGGAGGAGATGTGCCCGGCAGTGTGTCCGTGGGATTCTGCTTCTTTGTTCATTGCTCTCCGCCTCGCTCAGTGGCAGACTCCCGTAAGTGGCCAGAGGTTCCCCGTGTTCCCGCGATGTCCTGCAGGCTGACCCCCATTCCCTAGCTGCCACGCAGACTGTTCCAGCCGGAGGGAGGATGAGACCCAGCAAGGTGATGAACCTGCAGGAAGAAGACACAACAGCTGTGCCTTCCCTCATCTCAGGACACCGAAACAAGACGCCGAGAAAACGGGCCTGTGAAAAGCAAACCGCTGCATACTTACGTAGAAAAACCTTTAACAATTTTAAGGATGGAGAATGATGCTGTAAGAATAAAACTAATGAAAAAAGAGAAAAAATATAAAGGAAAATATTAATGGATTTCACTTAACTTGTCATAATTATTTTTAAAATCTTAAAGCAACCAAAATACTGAGGAAGATGTCTGCAGCTGATATGACTCAGAATTAATATTCTTTATATACATAATAAACTTTAAAAATTAGTAAGAACCTGGCTGGGTGCGGTGGCTCACACCTGTAATCCCAGCACTTTGGGAGGCCGAGGTGGGCAGATCACCTGAGGTCAGGAGTTTGAGACCAGCCTGGCCTACATGGTGAAACCCCAACTCTACTGAAAATACAAAAATTAGCTGGGCATGGTGGTGTGTGCCTGTAGTTCCAGCTACTTGGGAGGCTGAGGCAGGAGATTCTCTTGAACCCGGGAGGCAGAGGTTGCAATGAGCTGAGATCGCCCCACTGCACTGCAGCCTGGGTGACAGAGCGAGACTGTCTCAAAAAAAAAAAAAAAAAAAGAAGAGCCTAACTAATACACACATGGAAAAGGGGGTAAAGAATACGAATTTACAAGAGAAAAATACAAGTGACAGATAAACTTAGGAAAGAAAAACCCTCTTTGCCAGTTTTTTGAAGTTGTAAATTAAACCAATGTATTCACCTATCAAATTGGTTCCACTTTTTATAAAGGTAGTAGCTTTTGATGCTGGTGAGAGGGTAAAGGAACACATGAGAGTTTCCTACTGGGGGCAGGAAAAATGAATTGTTCAGGAAAACAGCATCAAATGGTTCAAGTTATGACCCAGCAATTGTACTTCTATTTAATTTATGCTAAGAGGCCGGGCGCAGTGGCTCACGCCTGTGATCCCAGCACTTTGGGAGGCTGAGGCAGACAGATCATGAGGTCAGGAGTTCGAGACCAGCCTGGCCAACATGGTGAAACCCCGTCTCTACTACAAAAATATAAAAATTAGCCAGGCATGGTGGCATGTGCCTGTAGTCCCAGCTACTCGGGAGGCTGAGGCAGGAGAATTGCTTGAACCTGGGAGGCGAAGGTTGAAGTAAGCTGAGATCACACCACTGCACTCCAGCCTGGGCAACACCCAAAAAGTATTGGGTGACTTGCTGTAATGTCTGTAGGCAAGGCAATGCCTCAAATAAAAAATTAATCTTCAGTGGTCACCTGACAGCAAGGAACAGGAATGTTTTGGGATAGAATACATTTCTCAGTGGTCCTGAAACCAATCACACTGGGCATGGTCGGCCTTCCCCTTGAACAATTGTGCATTTTCTTGTTTAAGGTAAATGGTGGGCTGAGCATGGTGGCTTACGCCTGTAATGCCAGCACTTTGGGAGGCCAAGGTGGGTGGATCACCTGAGGTCAGGAGTTCGAGACCAGCCTGGCCAACATGATGAAACCCTGTCTCTACTAAAAATACAAAATTAGCCGGGTGCAGTGGCACACGCCTGTAGTCCCAGCTACTCGGGAGGCTGAGACAGGAGAATTGCTTGAACCCGTGAGGTGGAGGCTGCAGTGAGCTGAGATTACGCCACTGCACTCCAGCCTGTGTGACAGAGCAAGACTCTGTCTCAAAAAAAAAAGGTAAATGGTGATCTCCCTGTGTCTCAGTCTATTTGGCTGTTATAACAAAATACCATAGGCTAGGCGGCTTATATGCCCCAGAAATTAATTTCTCACAGTTTTGGAGTCTGGGAAGCCCAGAATCAAAGTGCTGGAAGATTCGGTGTCTGTTGAGAGCCCACTTTCTGGTTCATAGATGGCGCCTTCTAGCTGTGTCCTCACATGGTGGAAGGGGCAAGAGGGCTCTCTGGGGTCCCTTGTCTAAACTACCTGACCCCATTCGTGAAGGCTCTGCCCTCATGACAGGCACCTCTCAAAGGCCCCATCTCTGGATATCATCACATTGCGGGTGAGATTCCAACTTATGAATTTTGTAGAGGAAACAAAAACACTCAGACCATAATATCCTGAAACAGGCAGCACTGGCCAGACATCGTGCAATGAATGAAATGTAATAGTGAAATGCAGTGGATAAGGGGAAGTTGATAAAACAGTACCGACAGATCACAACCCACCCAGGTACCTTGGATGTCCATACTCACAGACATACGGCAGCAAATGTGTCCAGGGGGATCTTTCCAGCAGCACATCTGGTCACACTCCCACCAGACAAGGAGGAAGAATTTATTGTAAAAAGAAAGAGGGAAGGGGCCAAAAATGAAGTATTTCTGAATCTTAAAGTATCTACCAGAAAAGAAAAAGAGAGTGTATAAATCATTTAGTTTGTAATAATGCCTTACATTTTTCCAAGTGTTTTCATATCTATTGTTTCAAAACGAAACTTTTACAGTAAAAAGGGACAGCTGGAGCTGGGTGCAGTGGCGCACGCCTGTAATCCTACACTTGGGAGGAGGCCGAGGCAGGGAGATCACTTGAGGTCAGGAGTTTGAGACCAGCCTGGCCAGCATGGTGAAACCCTGTCTCTACTAAAAATAGAAAAATTAGCCAGGCATGGTGATGCACGTCTGTAGTCCCAGCTACTCGGTAGGCTGAGGCACAAGAATCACTTGAGTCCGGGAGGCAGAGGTTACAGTGAGCCAGTATCATGCCACTGCACTCCAGCCTGGACCACAGAGCGAGACTGTCTCCAAAAAAACAGGGCGGGGACAGCTGGTTTTGAATATATCTGATTTACAGCTGGAGGGAAACAGGGCACAAAAATGTGGAAACTCACGGAATGAGGAACTCTTAGCCTAGCTGGAAGTAAACCCGGGTCTCCTGAATCAGTCTTTTCTCCTGGCCTTTCCTAGCACACGGTACTGGGTACAAAAAAACTAAACACGTGCCATTGCTGGCTCAAATCTATTAGTGAACAAGCCCCCTGAGAGAGAAATGCAATATAAGATGGAAATATACAATTGCAGCCCATAGTCTGGGGAAAGGTGCCGTCTGAAATTAAAGGTAAGAAGCAGCCAGTCAGGACACAGCTGATGAGCACTGGAAGAAATTGCGCGTAAAGATCTTACTGGTAAGACTAGGGCAGTTGTCTCCAATTTTACAAGCCTCAGAATTACCTTGAGGGCCTGTTGGCTCTCTGCCTCCCCTCCCTGCAAGTTTCTGATCCAGGAGGTTCGAGGTGGAACCTGACTTTGCACTTCTGACAAGTTTACAGGTGCTCTTGCTGTGAATCCCAGGAGCACACGGTTAGAATTAAGACCAGGGGACTTCCAAAATCCCCACAAAGGATGGGAACACGGTTTTCCTCCTTCTTTAAAATGGGGATCATAATAGTACCTACCTCGTAGGGTTGTCATGAGAACTAAGTGACACAATGATTGTAAAGCCCTTAGGACAGTGCAGGACAGGCAGTAAGTTTGATAAATGTTGGGTGTTCCTCATCTCACCACACCACATTGCCTAGTCTTGCATTCAAGAGGCTCAAGTTTGAGCTAGCTTGCTGTGTGACCCTGAGCAAGTCGCTTCATCTCTCTGGGTCTCATTTCCTCATCTGCGTAACAGTGAAGGGTGGGTCAGACACGATGTATTCTTTTATTATTATCATACTTTAAGTTCTGGGATACATGTGTAGAATGTGCAGGTTTGTTACATAGGTATACACGTGCCATGGTGGTTTGCTGCACCCATCAACCCGTCATTTAGGTTTTAAGCCCCGAATGCATTAGGTATTTATCCTAATGCTCTCCCTCCTCTTGCCCCCTACCCCCTGACAGGTCCCCGTGTGTGATGTTTCCCTCCCTGTGTCCATGTGTTCTCACTGTTGAACTCCCACTTATGAGTGAGAACATGCAGGGTTTGGTTTTCTGTTCCTGTGTTAGTTTGCTGAGAAAGATGGTTTCCAGCTTCATCCTTGTCCCTGCAAAGGACGTAAACTCATTCTTTTTTAGGGCTGCATAGTATTCCATGGTGTATATGTGCCCCATTTTCTTTATCCAGTCTATCATTGATGGGTATTTGGGTTGGTTCCAAGTCTTTGCTATTGTAAATAATGCTGCAATAAACACAAGGGACATGATGTATTCTAATGTCCTTTCCATCTCTAACCCTCAAGGTTCCCATGAGTCTGTGACCCAAGGGTTTCTGAAATGTCCAAAAATGCTGCTGAAAGACTAATAATATGTGATTAACTGTGATTCTTAATTGTAGCATGGTAAGGGTAGAGACGAGAAGGAAGGGTCATCTGTGTGTCCTCAGCCCTGGCCAAGAGTTGGGGTGCTTGATCTAGGTTACCAGCAGGTTCCCACAGGAGACCTGGCAGCAGAATTTTTCATAATCCAATTCCATTTGCTCTGAACCAATGCTCCCTGGAGCTACTTCCTGTTAGTATTTGGGTATCCAAACTAAACTCTTCCACTGAAAACGAAGTGTACTGACCAGCCAGCGCACGTCTGTTCCCTTTGGAAGTTCTATTTCTAATTTTAAAGGAATCAAATGGCATTTTTGTTTTGGTTTGGTTTTTTTTGTTTTGGTTGGTTGGTTTTTTTGTCAATCAACCACAGCCCAGCTCTAAATCCTGCCATAGTAAACAAAGACAACCGGCAGCCCACGCACATCCAATCGGCCTTAAGTAATCAGCCTTAAATGTCTATGCTGTGCTAGATTCCAGATCTACAAGGGAAATATGAAACCTTTATTGGAAACCTCTGTTGAATCTGTTTTCCAACAACTTCTCACCCCACCCCACCCTGACCTCTTCACTAACACAAGGTCAGCTCAAGCCCTGTCTAAATTCCCCACTCTTACTCTATCCATGCTGGGCTCTGCTTCTCCAGCTTGTATGCCCAGCCCCAGCACTTGATGTGAGGTTGGACATTTCTTTCCTGACAGTGTTTCCTAATAGCTCAGGCACACACACTTTTCTTCCTAACTAAATTGTGCATTTTTTTGAAACGAATACTCTCAATCATTTTGATCCCCTTCCTCCTCCCCAGCGCATACAGGTGATGTCTCATACAAAGGCCAGAGAGAAAATTGCTCAATAAATATTTTCTGAATTGAATTGAGAACACAAAACGGTATTCTGTGAAATGTTTTGGATTCCTTTTGAATCCTTAGCCAGAAAGGCAATTCTATGGGTAATTCAAGGAGTTACTATTAAAAGAGTTCCATTTTCTCCATTGGCGCTCAGGGAATCTGTAAGAGAGAGTTCGAGGAGAAAAATCTTCCCTCGTGCTTCTAGCACAGTTGTTCTGCTATGTAGGCCTAGTGATTCTCACAGGCAAAGCAAGGTGAAATTAGCCTAATAGAGCATAGGAAAGAGCACAGTTTAAAGCTTATTGTAAAGGACTGTTAAACGTTGATTCTAAGCGACTCGGAACTCATTGCTTTTGGCCACTGCAAACTGGGACAGTGTGATAATCATAAAACATTATAAAGTCTCCAATGGGACAGACTTAGAGTGAGTGTGTCTCAGACTTAGAGTGAGTCCCCGAGAATGGAAATATGCAGCTCTTCAGTGTTGTGTCTGGATAAAATCAGACACAAGTCAGTGTTAAACAGACCTTTAAAACAAGCCCCAGGCTGGGTGCGGTGGCTCACACCTGTAATCCCAGCACTTTGGGAGGTTGAGGCAGAAGGATCGCTTGACTCCAGGAGCTTGAGACCAGCCTGGCCAACACAAGGAGACCCCATCTCTACAAAACATTTACAAATTAGCCGGGTGTGGTGGTGCATGCCTGATCTCAGCTATTTGGGAGGTTGAGGTGGAAGGATGGCTTGGACCCAGGAGATAGAGGCGGCAATGAGCCATGATTGTGCCACTGCACTCCAGCCTGGGGGACAGAGCAAATTCTTTTCTCAAAAAAACAAAGCAAAAACAAAAACACCCAAGCCCCTTCTTTGTCAGCTCTTTTGTGGTCCCTGTGACCAGGTAGATTGCCTCTGCCTCACAATTAAACTTCAGCAAGATTATCTAACATTTGTCAAGCATATTCTAAGAGCAGGGCCCTGAGCTAAGGGGCTATGAGTCCCTATCCTCCCAACTCCCTGTTATGTTAAAGGGAACTCAGATAATCTAGCCAGACTAGGAAGTAGGTATTAGGTAGTCTTTTGGGTTGAACTGTGTCCTCCAAAAAGGTTCAAGTCCTAACTCCTAGTACAGCATATGTGATCTTATTTGGAAATAGGGTATTTGCAGATGTAATCAACTTTAAGATGAGGTTAGGGTGGGCCCTAAATCCAGTATGACTGGTGTCCTTATGCGAGGGAAGTTTGGACACGCAGGGAAGAACTCCACATGCAGGTGGAGGTAGAGGTTGGAATGATGTGGCTACAAGCCAAGGAGTGCCAAGAATTGCTGGCAGCCACCAGGCACGTGGAGTGGGGCAAGGAACAGACTCTCCCTCAGAGCCTCCAGAAGGAACCAACCTCATCAACACCTTGACTTCTGAGGTTTAGCCTCCAGAACTGCAAAAGAATGAATCTCTGTCGTTCTAAGCCACCCAGTGTGTGTTCACTTGTTACAGCAGCGATGGGAAAGGACTATTAATGACACCAAAATGCATGGGTCTGGATTTTTAGGAAAATATCCCATAATTGGGTTTCATAATCACCACATCCAAGTTCCATCCAGGCTCTCAGCATTCTGGTGTTACATATTTTTATTCTTAGGAACTCTGGTAAAGTCTGTTGGGTGAAATTTTATAACATTCTATGACAACAACTGTGCAGCGTTTTGCCCTAGCCTTTGGCCAAAAGCAGTTACGTCCTGACCTGCCAGGATCTTGCTCTCCCTCTGCAGTACTGGGGCACTTTTTCTCGCCCGATCTGAGACCAGCCCTCCCTGCTCCCCTCCTCTGGGTGAGTGCAGTCCGTGCAAACAGCTTCCACCTGGTACTGCCGAGCTGGTTGTCTCACATCTGTAGAGGAAATATTGGCAGCTCCATCAAACAGCTTTAAGGAATAGCTGACAAATCCTTTCCAGATGGGGACCTTTTACCCTGGGCAAAGACCTCTAATTTCTATCTGCTGCCTCTGTGCCAGAGCTGGAAAAATGCCTGGGCAGCAAAGACTAAATTCCCCTTATCCATCCACCCACGTCAGCTCAGCTCACAACAACCAGGCCGTTTTCTTTTCCTGGTTCCTCAAAGAGAATCTCCATCTTGTTTCTCTTTGAATGCTTCTTTCTCAAAACATCTTTTTATCAACGGCAATTATTTCTAATATTTTATTTTATTCTAATGTCAACTCTGGCTAGAAAGCTTGGCATTAGTCTGAAAAATTAGGCTAATTGACAAATCTCTTAAATAATAAGGACTATTAACTCATTAGACTTACAGAGTCACTTAGTCACTTGAAATGCTAATTTAATAATAACTACACATTTATCTTTGTTTCTAGGATATTTACGGCTTATCCAACAAGAATTGAAATTTGAATTTGATTTGCAATGATTTATTGCTTTTTTAAACAGCACATGAAATACCTGGCTAGATAGATAATATACCCAAAGCTACAGGAATCGTCACAAATGCAAAGGACCATTTAAGATTTTGACAACTAGCTGCAATATCAATACTTTAAAGGAGAACTCTTAATAATGTATAACTTTATTATATGTTAGTTCTTCTCACTCCTAATAATGTATAACTTTAGTGTGTGTTAGTTCTTCTCTGGATGACCAGAATAAATATAAAATACAATAGTGGCAAAAATCTAGGTTTAAAATTCTTGCTTTGAAAACTTTGAAAGACTTAGGGGAAGTCAAATCAGTTTCTGTGGAGACTAAAATGTATTCCTTCTGCATAGCTAAGGGAGAAGTGATTAGAAGGCCATAGAGAGAGCCATGCAGAGCCACCCCTCACTGTACAGAGGAAGAGACTGAACTTGGGGAGATTAAGTAATTGGCCCAGGATCACACAGCTGGGAGGTGACAACCAGGACCAAATGCTGGGCTCTTAATGCTAATCCATTACAACATGTTGACAGTACACAGTCCTCGTTCAGAATGGCCTCTGGATATGGCAGGTGGCAGATTGCCACACATGGGCCAGGGCACAGAACACTCACAATAGTGAAACCAAACACCACCCACCTCCTTTCTTCAGCCTAACCAGGCAGCTGTGGGTGAGGAAAGATGGTTTAACTTTATATTTTTATTACATAAAGATTCAACTCTATCTCTTCCTTATTGTCTCCCTTCCTACCTACTCCATTACTTATTCCACCATCTTTACCCCTGGACCCCTCAAACCTCCATTAGGCTCGGTTTATTAGATTGATCACGATGAAAGGTTGGCTCAATCCTGAAGGAATTACCTTTCTTGGTTCTAAGAGCTGGGGTTTTCCCAACATTATGCTGTGAGATGATAGTTTCACTGGATATTCTTTTGTACCTACCCAGCCGAGACATCAGAGTCACATCCTCTTCAGCACAAGAATCAGGGACACACACGCCCACACTGTAGTCAGCCCCATCCTGGGAAACACATCGCCACAATGTTCTTTCATTTTGGCATTCATAACATATACGCATGATCATCCCAAGTAAGTTTGCTGCTAAATAATCAGATTGGGAGTGGGAGAGAAGGATGTTGAAAGAAGAAAAGTGTTCTAACTTCTTAAAAGATGACTTTTCCATTACTGAGTAGTTCAAGTGAATTTCCAGAGCATCAGACACATGCATATTAAAAAAAAAAAAAAAGCCTCAAGGCTTAATGTAGCTGATTCTTTAAAAAGCAACCACTAGTTTTGGATAATCTGCCCCATTGCCTGTCTCTTCCATATTAGAGTTCATTAAGAGTTGCATCTCCTGCAATTTTCAATACAATTTCCAAGTTGCCATTTCTTGGTGGCAGGACACATTGTATCAAATAAAGATTTTATTAACAAATCAAGCCAATAACTAGAATGCCATCCCAATAGAGAAAACATCAAATTATAAATAAAAAATTCTGAGGTGATTGTTTTAAACACGTAATTTAGAGGATTGTGTAGGCCTGACCTTTTTCTCCAATATCAAAACCATTAATCTGCTTTGAAAATGACATTTGTATGCACTGATTAATCCCCTCAAGCAATCACTATCCCAACCCTCAGCATGACAAATGGAGCTAGGTGGTCATCTCCCTGTCTCCACGGCGAACCATTCTAAGATCATTTTATAGCATTAATATCAGAGAGCTTGGATTTCTTATTGTTACTTTATACAGTTGTTATTAGCCAACTTGTAATTTTCCTTTAGTACTGTGTGACACACATAAAGTCTATCTTTGTATTTAATAACAGGCTATGCTGTTCCTAGTTTTGTTTTTTGTTTTTGTTTTTGTTTTGTTTGTTTGCTTTGTTCCTGAGCAATAAAAGGATTAACATGCTTTGAAGATAGCCCTGCAAACTTGGTCAACTGATTTAGTAATGTTTTCATAAAAGTCCTGGCCCATCTGCTAGGATAACCTCAAATTCATGTTCAGAGCTCTGTTTCTGAGAAAAGAGTTAAGGGTAATGGGAAGTCCACCCTGCCTCTGGTATTCTAAAAGCTGTTGATGAATCAGGAGTGCATTTAAAGCTCCTTGACTTAATCCACCTCATACCAAGTAATGATGCGGTCCTTTGGTAAAGGACCTCAAAATCTGAAGTAGAGGAGAGTCCCTACTGGACCCCAGCAGAGAAGGGCAGAAGAGAGCTACCAGCAAACTCAAAATAGCTCTCAAAAAGAGAGCTATAGCATTTGAAGCTATAGAAGCTGCTGACCAGTGTTTGACCTTGGATTCCCGGTGAAAGTTGTCCAGAGGTCTTGCCCCATACAATGTGGTAGAAGGAATATCTCAAGTCCTATGTGGTTTGTGAACAACAGTCTCATTTAATGTCCCACACTCAAGATGCGGAGCAGGTTTCTGTCAAGTACTTAAAACTTAGTTTTTATTTTTTGCAAAACATCATAATAGTTTTTTTTTAATTAAGAAAAGGAATCAATGGAGTTGTATTTTGTTCTATATCATGACATTCACTTGTCCTGCAAGAGCAAGCGTGCAGGTCTCCCACACTCACCTGCAGTATATGAAGCTTGCAGTACCACCCTCGGAAGTTCCCCTTGGGAGCAGGGGTGGAAAGACACTCCATGTATGATCCCAGCCTGTCCATTGTTTCCATTGAAAGTGTTGCTCCCAAGCTTCCCCAGAGAGTCATACACTGAATTGCAAGGCAAGATAAGTTTGCAGAATTACTTTTCTGGAGTCACGTTTAAATAAATTGATAGGTACTCAGCTCTACCTTCTGAATCTATCAAACTTATGTGACTGAAAAAGAAGAGAAACAGATCTAGTCAGATGCTACTCTTTGAGCCTATGTTTTGCATACATAGCCCCTCTCATCATGCTGGGAGAACAATGATGTGAATTTTCGTGCTATTACATTGTCTACCAACAGTGCTGAAAAAGATGAAGAGTTTGATTTCTTTTAAAAAACAAACGCTTTCTGGGGAGTGAAAAGGTATAACTAAAATTTGATAGCTTTTCTTTCTCCACCACATATACCCAGGAGAAAATACTCATGTTTTTAAAAAATTTTATCCAGTTCTGTGAGACCTTACTTTAGAGAGAGTTAATTTTTTTCTTTTTTCATTTAACCTTAGGAGCGGAAGATTAGAGTGATCAAGTTCCACAGTTCATGGCATTTTCAGCCCTGGTCCTGCAGAGTCTTTTTTGTTTGTTTATGCTTATTTATGGCCTTTATTCCTTCATTTTAAAAAAATCATTTCCTTTCATCTTTCTTCATCCCTTCCTTTCCCTTTCTCAAATTCCCCTCACTCCATATATGTGTGCTGTGTATCCTCTCATTTGTAGGTGCTCTTGTTTTGTGTATGTGTATTTGCCATATGTATGAATGGTTTTGTGTTTCCACTCTCCCTCTGTTTCTATATATGTCACACAGTGCTACATTTTTACAATTTTATGTGTTATCTAGTCCAGGGCCACTAACTTCTGTATAATAATCCATCACCACCTTTGACTTAACTACTCCCCAGATGATGGATGGATAGATGACTCCAGCCCACAGAAACACACAGTGATCATCCTTATATGTGTCCCTTTATAGAGCAACATGAAGATGGAGCTCAGATTCTACCTGTGAGTGGAATTGCTGAATGATAAGGCATACAAATACTTAGTCTGTGTTAATCCAGCCAGATTACTCACTAGAGGGACTCCTTCAATCTATATTCCCCAGGGATGCTGGCTCTTTTTTTTTTTTTTTTCTTTTTTGCTTTGTACTGTTTAGCTTTTTAATTTTTGGCAATTAATGGATATAAAATGATATTTAATTACTGGCTTAATTTTCATTTATCTAATTACAAATGAGCCAGGGTATTTTTATTGATTAGTCAGCCATTTAAATGTTCTCTTCTGAATCCATGTGTCCTTTGCTAATTTTTAATAGACTTTTTTCTTTCTGGTTTGCCAGAGCTGCTTATTATTCTATACCTTGATTCTGTCTGTCTGAGTCATTGAAAGTAGACACTCTGGCAGTTATCTGTCAGTTGGCTTTTCCATGGTGTCTTTCAATGAACAGAAACCCATACTTTTGGTATCATGAAATCCACAAATATTTTGCTTATCGATTGTGTTTTTGGTGTTTTCCTAAGAAATTCTTCCCCATTCATAGGTCACAAAAGGATTTTCTAATATTACCTCCTACCATCTTTATAGTTCTACCTTTTGTATTTAAGTCTTTAATCCATCTGAATCATGGTGCATTTTTTTTTCCCTCCAAAAGGTGGACCAGTTATCCCAAAACCACCTCTAAATAGTTTTCCCTTTCATCATGGATTCATGGAGCAAGTTTCTTCTTATATCCAGGTCTCATATATACATGGATCTGCCTCTGAGCTCTCTGGTTTATTTTGTTTATCTGAGATGACACTGACTACAGAGCATGTAGGGCCAACGCAAAATGACATTGCAGGGCCCCTTGTTTAAAAATGGTTAAGAATTTGAAGATGATGACAGCAAATCACACTTCAGCCAAGTATGAGGCTCTTTTAAGAGTAGATCCCTGTGTGACTGCAGGAATTGCATGCCCTGGAGCCAGCCCTGATTCTAGCACTGGACTAGATACACATAAAATTGTAAAAATATAGCACTGCATGACATATATAAAAACAGAAGGAGGGTGGAAGCATAAAACCATTCATACATATGGCAAATACACATACACAAAACAAGAACACCTACAAATGAGAGGATACACAGCACACATATGGAACAAGGGGAATTTGAGAAAGGGAAAGGAAGAGATGAAGAAAGATGAAAGGAAATGAATTTTTTAAATGAAGGAAAAAAGACATAAATAAGCATAAACAAACAAAACTATATGGTTTTTATTATTATGGATTTGTAGTATATCAGGTATTCTGCCTTTAGTTTTTTTTTGTTTTTTTTCAAAGTGGATCTAGTTAGTTGTGGACAATTAATCATGTATACAAGTTTCAGAAAAATGTTTGCTGAGTTCATCAAAACATCCAACTAGACTATTGACTTAAAATTACTTTGAATTTATACATTAATGTTGAGGAAGAATTGACATTATTTTTATACCAAGCCATCATTGGAGACCATGCTATTTATGCAAATCTTTTTGTATCCTTATAATTTTACTTTTTTTTCTTGGTAAATTTAAAACAGATTAGATAAAACAACTCCTAAATAGAGTAGAGTTGGCTATTTTCTGTGGTATTTTATTTTCAATTTATATTTTCTAATTGATTGTTGCTGACATAGAAATATGCTATTGATTTTTATAATTTGTTCTGATATTTGGTGAATTTGCTGAACTTTCTTATTAGTTCTGCAGTTTTATTTCTCCCTCTGTAATCCTTGTACCACTTCTTTCTTCCTCTTCTAGTTTTGGAATTAAAGTTATAATCAAATTTACAAAGTGAGTTGGGCAGCTTTCACACTTTTTTGCTTTCAGGAACAGCTGTAATGATTATTGGTTACTAGGGTTACTGATGTTGAGGGAAATGGGTTATATATGGCTGTAAATGTGTAACACAAAGGAGAACATTCTAGTGATGAAATTGTTCTGAATCTTGGTTGGAGTGTGGCTTACGTAAATCTACACATGCCATGACATAGAACTATATCCACAGATTACATCAACGTCAATTTCATTTTTTAAAAAATATTGTACTATAGGTCAGGCGAGGTGGCTCACACCTGTAATTCCACTTTGGGAAGGCAAGACAGGTGGATCGCTCAAGTTCGAGACCAGCTGGGGCAACATGGTGAAACCCTGTCTCTACAATACAAAAAAAAAAATTAGCCAAGCATGGTGGTACATGCCTATAGTCCCAGATACTCAGGAGGCTGAGGTAGGAGGATTGTTTGAGCCCAGGAGGCAGAGGTTGCAATGAGCTGAGAGTTCACCACTGCACTCCAGCCTGGGTGACAGAGCGAGACCCTGTCTAAAAAAATAAATATATAAATAAAAATATGCTGTAATTATGTTTGTCACAATTGGGGAAAACTGTATGAAAGATATGTGAAACCCTTCTTGATCTGTGTTTTCATAGATTTTGTATTTGTCTATTTGGCATTCACTCATTCATCACTCAATTGTGTTAACTACATTTTCTTATTTTCTGTATTTGTCAAGCTCTGATATCTGTGGCCTTGCTGACTGAGAAGAGACTGCCCCTCCCATGGCTACCCAATTCTTAGAAGGAGCAAAGGCTTATCCTAGGAGCATACCATTAACATGCAAATGAATCAATCCAGAGCCCATGACCCCAGCTATCGCCTTTATCAAACTCTCACACACCAAGTCAATGTTCCTCTGCCCTAAAGCACCCCAGGGCCAGGTGCCAGACAATCTGAGATCACCCATGTTACCCAGAGGCCACCTACGGTATTCAAACCAGGCAGTCCTGCACTGTTCACCCTGCTCTGCCTGGCTTCCCTGCAGAAACCCTGACAAAGGCAGTGACCTATGCTTCTCCTTCACCCTCCTGCCTCCTGGCCAACCATATGCTTCCCCAGGTGGCTCTGTGTGGCATGGCAGGCCCCTCCTTCCAGGAAATGCAAGTACCAAAAGTCATCTTTTTTTTTTTTTGGAGACGGAGTCTCACTCTGTCACCCAGGCTGGAGTGCAGCGGTGCGATCTCAGCTCACTGTAACCTCTGCCTCCCAGGTTCAAGCAAGTCTGTGCTTCAGCCACCCGAGTAGCTGGGATTACAGGCACCCACCACCACGCCCAGCTAATTTTTCTGTATTTTTAGCAGAGATGGGGTTTCACCATGTTGGCTGGGCTGGCCTTGAACTCCTGACCTCATGATCCTCCCGCCTGGGCCTCCCAAAGTGCTGAGATTACAAGCGTGAGCCACCATGCCCAGCCTAAAAATCATCTTTCAATGGCATTGTCCTTTCAATGGAGATGCTAAGTCACTTCCATAAATTAAAATCCCATGGGTACAACTGATACATTGCTGAACTAGTCTTGCAACTTCCTGTGAAGCTATAATTATTTAAAATAAAAAGGTTTAAAAAAGTAAAGTGAGATGGACAACTTTCACACTTTTGAAGTTTGCTGGAACAACTGAGATTGTATATTGTAAGAAGTTGGGTAGAATGGAACTGTTTCAACCATCATAGTCTATAATTCAGTGAGAAGAAAGGTCTTAATTTCCATTTTTTAAATGCTTAATAGTTTTCCATTTTTCTATTTCTTTTTGAATCATTCAAAAAATTTTTAATTTATTTGTTTTGTCTTGCTTTCCAAATATTCATTTATAATTTTTTATTCTTTGTTGTATCTATATTTACTCCTTTTTCATTCTTCAGTTTTTATTTCTATCTTTTCTCACTTGTCCTCCTTCACTATTGCTTGAGGACTCTAACAATCAGCTTTTGGTTTTGCTAATTTTGGTATTCTTTATGGGTTTGTTTCTTTTCTGTCTCATTCATTTCTGACTTTTTTTTTTTTTTTTTTTTTTTTTTGAGATGGAGTCTCAGTCTGTTGCCCAGACTTGAGTGCAGTGGCACCATCTCGGCTCACTGCAACCTCTGCCTCCTGGGTTCAAGTGATTCTCCTGCCTCAGCCTCCTGAGTAGCTGGGATTACAGGCACCTGCCACCATGCCCAGCTAATTTTTGTGTTTTTAGTAGAGACGGGGTTTTACTGTGTTGGCCAGGCTGGTCTGACCTTATTTTTATTATGTCCTTATTGTTTCTTTGAGATTGATCTATCTTTTATAAATTTATGGAGTTGATTGCTTAGCTCATGTTTTCAACCTTCCTTGTGTCCTTATAACATGTATTGAGAGCTAGGAATTTCCCTCTAAGTACTGCTATATCTGTATCTAAATTTTGACCTCTGGTGTTTTCATTATCATTCAGCTCTAAGTGTTTGTGTGTGTGTGTGTGTGTGTGTGTGTGTGTGTGTGTGTGTGTGTGCAACTTTCCAGTACACTTTCTTTTTTTTTTACAAAGAGTTAGCTGGTAATATAATATTTAGTTTCCATACAGAGAAGGTTTCTCTTTCAGCTTTTCTTCTGTCATTTTGAAGTCTGATGTCAATCTGATTGCTGTTCTCTCCAGAAATTTTTAGGATTTCCTCATTGCTTTTAATATTCTTAATTTTATCTCTACTGACATGTACTCAAGTGTAAATTTTCTTTATTTGTTTTAGCATCCTGTAAACCCTTTCAATCTGATATTTTTAATCTTCCTTTAATTCCAGAGAAAGTATTGTCATTATGCGTTCAAATATTGCCTTCCTTCCGTTTGCTTTGTTACATTTCTCCTTTTGGTTTCTATTATCCAACTGTTGGCACCTTTAGCCTCAATATTCTTTGGTTTTTCTTTTACCTTCATGTCTCTTTATCCTTTTCTGCACTGCTTTGAGAGATCTTCAAACTGATCTTCCAGCTCACTAATTTTTCTTGGCCTCTGTCCATCTTACTATCTATCCCATCAATTTTGTTTTGATTTCAACTGTTCCTCTTGACTTTTCCTGATTGTGTTTTCGTGCTTTGTATCAGTCATATTCTCCCTTATCTCTGATTATATTTATTGTGCTTTTTAAAATTCCTGATGACCCACCTGTTCCAATCATTCAGCTTCCCATAGTACATATGTTTATTCAATTCAATGTCCCTCTTTTATGTGCCTGCTCCTCAAGGATTTGGAGGTTTTTGCTTGTGCATTCTTACACTCTGTCTGGTGAAGTGTATGTGTTCAAGAACATGTGACAGCCCAACCCCCAGAGTGTGTGCCACCTCAGAAATTTAAAGAGTGTAGAGAAGACAGCATGACCCTCAGGGCAGAAAACCCTGGCACACAGAATCAGCCGCAATTCCAGCCCTACCAAGCAACTCTCTCAGTCTGGAATTTTCCCTCAAATTATTTGAAAGAAGCAGCACTGAGAAGACATAATCTCCTGTGACTGTGATCCCCCAGCTTCTTAGGGAAGAAAGAGGGCAGAAGGCAGAGGGCAGAAGGGTGAATGAGTGAATGACCAGGAATATTGGTCAGCCCCTAACCCCAGGGAGGCGGGAGAAGGGGCAGGAGGGTGGGATCAGAGCCCTGCCCTGCCGCGAATGCTTCAGACAGAGGCTACCCTGGCTGCTACTGTGGATTTCTTTCTCAGGGGCAATGGTGGCCTGCGGTTTTCACAGGCTAGCATGCTTCAGTGTCCCTGCAGGCTTGGTAAAACACAGAATGCTGGGCCCCACAACCAGAGTTTCTGATTCAGTAGGTATAACATGTGCCTGAGCTTGTGTTTTATCAAATTCTCATGTGATACAGATGCTGCTGATTAGGAACCACTTTGAGGACCACTGTGTAGGCAGTACCACTTGCACACATACAAATGCACACACAGACACACAGACACACACACACCATACATACCGGGTGACTGCCTTCAGGACCCTAAAGGCTTCTCCCAGTTTTGACATCAGTAACAATAACAACTAACACGTAGGCCCTAGTGTGTGCCAGGCATGTTTTGAGTTGCTTTCTGTCCATTGTCTCATTTAACCCTCACACAACTGTGTAATGTTATGAGCTAAGTAATCATTATAGTCCCCATTTTACAGATACGGAAACTGAGGCACAGGGAGGTCACGTCATTCACTCAAGGTCACATTACCAGTAAAGGGTAGTAGAAGTGAGAAAACTGAGGCTCAGAAATGATAAGTAATATACACAACAACATAAACCTACCTCCTTTTACTTGCTAGCAAGAATTAGAGCTGTGTATTCAAACCCAGTTTAAGCTGAATTCATAACCTCTTACTCTTTAAAATAGACACAAGGACCCAGTTTTTACTTGTCAGTTTGGAATATAGATTCTTAGACATAACTAAAGATAATGGTAATCCTTAGAAGGAGTGAGGAGAAAACCCCAATAGAGCTTGTGAAATGACCCAGCTCCTCCAGCATTTCTGTCTTAACTACTGCAATTGGATTTCTGAGATTTAGTCTGGAAATCAGGTTGAAGGAACTGCATTTTGCTTACATGTGTGCTTTAAAAAAAAAAAAAAAAAAAAAGGAACTACATAGGCCGAGTGTGGTGGCTCACACCTGTAATCCCAGCACTTTTGGTGGCTGAGGCAGGTGGATCGCTTGAGCCCACAAGCTCAAGACCACTCTGGGCAATGTGGCAAAACCCCATCTCTCTACAAAAGTACAAAAAATTAGCCAGGCGTGGTGGCTTGCACCTGTAGTCCCAGCTACTCGAGAGACTGAGGTGGGAAGATTACCTCACCAGGGAAGGTCAAGGCAGCAGTGAGCCATGATCACACCACTGCACTCAAGCCTGAGAGAGAGAGAGAGACTCTGTCTCAAAAAAAAAAAAAAAAAGGAATATGTCATTTTGAAAACCTCCTGGTCCTAACTTGACAAACGGTACTTGCTGAGTTCACCGGGTTAACTGGCTTTTGACAGGAGCCCTCGCCTCTTCTTTGGCCAGTTCCACTGCATCAGACCTCTTGGGCTCAGCCAGTGGGTGCTGGTTATCAGTGACCTCTTTTCCATAGGTTTTCATTATTCCAGGTTTTTGCTGGAATGAGAATTACCGACCCTCCCATTTTTCTTCCAATGAGTTTGAGTCTCCTTGTTTCTCACCACACTCAGAACTTTAGAGCTGGTGTCCAACTTGGCCGTTTATAGCCATCAGTGATCTTCTAGACTGAGCTGAATCACAAGACTGACCATGTCCCTCCCCTCCTTTAAACTCTTCAAGGCACCAAGAACGTAGTTAAAAGATAAGGAGAGAACACAGTCACCATATTTATAGCTTAGATAAAGAATCGCATTCAGAACATATAAAGAACTCTTACAAAGCAAACTTTTTTTTTTTTTTGAGGTGGGGTCTCACTCTGTTGCCCAGGCTGGAGTGCAGTGATGTGATCTCAGCTCACTGCAACCTCCACCTCCCAGGTTCAAGCAATTCTCCTGCCTCAGCCTCCCAAGTTGCTGGGATTACAGGCATGCACCACCACACCCAGCTAATTTTTATATTTTTAGTAGAGATGGGGTTTCACCATGTTGGCTAGGCTGGTCCCAGACTCCTGATTTCATGATCCACCTGCCTCGGCCTCCCAAAGTACTGAGATTACAGGCGTAAGCCACTGCACCCGGCACAAAGCAAACATTTTTAAAAAGTCAAAGAAACTAATTTAAAATCCACAAAAGATATGAACAGGAAACCCTTGGAGAAGGAAATCCAACTGATTAATAAATATGAGAAAGCTGTTCAGCCTTGCCAGTGAACGACAATTAGATACCACTCTTTTCTACCTACTGTATTGGTTAAAATTTTTAAAGTTAATCCAATTAAGTGTTGGTGAGTGTCATGGTTTGACTGTCTCCCCCAAAATTCATGTGTTGGAAACTGAGTCCCCAGTGTACCAGTATTGGAGGGTGAGGTCTAATAAGAGCTCATTAGGCCTAATAAGAGACCTAATAATGGACTAATGTCATTATTGCAGGACCGGGTCACTTGTGTAGAGAGTGGGTTATTATAAAAGCTAGCCTAGTTCCTTATGCTTTCTCTCTCATTTACCCTTCCACCTTCCACTGCGGGATAACACGGCACAAAGTCCCTTACCAGATGCCAACACCATGCCAACACCATGCTGGGAAGTCTACTTCCCAGCCTCTAGAACTGTGAGAAAATAAATCTCTTTTCTTTATAAATTACCCAGTCTATCATATTCTGTTATAGCAGCAGAAAATGAACTAAGACAGTAAGAATATGAAGAAATTTTTTTATTTTTATTTTTTTTATTTTGATAAAAATGAGGTTTTGCCTTGTAGCTCAGGCTGGTCTTGAACTCCTGAGCTCAAGTAATCCACCTGCCTCAGCCTCCCAAAGTGCTGGGATTACAGGAGTGAGCCACCACACCCTGCCTGAAGAAATTTTTTTGGTCTCCTAGAAGCCATTCTCTTCTTAGTAAGCAACTAGATTTTCTTTTAGAGAATACCACTCCCCAACTGTGCACAATCTTGACCAAAAAATCAAGGTGCTCTGTCCTCTCATTACAGAGCCCAAAGGGATCCCTGGAAGCCACACCCAGCCTTACTTCTCATCACTGTGACACAAGGTCAACCCTCTGCCAGGACTTTAGTGAAGTTAGACAGGGCCCAAAGCCAAGCTTGGGCTCCACTCATCTGCCAGGAAGCAGGTCTTTGGCCTTTCCCTCCCTCCTCTGAGCTGCCCCATACTCCGCCAATAGCTTTCTTTTATGTTGAAGTTTGCCAGAGTCAGTGTCTGGGGTTTAACCAAAGACTCCTTTCTAACTGCTAGGCACAGTGACCCAGCAAGTCAACATCTCAGAATCTGCCCCAGGGATACACACATGAGCACACATTGCAAGATGCTTGTGGCAGTAATTCTTGTAATGGCAAAAAGAATTGGACACAGACTGTGTCCTACATATATATATGTGTGTGTATATATATGTGTGTATATATGTATATATACATATATGTGTACATATATACACACATATATACACATATACACACATATATATACATATATATACACACACACATATATACATATATATATATAGAGAGAGAGAGAACATTACTCTGTCACCCAGGCTAGAGTGCAGTGGTATGATCTCAGCTCACTACAGCCTTGACCTCCCAGGCTTAAGCGATCCTTCCACCTCAGCCTCCTGAGTCGCTACGACTACAGGCACACACCACTATACCCAGCTAATTTTGTTTTTTAATTTTTGTATAGACAGGGTCTATATATTATGTTGCCCAGGCTGATCTCGAACTCCCGGACTCAAGTGATCCTCCCACCTTGGCCTCCCAAAGTGCCGGATTACAGGCCACCGTGCCTGGCAAAAACAATAAATATATTTTTTAAACTTACAAAACAAAATTATGTCTTTCTAGTACATACCAAAAAGAGGAAGGAGAAAATTCTAGAAAAATTTATACCTCATTGATAACACTTATCATCTAGGAAAGGGATTGGTATTTGAATGAGGGAATAAAAAGGCCTTGAACTTTGTCTGCATTATTTAGATTCATTTACAGTGTGAACAAATTCATGTATTATTCATGTAATAATCTGTAAAAAATTTTGAATCAATATACTTCTTAAATTCTTAATGGCGTCCCATCATCTAGAGTAGGGGTTGGCCAACTATAACCCTGCTTGTCTTTTAAGAAAAGTTTATTTTTAATATGGCCTTGCTCATTCGTTTACATATTGTCAGGGCTGCTCTCGCACAAAATGGCAGGGTGGAGTAGCTGTAAGAGAGACCCTATCAGGCCCTTTAGGGAAAAACTTTGCAGACCGGTTAGCTAGGGCTGTGATTCTCAGCTCTGGTGGGAATTCTAGTAGGCATTCAAATCACCTGAGACGTTAAAAAAAAAAAAAAAAAAAAAAAACTCACGCCCAGGCTCCACCCCCGCAAAGAATGACTTAATTGGTCAGGGGTGAGGCTTGAGCTTTAATTGTTTTTCAAAATGTCCCAGGTGATTTTAATGAGCAGCCAGGCTTGCCTGCTCTGACTTTTAGGATTAATTCCAGACTCCTGAGTGTGGTTTAAAAGGCCCTTCGTAACCTGGCTTGCCCCTCTGGTCTCGTCCTCCCAACCCACGCTCATTTCCTCTGCTCCGAGATACAGAACGCACCAGGCGACACTGTCTTTAAGCTTGGAATGTTCCTCCTTTCCATCTGCCTGGCAAATGTTGAGTCATCCTTTAAGTCTAGGCTGAAGGATGTTCTTCCCTAAGAAGCATTCCAGATTCTTGCTTACATATCACATTTAAAGGTATGTTGTCATTGTGTACCTGTCTGTCTCCCATGGTGAGGGGAGGGAGGAGGCGCTATGTCTTCATGTATCTCTCAGGGCAGGAGCTCAGTGAACATTTGCTGAATCAAATTAAACTTAAAAAAATCTAACTTCAAATGCCCAAAATCCAGCTCCACAGAGACATTTTGAAGTCCTCCTTGTGTCAGGAAAACAAAACAATAACAAAAAAAAAACTGGGTGCATTTACTGTAACAGACTAAATTTTTTTTTTTTTTTTTGAGACAGAATCTTGTCACCCAGGCTGGAGTGCAGTGGCACCATCTGGGCTCACTGCAGCCTCCACTTCCTGGGTTCAAGCGACTCTCGTGCTTCAGCCTCCCAAGTAGCTGGGATTACAGACGTGCACCACCACATCCAGTTAATTTTTGTATTTTTAGTAGAGATGAGGTTTCACCATCTTGGCCAGGCTGGTGTCAAACTCCTGACCTCAAATGATCCACCTGCCTCGGCCTCTCAAAGTGCTGGGGTTACAGGCATGAGCCACCATGCCCGGCCTGTAACACACTAAATGATTTTCAAATCCCCTATTCCGTCACAGAGTAGCCCCAACTCTGTAGCCTAAAGTGTAAGAAAGGGTCTGGAACCATAAACTTTGAAGGAGACAAAAGAGATGTCAAAACTGAGGCTGTCTCCCTCCTTAGGTAAATCCTGAAGGGCACATGAAGAATATCCCATTCTTCATTTGAGAAGATTAAATTCTTGTTTTCTTTCCACTTGGTATTTGCTTTCTAAACTGATTGCATTTGTGATTGTCTAGCTGAGCTCATATCATTTGCTACGCAAATTTTCAAATTGCATTTGCTTCCTTTCTGAGTATGAATTCAAATGGACAAGTTGCCCTTTTCCAAACTAATCCTTAATTAGCTTCTGTCAAGAACCTAAGAGATGCCAGGGCACAGGCACCCTCCAAATCAAAATACATTCTGATTGTCATTGGAGGGAGAAATAGGATAAATGAATGATTAATCGCACTTGCTACGTCAAATCATATGGCAGTTGTTCCAAGTTTCATTTTCAAAAGATTAAAAACAACTTGTTTCAATTCTGTGCTAATTGGCAGGCAAATTTTCTTTCTCGCTTGGTGGCAATGAAATGTGGATATTAAAATGCACAGCTGATTAATTTCTGGGTTTGAATAGAGGAAAAAGGAGACCTTGGTCTACAGTCTTAAGTTTTTAAATATGATGCATTGACATCATGAAGTTGAAAGCAGTGGAAGCTTCTGGAATGCCAGGCCAGAAACAAATCCTGAAAGGAATTATGACCTTGAAGCTTTTATTGAGCACCTACCAGATTGCTGTTACACTGGAGATTTTTAAAAACGAGAATAGTCCTTGCCTTATAGTTGATGATACAGGGCATACAGTAAAATGCTAACTATCTGGTGCCAGAGATTTCCTTGCGGTAAAAGAAAGAGCTGAATGTGCCCTCCATTTCACAGCCTAGTTCCCAAGACAGGCTCTTAGCAGACACTTCCTGGCAGTCCCCCTTGTGTCTGGTCAGCTATTAACCTTAGACCAAAAGAACAAGAATAGCATGCATATCAATTTCTTGTGGCTACTGTAGCAATTACCACAGATTTCATGGCTTAAAACAATGGAAATTTATTTTCTCACAGTTATGGAGACCAGAAATCCCAAATAAATATGACTGGACTGAAACCAAGGCAGTAGCAAGGGCTGCACTCCTTGTGGAGGCTGCAGGAAGAATCTGTTCTTTCCTTCCTCCAGCTGCCAGCTCCCCTTGGATTGTGGCCACAGCATTCCAGACTCTGCCTCTGTGGTCACATCATCTGCGTGTGCCTGTGTGGTGGATGCATATTTCCTCCTGTCTCCCTTTTTTTTTGAGATTCTCACTGTCACCCAGGCTAGAGTGCAGTGGCACCATCTCAGCTCACGCCAACCTCTACCTCTCAGGTTCAAGCAATTCTCCTGCCTCAGCCTCCCAAGTAGCTGGGATTACAAGCACCTGCCACCATGCCTGGCTAATTTTTGTATTTATAGTAGAGACGAGGTTTCATCATGTTGGCCAGACTGGTTTCGAACTCCTGACCTTCAGTGATCCAACTGCCTCAGCCTCCCAAAGTGCTGGGATTACCAGCGTGAGCCTGGCCCGTCTCTCTCTTCTAAAGGTACATGGGGCTGCATTTAGGGCCCACCTGGATAACCCAGGACAACCCCCACATTTTAAGATCCTTAATTTAATCATACCTGCAAAGACCCTGTTTCCATACAAGGTAACATTCACAGGCTCCAGGAATTGGGATGTCTTTTGGGGGACTGTGTTTCAGTCTACTGCAGCATGGATATTTGGTATCCAGTGAACCCGGAATTTCAGTGAAGCCCAGTTTCACCCTTTATTTTAACATTTGCTTCATTTCAGCATCTTTTCTGTCCCTTGCTCTAGCACCAGGAGAGGGTCAGGCCTTGAGTAAAATGCCCTCCAGACTAACAGCTGGGTGGGAAAAGAGGCAACATTCAGAGACTGAAAATCAAGATGACCAGACCTGCCCTGGTGACAGGGGAACCAGGCTCGGCCAGGGGCCCATGATGGGTGCTGGTCCATTCAGTGTCTGCCTGCAGACCCCTGCCTCCGACAAGGCATCAGCCGTGGCCTTGGCTTCCAGGAAAGAAGGTGAGGCACACGGACAAGAAACATGAAATAAGCATTCCGGGAGGGAAACGAGGAAGCCAAAGGGAGCAAGTGACCCGAGTAGGAAGCTCAGTGCCCTGGCCATCAGGGCTTGGTATAGGAACCAGGGAAGAGGGACTTGAAGGGTTAAGAAAGTCTCAGAGCAAAAGTAGCTGCTTGGGGACAATTTCAAGAATGTGATGAGATTAGAGAAACAGGAAATGAAAAGCCCTGCAGGCTGCTTGGGATCCAGAGGCCTCCCTTCCTCCCTCCTCATTCTGTCCCAGAGGAATCAAGTGCAGCAAAATGCAGCAATCACATGAAGCCTGGGGAGGAGCCAGGATCTGCCCAGCAAAGTTATAATTCCACATCAGTAGCTTCCCTGGCAAGTCCTCTGCTGTAGACACACATGGGCCCATTGCACTTTAAGAAAATGCTCTGGGGCGAGGCACGGTGGCTCACACCTGTAATCCCAGCACGCTGGGAGGCCAAGGCAGGCAGATCACCTGAGGTCAGGAGTTCAAGACCAGCCTGGCCAACATGGCAAAACCCCACCTCTACTAGAAAAAATACAAAAATGAGCCAGGTGTGGTTGTGTGTACCTGTAGTCCCAGCTTACTTGGGAGGCTGAGGCAGGAGAATCACTTGAACTGGTGAGGTAGAGGTTGCAGTGACCTGAGACCATGCAACTGCACTCTAGCCTGGCAACAGAATGAGATGCCTCAAAAAAAAAAAAAAAAAAAAAAAAGCTCTGCTACGTCTCAAGGAAAATGAGTCCCTGGACCTACCTGAGACACAGTGCTTTGCTTTCCCGCCTCCTCTCCCCCCTCCCCCCGTTCTGGATGATAAATGCATGCTTTTGATTTTAGGGTGCATTTGAGAGGCTTTAATACACAGTTCTTTGTATTAGTTTGCTAGTGCTGTCTTCAGAATTTTCCATGAACTGGGTGGCTTAAAACAACAGAGATGTATTATCTCACAGTTCTGGGGACTAGAAATCTGAAATCAAGGGCTGAGCAGCATTGGTTCCCTTCGGAGGCTCCAAGGAAGAACCAGTTCCATGCTCTCCTAGCTTCTAGAAGTTGCCAGCAGCCCTAGGCCAGGAGGCATCACCCCAATCTCTTCTCCATCCTTGTGGAATGTTCTCCCTCTGTGTCTGTGTCCAAATTTCCCTCTTATAAGGACACCAATAATGGGATTAGGGCGTACCCTAATCTAGTATTACCTCCTCTTACATATCTGCAAAGACCTTATTTCCAAGTAACTTAACATTCACAAGAACCAGGGGGTTATGGTTTCAACATATCTTTTGGGGAGACACATTCAACCTATAACACTCACCAGGTGGGGATTAGTATCGATTACACTGATATAAAAACCATGCGGGACATTGGATTCGTTCGCTAGGGCTGCCATAATGAAGTACCACAGACGGGGTGGTTTAAACAACAGGAATTCATTTGTCCCAGTTCTGGAGGCTGTATGCCTGAGATCAAGGCACTGGCAGGGTTGGCTGCTTCTGAGGCCTCTCTCCTTGTCCTCTAGGAGACCGCCTTCTTGTGTCCCCATGTGGTCTTTCCTCCAGGCATGTCTATGTCCCAAGCTCCTTTTCTTATAAGGGTACCAGTTATTGATTAAAACAACCCCCACCCCAACTCATCTCATTTGGGCTTAATAATCAATCTCTCTTTTTTTTTTTTTTTTTTTTTTTTTGAGACAGAGTCTTACTCTGTCACCCAGGCTGGACTACAGTGCCATAATCACAGCTCACTGTAGCCTCGAACTCCCAGGCTCAGGTGATCCTCCTACCTTAGACACCTGGGTAGCCGAGATTACATGCATGTGCCACCATGCCCAGCTAATTTTTTGTATTTTGTGTAGAGATAGTTTCGCCTTGTTGCCCAGGCTGGTCTTGAACTCCTGGGCTCAAGCAATCCGCCCACCTCGGCCTCCCAAAGAGCTGGGATTTCAGGCGTGAATCACTGCGTCTGGCCCAATTATCTCTTTAAAAACCCTGTCTCCAAAGAGAATCCCATCCTGACATACTGGGACTTAAACATACAAATTTGAGGGAAACACAATTCAGCCCATAACATACACAAATTACAAATAATGAAGCCTACAGTATAATAATGAGGTCCTTAGTATCAATTCCACATATAATGAATTGATTCTCTTGGAATACTTTCATTGATTTTTGCCCAACTCTTGTATCTGTAGCCAATCTATGGTTTCAGCTGACTAAGTATTGTCCCAACATGAATGTTGATATTTTCAAGTTAATGAGTAATACAGATGTGAAACAAGGAAGATGTATGTCAGAACTTATTTGTCCATGATGTGAGCAAATTTTTTGCTGAATTTTATAACGGAGTACTGAAGATACTTCCTTATCTTTTTGTGCTATTCATAATGTAATGGTTAGTCATTACACACTTCTAATTTACACTCAACATTTTATCCATTAATTTCCTCAGTCTAGACAATAAAACAATAAATCAAGCCCTGACTTGTAGCAATTGCTGACTTCCCTGATGAAGATACAGCCCCCGTGGCTGACCCCCAGCTCTCAAGGTGACGTCCCTGAACACGAACTTAGAAGGCCGTGCACAGTAGCATAGCAGTGACTTCCACTATACAGACATGAGAGCTGTAAATAGCATTAACAATATAGATAGATTTTTTTTTCTTTTTTTTTTTTTTTGAGACAGATTCTCTGTCTCCAGGCTGGAGTGCAGTGGCGCGATTTTGGCTCACTTCAACCTCTGCCTCCCAGGTTCAAGCGATTCTCCTGCCTCAGCCTCCCGAGTAGCTGGGATTACAGGAGCATGCTACCACGCCTGGCTAACTTTTGTATTTTTAGTAGAGACAGGGTTTCACCGTGTTGGCCAGGATAGTCTCGATCTCTTGACCTCGTGATCCGCCCACCTCAGCCTCCCAAAGTACTGGGATTACAGGCATGAACCACTGCACCTGACCTACAGATAGATTTTTTTTAATGTAGTAAAATAATTAGGAAGTGATGAGTTTTGAATATTTATTACTTTTGGGCTGGGCATGGTGGCTCACACCTGTAATCCCAGCACTTTGGGAGGCCAAGGTGGGCAGATCACCTGAAGTCAGGAGTTTTGAGACCAGCCTGACCAACTTGGTGAAACCCCGTCTCTACTAAAAATATAAACATTGGCCAGGTATGGCAGCGCACACCTGTAATCCCTGCTGCTCAGAAGGCTGAGGCAGGAGAATTGCTTGAACCCAGGAGGGGGAGGCTGCAGTGAGCCAAGATTGCCCCACTGTACTCCAGCCTGGGTGACAGAGTGACTCTGTCTCAAAAAAATTATTACTGTTGTTCTTAATAAAATTTAATTGTAAATTTGCATGAGTTAGCCCCTAAAAATATATTTAACAACCACCTTGACACTTAACAATTGGCTCTCTCAAGCCAGCACAGACTACCTGTAGCACACTGCTGGGCTTAGGAGTTGGAATTCCTTTTTTAAATTTTAGGTTCTAGGTATATGTGCAGGTTTGTTATAGGTAAACTATGTGTCATGAGGGTTTGGTTGGAATTTCTTAAAGTTGCTGTAGATTTCCAGAATTGAGGACACAGCCTGGCCATTTACAGGTGAGGAACCTTGTTAAAGGTGAAGTGTTAAGCAAGATGATGTGGCCACACAGCTGGTGATTGGCCTAAGCAGGAGGCGGTCCCAGGCCTTACCATTGCCAGCCTAGCACAATTTCCACTGCTTAGTATCCTGTCTCTAAACCTGGATTCGTTTACAAGAGAAGTACAATGAGGAAAGGAACAAAGTGCCTGTGGGAAGGTTCAGGGGGTCAGGCAGAGAGAGAAAGAGAAGGAGAAAAGAGACCAATTATCAGCATAGAAGGACAGCCCAGACAGGGGACCCGACCCAGAATTACAATAGAAATAGATAAGTATGAAGAAAGAGGAAGGGCAGCTCATTCCATGGTGGTTAATGTAAACAAAAATATGATTCTAAGACCCCCAACCATCTGAATGCACCCTTCCTTTCAGCCAAGGGCATTCCAAAGTCAACCTGAAAAACTAGTTCAGGCCACAATGGGAAGGGAGGGGGGACATCCCTCATTATGCCCTCCTCCCTTTCAGAATTCAGGCACAACCGGCCAGTGTTAACGTAAGACTGATAGAACAGACTTAAGTCTGATAAGAGACATTGACAACCTATTGTCTCTGAAGCTTGTTACCTGGAGGCTTCATCTGCATAATAACCTAGGTCTCCATAATCCCTTAACGTAACCCACACACTTCCTTCTATGGATTCCAGGTCTTTAGATAAACTCTTTCAACCAATTGCCAATAGGAAAAGCTTTGAATCCACCTATGACCTAGAAGCCACCCCACCCCCTTCCAGTTGTCCCACCTTTTCAGACCAACCAATACACATCTTACCTGGATTGACTGATGTCTCGTATCTCCCTAAAATGTACTAACCTGAAGTCTGACCACCTGGGCATATGTTCTCAGGATCTCCTGGGGCTGTGTCACAGGACATCAGTCACTCATTTTGGCTCAGAATAAATCTCTTCAAGTATTTTACAGAGTTTGACTCTTTGTAGACATTAAGGAGAAAGAACATTTAACAATAACCAGGAGAGAGGATACCAGTGATCTTTCTGGATGTGGTTTTTGTTGTGTTGTTTTGTTTTTGAGATGGAGTTTAGCTCTTGTCACCCAGGATGGAGTGCAATGGAGTGATCTCAGCTCACTGCAACCTCTGCCTCCTGGGTTCAAGCAACTCTCCTGCTTCAGCCTCCTGAGTAGCCGGGATTACAGGTGCCTGCCACCATGCCCAGATAATTTTTGTATTTTTAGTAAAGATGGGACTTCACGATGTTGGCCAGGCTGCTCTTGAATTCCTGACCTCAGGTGATCTGCCTGCCTGGGCCTCCCAAAGTTCTGGGATTACAGGCATAAACCACTGTGCCTGGCCTGGATGTGGTTTTTGTACGTGATAAGAAGTTGAATGTAGGACTTCTGAGGTTTATGGAGTTTAAAACAGCAGCAACAAAACCAGAAACAGTGAGTCCAGAACACTCGCTAAGGACTTCAGCAGCGAAAAGAGACATAAAATAAAAATCCCAAGATCCTTGGAGGGTGGCAAAACCAAAGCACACAAAAGTACTTCGTGGATTTTGTTTCTGTAAGGATGGTGGACATGAGAATGTTAGAAAGCAAATGGAAAAAGATGGTGGAAAGATTGAAACGGAGCCTCCTTTTGGAGTTAGATTACTACAGTGTTTCCTACCATGGCTGCCCCTTTTAATCCATCTTGCCCACTGCTGGATTGAGTCTCTCTAAATATCAGTCTCTCTCCTGTTCTAGAACAGCCATGACTCAAGGACTCTCTCTCTACCTTATTCCTCAGGCCCTGGCCGATTATCCAAGCTCCTGTATAGCCCATGCCTGCCACCATCTTTGTGTTTGGGGATTGGAGGTGGCATTTAAAAATGCCATCATGAAGCTGGGAGTGGTGTTTCACGCCTGTAATCCTAGCACTTCAGGAGGCCGAGGCGGGCAGATCTCTTGAGGTCAGGAGTTCGAGACCAGACTGGCCAACATGGCGAAACCCCGTCGCTACTAAAATTGCAAAAATTAGCCAGGTGTGGTGGCGCATGCCTGTAATCCCAGCTACTTGGGATGCTGAGACAGGAGAATTGCTTGAATCCCGGAGGCAGAGGCGCAGAGATCGCACCATTGCACTCCAGCCTGGGTGACGAGTGAAACTGTCTCAAAAAAAAAAAAAAAAAAAAAAAAAAAGCTATTGTGTGATATTTAATACATTAAAAAGGCATAAACAATAAAACAAATGCCTATGTTCCCACCACCCAGCTTAAAAAGTAAAACTTGACCAATCATTTGAAATGTGTGTTCCTAATTGCATCCCCACCAAGGCTAGCCCTGGACTGAATTTGGAGGTTATCATTCTCATGCATTTCTGAACATTTGACCTACGTATGTAGAACCACATAGAGCAAGATAGCATCTTAAATTGCATTTGTTTAAACTTATATATGTATATAACTTTCTACAGCTTGTTTTTTTCTTCTTGATGTTATTTCCATGCGATCCTTCCATATTGATATGTGTAGCTCTGCTTCACTCTTCTTGCTATTGGGTTTTATTCTGTTGTTCTTGTTTCTCTTGTTGTGGCTTATTTTATTTATTTATTTTTTGTGTTTTTTTTTTTTTGTGAGACAGAGTCTTGCTCTGTCACCCAGGCTGGAGTGCAGTGGAGCAATCTCGGGTCTCTGCAACCTCCGCCTCCCATGCTCAAGTGATCCTCCCACCTCAGCCTCCTGAGCAGCTGGGACTACAGGTATGTGCCACCACACCAGGCTAACTTTTCAATTTTTAGTAGAGACGGGGTTTCATCATGTTGGCCAGGCTGGTCTCAAACTCCTGAGCTCAAGCAATCCGCTTGCCTCAGCTTCCCAAAGTGCTGGGGTTACAGGCGTGAGCCACCGTACCCAGCCCTGTTGTTGCTTATTTTATTCAACAATTAAAAGTGCAGACTCAGGAATCGGACGATGTGAGCTCAAATCCTATTTCTACCACTGCAGGCAGGATACTTTGCATTTCTGTGGCTCCATTTCCTCTTTTATAAAAGAGATGATACTAACACTGTCCTCCCCCGCATAGTGGCTGCTAGAACTAAATGGCACCGCTCCCGTCCAAGCCTCGGAATGATGCCTGCCGTATAAAAGTACTCTCACCAGTGACTCTTATTCTTTTTCCATCTGCATGACTGCCAGGAAAACCAAGCTGAGAACTAAGGTCAGAACGACATGCTGTGCTCAAAAATCTCAGGCGAAATGTCAGAGCAACAACGCCAAGTATTTTCCGGTACATTAGAATGAAAATCAGTTTAAAAAACTACCGATTATTGTATTCATCTGTTAAAATAAATTAAGTCATCTATCCACTTAGATAAATCATTCAATTCTTTCCCAAACCATTTATCTTGGAGGTATCTTTTTAACTTACAAGATTTTCAATTTTCAGGCTCCTACAGATGGAACAAGGTTAGTGCATGACTAGAGCAACTTACAAGGCAAATATAGCATTAACATGGCTGTGACTAATGATGACAATATGTGCCACCACCTCATCACCAGGAATCTGAGCCAGCCATGGCACCTTCTGGATTTTCTTGGCCCGCTTATTTGGCCCCAGTTTGTCAGAATGTTCCCTGTCAACATCACCAAGTGTTGTAGCAAAACACAATCAATTTCAAAATGGGACTTGAAGAAGATGGCTAGTAAATCAATTGGATTTGTATTCTCTCGCTATTTCATTAAGTATCCAGACATCTAATCCCATGTAGAATGGCAACTGCTTCAAATTATGTGCTATTTTGAATTACAAAATATCAGATGAAAGCTTTTGATTACCTTTATGATGGATATTATGCTACTAAGCATTTTTCAATACAAAGTACATTAGTCATGCATTCAAAATGTGAATGGAAATTGCTATGTTCATTTGTCTGGCTTTGGAAAAAGCAAGTTTTTACATTTTTCCTTGTTAGTGGTTTCCATCAGCATCAACTATGAATCATTCTTCTGAAAAAGAGGTTACCCCAATGAAAACACATCTGATTTTTTTGTCCCTTTCCGGCAGGAAAGTATGTGTCTCTTTAGTTGTGGGAATGATTTTGGGAAATACTAATAATAAACTTCTGACCATCCGAAGTCCATCTATATCACATGCCAAGAGGCGTGGCTACAGTCTCACTCCTTCCAGCTTGAGCCCGTGCATTTACCAACACACTCCTTAGCATTTACTATCAAGCACAGAATGGGCAAGACTTTTTCCCCAAATAAGGAAGCAACTCATTACTAAAAGCAAACTAAATGTCTAGAAAAAGAAGCCAGCCGGGGGCAGTGGCTCACGCCTGTAATCCCAGCGCTTTGGGAGGTCAAGGTGGGCGGATCATGAGGTCAGGAGTTCGAGACCAGCCTGACCAACATGGTGAAAATAAAAATACAAAAATTAGCCAGGCATGGTGGCGGGCACCTATAATCCCAGCTACTCAGGAGGCTGAGGCAGGAAAATCATTTGAACCCAGAAGGTCGAAGTTACAGTGAGCCAAGATCGTACCATTGCACTCCAGCCTGGGTGACAGAGTGAGACTCCATCTCAAAAAAAAAAAAAAAAACCCAAGATATCTCATATAACAGTGAAATGTTATCCATATTGATGACATCAATGATGTTAATAATAATCAGCATCATACAGTATATAAACTATTCTCATCTTTTTCTTTTTTGAGAAGAAGTCACGCTCTGTTGCCCAGGCTGGCATGATCTCTGCTCACTGCAACCTCCGCCTCCCAGGTTCAAGTGATTCTCCTGCTTCAGCCTCCCAAGTAGCTGGGAGTAGAGGCGTGCACCACCGCACCTGGCTGATTTTTGTATTTGTAGTAGAGACGGGGTTTTACCATGTTCTCTAGGCAGGTCTCGAACTTCTGACCTCAAGTGATCCACCCACCTTGGCCTCCCAAAGTGCTGGGATTACAGATGTGAGCCCCCGTACCCGGCCTCTCATCTTAAGAGGTTGGTCTTCGTGAGATTCTTCTGGCTAGACTGACGGTAGAGCCTCCTACGCTAAAAATTCTCCTCCCTCTTTGATTCCTGGCAAAATGCAAATTAAGGCTCATCTTCTCTTTCCTTTCTGGTTCTGTGTCTTTAATTCTCAAGAGTTTGTCTAGAATGCTCCCAGCACAAACCTCCACTGCCCTGTGTTCACCTACACGTGTTCACCTACACAATGGGCCAGGGAAACCTACTTACTTCTTAGAGCGTATTCTTTGGGCTTCACTGAATTCAGATCGGAAAGGAATTCATCAGTATCTTGCACGCACTTCAGAGAGATGTTTCTTGCAGGAAAAACAAAAGGAAATTGAAAAGACAGCAGGCAAAATAGTAGAGTCAGGCTCATCATTGTCTCCTAACCTGTTAGGATAAGCCTCACGTCTTTGACAAACAGCCTGATATTTATGAAACACTGGTGTATAATATGTCGCGGGTAAATGGGACATGCTCGCTCCTTAACAGGCGGAGAGACAAGCTGCGTCTCCCAGCCACCTGCAAAGCGGCCGAGATGAACAAACCATGGAAACCAATTTATATACAACTTGTTATTGTTGAGTAACACAGCACTGTGGATGTGGGGGCTGCTGACCACCTGGCTTCCTTTAGTTATGCAGGTTAACATTTCCAGTTAACATGGATAATGCTGGATTTTCTCTAGCTAGATGGCCTGGAGTACGTCTCTGGGTTTCAAAAATATAGTGACTATGTTAAGTGGCAATATTTGGCTTTTGTCCAAGAAGGATGATGAGCTCGTAAAACATTTGGATGAATGATAAAGAAGGGCTTCTCCGTGATAGTCTGCATAGGGTATACATCTGCCAAAGCGTGTGCTGGACTTCCAGAGTGGTATCAGCGTGGGAATGTTGAACTGCCCCGTGGGAAGGAAGTTGTTGCAGTAGGACAAATATGCACACACATCCACATGTGGGAGTTTCGAAAACACATCCTGGGAAGTCAGACGCTGATGAAGGACCATGGGAATGGTACACAACTACTTTGAGAAAACATAAAATGTGTCGATCTGGATTTCTCACGGTGTAAATATTCTTTTTCCAGAAAGGCTTGCTTTAAATAGTAACTTCCATATCTCCATTTAAAATGGGAAGCAATTTCTGTAGATCTTGTTTACACTGCTGGAACACATCTGCACTTGTGGGTGGCCGTGACTCAGTTGTGCTTCCTGCTGCCAGTTGGCTTCAGAGCATCTTCTATTCTAGCATCCCAGACCACCCCTTTCTATGCACACACCCCGCCGACTCTGACTTCTGTTCCTTTGTTCGTGCCCTGCCCTCTGTCTGGAGCAACCTTCCCCCAGCTCCCCTTCTGCTGGGCATCCTCATCTATTCCTACTTATTCTTCTAAGTAGGTGTTGGCTCTTCCAGGAAGCCCTTCTGGGCTTCCTGAGAGTAGGCTATGAGAGTAGCCTGTTCCCTCTGCTGCCTAATTGCTTTGCACACTCCCTTTACCTCCTCACTTTGAAGGTATCTATTTCTGTCTCCTTTTCTCTTATAGACTGGAAGCTCCAGGAGGGCAGGCACTGTGCTCTTTTAATCATCCTGGAATATTCTCAGGCCTTCTGGGTAGTGATTAAGAGCCAAAGCTGTTCCTTACTGGCTGTGTGACCTAGAGCAATTGTGCAGTCTCATTTATCTTATCTTGAAAATGAAGATAATTATAGTCTCTACACCTTGGAATTATGAAATTTAATATGAAGTATTAAAAGAAGGCCAAGTGTGGTGGCTCATTCCTGCCATCCCAGCACTTTGGGAGGCCAAGGCAGGAGGATTGCGTGAGTCCTGGAGTTAGAGGTTACAGTGAGCTATGATTACACAACTGCACTCCAGCCTGCACATCAGAGCAAGATCCTATGTCTAAAAAAATAAAAATAAATTTTAAAAGTACTGAAAGAGGCTGGGTGTAGTGGCTCATGTCTATAATCCCAGCCCTTTGGGAGGCTGAGCAGGAGGATCACTTGAGCGCAGGAGGTCAACCAGCCTGGGCAACATGGTGAAACCCCTGTCTCTACCAAACATTTATAAAATTAGCCAAGCATAGGGGCACACACCTGTAGTCCCAGCTACTCGGGAGGCTGAGGTGGGATGATTGCCTGAGGCCAGGAGGTCGAGGGTGCAGTGAGCTGCATTTGTGCTATGGCACACCAGCCTGGACAACAGAGCAAGACCCTGCCTCAAAAAAAAAAAAGGTACTGAAAGAGTTCCTGGCCTATTATAAATACTCAAGAAATACTACGTATTGTCCTTATATTCTAAATGCCCACTTACATACCTGGCAGATAATGTATATACCAGATATCCTGATAATGTATCTACAAGGGGACATTACAGTATCTGACCTTTTGTAGACCCTTAATAAACAGTAGGTACTGTGGCAATTTAGGATTTTTTTGTTATTGGCTTAAAGAAAAAAACATTAAGGCACACAAGCTGAAATAGTTAACACACTCTCAGGTAAATAGTTCCCTGAAAAAAAATAAAACAGATAATTTTGATCCAAGTTACAAAGGGGCAGCTTTAAAACAAATAATTTTCTAGTAGTCAAAACTAACTCAAAGATGAACTGGGGCTCTTTCAAATGACATCACGGTCTCCAGCCTTGGAGGTGCTCAGCTGTTTGTTGACCACGCATGAAGGCATTAGAGAGATTCAAGCCTTGTACAAATTACCTCTCAGGTCTCTAACTTTGAAATCCTCTGCATCTACCTTCAAAAGTATTTTCAGCCGGGCACAGTGGCTCATGCCTCTAATCCCAGCACTCTGGGAGGCCGAAGCAAGCAGATTTCTTTGAGCTCAGGAGTTCAAGACCAGCCTGGGCAACATGGCGAAACCCCATCTCTACAAAAAACAAACAAAAATACAAAAAGGATTTTTTTTTTTTACCATTAATGTGTTGGTTATTATTAAACACCTCTGAAAGTGTTGTCTAATTGAAGTAGACAATGAAATTTCCATGTAAAAATGAAAGCATCCAACTTGGAATATGTAGATAAATCAACAACTTGTAGGAAGAAGGAAACCGAATTTGGTGCCAGAAACCAGGGTTTAAGTCCTGGCTCTTACAGAAGCAGGTTCAATTTCCCTATCTGTAAAATTATGAACTCAGCCTACTTCACACAGTTGCATTGTAGTATGAACTTAAAGCTCATGATACAGAAACATTTATAGAATCCCGAGTCCTAAATAAATGTTTGTTAGCATTAGAGCTCCCACTGCCAAGTTGCTTTTTGGGTTTTGTTTTGCTTAACCATCTTTCTACCTTAGAAAAGGGTGAGAGAGGGGATTGAAAAAACTAGAGGTTTAGATAATTTGAATGCAGTCTGCTGGTTTCAAATCCACAGTTTGAATCAATGGTGGAAAGAAGATTCAGAGGGGAAAAAAAAAAACAACTTTTAAAAATACAAATAAAACAATATAGTGTAACAAGTTCTTATATCGTATTAGGTGTTGTACGTACTGTAGAGATGATTTAAAGTATAGAGGGGAATGTAGATTATATGCAAATACTAGACCATTTTATATCCAGGAATATCAGTGGATTTTGGTATCCACAGGAAGTGGTTCTGGAACTTTTCCACTGCCAATACCAAGGGAAGTCTGTATGAATGATTAAACAGAAAAATCTCTGAAACTTGGATTTATTCCCGGGTTAGTTGCTGATGTCATGTAGTCACTGAAAGTAAGAATGACATTGCTTTTAGAATTCAGCATTAAATACTTCATCTTTTTTCAAGTGGAGAAAAAATATAATGAGCAGAACCCACCTCCACATTTTAATCATTAGGAATAAAAACCACTTACGATGGTTTAAAAATACTACCTAAATAAAAAAGAAAAAGAGGATCTTACTTCTGGGTAATTAATAGCTCAAGATCCTTCTGTTTGTCCCAACCCCTAAGAAAAAAAAAATTATGACTAATCAAGGCTCAAGGAAGCTCAGTCATTTTACAAAAATATTTTAGGTACCTGTTTTGTTTTTTGTTTTTTGTTTTTTGCAAGCAGTTTGCTGGGCATAAAAATAGGACATGAAAATAAATAATGCCTTCGTTTCCTGAAAGCAGGCCTCTAACGTTTCCGGAAGCAGCAGCAATCAACCGGCTGGTGCTATTATTTATGACACGGTCACTTTATTCAAGTAACTATTAAAAAGGAAAGGGCATTCGGGCTCCCATCACTTGGCAATGGGTTTGAGAAAACAAGGATCAGTTTTGACTGTCCAGAATAAGGATCAAAGGGGAAAATATAACTAATACCCACTGCTCTCAGGCCGCAAAAGGAAGAATGCCTCTTGCAATGAGAGGAAATGGCAGTTTCAGATTAGAAAGCAAGCAGAGAGTTCATGGAAAATCTTAGAACATTCTTCCAGGGGATGGCAGACACTTAGCACATAAGCATATCATGTCAGGCAGTGATAAGTGCCAGGGAGAAAAATAATGGGAAGCGGAGATGGAGAGTGGCAAAGCAGGTGTGTGCTCAGTGGGGTGGGCACATTTCAGTAAGGGAATTGGGGAAGGCTCTCCAGGCGGGGGACTTCTGCATGGACCGGATGTGAAACATGTGAAAAACCCTCATGAGAACTGGGGAAAGAGCATTCCACGAGAAGGAAGAGCATGTGCCAAGGTCCTGTAACAGGAATATGAATCGTGGATAGGAACGAAAAGGAGTGACATGGGAGTAGGGGGAAGTGATAGGAGGTGAGGTTAGATATGGTGACGGGAGCAGGGAGGTCTTCCGGGGCTGGTCTTATAGCAATTGAAAGGCACTCGCTTCCATTTATTTTGGTCTCTTCTGAAACAACAGAGACTGGCATGTTGTTTAGCTGGTGTCTTATTCAGAGGGAACCAAGAGTCTAAACTTTAGGTTCTCCCCATGATGTTGGCACTGCTTGTGTCCAAGACATTCAGTAGTTCCTTAAAGACAAACTGACTTCCCTCACCTTGACAAACAGTTCACAAGTCTACTCTCAATTCAGAGTCACCACGGCCATTGCCACTATGCTGCCATCACGCCACCAGACAAATGGTGTTGAACTGGCCCGCTCCTTTGTATCACCTACTGAAGAGTCGAGCAGGAGCATAGTTTTGGTCATCCCGTGCCTGAAGTTAGGCTGCTGGGAGTCAGGGTGAGTGACCTTCTGGATTCTGCAGTGGGAGGTAAGATCTATCTCTTGCCAAGATTCATACAATGGCAGGTACCCCCAACACTGGAAAGGGAAGTTCAGGTGCTGAACTGGCAAAGTAGAGACATTCATTACTCCTGCTTACAGATGCATCTGTTTCCACCTTGGAAAGGGTGGAAGATGTTGCTCTACTTCCCGTTAACTCTTGTCAACATCACACCATCCTCTCTGATCAGCGGACCTGTGCCTACCTTGTTCTTTTTTAAAAAACAAATAGCATTTGTTCTCCAAAAATAACCAATCCAATTAAGCATGACATGACCTGAAGGTCAGGAAATGACTCATGGACTCAGGGGCGAAACCCACACTTTCTGGAACTGAGTTGGACTTGGAGGTGTGCTATGGTGGACTCTAATTATAGAACTCCCCCGGGTGAAAACATGGTCTTGCCAAGGATTGTATTTGCAAATAGATCTGCCATGGTCATGTAATGTACAGTTCTAACTATAAGAAAAGCTCAAGGATAAAGCAGCTTGCAATAAAATAGCACAGCAAATTTAATAATCAGTTCCCTTAAATACTGGGAAACATTATAAATAGCGCTACGTGATGAGTCAGAACTAACCTCATAAATTGAATTTAGAAACTGGTAAGGAATATCTTCTGGGAAATGTGATTCTGTTTCCTTGCATAAAAATAACCACTAGGGAAAAGGTATAATTCCAGGAGAAACCTGGCAAGGTAATTAGAAAGGGTAAATGTAGAATCTGAAGTACCGTATTCCATTGGAGAGCCTGCCTGTAGGGGACAAAATGCATGTTGACAAAACAGGCATAGAACACGCACTCCTGAAAGTGCATGCCACGTGTCAGTGATCATTATAACCTCCCACTCGGAAACCCAGATCCTTCATCCACCCTTCTTTGTCCTGTTTTGTGCCCAACACACGGACATCTATAGACTATTACTGTGGCTGCCTTGTCATCTAGCTTGTATTTAGCTTTGGCAGGTGGGAGGTGCGGGCAGGAAATCTTTGAGTGTGATGAGAGGGCCTCCTGGTGATTCCGCTCCCCACACCTTCCTGGCTTCACTGTGGCTCTGGCAGTGGCTCTTCCTGAGTGCCCTTTTCCCACAGCTCCAGCTTCCACCCCTACTCAGGCTTCTCAGGCCTTGTTCCAGCACACAGCTCTGTGTATAGTCCCTTCCTTAATTTCTTGAAAGTTAAACCTTTTGCAGTGTGCTGCACTGCATTCTGCTGGGACCTTAATTGAAACAGGATCTAGGGTACCCCCAAATCTAGATTTCCAAAGAAGGCAGCAAATATAAATGAGCAAATGCCTAGAAAAATGTAGGCTAAGATCATTAAAGTTTTATCCAATGTATTGAATCGTTACTAAAACATTCAAAATCCATTGGGACTGTGAAGAAAAAATGGATGTGAAAAGAAAATACTCTGAAAAGACTGAGAGTAGCCTAGTCTCAAATTCAGCCTTATACTCAAACCATGTGAACTGAGGCTGGGCTGTTCAGAATGGGTTGATTGGGGGTAACAGTGACTATAGAATGACAACTGGCTACTCCAGAAACTTCTAGTAGCATGAAGAGAGACTTTTCACAGAAATATGGGCATTTCTTGCTATAAATTTCCCTCTTGGAATGGCTTCTGCTGCATCCCATAGGTGTTTGGTACATAGTTGCTATTTGTCTCAAGATTTTTTTGATTTTCTTTTTTATTTCTTCTTTGACCCATGTTGTTTAATTTCTACTTATTTGTGAATTTTCCAAGATTTCTCCTGTTACTGATTTCAAGTTTCACACCATTGTGGTCAGAAAAGATACTTAAGGTAATTTTGATCCCCTGAAATTTGTTTAGATTTGTATTGCAGCCAAACATATGATCCATCCTGGAGAAAGTTCTGTGTGTACTTGAGAAAAATGTGTATCCTGTTGCTGTTGGATGGGATGTTCTGTATATGTCTGTCAGGTCATAAAGTGTAGTTCAAGTCCAATGTTTCCTTATTAATTTTCTGTCTGGATGGTAATCCATTATTGAAAGTGGGGTATTGATGTCCCCTACTATTATTGTATTATAGTTTCTATCTCCCTTCAGATCTATTAATATTTGCTTTATATATTTAGGTGCTTCATTCAATGTTGGATACATTTATAATTATTGTATCCTCTTGATGAATTGACCCTTTCATTGTTATATAATGTCCTTTGTCTCTTTTATTGCTTCTGACTTAAAGTTGCTTTGTCTGATGTAGGTATAGCTACCCTCTGCTCTCTTCTGGTTCCATTTGCATACAGTATCTTCTCATTCCTTCATTTTCAGTCTATGTGCATCCTTAAGAGAGTTGAGTCTCTTGTAGGCAGCATACAGTCGGGTACTTAGGTCTTTTTTTTAATCCATTCAGCCACTCTGTCCTCATATTAGAAAATTTAACCCATTTACATTCAAAGTAACTACTGACAGGTGAGAACTTATTACTGCCATTTTGTAATTTGTTTTCTGGTTGTTGGGGATGTATTTTGTTTCTCCCTGTCTTGCTGGATGGTTTGTGGTTTGACTGCTGTAGTGGGATGTTATGAATAATCCTTTCTATTTATGTTCTGTGCATCTACTATAGATTGTTTTCTGGTTATCATGATCTTTATAAAGAAAGACATTCACATTGTCATATTCCAAAGGCTTACAGCTAACTCGGTAAGGGTGTGAGATTCATAACTGAGAAAAGAAAAACAAAAATTGTCAAAGAAAACAAGAAGTTTCAAGGATGCATTTAAGCAGAGTGAGTTACACCTCTTGAGTAGGAGCCAAGTTTTTAAGGTAATTAAGGGTAGGTTCTTTGTTTAGAAGATGTATGTTAAAATTAAGAGCTACAATCTGGAATCCTTACAGCATCTGATATTTGCAAAGCGTGTGTGTGTGCGTGTGTGTGCATGCGTGTGTGTGTAAATTGCACAAATAGCATCCTACATTTGGCACATTACTTTTTATTTTCAGACTATCCTTTGGGATAGATGAAGGGTTCCTCTGAGTCATATTTTATAAATTTCTTGGCTGCCCAAAAATTTCAAGAGGAAATTTCACTGTTGGTCAAAGATCCTAGGATGGAAACTCACTAGCCTGCTGACACTGGTGAGGCATGCCCACCAGAGCTTCAGGGTAGAACAGCTGTTCTTTGGACTACTTGCTGTGGTAGGAGTAAGGAATTTGCAGAAAACGTGCTTGGGAGGAAGGAAGTGGTCTTTGCCATGCAGTGTAAGCCTACATTTTCCTTTTTCTCATTTTGCAAGTAACGTTTTGCTGGCATTCTTTTGTATGCATTTGTTACTCAGCTATTGATATATCACCCAAACACATAAAAACAAAAGCATAATTTGTATGTATACCTGAAACTTAAGATCATCTTCCTGGTAATCAACTCTTAATTTTTACATATATATAAAGTATGTATTATATATGTATTATATATTTTATGTATGTATTATATATTTTATATATGTATTATATATTACATATGTATTATATATATATGTACTATATATTATATATATATAAAATTTTCTTTTTTGGAGATAGAGCCTTGCTCTGTCATCCAGGCTGAAGTGCAGTGGCACCATCTCAGCTCACTGCAACCTCTGCCTCCTGGGTTTAAGCCTCCTGAGTAGCTGGGACTAGAGGTGGGTGCCACCATGCCTGGCTCATTTGCATTTTCAGTAGAGACAGGATTTCACCATGTTGGGCAGGCTGGTCTCGAACTCCTGATCTCAGGTGATCCACCTGCCTTGGCCTCCCAAAGTGCTGGGATTATAGGTGTGAGCCACCATTCCCGGCCTACTTCCATATTTTTAAGTAACCTAAACCTTGAGAAAAAATGTAAGGAATCACATAAGCTTGAACTTTCAGATCAGACTTTCTCTGTATTCCACATTAAGAAACCCTCTGGAAACTGTTTCTGAAATGCTACTTACAACCGAAGCCTCTTTCCAAGCCTACTCCCACCACCCTAGGTCAAGTGTTCCTACTGTGTTGGCACCATAGCTATGCCAATTTAAACGTTATTCCTGTGATGTCCAAATATTTTCAGCCTCCTGGGCACGTGGGAGGATTGCACTTCCCAGCCTCCTTGTGACTAGGTGGCTCCGTATGACTGGTTTTGGCCAGTGACTTGTGAGAAGTGGCATCTGTCACTTCTGGGCCTCAGCATTTCATTGCATTTTCCCTCTGCCACAGCAACTGGCAACTTTTTGATAGTGGGGTAATGGGACAAGGAGATACGGAGCCATGCCTCCAGCCAACCCACAGTGGACACTGAATGTGAACAAGAAATGTCTTGTGATAAGCTATTTAGGCTTAAGGTCATAACCACAGCATAACCCGACCTATCCTGATTGATATACTCCATCCTAAACACTGCCACCAATTAATCTGGTCCTATCACTCCCCTGTCCAAATGACTATCTCTATCAATACAAACCCCTTCATTCTATCATTCAAGGTTTTTTTGTTGTTGTTGTTTTTGAGATGGAGTTTTGTTCTTGTTGCCCAGGCTGGAGTGCAGTGGCACCATCTCCCCTCACTGCAACCTCCGCCTCCCAGGTTCAAGTGATTCTCCTGCCTCAGTCTTGGAGTAGCTGGGATTACAGGCACCTGCCACTGCGCCCAGCTGATTTTTTATATTTTTAATAGAGATGAGGTTTCACTATGTTGGCCAGGCTGGTTGTGAACTCCTGGCCTCACGTGAACCACCCACCTCGGCCTCCCAAAATATGGGGATTACAGGCGTGAGCCACCGTACCCAGCCTCATTCAAGGGTTTTTACAACTTGGCCTAAGCCTTTGCTTCCAGGCTTAGCTCTCACTTCTGCACTCAAGAGTACATGGACTTCCTAAGAATTAAGCATACCTCATGTTATCCTCCTCCTCAAATGCCCACACCCAGCATCTACAACTAATGAAGAATGGGCAGAATTTATGTCCCAGCATGATTTTTGTTGAGCATTCACTGTTGATCCAAGTATTAATGTCTTTCATTAATGGCTAAGATTTTCTACACTGACCTTCCCAGTTCTCTCTAGTCCCCCTTTCTGGAACTTCCATTAAACTGAAGCTGGATCTTCTCATTTTGTCCTTGATTCCTAACCTCTCTTTCGTATTGGAAACATCACTTTATCTCTGTGCTGAGGCTAATTTTCTCAAGGGCTATCTTCCAGTTTACCAATTTCCTCTTCAGCTGAACAATCCAGGTTTTCCCCCAGGGTTACAGCACTGTGTAGTGTTTTTCTAGAATCTAGATTTTGGTTTCTTCATTTTGGACCTCTGGGCATTTTTTAAAATTTTCTTGTATTCTCACCTATGCATTTACCAGGTGTTAATTTTATATTAAGCATCTCTGGGTATTTAAGAGTAGAAAGACTTTCAGGTTATTTATAAAGCCATAGTGCCAAAAACAAAAATTCTGTATCATGTTTTGTACATACTTTTTATTTGTTGAATAAATGAATATTTGTCAATATGTACATAACCACATAGAGCGAGCATTAGATTTAGAGAGCAAAATATTTGGGTTCTAATATGCAAAGCCACTTACCAGCTATGAGGGCTTCGGCAAAGAACTGAATCTGAGCTCAGCTCCCTCAACTGTAAAACTAGGTTATTCGGACCTATGTGGCCTACCACACAGGCTTATTGCAAGGTTCAAATGCAGAAACATATGAAAGTGCTATTATGAATACAACTTAGAGCAATACAAACAAAACAAGGAACAGCAATGGAATTTCAAGCTGAAATTCACACCCTCGGATTGTACCCATGTACTGATGGAGTCAACAAGAAAGTGACAAAATAGCTGATTACTAATGAGAACGAATATGCCATTCTTCTGAGTGGGAAGAATTCTGCAACACCCTGTAGCTTGTCGCTGCAATTAATTACTTCCCAAACTTCACAAAGATGTCAGAGACCCACCATCAATAATTCTCTCACAGAAGCACAAGGGCCAAATGTCCCACGTTTATTTACATATGAAATGTGTTTCATACAGTTATGATGGATGGAGTGCATAACACCTGACAGCAGCAAGACCTTTTGAGGAACCGAACATTGACTACAGTATATCATGCAAGTATCTATATATACACAAAAGAATTCCTTTTCTTAAAAAAAAAAAAAAAAAAGGTACAAAACATGTTCAGGGATAAATACAAGATACAAAATGCAAAAGAAAACACAAAACAAAACCAAAAAATAGAACTCTCTCAGAGAACTATAAACGGAAGGGACAGAAGAGTACCTCTGCTGCATTTTAATAAAGCAGAACTACCGACGTTAAATATACTTCTTGAAATGGCTGAACTAAACCCGGGTGGCTCAGTGCTTAAGGTAACGGCCAATTGCAATACACAGGCGGCTGCATTGATAAGTCGGTGGTTGAAGTTGTGCATCCCGACTCTAAGTACCATAACGTTTGGCAGTAGCACCCAGAACAGGAAACGCCAACTCTTTTGACAGCAAAGGGTTAAGTCAACTGATTTTTTTCTGTCAAGAGCCAGAGAAATACTTGATATTCTTAGCTGTGTTTCTGTAATAGTTAGTTAATAAATTACATGACAAAAACCTGACTATATAAATCTATTGGTCTAACTACGTATTTGTAACTTTTATAGTAGTCCAGCCCTTTCGTTACTTTCCCTCCTTGTGCTCTTAAAGCCAGCCTTGCAGATCTGCCGAGAAAACAAATCCCATTTTTTTCTTTAGAATAGCCTTCCCCATTCCTCAAAATGGAACTGAGGAAATCAGCATTCCTTATTAGATTCCTAGCTTCAGTTTTTATCCACGGCTGGGAAAGGAGCGACCTGCAAGACTGCTTTAAACACCCTTCGGCATGGCCTGAAGACAAAGGCACGTCCACACTGGAGTGCAGTTGTCTCAAATGTGAACTCACTCCCTCAGGGCAGGCACATCGAGGAAGTGCTAAGACACTTAAAAGTTCCTAGTGTTTTTGAGACCCACAATTACTTACAATTTATGTAGTGAATTCTAAAAATTAAAAACACTAAAAAAGGCATTATTTTAGCCTGTAATTAGTTAACCCATTCAAAATCCAAACATACAAAATGGTTTATTTGAATTCAGGAACTGCCCCTGTTACTAAGAACTCTGTTTTAAAGAAACAGTACAAAAAGAAAAATTCTAACCCAAAACAACTCAAATGGTTTTCCACTAAATACTGATACAAACATGTAACAAAGAGTATAAAAAGTTATTCATTTAAATATATACAAACTCTTTTAAACTCAAATACTGTTTTAATACTTATCGAGGATATATACGACGAGGTGAAGGAAGGTACATTGAAAGAGAATATATTGCAACAGCCTAGACAGTACTGTTAACTCTATTATACTGCAAACTTTGTAACAAAAATGTCTTTTTTATTCCAATGTGGACAGGGATTTTCCTCATGGAGCATCTGTGGCTATTTCTCGGCTGAGCTCATCCTTTTGGATTTGATGAAGGCCATGCCGTGTGTCCGCATGTGAGTATTTAAGGCAGCTTCAGTTTCAAAAGTTTTTGCGCACACTTTGCACTTTCTGTCTGACACGGCGCCATCAGGGGATTCATCCTCGTGGCTGGGTTTGTTCTCCTGTTGGTTATCTTCCCCAGCCCCATTTTGCTTGGACACTGGCTGAGGTTCCTTTAACTTGTGTACGATGAAGAGGTGCCTGGACAGAGAGACGTGAGACGTGTAGCAGAGGCCACACTCCCGGCACTGGTAGGAAGAACCATCCGATTTGTGCTGAGGGATGTGTTCGTGGAATTGCAGCAGGTTTTCGGTGGTGAAGCCACACACGGCACACTTGTGAACCTTAAAAACATTGATTTTCAGCTTTTTCAGTGGTTGAGTGATTGCTCCTCGGGGAGGCCTGAACTCCAGAACTGGTTCTTCCAACTTCCGCTTGGGACTGGGGACCTTTCAGGGAAAGAAAGCAAATGACACGACTGAAAACCATCCTTCACGGTGGTTGATAAATGATCGGTTCTCTTACTTTAGAGCTGCCAGGAAAACTTGTGCTGAACGCTTTGGGATTTAGGGGCTTTAAAGCTGTGTCTGCCACCCCACCCGGAGGCCCATGCCTTTCTTCCACTCCACAGAGAAACCTAGTAGCTGTTAGCAGGCATTGCTCTGCCAGTGGGGCACAACAGTGGACAAATGAGCTCCTAGCTTCCTGAAATTTGTGGCAGCGGAGTTAGATGAACAGAAACAAATGAGAAAATATGCAGTATGTCAGACCCAGGACAGCCAAGCAGGGTGGGATGAGGGCCATGGGAAGCAAGGGGGGGGTATATGTGTGGCTGCTAGGTGATGTGGTACGGTCAGGGACAGCCTGGTGACAGGTGACATTTGAAAAGAGACCTGACGCAGTGTCGGGAAAGCAGTCCAGGCATAGGAAGCTGTGAGTGCCAAGGCCCAAGGTGGGAACAGGCCTGTGAGTGGGCAACAGAAGAGGGGCTAGAGCCAGTAGGAAGGAGTGCTCAGGGAGACTGCAGGAGGTGAACTGTAACGCCCCTTGTGGGAGAGAGTGTCAGGATTTTGCTTTTAGACTGAGAGCCTCTGGAAGCTTTCCCCACCCTTTCCTGCCTCCTCACCTTCACACCATTTCCCCTACTGCGTCTGCTTCCAGGGCTCTAAATCCCACTCTGAATCCCCTCCCCAAGCCAACGTGCCCCTCCTCTCCGCACTCTGTGCCCCAGCTTTTCTGCTCTGTTCATGTGCACCTTCACACGTGGCCATGACCTGAAGCTACCTTTGCACACACTTTCTTTTTTTTTAAGACGGAGTCTCGCGCTATTGCCCAGGCTGGAGTGCAATGGCATGATCTCGGCTCACTACAGCCTCGGCCTCCCGGGTTCAAGCGATTCTCCTGTCTCAGCCTCCCAAGTAGCTGGGACTATACGTGTGCACCACGATGTCCAGCTAATTTTTGTATTTTTAGTAGAGACAGGGTTTCACCATATTGGCCAGGCTGGTCTCGAACTCCTGACCTCGTGACTGCCTGCCTTGGCCTCCCAAAGTGCTGGGATTACAGGTGTGAGCCACCACGCCTTGGCTTCACACATATTCTTTAACTCACCACCAGGAGCACTTGAAGTATTGCATTTTAATGCCACATCAGTCTGACTTATATTCTGAGGAGGTTTTACTCGATGATTAACTCCTTGAAAGCACATACAAGCTTTTACCTGGGTACATTCCAGATCTAGCATAGCACCGAAGACAGGAGGGCTTTTTAAGTATCTGCTAACTTTTTTTGGGGGGGTGGAGACAGAGTCTCGTTCTATTGCCTAGACTAAAGTGCAGTGGCGTGATCTTGGCACACTGCAACCTCTGCTTCCCAGGTTCCAGCAATTCTCCTGCCTCAGCCTCCTGAGTAGCTGGAGATTACAGGTGTGCACCACCACGCCTGGCTAATTTTTGTACTTTTAGTAGAGACGGGGTTTCACCACGTTGGCCAGGCTGGTCTCGAACTCCTAGCCTCAAGTGATCTGCCCGCCTCAGCTTCCCAAAGTGCTGGGATTACAGGCATGAGCCACTGTGTCCGGCCTAAACTATTTCTTTAAACTTTTCTCTCAAAAAAACAAAAAAAGTCCTGCTCTTGTCCCCCAGGTTTGGGTGCAATGGCTTTATCTCGGCTTACTGCAACCTCTGCCTCCTGGGTTCAAACGATTCTCCTGCCTCAGCCTCCCAAGTAGCTGGGATTAAGGCGCCTGCCATCATGCCTGGCTAATTTTTGTATTGTATTTTTTTAGTAGAGATGGGGTTTCACCATGTTGGCCAGGCTGGTCTCGAACTCCTGATGATGAGGTCAGAATGGGTCTATGGGGAGATTAATCATTATTTTATACTTTCAGTGTGGTCTGATTTTTTTTTTTTTTTTTTTTGGGAGAGTCTCGCACTGTCGCCTGGGCTAGAGTGCAGTGGCATGATCTCAGCTCACTGCAACCTCCACCTCCCAAGTTCAAGCGATTCTCCTGCCTCAGCCTCCTGAGTAGCTGGGATTACAGGAGCCCGCCACCACGCCAAGCTAATTTTTTATATTTTTAGTAGAGATGAGGTTACACCATGTCGGCCAGGCTGGTCTTGAACTCCTGAACTCGTGATTTACCCGCCTCGGCCTCCCAAAGTGGTGGGCATGAGCCACCGCACCCAGCCAGTCTGAATTTTTAAAACTGTAACTATGCAACAAAAACTTGAAAGGAAAAAAATGAATGGGAAAAGCAAGTCAACACAATTTCACTGTAAAGCAAACATCTGCAATGTTAGACCTTAGTGTCTTCTTTTATTTCTGTTTCCTCCTCATTGGTGGCATCTGTCATTTCTTTCAGGTCAGGGTCCTTGATGCCATGCATCAGCTGGACGTGCTTCTCCAGCATCAAACGTTTGGTAAAGGTACGTCTGGAGTCTGGGCAGTGCCTGTGGGGTGAAAGGCAAGGAGATAACGCACTTGCTGACAAAATAAGCTCCTGTGGAAGAACTCACGGTCGAAGGTCCTCCTTAGCCGTCAGTTCACACAGACAGGTCCAATAAGCTGAGTTCACACCATGGTTCAACACGCAATCAGCAATTTTGCTAGGAGTGGCCCTTAATTTACAGGTCTAGATGGCTTTAATTTTAAAGGGAAAATATTGCATTTCAAAAGAAGTTTTCACAATGACTCAGTATTCTCTCAGAATGAGCACCATGCTGAACACATTAGTATAAGGTCCCTCCTTGACTCCTTTGTGCTGCTGTTAATTATCCCTGTCCTCTGCCTTGACAAAGACATGAGTGTCCAGCGCCAAATTCTTCCAGGCACAAAAGCAGCATGCATGTTTATACTCATGGCAGTCGAGTGTGTATGGTCACTCAGTAGATGATAAGCAGATCAAAAATAGGTCAATTATTTTTCAAAGAAAAACTTATTTTAATAAAGCAGGCCAAAGATAGTTTAGAAAACAGGCTGGCCAGGTGCAGTGGTTCACGCCTGTAATCCCAGCACTTTGGGAGGCCGAGGCAGGCAGATCACCTGAGGTCGGAAGTTTGAGATGAGCCTGACAAACATGGAGAAACTCTGTCTCTACTAAAAATACAAAATTAGCCGGGCATGGTGGTGCATGCCTGTAATCCCAGCTACTCGGGAGGCTGAGGCAGGAGAATCGGTTGAACCCAGGAGGTGGAGGGTAGGGTGAGCCGAGATCATGCCATTGCACTCCAGCCTGGGTAACAAAAGCAAAACTCCGTCTCAAAAAAAGAAAAAAAAGAGGTAATGGCCCTAGTTATTATGTATGCTATAAAACCAGGTATCAAGAATGCTACTGAGGGAAGGACAAAAAGTCTCTTGTGGTCTCAAATCTGCCTTCAAAATAGCTTCGGAGGAATTCATACTGATTGGCCCTAAACCCTGATGACCTCACATTAGAGACACTTGCAGGGCAGTGGCAGGAGCCAGCACCACCCCCAAAGGACGAGGGCTCTCCATGAGGATGAATTTTTTGTTGGCCGTAAGTTAGCAGAACAATCCCAGCATTTTACTGCTTTACAGTGAGTTCATGGGGAAATAAACAAAACCTATCAGTGAAGCATTATGGGCCAGATCTCCCATCGTCTTCTTGGCCCAGAGCATCCTTCTAAATTCTGATTCTTTTGATTTGGTCTCAACACATACTTTATTCATAATCATTCTTATCTCACTAAACAGCTTCAATTTCACTGAATCAGATGATTCCTACCCGGTTATCATAACCCCCTGCGAATCTGACAGCCAACCTTCATAAGTCTCCTGATCCATAGGGTCCATCTGGCCTGCACTGACATCCATGTAACATTTCAGTGCTTTAGCCTCAGGGTCCTTTGTCTCTCTCTCTCTCATGAGACATGCTTTCTTCTTATCAACCCACTCCAGGTATATTCCAGCTGAGTGACAGCCTTTCACTAATGATGAGATACGTTCTGGTGTTCACGTATGAAGCAGCAGCTTATGACTGTCCACTGGAGTCTGGGTTGATGTTGGCCCACCCAGTCCCTTGCATTTGGTCACAGGCTGCCCCACCTTCAGTGGTGACTGCAGCCAAGGGGCAAAGGGCCCAGCCGAGGACTGAATCTGTGACCAGCCCTGAGTAAACAAGCTAGCCAAATCACCTCGCCAATGTGGCCAACTCGACATGTGCAGAGAGACCCTGTACTGCCAATCAATCGCTCCCCCAAGACACTCAGGGATCAGGCTGGGTGCCAGGGCTCATGCCTGTAATCCCAGCACATTGGGAGGTAGCAGGTGGGTCACCCAAGGTCAGGAGTTTGAGACCAGCCTGGCTAACACGGTGAAACCCCGTCTCTACTAAAAATACAAAAATTAGCTGGGTGTGGTGGCATGTGCCTGTAATCCCAGTTACTCAGGAGGTTGAGGTAGGAGAATCACTTGAACCTGGGAGGCAGAGGTTGCAGTGAGCCAAAATTGCATCACTGCACTCCAGCCTGGGCAACAGAGTGAGACTCCGTCTCGGGAAAAAAAAAACACACAATGTATGTGGGATATGCAAGAAAATGCTCCTTTTTTTTTTATTTTCATATTTAAGTGTGACAACCCAATCCAAAAACTCTATGCCAAAACAATAATACAATTGAGAAATGTAATGTAGGAACTGTGGAGCACACAGCAAGTTAATGGTACTACACTAAAAACCTTCCAGAGGTTCCTCCTGAGTCCTCTCACTGCGTTCCGTTAGAAACCAGGACTTACGAGCAGGCGTACACTTTCCTGATGCCTTTGTGCTTGATCCGGTTGTGCCGGCACAGGCTGTGGGACGAGCTGAAAGACTTGTCACACTGGCGGCAGGGGTGTTTCTTCATTTGCTGGAGGAAGGAGAGAAAGTTCACTTAAGGGAATGAAAATAGATGCACTCAAACAATTAAGAACTCTTTTGTAATAGTTTAAGTTAAATCATTATTACAGGTCCCCAAATCCAAAACTGAGGGTTGACATGACACTACACATGGAAAATGTCATATCTGACCTCATGTGACGGGTCACAGTCAGAACTGTGTCATGCACAAAATTAAAATTATTTTATAAAAGTCCCTTCAAGCTATCCATATAAGGTATGTATGAAACAAGAATAAATATCACAATTAGAGAGTCCCAAGATATTATGTATATTTGAATATTCCAAGATCCAAAAACATCTAAAATTTGAAACACTTCTGTTCCCAAACTTTCAGCTCAGGGATACTCAACCTGTATTTAGGAATACAGTAACAAAACCAAAAAACTTTTTAAAAATATATAATAAAAATGAGGACAGGGCTGAGGTAACCATGATGGGGCTAATTTTAGGAGGATGGGTTAAACTATCATAAGGGTAAAAAAAATTCTCTCTCAAAAACACAGGTTTTTGATTCAACACAAACATCCAGGTATTTGAAATAACATTATATAAATCTTTTACTGAAAAGATAATATATGAAACCATACATCAGTAAATACTAAGTAAAGCCACTACCTAATTTGTGGTAGATAGAATATGCTGTTTTATTCAGTATGCCATGTTAAATGAAATCTCTGGCTACCCTTTAATGACTAAGTAATTATTCATTATATAAGGGAAGTTTTCTAGAAGGATTTTTGTTTTAAATAATATCATTTGATAATCTCAAGAACACAGAACTTTGAAACAACTTTAAGGAGGCTGCCTGCTGGTATACTTAGGGGATGAGAGAGAGAGAGACAGCAAACACTGTCAAGTAGGTAAGCCGAATTTCCTTATATTTAAAAGTTTCCCACTCAGGCTGAGATATTATGTTAACTGAATATATTTCCATGCAGAACCTTTGAAGTAAATTAGTGGCGTAAAACAAATTCTTTGGTTATGACATGCATAGCAGTCTGGAACTAAACAGTGTCATATCACAAGGAAATTAAAGAGCTGTCAAGCCTCATGAATGGAACAAAATCTGGCTCTAAACTCATTAAAGACTGAAGTGGGACGAAGTTTTCATGTGAGATAATACTAAGAAGTGATTGCAAGCTATGTGATAAAGAAATGATTGATTACATTTTTTTGGGACTGAGTCTCATTCTGTTGCCTAGGCTGGAGTGCAGCGGTGTCATCTCGGCTCTGCAACCTCCGCCTCCTGGGTTCAAAGAACTCTCGTGCCTCAGCCTCCCGAGTAGCTGGGGCTAAAAGCACCCACCACCACGCCCGGCTAATTTTTGTATTTTTAGTAGAGACAAGGTCTCACCATGTTGGCCAGGCTGGTCTCGAACTCCTGGCCTTAAGTGATCCGCTGGCCTCAGTCAGCCTCCCAAAGTGCTGGAATTATAGGCGTGAGCCACCATGCCCAGACTGATTACATTTTTAAAAATCATTTTCCCATAACCGCTTGACAAACATGTCCTTGTTCAAACCGGCAGGCAAATCGGAGTGGCTGAGTCTGGCCGGCAGCACCTAAGATGAGCTGGCACCTGGTCTCTGCCTCATGAATCACAGGACCTGGTGAAAGCCACTCAACCCACGTGAATGTCCACTCCCACCCCTGTGAGGTGGGCTTGCAACAGTGCCTGCCTCCCAGGACGCTTCGAGAACACGGGGATGATTAACAAAGGGGGCAGGCAGCATGGGACACATCGCTCAGGAAATGCTCTTGTAATAGTCAAGTTATGCAGCCAACTTCCATTCAAAAAGCATAGAAAAATACTGTCTGTCTTTTAAATAAACCAAATCAGTCTGGTAGATATTCAAAAGGGTCTTGAATCCAAACAAGGGCAAAGGAGAAAATTTCTTCTCCAAGTTAAAAGTTATACCAATGCTGTTCATCTCTGGGGGAAACAACGAAAGAGAGAACAAAGCAAATAACAAGCTGGCACCCCCCAAAAATATTCTCTCATAAAGATTTGATTACACAAAATAGGCCAGCAGCAATCCCTAACCTCTTGGATTAGCATTTATGCAGCAAAAGAGTGACTAAGAGGTAACGAGCCTTTATTTATTTTAAAGCTTTAAAGTCATGAACAACAGGTCTGTATTTCAATAAAGATATTTAAAAATCTAGTATCTAATGCTTTTTATATTTTCTACATATAAAAATCAACTGAGGCTGGGCGCAGTGGCTCACGCCTGTAATCCCAGCACTTTGGATCACCTGAGGTCAGGAGTTCAAGACCAGCCTGGCCAACATGGTGAAACCCCGTCTCTACTAAAAATACAAAAATTAGCTGGGCATGATGGCAGGTGCCTATAATCCCAGCTACTCAGAAGGCTGGGGCAGAAGAATTGCAGTGGTTGCAGTGAGCCGAGAAGATCATGATACTGCACTCCAGCCTGTGAGACAGAGCAAGGCTCCATCTCAAAAGAAAAAAAAAATCAACTGAAAGTCATCTTTCTAAAAGCAAGACTGCTTCACCAAATCCTAACAGATTATAAAGAAAAATGTATCTTTCTAACAATACAATAGGACAAGAGACCCCACAGAAAGGAAAATTCGATTTCCTATTAAGGTGACGGGTTTAATATTCTATTTCTTCTTGTGTAGTAATATTAACATCAAAACAAAATTTTAATACAGAAATGCCAGTAAGAAAACCCTAAAAAATGAAGAGCAGCTTAGCAAATCAGTAACTATTTTCAAAAGATCAATCAATGTGAGAGAGACATCCTTCTGTTTCAGCATCTTTATGAAAAATGCAGAAATGAACTCTGCAATTCAAAAATAAGCAGGGTTTCCAATTCACTGGTGACAAGAAAATGAGGTTTAAAACACCAGTTTCCAGATCAAACCTGCCTGGTCACATTACCTAACAGACAACTTTCTTCCTCTGTTAGATTTTAAATACAAACTTATTCGAAGGTACTTTGCCAAATTTATTTTCGTAACTTCTGTTCCTCAATATTACTAGCTCCTTCTGCTTTTATGAGTTTAAAAAATGGGAAAACAGCATTTCAGTGTAAAGCCCACCGTCATCATTCTAAGACTTTAGGCCGTTTGCTTCCTCCTGGCTTTACTATAAGCTGAGATTGAGAGCTTTGGGTGGACTTTTTAATAGTTAACTAAGATCAGAAAAGGAACATGTCTTCCTACTCAGTTCTGAGTTACTTTGTTTTTAAATAGAACTCTTTAAAGAAATAGTGAACTAATAAGCTGGCAGGGTTTCCAAAGTTTTTAACATAAAACTTTTTGAGAGTAAAATATCAAAATAAACACTTGGGTACACTTCCTAAACTTTCTTCCTCCCGTCTCATTTTTGACTTTCATCTTCACAGCTTCAGGAAAGAAAGCATTAATCCCGCCTCCTTTTCTCCAGTGACTATGCTAGGCGTGCGCTACCCCATGCTGCTGCTGTGCTTGGGATGGTACGGCCTTGGCAGGCCATTCTTCCCGGAGAGCACTTGGTGGACGTGTCTCGGTTTGCCACGGGGCTTCCCTCACAATCAGAAACTTCCCATTCTAATAACTTGTCCTTTCTGTTTCTGTGCTTACGGGTCTCTGTTTCAGGTGACTTTGGGGAAGTTAGAGGGAGAAAAGTCATAACTTCATACCCAGATCTGGCAAGGCATCCACATCTCACCTTGTCCTGGGAGTCCTACCTCCACGAGGTATCTGCCTTGCACCAACATGCAAGAGCCTCCTTAACGACCACCATGCAGCCAGAAACTCCCACAAACTTAAAGACTGCAGGCTACAGGATTATCCTCAACCGTTGCTGACACATGCCCTTCAGCTCACACCTTTTTATGAAAAAGGAAAAACCAAGCCAATCACATGATTTAAATATAGCACAGCAGCAGTCCCTCCAAAATTCACTCCTAAAGCTCTGACCCCTTCCACTGGGCAATCTATTCTATGAAGAGACCTGCATACTTACTACAGCCCGTTTCTGCTGTAATGCAACATCGGTGCTCCTAAAAATCACTGCACTATGCAAAACTTCAACAAAACAACAGGGCCTCTAGCAAAAATGGAGTCACGGAGACAACACTCAAGACTTTGTCAGTGACACATCGAATGAAAATATTTAGTTTTAACTACGTCAAATGGTTAAGAAATGCAAAAAACACTGCACTTTACCTTGAAAAAGACCTGCAGTGAGCTTGTGGAGGTCAGAGGGTTGCAGCTTGTGAGTTACTGTGAAGTGGGGGAAGGAGGGCAATCTTAGTGGAAGGGAAGCTTGCAACACCAGCTGTGGATGGATGTGACCCACAGTTGAGAGGGAGGCCCTGGTGAAATCGGAGGTTTGTTGTGTGTATGTGTTTTGTGTTTTCCTACACAACTCCACAGCATTCTGTAGTCACTTGGTATTTCTCAGGGATGAAATCACACATAAGCAAACATGAAATTCAGGTTAAGCTCCCATTGTTCTGATAAATCTTGGTACTGGGATAAATTTGTTTCAGCATAAGTGTTATAGCAGAAGTCACTGTGTTCAAGTTTATTCACTGCACCATTGTGTACGGTGGGTCCATCAAAGGAGAACTGGCTAAATACATGCATGCACTCATACCACAAGATGCCGTGCCGCTACAGAAATGGAGGGAAGATCTCAATGCACTGATACGAAAAGAACCATAACTACTAAGCGGAGAAAGTACTGGTACACAAAATTATAGATGGAAGCTGTGTTCTGTATTAGAAGAATGAGAATATATGCATATATGCTAATACTTGCATAAGGAGACTTCAAGATAAGAAACTTAGGAGTTAAGACTTCACTATATTCCTTCATATTGTTTAAATTTTTAAACTATGTAAATATAGCACATATCCAAAAAAAATTTTACCGCAAAAAAAACTGAGCTTATTGAGATATAGTTTATAAAATCACTTTTTTAAAAGTAGAGTTCTATGAATAAGTGCCACCACAGTCAAGACATAGAACAGTTGTGTCATCCCCCAAAATTCCCACGTGCCCTTTATAATCAACCCCACCCCCTCGACCCCGCTCTTAGCAGCCAGGGATTTGCTTTCTATCTCTGGTTTTGCTTTCTCCATTTGTCATATAAATGGAGCCATACAGTACACGTGAAGCTTTGAGTCTCGCTTCTTTCACTCAGCATAATACACATATAATTCCTCCACGCTGTTGGGTCTATTGGTATTTGTTCCTTTTCTCTGCTGACTAGTGTTCCAGTGTGGATGTGCCCAAGTGTGTTTATTCACTTGCCAAGTGAAAGCCATTTAGGGATTTTCTAGTTTTTGATATTATGAATAAAGCCACTATAAACATTTACTATAATCATTCATCTGTGCATATGATTTCTCTTGGGTAAATACCCAGGAGCGGGATTACTAAGTCATATGTTAAATAAGAAACTGTCTAACTGTTTTCCAGAGCGGCTGTCCCCTGCATACCCACCAGCAATGGAGAGAAACTGCCACCGTTCCGCCATCTTTTAACATTTGGCATTGCCACTTCATTTAGTTCAGTCATTCTACAGGGTGGCCAGTAGTATTTTGTTGTGGTTTTAATTTGCATTTCTCTAATGACTTATTAAGGTAACAAAAAAATCTTTCTGGCCAGGCACAGTGGCTCACGCCTGTAATCCCAGCACTTTGGAAGCCAAGGCGGGCGCACCACTTGAGGCCAGGAGTTCAAGTCCAGCCTGGCCAACATGGCAAAATCCTGTCTCTACTAAAAATACAAATATTAGCTGGGCATGGTGGTGCATGCCTGTAATCCCAGCTACTCAGGAGGCTGAGGCACAAGAATCACTTGAACTCGGTAAGCAGCAGTTGCAGTGAGCAGAGATAGTGCCACTGCATTCCAGCCTGGGCGACAGAGTGAGTGAAAACTCTGTCTCAAAAAACAGATATATATTTCAATTAGTAGGTAAAACACCAACTTACAGTAAGCCTCTTTCTTCAAAGAAAAAGCGTACAATCAAAGTTTTGTTGTTTTTTAATTATTAAAGGGATGTTTGGGGGGCATTTTCCCTCCCCCATAAGCTCCTTGAGAACAGAAGCTGTCAATTGTTCATCTCTGCATCAGAAAACAGTAAATACTGTGGGAATGAATAAATAAAGATTAACTGAACAAAACTGTCTACTTGGAAAACATCGGCAGGTTCTACGAAGTAATCATGGAGTAACAAATTTAGGATAAAGTGCTGGACACAGAGGAACTCTGCTTATTTCCTGCAGGATGGCCAAGACATGACGGTGTTTAAATACGGATAAGAAAGAGCCTGTAATAAATGAAGAGACTGAGGATAGAGGCGAGCGATGAATGAATGAGCAGGGAGACAGGGATTCAGACACAGGAAGAACAGCTCTTCCTGTGTGGCCAGAGCCAAGGCGTCATCCGGGGACAGGTGTGATGCTTATTAAAGTCAGGGGTGGGTGGGTGACGAAGGGGCCCAGATATTGAGGGAATTCCTGCTCAGCAGCTTCCATTTTCAAAATGAAGCACGTATGGTACATTTTAGACTTCAGACTCAAATAACTGTGGCCTTCATTTTCTTATTTCTTTATCAAAGTAACAAATGCTTATTGCACAATGTAAAAGAGAAAAGATTGCTTCCAATCTCACCCATCAAAATAACCACTGTCAATTTCTAATGACACAGCCTTCCCACTTTTCTGAATATACACACTGATGTGTATTTATATTTCTAAAACCGATCTATATTATACATATTGGCTTTCAAACTAATTCTTTTTCACTTGTAAAACACACATATCTACACACACTGACAGTTGTTTTCTTGTTTGTATTTTTGAGACAGAGTCTCTGTCGCCCAGGCTGGAGTGCAGTAGTGCAATCTCAGCTCACCATAGCCTCTGCCCTGGGATTCAAGTGATTCTCGTACCTCAGCCTCCCAAGTAGCTGGGACTGCAGGTGTGTACCACCACACCTGGATAATTTGTGTGTTTTTAATAGAGATAGGGTTTCACCATGTTGCCCAGGCAGGTCTCAAACTTCTTACCTCAGGTGATCTACCCGCCTCAGCCTCCCAAAGTGCTGGAATTACAGGCGTGAGCCACCATGCCCAGCTAGTTCTGCATTCTTAACAAGTGTATTGTATTCTGTTGCACAAATGAACCATGAATTGTTTATCTTCTATTAAAGATTCAGGTTGTCTCAACTTCTTAGTAACTACAGACACAAATTTCCATAATCAATTATTTCCTTTGTATAAACTATTGAAGGCAGTCTTTCCAATATAAAGGTTGTGAAAAATAAGCCTCTTTAAATGCCAAACTGCCCTAAAAAAGATTCATTCTACCACCACTAGCACGTTCACCAAGGGAGTTTCCCACACCAGCTCTAGTCTTCAACTCTACCAAAGTGATAGGTAAAACAGTCGACCAACTTTTTCTCTAAATGGCCAGACAGTATGTTAGGCCAGAAACCATAAGGTTTCTGTTGCAACTACTCAACTCTGCCCTTGTACCTTAAAACCAAGAATAGACGATAATAATTAAATGAATGGGCGTGGCTGTGTTCTCATAAATTATTTACAAAAACAGGTGGCAGGCCCATGAAACGCAGTTTGCTGATCCCTGATTGAGACCACTGTTTCACATTCAATAGAAAATAGAGACAAGTCTCAATCATTCAGAACCAAATTTATGTAAATTTATGTAGATAATCTAAAGCCAGTCATAACTATAAAGTGAAAAGAATGCTTTTTTTTCATATGCCATGCTCTAAACAGGTTCTGAGAACCAGCACTATCACTGTCACGTGCCTAGATTACCGAGGTGACAACTTTGAAATAAAGAGGGTTAAACCAACGTGTGCTTACCACTATGCTTATTTAAAACAACAAAAACAAAACCAAGTCTCCGAAGTTTCTGGTTATAAGACTGTCTGGTCTGCTGATGACACTGTACAACTGAAAAAGTAATGACGCAGAACAGTAACAAATGCACAAGAACAGAAGGCCAAATCCGGAGCAGATGGCAAAGAAACGTGTCGCACCGTAGTTTCTGAGCTTAGGGCAATGTCAGACACTTGGGCAGAGAAAAAAAGAAAGGGCTGAAGGAAGGCTACCTAACTTTCTAACAAGCTGCCAGCATCATGCCAATGAAACCCAGAAATGCCTGCCAGGGCACGGTGGGGCTACCAGGGGTACATGCCTGCCAGGGGCCTCTGTGTCCACCTCCACTGGCCAGTGGGGATGTGCAGCAGAGGTTTGGGACTCTCACTGCAGACCCTAAACAAACCTCACATCTCTTCTCTGTCAGGGGACTCTTGGGTCAATACCCTCGTGCCATCCACTGGGTACATCTTTATTAATCCTCATTAGAAAGCCGACAAAATAAATCCTGACTAATCTTTACTGCCTCTCCTTCACAATGACTGACGCCCTGGAAAGAGGGCTGACAGGTGCCTTGAGGCATCCATTGCCATGATCATAAACTCTGAAACATTCACCAGAGACCACCTGACTATGAAAAAAATCTTTGCTGCCCTATTTGTCTAGATCTGGCTCAACTTCATTCCCCTTCTACTTGCAGGCATCTGTCCTACCTTTGAAGCCTCCCTGGTTCCCAAGATGTCCATCTACAGATGGGTGACATGTTATTTCTCTTATTATTCCTGTTCTCAGAGAATCCAGTCTTCAAAAAGGGACCACTGGCAGGAATACACAGAATATTTTCTCCTAGTACAGTAGTTATAGAATCTTTTGGCCCTTTTTAATCATAAAGCAATTGAAACAGAAAAAGGTCACTGTGAAAGATTTTTTTCCCCGTATAATAGCTAGTATTTTATAAAAGGACAAATATGGTTGGGCACAGCGGCTCACGCCTGTAATCCCAGGACTTTGGGAGGCCGAGGCAGGTGGATCACGAGGTCAGGAGTTTGAGACCAGCCTGACCAACATAGTGAAACCCCATCTCTATTAAAAACACAAAAAAATTAGCCGGGAGTGGTGGCATGCATCTGTAATCCCAGCTACTCAGGAGGCTGAGGCAGGAGAATCGCTTGAACCCAGAGTGGGAGGTTGCAGTGAGCTGAGATCACGCCACTGCCCTCCAGCCTAGGCGACAAAACGAGACTCCATCTCGGGGCAAAAAAAAAAAAAAAAAAAAAAAAGGGACAAATATTGCTACATAATAAAAATTAAATACCGCTTGAAGACTTACATAGAATCTTTCTAGTATTTATTTCCACAAATCAAAAGACAAAAGAAACTAATCATTCCTTTTAAAGATAATTGCTGTTTTTATCAGATCAATAAAAAATGTGTTAACAACATTAAAAAGTAAACAAGCAAACACAAATGTCAAAAAAGCTAACCTAATGATGACATGTCACTTTCTCCAGTCCCAGCCCCACATCATATAGGAACTTTCCAACTGCCTGAATGACCACTTTAATAAGGTCCCACCAGTAGGTATAATCAACCATCATATCTGAAGGTGTAACAGAAAAAGGGCAGTGCACAAGTGACCCCTTAGAGTGTCCCAGGAAGGTGCTGTGTACCCAGGTGAGAGACCAAGCTGCCGGGCAGCGATGAAGACGCCCCTCTGTGCTCCGTGTCGGTGTTGATTGTGGTGTTGCAATGACTGGTTTTGAGGAGACATGAAGAAAGGGTATGAGAGTGGAGCCCATCTTCCTCCCTGAACCACCCTTCCAACTGGACATTAACATGGACTTGCTGGATTTGGCAGACTGGACAGAACTTTCCTCTGTGCTGGTCTCACCCTAGGCCCCAGCTCTCCTCCTGCCAAGCAGTAAGACTGTGTTCTCACTCACAACTCGAGGTGGCTGTGGAAAAGCTCACACCCCGAGGCTCAGGCACAAGAGCTAAAGTGCTCTGCAAAAAGTCCTACAATCCCTCTGGGTCTGAAGTTTTCCCAACTTAAAACTAAAGCGAGCAAGCATCTCCTACCTCCCAGTTACCTTCTGGTGCTGTCTATCTTACAAGTCCTTATTCATTCAACCATGCCCGGGAATGGCCTCTTATTTTCTTTGATGTCCCCACCTGTGGCTAAGTTATTTTCTAGTTGTTTTAGGTTTCAAGGTAATGTCAATTTACAGACGGAATCATGTCCTAAATTCTTAAAATCTGAAAATCTGGTCTGCCAATTGGATTGAGGAACACATTTTCCTAAAGAAATTACAAATGACAGTTATATTCTAGGCCAAGTCCATAACAGCCTCACCAGGCACTGCAGTAGAATCACAACACTGAACCAATGCAACAGAGACAAATCACCCTTTTCAGCACTGATTCAATGAAGAAACCTAATCCCAGCGCAAATCTGGGCTCTTCAAGGCATGAGAGATACGACACTCCTCCCACTCCCACCACCCCAAGGGATCTATGTCTACGCTCTACCTGCCATGGATTCCAGGGACAGGGAGGGAACCGTGGGTCACAAGAAGGGACTTGAGATTGAGAGAGGACAAGGGAGAAGGTTCAGGGAGGCACTGGCCTGGGTCTGCCAGAAGCCAAGGCTTTGCCATCTGTAAGCTTCCAGGTATGGGAGCACCATGATGAGACAGCAGAACCCAATCTCCAAGCCAAAAGGAAGAGAGGGGTAAGGAGCTAGACTCGCTGCAGCCATGGGCACTGGAAGCCGAGCTGGAAGGAAAAGTGCTTGTTTGTGACAGTGAGGGAGCTTAGTCTCTGGCTATGGGAATGTTTTTAATCTGAAATATTTTTGGCCAGGAAGTCCTGGTATATTCTCCCAAAGCAGACAAAGACAGGCACCAAGTCTCCTATTTTTCCTGTCTCAGCAACAGCACCAGCCCAGTGTCAAGGGAGCCTCTACCTTCTGGGCCCCTTAGAGATAAACAGGAAAAGCCAGGGGAGGAAATATCTTCCTTGGTCTCCAAAATAACAGCAGCCCTGGTAGGCAATGAACTACAAATGTCTTAAGTGTCTGTAAACATCTTAGTCACTGTGGTGTTCTTAAGCACCATGTTCTAACCCATTATTGCCTGCATGCCTTGTAGGGTACTGACTTTTCAGAGACGAGTACCATATGTGCTGTACTTCATGTGCAAAGATACAGCTTGGTATCCACAGCTCAAGTGCTGTAAATGATTTTTTCTAACACATGTTTAATGAGCCTGCACTGAACCACTCCCTTTCGGCCGGCAATTCTGGCCAAAGGCTTGCAACTGCCATGCGGCAAGGTAGAAGGTGCAAATCTATAGTAATAAAACGTGGTGAGAGTTAAGTAGCCACAGCCAGTCCTCAGCCAAACTGAGGTCTGAAGCAGCCTCAGCAACCCAGCAGGCCGTGGGAGACCGAATGCCGTGCGTTTCGATTAATTCCTTCCACGGTATTTACCGAGCTCCGACTCTAACTTGCCAGGCTCTCCATGCCCTTGAGGAGATTATAATCTGTTGAACAACAGCAGAAAAAAAAAGTATGGTGGAGGCGGCCACAGGTGCACGGAAGGGTGCACGGGGGGGCAGGGTGGGGATGAAGAGACCTACTGGTGATAACTAGCTCACAGGCAGGCAATGCAGCAAGGAAAGGTATGTCCAGGCAAAAGGAACAGAAAGCAACAAAGACAAGGAAGAATGTGGCACATGTCAGGAAACTGCGAGCAGCTCTGTATTGCTGGAACAAGAATAGGCAAGGGTCCAGGGGGAGGAGAGGTGGAAAAGGAGGCAGGGTAAGATCATGGAGGGCTCCAGGGCCACCTATGACAGTCACACTTCCAAGAGATGCTCTGGCAGCTGTGTAGGGTCTATCGGGGAAAGCTTTGTTATCTGGCAATGGGTTCTAATGATAGGGGGATTGGTTCTGTTGGGGACCCTCCACTGGGACCACCAGCTATTCTACCTCTAGGCCTACCAGCCCCTAAATCCTAGCAGACTTTCAGAAAGAAGCCCACTGACCTGGTTACCAGATTCAACACCTTTGTCTTGCTATTACTTTAATAATTTCATTGCACATCCTTCGATGTGGGGTTTTTATACTTAATATCCAGTGGGATGTACATTAATATACTCTCATGCAGTGTCATGAGAAAACGTGCACACCATAACAATAACAAGAGTTAATAAAGCCACAGCTTTTCCCTTAGACCACATAACAGGACATACATAAATACACATTTATAGCCCTTCAACCTTGTTTATAGCAACCTCGGGTGAGTTTACAGAAAAATGCCTCCAACAGACAGACATCTGACCAAGCAGCAACATGTCACAGTAAAGAGCATATCTTCCTAAGAACCTGAAAGAAAAAAAAAAAAAAAAAAAAAACACAAAAAAATGCCTTTTCTGGCTATACACAAGATGTGGACTAATATTTTACAGTCTTATTTGTGTCACATTTTCAAAATAACGTGTTAGTCTTTCTTGAAAGGATTTATTTTTCTGTCCCTAATGGAAAAATAATCAGTAAATTTTAGAAATGGAATCTGGTCGTTTGTCATTTCATTTTCTTTCAATTTAGAGGGCAAACCTTATGGTTCCTTCTTTGTATCTTTCACTTTGTTTCAGTTCAGTGAAATTGCCTGGTACTGGGGCAAGCTTGGGGCTTTCCAGATTCTTGTTCATGATCCAAAAATAAACAGGTTTGCTAAAACACATAATAGTTATAAAATATAATTTAGAAACAAATTATAAACACCAAGGCAAGTAATTTTAGATAAACATTTTAAATGAAAGATAATTCCCAAAGTAAAAACTCATGGTTTTTCTAGCTATTCTTAAAAATATATAACTCCTAAACTGAAATTATTCTCCAATCTCATCTTCCTGTTAGGCAGCTTTTATAAACTCTCCAGCATTAAGAGCAAAATCCTCTAAATAGCTTATCTCTCAGCTTAATCCCTTTACAGCAGAACTACTCAAGGAGAAGAGAGAGGGTAGGAGAGTAGGAGGGAACGTATGTAAGTGTGAAGGTAACACAATTATCTAGAGAAATTTAAAAATAGACTTCACTCCTACCCAGGTCCTACCCACTTCTCCACATCCCAAACCCCCATAACCAGACTCAAAAAAACCCTGATTCTAACTGTGCTCTCTGCCTCGAGAGCCTCTGCTTTAAGATAACTCCTGGAGTCAAGAAAGGGCCTCTCTCTTGTGCATTTCTCCAGATTTCCGAGACACTGCAGGAAGAGGCTCTGTCCCTCATAAGGCTCAGGCCCTGCTACAATCCATGCAGCCCCCAGATACATCCCAGGCAACTGCTAAATTCAAGCCACTCTAAAACATTTCATAATTCTGCAGGAAGATTTGCCCAATTAATTAACGACACCATGATGCTGTTAACAGCAACTGCAAGTAATTCCAGAAAGCATCAGACCCCAGCTAAGGAATATAAAACCAGGACATTCACAGTCTTCCAAAACTACACACACGTCCAGTTAATGATGGCATAACCAACTTTAACCAAGATTGAACACCTAAATGAAATGAAAATGACTACATCAAAAGCAGAAGTAAAAACTGGATGGAAAGACATATCTGCTAACTGTCCCACATCTATATTGAAAGATTCAAGGAGACTAAAATTAAGCAGCTTTTGAAATGTCAGCTTTCATTCTGTGCAAACTGCAGAGTCTGGGCTAGAAACCTGCCTCTGGCAGGCTGCAAAACCCTGGGGTAAGTTATTGAACCTTTCTCAGGCTTCATTTCCTCACCTAAAAGTGGGATTCGTAACTGTCTCCCCTCAGGAGCCTGCTGCAATGAGATAGTAAGTAGGGTAAGCCCTCAGACAGTGTTAGCCCCAGTATCCTTAACACCCCGCCTTCCAATTTAGCCACAAGCTACCAAAATCACCAATAGTTCAATATGTACTTTAATATGCTCTGAACCAAAAATTTTCAACATCCTTTTTACAACACATTTATAGCCTTACATTAAAAAAAGTTCTTATTAAATCAAGTGGAGGACTTCAGAAAACTACATATAGTAAACCATACTAATAAAATATCAAATAAACTAATAAAATATAAATTATAATAAAAGTTAGTATTAAAAATTATAGATTTATATAGTATAAGAAATATGTATTATATATGATCTATAGTATATAAATATATAAGAAATATATGAAGTAAAAATATTTAGAATATAATAAAATTATAGGCCAGGTGTGATGGCGCACATCTGTAATCCTGGCACTTTGGGAGGCCAAGGCTGGAGGATCACTTGAGGCCAGGAGTTTGAGACAAGCCTGGGCAACAAAGACAACTCCCTCTACCCCGAACTCCCTACAAAAAAATGAAAATCAATAAAAATTAGCCAGGCATGGTGGTGTTCACCTGTAGTCCCTGCTACTCAGGAGGCTGAGGCTGGCAGATTGCTCGTGACCAAGAGTGTGAGGTAGCACTGAGCTATGATCACGCCACTGCACTCCAGCCTGAGCGACAGAGCGAGACTCTGTCTAAAAAAAAAAAGAAAAACTGTGTATACACACACACACACACACACACACACACACACACACACACACACAAACAAAATATCAATTCCAGTGGCCAAAACTAATGAAAAATAAGTTTCATAAAGCCAGCAGTGATATACATTTCTAGCATGAATATACAAACTCTTAATGTGCCTTTTAATCACATCTGACACAAATGCAGAATCAAGTGAGAAGCCATCACTCTCTAACAGTCAACCAGAGATAGAAGAGAACATGCAACTGATTTAAAGATATTTCTCCTAAAACCTTGAGATCACAAATAAGTTCTAAGCCAAAAAAGATAGGAGAAACTGGTTTTTTAAAAAATTTTTTACCTGTTGCTAGGGTAACAGGATTTTGGCAGGAAGTCAAAGTCGCCATAGCTAAAAGATGAGTTTTAAAAGGATAAAAATCTATTATATCCCTACATTTAGATTAAATAAGAGACTTTGTAGTAAGGCATGCCTAATGACAACAGGATGAACTCTAACAGTAAAAGAATGAAAATGAAACCATCTGGCAATGAACTATGCAAACTAGACAGTATTTCAGTATTTTTATCCCCTTAACTAATGGCCATCACCACAGTACAGCACGAAGACAGAAACAACATGGAGATGTAACGTTTTATTTCACAAAGTTATCTAAACAAGTTTCAGGGAGATTAAGGGGGGCAATTATGCCCTACCACACATTTCATACACATGGCTAGGTTCCAGGTTGTGTGGGTGAGCACCTTTTAAATTTTTTTTTTTTTTTTTTTTTGAGACAGGGTCTCACTCTGTTGCCCACACTGGAGTGCAGTGACACGACTGCGGCTCACTGCAGCCTCAAGCTCTGGGCTCTAGCAATCCTCCTGCCTCAGCCTCTGAAAGTGTTAGGATTACAGGCGTGAGCCACTGCACCCGGCCAAGTGGGCACTTTAAAAATTTATATACATACACACACACACACACACACACACACACACACACACACACACATTTTTTTCTTTTAAATACTGTGCAAGTGAGAGTCTCTGTAAAGCTCCTCAGTCAATCTGATTCTAAGCATGGTGGTCCCAAACTAGGAAATGCAAGCTGATTGCCTTGCCATTCTTTTCAAAAGTAACAACAGCACACCTGCCTCAGTGGCTGTGGTCATCTCTCCACACTCTGATCCTTTCATTCTCCCACTTTCCTTCACTGCCACTGCTGTCTTTCACCTACATCTCTGAGTGAACTGAAAGTGAATTTCAGAATGGGAAAGGCTACAAAATAGCAAGTATTCAAATCACCTATCACCTGCACCCTGTATGGAAAATGCAGATGAAATCTATGGACTTTTCTTAAAGGCTTTAGGAACAGAAACATTAAGACATCCTAAAATCATTTATAATCAGGCTTTAAATTATATTGAACAGACTTACTAATGCTGTAAATCCAACATCCAGAGAGTTGTGTCCCCTGCCTTCACCACCAAGAGTGAACGTTGGGTGGAGTCTTTAAACAAATACACTTGAGATCAACCTTCCCCAAAACATAAACTCAACAAAGGTGTGTTGGTGCTATAGCAGTCACACAGTGAGGGCCACAGCAATGAGCATCAGCAGCAAGGGCAGGTGTGCGGCAGATCCCAGGTGGTATGAGTGTTCCCAGCCCTGCCACAACACTGGAATCACCTGGAAGCTTTAAGAATGCCAGGGCCGGCTGGGTGCGGTGGCTCACGCCTGTAATCCCAGCACTTTGGGAGGCCGAGGCGGGCAGATCACGAGGTCAGAAGATCGAGACCATCCTGGCTAACATGGTGAAACCCCGTCTCTACTAAAAATACAAAAAATTAGCCGGGCGTGGTGGTGGGCGCCTGTAGTCCCAGCTATTCAGGAGGCTGAGGCAGGAGAATCGCTTGAACCCAGGGTGGGAGCTTGCAGTGAGTCGAGATGGCGTCACTGTACTCCAGCCTGGGCGACAGAGAAAGACTCCATCTCAAAAAAAAAAAAAGAATGCCAGGGCCAGGTCCCACCCCTAGTGATGCCAATTAGCTGGTCTGGTGAGCACCAAGTGTGCTGGGCCGTAGGCTCTCCGGGTGATTCTCGTGTGCAGCTACCAAGTCAGACTCACTGCTCCCCCTGTAGCCTTCCTGCTGACAAGGACTTCTTCCTAGAAGTTCTGTTTCGATCCACAAATTAGATTAACTGTGAAACCAAATGCTTTCCACAGAGACTTGGTTAGTCCATGGAATGACTTTTAGACTGTGACTGGTTTAAAATATCCACCTCACACTAGCAATGGCTACTACATAGATTACCACTGGTAGTTTCCTTTCATTCCAGTGTCCGAGGAGAAAGGTCACATTGGCCCTAGAATCCATTTTTTTTTTTTTTAGACAGAGTCTCGCTCTGTCATCCAGGCTGGAGCGCAGTGGCGTAATCTCGGCTCACCGCAACCTTCACCTCCCGGGTTTAAACAATTCTCCTGCCTCAGCCTCCTGAGTAGCTGGGACTACAGATGCCCGCCACCATGCCCAGCTAATTTTTGTATTTTTGGTAGAGGTGGGGTTTCACCATATTGGCCAGGCTGGTCTCAAACTCCTGACCTCAAATGATACATCCACCTCGGACTCCCAAAAGTGCTGGGATTACAGGCATGACCCACCATGCCCAGCCGACCCTAGAATCCCTTCTATTCCATTATTTTACAGATGAGCATCTGGCCACTACCTGAATACTTCCAGCAACAGATAGGCAGACATTTCACTCATGCATGGCCCCAGCTGGTCTGGAATTATCACATGCTGGTCCTCACATGGAGGACATCTATCTGAAGACAGCTATCAAAGCTCCCCTTAACCCCAACTTCTCTCTTCCTCCTGCCACTGTTTCTAGACTCAGCATTCTGCTTACCCTCCTCTGCTAGTTGTCAGCATCCATCTTAAATCGATGCAATGGAACCTTTCCCTGTTTAGATTCACTGTGGCCACCTTACTGCAGGTGACAAATACTACTTGTCATTCCCTCCCCTTTGCGGTACACGCGGGAATATACTTGGGGCTGCTCACATAATTCATTCTGGGCAATGACTCGTGTTGTGCATCATATCCAGAATAACGAGCGTGTAAAGACCAGGCAGGACTCGCCAGTCTTTTTTTCAGTAACACCTACGTTGAGACAATGGGGCTGAAAGAAACAGCCTTGATCACTGAGTTACCAGTGGAAGGGATGACTGCCCCGGAGAAATGCAAACTCTGCATAGCAAACTCTGTATGTGCAAGAAATGAACTTTTATTGGATAAATCAATGGGCTTTGGGGGATTGTACTGCCACTCAGACTAAGCCAGTAGTTCGCAAAGCATGGTCCCAAGATGAGCAGCATCAGCATCAGCATCAGCTAGGGCTTGTGAGAAATGCAAATGATCGGGTTCCATCCCAGACCTGCTGAATCAGAAGCTGTGGGGTAGAGGCCAGCAACTAGCTGAACAAGCCTTCCAGTTAATTCTGACGCACACTCCAATCTTGGGAACCGCCAGCTAGATTATGGTGCCAAGTCAAAGGAAGGGTGTTAGCTTTCCTTGATATGAATGCTACATCAGCAGCCACAAAGAAGGATGGGTTATAGCAAGATAGTCAAATAAAGACAGAATACTTTTTCATAGAACTTAGCTAAGCCATATCTACCTCACATAATATCTGTGTACTTTTATTTTTTTTTTAAGTGAAAAGCTCTGCATTTAAGATCTGCCTTGCAAAATCCCTCCTAGCTTCTCTTCCTATAATTAAGTCATTGATAGAAAGACTGAGGAAAATCTGATCCAAGATGGAAGCTTTCTCTCCAACAAGGCAGTGAGCCATGAGTCAGCTATCCATGCAATATTTCACCCAGGCCCTCCTGCACTACACTGTACAGAACAGTATCAAAACAGACAGAATCTGTCAACAGTTTTGCTGAAACCCAGTTTCTGTCTAGAGGGTTATTCTACCTACCAACTGGTCCCTCTGTAAAGAAAAGGAGATTGATCTGCAATCACATGTTCTTAGTCTTCGCCTAGTTCTTTTGCCCAGTGCTCAGGCAGGAACCAGCTACTTCACCATCTGTTCTCTGAAATGGCTGTGCTCAAGTAAGGTCAGATAGACTTTATCTGAAATCTTCCGAATCTATCCAACCTTCTCCTTTCACACAAGCAGGGTATCTGGCCACAGCTCATTCTCCATGACATGCATATATTTGCAATCTCCTTTCACCCCATGTAAAGATGGAAAATTGGCCCAGTACAATGGCTCACACCTGTAATCCCGACACTTTGGAAGGCCAAGATGAGACGATCACTTGAGCTCAGGAATTCAAGACCAGCCTGGGCATCAGAAGGCATCTCTACCAAAAAATTTTTTTAAATTAGTCAAGCAGGCCAGGCGCAGTGGCTCATGCCTGTAATCCCACTTGAGGTCAGGAGTTCAAGACCAGCCTGGGCAACAGGGTGAAACCCTGTCTCTACTAAAGATACAAAAATTAGCTGGGCGTGGTGGCACGCACCTGTAATCCCAGCTACTTAGGAGGCTGAGGCAGGAGAATCGCTTGAACCTGGGAGGTGGAGGTTGCAGTGAGCCAAGATCGTGCCACTGCACTCCAGTTTGGGTGACAGAGTGAGACCCTATCTCAAAAAAATAAAAAAAGAAGAAAAATCTACTTAGAAGTGGTAAATGTATAACGTCTCTGTATGCAGAACCTTCCATTTTGGTGAGCTGCTTTCTAGCAAAATTTAATTTTAAAAAAATCTATAGTGTTCAGAGAGGAAATACAGTATAGAGAGAAAAACATCTATTATGTATTGTGCTACATGCTTTCATTTTATTTAATTTAAAAAGACTCTTAGGTGGTAAATATTTCCATTTTAGACCTATGCAAACTGAAGCTGACGCTGGAAGATGGTGGTTGTTAATTATTTTTTCACAAAGTCACACTGGTAGTTGTGGTGCCAGAATATATACCCAAGTCTCCCAGGCTCTTCCCAAGTTACAGACACAGTACTGGACCACATCTATCTACATCATGAAGAATCTTGAGGCCGAGTGCACTGGCTCATGCCTATAATCCCAGCACTTTGGGAGGCCGAGGTAGACAGGTCACTTGAGCCCAGGAGTTCAACTGGGTGACACAGTGAAACACCGTCTCTATAAAAACACAAAAATTAGCTGGGTGTGGTGGTACACACCTGTAGTCCTAGCTACTCGGGAGGACTGCTTAAGCCTGGGAGGCGGAGGTTGCAGTGAGCCAAGATTACCCTACTGCACTTTAGCTTGGGCAACAGAGTGAGACCTTGTCAAAAAAAAAAACCAAAAAAAAACAAAAAAAAACAAAAAACAAAAAACTGAAAAGATCTAAGGTTCATTTTGATGGCACCAGAGTTCCGTAATTCAGCACATATGCCTCTGCTTTAGGATATTTCAATTAATAAGTTAAGGTTCCTTGATGTGTAGGAGAACCAGGCAGCAAATGAGAGAATGATTACAATTATCACAGATTGTGTTGTAATTTTCTAGATTTGAACAGGTACATATAACATGTAACTTCTTTTTAATTTTAATACTGGCTCACATAATTACAGAATGTTTGATCTCTAAGAATGACCTCAGATATTATCTCATTCAAAGGATCTTAGTTTGGTTCCTAAAAGGCCTTCTAGAACAACAAAAAAGAAGAGCAGGAGATCCACAACCCACCTAAAATTGTATGTAAAACTCTGTGCATTTGTACATGGATCTGAGGAAAGGCTCACGGCTGGGATGAGATCATCAGGTTAATGTGACACTGACACGCCCGTCCTCCTGATTTTATAGTTGAGAATATAGAGACTACAAAGGTGGTGGGATTTCTGTGGTTAGAAAGCTAGTTAGGTACCTGAACCTAGACTGCAACTTGTGTGTATCTGTGACTAACACAAAGCCCCTTCCCATATGTGCAAGTAACAATCCAAAGAGAACTGCTTCAATCAGGGACTCCAGAGATACTCTGCAAGGCACAATGCTGTAAACCATAGAAGACTGTAATAATAAAATGGACATACAACTTGCCCTCAAAGACTTTACCATTTACAAGGACAGCTAAAATTTGGCCATAACAAAACAATAATACCAACTTTAGAAAGCACAATAAAAATTAGATAATACATAAGCATTTGAGAAAAAACTTTAAAAAGAGAAATTGGTAAGTTTTTTACTGCTTTCTGTATATAGAATTTGTAACAAGAACTTCTTAAAATGCTGCTGCTTTAACTGTTTTTCTTTTTTAAATAGCTAAAGCAGTAATTCAGCAAATTGTAGGTTTTAAGATGATTACGCCTTTAATAAATATGCACTGAATATCTGTCAATATTTTTTTAAAGTATTTGACTTGATATCAGATTACGACAAATAACTGGAAAAAAGTTAAAAACCACTGAAAGTAGATACTGACAATTCATTTTTTAAAAAGAGCATCAGAGACACAGAAAAGCTACTGAATAACTAGCAGAGCCAGAATTAGGTTTTTGTATTTTTTTTTTTTTTTTTTGACACATTGTCTTGCTCTGTTGCCTAGGCTGGAATGCAGTGGCACAATCTTGGCTCACTGCAACCTCCGCCTCCTGGATTTAAGCAATTCTCGTGCCTCAGCCTCCCAAATAGCTGGGATTACAAGGCACCTGCCACTATGCCCAGCTCATTTTTGTACTTTTAGTAGAGATGGGGTTTCGTCATGTTGGCCAGGGGGGGTCTCGAACTCCTGACCTCAAGTGATCCACCTGCATTGGCCTCCCAAAGTGCTGGGATTACAGGCATGAGCCACCATGCCCGGCCAGTTCTGAATCTTAAAAACAAAGCTACTGAATATCTTTACTCAATAAATTGAACTGTATACAGAATATTTCTTTTTAGTAAAGTTCTTCTGGATGGGAACTGAGAAGGGGAAGAAAGGTCAAAAACAATTAATGAAACCAAAATGGCCATCTAAAATGAGTAGCAGTGAATTCTAATGTTTTGACATAAATTTTTAACTTATGCCAGTTAAATTTACTCCTAACCTGAAATATTTACTCCAAATCTTATCAAAATAATAATCATACTAGAAGCAGTAACACTAAGGTAATGACTGTACTGTGGTTGGCAGAATACGTTTAGATTATTCCCCAAGTTATTTTATTTCTATATATATATATATATATATATATATATGTATTTTAAGTCATAATTATGATACTAAAATCAAGTATACAAAGTTCACTGGTTCAGAACGCTGACATATTTATCCTAATGCATAATATTTCATTGGGTAATCCAATAAATTTGGATCTTTCCAATGACTTCTGGGCTGGTGGAAGTTAAACTGTATTCTCTCCTGAGACCTTTAGCCAAATACAATTTTTGAACCCTTATATGTGTATAGCGTATTTCATATTGATATCTCATCTTAAACCCATAGGAATTAGAGAATACTTATCACTTCATATACAGTTCTCTAGGTATTTACAACACAGGACACTGGAAGATCACTAAATATGTACCCATTTTAAAGAAGAGGAGGTTAAGTCTAAGAGGAGTTAGATGTCTTCCAAATCAGAACTCATTCTTGGTCTATTAATTCAAGAAATACTTTTCAACTAACTGGAGACACAGATTTGGGTGCTATCTGTATATATACTGTACACGAGAAGCAAAGTTATAAGAGTGGTTGAATTTTCCCAAGAGAAAGTTAAATGTTTCTAGGACAGAAACCTGATGGGTGTTCCGGTAATGGTGAGAGAACCCAGGAGAGAGTGGTATTCCACAATAAGGGTAGAAAATGCTTTTAGAAAGAACTGCTAATCATGTGAAACACCGCTGTGGGGTGAGTGGAGGTAAAGACAGGAACACATCCAACGACTTAACAACAAAGGGGTCACCAGAGAACTGGGTTCAGTGATAAGGTGGCAAGCCCAGGGTAAATGGGAAGGAAAGATATAGACAGCAAGGTGCTCGCCTGGTTGTCTGAAGGAAGACGGAGAAAAGACAGCACAGGGGCTTTGAAGTTTGGGTGACTTAAGTATTCTAGGAAAGGAGAAATGAATGGAGATAGATATAAGATGCTTGTAGAGGGGTGTTTGGAAGTGGGTGCTCCAGTGAGACTTGGCATGGTGGAACTCTCACACTCAACACCATTCATTTCACTAGCTTATGAAGATGCTCCTCCCCTCTCCTCACCCACTCATCTCCTTCATTCTCTCAGGAGGCTGAGGGAACAGGATTGAAACTACAATCTAATACGATGTGCCTCATTCCAAAGGCAGGGCCTCAACTCCTTCAAAGCCAATCCTAAAATTATGCTAAGCCAGACATTTCCATTCTGATGAACATCTCCATCAAAACCAAGGGCACATGCGTGCACACACATCCAATTCAGAGTGGGCTCTCTGCTGCAGGTCCAGAGCAAAGGCTTTCAATCAGTGGTACATTTCATCCCACCAACCTTTTTGAAACCATCTCCTCCTCTCATATCCTAGATCTAATCATTATCTCAAATGTAAGATAAAGATAGTTTTTTAAAAAAGGAAAAGAGTTCTGATATGTTACAAGATAGTTACAGAAATCTCACGAAATGAAAGGACTGGACTACCGGATGATGACGAAGGCCAGCTCCTGTTTGACTCTTATGCAATCTGGTAGGGGTGCCAAGTGAAGACTCCCTAGAACCACCACATCAGACTCTGACAGCACCCTGGCAGTGTACTTATACCGTAGATTATTGAAGTATTGCTCCTTAAAAACTACCCAGTATTTACAATGAACACTGTACAATGCTAGTAGGAAAGCCTGAGACTAAGATGATTAAATAAGCAATGTGCCACTAAAGCCAAATATATTCTGTAAGTAACTACTTTTTATATCAAGACACACTGTAGTGAGACCAAATACAATAAAAACATCTTTTTGCAATTTGTGAATATTGTGATCCAGCCATGTTCACAGGCCATTTGGGATAATCACAAAGTAAAACATGTCAGTTTCATGAGCAGCTCAAACAAATAGTACAAATAAATGAGATTACAGAATAGTTCTTAGCACATTTAATAGAGCAAACTGCTCAAAGATGTAGTGTATACTAATTACAAAACAATTTCTATGTACTCTCTATATAGTCTCACTACGGATGACTATTTTGTTCTATTGGCTTAAGTTAAAGCAGTAAGATGACTTTCTTTGAAAACGTCACGTATTTGAACCCACTAATCAATCTCAGTATTAGGATTACAAATGAGACAAGCTGGTAGCTGGTATTATGTTCCTCATGATGAAATACAAAAAGAATACAGCACCTATGACATATTCTTTTGTTGTTTTTTAGTTCTGAGACAGGGCCTCGCTCTATCGCCCAGGGTAGAGTGCAGTGGCATGATCATGGTTCACTGCACCCTGGAACTCCTGGGCTCAAGTAATCCTCCTGCCTCCGCCTCCCAATGTGCTGGGATTATAGGCATGAGCCACCATGCCCAGCTGACAAGGCTTACCTAAAAAATTCAAATCTAATCAATATTCCAGGAATATGAGATAAAGAGGAACAAGTTAAACGGTGTCAAAAAGTATCAAATTCCAGCTGGGCACAGTGGCTCACGCCTGTAATCCAGCACTTTGGGAGGCCAAAGTGGGTGGACTGCCTGAGGCCAGGAGTTCGAGACCAGCCTGGCCAACCTGGTAAAATCCCATCTTTACTAAAAATATTTAAAAATTAGCTGAGCGTGGTGGTGCACATCTGTAATCCCAGCTACTTGGGAGACTGACGCATGAGAATTGCTTGAACCCAGGAGGTAGAGATTGCAGCAAGCCGAGATCATGCCACTGCATTTCAGCCTGGACAACAGAGTGAGACTCTTTCTCAAAAAAAAAAAAAAAAAAAGTAGCAAATTCCATGTTGGTTCCTAGTGTCAACAAGTTAAAAAAAAAAAAGTATCAATTACCTAAATCTAGTAAAGTGAGGGACAACCTATATATAGGACAAACAATCCAATTTTTCTAAGAAATCAACCATACATTAAAAAATAAAATGAAAGGAGGACTACGTAAAATAAAGAATTACACAACAACCAAATGTAATATATGGACTTTTTGGGTCCTGACCATAACAAACCAACTTTGAGACAATCAGGAAATGTGAATACAGCCTAATATTGTATTTAATACAGTATTAGATAATACTGAAAAATAATTTTGCTAATATTATTAGGTCTAATAAGTATTTTTTAAATTCCTTATCAGTTGGAGACATATACTTACTATTTAAAAGAGAAAGGATATACATATGTGACTCAGATTTTTCAGTGACTTGGAGTTACAGAGCTTCTACTGGAAGTTAAAGGATGTGGTTCCTCTTCCCACTACCAAACTCAAGGAAGAATCATGTAAGTCACACAAATGCTACTGGCAATGTTCAACATTTCCACTGTCTTTCTCTGCTCCTTTCTTCCTTAGCTGGCACAAGGATAGAGGTAAATTCAAATGTCTTTAACCTTGGTTTACTATTTTTCTCTTTCCTAAGCTATAAATATGAATGTGATAGGTAACTTACCACATTCATGCACACCAGTCTGGAGGAGTGCATGTGAAGGCAATGACCAGGAAAACTGAAGACTGAAGGATTTGAAAAGGTCTATTTCACAGATAAAGAAGTGAGGCAGAGAGACACCAAGTGATTTTTAAGGTCACAGCACTAATTACTGATAGAGCCAAGCCAAGAGCCCACATCTTGGAAGCTTGCCAGTCCAGTGCCCTCTCTTGCACTCACCCAGAGCAGCTTTCATTCTTTACTGACCTTCCCGTGCTCCTTCCTCACGTGGGATATGTACACATCTCTCTGCATGAACAGGCAGTCACACTCCCAACACGTCCACCCAGGACTGGCCACTTTCTTGGTTTCCATTGATTTTTTCACAGGAGATGGAGATTTCTTTTCCAATTTCTCTTTCCCATTCATGGATTTGGTGTCCTCTTTGTTCTGATTTGCTGAATTTTGAGTTGCAGGCTTAATGCTCAAAGGCAAGTTTATACCCAAGTTTGGAGGCCCTTCAATACTTTTCAATGTTCCATGCATAGACTACATTATAAAAAGAAAAGAAATATCTATCACAAATCACAACACTAAAAGAAAGCACAAGTATGCTATCTTAACATGTGGTACACATTTCAACACCAGTTTATATTCATTCAGAAATATTTAATATATAAAGAAAAAAACCTAAGCTAAATATACATTTCAAAAGAGATAAAAGTCTGCTATACGTTATGCATTTCTCTTTCCAAATGCTTTTTAAAGGCCTATATATTTGTACCATTTTAAAATTCTTTAAAGAAAGACCTCTGTATTGAACACAAATTAATCCTGGTACTTTATCTTCCTGTAACATCCCAGAGGGAGGCCTCTCTACAACAAACCATTTCGGAACAACTCTCTCCTTTCCCATCAGCCTGGAAATGTTTAAATAGGCTAATACATTATTAGGAATTCAACTAGAACAAACTGACTTGAGCAAACATCTAAGATCAATACGTTAGTAAATAGCAAGCCTTTTTCTCTTCATGCCTTTCACATTCTTGGAATACTAGTAACAGTCTGGGTTTTTGCTGGGTTTTGTCAGGAATTTTCATCTCCTTACATCCTATCCCGACCCATCCTTTCTTACTGATGGCAGCCAGGCTTGAGAACTACACACATTAGATACTCATGTCTTTTTAAATTGCTTAGCTAACTATCATCATTAACATAATGGCCACAACAGCCATCTTCAACTTAAACTCACTGGATTTCAAATTTGAAAAGGGCAAAATTAGTGCAATTTGATTCTAAAGACCAGCTCACTTTGGTTTTTGTTTTGTATTGTAAAAGCATGGAATAAAAACAGCGGGGTGGGGTGTATGCAGTGGCTCACGCCTATAATTCCAACACTTCAGGAGGCCAAGGCAGGAGGATCACTTGAAGCCTGGAGTTTGAGACCAGTCTGGGCAACACAGAGAGACCCCATCTCTACAAAAAGATTAATAAATTACTCGGGCATAGTGGTGCATGCCTGAAGTCCCAGTTACTTAGAAGGCTGAGGTAAGAAGATTGCTTGAGCCCAGGAGTTCAAGGTTACAGTGAGCTACAATCACACCACTGCACTCTAGCCTGGGCAACAGAGCAAGACCCTGTCTCAAAAAATAAAAACAAAAACAAAAAAAGAGGGTGGAGGAGAGCAAAAAATAAAATCTTTGCCTCTGTATACAATATACAATTTATTTTTGAATAGGGCCGTCTCTTCTTACTAGCAGTCAGGCTTGCAGTTAAACCATGAATTCCTGAATCTACAGAAAGACAACATTAAAAATCTTTCCTAAGAGGCTTTCACACATCCGAGTTCCCCTGGGTCACAGAGACTCACACTGATAGACCTCAGCTCCACATTCCTTCTTGGATGTTTAAGAAAGAAGCCATTCCTTCAGGACACTCTCCATCACATTTTCTCAAGGCAAGGTCTTCTCTAAACAGTGCCAAGAACTAGCTAACCTTCCTCAACATCATTTTTCACCAGAGGGAAACAGGGGTTCTATCATTTTCTCACCAGCTGAAGTCACAAGGTCTACCCAAACAGGCAACAGTGAAAGTGGCCCATAAAAGGGGGCTGAGGTGGGCCACGCGCAGTGGCTCACGCCTGTAATCCCAGCACTTTGGGAGGCCGAGGCAGGTGGATCACGAGGTCAGGAGATCGAGACCAACCTGGCTAACACGGTGAAACCCCGTCTCTACTAAAAATACAAAAAATTAGCCGTGCATGGTGGCAGGTGCCTGTAGTCCCATCTACTTGGGAGGCAGAGGCAGGAGAATGGCATGAACCCGGGAGGCGGAGCTTGCAGTGAGCAGAGATCTCCCCACTGCACTCCAGCTTGGGCGACGGAGCAAAACTCCATCTCAAAAAAAAAAAAAAAAAAAAACAACAGGGCGAGGGCTGAGGTGATTGTCTAACCATGTTCTTTGCAAAGAGAAAATCTGGAGCAAGACATGATTTCTTGATAGCCAAAAACTATGCCTTGCTTCATGCCCACCACTCAGGGCAGAAGGCTTCTGTGTTTCATTGCTCTTTGTCAAAAGAGAAGCTAAGTTTTTCCATTTTTAACTATTTAAAACCTAAAGAAAACAAAACCTAAAACCCTCTAGCAACTTTTCATAAGTTTCTAGGCAAATGCATTTTTACTAACTGATAAGCTGAAGAAAGGATAAAATATTAAAATATTCTTCTGTAAGATAACCTTAAAGTGCTACAGAAATTACAGAAAAGAAGCAACAAGTTACACTGCAAGTAAAATTAAGACTACTAAGTCCAGGTGCAGTGGCTCAGGCCTGTAAATCCCAGCACTTCAGAAGGCCAAGGCAGGAGAATCACTTGAGCCCAGGAGTTCAAGACCAACCTGGACAACTAGTGAAACCCTGTCTCTACAAAAAATACAAAATACAAAAATCGGCCAGGCGTGGTGGCGCATGCCTGTAGTCTCAGCTATTCGGGGGGCTGAGGTTGGAGGATCACCTGAGCCCAGGACATGGAGGCTGCCTTGAGCCCTGATATGCCACTGTACTCCAACCGGGGCAACAGAGTGAGACCTTATCTCAAAAGAAAAAAAAAAAAGACTCTGAAAAGCAAATGTCAGCTGGGAATGGTGGCTCACACCTATAATTTCAGCGCTCTGGAAGGTCAAGGTGAGAAAACCACTTGAGACCAGAGGTTCAGCCTGGGCAACATGGCAAGACATGCCTCATTCATTCATTCATACTGTCATTTTTAAATAAAGAAACAACTTATTTCTTTTCAAATTGATTTTTCCTTAGCTCCTATAACAATAATTAATTTGAATGAGTGTCTGTAACTCAAAAGTTTAAATATAAATGTCAACATGGAGGTCCTACAAGTTTATATTTTGGTAGGAGAAGAAAATGACACAAATTGGATTAAACTGGGCAAATAAGAGCCCATCTTTAAGTGAATATGTATGTGGAGAAAACTTGTGCCTGTTCCACTTCCTCTTCCTTCCTCATGAAAAACTGCATAGCACAGGCAATGTAAATAAATAACAAGAGCTAAATAGATTATCTTAAAAATTAAAAAAAAAACAGTATGCCCCTAAAACTATGCTTACCCAACCCCAAACATATAAATGCAGGATAATATTTTTAAACGCATAGAACATACATGAAATGAGAACATAAGTGATTATTCCCACTGTTTTCGTATCATGTAGTCTTGCATAGGTTAAGATGAATAACAATTCTTTCCTCCTTGTGGCCACAGGATTTTACCACCCCTCTTCAGTTTCTATTTCTTGGAACCTTGTATTCCTCCAAATTCACTATTAACACAAGGAAGACCCTAACCACAAAGTCGATGACCCGACTTCCAGATGCAAAGATGAGTTCTAGAAACCAAATACCTTAAAAGCCTCTTAAGAAGCAACTGTTCTTTTCTTTGTTGTTGGCACACATGTAGTATGTTAAAATATTTTGGTTTAATTCCAACATCCCTAAATTTTTATTAGCAGTTTTAAATTCTTCCTGGTGTTTCATTAAATAGATATTTATTGTCAAAATAATTATGTAATTTTAGCTAAAATAGTTAAAGTATCTTAAGAGGGTTTTACTGTACTTCAAATGAGAATGATGAAATGCATCTCCCATGCTTTTATTCACCCAAGTAATGCCATCACCACCACTATCTTTACCTTGCCTGGAAGGAGAGAATCTCCAAGATGTTCATTTGCATTAAGCAATTACTCTATATGAACTCACACATGTTTAATACAGGAAATGTCAAGGATTCATAATCCAGGCACTTAGCTGACATGAGACTAGAATAATTCAGGGACTTTGCGCTTTAAACTGACCTTTTTTGTGTAACTTTTTGTTTGTTTGTTTCTGAGACGGAGTCTTGCTCTGTCGCCCAGGCTGGAGTGCAGTGGCACAATCTCAGCTCACTGAGATCTCTGCCTCCTGAGTTCAAGTGATTCTCCTGCCTCAGCCTCCCAAGTAGCTAGGATTACAGGCATGTACCACCACGCCCAGCTGATTTTTGTATTTTTAGTAGAGACGGGGTTTCACCATGTTGGTCTCAAGTGATCCGCCTACCTTGGCCTCCCAAAGTGCTGGGATTACAGGTGTAAGCCACCGTGCCCAGCCTGTATAATGTATTTTTAAAAGAGCAAAACTAAAAGAAAGAGATTGAGTTCCTGATAATATGGGGTCTCTTGTTTCTCTGTTTAAAAAGTAAGTCATTTTAATCTCTGAAAGCCAATGGATATTATCTCCTAATCACACAAGGAAAAAAAAATGCTTAACATATTACAGTGGACAGTTAAGCAGCTAGAACTAAGCACTGGCCTTAGTAAGCTTAAAAGGCTATAAATAGATTTCTGTGCCCCTTTTGGGGGTTGGAGAGTAAAACAGTCCACACTGGATATTTATTCATTTCATTAACTGAACACCACCAGGTGCCAGGTACCATACTATATCCTAGATATTTAACAGTCCATTTACAATGCAATCTTTACAGAAAAAAAAAAAAGAAACTAAAAGGTTTAGGGGCATTAATTACAATGCAAACCTAACTGCTTAAATAATTTCAAGGGAAAAAACCTTCATTTTTCTAAATATACCAATATTTGTGTGAATTAGCATAATTCCTCAGAGCCCTTGTCTGTTTCTAAGTCTTACAGAATTCTCAAGAAAAGAAAAACTTCGGCCAGGCGCGGTGGCTCATGCCTATAATCCCAGCACTTTGGGAGGACAAGGCAGGCGGATCACCTGAGGTCAGGAGTTCAAGATCAGCCTGGCCAACATGGTGAAACTAAAAATATAAAAATTAGCCGGGTGTGGTGGTACACGCCTGTAATCCCAGCTACTCGGGAGGCTGAGGCAGGAGAATCACTTGAACCTGGGAGGCGGAGGTTGCAGTGAGCTGAGATCGTGCCACTGCATTCTAGCCTGGGAGACAGAGGGAGACTCTGTCTCAAAAAGAAAAAAAAAAAAAAAAGGAAAGGAAAGGAAAACTTCACAGTCATCATTTTCACATATTAAAAAAAACAAAAAACAAAAAACTTAGTACTTTTTTACTCTTTTAAAATCAGGGCAGACATTGGTTCCTTTTCACTAATCTTTAGTAGGCAGATCAGGACTCCTGAATGAAAAGCACCACAGTCAAGTGAACACATGATGACAGCATGTAAGTTGCTCACTGACAACGACCAGCATCCATCCCTTCCCTCGACAGTGAGGCATGCTTTAGAGTCACCTGCAGCTCAGCCTTGATTTATGACCAATGAATGGATCTGCAATTCATTTAAAGTAGAGGATAGATGCACACACACCTTGATATGGTCCATCATAAGTTGCTTCTGTGCATATAAAAGAGAACAGTCTGGACACTTGAAAACAGACACCTTCTGGTTTTCAATGTGTTGGTCAAAGTGGCGATACAGCAAGGTTTGCAGGGTGAACACAGTGTCGCACATGGAACACTTATATATTATTCTAAAATAGAAGAGTGCAGCGAGATCATGTCAGTCAGCCTCTTTAAGTCAAAGGATCTGCTACTTTATAGCTGAAGAACTTGGGAGGCAGAGGCACATTGAGAACACACAAACACAATAAATAGAACAACGATTAGCTCTGAAACAAACTTTTGAAGACAACTGGCATTACTCAACCATAGATCAACCTTAACATTTTCAGTAAAGATGCATTCAGCTACATTTACTTAGAAATCTAAATTAATGACCATTTTACTATTCACAAATCTATAACTGGCACATGTTTGTACAAAGTCTTCATGTTACTTTAACACAGAGCAAAAGCATCCTTTTTTTTTAAAGATTTTTTTTTTTAAGATCAGACAAGGCAATGATGATACCCTAACTTGGAAAAGAATGTTAATCTGATTAATAAACTAAATAGGCCTACTCAACTCCAAAGTTTTCATTTAGAGTCAGTAGCAATTTTACATTTGAATGTCAATATTTCTATACCTGTTCTTAACACAGGAAGCCCTACACCAGTAAACAAATATACAGTAAAATCAAGAAACAGAAAATAAAATCGATACCACTGTTATTTCAACAATGCTTGAATGTTTCTTACGCTTTAAATGACTTAAAATATTCACTTGTCTCCTACAAACTATTTCCATGACTAATATGTTACTAACAAGCAGCCTCCTCAAATGAATTCAGCAGACCTGAACCTTCTGAACATAATCCCTCCTGCCCATCCACACTCTCTACTGAAACGAGGGCACGAGATGTCTTGAGAGGGTAAAGGGCTGCGTCTACCCTGCTGCCGGCCTCTGCCTCCAATGGATGTGTGTTCGGTCATTTGAGAACAGCTCTGATGGCAGCAGGTCACCATTTTTTAGTCACTGCTCTGGGTCACCCTGGCACATAGGAGAGGGCCTATGGGCATCTGTATTTCCTCTGGAGAACTGTGAGAATGGGCACAAAGAATTCTAAGGAGCCGCTTAGGAAAAGGTCAGAGAAAAGCTGACTGGATGTGAGGGTCAGAAATGAAAAGAGAGAAGTTGAGGTTTTACCTGGCATTCCTACGGCAAAGTTGAAGAACGGAATGCCTCCTAAAACCACCTGCCTTCCCTCTCTCAGGGCCCTGAGAGAGGACTTCCCATGTAGCTTCAAACCTCACTGTGCAATTCTCTGTCCAAAGTTACAGATGTAACTTTTTTCTCTTTTTCCCCGTAAGATTTATAAGTTTAACTGGATTGGCCTGTTTTTACAAGGTCTTGAGATGTTAGTTACTTTACTGCAGAGCACAAGTACCCTTGGGGGAGGGGGTGTTGAGAAGCAGACAAGGTTTTCGGGGCCGTACAATGCAGCACAATGTTGTATACTAATCATTTGTCATCATTAACCGTAGCAGGTGTGACAAAGATGTTCACTTCCTCCCTGTTTGAAACTGCTTAGTGTTGTGAACGGCCCAAATGTCCAAGAGTATAAATAAGTGGTTAAATAGAAAACTAGGCCAGCATGGTGGCTCATGCCTGTAATCCCAGCACTTTGGGAAGCTGAGGCAGGTGGATTGCCTGAGCTCAGGGGTTTGAGACTAGCTTGGGCAACAGGGCGAAACCCTATCTCTACTAAAAATACAAAAAATTAGCTGGGTGTGGGAGCTACAGGTGGCTGAGGCACAAGAATCGCTTGGGCCCAGGAGGCAGAGGTTGCAGTGAGCTGAGATCACGCCACTGTACGCCAGCCTGGGCAACAGAGCAAGACTGTGTCTCAAAAAAAAAAAAAAAAAAACTATATGAAGATTTTTTAAAATGATGTCACAGACCTATACCAATGGCATGGAAAGATTTTCATGCAAATTAAAACAGAAGATAACAAGATAGAATGTATGGTATGATCACATTTTTTAAAGGGCATAGAAAAGAAAGAGAAGGCATAGGATTGTCAGCATCTCTGCTGGATGATAGTATATGTATTTTTATTGCTTTGTTTGTCTCTACTTCCTGTTTTTTCTGTAATTGGCATAGGACAATTGTTTTAAAAAGGATAGACTTGGCCGGGCGCAGTGGCTCACATCTGTAATCCCAGAATTTTGGGAGGCCGAGGCAGGCGGATCACAAGGTCAGGAGATTGAGACCAACCTGGCCAACATGGTCAAACCCCGTCTCTACTAAAATACAAAAAAGAATTAGCAGGGCATGGTGGCGTGCACCTGTAGTCCCAGCTACTTGGCAGGCTGAGGCAGGGGAATCGCTTGAACCCAGGAGGCAGAGGTTACAGTGAGCTGAGACCACGCTGCTGCACTCTAGCCTGGTGACAGAGGGAGACTCCGTCTCAAAAAAAAAAAAAAATAAATAAATAAATAAGGATAGCCTCAAGAAAAGAACTGAGATTTACTAGCTAGGCTAAGAAATTGCTGAGAACTCAATTTTCACATTTTGAGAAATCACTATTTCACAGCTATGCCACAGCTCATTTTGTTCATGCTACATTCCTTTGGGGAGGGATTCTGTTGTTTGGACGTGCTGTCTTAACAACAGGAAGTGTAAAACAGGAGACCATCTATTTACGTAGCTATCATTCTGAGGAGGCTGAGCAGGTTGTTGGTGTAATATTAGAATCCCTCCCCACAAAATACTAACAGATATAAAAGGGAAAATGGTGACTTTATAATGGAGAAACTGCCTCGCCTCGATGATGAAGGGTGGCATCACCACTACCTTGTAAGACAGGTGGATGTCGCCCTTGCCCCCAGAGTGATCCTTTGAGAAAAGCATGGCATCACGGCCCAGGCATTGCCACCAAGAGCACATGCCTGAGTCCAGCAATGACAGTGCAGTGACAGACCAAGTGAGGGTCAGCCACAGGAGAGGCCTGGGTCCCCTTTTGGACGGCCAAAGACATGAGAACAGGGGACACTGAGCAACTGCTTCAGACGGAAGGACACTGATAAGGCAGCACAAGTAAATCCAAAATGTACACCCAGATAAGATCTCGGACCAGAGAGGAGAAAGACACGCATAACAACTGGGAGGAATCTGGATGAAGTCAATGAATTGGATGGTATTGTAATCAACAATGACTTCCTGACTGGGGGGCTGCACGGAGGTTACTTACACAAGTTCCTTTTGTGGAAGAGAGCAGAACACACCAAAGCATTTACATCATGGTCCCCCTTTCCTCCTAAATACAAAGCAGGGAGGGAGACAGACCAATGACTGCAACGCTAACAACCGAGGAATCTGGGGGAAAAAGATGCAAAGATGCATGCGTTCTCTCCATGTTCTTCCAGCTTTTTTGTAGGATAAAATCCATTACAAACTGCAGCTGATTTTTTTTTTAAAGTCCAAATACGACAAACCTCACAGACATGTCTTTTAGGAGCAGAATCTGAGGATGGAGCAAACTCTCCAATGAAAATGGAAAATCCCCAGGGAGACCGGCTACCAGGCAGAGAGGAGGGGCAGCATTCAAGATGGAGAGACCACTCTGCACAAAGGCAGGGGTCTACTGGGCACCGTGTGCTAGGAAACAGTGAGAACCCCAGTGTAGCTGGACTCCCAGGGGTGTGGGAGTGGCCAGAGAGGGTGCTTTAGAGTTGTGCAGGGCTTTGAAAGCCAAACCTGGAAGTCTGGACCTAATCCTAAATGCAAGATCGGATGAGTAGCAGGGTGACTACACCACAACAAAGCCAGTACGGGAAGGAGAAGAAGGAAGAGAGAGAGGAGGAGAGGGGGAGCGGGAAAGGAAGGAGAAAGAGAAAAGAATAAAAAGCTAAAACCAAATACCCATACTCAGGTCAAATTTACAGCAACAAACTCTCCAGAATACTTCAAACAGGTGTCACAACAAATAAATAAAAGACTCCAAGCTTTGAAATTGCTGCCATAAACCTCCTACATTACCATCAACTGAATCCAACTAGGGGCAAAGCACCACCCTCCGCGTCATACACCTAATCCCCACAGCCACAGTGAGGTAGATGACACTGCTGCCATTTCACAGATGGGACACCAGGACTTAGCAGACTAGATAATCTGCTTGGTGTTAAACAGATTCTAGGGCTAAAGTTCAAATTCAGCTTCCTCTGACTCCATACTCCTCTCTCATGCTGCTATTCTAATTTTGCGTGTTTTACTTCTCAGGAACATGTTCAAAAACTCTTGTCTCTTATACAATTCTTATTTTGAAGTTCTCATTTCTCCACTTACATACATTTAGAAATTGCAAATAAAAGGAAGGCACAGCAAAAGAAACTGCTGTTAATCAGCAGTCAAGGAAAAAATAGAAGCAGACACAAAACTTCATTACCATAAGATATAGGCCAGGCATGGTGGCTCACACCTATAATCCCAGCAATCTGGGAGGCTGAGGCAGGCGGATCACAAGGTAAAGAGATCGAGACCCTCCTGGCCAACATGGAGAAACCTCATCTCTACTAAAAATACAAAAATTAGCTGGACATGGTGGCGCGTGCCTGTAATTCCAGCTACTCAGGAGGCTGAGGCAGGAGAATCGCTTGAACCAGGGAGTTGGAGGTTGCAGTGAGCCAAGATTGCGCCACTGCACTACAGCCTGGCAACAGAGCGAGACTCCATCTCAAAAAAAGGAAAAAAAAAAAAAGGCTGGGCGCGGTGGCTTATGCCTGTAATCCCAGCACTTTGGGAAGCCGAGGTGGGTGGATCACGAGGTCAGGAAATCAAAACCATCCTGGCTAACATGGTGAAACCCCGGCTCTACTAAAAATACAAAAAAATTAGCCAGGCGTGATGGTGGGCGCCTGTAGTCCCAGGTACTCAGGAGGCTGAGGCAGAAGAATGGCGAGAACCCGGGAGGCGGAGGTTGCAGTGAGCAGAGATCGCGCCACTGCACTCCAGCCTGGGTGACAGAGCGAGACTCCATCTCAAAAAAAAAAAAAAAAAAAGATATAGTAATGGACAGTCAAAATGATCTCAAATTATCCAGAAAAGATTAAGGGGTACTCAGAGTTTCCTTTTAAACAGCAGGGTACTATGCCTGCCCACACACTGGAAAACAAGAAACAAAGTGCTTACAACAGTACCCAGCACAGAGTAAATGCAGTAAATTAAACAACAATCGTGTGCCATGCTTTTTGAACTGGGATGCTGGGTATTTTTTCATACATCCATATGTTCTCTAAGAAAAACGGGTGAGAGGTTATTTTAACACTGATCATTTAAAAAAGTAATGCAAATCATTTGCATACATTTATGTTATTTGTATAACCACCTGTTAAACAAATACTGCTGGGGAATTTCACTGCCTGAGCTGGGACTATTTAGTCATTTTGGACTTATGTAAACAGAATAGAGATGGATTTAATGCCAAAAGAAACCTTTGGGTCAAATGTAGGCCAAACAGCCACAGGATGAAAGCTTTTACCTTAGTTTTAATTGGAAAAGGGGGTGAGGGAGGGTTATCTCCGGGAACACTGCAGTACAGGCCTACTGGGCCCAACAGAGCTGGTGCAGCAGCCGTCATTGCCACAGTCAGGCTGCGGGTGAGGGCTCCAGGCAGCCAGACCAGCCCTCACACTGAATCCATGCGATTAACTTATCTTTCACTGGCTTTGGAGTTTTGTTAACCACTTCTTCTACAAATTTGTTTCATTTTTATAATTTAAAATACAGTACCTATTTTTAGGCTTGCACTTAGGAAGGAAGGAAGGAAGGAAGGAAGGAAGGAAGGAAGGAAGGAAGGAAGGAAGGAAGGGAGGGAGGGAGGGAGGGAGGGAGGGAGGGGCCAGGCGCGGTGGCTCACGCCTGTAATCCCAGCACTTTGGGAGGCCAAGGTGGGCGGATCACGAGGTCAGGAGTTCGAGACCATCCTGGCTAACACGGTGAAACCCCATCTCTACTAAAAATACAAAAAATTAGCCAGGCGTGGTGGTGGGCGCCTGTAGTCCCAGCTACTCAGGAGGCTGAGGCAGGAGAATGGCTTGAACTCGGGAGGTGGAGCTTGCAGTGAGCTGAGATCGTGCCACTGCACTCCAGCCTGGGCGACACAGCGAGACTGAGGGGGGGGCGGGGGTAGAAAAAAAGAAAAGAAAAGAAAGAAGGAAGGAAGGAAGGGAAGGAGGGAAGGAGGGAGGGAGGGAGAGAGGGAGGGAGGAAAGGAAAGAAGAAAAGAGAAAAGGAAGGAAGGAGGGAAGGAAGGAAGGAAGGAAAAGGAAGGAAGAAAGATGGAAAGAAAGAAAAGAAAGAAAGAGGAAGGGAGGTGAGGGGAAGAGAGAAAAGAAAAAAGAAAAGAAACAAAGAAAAGAGAAAAGAAAAAAAGAAGAAAAAAGAAAAGAAAAGAAAATACTGGGGCTGGGTGCAGTGGCTCGCACCTGCAATCCCAGCACTTTGAGAGGACTGCTTGAGCCCAAGAATTCAAGACAAGCCTTGGCAACACGGCAAAATCCCATCTTTACAGAAAACTTAAAAATCAGCCAGGCGTGGTGGTATGCGTGTGCACCTGTGGTCCCAGCTACTAGAAAGGCTGAGGCAGGAGGATCACCTGAGCCCAGGAGGTCAAGGCTGCAGTGAGGTGTGATCACACTCCAGTTTGGATCAGAATGAGACTCTGTCTCATAAAAAAAAAAAAAAAAAAAAGAGAGAGAGAGAAAAGAAACCACTGGAATAATTGTTTTCTATACAATACCCAAATTTGAAGAAAACTGTTTTAGCCTATTTTAATCATTTGCTTCCTTACATTCTGAGGTAACAACTACTGTTCCAGATGTCACACACATTTCTGACAATCAAATTTTATTTATTTTAATAAAGAACCAAATAAAAACTGTATTCATCCCAGGGGGAAAGGCTACATTAGTACCCACAAGTCTAACAGTCCTGAAAACTGAAGACACTAAAATTCACTAATCCCCATCTTCAGAGTCAAGACATCAAGACATGTATGGATTCCTTAATTTGTAATGTGTTTCATTTTGGGATCAACCTACAAAGATCAGAATGAAGGTCCTACTAAAATAAAATTTAACTTCAACATGTTTTTTTTTTTGATAAAACAGTCACTTCTGTAGTATTCAATCACATTTCCCCAAAACTAAATGTTTCAACAAAAGCCAGGAGAGAGAGAGAGAGAGAGAGAGAGAGAAAGAGTGTGTGTGTGTGTGTGTGTGTGTGTGTGTGTGTGTAAAATATGGCATAGCTGTGTATCTTCCCCCTAATACTTCCTTAATTATGGAGTTATGGGCAAAAACACAGCAACAGATTTGGACAGCAAATCTAGCTTCTTGTAATGATCAAACTCTATGTTGCGATAACTAATCCAGGAATAAAAGGAGCACAACCAGGAGCATTAATCCAGTGCTGTGTGCACAAGGAGGGAGCGAAGACACACAGGAAGGAACTAATGCTGACAGAGCCCTCCATGCTCCAGACACAGGCACTGTTGTGCTACACATTTTAAATACATCATCTCATCTCATCCTCACTTAAGCAGGACCCTCACTTCATGGGGGAGAAGATGGCCGCTGAGACAGTGCAGGTCCCAGGTCACCCAGCCGGTGGGTGGCAGGATTCCGACCGGCTCCAGTGCCCACACTCCCTCCTCTTTGTTAAGCTGCCCCTACTGCAGGCAGGCAGCCCCTTTTTGCTAAAGAACCGCTTCATTATTAAAGACTCCACAAAGCAAAAATCAATCAAATTAAGAGCAAGATTAAGGCAAAAAAAAATTTACTAATCAGGGACTTATACTGGCTATGAAGTTAAATTCAGTAACCAGTGTCTTAAGTTGCCTTCATCTTAAAAATATTACTTTTTAAGCAAAAGTGTACCCTATAAAAAAGGAACTATGGAAAAATTTAAAGATGACAGGGTTTCTAAAAAATAGTTTTCCTAGGAGTTGTCAAAAATCATCTTAAGAGGCTGGGTGCCGTGGCTCACGCCTGTAATCCTAGCACTTTGGGAGGCCAAGGCAGGTGGATCACGAGGTCAGGAGATCGACACCATCCTGGCTAACACCTTGAAACCCCATCTCTATTAACAATACAAAAAATTAGCCAGGAGTGGTGGCATGCACCTGTAGTCCCAGCTACTCAGGAGGCTGAAGCAGGAGAATCGCTTGAACCCAGGAGACGGAGGTTGCAGTGAGCCAAGATCGCACCACTGCACTCTAGCCTGGGCGACAGAGCGAGACTCTTGTCTCAAAAAAAAAAAAAAATTCATCTTAAGAAAAAAATATAAATATTTACTTGTTGAGCAAAAATTCGTGACAAGAGCATAAATAATAGGTAACGTTTTTGGACAAGGTCTTTACCTGGAAAGAACAGAAAGATTTGGATGAGCTATGAGCTGTATTTCATAAAGCATCAAAATTGGCATAGCTGCATAATTTTTCAGATCTTGGTAAATGTTATTCAATAGAACGACTACTACCTTGCTTCTAAATTGCTAATAAAGCAGTGGAGTAAAACTTGAAAGTCGGTATGACTTACTTTGGTTCTCCTATCTTGATGCCAGGATGCTGTGTGTAGGCGTGGGAATGTGTGCTTGGGGCAGACTTAAACGCCATTGGACAAATAGGACACTTGTAGAAGACTTCACAGTGAGAACCTTGAATGTGAGACTTCAGAGCAGCCACATCAGAGTACACAACATTGCAATGCACACATCTGTTAGAAAAATAAACACACGGTCATTAGCACAAGACCATAACACACGTGTAACTGCAAAAACTGGGTGAGATGAACACACTTTCATAGCCCTTTTAGGTTTTTAATGGCCCTTCGGAAGTATATTTTAGTTTTTTTCCTATTATAAATCAACTTAATTGTTTATGGGTTTTTTTTTTTTTTTTTTTTTTTTTTTTTGAGACAACGTCTCGCTCTGTCGCCCAGGCTGGAGTGCAGTGGTGTGATCCCGGCTCATTGCAACCTCCACCTCCCAGGTTCAAGCAATTCTCGTGCCTCAGCCTCCCAAGTAGCTGGGATTACAGGTGTGTACCACCATGCCCAATTACTTTTTGTATTTTTAGTAGAGATGGGGTTTCGCCATGTTGGCCAAGCTGGTCTCAAACTCCTAGCCTCAAGTGATTCGCCCACCTCAGCTTCCCAAAATGCTGGGATTATAGGTGTAAACCACCATGCCCAGCCTATTTTTATATGTTTAAGAGAAAAGATCATGAAGAAGAAAAATAAAACTCAAATGGTCTATTTTTGGAGCATCTTTAACATTTTTAAGAATGGATGTCAAATCTCCAGACCACTGTTTTTGGAGAGGTTACATATGCTGGATTCTGGCACCAGGGCCCTGAGTTTCCTACCCATCTCCAGGACCCAAATAGCATTTCTAATGGAAGAAATCTTCAGTGTCTAAACCTGCATGCCAAGAACAGAGGGGCAGAGAGGAACAAAGAAGTTCTGGCTCCAAGGCCTCGGCCCACTGTTTCCTGGTACACACTGATGTGGTCAATGTATGTGGGGTTCATGGTGGTCCACAGGATAGAGAAGGTCAACCACCTAGGTGTTTTGTCTCCTAGAAAATAAATTTAAGTACACTTGCATTTGTTTAAGAAATTGCATGAATTACAAACCTCTGAAAATTCAGCATCTCTAAAAAAAATTGTCTAGCTAACCTCCTTACTTTATGAATTTCTAGTAATCTCACAATTAGCTCATTCCCTGCTCAAATATAATCCAACAAAGACAAACTTTAAATCTAAGATACATTTCTCCTCTATCTCATCTTTTTCACACAAAGACTCTAAGCAACACTTACACCTCCACTTGATGACCAAGTCTTCCTTGTTCACACCTGAAAACTATTTAAGAGTGGTCTCTCTGCAGGTACAAAAGTCTCCAGAAATTTACCTCTAATACAACTGAACATATGTGCTCCCAGATGTGAGCTACCCAGGGAAGGAAGACTGCAGACAGGGCCTGGTTTCCGGGGGGCAGTGTCCAAAGACTTCTATGACAATCTAAGATGCTTCTATTCTTAGAACCTCCCTTCTGAATCATGGAGATGCTTCCGAAGTTACACAGGAGTGGCATGTTCTGGATTGTATGCATTCTATTTAAGCTTTGCAAGCATTCTGTTAAAATCATAACTAACGCATTAGCATTTCCAGTGACTGAAGGCATTATGTTCAGCAACAGCTATGTTTAAACACTAAATAACAATAGAGAATAAAAGGACAGCCTCTCTAGCCTATCTACTTGAACTGGTATTTCAGGCAATAGAGCCACCTAAGCATATTGAAACTATTTTGGGTTAACTTACTGAGTTGTCTTGAACAGGTTAATGCTCCTCTCTGGGCCAGTTACTCATTTGTAAAATGAGAAGAATTAAAATAGATCATTTTTAGCTCTTCCCAAACCTAGAAGCCTACAACTCCCATGAAAGAGGAAGATTATGTAAAACAAAAGTAGATGGGTAATTAATGAAACTGAAGGACCTACCACACCATAAACTATAAACAGAAGATTTTCCCATGAAGGATAGAAAGATGGTGTTTAAAGAGCAAAAGAACCAGGAAGGACAAAAAGGAATACAGAGAAAAGCAATAATTACCTAAAGTCACTTGGAGTGAGAGGAAGGTTTAATGTACAGCAAATAAAAAGGAAGTATCTAAAATAAAGATGGAATTTTTTGAAGCAAGAGGAAGTGGCTATGACTCAATCCAGAGAACACCATGGAGACCAAGGGAAACCCTCCTTAATGTAAGAAACGAAAGCAGGGTATTTTAAAAAGTCATAAAACATCTGCTTACAGGAAGAAGAGGCATTTCAGGGGGCAACAGAGGCCAATGGGGGATGTAAATAAGACAAAGAAAGGCAGACTTCAAACGGCTCATGCAGTATCTTAATGCTATGAAAAATCCTGTCTACTAAGAAATACGTAATATCCTGAAGTCCTATTCTGGATAGCAATAAAGTTTCTTTATTTTTTGAATTAAAAAAAATATTTACAGTATAAAATCCTATAACCATTCCCCTTTCTAGATATACAGTCCAGTGTATCAAGAGGCAGGAAAATTCAGAAAAAATATTTGACTTTTATCAATATATAACTTTTACCAAGTTAACCAGGAGCCAGGGATGACCCATCAGTATTTGGGAGATGTAATATGAGCAAGAGGAGAGACAGCAAGGCACACTGCACCAAGACGAGACAAAGTAAGGCGTGGGAACCATGCTGCTACATTAGACTCATCTGGCTAAAGAAAAGACACATTGAAAATGAGTAACTATAGAGCCAAAGGGAGCAAAAAACATGACAAGGCCACGGGGCTACTAAGCCCCACTTAAACATGAACCTGGACCCTCATATGAAGCAGCAGAGGAAAAGAATTACGTTTAAAATTGCTCCTCTCTTCTAAAGGAGCAGTCAACATGAACTAAACTTCACAACACATCGTTGTTTACCAGCCCCATATAGCCTCAAGTCCAGGGAGAAAAAAATCTACACTTAACACAAAATTTTTGGTTAACAACTTGAAATCTACAATTTGAAATACCGAATTTGAACAACTCTGTGAGTAGGGCAAAAGAACAGAAGAGCAAGGATGGTCTTTTCCCAAGTGAGTTGATTACTTTCAGCCTGCATGTGGAGCTTCTGTTTTAATTTAGGAAAGATATCAGCAATAGCTAAAATTGAAGAAGTCATATTTCCTTTAATCATATCAACTTTCATTCTATTAGAAAAACTAAACATTTGAGAAAAATTTGACATTAGTGCAAAGAAGAGCACTTGGGAAGTGCTGCAGAGCTGCTTTCTATTATTAAACACATAATCCATTAATAATAGTTTCAAAACGTGATGGCAAGAACGAAAGTATTATTCTGCATGGACTTTGCAGATCTGGGGCACCTTTGATTATCCTGTTTTGCTCAGTAACATCCCAGTGGAGCTGGAGGCAGACAATGCACCAATTTTACTGACAGAGGCACCATGGCACAGAAAGAATACGTGAATTACCACATAATTAGTTACTGGCAGAAGTCGTACAAGAAAACTGGTTTCTTGATTTCCAAGCCAAAGGTTTCCACCAGGCTAGATCTCAATCCATAAAACATTTGTGCATTACAAGTTTGGAGGCATGAGATAAAATGTGAAGTTAAGTCTCATAGCTTAGTGTTGTTTAATGCAAAACTGGGCAGAACCACCTAGGAACTGATGATACCAGAACCTAAACTTAAATAAAACCATCAAATCATGCCAACTGGACTTCATTTTTATTCAACATAATTTATTACAGGTGAAAAAAAAAATCACTGCATATTAACAATCTAACAAAGTTACCAGGTAAGCAAATACTTAATGTTAAGATAAACATATAATACAGTAATACCTCTATTAACAAAGACACTGTGTATCAGTGACATGTTTTCCTTGGTGGAATCTTCTTAGTGAAAATATAAAAGGCACAGGAAGGTCATAAGATGGAGAGAAAAGTTCATATATATAATCATTCAACACTAGCTAACATTAGATTTGCCAGATGTTGTACAATGCACATCTGAGAATCCTGAGGGACAGTAAAAGGGACTACAGTGAAGATATGCAGAAGAGACAAGGGAGGAATGAGAGAACTCGAAGGGGGAGAGGGAGGAGGAGGAAGGGGGGAAGAGGGGGGAGAAGGGAGAAGGAGGAAATGGGGAGGAGGGAGAAGGGGAGAGGGAGGAGGAGTGGGGGAGGAGGGAGAGGGGGGAGGAGGGAGAGGGGAGAGGAGGGAGAGGGGAGAGGAGGGAGAGGGAGAGGAGGGAGAGGGGAGAGGAGGGAGAGGGAGGAGGAAGGGAGGAGGAGTAAGGGGGAGGAGGGAGAGGGAAGGAGAAGGGGAGAGAAGGGAGGGGGAGAGGGAGGAGGAGAAAGGGAGGAGGGAGAGAAGGAGAGGGGAGGAGAAGGAGAGGGGAGGAGGAGGAGAGGGGAGGAGGAGGAGTGGGGAGGAGGAGGAGTGGGGAGGAGGAGGAGTGGGGAGGAGGAGGAGTGGGGAGGAGGAGGAGTGGGGAGGAGGAGGAGTGGGGAGGAGGAGAAGGTTATTTGGAGTGCAAGGCTGGAACATACACCCCATCTTTCAATGTGGACCAAATAAAAGTAAAAGACCATCGCACTATTTCTGTTTTCATTAGAGAAGGGGAAATATTAAGAGGTGCGGAATGTATAGTTTTCTTGCAGGGGTTAAAATGCAAAGAGTATGATAACAAAAGTCTGCTACAAAGGGTACAGTCAAAGCTGACAGTCAAAGCCACACCTGCACACATGCAAGAGTGTGCCTAAAAGGACAGGCCCCATGACCCTCCACTTTGTGCGGACCAGCAGGGCCAATATTACATTAAGAGGATTCAAACAGATGGACTCTACAAACGAGCTAGGTTCCCAGAGGATCTGTTAATCGAGGTATCACCGTATGACCCAGAAAACTGTGTGTGCAAACCACTCAAAATGCTGTGCGGTTGTAAGTGAACGAGTTTTACTTGCACATAAGTGAATGATATACTGACCGAAAACCAACTCTCCTCGTGTAGTGCAGACAGTTCTTGGTGACGTGGGTCTGGAAGTGCACCGACCTGCAGATGGCCCCACACTCAGGGCAGGTGTAGGGAGATTTGTGCTGATGGATTCTCTGGTGTGATGCATAACTGCACTGGTTAGGAAGCAGCATCTGGCAGATAGTGCAAGTCTTCTAAACAAACCAAAGGGGGAAACAGGGTTGGTCCTACTAAGTACTTTCTAATATGCAAAGAACCTTGGTTAAACCTCCAGATAATTATACATCCTTCATTTCAAACACTACAGTAATTGATTCTAAGCCCAAGGGAAAAGCCAACTTGAAAGTTACATGTCCAGCGTACAATTCTCTATCCTGTAAAATCACAGTATGTGCTATCTAGTCAGGCTCGTCTCAAAGTATGAGCTAAAAACACCTGTTTCAGCAGAGTTCCAATTCCATTACTTTTGCATTTTGCTTAGGGCAAAGAGGTATTCTTACAAATTTATGTGAGCAAAAGACTTTAATATATAGTAACAAGTTTATAGGCATACACATCTTGACAGTAGTCACAGTCCTCACAATTCATAAAAAGCTTTCTCCAAAATAATAAAAATTAATTAGAAGCTAATCCAATTGTTCACCAACCAGTTATTTGAAATCTGAAATACAGGAGTGCAAAAGAATGGCTACAGCAATTATTTGTTCTTTTTGCACTAAAATTGGCCTTTAAATGGATGATCTGGCCATGATATAATTTATAATTAAAACCAAGGAACTCAAGTTCAAGTATACAAATTTAGACATTAAATTAAAATTTTATAGAGCTTAAAATCTGATTATGTATAAAATAAAATTAAGGGTGAAATCCTCTTTGGAAAAGGCTCTATATCAGTAACTATCCAGGAAAACCCAAAACACTGTTTTTCATCCTCTTAAGATATAGGCACTAAACATGGTATATTTTTAAAAACACAAAACCAAAAAAACTTAAAGTAAACATAAACTGAGGACTTATTACTTCCACCCCAAAAATAAACCTCACATAGCATATGACATAAACTGTGTTTAAATACTTTCAGACATTCGTGCAAACACAAATTATCTACCATCTTCTAAAATGTACAATTTGTATTAAAGCCAAAGAAAGTCTCAAAATATAGATTCTTGCTAAGATTTAAAGCATTTGTTTATATTGACAACAGTTAAGAAATTTTAAAAAGACTTTTTTTATTCTTCTTGTTTTTGAAGCACGCCCAAAAATTAAGGTTTAAACTTCCGAGTGACTTAGACTAAGAAAAATAGGAAACTCACTTGAAAATTCTTTCTTGATTTTCTCCTGAAAGGACTAAAATACAAATTTTATCCCAAAAAATGTTTATTATAATCACAAAATAAGAACATTACAGGTAGCTTTAATGAAGTTAGCATCATTAAAAAAATAGCACCCCTTTTCTCATAACACATATTTCAAAGGTTAGAACAAGCCACAGCAAGGAAAACCAGTCAACAGATTCATTAATAACAGATCCTGTTAACATCTACATTACCACAGGTAACCATTTGTTTCTGTGAACTAAAGTCTTCTATCTACCTTCACACAGTCCCAGGCAGGGAATTATGATGTCTGAACTTCCACAGGCATCTTAAAATGTCTTGCACTTACTTGGGAATAAAGTTAGCATTTTCTATACTAAAAGAAGTCAAAAAACATTTATATATATATATACACACACACATTTATATACATACATACATATATACATACACACGTACATGCATGTGTGTGTATATACATATTATATTAAAATATATAGATTGGTCCCATCCTACCATGAGTCAAATGGTAAGCTAGGTATTTTAAATACATTAAGTAAATTGAAGTACATCATCTCATTTAATTCTCATAACCTATGAAGCAGATAACATCTCCACTTTACAGATAAGGAAACGAAGGCTCAGTAAAGTTAAGAAACTCGCCCAAGGCTCCATACCTATTAAGTGGAAGAACCAGGATTTGAACTGGAATCGAGGAGTGGGGTGGGGATATAATGAATGAATAAACAAAAACACACAGGGAAAACCATTAGCAAATATACCTGAATGCCAACAATGACCACGGCATGTCAGAGTAGAGGTGAGTCCCCTCCCCTGCTGCTTCTCTTTTATCTAAAGTAATGTGATTGCACTACTTTAGAACGGTAGAAAATGGAAAGAAAATCTAAAAAGCAGACAGTGTTCCTGAAAAAAATTTGCACATTTTCATCAAGATATACTACAAATGGTTATCCTTCACAATACATATAAGATGCACAAGGAATTACTTAAATTCATTGGAATGTATCATCATCATGTCTCCCCACCCCAACTGTAGGACTCTGCACTCACTCGTTCCCATCAGCTGAGGCTCCTCACCCACTTTCGATACAGAAGCACAAGGAGAAAGAGGGAGGCATAGGGACTACAGCCTCAAATCAAAATGCTTTCATACTTTGCAATTCCTGAAGTGGGAGAAAATGGTCACTGGGGAATCACGCTGGACACTAGAGACCTTGCCTTTAGTTTCTGTAGATGCATGCATATCCACGTACAGACACTTAGTTACTCCCACATTTCTATCTTTATTCACCTGCCTCCTCTACTCCTTGACTCCATTTGGTTTGGGTTTTTTATTATTGTTGTTGTTTTGAGATAGTGTCTCACTTTGTTGCCCAGGCTGGAGTACAGTGGCGTGATCACAGCTCACTGCAGACTCCACCTCCTGGCCTCAAGCAATCCTCACTCCTCAGCCTCCCCAATAACTGAGACCACAGGCACACGCCACCACACTCAGCCAATGTTCTTTTTTTTTTTTGTACAGACAGGGTCTCACCATATTGTCAAGGCTGCTCTCAAACTCCTGGCCTCAAGCCATCCTCCTGCCTTGGCCTCTCAAAGTGCTGGGACTACAGGTGTGAGCCACCGTGCTGGCTCCATTCCATTCTGAGAAAAAAAACACGCTGTTTTGGTTGGAGACATCCTCCTCCTTGATGCTTGCATGGTATCAATAGTTTTAAACTCACATGACATCATTTGCTTAGCTGTACTCCCTCAAGTTGTATTCACTGTTCCTGTTACAGAAAACTTGTCATCCCCTGTTTCCCATGATAGTGGTGATGCATTTTCACAGCACAAAGGAGTATCTTCCATTAGCTTTTCTAATGCTTTGAATTCATGAAAATAATGAACATCCTCTGGGTTTGGGGGATGTATTTGAGCATGAGGGCACACAAGGATCTCTTTGTGGCCTGTAATGACTGACTTTCCTTACTTTTTTTAATCAAGTAAATTAAAATATATCTTAAAATTCTAACACTCTACTACACAAGCTGAAGCTACTTAGTAGAGGATAAAGCAGTTTAATGTGACAGTAACTGCCTTTTCAATAGAAAAAAGCATAATAAAGGGCACCTAAGTGGTTTTATGTGTGTCTTGACATTTTACTTATGTCATCTAAAAATGGATAAATGTTTTCGGTACTTAGGTAATAAAGTTAATTTCTATTCTAGGGCAGCCTTATTTGCTCGGTTAAACTGTTACTTTTTAAAGTAAACATTACTTTTCAATAGGTAATACTAGAAAGCTATAGGAAAATAAAGCCGAAAAGTACCCACATTCCACGCTTTGCAATTACAATCAACTCTCTGTATCCTGAGGTTCTGCATCTATGTATTCAATCAACCACAGATCAAAAATATTTGGGAAAAAAATAAAAAATAACAATACAACAATAAAAAATCCAGTATAACAACTATTTATATTTACACTATTAGGTATTATAAGTAATCTTGAGATGATTTAAAGGACACAGGCAGGTTATATGCTTAGGTTATATGCAAATACTATGCCATTTTATAACAGGGGCTTGAGCATTCTCAGATGTTGGTATCTGAAGGGGGTCCTAGAACCAACACCTGAGGAAACTAAAAGATGACTGTACTTTTTTTTTTTTTTTTTTTTTGAGATGGAGTCTCACTCTGTTGCCCAGACTGGAGTGTAACAGCATAATCTCAGCTCACTGCAACCTCTGCCTCCCAGGTTCAAGCAATTCTCCTGCCTCAGCCTCCCAAGTAGCTGGGACTGCAGGCACGCACCGCCATGCCTGGCTAATTTTTTTGTATTTTAGTAGAGACAGGGTTTCACTATGTTGCCCAGGCTGGTCTCGAACTCCTGAGCTCAGGCAATCCGCCCACTTTGGCCTCCCAAAGTGCTAGGATTAGAGGCGTGAGCCACTGCGCCCGGTACTCTTACTGAGCCTTTTCTATCCAATCCTGTCACTGAAATTGATCAATAGCATGCAAATGCAGGCTACAGGGAAGGGGGAACCAGGTACATTCTGGCCAGTTAAGGAATCAGAGAGTGTTCAAGCTTGACATCCTCTTTCTATAGATGAGGAATTAGCTGAGTAATAAGAAAAATAATTCTACGTGTTTTTGCTCATATTTTAGGCAGAAAAGTAGCCTGGGAGAGGTACATGAGAGTGAGAGAGGCTAGAGAAACGTATGGCTGTATATTTATGTTTAAATTTCAAACAGACCAAAAGCCTACACCAACATGAAACATTGGAGCTAAAGGCAGAAACAATACCAGCTTAACAGTCAGCCCAGATGCTAAGCAAATTACTCTCACCTCATTAAAAGAAGTTCCACAATCTTCTGCCTAAAGTATAATTATACAAAAATAATAAAGTATACCAGTTTGTTTTGTGGCTTTCACTTTTGTCCAATTTCACACTGAGAACACAAAGAAAGCATTTCATTTCAGATCTCACTTAAATGGAAGTCATACCAAGCAAATACAGCAGAAATGGCTTTATATGCCTTTTGCTCACAGAGCTAGTTGGTTGTGCTGGTTTTGTCCTCAAATCATTCTGCTACGCAAAAAAATCCCTAATAAGAGTTGACAGTTAAATGAACAAATTTACAGAAAGCTATATGGCCAACACATATCATCTACTTACATGCTTATTACTGAAGAATACGGGTAAACTGAAGGTTGGTAACACTAAAATATAAACTAGGACAGGACTAGTCTTGACCAAAATTTAAATTAAACACTTAGAAGAGCAGGACCAAAAGCCAAGGGTCACAAGTCTTCAGCTAATAAGGGTATTTTGGGAGACGGCGGAGGGGAGGAATTCAGATGAGCTCCCTGGTTTCCAGAGGAAGCTGTCTGAGCAGAGCGGGATCTAGAAATGAGAACCAGCAGAGGCTGCTCACGAGAATACAGTTAGTATGTTGTATTAACGATGCCCAGAAAGTTCCTGAAACTAAAGTGAACCAGCAATCCCCAAAAATGAGGACCACTGCAAATGTCACCTTTATCCACACTCTTGAAGGTGACTCGGAAGTAACCCCAAGAATCCATCCTTATGTGATTCCTAAGGTCCCTCCGGCTGTAAGAGCCTATGCTTCAACATCTTAGAGAAGCAGAAAGAATGAACCAGCAATACAGAAATTTTGCCTTGAGTCCCAGCTCTGCCACCAATTGGGCATTTGTTTTTTCAATTGTAAAATAAAAGGGCTGGCCAAAAGACCTATAGCATTCTGTGATTCTACAGCTGATATAAATGCCACAAGAAGAAAACAGGTTTTTAAAATTAAGGGGTTACAGAAAGCATTTCCAGTCTGTAGTTGGTTAAATTTAGACATGGTTTTAAGAGGAGGTGAAGCAATGACATCCCAACACATTAAAATATCAATTATTCAAACGACAGTCCTCAGCTCTTAAATACTTCATGGAGAAAAGGAAAGCTCCTCTGGTCTCTTGCCCACTCCCTTTTCTCAACGTAACCCAAAGCAGAGATTATTAAGCAGATAGATCAGAATACAAACCCCTAACTGGGGCAGATTTAATGGCTAAAGAGTCAACTGCTCAGAACTGTTTTTATTTACTGCTTGATTCCATGCTCCCTGGAAGGTAGTGATCCCCACAAGGTCCTCAGTCCTCTAGGCTCTCTCCCTCTGCCACTGTCTCCTCCAAGGGGTAAGCAGATGCACGCAGGCAGTCTAACCTCAGCCTAGCAGGCTTTCGGTTCCTGGCCCAGATCGTGTACCAGAGTGTGATCAAATCCCAAGACAGCTTTGGGAATGTATGGCAGAGAGCCTCGAGCTAAAACCATATATTCCAACACAGCTCTTACCAGAGACCTGCTCTTGGGGGTCACTGAGCATAGACCAGTTCATAAGGAAGTGGTGCTTCTGAGTCTCTCTGGCAATTGTTACTTCTGCATAGATTGTCTACAGAACACTTGGAGGGGCAGCAGCAACTGGCAGAGAGAATGCACCAAATGCCACCCAAACCTTCCTTTAACCCATGGCATACTGGCAGTCTCAGAAGGCTAAAGGCATGCGTAAGGGGAGGTGGTGAGAGGCGTGGGAGGAACAGCCCCAGCTGGTGCTCACAGGCAGACAGACCCTCTGCTGGGTGCAGAGAAGCACCCTGGGGAAACTGAGACAGGCTCTGTTCAAAACATAAACAGAGGTCAAAATAGAAAATGATAACAAGGGAAAAATAAAATATAAAAAGAAAGATAAAAAAGGGGATAGTGACTGAGCTAAATCAAGAAAAGTACGTTCTTAAGGTCTTAAAAGAGGCTCAGCCCACCAGATGTGAAAGGTAAAAGACGCAATTCTCACTCCTAACTGCTTTTAAAGACGGGGCTAAGAAAGGAAGTTTACACTGGGTGGAGAAAATGTCTTCCATTCAGAGACAACAGAAATCCCAGGAAGTCAAATGGAAAGTGACCCTCCCAGGAAGCCTAATTGCAAAAACAGAGATTGGGGTCTGAAAGTCTCCGGCAGAGCACAATAATGCAATTACACAATCTCTCCTTGAAGACAGGACAGGTATATTAGGATCTTTTTTAAACATGGAGTAAAACGTCCACTTTGAGGAAAATGGAATAAGAGTAACTTTCCCTATTCTTCCCATTAAGTACAAGTCAAAACCCTGAACATTATATATAAAACAAACATAAAAGGACTCTGAAAGGTGGAGTGAAAGGTTAGCTAGGGATCTCAAGACCCTAGGAATGACAGGGTAGTCAGTTCCCTGGGTTTCTCTTCGCCTCATATATCCCAGATTTGGAGCTGAAGAAGCTAGCAACCCAAAATGCCAATGGGTAGAGACAAAAAAAAATTCCCAAGAAAAGCCTGTGCTCTGTAGCCGACCACCAAGAAACGAGTGCCTAGGAAAACAGAAAACTTTTAAAGGAACACTGTCTACTCCAGCCAAATCCCACAGAAAACACTACGGCCCCACCCCAACCTGTGCAAAGTAGAGGTGCAGCCAAGACTTCAGCCCTCTTGAGACTGTAATGAGCTGTCTGTCCCAACGTCCCTACCCAGATGGTGGGTGTCAGAGAAGCCCAGTAGCAAAGGTAAATTTTGATCTCTGCCAATTCCCCCACCACCAGCCCAACAGGTATTTTTTTAAACCCTAGAAAAGAAATCTCTAGGCCCAGATGGTTTCATTGGAGAATTCTACCAAAGAAAAACTAACACCAATTATACACACTCTCTTCCAGAAAAATTGAAGGAGGGAATACTTCTCAATTCTTTAAAAAGTGAGTATCAACCTATCTCAAACCAAACAAGAACAGAACAAAAAAGGATATCTACATGCATATAGATGCAAAACTCCTTAACAAAATAGCAGCAATTATAATTCAAAACATATAAAAAGAAATATGCAGCTTGACCAAGTGGGATTCATTCCAGAAATGCAAGGCTATTTTGATATCTGAAAAATCAGTATAATCTATCCAAAAAAAAGCCCTGAAACCAATAACTGAGTTCAACAGAGTCAAAGGATACACAAAAAATATATAAAAATTATTAGTGATGAACGTGTCCTCACCAAAAATATATACCACTTATGATTGTTTGAAAAAAGAAATCTAACAAAACATGCACAGGACTTATATGATGAAAACTACAAGGCCGGGTACAGTGGCTCACGCCTATAATCCCAGCACTTTGGGAGGCTGAGGCAGGCGGATCACCTGAGCTCAGGAGTTCGAGACCAGCCTGACCAACATGGAGAAACCCCATCTCAACCCTGTCTCTACTAAAAATATAAAATTAGCCGGGCATGGTGGCGCATGCCTGTAATCCCAGCTACTCGGGAGGCTAAGGCAGGAGAATCTCTTGAACCCAGGAGATGGAGGTTGCCGTGACCTGAGATCGCGCCATTGCACTCCAGCCTGGGCAACAAGAGCGAAACGCCATCTCAAAACAAAAAGAAAAGAAAACTACAAAACAAAGAATCAAAGATATAAATAAATGAAGAATCATTTATCGGCCTTTTGGCTAAGAACAAGTGTAGTATCTGTTCTTATCAGTATAAATAAATGATGAATCTATGCCCATGTTCATGGACTGAAACGCTCAATATAGTAAAGATGTCAATTCTCCCCCAAACTGATATGCAGGTTTAATGCAATTCCTATCAAAATCCCAGCAAGTTGTTTTACAGAAACACACAACATTATTCTAAAATTTATATGAAAAGGCAAAAGAACTAGATGAGTGAAAACAATTTTGGAAAAGAAAAATAAATTGGAAGCATCCATCTACCAGACTTGAAGACTACCTAATTACAGTACTCAGACTGTAGATACTGGTAGAGGGACAGACACACAGATCAATGGAACAGAATAAAGAATCCAGAAATAGCCCCACACAAATGCCTAACTGATACTTGACAAAGGGGCAAAAGCAGTTCATTGGAGGATGACAGCATCTTCAACAAATGGCCAAGTATTGGGGGAAAAAATGACCCTCCACCTAAATCTCACACCTGATACAAACATCAACTCAAAATGAGTCACAGACTTAAATGTAAATCACAGAATTATAAAACGTTGAGGAAAAAAACACAGAAGAAAATGTTTAGGATCTAGAGCTATGCCTTAGACTTGACACCAAAAGCAGAGGTCATAAGATGGAAAACTGATATACTTGACTTCACGAAAATTACAAACTTTTGCTCTGCTAAAGAAGAGGATGAAAAGACAAGCTATAGACTGGGCGAAAACACTTGCAGCCACATAGCCAACAAAAGACTAGTATCTAGGCTCTATCAAGAACTTGTGAAACCCAATTGATCTGTTGTAAAAGCAAACAACCTAATTAGAAATGGGCAAAAGATATGAAGAGACATTTCACCAAAAAGGAAAAACAGATGGCAAATTAAACCCATGAAAAGGTGTTCAACATCATTAGCCACTAGGGAAACATGAATTGAAACCACAATAAAATAATACCACACATCTATCAAAATGGCTAAAATAAAATATGGTAACAGCACCAAATGCTGGAGGATGCAGAGAAACTGGATCCCTCGTGTGTTGCTCCTGGGAATATAGAATGATACAGCCACTCTGAAAAACAGTTTAAGAGTCTAAACGTGCAAATACCATGTAAAACAGCAGTTATACTCTGATGATAAATAGGCATTTATCCCAGAGAAATAAAAACTTATGTCCACAAAAAAACCTATACACAATGTTAATAATAGCTTTATCCATCATAGCCCCCAACTGGATCCAATGCAGATGTCTTTCAACAAGTGAATGGTTAAATGAACTATAGTATAACCATACAATGGAATCTACTCAGCAATAAAAAGGAATATACTATTGATATACGCAACAACCAGGGAATTATGCTGAGTGAAAAAAAGCCAATCCTAAGGAGTTATACACTATATGATTCCATCTATGTAACATTCCTGAAATGAAAAAATTATAGAAATGAAAAACAGCTTAGTGGTTGCCAGGGGTTAAGGAGTGAGGAGAGGCTGTGGGTGGCTATAAATGAGCAATATGAGATCTTTGTAGTGCTGGAAAAGCTCTGTATCTTGACTGAGTCAACGCTCATGTCCCAGCTGTGATACTGTTCTATAGTTTTGTGAGATGTTACCATTGTGGGGAACTGGATGAAGGGTATACAAGTTCTCTCTGTATTATTTGTTACATGAATCTACAATTATCTCAAAAGAAAAAGGGAAGGAGGTCCCTCCGCTAATGAAGTCATACCTTTCTCCAGACCCAGTAAACCAAGGAGCTGAAAGGCACTGAGTAAAGGGCGATGGACCTGCCAGTCTAGCAAGGACCCCAGAGGCCATACCCTTTACACCTTCTGAACCATGAACAGTGGCAGCAAGGTTGGTTCAGGAATCCACTTCGGGTGATGAGACTAGACTAACTAGACACTAATGTGCAGACCCAGGGCATCCTGCCCCAGAGCCACAGGCACAGGCTTAAACTGCACTGGGTTCCTACCCCAGAAAGCACAGGTCAGGGTGTGAGCACCAGAAAAAAGTTACAGTGTAGACTGGTATACTCTTCCAATTCACCCATGAGCTACCAAGAATGTGGAGGTCAATGGGGAAATGGAGTTAAAGTGTTAAAATACATGGAATGCTAGCCGGGCGGGGGTGGATCACACCTATAATCCCAGCACTTTGGGAGGCCAAGGCGGGTGGATCACTTGAGGTTAGGAGTTCAAGACCAGCCCGGCCAACATGGTGAAACCCCGTCTCTACTAAAAATACAAAAATTAGCTGGATGCGGTGATGTGTGCCTGTAATCCCAGCTGCTCTGGAGGCTGAGGCAGGGGAATCACTTGAACCCAGGAGGCAGAGGTTGCCATGAGCCGAGATCATGCCACTGCACTCCAGCCTGGGCGACAGAGTGAGACTCCATCTCAAAAAAAAAAATATGGAATATGTTGTACAACAGAGGAAAGGAGGGGCTTGGCACAGTTGCCGGTACTTCAGGCTCCCGTGTCCATTTCTAGATTTGTAAGCAGTCATGTGTGTTTTAAGTGCCATCCTCAGACAGAAACCAAGTTCTGTGTAATTTTTTCCCATTCCAGTTGAACAAACTGTAAACTGGCCAACAGTCATGTGACTGGCAAACGAGAAGGATGAAACAAAGGCTATTTTCTCTTTTCTTTTCTCCCTGTCTTACTGCAGCCCCCACCTCCCACTCCCATGGCTGCTGGATAGCACCCCAGGCAACAGTAATGGTCGAGAACCCCCATGGCCACATGTGGAGGCTAGGATGGCAACAGCCACAGGCATCCTACTGAGCCCCTAGAACCAAGGAAGAGACTCCAGGTTGGGTTAAACCATGAATGCTGAAGACACAGCAGCTATTCCTACTGAGGCAGAAGCCACACTCCCCTCTTGGGTCTGAGTGACACAGTCTGGCTGAGTCTGGGAAAATGGGAAGCTGTGAAGAAGCATTCTAGATCCAGTGAGAAAGGGGAGACGAGGAACAGGAGGAGAGCGTGCTATGGGGCCTTTTCACACTGCTGGTCCTGCAGTGCTTGGCTATGCAGTGGGTTGAAGCTCACTACAAACCAACGCCCTTCGCTGGTGAGCTGAGTGGCCTACATAGGTGAGTGGATGGCTGCAAAACGGAAACAGATCAGGAGGTGAGTGTTTTGCTTGTGTGTATCTGGTCTGAGAGTTAAATATACATTCTGCCCTGATTCACTCCTTGGGATTCCGCGTCAAACGGGTGACCTGCGTACTCGTCCCAGCAAGATACAAAAGTGATGCCAAAGCAACCACACACAAAAGAAAAGATGTTCATCTCTCCTCCTGGGGACAGAGTTTCACCCGTTTCACCCTAGTTTGGCTGTTGAGCCTAAAAGGTTAATAAAGAACAAAAACTAGGGAAACGCAGGGAATAAGGACATTCCTACCCGCCTGCTCATGCCCTTCCTTGCTCTCAGAGAAGGAGGTCTCAGACAGACACATCTGAGGGTAGCTCCAAAGGCCAGATACAGAGCACACAGCTCATAGTGAGAACCCTCCTAAGCCAGGACACAGTCGACCGCTCTACACAGCCCACCAGCAGACACAGACACGAAGACAACAGAAATGAAGAAAGAGCTTTTTGGCTTTTTCCCCTTTTTTACTGCATCCTGTTAGGATGAAAAGAAATATTATCCTTTGATGAAGCGGTGTCAAGATGGGAGGACATCCATGTAGACAGAACCCAGGCATTGTCACCGGGCTAGGTTAACAGCTGGAGCCATCATAGCCTTCTTGAACTAAGTTGCTGCTTTCCTATTTTTTGAGCATTTTACTGCCAGAGCCAATGAAACATTTAACATTCAAACCTGCAAGAATGCTGTCAAAACTCTTTATTGCTTCCATTTCCACTGAACTGAAAAACCAGATAAAAAAATTACCGGGGTATTCTTGATCTTTTGTTCCCCAAACTGAAAATGCTACAAAGAACTTAAACCAGTAATTACCCTGAGGAACTAATCACCAAGATAGCACCAAACTTCTGAATTGCGGCATAAACATCCTAATTAATTAACAAAATATTGGAGGGAGAAAAAAAGGAAAGCCCAGTTTACTGTTAAATCTTTATAGAGATGTTTGAGGAGCAGAGTATATTAGCTCAAACTAGTGCTCCCTTTGAATTTCACAAGTTTTTTCCTTTTTTTTTTTGGAGACAGGGTCTTGCTCTGTCACCTGAGGCTGGAGTGCCGTGGTATGATCTCAGCTCACTGCAACCTCCACCTCTCAGGCTCAACTGATCTTCCCACCTCAGCCTCCCAAGTAGCTGGGACCAACAGCATGCACCACCAAGCCCGGCTAATGTTTGGTATTTTTGTTAGAGATGAGGTTTCACCATGTTGCCCAGGCTGGTCTCGAACTCCTGAGCTCAGGCAATTCACCTGTCTCGGCCTCCTAAAGTGCTGGGATTACAGGCATAAGCCACTGTGCCCAGTGAAATTTCACAAGCTTTCTAGTTTGGACAATATGTCACATGGTCTAACTCGAATTTATTTCATTCAACATGTCTAATTACTTCCAAATAATAGATTATATATTTATGATAAACACATTTATCTATTAGCTAAAAGTTGCCTCATGAAGTAGCAAATGATGGAGATAAAAGGCTGATTGATGCCCACTGTGAAATGTAATTCACCAACATTGACCTGCACTTCACTACAAAACAAAAGCTGCAAACACACACAAAGGTATTCTGTTTAATTGGAGATGGGTTTGCCATTTGTGGCTTAAATTCATTGCAGTGAAGGATATTACTGAACACACTTCTGGACCACCATCTTAAGTAAGCAGACATGCCACAGAAATGGGTACTGATAAATGCATTTAACTGTAAAAGTAAGATCAGCATTATAAATAACAACAGTAAGCTCAGTAGAGCTGCCAGCAGATAGATAAATAAATAACAGTAAGTATTTTTCTAAATATCAAAATTGTCACTAACTCAGGAGCTCTGATGATGAAGCCGGGCTCAAATACTTAATACAATGGGATGACACTATAATCCGCTAAATCTCAGACTTTCAATATACATTCCAATGACCAAACGATTACCAAAATCTAAAGTTCCACAACTCAACTAGTATATATATATTATCCTCCCCTCAAAAAACTCGTTTTACTAAAATAAGATTCATGTTTCAACATTGTTTCTGTTCTTTTTTTTTTAAAGAGATATGATCTCGCCCCAATGCTAGGCTACAGTGCAGTGGCTCAATCACAGCTCACTGCAGCTTCAAACTCCTGGGCTCAAGCAATCTTCCCACCTCAGCCTCCCGAATATAGCTGGCGCAACAGGCACACGCCACTGCTGCCACAACCACAACCACCACTGCCACTACCACTCCTGCTACCACCTCCAACACCACTGCCACCACCACATCCCCAGCTAATTGTTTCTATTCTATGAAAACAATCCTTACTGGATCATGTGCCCGGCTGCACAGGCATTCCCCCTCCCCTCCCCAAACACACACACACACACACACACACACACACACACACACACACACACACACACACACGTCCATTTCACTGCATTCCCACCCTAAAATCAAGGGCATCTTATCAAGCACTCATGCCTACAGACTCATCACTGAAACACAAAAATTTAAATGATACTCTACTTGTCCACTCGTATCTGCAGCCTGCTGGAAATGTGTAGCCAGTGATGTCTCGTCCTGGAAGACTTCATTACACTCCAAACATTTTAGACTATGTCTACACAGTTTGGAGGGGTCTTCATCTAGGGGCATGGCTGGGGTGATGGGAGTGCTTGAAGGAGCCGATATGACTGTCCCAGTTATGCCAGACTGAATTTTTGTGACAGTGTGTGTGCCAGCTCCCACAGGGCTCTGAAGAGTGGAAGTTGAAGTGGAAGTATTGCTTGACGGAGAAACTATCATTTGATCTGCTGGGACTGGCTTTAAAATTAAGTGGGAGCATTGCATTACCACCCCTTTCTCCTTATGCCCACGGGCATGGGAAAGGAGGCTGCATTTGTTGTAAAAAACGAGGTTCTTTGTACAATGGTTGCACGTTACTTCGATGCGCACGCTCCGTCTGTCGTAGTGCTGGGTCAGACTCTTTTCAAGTGCAAAGGAGTCCCCACACTCCAAGCACTTGTACCCACGCGTCGGTAACGTGATCCCTGCATTGGCGGGAGGACTGAGGTTTGGGATGTAAACAGGGACTGGATTGACACTGCTCAGCACCTTGTTGAAAGCTTCCACCACAGAACTCTGCAAGGACGACACCACCTGGACTCGAGACACCTTTTTGGGGGGTTGCGAGGCTGCTGCATTGATTATTGCCTGCTTTATTTGTTGCTGAGGTTTGGTTAGCACTTGGCGGAGTTCAGAGGTGGCCTGGGCACCCTGAGGCAAAAGGTTAAGGTTGGCAAGGTGCACAGTCTTTGGCACGAGTTTGGCATTGGCCAGGCTGGATGCCGGCACCACGACAGTTTGCTGCTGGATGGCGTTGGCAGCTTTAATGATGGCGCTGCTGGCACTCTGGACAGAGGCAGCAGATATGACCGTGGCTTTCACCGTGGTGTTGTTAGCGAGCTTCAAATTAATGACTTGGGATCCTGCCGTCTTCACAGCAGACACTGGGAGGAAAGCAGTAGCCACAGGCTTGATTGTGACCTGTTTGGGGGTGAGCTCTGCAGGGGAAACTGCATTGGTCACGACCGCAGACTGGAGAGGCGCCCTGGGGGGAGAGGAAAGGACGGCGGCTGATGCTGGAGACGACAGAAGGGATGTCACAGAGGCCATCACGGACGCTGTCTGCTCGGAAGGTTTCTTTCCAGAGTCAAGATCCACTTCTGGCAATACCCTGGTCACTGTTCTCTTGATTTCCCCAGAAGATGTCTTAATGGTTTTTATGCGGACTTTGGGGATTGCTGGTGTGGACCCTGCGGGAGAGGACGGGGATCCTTTGCTGCTGTTCTCACTTGAGATGCTTCTGGGACTATCCGGTTGCTTCAGGGATGGTTTTTTGGTCCCGTCGATGAGATTCTGGGATTCAGGAGACTTGTCAGCGGCTCTCGGACTGTCATTTACTTCTTTTGGTAACGGGGAGGATTCCCTCGAATTGGCCACTGGTTCTTTGCAGGAGTCTGAAGCCGCCTTTTTAGCGCTGAGAGCCGCGATGGCAGCGATGCAGGACGAGAGCTTGGAGGACGACTTTGTCTTTGATGGCGCAACGCTGGGGAGGCTGGTGTCATTCTTCTCGGAGCTCAGCTTCCCATCTAGGACTCTGTTTTCCAGCACCTTGTCAGAGCTTTCCTTCAATTTATCCTCTGCTTTTCTGACTTTAAAAGGTTCATAAACACTCAGGTTTATAGAACTGGCTTCTGTTTCTCTCTTAACAGCTTTGTTTTTCTCCACATTGCCTGACGTAGAGAGTCCAGTTTTGCTGGAGTTTTCCCCTCCGAGTGCCTTCAGCTTATCGTAGTCCTGCTGGGGAGCCGACCCCGTCAACACATTCGACCTGAAGCTTGATCGCATGTCCTCCTTGTCAGGGGGGTCATCCACCTCAATCTTCTCGTCGTCATCAAACTCTTCAGCACTGGAGATCGGGCTAAACTGGCTGAATGTCGAGTCTTTCAGTGTCACCTCAGAGGCAGGCACATCTCCTTTCAAGGACTTTGCTCCATCTTTACTGTAACTGTCAAGGGAGGATGCTGTGAGAAACCCATTATGTAAGCCATTGCCAGTGGGGTTGTGGCCGTCTTTCTCCCCGCCCTCGGAAGAGTCAATGTTCCGAACATTCTTGACGATAACGCTGACACCCACATCAGAAGATGATGGTGCGTGGGAGTCATCCTCTCCGTGAGCATTCTGCTTCATGTGGCTTTCATGGTCATCGTGTCCAGACTCAATAGCTGCTTTAGGATCGACCATATCTGGGATGTCAAATGCTGCCAGGAGGTCATCAAAGTCTGGGGTCTTCATATCCCCCATGGTCATTAATTTGAGCAGATGTTCTGTTAAATGAGCAGAAAATAGTTCCATCAGTAATTGGTATTTCCTCACGATGAGATAAAACCCCTATACAATTCACACTAACATAACGATTACTAAGAAAGAGCAAGGAGGTAACTGCATTTACGGTAACTACGAAACTCTGAGTCCAAGTGGACAAACATCGAGAAAATACATGTAAGACCTAGATAATTTTAGCTTCAAAAGTAAGCCCTCCACACTGCTATACGGTGTTACCAGCGTGGCTCCCAGCTAACAAGAATGAAGTTGATTGAAACTGCTGTAGCCTAGAAAAACAGGTTCTGGTGTAGCAACTAGAAAATGTGTCCCTTTCATAAAAAGCTACTTCCAACATATTTTGATCTTGACAGTATTTAATTCTGCTGGCAAAATTATCACTATCATCGTCACCATCAGATTTGGGATACCTTATTAAAAGAAACATACCACAATCAAAAAAGGCAAGTACAGATTTCAATATTCATCCACAGAAGAAAGAAATCAGCATCCACAGCTACTGCAGGATATCTGCTAATAAATTCCATTTGGGACTTTTTAAAAAAAAAAAACCCTAAGGAGCTGATTCTGTCCATTTTTATTTAACCCTAATTTTCCCTATTATGTTTGTTAAAAAAGAAACATTCCCAGATGATAGGAGGATGGAGAGTTTTAGAAAAATGGATGGTCACAGCCATTACTAAACATGAAGGATATATGAATACATGCAGTGCTTGAGGGATCTTTAAAAGGGGCTCTTCCCCCGACCCGCAGAGGACAAGTGATTGTCAGGGGAGATAAAGCCTCCACTGCAGGGGGCATGTTCTGCTCCCTGGAACCCCAGCCTTCCATCCTGAGACTCTACTGTTTCCTGGTCTCTACTCCAGTCTGTGTGTACTTGTCTCCTCTTACATACTGGCCTGTAAGCTGCCTGAGGACAGGCAAAGTGTCACTCATCTTTCTAGCATAAATGTCAAATAACGCAACACCAAGACAGGCACTGGGTTTATAACAGAAGAACAGGGCTGGACCCAGCTCTGTCACTCACTAGCTCTGGGGCCCTCAGCAAGTGAGGGGATCTCTTGGATCTGTTCCTTCTGCAGTGGAGGCAAACAGCCAGGAAGAGAAGGAAAGGAAAGAGGGAAGAGAAGAGAGTGAGAGAAGAGAAAGGGGAATGAAGCAAGCAGCAGTCAGTCGGAAGGGAAGAGGGTAGCAGCTGACTTCAGGCAACTTTCAGTGGAAGAATTCACCTAGCCAATTTAGATGCGTGTTCCTAGACAGACTCTGCCCTTCGGTATTTGCTGTGTCATTATCCTTCCTTCGAATCTGCTTTAGTGGTCCCTGACACGTTGCCTCCTTCCACATCTTACTGAAGCACTTGATTTTTTTTTTCTTGTACAATCTAGAAAACATCACACATTCCTAATAAAAGTAACTATTCCAGGGTCAAGAGAGAATTTCTACTCAGTGAGAATACACATGCCTGAGAAAACTCATATACACCACAAATCTATCAACAGCTGCTAAGACCCTCAGTATATTAACTCACTCTGGGGACACATCCAAACACACTGAAGAATTTGGTTAGAAAAAACTACTGTTGAAGGCGAAATCAACACTTAGGGTTCGATGGGAGCTGAAGAATAAATCCGCTTCTATTCACACCTGTCTCGGTTAATACCGAGCTGAAGAAGTCACATGTGCTTTTCTTTCGATGGCTTACTCAGCATAGAGAAAACATTCTGTGACCACTCTTCTCTCAGAGGGGCGCCTGCGGAAACAGAGGGGGAATAACATACCCCCAGCACCAAGCTACCACCGATGCAAAAAGTACACAGGAAATAAAACATTAACATCTCTAAAGGGATACTGACGTACAAATATCTATGAGAAGTCAGATTCAGTGGAAAGTCTGTGATTATGGTTTTGTTTTTTAAATGAAATTGAACATTTAAACTGCAAAACGTGGGGAATGAAAAAGCCATCTGTCAGGCACTATATCCACAAAAGAATCCACCCACTTACAAATAATCCCTGAATGTCACCACTCTTCTTTCTATTCATCATCCTGGTGTTGTAAATGGAATACTCACAATAAAGCTGCCATTAGCAGAGTATCCCTGTGATCTATCCTTACCAACCATGTTGATCTAAAGTTGGAGGTCACTGTGATTAGAAAACTCAAGACACCACCCCCTGCCCCACCAGGGTTGAAAGGGACTGAAAAGTAGATTTTTAACTGATGCAAAGCTTGGGCTCAGGCTCTGGAAGTCCCCATGGTAGTGGGGCTCTGCCCTAGTCCCCCAACTCTTTCTTTCGAGCTTCACAGGATTTTAATGTCATTTGCCCTCTCTTTATGACTTTGGTGAGCAAAAGACTTTATACAGTTTCACACTGTTCATCCCAGAGGGCAGTCAGTTCAGGAACAAAAAGAAGATAAGAGATAATTCAAATACTCAGTGGGTGGGAGGCCCAGAACATACAACCACATGAATGAGGAAAGGTCACCCCATGAAACCAAACTTGAGTGGTCGGCAGTGCGACTGTCTGACATTCTTATGAACCCTGGGAAGGTTAATATGGCTCTTCTCACCTTTTTCTGCTGTTGCACGTACAGGAACCTCCTGATTTATAAACGCATGCACAGCAGCCGTACTGAATCACTGAGTTAATGCTAAACTTGTTGACCTCCACATCACCCCATCTTTTCCTACCTGCCCAGCTAAAGCAGAGTTAGGATCTAGAAGGCCCCAGAGAGGAACTCCCATGCCTGCAAACCCCTCAAGGGGTTGAGAAGCAACTCTTTCTCCACAGTGATCCAGCCTCACCCTGTCCCCATCCCTCTACTCCACCTAAGGTTTATACTCTTCTCATGGGGGACGTGGGGGAGTCCAGCGTGAAGCAGTGGGACGTGGTAAGAGGTCAGAGTGAACTGATGGTAGTTTTAAAAAGTGAGTCAGTCATCCTAGTTCACCTGCAGGAAGGCCGACTAGAAGCTGAAAATGCATAATGGGCATTTCTGAGTGCAGTGGCCAACCGAAAGCGCATCGTGTCGTCTGAAACCCGAGATCACTGTGGTGCCTGGACTCCCCTCTCTGGGGTTGTATAACTAATGGAATGGATACCACTCTGTAACTTCACACTTCTTTTTTGGTTTATAGGAATGTTTTTCATACCCACAATCACATTGTCCTATTACCCTTTCCCTTCCCACATTCTGGAAGGCAAGAGCAAGTGTTCCATTCCACTTGGAGGGGAAAAAAATGTATAACTCCCACTTCATTTCTCAGTTATACTGAATACAAAGAGGAATGTTTATGTCTGAAAGTTTTCTTCGCTTTCCACCCCAATTCCTAAGTACTACTGTCTTAAAAATAGATTCTTTTGCTTAAAAACATTACAAAAATAAATCTCAGTCCTCTCTTTTAAAAGATAAAATAGAACGATCTCATTTTAGCTTCCCTTTCCCTCAACAGTTTGATTTTCAAACAGAATTAGCTTTAGTTATTTTAACAATGTCTTTCACTTATGCCCTATAAAATACATCTCCCTTCAAAGGCAATAATAGTCTTTTATTTTATTTATTTATTTTTTCCGAGACGGAGTCTTGCTCTGTCACCCAGGCTGGAGTACAGCAGTGTGATCTCGGCTCACTGCAACCTCCGCCTCCTGGGTTCAAGCAATTCTCCTGCCTCAGCCTCCCGAGTAGCCGGGATTACAGGCACCTGCCACCACATCTGGCTAATTTTTGTATTTTTAGTAGAGACGGGGTTTCACCATGTTGGCCAGGCTGGTCTCAAGCTCCTGACCTCGTGATCCGCCCGCCGCGGCCTCCCAGAGTGCTGGGATTACAGATGTGAGCCACCACGCCTGGCCAATGGTCTTTTAATTTAAAAGTAAACCCTATATAAATGACCTATAATTCACTAATAGCATTTGTGCTTAATGTATAATGTTCTTTCACCCAAAGACATCAACAATATCTGAGGGAATCAGACCTGTTTACAAAAAAGGAAATTGAAAGAACTCAGGTCTGTCACATGATCACTTTATTTTCTCGTATGACACAGAGACAAAACATTTCCTTTCCTACTCAAAGCCTCTGAGAATTATGAAAAGCTATTTCATCTTTGTTGGCAGAAGTCAAAAGTTATGAAGTCAAAAGAAAAACGTAAGAAAAACCTATTCACCCCTTAATCATACTTCTCATACTTTGTAACAAAATTCTTCTTCCTTTGCAATAAAAAAATTGTTGGTTTCCCAATTTCCAATTAGAGAATGTCAGTATTAAAGGCATAGGCACAGCCTAACCATTAAATCCCAACTTTAATCCTGAAACAGAAAGATGCACGCCTAAATCCAGCCAAGGTCTGCCTCCTCTGACCTGTGAAAACGCTGGTTCCCTATTTAATACAGAAACTAACATTTCCCTTAATGAAAATCAATACCCTCTAAATCATAACAGTCCTACTTAGAGAAAAACAAATCAAAGTCTACTGACCATCTTGGCAGTATTATAAAGGCTTCCCATAAAACAACTGTAATAATACAAGGTCTGCTTTGGGATTCCCAGTCTTATTTTCTAGCACTATCTGGCCACTGAGACCCTTCATTGTATCTTTTTTATTCCGCTGAATTTTTAAAAAAATAATTCTTTTATATATATATATTTTTTCCTTTCCCTTTCTTTTAGGATGGGGTCTCACTATGTTGTCCAAGCTGGTCTCGAACTCCTGAGCTCAAACAATCCTCCTGCCTCAGCCTCCCAAAGTGCCAGGATTACAGGTGTGAGCCACTGTGCCTGGCCCCAAAAAAATAATTCAATAAATGAATGGATCTAGCATGTTTTCATCTTTCCTATCTTTCCTTCAAATATAAAATGTTCTTATAACTTATGTTTATATTACGTAATGTTTCAAATTTAATTTCCTCCTCTTAGAAAATGAATCTAGCTAGCATCCCCAGTTTTTATACATCTTCAAGAAACACAGGGATTGACTTCTCTTGGCTGCCTACATTCAAATTCTTGCTCTTCCCATTATCATTATGCAAACCTTAGCTCTGCCTCCATCACCAATCTCTTACATCTTTAGAATTTCCAAGGCTCTGCACATTGTATCTCTTCCACCAAAGAAAAGAAAAAAAACCTTCTCTCTTCTCTTCCAACTGATCTTCTGCCGCTTTTATCCCACTTCAATCTCGACTGCATATCAGGGAAACCTATTTTCTCACTGCATTTCCATTCCAAACACCAAATCGGTTCAGCTACGCAGGTCGACCTCATGCTTCTTCACTCTTCCTAAACCAGCTGGGGACATGGGTCAGTTTGGGGGCCAAGTTTTTTTAAAAAATTTGATCAGCCGCGCCTCTGGAGCAGCTGCCATGGTTCACTGCCTCTCTCTAGGAAGTGCAGGCAGGGGTGGGAGAGACTGGGCCCCAAAAATGGCAGATTCTCAGATTTCAAAAAAATAGCATACACGCAGACACACACATGAAAAAATGTGGAAAAGAAAAATAAGCAGTTATGAAAAAAGCTATGGAATCTCTTAATTACTTGCCATCTGAAGGTCCCATGCCAGTGACAAATGCCACAGAAAAGTTTCATTTTACCTTTAGCCTTCACACTAATCAGACCCTGATTAAGTCGAGACAGCCAGCCCAGAGCACCTTGCAGGTCTAAAGGTTCCTCCCCGGCCACAGGGAAGAAAGCTGACACAATGGGACACCAACAAGTCGCCTGGACCCTCTGACCTGTCAGCACTGCTGGGCACCCTGATCACACTCTGCCCCCTCTCAGCACAAGAGCTTCATTTTCTAAGCAGCCTACACCAGGGTAACACATAGCGTACAAATACAGTTTATACGCACAGTCAAAGAACAAATGTATGTTTTGTTAATTCTGTATGAGTTAACAAGAAATTAGCAAATATAGTTGCTACTATCCAAAATAGTTATTTACTGGTTTCCTTAAACCTGATGATACCAATCATGGATATACAAATACTTTGCTCAAGGTAGTATGTTTTCTTCTTCAGCTAACACTTGATATTCCTGATCTGAAATATAACAGATTTCCTGATCTGAAATTCAAACTGCTTCTGGAAATATCAACACAGGAGTCACATACTAATGCCACGAACCAGGTCACGACCTTGGGAAATAGAGGAGTGAAGCCAGCCCCAGCCCTTTGCTGCAGTTATTCCACACTCCTCCCTCAAGGTTATAAAAGTAGGCTCCCCGCCCCCATCCATTCCCCACCTCGCACATCAGGAGCAACTAAGGGAAAGTCCCTGTCCCTACAAACCTCAGCCTTCTCTGAAAGCTCAACCTCCCCCACTCGGCCTACTTCTCACATCACAGCTCTCTAAGAAAGCTCACTCCCCAACTCCAAACTCTTCTGGGTCAAAACGAAAGCTCAGCTACAGTGAGAGCTCCTTTGCTTTTTCCAGGAGAGAAGCTCCAGGGAAATTGAGGGCGTGCCTGTAGCCCTCCACAGCAGGTCCTCAGCGTCATTTAGCACTGCAATTTTGTTTTTCCTTATTAACTCCCATCCTGCCAAGAGACAAGGGCTGCTTCTTTTCTTTCCTTTGACACAGGACCTGGCTCTGCTGTCCAGGCTGGAGTGCAGTGCCATGATCATAGCTCACTGCAGCCTCGAACTTCTGGGCTCAAGTGATCCTTACAAGCACCGCCACACTCAGCTAATTCTTATTTGCTGTAGAAATGGGGTCTTGCTCTCACCCAGACTGGTCTCAAACTGGCCTCGAGTGATCCTCCAGCCTCCCCTCCCAAGTGCTGGGATTAAAGGCTTGAGCAACCCTGCCTGGCCTAAGGCTGTGGCCTGCAGATGTTACTAATCTCTCCCTCTTCTAAACTCCATCCCCCCTTTTCTTTCTGAGGTTAACTTAAAAAATCATAGTCACCAGTCAAGAGGTCTCCCACAGCTTCATTCCTTCAAATCTTGCCTGTACCTTCATGCTGGCTTTGCCAAGCCGATCCTCCACAGTGAGCTTGGTCTGTCCCTTCTATTTTGGGTAATTCCTATCCCATTTGCCTAGTGGCATAGAGAGATCTCCTCCAGCCTTACCCTGGAACCCTTGGTGCTCTGTCCTCTTGCCACGCAGCCTTCATGGCTCAAGTTCTCCAGTACTGGGACATATCCTGCTCCTCCCAGTATCTCCCCAGCACTCTGACAATCCACTCTCTCAAAACCACCATTGAAATCCAGGCAGGGCTGGGCGTGGTAGCTCATGACTGTGATTCCAACACTTTGGGAGGCCAAGGCAGGATGATTGGTTGAGCCCAGTAAGTCGAGGCTACAGTGAGCTACAATCACGCCACTGCAATCTAGCTTAGGCAACAGAGTAAGACCCTGTCTCTTAAAAAAAAAAAACAAACCAGGCTGAAGGAGAGAATTTTAGGGCTCATGGAATAGTTCTGTATCACAAATGTGGTAGTGGAGACATGTTTCTGTGCATCTGTCAAACCCTTGAGAATTTCAGGCCAGGTGCGGCGGCTCATGCTCGTAATCCCAGCACTTTGGGAGGCTGAGGCGGGTGGATCACTTGAGACCAGGAGTTTGAGACCAGCCTGGCCAACATGATGAAACCCCCTCTCTCTCTCTCTACTACAAATACAAAAATTAGCTGGGCTTGGTGGTGCATGCCTGTAATCCCAGCTACTCGGGAGGCTGAAGCGGCAAAATCGTTTGAACCTGGAAGGCAGAGGTTGCACTGAGCTGAGATCACGCCACTGTACTCCAGCCTGAGTGATGAAGCGAGACTCTTTCTCAAAAAAAAAATAAACTAGAGAATTTCACTGTGTGTAAATATTAAATTTAAAAATAAAAACCAGGAATGGGAGGGGGCGTCCAAAATTAAGACCAACTGTAATTTTGGTCATTCATACAAATGAATAACATGACTACACTGAAGGGTTCAGGGAACAAAAAACTAACCTAAACAACTCAGAAAACAAAATTATGACTGTACATTGTAAGGCTAATGAAAAAGGACCGTGCACAAACACCATCCTCTAGTAAAAAACTGCTGAAATCTAGTTAGTAGTATTGTACGAATGATAATTTTTTAGTTTTCACAAGTGTGTTAGAATTACAAGATGTGACCTTTAAGTAAAGTTGGGTAAATGAGTACACAGAAATTCTCTGTCCTATTTTTGCAACATTTATTTTTTCTTTTTTTTGTAGAGACAGGGTCTTGCTATGTTGTCTAGGCTGGTTACTCCTGGGCTCCAGTGATCCTTCCACCTTGGCCTCCCAAAACACAGGGATTACAAACATGTGAGCCACTGTACCCAGCCAAAACTTTAAGTTAAAATTATTTCAACCTAAAAGTTAAAAAGGGAAAACCCAGGCTATGTGACATAATACAAAGGAGACAGCTTTGGAGATGAAATCCTTGCTGCCCTATTTACTACTATTAGCTAGTGACCTGAGGTGGCCATAGCGCCTCCCTGAGTGGCCCTTCCTCCTGGGTCCAAATGAAAGTGCATGCCGTCGCTGAATAGTGTAGTCTCACAGCCAGAAAACACTCCAGCAACGATCCATTCCCAATCCGTGTTCCCGCGTGCCTGTTTTTGCTGCTAATCATCTTTCATGTTGCCTGTGACCTCTGCAGAATTTCATTTTCTGGTCATCCTTTCCTCTCGTGGACCCCACAGCACTGCCTCAAGCTCACCTGGCTTTTCCTGACTCACTGGCTCTTCCTCTTCTCTCCTTTCATGAGTCCCTTCAGATTCTCTTTTGTTATCTACCTTTGTTGAAAGGCAACCTCAGCAACTCCCATGGTCACAACAGTCAGAACAAACGGGTTTCTATCTTTAGTCCTAATTCTGCCTTAAGAGTCGTCTTTCCATTGCTGGGATGATATTCTGCTTGGCTCTCCCTACACGAGGTCAAACTTAAAACTAAAGCCCTCATATTCCCTCCCAACATGTTCCTCTAAATCCTATGTTTTGTCAATGACCTTCACCTGCTCTAGGAAAACATTAAAAATCTTCAGGCAGGCTGGGCGCGGTGGCTCACGCCTATAATCCCAACACTTTGGGAGGCTGAGGTGGGCGGATCACCTGAGGTTGGGAGTTTGAGACCAGCCTGACCAACATGGAGAAACCCTGTCTCTACTAAAAATACAAAATTAGCCAGGCGTGGTAGTGCATGCCTGTAATCCCAGCTACTCAGGAGGCTGATGCAGGAGAATTGCTTGAACCCAGGAGGCAGAGGTTGCAGTGAGCCGAGATCGCACCACTGCACTCCAGCCTGGGGGACAAGAGCGAAACTCCATCTCCAAAAAAAACATCTTCAGGCAGCATTTCACAAACCATAAAACACAGATACTAGTTCTGTAGGATGTTATTAGGTCTTTCACAAAGACAAGACTGAAATGCACATAGCAAATGCTGGATTTTCTGAAGTTAAACAGATTTCTTTCAGGCAAGAGCCACTATTATGCTAATGAGTATTACAAATCTCCAAAAACACGGATGTCAGTAGTCACCAAATTTTGATCTAACTGCAGGTCATTTTTTCTGATCCATGAATACAAATGCCAAAATGATTTCCCAAAAGGCTGCAGAAACTTTTATTGTTGCAAATTATGCATTAGAGTTACTTTTACTGCATCTTGTCCCTCAACTTCATAAGCTAATGTCATTATTAGCTAATATCAAAGGCAACAAAAAGATGCCTTACTGTATTTCACTTTTCCTATTATTTGAATGTTTATTTTTTTCTCTTATGTTTTTGCTAGTTATAAATCAATGAATGATGAATGAATGGATGCAGGGAGCTGATGAATTTCCTGTTTATTTCTTTCTTCAGCTCTATGAAACAACTTACCGATCTACACTCTCGTCATTTATTAATAAGCAAGGACATACAAAGCCTATCCATACAGTTCCCTGAAATAAATTGTCTATGGACAAACTTTCATGAAGAAAAAGAGCATTTAACATCCCAGCTACACAACACACAAACAATAAGTGGGAGAGCACAACACCCGTGGCAACATGATTCCATTCCAGCACCAGCATTCCCTTTGTTCCTGGCTTGTGTCCAAAAATTTTCCACCTAAAAAATGAGGATAACAGCATACACTCAACCCCAGGGATATGGAAAGGGGCTACTGATATTTAGAGGGAGCCTTGTCATAATTAAACACACAGCACAAAACAGCATAACATTCAAACAATGAGTGACCAGTGGTTAGAGAATGTCAAAGAATACTCCTACCCTTTTCATTTAAGAATCACAGAAAAGAGACCTACAACCAGGCAGGAGACCTATTTGGCCAGTATCACATTCAGGAAAACAGTCTGTGGTCATCTCATTTATTAACCTTCCTAGTCAGACTGCGGCTTTCAGCAAAAGAAGGAAAGAAGGTAAGTGGGCATCATCTTTATGGGGAAGGACTGGTGCTAGAAGTCTTGTGGGAAGCTCAGGGGCTCACCTTGTCAAAAACAGAACTCACTGGCTGGGAGTGAGCCTTGGGAGAGATCAGAATTAGAGGATGAGGCACAAATGAGAAATCTACCACGTCAGGACCTGGGAGGCAGACGGAAGACATGCTGACCGGAAGCACAGCTACCTGACCATCCTCTCCTGAACCCTCCTGATCTTTGCAACCCCCAAATGACCACAAAATTATGAATATACACAGACACAACACTTCACTGGGTATAAAACTTCTCCGCCGGGATCGCACCACTGCACTCCAGCCTGGGGCAACAAGAGTGAAACTCCATCTCAAAAAAAAAACAAAAAACTTCTCGGCTGGGTGCAGTGGCTCACACCTCTAATCCCAGCACTTTGGGAGGCCAAGGTGGGCAGGGGGGATCACGAGGTCAGGAGTTCAAGACCAGCCTGGCTGACATGGTAAAACCCCATCTCTACTAAAAATACAAAAATTAGCCAGGCGTGGTGGCACGCGTCTGTAATCCCAGCTACTCAGGAGGCTCAGGCAAGAGAATCGCTTGAGCCCAGGAGGCGGAGGTTGCAGTGAGCCGAGATCATGCCACTGCACCCTAGCCTGGGCAACAGAGCGAGACTCCGTCTTTAAAAAAACAAACAAACAAAAAACTCATAAGCAGCAGCAGCAGCCTTAATGGTCATATCTGAAAGGACCCCTGCTTCTCTGCACCCTGCAAAACATGAGGCTGTCTCCTCTGTAGATAGGTGGAGGAGGAGGTGAGACCTGTGAGCCATCTTTTCCAGGTCCTCAGGAACCTCGCAAGTGAGTTTTCTCAAGGGAACCCCAAGAATTATACAGAAATGCAAAACTCTGACATTTGGGTCTTTGTTAAAATTTAACATTAATAAGTTTTTAACTATTTCACTATGGTTCATAAATCTGTAAAGTTCCTGGATGCTGTAATAAAAGACAAATCACAGTCCAAAAACACTATCAATCCAAATTCAATCTTTACAGCCAGATTCCTACATAGTATTAATACTGGAATTCAGATCACATAAAGAAGCAGCCAATTTCTCTTTCAAGTAATAATAATTTTGTATTAGCTTGGTCTTCTAAAAATCTGACAGCTGTAAAAATCAGAGCTGGGCAATCTATGGCAAAATTAGATAGGAAAAAGAAGAAAGTGAGGTCATGGGAGAAGGTGAACCCAGCACCGGTGCAGGTGCCTGACAACAACCAAAAGTGAGGAAGACAACCTGCCCGGAGCTGCATTTCCCACACCATTCTCCACTGAACGAAGCCAGGGCTCCTCGGAGAAATGACCGATCTAGGAATGGGCAGGAAATGCACCTACCAATGAATCTTATAGTGTCAGAAGGTAAGAAAGAGCTGAATGTCCCCCTGCCTCCAAAAAAAACAAAAAAACTACACTGATGGGGCGTGTCAAAGGGACATAGAAGCCCATGGAAAACTGGAACAATCCGAGCAACAAAATAAAGTAGTGTTGTGTTACAACCCAAAATATTAAATAAATATCCATGAATGCATACTGATATAAATGATGGAATAACTAAACAGGATATGCAAACCATCCCCTGTGCAGAAGTTCCAAAGTAATTTATGTAGATGCCCCACCCTTATGCAGTGAAGAACTCCCTGCCCCTTCAATGACTTTCTTCCGAGGACAGTACGGAAAGGGGAGAAAAAAGCAACTTTACCACGGAGAAAGAAACCTGATGAACACAACCTCAGCCAGGTGGTCAAGGTCAGCATCAACTGTGGTAAGTTACACGGACAGTATGTCCCCGGGCTGTGATGAGAATGGCACACTGCCTCCGAGACCTTCTTCCCAGAGACACACTACCCCAGCCTGACCACAGGAGACACATCAGACAAATCCCAATGGTGGGACCTCCTACAACATCCCTGACCAGTATTCCTTACAACTGTCAAGGTCATCGAAAACAAGGGAAGTCTGAGAAATGGTCATGGCCAAGTAAAGTCTGAAGACTAAATGTAATGTGATATCCTAGACGGACTCCTGGAACAGAAAAAGGACAATAGGTAAAAACTAAGGAAATCCAAATAAGGCACAGACTTTAGTTGTTGGTGGTTGGTTGCTTTTAAAGTAAGATAGAAATAGTGAATAGTTAAAGAGAACCGGCCAAGCATGGTGGCTCACACCTATAATCCCAGCATGTTGGGAGGCCAAGAGCTCACAAGTTTGAGACCAGCCTGGACAACATGGCAAAACTCCATCTCTACAAAAAATACAAAATTTAGATGGGCGTGGTGGAGCACACCTATAGTCCCAGCTACTCCAGATGCTGGAGTGGAAGGATAGCTTGAGCCCTGGAGGCAGAGGCTGCAGTGAGTATGTTTGTGCCATTGCACTTCAGCCTGGGCAACAGAGCCAGACCTTGTCTTAAAAAAAAAAAAAAAGAAAGAAAAAAAAATGGAGAACCTGGGAATGTGAAAATGCAGGGGAGAGCCGGGATGAGACGTTGTATACTATAATCCTTTTACTTCCAAAGAATATTGGCGAAAAGCAACCTAAAAAAAGAAGTAATTCGTACAGTGTTTAACAGCTCTGGATATTGGCTTTCCATTTTCTCCTCTCACCAGTAAACTGCCTCAAGGTCAGCGACTAATCAAAATGATGTAGCAACTTTTAAACCATAGGTTATTAGAAACACAATTTTCAGGCCGGGTTTGGCAGCTCACACCTGTAGTCCCAGCACTTCCAGAGGCCGAGGCAGGTAGACCACTTGAGGCCAGGAGTTCAAGACCACACTGGCCAACATGGTGAAACCCTGTCTATACTAAAAATACAAAAATTGGCCGGCCATGGTGTCACGCACCTGTAGTCTCAGCTACTCGGGAGGCTGAGGCACGAGAACTGCTAGAACTCTGGAGTCGGAGGTTGCAGTGAGCGAAGATCGTGCCACTACACTCCAGCCTGGGTGACAAGAGTGAGACCCAGTCTCAACCAAAAAAAAAAAAAAAAGAAAGAAATAGAATTTCAAAAGTTTGCATTCTCTATGATTTCTGCACACAAAATCATTCAGATTATCTTCCACGACTACAGCCAGCCCCAGTCTGTGGCCGGAGATGATAAATGATTTATTTGGTTTATCTTTTTGGCCAATGGTACGCAACACAACAACTGGATCACTGATCACTTAATATATGAAATAACAGCTTATTAAAAAACAATAGGTCCCTCCTAAGAATTTGGTTATAGGGATCACAAGGAAAGAAATTATTTCTCTCTCTCTCTCCATCCTTCAGGTATCGTCTAACAATGCCAGCCTTTCCTTCCACAACAGCAATATAACTGGGGTTTCAATTCTAAAAATTAACACCGATAAATAGGAACTACCGTTTCCCTTTAAAATATAGCCAGGTGTACATTTAGCTTTTTTTAATCATGGTAAAACACACAAAACATAAAATTTACCATCTTAACCATATACATTATTTTTTTTTTTTTTGAGACAAGGTCTCACTAGGTTGCCTAGGCTGGCATGCAGTGGCGTGATCTCGGCTCACTGCAGCCTCCCCCTCCCAGGCTCAAACCATTCCTCTCACCTCAGACTCCCAAGTAGCTGGGACTACAGGTGCACACCACCACACCTGACTAATTTTTATATTTTTTGTAGATACAAGGTCTCACTATGTTGCCCAGGCTGGTCCCAAACCCCTGAGCTGAAGCAATTCGCCTGCCTCGGCCTCCCAAAGTGCCGTGATTACAGGCATGAACCACCATGGCCAGCTGCATTTAATTTTTATATGAAGAACATATTGAACGATAAAAGCAAAAAGGCCACCTATTATTACTAAGGGAGAGCATGCAGGGGAAGTTTTAAAAAATTAGTTCAACTGTTCCCAATGTATGCTGAAATTTTCTTAAATTTCTTAAATCTCTAAAGGGCAATCTATAAATGCACACATTGTCCACGGTTTAAACTTCAGACTTCTGATTTTTTAAAACTGTATTCACTAAACACCCCCACATCAAACCACAGTCACTTCACTTCAGAGAGGTTCAAATCTGGTTTTTGTTTTTCTTGAGATATCTAGTTCAAGTGCCTTGCGGGTATGTACAATCAGATATCCCACAACCATTTCAGCTTTCTTAAACTAACTTCGTCATCTCTTACTCAATATCAGACTCCTCTCTTTCAATACCATTATTTTCTCAAACTAAGAATTTCACCTCCAATTCTTCTCCCTGGGCCCTGCCCACTTCCCTGGCGCTATTTTGCAGATGCGCCCTCATTCTCTTTATAATCGCTGTCGGTCCTCTATTTTGACCATCTCACCTCACACCGAGACCAATGCTCTGTTCTCCCTGTCTCCAGCCTCTTGTTCAGAATTTCCAGATAAATTTTTCTAAAATTCCTTTTAATTATAGCTATCACTCCTCCTATTAAAAATCCTGGAATCACCTTCCAAATTAAGTCCAAACTTCTTGGCCTCACACCAAATTCCCAATACAATCTGCCCCCAACCATGAGCTGCTGCGGTTCCGCGTGTGTTTTTCGCAGGCCCAGCTTTCCTTCTTAGTTTGCCCTTCTGGATAGCCTCTGACCTGGAATGCCTCCCCCAACACACACTTATCTCCATTAGCCAAGTATGAAGAACTCATTCTTCAGGTTCTACTGAAGGAAGAGCCTCAATTTCCTCATCTTCCAAAAGGGGAACTAATAGTTAACAGCCGTATCACAGGGTTATTCTACAAATGGAAACAAGTAACATGGAAAGTGCCAAGCACACAGACATTAAAAGGCTATTTTCTTCCTTTATTTTTTCTAAAAATTAAATGGGAAAAACTAAATTAATATTCTTGAGAAGAGAAAGTGAAGAAGTTGTGAGGTGATGATGGTATGATCAGAGGAAAAAGAAAAACGAGGGGATTCTTGGGTACTTCGCAGAGTGCTGGCACCGGTTCCCTACTGCATTTCATTCACTTTCAAAAGCACAGCCTTTCTCCTAATGTGGATGTGCCTCCAGTCCTACTCTAGGTATCGGCCACTAGAAGGATCACCTGGGGCCAGGTGTGGTGGCTCACCCCTATAATCCCAGCACTTTGGGAAGCCGAGGCAGGTGGATCACCTGAGGTTGGGAGTTCGAGACCACCCTGACCAACATGGAGAAACCCTGTCTCTACTAAAAATACAAAATTAGCTGGGTGTGGTGGCACATGACTGTAATCCCAGCTACTCGAGAGGCTGAGGCAGGAGAATCGCTTGAACCCGGGAGGTGGAGGCTGCAGTGAGTCGAGATCACACCATTGCACTCCAGCCTGGGCAACAAGAGCAAAACTCCATCTCAAAAAAAAAAAAAAGAAGGAGAAGGGTCACCTGGAGTCAGAAACGAAAAAGAATACACAGGTTTCTCTTAAAAGGCAGCAAAATGATCACGCCACTGCACGCCAGTCTGGGGCAACAGAGGGAGACCCTATCTCAAAAAAAGGGCAACAAAATTTCATCAATCCACAAAACATCTCAGCATTTCTGGGTCCCCTGTGACTCTTGCTTTTGACTTTGAGACTTGTGTCTTCCCCATCAAGCACTAACCAAAGATGGGCTATGATCTTAACCGCCCCCGTCTAACCCTGCCCACCCCACACCTCCACACCATGCTGACACAGACAACACCGCTGCACAGGGCCGGGCTCACAGACCAGGCCCCACAGAGAGCAGAGCACTGGGATGCGCAGCCACAATGTGACATGGGCCAGGAACCCCAAACCATAGCAGTGGTACCCATGCCCCGAAACAAACACTCTAAGAGAAGCTGGAGGAGAACAGGCATGGAGAAACCGCTGTTAGAGAGAAGACAAAGAGGAAGTGGGCTAAGAAGTCCTCACCATGCTGTTAAGGTGTCTACTCCTAGCTGTCCAGTTCTCTGGAAGGGAGGCAGCCTCAGGGAGGGAAGCCAGTGGGCACCCACTGGCCAGGCGACCAGCAAGTCAGCACTAGCCAGGCAGGCTGTGAGAGCAGGGTGGGGTGCGAAGCCAACAGAGAAATCCTGGAGCTCCAGAGGAGATGGGGACAGGGTTCTCCAGAAGCAGCCAGGATGATAAGAGGCCAGTACCCATTCAGGGCAATCCTTAGGCCATGCTAACTGGTGACTCCACCCCTGCAGGTGGACTCATCGTCACTTGTAATAGGTACTGTTGTCTGCTTGTGTATTTGTCTTCTCTCCCTCACTGGTTTAAAGTTCCAGATTCCACTTTGCAAAATTACCCACACCAGTGCTCTCCAAAGAGCAGGTGCTGGCTAAAGAGCAAATGCATCATAGTAAAATATATTAAGCGCCTAAAAGTCCTATGTATTTTCACACAGCCCACAGCCTCTACTTCTGAACCAAGAAGATATCGGAGGGGCGTGGACTCAGCTCCCCAAGGCGACTCCTCTGCACAATGGCTCTACAGACACTTGAAAACTGCCAGAGGCCGAGCGCAGTGGCTCACGCCTGTAATCCCACTTTGGAAGGCTGAGGCGGGAGGACTGAGGTCAGCCGTTCAGGACCAACCTGGCCAACATAGCTAGACTCCATCTCTAAAAAAGAAAAAAAGAAAAGTGCTAGAAGCCAAGAGGAGACGAAGGCCACTGATGTGGGCTTCACAACGCCCAGCTCCAGAAAAGAGAAGTTCAGGTCAAACAGAGACATTAAACAAGGGCATAAGAAGGAAAAGAAAGAGACCCAGAGGAAAGGTCCCATCTCGGCCATGGGTCAATACTATGAAGGTAGAAATAGAAACAGGCAGATGGTTTTTGAATTTTAATATTTTATACATGGCAAGGACTGCCCATGAAACAAGGCTGAGTGAATTCACGAGTTTCTTTCCCTTCCCTCCTGAAACCCTACAAAGATGGCATTAAAAGTATTTTTTTTTTAATTTAAATAGGCAAATAGAGACAGGAAGTAAGTGGTTGCTTAGAGCTTGGGGGTTGGGAACTGGGCATCATGGCTAAAGGATACAGGGTTTCTTTCTGAGGTGATGAAAATGTCCTAAAATTGACTGGTGGTGACTGTACAACTCTGTGAACATGTTAAAAATGACTGACCTGTGTGCTTTAAAGAGGCAGGTGGCATGGTATGTGAATTGTATGTCAATAACGGTTGCCAAAAACAATATGCTGTGAGAATGGAGTCAAAGCCAAGGTGAGGCATCAACAAAGTTTGGGGAAGAGGAGGAGGACAGGGAGGGGCAGGTGACCACCAGATCATGAAGCTCCGTCCTAAGGTCTGGTAGGAGGCTGCCATGGAGGTGGGGACGGTCAGTCCTACAGCTGCAGAGACAGCCAGGCCCTGGAGCCAGCAAAGAAAGCAGGGAGCAGGGCAGGGCTAGAAACAGGGAGCCCCCGACCCTTCATCAGCTGGGGAAGCTAGGGAGGAGGGAGAGGAGAATCTCTGGGCTATCAAAGCCGTGGAAGCTCAGGGTTCAGGGCCACAGGGTGAGCATGAGACAGAAACCAGAACAGAGAGCCTGACCTCCATTTCCTCCAGCCCTACAGCCTAAAGCCAAGTTTATCCCCCAGGCAGAAGCATGGACAAGTCTCCTAGGAAAACAAAAGCACCAGTGAAAAGATTCCGGATGCTGACTGCTGCGATCCTCCGATGAGTCCAGCTCCACGAGGAATCACAGAGAAGCCCCTGGAGGACAGGCCGCAGCTGCGCAGACAGACCTCCCGGGCAGCTCTCCACAGCCTCATCCCTAAACAATCACCAGATGCATGGGAAAGCCTCTAGACAAAGAGATCTGAATCAAAACAAAAATCAAAAATAAAGAGGACAGAGATGCTACAAGGAGAGGAAGAAAAGAATATATGTACAATTAGTATCCTCAGAGAAAAATGGACAGGAAGTTATGAAGGAACTTTTGGAAATTATAAATATTAATAACTGAAATAAAAGATAAAATAGGTGAAACAACAGAGTCAAGGAAATCAAGATCTCTCCCCAAGAGTATAACTAGAAAATAAAGACAGACGATAGAAGAGAAAAGGTATGAAAATTAAAAGTTCAATACAGCTGGTCCAACATCTGACTAAAAAGAGTGTTTCAGGCTGGGCACAGTGGCTCACGCCTGTCATCCCAGCATATTGGGAGGCCGAGGCAGGCAGATCATGAAGTCGAGAGATTGAGACCACCCTGGTCAACATGGTGGAACCCTGTCTCTACTAAAAATACAAAAATAAGCTGGGCGTGGTGGCTCGCACCTGTAGTCTCAGCTACTCAGGAGGCTGAGGCAGGAGAATCGCTTGAACCCGGGAGGCAGAGGTTGCAGTGAGTCAAGATCGCGCCACTGCACTCCAGCCTGGGTGACAGAGCAAGACTCCATCTCAAAAAAAATAAATAAATAAATAAAATTAAGTGTTTCAGAAAGAGGAAATGCAGAGAGGACATTATTACAGAAATAATACAGGAACATCTCCCAAGACAAAAGGAGACAATCCAATTGAAAGGGCCTCATTAGGCTGCCAGAAAAATAAAGGATGCCAAGTTAAATCTGAATTTCAGATAAACAAATCATCTTGTAGTGTAAGGATGTTCCACTGTTTATCTGAGCATCTTGTATTTTTTATTTGCTAAGTCTGACAACTCTCTACCTCTGCTGGCCCAATACAAGAGGTGGAAAGAAGTCCACGCTGGAGTGAAATTACAGAGCTCCAAAAAGCGAAGCAGCAGAACCAACAATCACACGGACTCGCTGTGTCCGGACTCTATTTTAAGAGGCTTGCCGCTGTGAACGCATGGATCCCCACAGCAATCTACGCGCACTCAGCACCTGTGCTTCCAGACAAAGGGGGCTCTGCCCCGGCCTGCGTGGTAGACAACCCATTTCTCTCCAGCGCTGAAAGCCAGAGACTATGCTTCTCAGTCTCATGGGAAACTTTTGTTTCATTCCCTTTTAATTTTGGAAACTGGCCAAACAAGGAGGAATTCTGGGAAAGACAGGTCAGTGGGGAAGCAGGGGGCATGTATGTGCAGGTCACAGCCCCTGCCCTGGGGTACCAGAGAAAAAGTGGGTGTCTAGGCAGGACAGGCTCCCTGATTTCCCCAGCACAGATGGTACAGTTTTGGGGAGGTGCTTAGAAGTGCCTGGAAATCAGAGAATCAAGGTGTGAGGGAATACGATAAAATCACCCTAGATGGAGACAGGCTCCTGGGAAGCTTGAGCTGCCAAGACTACACCTGGGATCAGCGGGTCTAGCGCGGCATTCACGCTGGGCTGCCGGGGCAGACTCCGGGGCCTGGCTCAGGGCTGGTCCAAGTGTGAGGCTGTCTGTTAGACTCTGGTCTTCAGGGAGAGTAGGCTGCAAGGACCTGGGTGAACACAGGGGCCAGGCCATAGACAGAGGTAGATTTGAACCCTTTAAATATTTAGGCATATCATATATACCTTGTAAATATTTAAATATACCTTTTAAATATTTAGCCATCTGGTCTCCATTAGTACTCTTGCCCCAGGCCCTACATACATTAAAGGTAGGCCTCGGAGCCATTATGATGATGGTGGTGATTATTCCTATTCTATAAGACAGAGAAGTTTAAGTGTCTTGCTCAAGGACACGTGGCTAGTGAGCAAGAGGATTCTGCCTCCACAGTCCAGGTCTGTCACCTTCTCTCTGACCACACACAGTCAGCAGGTACTATCTCAAATGAACAAGTCCAAGTTTAGCAATGTAAGCACATTATTTAGAAATAACAGAACAAACCAAAAAATTCAAATTCACTGCCTAAGGGAATTATGATGTAAAGTACTATTTTTTTGATCTATGTACATGTATTACTTTGACAAAAAATTTTAAATTGTTGAAAGGAGTTAAGTAATAATCTTTATTCATTTATTTATTTACTTACTTATTTATTTTTGAGACAGAGTCCCACTGCTTTGTCACCCAGGGTGGAGTGCAGTAGCATGGTCTCGGCTCACTGCAACCTCCGCCTCTGAATTCAAGCAATTCTCCTGCCTCAGCCTCCTAAGTAGCTGGGATTACAGGCACCTGCCACTACTCCTGGCTAATTTTCATATTTTTAGTAAAGATGGGGATTCGCCATGTTGGCCAGGCTGGTCTCAAACTCCTGATCTCAGGTGATCTGCCTGCCTCGGGCTCCCTAAGTGCTGGGATTACAGGTGTGAGCCACCGCGCCCAGCCAATCTTAACTTTACATCTCTTCCCTCGATGTAAACAACTTAAAAATTGCTCTGCTCTTCAAGTCTCATTCCTCCAGAACATAAAATATACTCATCATTTTTCCTAATGCCAATCTGTCATGATAACTAATCCTAAGGTTGTTGTTGCATTTAGTGCATTCTCAAAACTGTTTACAGTGAAATACAGCAAATTCTATTATTTGTCAGAAAATGTTCCATAATTGAAAACCCAAAAACAGTCATTTTAGATTGCAAAATCAGGTTTCGTGTATATGTGAAAGTATTATTCAGTGTATTTTTCTTTTTTAGGTCTTTTTCCCCCCAACCTCAATGCATTTAGAAGAACCTTGCTCAGTCCAAGTTAAAAATAAAGGGAAGGCAGCAGGGGGAGCTTTAAGTATTCAACTACTTTATATTCCAAAAAGCTACAAAACTTACAAAATTACGTGCTTAATGCAGAAACAGAGCAACTGTTCAGTCAAACTGACCATATCTAAGAGCACACACATCTAATGAAATGTTCATAACAATCCCCCCCACCCCTGCTAACCAAGACCAGAATCAAAGAGAAATTCCAACCCTAAGAGTATTTTGAGTCTGTTCAAGCCCCGGGGGAAAAAACAGAAAGAGAAGAGAAAAAAGCTTACAACCTAAGACTAGACCCCAGAACAAAACCACAGCCCTTTGAAGAGCGCAGTCCATACAGCCTTTCATGCCTCTACCTCGCTGGGCTGCCTGCTTTCAAATGCATGGTCACATGGGACAGGGATCTTGTCTCCCTACTTATTTTGCCGATTTATCTTCATCTGCTCCATTTGTCAGCCTAGGCTATCTTCCTCCTGTCTAAATCCCCTGAAAACACCTCCCTCTACTGATTAATCCTTCCAATCGATTGGTCTTTTCAATATTTATGTCCGTCATGTGGTGGTGTTGTTTTACTTAATAAATACCTCTACAGAAAGATCTGAGGTGGTTTATAAGAAGAGAAACATAAATAAGGCCCAAATAGGTTACAGAGGGAGAGGAATAAAAAAGCTGTATTGTTATACCTTGATAAACAGATAGCTGAGTGGGCGGATGGACAGACGGATGGGTGGATGAACAGATGGACAGATGCATATGGCTGAAGACATCCCAAGCATGTGCAGCAGCCTCTTTCCCCACCTTCCCAGCCCAGACATGGGTGGTGGCTTGACTGGGTCACAGTAGATTGGCCAGATAAAAACTGCTGCACTTACTTGAAGTGCCTAGAATAGGCAAATTAAGAGACAGGAAGTAGAAGAGAAGTTACCACAAGCAGGAGGAAGGTGAGAAGGGAGAGTTATTTATTTGGTTCAGAGCTTTTTTTGAAGGTGATGGAAAACTTTTACCATGGGTAACATATTTCATCTCACTGAACTGTACACTTATGGTTAAGATGACAAATATTATGTATATTTTACTTAAAAAACAAACAACAACAACAAAAAACAAACACTGCTAGATTTAACAGGGAAGAAAGTTACACTGCACTGAAAAGCAAGGATCTGGCTGGGTGACGCCCATAATTTCAACACTTTGGGAGGCTGAGGTGGGAAGATCGCTTGAGGCCAAGAGTTTAAGACCAGCCTGGGCAACAGAGTGAGACCTCATTTCTATTTTAAAAATTTAAAGTTAGTGAGGTGTGGTGGCATGTACCTGTGGTCTCAGCTACTTGGGAGGCTAAGGTAGGAGGACCGTTTGAGGCCAGGAGCTCAAGGCTGCCAGTGAGCTATGATCATGCCACTGCAGTACAGCCTCGTCGACAGAGTGAGACCATCTCAAAAAAAAAAAAAGAAAGAAAGAAAGAAAGTGAAGATTTGAGAAATGCACTGTATTCTAATGTCTGGCACCCCTTATGACACCTTTAGGGAAATGGGCTGATAAATACCAGCAACAGGCTAGCAACCTTTAGCAACAAGGAGTGTGAGGGGTGGGGAGCCCCGATTTTTAGCCTTTGCCCATTTCTGTGACTTAGATCCTCCCACTGGGATACATTTCAAGCTACTAACAAGATGTCCTGGTGGAGCTGGGAAGAGACACGTACGATATAGACTGGCAGCCAGCCTCAGCCAGCTCCAACAGGCAGGCCCGTCCGTCACTGTCTCCCAGAATGTTTGTAGACATTAGGAACAAAGGAGATCTTAGGGTCAAATGGTTAAACAAAGTTTAAACTGGTTTCTTTGCCACAAGAGTTCCCCAAATCTTTATCCCCAACCCATTTTGAGAGCTTTAATATATTAAAGCACATTTTGAATCGCCAAGAAGGGCTAGAGCATAAAATACTTATCAAATCTATCTGACCTCTGGACTCTCTTTTCCCTAACAGCATCTGGGAGGTGTACGTGCCCTTTTGGGAAATACTGCCTTAAAGACATGCGTCTGTTCCTTTGCAGCCAAACGTGAGACAGAGGCTGCAAGCATCTAGAAGACGACGCAGCTACTGCTCAGTGGAGGGCCACCAATACCATCTGTGACTGGCACCCTGGCAGAAAATTGAAGTTGGGCAAGCCGATTTAGGTCAAACTTTAGCAACAATTTACACAGAAAAGCCCAATTAGAGCCTCTGCCAATGGCTCTGTGCCACAGGGATAAGGGGAAAAGAAGGAGAATGGCTCAGGCACAATTTCTTTTGGCTCTTCCTGTGGGATAGTAACTTTTCTCTGAGTTCCACAATGCTTTTTCTTCTAAACTACAGAGACAAGGCCTATGTTGCCCAGGCTGGTCTTAAACTCCTGGGCTCACATGATCCTCCTGCCTTAGCCTCCCATGTGCTGGGACTACAGGCCACCATGTCCAGCTCCCAAAATGTTCATGTACATTAATCTCTAAATATTCCAAGTAGACAACAACATTAACCTAGAAAATATGCTAAAATATCTAGAAAAATTGACAGGGTAGTTTGTTCGTAAAATGCCAAGTAGTGCCTGAAAATCGAGGATGGCTTCAAGTCTAATGAAAACAAGGTGCATAAAAGGAAGATCAAGACCACACAAAAGGCAAATGATTAATTACTTCCTTAGGGAAGAATAAGGAGGTCAATATTCATAAAGCCTAGCAAATTAATACCCACAACGAGCCATGGTTTACTGGATTTGATTAGTAAGAACATCCTTTTCACTTATTCCATTATTTAAACTCTTCCTAGACCAAGGAAAGTCTATTTTCTTTTTTTTTTTTTTTTTTGAGATGGAGTCTCGCTGTTATCACCCAGGCTGGAGTGCAGTGGTGCAATCTCAGCTCACAGCAACCTCCACCCCTCAGGTTCAAGCGATTCTCCTGCCTCAGCTTACTGAGTAGCTGGGATTGCAGGTGCATACCACCACACCCGGCTAACTTTTTTGTATTTTCAGTAGAGATGGGGTTTCACCATGTTAGCCGGGCTGGTCTCAAACTCCTGACCTCAAGTTATCTGCTCACCTTGGCCTCCCAAAGTGCTAGGATTACAGGCATGAGCCACCACGCCCGGCCGGAAAGTCTACTTTCAATGGCAAGATGAAAATCATATATTTATGCTCCTGTGCATAAATGCTCTGAAGAATGTAAGACAAGTGGCAGGCCACAAAGAAAGGCCACAGCAATCTACCACAAAGTTACTCCAACACGGAAATGATGCCAGACACATCTCTTCCTTCTCCCTGTAGTTTGAGTCTAGAACCAGAAGAACATGGTGGTTCTTCTATCTCACTACCACAGACAGTAAATACAGGACAAGCAAAGAGCCACAATGAGCCCAGTGAGATTCAGGAACCACCCAGCTGATCCACAGTCAGGTAAAAACGAGTCACCATTCTACCCCCATGTAACCACTGCTCTCTCTGGCTTGTACCCACGAGAAGCAAAAGGCAAACCTTTAAATATCAAAATATCAAGCCAACCATTTCACAGGTGACAAGTTAGCTCTTAAGCAGTCCTAACAGATCAATATAATAAGCATGTGGGTCCAAAATTCACATAGCTTCCCAATTATCTCATTTCTTTCTTTTTTTTTTTTTTTGAGACAGAGTCTTGCTTTGTCGCCCAGATTGAAGTGCAGTGACATGATAACGAGTCACTGTGGTCTCAACCTCCCAGGCTCAAGCGATCCTCCCCACCTCAGCCTTCCCAAGAGCTGGGATTACAGGCACGAGCCACCACACCCGGCTAATATTTGGTATTTTGTAGTGACAGGGTTTCGCCACAGCCATGTTGCCCAGGCTGGGCAAGCGATCCACCCATCTCAGCCTCCCAAAGTGCTGGGATTACAGGTGTGAGCCGCCACGCCAGGCACCAGGCAACTAGTTATCTCATTTCTAAAGCAAACTATTAACATAATAATAGCAAGAGATTCATTGATTTCTAAATCAACTCACAGACACTTCTAATTATTCTTTTTTTATTCTTTAAAGTACATAACGCCCTTAATCCCAGCACTTTGGCAGGCCGAGGCAGGCAGATCACCTGAGGTCAGGAGTTCAAGACCAGCCTGGCCAACACATGAAACCCCGCCTCTGCTAAAAATGCAAAAATTAGCTGGGTGCGGTGGCACACGCCTGTAATCCCAGCTACTCGGGAGGCTGAGGCAGAATCGCTTGGTCCTGGGAGGGTGAGGCTGCAGTGAGCTGAAATCGCGCCATTGCACTCCAGCCTGGGTGACAGAGCAAGACTCCATCTCAAAAAAAAAAAAAAAAAGAAAGTACAAATCAGAAATTGCTGAGTTGATAATCTGGAGTAACTGACTTGCTCTCAGTTAATTGACAAGCATTCCTTGGGACTTTCTTTGCAGAGTACTACAGAAACAGCAGTCACAGATCTCATCATTTCACCCACCAGCAGCAGAAAACTGAATTCTCTTGTATGAGTTCTACTGCAGTAATGTTCCCCTCCTGTCTCTGCCACGCCCCCACTTGGGGAACCTTCAGCCAACAGAACCTCTTAGATTCAAAATCTCTACACGAACATTGCTTCTGCATCACAATTGCTCAAACTTGAATGCCAAAGTAGCATCGTTGTGAAGCGCTTTATTTAGACGACAGGCTGCCCTTTGTTCAAATGTACCTCTTTCATTCCTGGAATTTATTATGGGTATTACGTGCTCTTTGCCAATGCTCTAACACCCAGAAGTATAAGCAACAGAAACCAAAGGCCTCTGGGAGGCCTCCTCACCAGAGATCAACTGGTAACATTTGGGATACAGATTTCTAAATGCATACATAAGCATAAATATACATACACATATATAGGCATTTTCACACTCAGTAACATATCCCAGATACCGTTCCAGGTCTACGGGGCTTCCATCAAATCAGACACTCCATGTCAATTCAACAGTGTTTTCAAGAGTACCCTTTAAATTTAGATTGTGATATTCTCCAAAGAGAGTTTAAAGCCAAAGCAAGTAACCACAAGAACAACCTTTCTTCATAAATTCTTACAAAAATAACTCTTAAACAAAAAAGAAAAAACCCTTTGAGACACAGTGTTGTGTTTCACTCTTTTGCTTTAAAATCCTGAAGATATATGTTTAACTCACGATAAAATGAAAGATGAGAGAAATGGAGACATTAAAATAATTTACTCATGCGCTTAAATCATAATTTTTATGTTTAAAATGTCTCCAAGAATACCTTCTGTCACTCTATCCATCAAGATACTATATATTCTTGATTTCACAGTAAACCAGCCTTGCTTATGGGTGAGTGGGGGCTGGTATTTTAGCACTTTTACTTTCATTTTCCTAAAGGATCTTGGCCTGAAGGAAATGTTCTATTCCAAATAATAAACTACTTCCCCCAACTCAAGGTAAATGTGAACCCAGGAGTTTATCCAGCTTTAGGAGGGAGGGCAGACTGGCATAGGCTGGCACTTAGTATCACACCAGGGTGGGAAAGAGGATGGCACGTTCAACAACAAAACGAGGACTGGTCAGAACAGAGAAGGTTAACCAACTTTCTAAGAGATCCTCAGTCAAACTCATTATAAATAAATTCCTATTTTAGGTAAAAAGCTTAAAACACATGCAAGAACACAGACCAACACTAACAGTAAAAAGTCTTTTTAATCACACTTACAAAGCATGATCCATTTTACCTGATTTTTTTAAATGTTCGTAAGTACAAGCGTCCCAGGTTTCATTCATTCATTTTTGAGACAGTTTCTCTGTGTCACCCAGACTGGAGTGCAGTGACATGATCTCGGCTCACTGCAACCTCTGCCTCCTGGGTTCAGGTGATTCTCATGCCTCAGCCACCCAAGTAGCTGGGATGACAGGCATGCGCCATGATGCCCAGCTAATTTTTGTATTTTTAGTAGAGATAGGGTTTCGCCATGTTGGCCAAGCTTGTCTCAAACTCCTGGCCTCAAGTGATCTACCCACCTCAGCCTCCGAAAGTGCTGGGATTACAGGCGTGAGCCACCAGGCCAGGCCTCCAGGTTCCTTTTAAGAGGAAAGAGAGAGGCCGGGCGCAGTGGCTCATGCCTGTGATCCCAGCACTTTGGGAGGCCGAGGCAGGCAGATCACAAGATCAAGGGATCGAGACCATCCTGGCTAACATGGTGAAATCCCGTCTCTACTAAAAATTACAAAAAATTAGCCAGGCATGGTGGCGCACGTGTGTAGTCCTAGCTACTCGGGAGGCTGAGGCAGGAGAATCGCTTGAACCCAGTTAGCCCGATACGGTGGCATGCGTGTAGTTCCTGCTACTCAGGAGGCTGAGGTGGGAGGATCACTTGAACCCGGGAGGTCAAGGCTGCAGTGAGCTATGATAGCATCACTGCACCCCAGCCTGGATGACAGAGGCCCCATATCTAAAAAAATAGTTTAAGAAGGAAAAAAAAAAAGGAAGGAGAGGAACCATTTACCTACCGGGAAGAAGAGGTAAAGAGGTCTGAGGAAGAGGAAGAGGTGGAGTGGGGGAGGAGGAAGAAGAAGCTAGAGGGCAGGATGGAGAAAAAGAAGGGGAGAGGGAACAGACTGGGCATACAGTCATATTACAGTGACTGGTGAGAATACAGGTAGTACTTAATAAGTAATTCACATATCCTTCCTTACTTTTTAAATTTCTCAAAAAAAAAAAAAAATGGGCGGCAGTTAGTGCAAGGACAGAGGGAAAAGAATTCCTGTAACAGAGCAATGCGGGGTCATTGGGATTTTGGCAAGGAGATACCAGGTACAGTTTAAGGTTTAAAAAAAAGAAACCCAGAAGTCATTAAGGAGATAATGATGGAACCACCTTTATATCAAAAAAAGAATAAGGATCAAACTGGAGTCAAAGACACAATAATGGCCCTCTGGGTAGAAGAAGAGCAAATATTTAGATAAACCCAGTTGTAACAGTTAAGTACTAACCAGGGTACTTAATTTTACTTAAGAGTTATATATATACGTGTATATATATATATGTATGTGTGTGTATATATATATAACTCATATATATATATATTTTTCCTCCCCAGGCTGGAGTGCAGTGTCAAAATCTCGGCTCACTGCAACCCCCACCTCCTGAGTTCAAGTGATTCTCCTGCCTCAGCCTCCCAAGTAGCTGGGATTACAAGTGTGTGCCACCATGCCCAGCTAATTTTTTTTTTTCTTTTTTAAACACAGTCTCACCATCTCCTAGGCTGGAGTGCAGTGGCGCGATCTTGGCTTACCACAACCTCCACCTCCCGGGTTCAAACGATTCTCCTGCCTCAGCCTCCTGAGTAGCTGGGACTATACAGGTGCATGCCACCACACCTGGCTAATTTTTTATTTTTAGTAGAGGCAGGGTTTCACCATGTTGGCCAGGTTGGTCTCAAACTCCTGACCTCAGGTGATCCTGCCTTGGCCTCCCAAAGTGCTGGGATTACAGGCGTGAGCCACCGCGCCTAGCCAAATTTTGGGGTTTTTTTGTTTTTTGTTTTGAGATGGAATCACAGTCTGTCACCCAGGCTGGAGTGCAGTGGCGTGACCTCGGCTCACCGCAACCTCCACCCCCTGGGTTCAAGAGAGTCTTCTGCCTCAGCCTCCCGAGTAGCTGGGATAATTTTTGTATTTTTAGTAGAGAGGGGGTTTCACCATATTGGCCAGGCTGGTCTCAAACTCCTGACATCAAGTGATCCGCCTGTCTCAGCCTCCCAAAGTGCTGGGATTACAGGCATGAGCCACCACACCCGGCCAAGAGTTTGTATTTCTTAAACACCCACTCCACTTCTGGAAAAATATCCTTTTAAGTAGAAAGTACAAGTTAATATAAGTGCTGTTTTCTTACTAACTGTATTTTACAGAAAAAGTACAAGTACATGGATATGTGTTATATGGCTCAAGAAAGACAACCTGATAAATTTCAGGTACACCTGGAACAAGCATCCCTCTTTATTTGTGGCAGTTACCTGGAAACAGGAAGTGCCCAGGGAGGGTTTATTCACCTCTATCTAGCTAACTTCAGAGCTTTTTAACTCTATGTGTTAACTACTTAGGCATATATATCTAAAATGCTTGGAAAAGAGAGAGAAAGAAAATCACGGAAAGAGAAAACATGATTTGTAAGAGGTCTGGGGGAGAAGTACACTGAATATTCTAAATCTGAAATGCTCCAAAATCCTAAACTTTTTGAGTGCCAAATTAACACTCAAATGCTCATTTGGAACTTTCAAATTTTGGATTTTTAGATTTGAGATGTTCAACTGGTGAGTATAATGTAAATATTCCAAAATCTGGAACAAAAAAACCTAAATGCTGGTCCCAAGCATTACGGATAAGGGATACTCAGCCTGTATGAATTATATATATATATATATATATAAAATATATATATATAATATATATTATATATATATAAATTATATATATATAAATTATATATATAATTTATATATATAATTTTTTATATATATAAATTATATATATTTTATATATATATAAATTATATATATTAATTTTATATATATATAAAATATATATATATAATTTATATATATATATATATATATATATATAATTTTTTTTTTGCCTTCCTTGGAGACAGAGTTTCGCTCTTGTCGCTCAGGCTGGAGTGCAATGGTGTGATCTTGGCTCACTGCAACCTCCGCCTCCCAGGTTGAAGCGATTCTCCTGCCTCAGCCTCCCAAGTAGCTGGGGTTACAGGCGTGCGTCACCACACCCAGCTAATTTTTTGTATTTTTGTAGAGACAGGGTTTCACCATGTTGGCCAGGCTGCTCTTGACCTCCTGACCTCAGGTGATCCACCCACCTTGGCCTCCCAAAATGTTGGGATTACAGGCGTGAGCCACTGCACCCGGCCATATTTTCATTTCTGAAAAGAAAACTTACAAGAAAAATATCTGATTTTATATTTATAAAATTAGAAAACGTGACATTGTACATTCTAAGTGATTCTTTACTTTCACATGGAGTTAACGGATTTAATATTTGACTGATTTGCAGTTTGCTAAAATCACATGAAAGTTCCAAAATGTTCAATTTTCCTTTATTAATGAACTATCTAAAAGTTTTATACTGTCTGCCTATATAAAATAAAATACTCATGATGATTGTGGTTTATTATTCAACTGAGTAAATTCCTTTAAAATATATCAAGTTTTCATAATTTAGATTAGAGCATAATCCCAGAAAATCCTTAAAGATATGAAGTTCTGCTCCTTCCATTTTCTGAGAACTAGAATAGGAGAGTAGTTAGAAATAATTTATGAACGCAAAGCTCTAATCTAATAAAAAGATGTTTGGGGAGGGCTCCTTTAATTCCGCAGGAAAAGCCATTGGCATATTATTTCTGCTCCCCTCTGCCCCGGGGGACGCAGGGATAAAGCAGCTTTCACAAAGCCCGGCTGCCTCAGTCACTTCCTCAGGAAGTGGCACTGACCGCAGCTCGCCCCGACTCGGTGTGGTCTCCAGCCTTCAGATAGGCCCTAGGATTGGGAAGAGGACACTAACCACAACCAGCAATACTGCCTAGTCCTGCATGACGGTCCCTCCTGTGAGCGTGGGGGTTCTGTTTTGGTTTGTGGTTTTGTGTTAAGCCCAGGTGGAAGATGACAGGTCACACAATGATGCAGCAGACTACCCATTTTCTTTCTTCCCCTCTTCTCCCACCAGACCACCCAACTGACCCCAAACACATGAGAGGCAGAGGGCTGCATCACCCCGGAAATAAATATGCATCGAACAATAACCAAATTAAGCAACTCCAGCCAATTCACATGACCAGTGTTTTCCTTTTCTTGCTCAAAAGTCAAAAACAGAATTGTGCTGACTTGCTGTGAGCGTGAAGGTTCTTGAACAGTGGAATATCTACTTACTGAATATATAAAGCCTCCAAAAATACCTGCCCCATGTTTCTCTTCAGAAAACAAAATGTACATTTAAAGGGCAAGACTGCCCTCAGGTTAGCATTTCAAAACCGTGGTTCTGCACAGAAAAATTCAAACACAGAAGAGTTTACTAAATACCAAACCACTGCAGGAGACCAGAAGGCCTGGGTTCTGCCCAGGGCCCCTCGGGCCCCTACGCAACTGTGTTGCGGAATAAGCCACCTAACAAAGCTATCAGAACTCCATCATCTGCCTGTGTTCCCTCAGGGTGTTCTTCATTTCACCGCCAGAAAAGCCTTAGGAACCAGGTAATTTACCAGAGCTGACCATCCCTGCAGGTATCTGGTAAAGGACAAGTGAAAATGAGCTCTGGGCAGGGCTTGCCCAGGAACCTACTGAGATTACAAGCTAATGAAAGAACATCTCCAACTAAGGAGATTACTACAGGATAGTCTCTCTCTAATAGCATACCCACAACCAATAAATTCTAAAAATCCATATAGAAAAAAACCTACTCTTCCCCTAGTTATTCCTGAAGAAAAATGGGCAAGGCCTCTATGTGCTATATCTGGATGACATGTCATTGATCTCAGGGCATAGAGGCAATGTTTTAAACCACAGAAATAAAATCTCCCAAATTGAGGATCACATGTACAAAAACGTTTGGTGCACAGTTATTTGTAACATAGCAAAGCACTAGAAATCATGTACATATCCATGACAATGGTACATAAACGATTATGTAACAATCATGGTACATCCTTTATTTTTCAGATTGTGGTAAAAATACACATAGCATAAAATTTACCATGGTAACCATATCTAAATGCACAGTTCAACAGTGTTAAGTGCATTCACATCGTTTTTGGCACATTCCTTTTTTATGGAGTACCATGCCCTGATTAAAAGTGAGGTTAGAGTCACTGTAAGTACTGAAGTGGAACAATCAAGATTGAACATTAAGTTAAAAAAAAAAATCAGGTCACAAAACAATACATACACTACCTTAAAATAAAATAAGCATACGTTTTTATATTTAAGCATATAGACACGTAAAATTCCTAGATACATAAAATTGAATGAAAGGACCAGGTGCAGTGGCTCACGCCTGTAATCTCAGCACTTTGGGAGGCCAAGGCAGGAGGATCACTTGAGGCCAGGAGTTCGAGACCAGCCTGGCCAATGTGGTGAAACCCTGTCTCTACTAAAAAAAAATACAAAAATTAGCTGGGCATGGTGGCACACACCTGTAGTCCCAGCTACTCAGGAGGCTGAGGCAGGAGAATTGCTTGAACCTGGGAGGCGGAGGCTGCAGAGAGCTGAGATGGCGCCACTACACACCAGCTGCGATGACAGAACGAGACTCCGTCTCAAAAAAAAATAAAGAAATAAAGTAAAATTCATAGAAAGGCTCAGAAGGATGCCACCACAGATCCTGACCCCCAGCTTTAAAAGGCTATGAAACGGGGTGAGGGAAATTTTGAGCTTTTACTCTCTACTTCCAACTTTTTTTTTTTTTTGAGACATTGTCTCGACCCAGGCTGGAGTACGATGATGCGATTTCGGCTCACTGCAACCTCCGCCTCCCGGGTTCCAGTGATTCTCCTGCCTCAGCCTCCTGAGTAGCTGGGATTACAGGTGCCTGCCACCACACCCAGCTAATTTTTGTGTTTTTGTAGAAACGGAGTTTCACCATGTTGGCCAGGCTGCTCTCAATCTACTGACCTCAAGTAATTCACCCTCCTCGGCCTCCCAAAATGCTGGGATTACAGGCATGAGCCACCATGCCCAGTCCAACTGTATTCTTCTAACACTAAAAAGAATTTTTTCAAAATTCATCCACATAAGTGTAGGTTTGCATTTTCAAAATCTCATTATGTGCACAAAAGGCAGGAGGTGGAAATTTAAATTTCCTACAAACTTTGAAGGTCATAATGTATATCTGTAAATGAAGATAATAATAAATTTCCTACAATCATCAATCCTGGCAATTCTGTCAAAGGTACTTTTGTACAAGCTCTGTTTTCCACTGGCTATACGTTCTTTTAACTAAAAAAAACAAAAACAAAAAAACACCCAGCTGAGCGCTGTGGCTCATGCCTGTAATTCCAGCACTTTGGGAGGCTGAAGCGGGCAGATCACCTGAGGTCGGGAGTTCGAGACCAGCCTGACCAACATGCAGAAACTCCGTCTCTACTAAAAATATAAAAATTAGCCAGGCGTGGTGGCACATGCCTGCAATCCCAGCTACTCGGAAGGCTGAGGCAAGAGAATCGCTTGAACCCAGGAGGCGGAGGCTGCGGTGAGCCGTGATCATGCCACTGAACTCTAACCTAGGTAACAAGAGTGAAACTCCATCTCAAAAAAAAAAGAAAAAAAAAAAAAAACCCTTGTACTGGTAGCTTACTGATTCATCAGTGAGTTTATAGAAATACTGAAACGGTCTAGGCTAAACCTGTCACTTTTAATAAACCTCAGGAAAATCCATGATAACTTTTGCTTGAAACGGGTTATTCAAATAGCTTCACAATGAGAAAACAAGAAAAAATTTATAAATTTCTTTACTGTTTAGATACAAACTGCCTTTTTTTCCCTTAATGAAGCATGTTTGATGAATTTTAATATTTCAAAACTAAGAAGTTACTTATCTGTGTGAATACTAGTAACAAGGGATTCCTGGTTTGGGAGGAAAACTCATACCAACTTTAGAAGCATTCCTTTGGCATTTTGTAAGTACCATGCTTTTTAGTAGCATCTCTAAAAACTGTAGCTTCAAAATATTGATTTCCTACATTAGAAGTGATGTTTTGAGTATAGAAAAAGAATAACTTCAAAGCAATTTTCCTTTGTCACCTGAATAAGCCTTCCACATTTTTGTGCGTTAGGTCCTAAATCCTGCACAGAAGCTTTTGTCCCTGAAATGCTCCGAACTATCAGCAATAGTCGCTGCTTCTTCTCATTTACTTTGTCAATTAAAAAAAATTTTGAGACGGAGTCTCACTTTGTCACCCAGGCTAGAGTACAGTGGTACAATCTTGGCTCACTGCAACCTCCACCTTCCAGGTTCAAGCGCTTCTCCTGCCTCAGCCCTCCAAGTAGCTGGGATTACAGGAGCGCGCCCAGCGCACCCAGCTAATTTTTGTATTTTTTAGTAGAGACAGGGTTTCACCATATTGGCCAGGCTGGTCTTGAACTCCTGACCTCAGGTGATCTGCCTGCCTTGGCCTCCCAAAGTGCTGGGATTACAGGCGTAAGCCACTGTGCCCGGCCAAGTTTTTAAATTTTAAGCACTAAATTTAAAATATTAATATTTGCAAACACTTTTTGAGACTTCCAGCATTAGAAAACATGGAAGAGAAAACTAGTAGCTGAAGGTAACCTACTTCTCTGGGGATTTCACAGGTCCACGAGGCTGACTGGCTTGCTTCCCTCAACAGAGGTCTTTCTTTTGCAATTTTCATCCCCTGAAGTTTTGAAGTATTGTTCTTACTACAAGGCTTCAAGTCAGTGGCTCTCCACTGGGATGACCTATCACCAATTATATTTAGCAATGTCCAGAGACATTTTGGTTGTTCTAACTTGGGGGAGGAGGCATGCTATTGGCATATAGTGGGTAGAGGTCAAGGATGCTGCTAAACATCCTAAGACGCACAGGACAGCCCTCCCCACAACCAAGAATTATCCAGCCCCAAATGCTAACGGTGCTGAGGTTAAAAAACTCTGCTTTATGTGAGCAGGGATGCCTTCCCTATATCACCCTATCCTCCTCCCACCAATACTTAATCCTACTGGAATCATAATAAACCTGCTTGCTTAGGTCATCCATGCCAGAGCCATGTCCTAGTATACAGACAGTAGCAATTCTCTGTTCCAGCCGACCCTGACCCTGGCCCTCTCCCATTAATTGAGGGAGTGGACAAATAGGCTCCCTGCACAGGTATCACAGCTGTTCTCATCCTCCAAAATGATGCCACTGGCTAATCATGAAACAATTCTCACTAGATACCAAATTCACTTAAAACACTTTTGGAATTCTGAAACACAGTCCTTTTATCTAAAAAATATGTCTGAAAGTATCCCCCACAGTGATCACTCACAGAATGCCCACCATCATTGACTTTAAAAATCAATTCATTTAAAAGTTCTCTTCCTGGAGTAAACAGAAAACAGGAAAAAAACACAGAGAAAGAGAATTAATTACATCAGTATATCAATCATTATGTTATATTGAGAAGAGGATGGATGAAACCCTCTGAGTCTTCCTCACAAGGCCCTCTCTCAGTTTTCATTAATTTCATCAAAGACACCAACAGCTTGGAAGAATATTTACCCAGGAATGTTCCTCCTGTTACTAAACTTTCCACCCAAGAAAGGGGAAGAAGGGGTTCTACAGTCTAGGAATTTGAGAAATGTTAGATTAAATACACACACACACAGCCTGATTTCTTTTCTCAAGGCTTCTCAGAACTTTCCAGAGCTAACATGAACCTCCAATGTGAATCTTCAAAGTGGGAATCCAGGGCTTTAGCATTACCCAAGCTTATCTGATGCTGGAATCTTTCAGGATGAGATATCTCTGGGACAAACGTAAAGCTGGGTTTAAGAAATTATTCTCTTTGGAGACTGGGGATGGTGTCTCACACCTCTAATCACAACACTTTAAGAGGTCAAGATGGGAGGATCACTTGAGGCCAGGAGTTTGAGACCAGCCCAAGCAACAAAGCAAGACCCCATCTCTACAAAAAATAAAAATAATAATTAGCCAGGAATGGTGTTGCACACCTGCAGTCTCAGCTACTTGGGAGGTTGAGACAGGAGGATTGCTTGAGCCTACAGGTTCAAGGCTGCCATGAGCGGAGATCAGATCACTGCACTCCAGCCTAGGCAACAGAGCAAGACCCTGCCTCTTAAAAATATATTCTCTTTAGGAACTGGTTTTAGGAAACAGGCATGCATCCTATAGTTATCATGTGAGGGAGGTGCTTCCAGCCCATTTTCCTGACAACTCTAACTCCATGCTTTTCTTGGCAGTACTTCCTCTCCAGACACACCTCTGCATCAACCCAAGATGACTTAAGGAAAGAACAAGTTAACAAATCTCCAAATATGGAGGGAGAGCAAGAATGAAGTATTTCTAAAGAGACTCCACCTAAAGTTTCATGCCATAGAAATGATTATAAAAACTATGTTCCCAGCTTGGGCAACATTGTGAAACCCCGTCTCTACTAAAAACTGAAAAATCAGCCACACATGGCAGCGTGCACCTAATAGTCCCAAGCTACGCAGGAGGCTGAGGTGGGAGGATCACCTGAGCCCGGGAGGCAGAGGTTGCAGTAAGCTGAGATTGCACCACTGTACCCCAGCCTAAGAGACGGAGCAAGACCCTGTCTCAAAAAATAAAAAATAAAAAACCTTGTTTGATGGTTCTGGAAGTATTTCCAAAAAGAAGCTATTTGTATTGTAAAATGCACACAAGTAGGCACACATAGATACTGTAAAGGAAAAACAATGAATAAAAGCAGCACAAGATCTCTTAATGTTTATGGACATTGAGTAGCTACAGCCACATCAGTCTCCTGAAGCAAGAAATGCCTCATGGCTCTTGACAATAGGAGAAATACTGGTTGACCTAGCAGTGGCTTTGAACGTCAAAGATATCTGAGCCTGACACCAATTAGCTATAAAAATGACACCTATAAACCACAGGACACTGTAGGTGATTTAAAGCATGGGCTTTCTATAAGACAAACTGAGGTGAGCTCTGCCTTTTAGAAGTTACAAAATTCTAACCAAGTGACTTAACTTCCATAGGTGATAACAAGACAGATGTCCTCAAAACTTACAACAACCACATGCAATATGATAAACAGCATCCTCAACTTGCGTGCCCCTTGCAGACACACAACCCAGCAAGGTCTTTTAAGAAGTAAAACAGGCTGGGTGCAGTGGCTCATGCGTGTAATCCCAGCACTTTGGGAGGCCGAGGCAGGATCAGCTGAGGTCAGGAGTTCAAGACCAGCCTGGCCAACATGGTGAAACCCCGTCGTCTCTACTAAAAATACAAAAAATTAGCTGGGCTTGGTGGCAGGCCCCTGTAATCCCAGCTACTTGGAAGGCTGAGGCAGGAGAATCACTTGAACCCAGGAGGCAGAGGTTGCAGTGAATCACTTGAAGGAGGCAGAGGCTGCAGTGAACCGAGATCACGCCACTGCACTCCAGCCCGGGCGACAGAGCGAGACTCTGTCTCAAAAAAAAAAAAGAAAAAAAGAAAAAAGAAGCAAAACAGATGCAGAACAGATTCTTCCTATCTTCAGTGACCTGAAATTAGACCACTGTGTAACCAAATATGTTATAGCTCAATTTGAAACTTCAAGTGAAGTCAGTAATATCCTAACATTCAAGATTAGAAGAGAATTTTTTTAAAATTCTGAGCCATCTAAATCAAAAGCAGTAAAGCCTAATCACAGTATTACATCAAGTGCTAAACTATGTGCTTAATCTTTTCCAAAATTAACATTGGCCAGATAAACCAGACTTGCATTTTGCCAGATATATACCTCTGAGGGGCCCCAAACATACACACACACACACAGACGCGCGCGCGTGCGCGCGCGCCTATGAGAGGGCTCAAATATACATCTATGTACCTATAAAAGACCCTGAACTTTAGGTTTGAACAATTCCACCAGTCATTTGGCCAAATTTCCTACCTTCAGTGTCTCAGTCCAACAATTATTCAGACAACAAGCATTTGCTATGCATTTATGGAGCTAATACTGCAAGCTAGACATACTGTTTTTGCAATTTCTGAGTAAAGAGAAAACAGAAAAAAGATTCACTTTCCACACTCAAAAGAGCTCATCCACTCTGGCAATTGTATTAAAGAACGGTAAAGGTTACAGACTTCAGGGTGAGAAAGATCCGGGTACAAATGCCAACTCCAACTTAGCCTTGGCATATCCATTAACCTCTCTGAGCCTCAAGTTCCTCAGGAATAAAGTGGGATAATAAGATGACCCACTTTTCGGCACTGCTCTGAGGCCTAACGACTTAGATCTCAAAATGGCTCCAAATAAACAGAGTTTCCCTAGCTGCATTCTACCAAGGTGACCAAGTCACCCGTTAGCTCATCTTCACTGCAACTCTTGCTTTTCATCATTTCTTAACAAACAAGTGTCTATCGAGCCAGACAGCTATGCTCAGCGGCCTCTGCACACTTTCTTCTCCTGGTAAGTGTTCCCACCATTCCCTCTCTGGATCACCTTTCTTTTTTGTCCAACTCCATCCCTCTCTTTTTTCACACTTCCACCAAAACATCTTTTTCAGAACCTCTATTTGGATCCAATCCTTCCCTTTTTTGTATTCATCCTGTCCTTGCCCCTAGAATCCACGTAAGCATGTCAGAAAACAGTGTTAAAAGTTAAGGACACAAATCCAATTTACTTACAGGTAAGTTCCTTTCTCACAATAATGAATTAAGGCAAAGCTACAAACTACACCCCCAAAACAGTACAGTCAAGTAACAACTCTGTGCTCAAGGCTGTAAGGAGAACAGACGAAAGACGGAATGAACGAAGGAAAATCCACCCCTACCACTGAAAAAAACAATCGTTGGCCAACAGTGTTGTTTTTAATGTATGAACAAGAGTACATGCTATAGAAAAAGGCAGCTGCCAACAGCCGGGCATGGTGGCTCACTCCTGTAATCCCAGCGCTTTGGGAGGCTGGGGCAGGTGGCTCACAATGTCAGGAGTTCGAGACCAGCCCAGCCAACATGATGAAACCCTGTCTCTACTAAAAATACAAAAATATTAGCCGGGCGTGGTGGCAAGCACCTGTAATCTCAGCTACTTGGGAGGCTGAGGCAAGAGAATCCGGGAGGCGGAGGCTGCAGCGAGCCGAGACTGTGCCACTGCACTCCAGCCTGGGCAACAGAGCGAGACTCCCTCTCAAAAAAAATGAAAAAGGCAGTCGCCACTTGCATTGTCTTTTTGCCGCCAGCTTTTACACTTACCCAATAAACATGCATAGCTCACTTCTCATTGACTCTACTCATTTAATTAATTGTTTTGCCAATGTCTGAACAAAGATTTTTTTCTCACAATGACATTCTCTAGAAAGCATCGCATTTTACAATGAGGAACGCCTTGGCCAGACACAAGAGACGCTAATGTATCAGATTTGCCTCTATGGCTCCTACTGTAGCAGGCCCCGCCGGGCGTGCCTCACAACCCCACTGGCCACCTTCACTAAAGGCTACTGTCACCTATTTAGGGCTAAGAACAAGAACAACCTGCCCTCCACAGCTGATTAGACCAGGCCCAGTGAGATTTTTGGCCTTGAGAACTGCAAGTAGGACAGAGGACTACAGGTGATGTCCACTAGTATTTAAAATGAGGACATGGAGACACAGGAGCTGTGGAACAGCATTGTTTGCCCATGTGTATAGGAAAGAAGTTCTACTAAGGGGGAAGCAAAAGAGACAACCAAGGGCATGTGGTCCTCAAAAGAATGCGGAGTAAGCTTAGTGCAAGATGACGCTTGAGTTCTTGATGTCAGGTCCTCCTGACAGCTGCTAACCCTGGGCCTCAGAATGAGCTGCCTTTCTTACTGCATAGCTTGATCATGTCCTACAAATCATGCAAACTCTAAACAATCTAGTCTTTCAGAGCCTTCTCGTATGAACTTTGCCAGGCAAGGAGCTACTGCCTCTCCCAATGCACACCCCTCACCTCAGCCACCTGGGCCACGGGGGCCCTTAGTCACCACTCCACGTGAAGGCTGGGTGAAGTTGGCTCCACTTCAGGCTGCAGTTATCCAGTGATCACTGGAACTGGTAGCTCATATGGTCTTCATTCATTCACCAACTCACTCATTCATTCCATGGTAGTCCTTCAGGGGGGCCTCTCCTATCAGCACCACAGATCACAGATCTTTCGGACTGCCGACTCCTGCCATCATGCACTTGTGCATGGCCATCTGTCCTGCATCTGTATGTGTTCCCGTCCTTGCCTATTTCACCGGACTTGTGCCCATCATCTTTGGCCTTCTGATGTCCTCTGAAGGTCTACCTGCCCAGTGGTTTTTTTTCGTTTTGTTTTTTTTGTTTTTTGAGATGGAGTCTTGCTCTGTCGCCCAGGCTGGAGTGCAGTGGCTCAATCTCAGCTCACTGCAACTCCTGCCTCCCAGGTTCAAGTGATTCTCCTGACTCAGCCTCCCGAGTAGCTGGGAATACAGGTGCATGCCACCACACCTAGCTACTTTTTGTCATTTTAGTAGAGACTGGGTTTCACCATGTTGGCCAGACTGGTCTCGAACTCCTGACCTCTATTGATCTGCCCACCTCAGCCTCCCAAAGTGCTGGGATTACAGGTGTGAGCCACCATGCCCAGCCAACCTGCCCAGTCTCTGACTCTTTAACTTACCCTGACTCTTGGCATGCTATGGCAACATTCTGCCCTAGCTACATTCTAAACTCACCCCCCAACTGTGACTAACTTCCATAGTTCCACTTCCTTAATCCAGGGCTGGCCCCACAGCCTTGACCATCCTTAGGACACACCCAACCTTGTCCCTATTCTTCCAAACCCCACTCCACTCCCCTTCCAACAATCTGTGATTCCATAAGGGCCACACTCACAGGCCCAGAGCCGATACTGTCACCATGCCAGGCACAGGATTCTGCACAGCACAGGGAGTTGACAGACTTAGCCAACGATTAATAAATCCAATTCAATGTGCCAGATTCATATAACACAGAACTCTCAGTGCCCAGATGTCCAGTAAGATCTAAATTTCAACTAGAATTTCTGTGAAATGGCAGACTTTCTTGTAGAGAGATGGGGAAGTTAAAACTGAACTCATGCAACAGACATTTATTTATTGCTATAGCTGATTTAATCAATGTGCCTTCCCAAAGTAAAATAAACCCACTAAGTAAAATTCTCCAGTCTCTTACATAAGAGTTTAAACATATAACACAGTGAACTCCTTCCTGCAACTCAATCTCCTGTTTGGTCCAGGCCCCAAGGCAACCTTCCCCAGGACAGCTTCACCCAAGGACCCAATGGAGGCTGTCTCCATCACGTGCTGGAGAGGTGATGTGACTAGCCGTTTTCCAACACTGCTACATGAAGTGGCTCTTCTAACCCCCATTCTAAGGAAAACTCCCAAGTCACCTCTATTCCTCATCAGGCAAGGGGGCAGAAACGGTGGCAAGCTAACTGCCTTCAGTCCGCATCTCTCACTGGATACTGAATCCGTGAACCAAACACAGTCACTTTTCTTTTCTGCTTTTTTTTTTTCTCGAGACAAGGTCTCACTCTGTTGCCCAGGCTGAAGTGCAGTAGTGTGATCCTAGCTCACTGCAGCCTCTAACTCCTGGGCTCAAGTGATCCTCTTGCCTCAGTCTCCTAAGTAGCTAGGACTACGGGTGCACACCACCACAGCCAGCTAATTTTATTTCTTGTAGAGACGGGGTTTACCATGTTGCCCAGGCTGGTCTCAAACTCTTGGCCTCAAGTGATCTTCCCACCTCAGCCTCAGCCTCCCGAAGTGCTGGGATTACAGGCGTGAGCCATTGCACTAGGCCCAAAGTCACTTGTCTGTGCTGACCTAAGGCCTGACAGTCTTCATGAAGTCATAACAGGCACCTTTGCCCCATCTCCTGGATGCAATCACAATATTAAAATTCTTTTCCATCTGATCCGACTACAAGTGTCAAAGGGATCACAATATCAAAGGTGGAGTAATGCAGAAATGTAGGGAGAGGAATAAACCCCGGATCCATTCAGATCCTGAGTACTCAGAAATTAGCATTCATGCCAGAACTGGGCATCTGTGATCAAAAAAAACAGTCCTGGCCCCCATGTCTGCTCCCTGCTAGCATCACATGCCAAGCTAGAGGGTAAGTCCCTGTGGTGTCAGGGAAGGCCTGGAGAATCTTATCGCTTTGGAAGCAGAGAGGAAGCAGGTCCGAGACCAAGGGAGGAGCAGAGAGCCTTGCTACTCAGAGCGTGACAGGCCATGAACCAGCAGGGTCAATGGCACCAGGAGGCTACTTAGAAATGCAGTCTTGGGCCCATCCCAGCCCTACAGAATCATTATCTGTATTTTAACAAGATCCCCAAGTGAGGCTGGGCGCGGTGGCTCACGCCTGTAATCCCAGCACTTTGGGAGGCCGAGGCAGGCGGATCACGAGGTCAGGAGATCGAGACCATCCTGGCTAACACGGTGAAACCCCGTCTCTACTAAAAAATACAAAAAAAATAGCCGGGCATGGTGGCGGGGGCCTGTAGTCCCAGCTACTCGGGAGGCTGAGGCAGGAGAATGGCATGAACCCGGGAGGCAGAGCTTGCAGTGAGTCGAGATCGCGCCACTGCACTCCAGCCTGGGCGACAGAGCGAGACTCTGTCTCAAAAAAAAAAAAAAAAAAAGATCCCCAAGTGATTTGTATGCAAACTAAAGTGTGAGAAATACACTCTAGACGACAAGGGCTCCCGAGAGGTACGGAACACCAGCAGCAAACTGGAGCTTTTACACGGAAAAGATGTACAAAGTGGTAGAAACAGAAAAGAATTTCAAAGCTGGCCAGACCCTGGTTCAAATCTAGGGTCGATCACCTACTAGTGGAGCATTCTTCAGCTGGTCACTCAAGCTGTGAGTCTCAACAGGAATGTGAAGTATAACCTTACAGGGGACAGTAAGTATAAGGCATCCAGCACACAGCAAACCTGTGATTAATACTGGTTCCCTTTCCATAATGAAGCAAACACCAACCCAGTGTGGCTGTGTAGACCTGTGATGGAGACAGGTGAATTAGGAACACCTGAGAGAGAAAAAGGGGCCAAACTAGCACTATCTTTGTTAACAGAAGGAGAGACTCAATGTTATCAACAAATATGAATACTGCAGGGCACCAGAAAAATTTCATTGCTAAATTTATTTGAATGTCCACCCACCATTCCAGAACAGCATTGTCCAAGGGAAGTATAACAAAAGCCACATATCTAGTTTTACATTTTCTAGCAGTCATATTTTAAAAATAGGAAAAAAAGGACTTGGCACAGTGGCTCATGCCCATAATCCCAACACTTTGGGAGCCTGAGTGGGAAAGATCACTTGAGTCCAGAAGTTTGAGACCAGCCTGGGCAACACAGCAAGACACTCATCTCCAGGAAAAAAAAGTTTTAATTTTTTGAAAAAGAGAAAAAAAGGGGGGGGAAAGGTGAAATAGCCAAAATGTTATGAATTCAACATGTAATCAATATAAAAAACAAGATATTCTGTTTTTTTTCATTACATCTTCAAAACCTGATATGTATCTTATACTTACAGCTTATTTCAATTAGGATTTGCCATATTTCAAGTGCTCAGTAGTCATATGTGGCTAGTGGCTACCACACTACTGAACAGAGTAGTTCCAGAAATAAAATAATTATTCATAGATCCTTCTCCACTCACCCTTCTATCACCCCCAAATCCCAGTGTGCAGAATATAAGTATCTAGGCATGGTCAAACAAACATGGGAAGCGAAGTGCCGGGGGAAAGGGTCAGAATATAGGCTTTTGCTAACCTGGCATATTTTCACCATCAAGTTTTGTTTTGTTTTAAACTTTGGTCAACGTAAATTGCACCCACAGACAACCTAAAGTACAGCCACTCAGTGGAAAATTTTTCCAGAAGCAAAAAAATGTTCAAGTACTAGATTACAAATACAAAATTCAGGCCAGACGCAGTGGCTCACGCCTGTAATCCCAGCACTGTAGGAGGCCAAGGCGGGTGGATCGCCTGAGGTCAGGAGTTCAAGACCAGCCTGACATGGTGAAACCCAGTCTCTACTAAAAAAACAAAAATTAGTTGTGCATGGTGGTGGGCGCCTGTAACCCCAGCTACACAGGAGGCTGAGGCAGAAGAATCGCTTGAACCTGGGAGGCAGGGGTTGCGATGAGGCGAGATCGCGCCATTGCACTCCAACCTGGGCAACAAGAGCAAAACTATCTCTCAAAAAAAATAATAGAATAAAATATAAATAAATAAATACAAAATTCAGACAAGATTCTCCAACCACAAATGAAAGTAGAGCCAAGTAGGAACAAATACACTACCCTTGTGTCTACTTCACCCACTTTTAACCTGATATAGGGCAGCTGTAACTAAAACTCTAGCGACAAGGAGGAGACACACAGTCTGTTTTCATGGTCAAAAACAAATATACTTGCCAATGAGGTAAGGCAGGACAGGAGACAATACCCTCCAAGAAAGAAAAAAAAAGTCCTGGGACTAAGGCTACTCTCCCAAAACAGAGACCAAAGACCACAAAACAACAGCTAAGATTGTAGGAAGGGCTCACCACATATTCTGCTAAACACTTTATATATGCATTTAATCCTCCTAACAACCCTCAGGAAACGTATGGTTTAGAATTTACATAACCTGTTCAAGGTCCCGCAGCTAGTAAGTGGCAAAACACAGGTTTACATCACTGACAGGCAATCAGGTTTATATCATTGAGAGCTGGGCAAAGGCAAGTGAAAATCTCCGTGGCCTTTATCACTCAGATTTCACCAGAACACAAAGTAAAATCAGTTTTCAAATTACCTCTCCCATTCTTGCTAGGTTAAATCAGCAAAACTGGCCAGGTGCAGTGGCTCACCCCTGTAATTTAGGAGGCCGAGGTGGGTGGATCACCTGAGGTCAGGAGATAGAGACATGGTGTTACCCCGTCTCTACTAAAACTACAAAAAATTAATGAGCCAGGCATGGTGGCAGGCGCCTTTAATACCAGCTATTTGGGAGGCTGAGGCAGGAGAACTGCTTGAACCCAGGAGGCAGAGGTTGCAGTGAGCCAAGATTGCGCCATTGCACTCCAGTATGGGCGACAGAGCAAGACTTCATCCCAGAAAAAACAAAAAAAAAAATCAGCAAAATCATCAAAGACCAGCTTCTCAACAAGTACCTCGGTAAAGCTTAACTTAATCAAATCGTGTTTTCAGGTTCACATAAAGATTATAAATAGGAGGAGGATTAAATACCATCAAAACATAGTTGGGTGCAGTGGCTCATGCCTCTGATCTCAGCACTTTGGGAGGTCAAGGAAGGCAGATCACTTGAGCACAGGTGTTTGAGACCAGCCTGGGCAACATAGAGAGATCCCTTCTCTACAAAAAATAAACAAAATTAGCCGGGCGTGGTGGCATGTGCCTGTGGTCCCACCTACTCAGGAGGCTGAGGTGGGAGGCCAAGGTAGGAGGATCACTTGAGCCCTGGGGGTTAAGGCTGCAGTGAGCAAAGATCGCAGCACTGCACTCCAGTCTGGGTGACACAGTGAGACCCTGCCTCAAAAAAATAAAACATAAGATAAATTTTAGGCCGGGTGTGTTGGCTCACGCCTGTAATCCCAACACTTTGGGAGGCCAAGGTGGGCAGACCACAGGGTCAGGAGATTGAGACCATCCTGGCTAACATGGTGAAACCCCATCTCTACTAAAAATACAAAAATTAGCCGGGCGTGGTGGCACATGCCTGTAATCCCAGCTACTCAGGAGGCTGAGGCAGGAGGATCGCTTGAACCCGGAAGGCGGAGGTTGCAGTGAGCCGAGATCACGCCACTGTACTCCAGCCTGAGCGACACAGCAAAACTCGGTCTCAAAAAAAAAAAAAAAAAAAGATAAATGTTGGAAGGCAGAGAGAAGGTAATGATGAATGCGGTCTTGGGCTAGGACTATAGTGCTGGGTTCCAGTTCTAAACCTGCTATTGGTTACCTGATGGCCCCACCCTCCAATGTGGGCTCACTGTAGAAAATGAGATAACTACAAATGTGTGAAGTACTTCCAGCTATGGGGTCCTTTAAAACAGAGGGCTTTGAATTTTCTAACCTTTTTAGGTTTTTCAACTATCTAATTCTTACTATTGAAATCCCTAGAAAGAATTTGTTCCTCACAAAAGAAAATGATAAAATCAATACCCATTACTAGCCCCGGGAGTCAGCCTTGGGGAAAGGAGGAGTTTGTGTCCCAAAATGCAAAGGCTGATGGTAAGAAAACAGTTCAAGAACCACAACACCCTGATTTTATCTTTAGGTCTCTACGGATCACTCAAGATGTCTAAAAGCTCTAATTATGTAAAGCTGTAATAATAACTGACTGAAAACAGAAGAATACAAAATCTGCATTTGGGGCCCCTGAAGACCATCCTTAAAGAGTGATCCTTCATAAGGAATATGTGAGACAGCTAAAAAAGCCGCTCTGCGTCTGTCTAAAAATTACTTATTTCAGTCTCCAGATTTAGATTAAACAGAATTTGCTCTCCCTCATTATAAAACAGCCAGAATATAGAACTTCCTGCCGTAGAAGATGATTCAAAGAATTCTTTAAACTGTGTTTATTTATTGTTGGAACAAAAGATTCTTCTCGGCACCACTTTCAATTTGCTTTGATTTTCTCAGCCTTTTCAAAGAATACATAAAACAAATACATCTTTCTAGCCCTTCTCCCCTCCAATCTGTATCCTCACCCCAGTGCCCAATAAAATAAGTCTTTTCAACATGCTATTTCTAGAGATGTCTCTGGTGCAAATACAGATGCCCTGCTCTCTGTGCTGACTACAATCAGGAAAATCTGGCTAAATACAAAGGCCCTGAGTGTACCTCAAACTTCTCCACTGCATATTCTCACGCTGGCAGTCATCAGCTATCACCTCCAACGTGAACGGCGCCAGTGTCTTTGCTGTTTAGCACCTGCTGTGCCCTCTCTGGGCACCTCCACACCCTGAAACAGCTTCCATGCTCACCCCTCAGTCCACCAACTGTGCTCCCCCAAGGCAGAACAGCACAGTGAGAAGGAGCATGTTTCAAATCCTGTTTCCACTTCCACTTACGAGCTGGGAGGGTCTCTGTCTGTTTCCCCACTGGTACCACAGGGAAAAACATGTACAGCTCCTCTCATCATTTCGGTATCAAATGAGGTAACATAATAGCTGCTGCGGTGGTGCATGCCTATAGTGCCAGCTACTTGGCTGCTTGGGAAGCCGAGGCAGGAGGATCCCTTGAGCCAAGGAGTTCAAGTCCAGCTAGTTTGAGTCCAGTCTGGGCAACATAGCAGGACCCCACCTCTAAGAAAAGGTTTAAAAATCAGAAAAATGGGATAACAGACGTAAAGTGCCATCACCTACTGCAGCATCTGCAGGTTTTAGCTACATTTTCTACCTTCCTGGGAATCTTCTGCCCTCCAACTTGCTAAAGCACAGGTTCTAAGTTCTTCAGCCACCCCTGCCGCTTCGTTTATGGTTTTTACTACGTAAGCCACTATCTTAGGGGACCCAAACCCAACCCCTTTTAAAACACCTTTCTTCTATCCTCTCTGTTTTATGTTCATTACTACCAATCTTGACCTCCAGCCCAAGCAACCCTCCTAAATTCCAGACTCACAGAGCCAGAGGCAATTGGAGCCCAAAACTGAACTCACTGTATCAAGTCCCTCCACCTCCACTCTTCCAAATCTATTCTGCCTTCGGAATTTGCTATCTCAAAGACAGAACACCCAGTCTCCAAGCAACCCCCAGACAGCCACCTAAGAAGCAGCCTTACTCCTCCAATCAGGCACTACCTGGCCCCTGAAGCAGCCCCCACCTACCACTCCATCCCCACAAACAACACCTGGGATGAAAGACCCTCATCCTTTCTCTCCTGGATTGCCGGTTCCCTCTTTGGCCTCCCTACCTCCAGCCTGTACAGCCTCTATTCCAACCTCCATGGGGCTGCCACAGGACCTTTGTAACGAAAGGTCCGTCTTTTCTGCCTACACAGAAGTCCATCCTCAAGGCACTGCACCAAAAGGCCTCATCAGGTGACCCTCAACTGCCTTCCAGCTCCATCCCCTCGCACACCCACACCCCACTCGAAACACCAAGCTCTCCCCAGACCTTTCCACGTGTGCTGCATGGACTTAGATGCTCTCCCAGGCTCTGACTGCCTCACATATTCTTACCAGTCTTTCACAGCTCCTCTGTGGACGCTTGGCATGAGGCGGCCTATTCACATTCCTATCATAGCTTCTGGGGGCTCCTTCCACTAGATTTTTCTCCCTGGGGCCCTTTTCCCTCTGCACTCCTGTGCTTAGCACAATGCCCAGTGCTTAAACACTCAGTAAGCATCTGTTAAATGACAAGGCAATCCCCAGGTTAACATCATGTCCCACTTCTTGGGCTCCCCTCCATCTGTACCACCATTACCTTTGTCTGTTCTTCCCAATCCTGAAAGCTATTTTATCCTTAAAAAAAAAAAAAAAAAAAAAACAACCTGGGCTGGGCACAGTGGCTCACACCTGTAATCCCAGCACTCTGGGAGGTTGAGGCGGGCGGATCACAAGGTCAGGAGTTCGAGACCAGCCTGACCAACATGGTGAAGCCCCATCTCTACTAAAAATACAAAAAATTAGCCAGGCATGGTGGCACGCACCTGTAATCCCAGCTACTCAGGAGGCTGAGGCAGGAGAATCGCTTGAACCTGGGAGACAGAGGTTGCAGTGAGCCGAGATCACGCCACTGAACTCCAGCCTGGACAACAAAGCGAGACTCCAACTCCAAAAAAAAAAAAAAAAAAAAACAGATCTTCCAAAATCTTCCAAACAAATCTTCCAAAATCTCCCCTCTTCACTGCTTTCACTGAATATTGCTTAAACATTTTCAGTTCCTAAAAATACATAAAAGCTGAATAACTTCAAATATTATTAATAAAATGACCCCAATACTTTGGCAGTCCATAAATCAAATTATAATTCAGAAGTTAATAACACACAACTAAGATTTCAACAATGATCTGTGGTATCACTTTCCAAAATTTCTATTCTATTGTTGTTTTGTGTTTTATTGAACCTGAATGTAAAAATTAGACTGCCAAATGTTTCCGAAGAGATTAAAAATAATTGCTGCAGGAAATAAAGGATATTTTACCACTTGCAGTTTTCTGTTTCCACTTTTGGCTAATTCTGATTAGTTCAGGGTTACAAAGCATGTCATCCCATTAGAGAGTGTTCTATTATCATGATCATCTCTCGTGTGTCTTCAGACAATGTTCACTACGATCTCTTTCTCGGCGAGTCTTAACTGCAGCTGTCAACGCTAGATCTTTTTTGTGAGTTACAAGTTGGATTTATTTTCATTCAAACTTCTAACTCTTATGTATGTACCATGTGATCCAGCCACCCCAATTCTAGGAACAGTCATGCAACGCAAACCAACATTTTGGTCAACAATGGCCCACGTACACACAGTGATCCCATAAGATTATAATACCATATTTTTCCCGTACCTTTTATGTGTTTAGATTGGTCAGAAACACAAATAGTTACCACTGTATTAAAACTGCCTACAGTATGCAGTACAGTAAGATGCTGTATAGGTTTACAACCTAGGAGCAATGGGCTACACCATATAGCCTAGGTATATAGTAGGCTATAGTAGGCTACACCATCTAGGTTTGTGTAAGTACATTCTATCTTTGCACAATGACAAGACTGTCTAATGATACATTTCTCAGAATGTACCCCTGCATTAATCGACACGTGACTGCATTTAGCAAAAAGAAATAAAAACTTATGTTCACACAAAAACCTGTTTCACACAAATGCTTACAGCAACTTTACTCACAATTAGCAAAAACTGGAAACAACCCTAATGTCCTTCACCCAGCAAATGAATAAACTGTGGTACATCCATACAGCAGAATACTACTCAGCAATGACAAAGAACCAAGTATCGAAACACAGAGAAACATGGATGAATCTGAAACGCATCTTGCTATCTGACATTCTAGAAAGCCCAAACTCTAGGACGAGAGAACCATGTCCCTATAGTGAGACAGTGGATGCCAGGGGTAGGAGAGGCTGACTACAGAGGGGCGGCAAGAGGAAATGCTCTGGTGTGATGGGCCTGTTCTGCTTCGCCCGTGGTGGTGGATAAGTGACTCTACACATATGCCAAAACCCACAGAACGGTACACCACAGAGTAAATTTTCCTGTACACAAATTTTAAATTTTTTTAAGCTAATTCTTTAACCATGACTTAGTTAAAGATCAGCCCTAAAATAAAATGAACACGAAGGTGTGTGTTTCCATAATGTTTATCAAGTCTGTAGTTCTTGTTCTGATGGTCCTGGGATTAGGAGTACATGATGGGGAATGGAGTCAGTTTCCCTTGTGTTGGCAACCTCTGCTTCACCTGTTAACAGCCAGCTGGAGTTCTACCAAGGATACGGTAAAGGTTGTTCAAAGCCAACTGGAGAGCGACTGTATTGCACGGAAAAGTCCAAGAGAACATTTCAAGAGAAGAAATAAATGGGAGATGGGAGAACACAAACCCTAAAATTCTAACTCACAGTCAAAGGCATCAGAAGATTCTACTGACAAGTTGGCAACCTCCTTCCTAGACCTTCCTTAAAATGAGTCAAGGTGGGTGGGGGCAGGGAATCGCTGAGAGAAAAGAACAGAAGAAAAAGAGAGCGTGTGTGCTCCTGAACCAGGTTGCGCTGAGAGTTCCAAACACCCTGGCTCCAGTGTTCTTTAACATGGAAAAAATGATTGAATAGGCAAAGGATAAAAACAAGAAGGGTTCAACACCCAGTTACACTTTCTTTCCAGTGTGCTCTCCTCAGCCAAACCCACACATTCCTGCTCCGGAGGGGATGGACCGCAGGTCGTCTTTAGAGCCTGCTACAGGCACTGCCGACCAGGGGCTGGGCTCTGGGCTCCACGGTGACAGGAACTGCAGGCACCGGGTCCCCCCTGGCTCTCCCAGGAAGGAACATGCCCTAGCTCATCCTGCACACTCACATCCACATTCCCCAGCCCAGAAGACTCTCCCCACTCCAGGGAGGCCTGGGCCTGCTACATTGTTATACCTCAGCATGAGATCAACACCTGAGACAAGCTCCAATCCAAGATGAGCTCATGACTCCCGCCCCAGAGAACCAGCTCTCCAACCCTCAGCAGCATTTGCAGCTGGAAAGATTGGTCTAAATGCAAAACAAATGCTATCTTCAGGAGACTTCAAGGGGGAGGGAGAGGAACAAAGCTAAAAACCACCAAGACAGAAAACCAGAACATTCCATGACATGCAATGCCCTACGAAGAGGTTTTTTAAAACATATTCGCACTGTATAGCCGTGGCAAGGGGTTAGCTGTCAAAGTTAAACAAAAATCACTGACTCTCAAAAGACAAGAATGAAGGACTAAATAATAAAACAGCTTATTGTATTAAGCTAATTAAGGTTTATCATATTAGCCATCTGAGTTTTAGTTGACATCAGAAACGCAGAAGCAGCACACCACGCGCAGCGTGGATTCGGATCTGCTTTGCAAGCATATTCCTGCCACACTCATACACAGAACCTCTGGCAGTCAGAAATGATGGAGAATTGAAAACCAATTTTAGCACAGTGATTTGTAAAGAATTTTGTTCCATCATGTAAGCTATTTACTGGTATATCCGTCCAAGATTACATTTATCTCTATTAAATACTCCATAAAGTATCCTGAGCTAACCATGCACTCTTGTTTCCCTTTTGCCAGTTTTATCACATAGTGGATGTTCTGTAGCCAAATGAAAAACATTTTAACAATAAAACCCTTGCATACTTGACGTCCTTCACTGCAGATATCCTGCCCACCAACTGCCAGCACACAACTTAACCAATTCCAAGATCCTCGGCACTGCTGAAAAGCCCCTATTCTGCTGAACACGGAGAGGAACAAAATGCCCACTTCGAAGTAGGGGAAAATTTTATTTTCAGTCATGTCTTCTATGGGCTCCTCTTGACTGTACTTTTACCAAAAACCAGCAGAAAGGCAGGACCAGTTCTATCTGTTGTTGAGATCACACTGGATCCCATTCTGGAGCTGCTGGTTTCCTGTTTGGGGAAGTTGCAGTTCTTTTCACAAGGAACCCAAGGCAAAATGTTGAGTGTTCTCCTGCAAGCCCCCTCAGCCTTTGTTCTTCACTTTGCTACTCTCCTCACTCCTTCCTTCTCTCCTCTCCTCTCCAACCTCTGGTTTTGGAAGGTGCATTAAAATGCCTGCTCAAACCTAACTGCGATCTTTAAAGGCATCAGACATTTTCTACCACCCATTCCAGTACAGCTTTGAGTTAACAGGCATCTTTTCACAGATGAAGCCAGACTACCCGGCTTCCCCCTGGTATTGCATTAGTATTCCACATTAAACATATGCCACAAAGAATCCAATGGCGAACTCACCGTCAACAGCCCCCAAAATCAATAAAAGACATTCCACCACTTGAGTCGGAGTGAAAAACCTTTCAGGTTAACACAAGAGAGCAAGGTAAAAGAAAGGTGATGAATGAACAAAAGGCAAATCTACCTTCAGACTCCTCAAATCCTAAAAAGGTGGCTAGGCTGCCTCGATTTGGTGAAGCCCTTCCTTTTCTTATAATCATCGGGAAAATGCCACATGTGTACTGCTTTCGTCTTATGCAAAACAGCACATTCTCCACAAGGCCCTGACGCCTACCATTCTCCACACTCGCTTCCTTCCAGGCCTGACTCTCCCAATTGCCCAGACACATGCGATTTAATGAAGGCATTCAGATTTCGCCTTGATCGCAATACCATCATAAAGTCACTCTAATCCCATTAAACTGGGATAACATTAAGAGCATTTCTTCTCCACTCTGAACCCAATTTTATCTCCTGGGTAGCAATCCACGGTCCGTCTGTGTCTAAATGGATCTGCAAATAAATATTTAAATTCATGCTCAAAACAGCGTATCTCACCTTGTGAACCTTGACCTTTTGGAAAGACTTTAGACCAATGTTCAGTTACTGTCACACGGCTGCATTCTCAGCAAATAGGAAAGGGTTAAAAGCAGCCCCAGTCAACAGGCCTACAAGGAAAAAAAAGACAGCATGTATGGCTAACAGCATCACTGGAATGCATTTATGTTCATTTCCTAGAACGATATTGTTACCTTTTGGCCTTCATAATAGTCAGAAGCATCCCCAACACCCTTTAGTAGCTTCTAAAAGAAAAAGCACAAGACAGAACATACCCTGCAAGAGAAAAAAAGCATGCAAAGTAGCATTCTCCAGCAACAAACAAACTACCATTACAAACCCCTCAGTTCATTTTGGTTTTGTTTTGTTATAAACACCGAGAAAGAGAGAGAGAGACTGCATCAACCAAGTGTCCCCACCCTAGCAAGGCACATTTTTTTCTCTAATAAGGGTCATAAATCTCAGCTCCTTGTCCATCCCTTAAGCAAAAGAAAAAGGCAGGAAAAGCCCAAGTAATCTCAGACCCTGCAAACCTGCACCTTTTTTTCCATCTTCTCTACCCAGAATCTTTTAGGGCTCCATTAGTCACGTACCAGTGCTGTGTGGTGTCTAAGTGTGCATTCACATACTGTGTAGGGATGGTACCTTCCTGCAAGCTCCTCTGCTTTTGGCTGCCATGAAGGGAGGAAGCTGCTATCCTACTGTAGTAGCTCAGTGACTGCATTGTGTTCAGGAGCTGATCTGCCTCAAACCAGTTTCAGCCGGTTCTGGTCACCCTACATAAAAAAGCTATGGCAACCCTCGCTGAGTTGCCAACAAGTCCCTGAAAATCATCAGCACAGGGGGGATCTCGCTGGGGTTTGCTCTTCCCTCTTAGGTCTTCCTGAGGAGGAGAAGGTCATCGTGTGTCCCCCCACCCCACGAGCACACAGCCTTGGAAATGCTCACCTCGCAAGCACCCCAGAGCCCCTCAGGGCCCATCCCCCCTCCCCTCCACCCCACAGCCCACCGCAGACACTGTTTCCCCCTCCTTCTCCTTCCCCCACTTACCTCCCACAACCTGGCTCAGATCTTTGTGTACGTGTGTGTCAGTGTGTGCTCTCTGTGTTGGTGGCTGACAAAGAGCCCCCAAGAAAGCGAGCTATGTGTGTCTGCTCACACGGGATGCGTCGGCTGCAGAGCCGGCCTGGCCTCCTAGCACAGTGGTGCTGGCTTGTTGACCAGGCTCCTCTCTGCTGTCACCCCCACCCCACCCAGCCCCCTCCTCCCTTCCGTCCCTCTCCTCTCTCTCCCAGCCCTGTCACCACCACCAGCAGCCCCCCAGTCTCCTCCTCCTCCTCCAACCTTCTCTTCTTTCAAGCACCTGGGGGGAGAAGTCCAAATCCCTTCACCTCGGGGGAAGAAAACTGGGGCTGTCTGGGGAGGGGGCGGGGGGCGAAGGCAGGGCCAGTGGGAGAGGGGGCACGGAGGCCTCTGGAAACGCATCTGTGCCCGGCCGGCGCCGGCGGGGGGAGTAGGAGAGCCGCGCTCACGTGGCCCCCGTCTCGTAACCTGCGGGGCCTAGCCCGGGCGGTTCCTCCTCGGCCCCCCAAGCCAGCTGGCGGGGCGCGAAGGCCGGCTGTCCCCAAGGCCAGGGTGGGACAGGCCACTGCGGGCAGGCCCAGGGGCCTGAGCCTCACGCGCTCACCCCGGCCCGCAGGAGTGGGCACGAGGGGCCGCACCCCGCCTCTGCCCGGCGCCCACCCGCGCCCCTGGGTCCGGCTGCCCTGCGCCCCTCGTTCGCCCCGGCCGCCTCCCGCCGCCCCGCACCCCCAGAGGCGCACACCCACCCCCTTCCCGGGGTTGGCCTTCGCGGCGGTCAAGCCCGGGCGTCTGGGCCGCAGCTCGGATGACCTTTGTTCAGCGCGGCGCCGCCGGCGGCTGCTGCTGTGGCTGCTGCTGCTGTCGTCGGAGCGGCGGCGGCGGCGGCTTCCATGTTACGGGCGTGTCATCTGCGTTCCCGCTGCCGGGGTCTGTGTGTGCGTGTGCGGTGGAGCGGCCTCGCCGCCGGGCCGGGCGGCGGCGGCGGCGGCGGCTCGGCCCGGGCGGCGAGCGAACAAAAGGGAGCGCGGGCGAGGGGGAGGGGGCGGCCGGTGGGGGAAGGGAGCTCCGGGACCGGGCGGCGGCAGCGCGAAGCCCCGCGGCCGGCGGGCGCCGACGCCCGGCCGCTGCGGAGCCCCGAGTCCGGCGGCGGCGAGAAGGCGCCCCGCGGACCTGCCAAGTCTCGCCCATACGGGGCCGCTGGCTCGCGGCTTCGCCCCGGGAGTGGAGCGGGGTGGTGGGGCTGGTGAGGGGGCGCAGGGAGGGCTGCTTTTTTCCAACGACATTGCGGGCTCTCACCCAGTCCTTTCCGTGGCCCCAAGCCGCGACTTACTCGAGTGGAAGGAAGCAAGGCCTCGCCAAAGATGGTTGAAAAGACCGTGAGCCTCTACCCAGGATCTTGAAGCCAAGGTGGTGGTTTGTTTTCCTCGTAATGATGGCAAATGAGTAAGAAGAGAGCACGCTATCTTCGGACAAATTAAATCTGAAATTCTCCCTGGAGGTGGAAGAAGGGGCTCTCCTCTGGTTAGTTAGTGGTTTGGAGCCCTTTTCGCCTTCAACTGAGCCACAAAAGGATGGAAGACACCCCCTGGGGTGGGGAGAAAGCCCTGGTGTAAAAGACACACGTTTGCTTTCAGAGAAAAAGCCACTGGGGCCAGATTGAAACATGGCATGTTCAGTTCATGTAGGTTTTTTTTTTTCCTTAATGGGGGAATGATATTGAGTAAACAAGATGTAATAGCTAGGTCTTTAAATTCTAGAAGGGAGATGGTGTACAAATGTAACAAGCACATATTGTACATACAGCAGGTGGTCATAGCCTGCGGAACACAAAAAGATACATATGTAAGCCCGCTAAAGGTCACGAAGGTGTATAATCGTGACCCGTGCAAGGGCGAGAGACGATAGATTTCCATTCCAGATGAGGTATGCTGTTTTCCCAGCCCCGTGTCCTCGTTCCTTTATTGTTCACAGACGTGCACTCCATTGAAAGGTTTTTAAAACCAGACAGAAACCCCCAAGTCAAGCTAATTGTGCTGACACTGGAAATAGGACAAAATGGAAGGAGCTGAAAAAATGTCACCATAACCTGTTAAAAAGGTTCACTCCTGTTTGATAGGAATCTGAAGACACAAAAATAACACTCAAGTAGCAGTGATGACCAAGCATAAGAAACATTTCTATTTTATTTTAAATTTGATTCATTGGTTAGTATTTGCAAACTGTGCTGAAAAGTTAAAAAAAAAATCTCAGTATACCTCTCTACTGCGTTAACTTCCATTGAGGAAGCCATTGTTCTCTGTGATGGGAGCACTGTATGATGTAAATTGCAAGTAGCATTTTTGCTGTTTAAGACTTTTCATGTAAATGACCCGAATTATTGTCTCACAGAAGAGTTGTTGGTCTTTAATTTCAAACAGCAAATTGTTTGGAATTGCACATAAATTGGAATACATATTTGCATATTTACACACGTTTAGAAAGACCTATGTAATCTGCAAATTTTGCCAGTCACAGCATCGCATTTATCAGCATTACAAGATGATGAAATTGAAACCCTTGTCTTCTTTTGGCCTGAAAACGGTGCCAGTACTCTGTGGGTTGGGTTTCAGCTTTACCTGGGCTTGATTTCATTTGAAAGGGAGCCTTTTTTCTTCTCCCAAAGATGGGCCTTTATTAATATGCATATAAAAACCGTATGTGCATTGAAGAGTACACTAGGACCTGCTAATGTGAAATCTTGACATGCTACACAGTTTACAATATATGGAATTTCATAATGTACATACCATGATAAATCCTAGGTTTCATGGATTTGGGATCTTTGTTTACTTAGAAGACTCTCTTGCCCCTCCCCCATTCCCTTCTTTTAAGAGTTGAAATGACAGCAAAGCAGCACTTGAATGGTTACAAGAGTTGTACTACCAAAACTAAAGTCTGAAATGCTTATCATAAAGAGCCTTCAGCTATACAACTGCCTCGTGGCTTCATCATGCCAAACACTTTTTTGAGCAGGGCTTTGTACAAAGCCCAGTGATTTAGCCGGAGCCTCGGCTGGAAGAAATTTGGTCTAGAAGCACAATTGATCATTTGCACAAATGGCAACAAATAACATTGCATCTGCTTTTAAATATCATAAACAAAAAGTAAAAGATATTTTATTGCAAGTTATCTCAGTTCTATTTTTGTAAAGAGGATTTCAGAGAAACCCCTTTGCCAGGTAGACCAGTAGTTAAAAGCAAAGCACCCGTCTTAGTCCATTTTGCAAAATCACTAAATTTCACAGCTGAAAAGACAGCATTTATTCTGGGTTGTTTTTTTTTTAAGCGGACACTACCCCTCTTCCAAAAACACAATACAAAAAGGTTCATTCTATTATTCTACATATGTAAGGCTCTCTTGTGCACCTCTCTGCTTTGAGCAACAATAGAATCAGTCACTCGACTGCAAGAATGAAATAAAACTATCATTTGAGTGCAGTCGATAAGGAAGGGCAGAACAAAGAAATCATATGATTCTTATGCCAAATAGAAACTAAAGGAATTCCAAACCCTTTGCGATTTTGTTGTTGCTGTTTTTATTGCTAACTCTCAATGTCTTGGCTTTTCCTCCAATCAGTGTATTGCAAAATCCTAGCTTTTTTCTTTAATCTTTTGTGGCTGGAAGCCGGCTTTGCAGAAGCCTGTAAATATCATCATACTTTCCCTCCAAATGCCCTTATGAAATTAGGAAATTCGTGTGTTAGGTAGAGCGCACAAAAGGTGTGTTCCTGGAGGGACAGTGGAAGGAAAAAAGGAAACACCTTTTCTTTATCTCACCATCCAGAGGCCCTGTGGAACTAACTACTAAACCGAGCAGTCTCATGCCTTGAACTACACATTTTTAGCTTGAAACCAAGCTAAGCCTAGGGGTTTATAGAGAGATTAATATATTAAATGTGTTAGCTTCTTTTTAAAGAAATTATTACACCTTTCAATCCTAGCACCATAATTTAAAGATTTGTAGCAGGGTAGCCAGCAAAGAAAAAGGAAAAAACAAAAGTCTACCTTTTCTTTTTAAGAACATCAAAATATGGATAGAATCAGGTTTTTTTATATTCAAAAACATACGCTTGAAAGAAATCATAACCAAGTTTAAATTATTATTAGCCTGCCAGAAATAGACTGTAGAGGATTCCCCTTATCCTTTGTTCGTGATTTCATAGATTTCTGTGGCAAAACCACCTCTCCTTTTCTGAACCTCAGTTTGGAAATGCCTGCAAAGGCCTTTAACCGAGAGACCCGAAGCGGGTGGGGGTTGGGCTCAGCATTGGGCATTATTTAGGAGGCCCCTCGATATTTGAATGACCTCCTAGGTCCTGGCTACTGGATGAATCCACTAATCCTTACCTCCTGCTGTCTCTGAAGGCCTAAATGCTGGAAAGCTGGCCTTGTCCAAGGAAAGAGTTGAGAAGGGTAGGGACAGAGAAAAGTGGGTAGTTTCTATGAGCCCTCCCTTCAGGAGTCAAAGGAGAGCCAGAAGTACGGGGATTGGGATCCTGGTAAAGATTCATCTGCAGAAACTGGGCCAAAGGAGAAATCTGTAGAGAACTTTATAAGATTTCCTAACCCTTTGTAACTTTTTTATATTACATCTGGGCTTCCTTAAAAGAAACTTGTGTTTGGGTTTGTTCTCTGCTCTCTAAGTCCTAGAGGAGGGGAAGAGAAAGAAGAAGAACCTAGGGAGGTATCTGAGAAAGGAAAAGGCTTAATCCTTTGAGGGCCTACCTGAAGGAGAAGGGAACACACAGGAAATGGGGACCCAGTTCCTCCTGAGAAGGAATCTCACTGGTCTCCTGCAGTGCAGACACTACCCTGAGCACTATGCATGCGCTAATATTGACTTCATCTTCCCATCCTGCCCTCATCATCCCTGCCATCACCACCACTTGGCACAATGCTTTGTACATCCCATAACTGACATTAATTATCAGTGAACTAAGGAATGGATAATGAACCCAGAGGCACCTAAAAGTAAATATGTCCCCAATTAAACCTAAGCTCTTTTGCTATTGTAGTGGATACAGTAGTGTTTTGTCTAGGTTCTCTCTTCAGAGTATACACCCTCATCCCCTAGCTGCTAAGAATATTGGCTGCCGACTACTCACAGCTGACTCCCTCACTGCAAATTGCTTTGGCCACCGTCTTGTGACAGTTCTTGGAAACTGTCTTGCCCAAGGCTACACCCACTTCCAAGAAGCAGCCAACATCTGGCTGATGTAGAGATAGAAAAACTTGGCCCTCTTGCCTTTATTTGGGCCAACTCTGAAGGGCCATCCCAGCCCCAGAGCTCCCTGTAAATTGGCTGAGGCCTCAATCACCATAGCACTGTGGGTCAACTCCTCCTTTCTAATCCTGCCTTCCTCAGTCCTTCACAATTATATCTCCAAAGATTATTCAGGGTCTGTTTCCAGCACCGCAGCCCGAGACACCCACCCACACCAGATTCATCTCCACAGTACCTGCCCTCTCAGAAAACGACCCTCATTCCCTCTCATCTGCTCCATCACCACAGGCTGGGAGGGTTCCACCTCTCAAGTGTCTATTGATCCCAATCCCTTCTCTCGGCTGACATCACGCACACACAACCTCAGGCCCATCATCCCAGTGTGGAACTGGTCACTGAGTCCTTGCCTCCAACCTGGCCAACGTTCAATGCATTCTGCACACTAAACCTTGAGGAATCTCTCCAACGATACCATCTTGTCACTCCTCTGCTCAAATGTTTCCAGATGACTCAATTGTCCTTAGAATGAGGTCCAGATTATAACTGTGACTTAGAAGTTTCTTCACGATTCGACCCATTTGCCTGCCCATGTCCCTGCCCCTCCATCCTCACATTTCAAGATCCAGGCTTGCCTTTTTGTTCTTTGAATATCACCTACTTCCTGTCACTGTCAGGCTTTCGCACATGCCGGCCCCGCTTTCTGGAAGACTCTCCTTACCCTTCACAACCTCCTCATCTAAGTCCTGTGTATTGGCCAGGTGTAGTGGCTCACACCTGTAATCCCAGCATCCTGGGAGGCCAGGTCAGGTGGATCACTTGAAGTCAGGAGTTCAAGACCAGCCTGGCCAACATGATGAAACCCCGTCTCTACTAAAAATACAAAAATTCGCTGGGTGTGAGGGCGGGCACCCGTAATCCCAGCTACTCAGGAGGCTGAGGCAGGAGAATTGCTTGAACCCGGGAGGTGGAGGTTGCAGTGAGCTGAGATCACGCCACTTGACTCCAGCCTGGGCGACAGAGCAAGACTCTGTCTCAAAAAAAAAAAAAAATCTAAAAGTTAAGTGCTCAGAACACCAGGATTAACACCTATAAGGTTTGGGGTTTTTTTTCCAATGACAAAGATAAAAGATGATCAAATACTTTAACATTTTCTGCTAAACTTAACGATGACTATTTTGAAGTCTCTTTTGAGGTTTCTTATTTAATACCAAAAGACTAGAAGTCACATGTCACTGGGAAAAGTTTCTGGAAAAACTTGGTTATTTCTGGAAAAGTTTAAAAATGAATAATAATAATTGACATATATAAACAAAAAACAAATGCTAAAATATGAAAATAATAACCAGAAAATACGGCTGCAACATAAAATACATTCGTCAGCAAACAGTTGGAAGATGCTTAGAAAATATTGCTGTAGGCCAAGTGTGGTGGCTCATGCTTGTAATCCCAGCACTTTGGGAGGCTGAGGAGGGCGGATCACGAGGTCAGGAGATCGAGACCATCCTGGCTACTAAAAATACAAAAAATTAGCCGGGCGTGGTGGCAGGCGACTGTAGTCCCAGCTACTTGGGAGGCTGAGGCAGGAGAATCGCTTGAACCCAGGAGGTGGAGCTTGCACTGAGCCGAGATTGCGCCATTGCACTCCAGCCTGGGCAATAGAGTGAGACTCTGTCTCAAAAAAAAAAAAGCAAGAAAATATTGCTGTAGATTTAAAGAAACACACATTAGAATAGATTACACAGTGTGGGAGGTTTGTGCAACTGTTGAATGCCTCTGCTTAAGGTATCTGCTTGCCCCTGTTCTCGTGATGACACACCTGAAAACACTTATTTTTTATGAACCACTAAAAAAAGTGTTTAGCAGAGAAGGTATATTATCAACAATAAATGATCTCTTTAATCAAAACATTATATCATTTTATTTAGAACAGGAACAGTAACCACGAATGGAGTAGCTTCTATACAGGAATTTAAAATTCTGGGGTTAAATTACGAAAATTCCAACACACACAAAATGTATCACCGATTCAGTTAAAATATCAAAATGCAAATTCAACACTTTCCAATTTATGTTGCAGAAACAATTGAGTGATACTGGCAAAGAGCGACTCACCACCCAAATGTCAACTAAAATCTTTTGCATAGCTGAAGGATGAGATTGAGCAATGAGCATTATGATTAAGTAAACAGTAAAAACGGCTGGGCGAGGTGGCTCACGCCTGTAATTTTAGCACTTTGGGAGGCCAAGGCAGGTGGATCATCTGCGGTCAGGAGTTCAAGACCAGCCTGGCCAACATTGTGAAACCCTTTCTCTACTAAAAATACAAAAATTACCCGGGTGTGGTGGCCAACGCCTGTAATCCCAGCTACTCGGGAGGCTGAGGCAGGAGAATCGCTTGGACCAGCGAGGCAGAGGTTGCAGTGAGCCGAGATAGCACCATTGCACTCCACCCTGGGCAACAAGAGCAAAACTCCGTCTCAAAAAATAAAAATAAAAAAGTAAATGGTAAAAATAATCTGTCTCTTCCTACTGGCAGAAAACTTTGCAAGGCATCCTCTCCCACTAGGACAGCCCTTTAAACAACCAAGTTTGAAAAAAACTAAACAGAGTAAAATCCTCAAATCATTTTATCACACTATTATGCCAATATTTCAAAAAAAAAAAGAGAAGCATATTCAATCATACCTCAAATATTAAGCATTGTAGTAAGAGCAAATTATTTTCTACTGCTAGTAAATAAAATTAAATGTTAATGGTATTGTTTAGTCCATCATTTCAATATTTTTTAATTTCTATTTTTGTATATCTTTTGTAATGTACATATTAGGATAGTACTAACTATATTTAAGCTGTAAGTTAGTTTTTATAAATTATAAGTGAATAATTGAGATGAATACTCAAAAAATTTTGAGGTGTGATCCAAAGACTACAAAGGTCACTGGGTTAGAAAAATTGTGTAAGTGGACAAGCTCAGATTTGCTCTGCACTGTAAAAATACGTCTACTCTATGGTGTCACTTCACCAACAGTCTAGACTTGGGGAAATAAAACATATGTGTCCCTGAATAAACCCATTCCAAGTATCAGATAGATAACTCAACAAAATATATCGGCTGGGCACAGTGGCTCATGCCTGTAATCCAAGCACTTTGGGAGGTCGAGGCGGGTGGATCACTTCAGGTCAGGAGTTCGAGTCCAGCCTGGCCAACATGGTAAAACCCCGTCTCTACTAAAAATATAAAAAATTAGCCGGGTGTGGTGGCGCACAACTGTAATCCCGGCTACTTGGAAGGCTGAGGCAGGAGAATTGCTTGAACCCAGGAGGCAGAGGTTGCAGTGAGCTGAGATCGTGCCACTGCACTCCAGCCTGGGTGACAGAGCGAGATTCCATCTCAAAAAAGAAAAATAAAAAAGGAAATATATCATACCCGTGCTATGTTTGACAAGGCCACATGAACAGCACAAGTAGTATATTCTCACCACACCCTTTTGGAATTTCCGTCTCAACCTCTGACCAAATGTTCAAGAGTCTACATTGCACCATTGAAAAAGAGTTCCTGGGCCAGGCACGGTGGCTCATGCCTGTAATCCCAGCACCTTGGGGGGTGGAGGCGGGCGGATCACCAGGTCAGGAGTTCAAGACCAGCCTGGCCAATATAGTGAAACTCCATCTCTACTAAAAATACAAAAATTAGCTGGGCTTGGTGGCAGGAGCCTGTAGTTCCAGCTACCGGGGAGGCTGAGGCAGGAGAATCACCTGAACTTGGGAAGCAGAGATTGCAGTGAGCCAAGATAGTGCCACTACAGTCTAGCCTGGGCGACAGAGCAAGACTCTGTCTCAAAAAAAAAAAGAGTTCCTGGGTACCCCCTTCTGGCAGAGCCTCTTTTACCATCTTGTCCAACCGAGGCATCCTACATAACAGTCAGTCAACTTGACTGTAGCCTGTGAAAAAATCAGAGCATAAACTACAACCAATTAAGCTACCTCAGGCCTTAGGCACCCTGCACTGTGCATATAACTAGGTAGTGCCAGGTGCAGTGGCTCATGCCTGTAACCCCAACATTTTCGGAGGCCAAGGTGGGTGGGAGGACCGTTTGCCCAGGAGTTCAAGACCAGCCTGGGCAACACAGGGAGACCCCGTATCTACAGAAAATAAAAATAAATTAGCTGGGCGTGGTGGTGTGCACCTGTGGTCCCAGCTACTCGGAAGGCCGAGGTGGGAAGATCGCTTGAGCCCAGGAGGTCGAGGCTGCAGTGAGCTGTGATCATACCACTGCACACCCACCTGGGCTATGGAATGAGACCCTATCTCAAAACAAAACAAAAAACTTAGTAACTTTGAGCTGGGTGTGGTGGCTCACGTCTGTAACCCCAGCACTTTGGGAGGCCGAGGCGGGTGGATCACGAGGTCAGGAGTTCGAGACCAGCCTGGCCAACATGGTAAAACCCTGTCTCTACTAAAAATACAAAAATTAGCCGGGCATGGTGGCACACACCTGTAATCCCAACTACTTGGGAGGCTGAGGCAGGAGAATCACTTGAACCGGGGAGGCAGAGGTTACAGTGAGCCAAGATCACGCCACTGCACTCCAGCCTGGGCGACAGAGAGAGACTTCATTTCAAAAAATAATAATAGTAATACTAAGTAACTTTGAGAAGGAAGCATTAAATAAGCCCTTGCAGGTGCTGTCCATCTGTCCATTCCTTTTTTTTTTTTTTTTTTTTTTTGAGATGGAGTTTCGCTCTTGCTGCCCAGGCTGGAGTGCAATGGCGTGATCTTGGCTCACCGCAACCTCTGCCTTCCGGGTTAAAGAGATTCTCCCACCTCAGCCTCCCGAGTAGCTGGGATTTTTGGGTTTTTTATTTTTTATTTTTTTGAGATGGAGTCTCACTCTGTCACCCAGGCTGGAGTGCAGTGGCGTGATCTCGGCTCACTGCAACCTCTGCCTCCCGGGTTCAAGCAATTCTCCTGCTTCAGCCTCCCAAGTAGCTGGGATTACAGGTGCATGCCACCACGCCAGGCTAATTTTTGTATTTTTAGTAGAGATGGGGTTTTTCCATGTTGGTCAGGCTGGTCTCAAACTCCCAACCTCAAGTGATCCATCTGCTTCGGCCTCCCAAAGTGCTGGGATTACAAGCGTAAGCCACCACGCCTGGTGTCTGTCCATTCTTTTACCTAGGCCATCCTACACCTATCCTTTAAATACAAATTAAGTTAAAAGGAATAGAGGCCCTTTCTCTTGGGGCATAGGATAACCCCCTGGCCCCTTTTTTGGCTATCTCCCTCAGGGAAACTACATAACTCTATAGACTGAAAGACTCCCCCTACTTAGGAAATTCTGCAGGGAGCACTGCACACCAGCCCATTCTTAAAATTCTCTTCCCTTAGCTTCCAAGACAACTTTCTCTCTTTCCATAAAGCCGTTCCTTCTCAGTCTTCCTCCTTGGCTAATTTTCCTGCATTCCTTTGTGAAATATGGACTGTTCTCCAGGGTCTATCTTTGGCCCTCATCTTTCCGAAAACTGCATTTCTTGGAGAAACACATTTGCTCTCAGGGCCTCAGGTCTATTCTGATGATTCCACATCTATGTTTCCAGATCGGATCTCTCCTCTAATTCCAGATCATAATGAATTGCATTGTGTCCCACAACTCCCAACTCAGGAGGTCCAAAAATGTAGGTCCTCCTCTTCTGTCCTCCACCACCAGCCTGTTACTCAATGGCACCACACTTCTTGGTTTGTCCCTGTCTCTGTTGTAGGAAACCCGTCACAGAAGAAAAAACAAAAAACAAACAAAAAAAACACCTTTTTATTATTGTCCTTTAAATAGCAAATATGCACTTTTTCCCTTCCCTCCCTTTCTTCCTTCCTCCTTCTTTTTTCTTCCTTTTTGCCTGCCTGCCTTCCTTCCTTCCTTCCTTCCGTCTGTCCTTCCTTCCTTCCTCCCTCCCTCCCTCTCTCTCTCTCTTTCTTTCTGAGACGGGGTCTCACTCTGTCACCCAGATAGCAGTGTGGTGGGTGGCGTGATCACAGCTCACTGTAGCCTTGACCTCCCAGATTCAAGCCATCCTTCTGAGTAGCCAGGAGTACAGGCATGTATCACTTCACCTTGCTAATTTAAACCAATTTTTTGGAGAGACAGGGTCTCACTGTGTTGCCCAGGTTTGTCTCAAACTCCTGGGCTCAGGCGATCCTCCTGCCTTGGCCTCCCAAAATGTTGGGATTACAGGTGTGAGCCACCACAGCGAGGCTTCTTTTATTTTTGTAGCCTGGAACTCCTGGGCTCAAGTGATCCTCCCACCTCAGCCTTCTGGGTAACCAGGACTATATGCACACACCACTGTGCCCAGCTGATTTTTACATTTTTTTTGTAGAGATGGGGTCTTGCTATGTTGCCCAGGCTGGTTCTGAATTCCTGGGCTCAAGCAGTTCTCCCGCTTCAGGGGAGCCCAGGAGTTCGAGACCAACCTAGGCAACATGGTAAAACCCCATCTCTACAGAAAAAAAAATACAAAAATTAGCTGGACATGGTGGTGCATGCCTGTAGTCCCAACTACTTGGGAGACTGAGGTGGGAGGATCGCTGGAACTTGGGAGGTGGAGATTGCAGTGAGCTGAGATCGTGCCACTGCACTGCAGCCTGGGCAACAGAGACTATCTCAAAAGAAAAAACAGACCGGGCGCGGTGGCTCATGCCTGTAATCCCAGCACTTTGGGAGGCCGAGGTGGGTGGATCACCTGAGGTAGGGAGTTCAAGACCAGCCTGACCAACATGGAGAAACCCCGTCTCTACTAAAAATACAAAATTAGCCAGGCGTGATGACGCATGCCTGTAATCCCAGCTACTAGGGAGGCTGAGGCAGGAGAATGGCTTGAACCCGGGAGGTGGAGGTTGTAGTGAGCCGAGATCTCAGCACTGCACTCCAGCCTGTGCAACAAGAGTGAAACCCCATCTCCAAAAAAAAAAAGAAAGAAAAACAAACTGAGTTTGGTCCCCTCTTGCACTCTCACAGGCAGTCAGTCTCTTGCTCTGTGATGCCTTCCTACATATTATAATGCAAACAGCCCTCAGCAGATGTGGCAAAGGTGTGGTCTATTGGATTCACTGCTCTAATCCCCAACATCTAGTGTTCTGGGTCCTTATAAGGCTGGGCACTGCTAAGTGTTAAGGAATGAAGAAAGAAAACACAAAGCAAGACTGCACCAACAGAGGATTTAAGTGCTAACGGGGCAATCCATGCCGCATTCCCATCTGGCCTTGGCTGTCTCCTCGGAAATTTTTCAATTGTAACGGGGATTCCAAGGATGCAAACATTTGTTTTCTGGTCCAGATACCAGATTAAGACCACCAGTACATACCAAACTGCCAAACCCCGGGCAAATAACAGCTAACAAATCCTAACACAAATCAAAATTAAGCCATAAATTTGGAAGTAAAAATAATTTTTTAAACATACCCCTATTCATTCCTTGCCTTGCCAAGTATCCCCCACCCATAATCACTGCATTTCCTTCCTCCAACTTCATTCACTGTTACTGTCCATTGAGCTCAGTTCCCATAAGCTAGAAAACCAAATTATATCCATCAGATATTGTCCTCAAAGGCTCGTCTTTAAAATAGTTGGCTGTGTCTGGGGTGATAGTATGGGCAGCTCCATCAGATGTTCTGACAACTGAGTATTGTTAGTTTTGACTCCATTACTTAGAGGAGACTTTGTAATTCTCTCTCAATCACTCATGTATATTTACTCGCTAAGTAACTCTTGTGACCCCCGGCATTCCTCTCATGGGCATTTTACAGAGGCAGGAAGCCAGAAAGGAGGTTAAAGCCCCAAAAGCACCCCTTTTCTATCCAGCAGCAGAAAGTAAATGCTTCTTGCTAAGGTTTGAATTTTAAGAGTTTTCATGCAGAGGGAAGCCAAATTTCCTTTTTCTTTTGCCTGTCCCAAATCTCACCCCCCACTCCCCGGGGGACTAAGGGAGGGAACACACTAGAAAACATCTGCCTTCATACAAATAAATTGTCAGGTATGCCTTTTTTTCTTTTCTTTTTGAGACAGTTTCACTCCGTCGCCCAGGCTGGAGTGCAGTGAGGCGATCTTGGCTCACTGCAACCTCCGCCTCCTGGGTTCAAGCGATTCTTCTGGCTTAGCCTCCCGAGTAGCTGGGACTCTAGGCCCACACCACCAAGGCTGGCTAATTTTTTTTTGTATTATTCATAGAAGCAGAGTTTCGTCATGTTGGCCAGGCTGGTCTCTAACTCCTGGCCTCAAGCGATCCACTCCCCTTGGCCTCCCAAAGTGCTGGGATTACAGACTTGAGCCACCGTGCCTGGTCTGATTCCATTGTCCGACATAATGTTATTTCTCAAGTTCCTGAAACATCCTCCTACTGTAATGGGCAAGCTGGAATCTGAACAGAGCCTTTAAGTGCTCAATAATTGTACTACAATACAGTGAAGTCTTTAGTGTACTTTGGATGCATAAGACCCTTGCCCTCTGTTCTAAATGGCCACCATCTGCTAGTTTGCTATACTTCTGGGGTCTTGCCTCTGTTCCTTATGGTACTTCCACAGTTTTCCTCGAGCTGTACTCCTGGAAGAAGGAATTACTGCTTCTGCCATTCCTAGTGGACCTGCTTGGCAGCTTCTGCTTTCTAATCAGCTACTGAAATCAATCAACCAAATTTGCAAGGACCATGACTAAACTATTATAAAAGGAGGAGTTCGCAGTTCCTGGAGTTTACATCATCCTGCGGTTTGTAAATTTCCCCCTCCCCCTGCATTCCTCCCCGGTGTTTTAAACAGCTAGCTCTGCTGGGTACAGGTATGGTAGCTCATGCCTGTAATCCCAGCACTTTGGGAGGCCGAGGCCAGGCGGATCACCTGAGGTCAGGAGTTTGAAACCAGCCTGGCCAACATGGTGAAACCCCATCTCTCTAAAAATACAAAAATTAGCCAGTTGTGGTGGTGGGCACCTGTAATCTCAGCTGCTTGGGAGGCTGAAGCAGGAGAATTGCTTGAACCTGGGAGGCGGCGGTTGCAGTGAGCCAAGATTGTGCCATTGCACTCCATCTGGGCGACAAAAGCAAGATTCCGTCTCAAAACAAAACAAAACAAAAAACCCCAAAATTAGCCAGGCGTGGTGGCAGGCGCCTGTAGTCCCAGCTACTTGGCAGGCTGAGGCTCGAGAATCACTTGAACCTGGTAGGCAGAGGTTGCAATGTGCTGAGATCATGCCACTGCACTCCAGCTTGCGTGACAGAGCAAGACTCCATTTCAAATAAATAAATAAATAAAAATAGCTGGGTCTGCAGGACCTGTGACTTCTGGGAACTGAGTAGAATGGATAATAGCCAACACTATGGAGCACTTACTCTATGCCAGGTACTGTTGTAAGTAGTTCATTCTGTAATTATTTCACCCACTGTCTCTCACAAACCTACGACTTGGGGCTTGTGATGAGCCAAGTTTGCAAATGAGGTTAGGTCACTTTTTCAAGCAAGGAGTCACTCTCAATCCCAGGCAGTCTGGCGCCCTGATGTGTTGCATACTCCTGGATTTGGAGTTTGAACTTGAAAGCCCTGAGTCATCGCAGTCCTTTACCTCTTCCTCCAGGCGCCAGTTTTATTTTGTTTTTTTAAATATATATTTTTTAGAGTCCCACTATGTTGCCCAGGCCAGACTCAAACTCTCAAACTCCTGGGCTCAAACGATTCTCCCTCTTCAGCTACCTGAATAGCTGGGATTACCATATTCCAATTTTTTTTTTTTTTTTGAAACAGAGTTTTGCTCTTGTTGCCCAGGTTGGAATACAATGGCATGATCTCGGCTCACTGCCACCTCCGCCTCCCAGGTTCAAGTGATTCTCCTGCCTCAGCCTCCTGAATAGCTGGGATTACAGGCGCCCGCCACCACGCCCAGCGAATTTTATGTATTTTTAGTAGAGACGGGATTTCAACATGTTGGCCAGGCTGGTCTTGAACTCTTGACCTCAGGTGATCCGCCCGCCTCAGCCTCCCAAAGTGCTAGGATTACAGGTGTGAGCCACCATGCCTGGCCCCATATTCCAATTTTTATTGAGCCTGTGGACCCCTATCTCCTAAACACTCCATAGCTCTTAGGATAAAATCCTAAGACTTTAGGATTTACTCAGCCCTCCAAAGTCCAGCCCTGGCTTACCTCCCCAGCCTCTTTGGCCCAAATCCCCTGGCAAGCAACATTCCTATAGTTCCTCAGTGTCTCTTTGGTTGGAAGAAAGACTTTCTTGCCTGGAGGCCTTTGCATCAGGGCGGTCCCTTAACTATCACTCAGATCCTCCCCCTCTGCCTGGCTAACTCTTACTCACCATTTGCGTTATAGCTTAGAGCCCACTTCCTCCTGGGAGCTGTGGAGACCTCTACACTGGTTAGGTCCTCCTGATGGGAGCTCCAGTCAGCTCAGAATTTCGCAAGTTGTTGGCATTTATCCCCCAGCCCTGGGATTGCTTTATTTGTCTCTATCCCTCACAGAGTAGATTACAGGCTCCCTGAGGGCAGGACCTCCTGTGTCTGGTTCACCATTACTTCCCCAAAGAGTAGCACAGTGCCGGAGGCACCCTGCAGGAGTGACAGGAATCACAGGTAAAGTTTATTCATTCACCCACTGAACACATTTATCGAGTGCCTGCTAGACACCATACACTATGGTACTCAAGCTTTTCTCATTTAATCCTTCTTCAAGGATTACTTTATTTCATCTTCATAACGAGACACCGAAAAACCCAGTTCATAGATTCGGAAAATTAGATGGAGGTTCTTCTGTGTAAAAAAATTAGCTGGGCCAGGCGCGGTGGCTCACAACTGTAATCCCATCACTTTGGGAGGCCAAGGCGGGTGGATCACCCAGGGTTAGGAGTTTGAGACCAGCCTGGCCATCATGGTGAAACCCTGTCTCTACCAAAAATACAAAATTAGCCAGGCGTGGTGGCGTGTGTCTGAAGTTCCAGCTACTCAGGAGGCTGAGACAGAATTGCTTGAATCCAGGAGGCGGAGGTTGCCCTCCAGCCTGGGTGACAGACTGATACTCCGTCTCAAAAAAAAAAAAAAAAAAAAAAAGCCTAAGGTCACAGTAGGAAGCCTTTGTTGAATGAACACGCGAATGGATGCACCGAGGTCGGGGTTGGGAATATCCGGATTAAGATACCACTGAAGAATTAAGGTTATGTGCCTCCTTAGAGGTGAACTATTAAAAAATCTAATGTAAAAGGCCTGAGATGGGCAAAGTCCCCTTAGGAGACAAAGCCTGCCGGCCAAGGCAAGCCTAGACAGTAATCTAATTGAAGGTATTAGCATATCTAAAGAAAGAATGTGTCAATCACAAGGGGGGGTCGGTGAGTTTAGAACCTGGGAAAATACACTACAGTCGGAATCCTGCTTTGACCGTGAGGAACCCAGAACCTTTCCCCGCGGGAGGTGCCAGCTGATGTGGCAGGTGTATCCCCGCGTGGGGAAGGACGCAGCCGCCAGCTGAACCGCCGCCTACCGCCCCCGCTCCCTCTCCCGCGGAGCTGGCGACCCGATTGCAATTCCGCTTCCGCCGACAGAAACTGCCTAATAATAGCTCCCTTGTGTTTGTCTGCACCCCGGCTAGGCACTTGCCTACAGCCTAAGTTGCATTTCGGCCTCACACAGCCCAGTCTCCAACTGGGGAAGCTTGCAGAGCTAGAAGGCACGTCCAAGGTCAAATTGCAGACCGGAAAGGGAAGAGCTGGAATGGCCCAGCTCCAGGTGCGGGATCAGCTGGCCACCCCTTGCCTGTCCCGCCCATACGAGCATGCTTGGGACTCTTGGTAGAAATTAACTAAATGGGCCTTGCGGTGTAGGCCCCTGCCTTTTGCGGGCTGATTTCAGGTCCGCCTTCCTTGCGATGCAAGTCATCTCAGTATGTGAAGGTTGAAACTAATCCACTTCGGGAGTCCTCCTGCGGCCCCAGCTCCTCCCGCCCGCTGAGCTACTCCGCAAGTCACAGAGATGCTCCTGTCCCTCCAGGCCTTTCCTGCTCCCCCAACCCTGCCGTCCTGCCAGTTCTCCCTTAAAAACTAACATCTTGCAAGGGACTGAAGGGAAAAGAAACAAACGGTTGCTCTCCTCAAACCATTGAACAAAACAGATTACTTAAAACCCTGTTACAATTTTGCCAGTGAAAGGAGCAGCCCATTAGTAATTAGGGTAGGACAATCCCGCAACCCAGCACTGACCCTGGCAAAGGTGGCACTTCACCCCAGGTGCTTGGAAGAGACAGGGATCTGAAGGCATGGATCTGCCAATGTATAGCCATGTGACCTTGGAAAAAGTTTTGTTTGTTTGTTTGTTTTTTGAGACGGAATCTTGCTCTGTCGCCCAGGCTGGAGTGCAGTGGTGCGATCTCGGCTCACTGAAAGCTCCGCCTCCCGGGTTCACGCCATTCTCCTGCCTCAGCCTCCCGAGTAGCTGGGACTACAGGCGCCTGCCACCACGCCCAGCTAATTTTTTTTTGTATTTTTAGTAGAGACGGAGTTTCACTGTTAGCCAGGATGGTCTCGATCTCCTCACCTCGTGATCCGCCTGCTTCGGCCTCCCAAAGTGCTGGGATTACAGGCCTGAGCCACCGCGCCCAGCGGAAAAGGTTTTGCCATTGTATAGCCATGTGACCTTGCAAAATTCCTGAAACTGGAGGGCCTGAGAGGTCAAAGAAAGCGTCAAGGTTTTCCCTCTCTTCAAGAGCAGAGTAGGCTTAGAAGAAACAGCAAAGCATTTTAGCCTATGCACGGATAGGCACCCCGAGGCATGCTTTAGACATTTCCCACCTCGTTCTTTACAGACAGGACTTCAGGGACAAGAGGTCAGTACAGTAAGAAAATGCTGCATGAACGTTGTGACCTGCATTGTTCTTTCCCATCTCTCTGCCCTCCCTTGCTCTTCAAACACGCGCCAATGCCTCATTAAAGACTGCAAACCATCCCATTAGGTGCAAATGCATGGAAACATATTCATGATTATTCAAATGAATCCTTGTAAAATAATCAGTATTGTCTGCATAAATATTCATCATCACTGGGCTAATCACTACGCAATCTCACGAGGGTGTGGCCCTGTAATCCTGCACCCTTTTGCCCTCTCCTTCCTCCTCCCTTTGTCTGAGACTCTTTTTTTCTCCACTCCTAAGCCTCCTAAGGTTTTCCTAGGTCTTCAAGATCTCATTCAGGGTAAAGATATTTCTGGTTCTGATCTAATGCTTGATGTATTTATCTCTCTTGGAAGATTATTCTACCAGAAGGTGATTTTTTTTTTTCTGCAAAGTGTATCTGACCATGGCTCAACAGCTGCAGATTCTCCGGCATCAATACTTCCTTGATACTAAAAGATTCTCTTCATCGCATGGGCATTGTGGCCAGAGCAGTGTGCTGGGGCCGGGGGAGCACCCAGAAGGATGACACCTTATAGTCTGGTGCAGGATAAAGACAAGGGAGATACGCTCTGCAACAATATGTGGAATAAGGCCAGGCGCGGTGGCTCACGCCTGTAATCCCAACACTTTGCGAGGCTGAGATGAGCAGATCACTTGAGGTCAGCAGTTCAAGACCAGCCTGGCCAACATGGTGAAACCCCTGTCTCTACTGAAAATACAAAAATTAGCTGGGCATGGTGGCACATGCCTGTAGTCCCAGCTACTTGGGAGGCTGAAGCAGGAGAATCGCTTGAACCCCAGAGGCAGTGGTTGCAGAGAGCAGCGATCACACCATTGTAGTCCAGTCTGGGCGACAGAGCGAGACTCTGCCTCAAAAAAAAAAAAAAAAATCAATAGCGGAATGAAATCCACGCAAATAGAAGTACAAGGCAGAAGCCCTGGGAGAACATGGGGGGTTGGAGAGCAGGCACCAGGAGAAGCCTGGAGATGTGGAGAGGGGAGCACCTCTGGGCTGTGTGGCATTCAGATGCTCCATTCTAGCTATGCACCTCTTCTCATCCTGGTTGTACCCCTCTTTTTTAACTTGAAGATTTGTTATTGACGGCAGAACCATGTGGAAAGTTAGAAAATCAGCATGCATTTGGGTGAGGCAAGGTATGAGGAAGATCCCCATAAGACGTGTGAGTAAGCAGACATTAATCCTTTAAATGAACCCCTCTAGGAGCTTGTTCCAGTCACTAGGACTTAGCACAGTGGCAAGAAAAAGCCAAAGAAAACAAAGAAAGGCACATGCATTTATAAGCTCAAGAAACCAGAACACGGGGTCATACAAGTGCCCTTTTTTGGTAGTACCCAGTTACGCCCAGTGGAGTCTATTTAGACATTTGATGGTAAGGAAGTGTCAAAGCCATTTATATCCACTGATGGAAAAAGATACAAAAGAAGAGGAACCTTTTTACAGTTAAGAACTTTGCAAATTCTGGAATGGGAATAGAAATAACAAAATTTGCCCAGGCACAGTAGCTCACTCCTGTAATCCCAGCACTTTGAGAGGCTGAGGTGGGCAGATCATTTGAGGTCAGGAGTTCGAGACCAGCCTGGCCAACATGGCGAAACCCTGTCTTTACTAAAAATACAAAAATTATCCGGGTGTGTTGGCACACACCTGTAATCCCAGCTACTCGAGAGGCTGAGGCAGGAGAATCGCTTGAACCTGGGATGCAGAGGTTGCAGAGCAAGACTCTGTCTCAAAAAAAAAGAAAAGAGAAAAAAGAAAAAAGAAATAACAATATTAAAAGGAAAAGAAAAGATAATTAACAGCTACCACAACTTCAATGCCCAGAAAAAATGTGTAAGTAGTCTATGTTGTAGGCTATTCTGTAAGGTTCAGGGGAATCTCACTGTTGTCTTTAATTTGATATAAGAATCATTTTACTTTTCAAGCTTTTCAGGGTGTAAAGAAAACCCATTGTTGTGTATGTTTTGAAGAAGAATCATTTTTCTTATCAAATAGAAGCAAATAGCTCGTAAGTACCAAACATGTATAGCATGAAAATGAATTGAAAATACTTTCTAAGGCAATATTTTTAGTACATTCATTTGTCTTCTTAAAGGCCTGAAAATAAAATAGCCCATCAAGGAAAGCACTCTGTTTCCCCTTCCTATTAAACATAGAGAACACGACCAGGGTAGAGAAAGGATGCTGGGTGACAATAACCCATTTTTAATGGTTGATTTGTTAGTGGCTTCAGAGAGATAAATAATATTACTTTCTAATCCAAAGAAGTCTCATACCTAAGATTTGCAACATTATTTCTTAAATCCACATAGCTTTCTCTTCCTAGAAATTGTCACACACAAAAACATAAGAGTCCCTGGTTTGATTTAATGAGATTTACACAAAGGGAGTTGTCAGTAACCACTGAAACAGGGCAGGGTTTTCATAATGATTGTGCTTGAATTGTGTTCCAGTCTGAAAAGAGCCTTTTTAATTATAGGGTTTTGGGGGTGGGGGAAGCAGGGTGTGGGAGAGTGGCAGGGGCGGGGGAGTGGATGTAGTTTTTCACGGTAAGAGACTGAAAAGTCTTTTATCTATTTAAAAGGATAGCAGGTGGGCTCCACTAACAAGTCTTAACCCCAGGACTTAGCTTAACCCTGGAGAAAATGTTTTTCATTTTCACCCCTATGTATTTGCTGGTTCTTCACTTCTTTAAATTGCAAGCTCTTCAAATAGAGCTCAGAAGGCCTGGGGGAGTAGGCAGTTCAGCCAAGGACAGTTCCGAGGGTTTGGAATACCTCTGCACAACAGAGCTCCTGGAGACCTCGACAGTTGCGCAGGCAGCCCTGAATCAGCAGCTCCCAGGCAACGCTGACCCGAGCTATTTTGAAGCTGGTGACACTAAAGCCTATGACTGTCACCCGGATTAACAGCGTGGGAGCTAGGATTTTTGATAGTGTTAGGTAATTCCACCCATCTGAATTTCTCTATTTCGATTTCTCACCTCAAGCCTAAAAACATCCATGCAACTCATTCTAGAAAGAAGCCCAATCTAGTTAATTTTACCAGTGAACTGTATAGGATGAAATCCCTACACAAAAGGGCAGGGCCAGAGCCCGCTCCATGTGGAAGGCATGCTTGGAAGTCCAGGGTCAGCTCAGCACTGTCTGGCTTCTTGTCTTCTCAGGATTTACTCCCCCTTCACCATTTTTGTCACTTTCCATTTTTTTTCTGATTATTTTTATTGCAATACAGATGAGGTCTCCTTAGGTTGCCCAGGCTGGTCTTGAACTCCTGGGCTCAAGTGATCCTTCCGCCTCGGCCTCCCAAAATGCTGGGATCATAGGCATGAACCACTGCACCAGGCCTCTTTTTACTTTTCAAATTATGTTTATTGAGGTATAATTTATATACAGCTTAAAAATTCACCCTTTTTTGGTGTATAGTTCTATGAGTTTTGACAAACAAATGTTATGCTGTGAGATGAACTGTATCTGCCTCCCAAATTCATATCTTCTTGAAGACCTAGCCCTCAATGTGATTATATTTGGACATAGAGCTTTTTTTATTTTTTAGATAGAGTCTCACTCTGTCGCCCAGGCTGGAGTGCAGTGGCGTGACCCCAGCTCACTGCGACCTCCGCCTCCCTGGTTCAAGCAATTCTCCTGCCTCAGCTTCCCAAGTAGCTGGGATTACAGGTGCCCACCACCATGCCCGGCTAATTTTTGTATGTTTAGTAGAGACAGGGTTTCACTATTTTGGCCAGCTGGTCTCAAACTCCTGACCTCAGGTGATCCACCCGCCTCGGCCTCCCAAAGTGCTGAGATCACAGGTGTGAGCTGCCACCGCGCCGGGCTTATCATTTCTTAATATACTTAGTTCAAACTGATTAGTCAGATTAGTTTTATTCAAAAGCAGGAATGAAGAAATGGAAGATGAGACACAGCACACGTCAGTCCCACATTTCTAGTTGTCTGCTGGCAATTTTCATTTGGATATCCCACCAGCATGTCCAACCCATAAATTACCTTCCCTCAAATCAGATCTTCCTTTGGAAGGAAGGGCTGTTAACTTCACCTAATCATTGAGTTCAAAACCTCGGTGTCATTTTTGTCTTTATTTTTCCTCATTCTCTACATTAGCTTAATCTCTAAGTCCTGTTGACTTTGCCTTCATGAAGTCTTAGTTGTTCACGATTATCATCTTGATGAGGCTCAGAAACCAAGACCCGGCTGGGCACAGTGGCTCATGCCTGCAATTCCAGTACTTTAGGAAGCCAAGGAGGGAGGATTGCTTGAAGCCAGGAGTTTGAGACCAGCCTGAGCAAGATAGTGAGACCCCATCTCTACAAAAATAAAAACTTAGCCAGGCGTGGTGGTGCGCACCTGTAGTCTTAACTAACTGGGAAGCTGAGGTGGGAGGATCTCTTGAACCTAAAGCCTGGGAAACATAATGAGGCCTCGTCTCTACAAATTTTTTTTTTAATTAGCTGGGTGTGGCGCCGCATGCCTGTAGTCCCAGCACTTTGGGAGGCTGAGGTGGGCAGATCACTTGAGGCCAGGAGTTCTAGACCAGCCTTGCCAACATGGAGAAACCCTATCTCTATTAAAAATACAAAAATGTAGCCAGGTGCAGTGGCGCAAGCCCATAGACCCAGCTACTCTGGAGGCTGAGGATCACTTGAGCCCAGGAGTTCCAACCTACAGTGAGCTGTGATCATGCCACTGCACTCCAGCAAAACATCTCACCCCACCAAAAAATTCCTTTTTTAAAAGTACTTTAAAAATACGAGACAGCCAGGCTGTCTAAAAAAAAAAAATAAGAAAGAAAAGAAAGAGACCAATACACCCAAATGTGGTGCTTTGACATGCTGAACTGAAGAAGCCTCAAGGTCTTTCTGATATCCCCCCTCAACATCTCTCCCAAAACCTTTATCTGCCTAAGAACCAGACCCATCAAAATAAACAATTGCTTTTTCTTCCCCTTCTTGTAAGACCAAGAATCCAGCCACACCAACAGAAACTTTCACAAAATACTGTACAAATTAATCTCTGTTCCCTGATCCATTCATCCTTCCTAGTAACCCCTCAACAGAATTCGTCTTCCTCCCCCTTCCCATAAACTGTTTTGCCAGGATAGAGTATAAGCTTCCGAACCACTCTGGGGCCTGGGCAGTCACTCTGTGCTTCTCCTCGTGTATAGTTCATAAAATGTGTATGCCTTTTCTCCAATTAATCTGCCTCTTGGGAGCTGATTTTTCAGCGAGCCTTCAGAGGGTGAAAGGGAAGTTTCCCTTGGTCCCTATAATCTGAATCCAGGCTTAAACTTTTAGTTTCCTGGCCAGTCCCTGACTCCTGTCTGTCTTTTGAGGATATAACCATTACATTTGTCAAATGACAAAATTACAACAAACTTAGTTTGAAAGATCTTAATTGGCTTTATTTACAATTCTAGAATCGGGTAACACTTCATTCCATAAAACAGAATAAATGTTCCAATGACCTGAGCAGTAGAGGATTTTTTTGTTTGGTTGGTTGTTTTTGTTTTTTGTTTTCTTATAGGGTCTCACTCTGTCACCACACCCAGCTAATTTTTTTTGTATTTTTAGCAGAGACGGGGTTTTGCCATGTTGTCCAGGCTGGTCTCAAAATCCTGACCACAGGTGATCCGTCTGCCTTGGCCTCCCAAAGTGCTAGGATAACAGGTGTGGGCCACTGCGCCTGGCCTCTTATGAGTTTTTTTAAAACACATTTTCTCCCCAGATTTGGGAGAAAGAAAGTGCATTGGATCTAAGAGGTGAAAACAAAAGGCCTACTAGTGATGTGCAAAGGCAAACTAAATGCTGAGAAAAGAAAGAGTTGAGGGGATTATATTTAATCAGGGTACTTAATGCTCTAACTCTTGAAACAGGACCACATTTCAGTGGATTAACAAAGTAGTTTGGCCGGGTGCGGTGGCTCACGCCTGTAATCCCGGCACTTTGGGAGGCCGAGGCGGGTGGATCACTTGAGGTCAAGAGTTAGAGACCAGCCTGGCCAACCTTGTGAAACCCTGTCTCTACTAAAAATGCAAAACTTAGCCAGCATCATGGTGCACACCTGTAGTCCCAGCTACTCGGGAGGCTGAGGCAGGAGAATCGCTTGAACCCAGGAGGCAGAGGTTACAGTGAGCTGAGAGCATGCCATTGCACGCCAGCCTGGGCGACAGAGCAAGACTCTGTCTCAAAGAAAAAAAAAGTTTTTTTCTTCTTCACATCACAGGCTTTGCTGATGAGATGGTTCTCCAAACACTGACTGCATATACTGGCTGTTCCCACACAGACAGTAAACGAAACCCAAATGGCTGATAAGCGCATGAAAAAGTGTCCATCATGATACGTCATCAGGGAGATGCGAATTAAAATCATAGAAGATACCATTTTACATCCACCAGATGGCTAACACTTTTTTTTTTTTGTATTTTTAGTAGAGACAGGGTGTCACTGTGTTAGCTAGGATGGTCTCAATCTCCTGACCTCGTGATCCACCCGCCTCAGCCTCCCAAAGTGCTGGGATTACAGGCGTGAGCCACTGCGCCCGGCCAGAGATGGCTAACATTTAAAAGGCTGACAACACCAAATATTGGAGAGGATGTGGAGCAACTGGAATGCTCATGTATTATTTAGAAAATGAATCATGGCTGGGCACAGTGACTCACGCCCACAGTCCCAGCACTTTGGGAGGCTAAGGCTAGAGGATCTCTTGAGCCCAGGAGTTAAAGACCAGTTTGAGCAACATAGTGGGACCCTGTCTCTACAAAAAAGAAAACATCAGCAGGGGATGGCAGTGCACTCCTACAGTCCTAGCTAATCATGAGACTGAAGTGGAAGGATCCCCTGAGCCCAGGAGGTCAAGGCTACAGTGAGCTCGATACAAAATTAGCAGGGCATGGTGGTGCACGCCTGTAGTACCAGCTACTCAGCTACTCAGGAGGCTGAGGCAGAAGAATCCAATGAACCCGGGAGGCGGAGGTTGCAGTGAGCCGAGATCATGCCACTGCACTCCAGCCTGGGTGACAGACTGAGACTCAGTCTCAAAAAAAAAAAAAAAAAAAAGAATAGATCCATTGTTTGGATGCTTCTGAGTTCAGACTCTTGAATAAAAGGTTTACTGTAGGTATCGTGGCTGGAGCGTAGTCTCCATGAGGACTCAGGTGGAGGGGGGATGGTCTGGAAGAAGACGGTGCTATTGTCTCAACAGCCCCTCCTTTTGTTGGGAAACACTCTCCCCTGGCCCTGTGTGGTTCTGATGGGACTGCTGATCTAAGTACTCTGAATGGTTGGCCCACCTGCATTTCTCCAATATAAGCTAAAGGGAAAGGACCCTTTTCAGCTTGGGGGCAGCAGCAGTGAGGAAGAGGCAGTGGTTAGTTGAGAAATGGGGGTCTTGGAGCTCTGGTGCCCAAGCTGAGGCCTCTCTCTCAAAACATGTAGACATTCAACTCTGAACCAGTTTACATTAATAGCCCACAAACACCACCATTTAAGCACTCAGAACAAAGATCCTCCAAACTGCAGAAATTGGAGTCTGGCCCATGGGCTTCATTAGCATCCTATTTAAATGCAGAAGTGATATCTTTATTTAACGTATTGTCCCTGGACTCCTTTCTTTCCCCATCTCTTGCTGCCAAGAATTGCTACTGGGACAACTGCTACTGGGCCATCCAATGGTGTTGGCTGATTCTTGCCTGGAAGAGCTCTTTTTGCTAGGTCCTTGCCTACACCGGGCAGGAGAGAGGGGTGCCACAAAGACAGCGCAGTTAGCCCCTGGGCACAGTGCTAGCCCAAAGGCTGTCTGGGAAAGGGGAAGCTTTCAGAAGCTGTGGACTCCCTCAGGGCCGCCCCAGTCTCAGGAGAGGTATGTCCCAGGGCAGCAGCTTGTGGCCAATTCTGGGAGTCCTCCTGAGACTGTCAGTCATATGGAAATAAAGTCACCCCTCTGGGACCAAAGCCCATCAGAACACATGGAATGTACACAGCCCTGTCCAGGAGGGCAAGGTCACATTCTGGATTGTACAGAGCACCAGGAAGATCCAGCTTTGAATCCCAGCCTCAGTTCATGCAAATGTGTGTGATGAGGCCAGGCACGGTGGCTCCATCTGTAATCCCAGCACTTTGGGAGGCCAAGGCAGGCAGATCACCTGAGGTCAGGATTTTGAGACCAGCCTGACCAACATGGTGAAACTGTATCTCTACTAAAAATACAAAAATTAGCTGGGTGTGGCGGTGCTCGCCTGTAGTCCCAGCTACTCAGGAGGCTGAGGCAGGAGAATGGCTTGAACCTGGGAGGCGAAGCTTGCAGTGAACCAAGATCATGCCACTGCACTTTAGCCTGGGCGACAGAGGGAGACTCAGTCTCAAAAAAAAAAAAAAAAAAAACAAGTGTTTGATGATATTAACCCTCTGTAACTATGGGTTCCTTATCTGCGAATTTAACCAACTGTGGATTAAAAATATTCAGAAGGCCGGGCACAGAGGCTCACGCCTGTAATCCTAGCACTTTGGGAGGCCGAGGTGGGTGGATCACCTGAGGTCAGGAGTTTGAAACCAGCCTGGCCAACATGGTGAAACCCCATCTCTATTAAAAATACAAAAACTAGCCAGGCGTGGTGGCAGGTGCCTGTAATCCCAGCTAGTCAGGAGGCTGAGGTGGAAGAATCCCTTGAACCTGGGAGGCAGAGGTTACAGTAAGCTAAGATCACGCCACTGCACTCCAGCCTGGGCAACAAGAGTGAAACTCTGTCTCAAAAAAAAAAAATTTTTTTTTCAGAAAAAAAGAAAAGGATGGTTGTGTCTGTACTGAACAGAGACTTTTTTTCCTTGTCCTCATTCTCTAAACAATGCAATATAATGACTATTTATATAGCATTTACATTGTATTAAATATTATAAGTAATCTAGAGATGATTTAAAGTATAGGGGAGGATATGCATATGTTATATACAAAGTACTATGCTTTTTTTTTTTTTTTTTGAGATGGAGTCTCATTCTGTCACTCAGGCTGGAGTGCAGTGACACGATCTCGGCTCACTGCAATCTCTGCCTCCCAGTTTCAAGCAATTCTCCTGCCTCAGCCTCCCGAATAGCTGGGACTACAGGCACGTGCCACCAGGCCCAGCTAATTTTTTTGTATTTTTTGTAGAGACAGGGTTTCACTATGTTGGCCATGCTGGTCTCAAACTCCTGACCTCAGGTGATTTGCCCGCCTCGGCCTCCCAAAATGCTGGGATTACAGGCATGAGCTACCACACCCGTCCTATGCCATTTTATTTAAAGGACTTGAGCCTCTGTGAATTTTGGTATCCTCAGGGGGTCCTGGAACCAACCCCCATGGATATAGAGGGATTATTCTATCTATCTCATGGACTGCCTGGAGCACCTGATATATCATGTATATGAAAATAGTTTGTAAATAGTACTAAATTACTTGCCATTTACCCCCAAGAAATTAGGGCCACACAGAGGGCAAAGTCTAGGTCTCATACCTTTTAAAAACATTGTGATGAAAAAACACAACAAAATTTACCATCTTAACCAAGTGTTAAATATATTAAGTATGTTCATATTGTTGTCAAACAGATCTCCAGGACTTGTTTAAAATTATTATTTTTAATAGAAATGGGGTCTTGCTATGATGCCCAGGCTGGTCTTGAATGCCTGAGCTCAAGCAATCTGCTCTCCTTGGCCTCCCAAAGTGCTGGAATTACAGGCAGGAGCCACCTCACTTGGCCCAAAATCTCCAGAACTTTTTCATCTTGCAAAACTGAAACTCTGTATCATCAATCTTCTTTTTATCTCTAGGGATTTGCCTATTCTAGACATTTCATATAAATGGAATCATATGACATGTGACCTTTGTACCTGTATTCTTTCATTTAGTATATTTTCAAGGTTGATCCACATTGTAACATGAATCAGTTTGTAGGTTTTTTTTTTACTTGTTTTTTTTTTTTTGTTTGTTTGTTTGTTTTTAGATGAAGTCTCACTCTGTCGCCCAGACTGGAGTGCAGTGGCACGCTCTTGGCTCACTGCAACCACCACCTCCCTGGCTCAAGCAATTCTCCTGCCTCAGCCACCGGAGTAGCTGGGATTACAGGCATGTGCCACCACGCCCGGCTAATTTTTATATTTTTAGTGGAGACGGGGTTTTACCACATTGGCCAGGCTGGTCTCGAACTCCTGACCTCAAGTTATCCACCCACCTTGGCCTACCAAAGTGCTGGGATTACAGGCGTAAGCCAACATGCTGGCCTCTTTGTATCTTTTTTTTTTTTTTTTTTGAGATGGAGTCTCACTCTTTTGCCCAGGCTGGAGTGCAGTGGTACGATCTTGGCTTACCACAACCTCCACCTCCCGGGTTCAAGCAAATCTCCTGCCTCAGCCTCCCGAGTAGCTGGGACTACAGGCGCGCTACCATGCCCAACTAATTTTTTTATTTTTAGTAGAGACAGGGTTTCACTATGTTGGTCAGGCTGGTCTCGAACTCCTGACCTTGTGATCTGCTCGCTTCAGCCTCCCAAAATGCTAGGATTACAGGTGTGAGCCACTGCGCCCGGCGCTTTGTAGCTTTTTGTAGGTAAGTAATATTCCATTGTATGGATATATCACATTGTGATTATCCAGTAAGTCAACAGTTGATGGATATTTGGGTTGTTTTTGCCTTTTGGCCACTGTAAATAACGCTGTGAACATTCATGTAAAATAATTGTTTGAGTTTCTGTTATCAGTTCTTTGGGGTATATACCTGGGAGTGGAACCACTGGTTCATGGCAACTCTATGTTTAACTTTTTGAGGAACTGCCATACTGTTTTCCACAGTGGCTGCAGCATTTTTCATTCCTACCAGCAATGTCTGAGGGCTCTGATTTTTCCACATGCTCAATAACACTTATTTCCCATTTTAAAAAATTATAGTCACCCTAGTGGGTATGAAGTGGTATCTTCTTGTGATTTCCCCCATGGTTTCTTTTCCATTTATTTTGACAAATTTTTTTGACTTTCAAACACACCTTGATTACAATTATTTATGTGAAAAAACTATTTTTCTGATGAATAATAGTCCAAAATTAAGCATGTGTTTGTGTTCATGCCTACACATAGGAGTGCTATCATAAGCCCCTAAACATCTAAATGACAGGATACGGATTTGGGACGGTGGGAGGCCTATCTTTACACCTTCAAGGAAGCAGATTGGGCTGCTGGAAAGATCTTGGGTTGGAAGTTGAGAGGCCTAGGCCTCTATCTTCTGACACTGGTGGAATTATTAATATTTTGTTCTTATATTATTTTCAAAATTTTATTATTCTTTTTTATAAATGGTGTCTCACTCTGTTGCCAGACTAGACTGTTGTGGCCCAATCATGGCTCACTGTAACCTCAAACTCCTGGACTCAAGCAATCTTCCCACCTCAGCCTCCCAAGTAGCTGGGATTACAAGCGTGTGCCACTGTGCCCTGCTTATTTTTGTATTTTTAGTGGAGACGGGGTTTTGCCATGTCGGTCTCGAACTCCTGACCTCAGGTGATCCACCCGCCTTGGATTCCCAAAGTGCTGGGATTACAGGCATGAGCCACCACGCCTGGCACCCCCCTACACTAATTTTTAAATTTTTTGTAGAGACAGGGTTTCACCATGTTGCCCAGTCTGGTCTCAAACCCCTGCCTTAGATTCCCAAAGTGCTGAGATTACAGCCATGAGGCACTGCGGCCAGCCTCTTCCCCGTTTTTTCAGCACACCAGTCTTATTGCCTTAAGCCCCACCCTTGTAACCTGATTTAACCATAATTACCTCTTTAAAGAGGGCCAATCTCCAAATACATTCACATTGGGAGTTAGGGCTTCAAAATATAAATTTTAAGGGGCCATCGTTCAGTTCCTCTGAGCTTTGACTTTATCATCATTATAAGGAGAATTGAAACCAACTTGAGAATTTTATTGGAAACTAAAAAGTAACATCTCAGCCCTCTACAATGCCACTAATTGGCTAATTGAGCCAGTGGAGACAGTGAGTTATGGCAGAAAAAGCTGTGTCCTCAGGGCCGAAGAGGATGGCTTTCAGCTTGGAGAATAGCACCAAAGTCCTGTTATTTCTCTGGCCAAGGAGGTTATTATGAGGATCAAAAGAGAAAAAACATTTGCAAGTATGTTAAAATTATAAAGCACTATAAAAAGCAAGCCATTATTACTATTGCTTTTCTTGTCCTTAGGATGCAATCTCAGCTAAGCCATGTAGTTATTAATTTTGTCACTCACTGCCACCTCCTTGAGTGCTTGCTTCACTTACACCATTTGCCACTGAATTAGTAATGATTTGGCTTTTCTGCGAGTGGCAGAAAACCCCAGCTAACAGTTGTTTAACAAGATGACAAATTGAAGCATAAGCAATCTGCTCCCAGAAGTTTTCAGGAACCAGTCCTTATGGTCCAATGTGATGGCATCAGCATTCCCAGCATCCAGGATGCAAGAAGGGACAATGAAATTAGCCGGGTGTGGTGGCAGGCACCTGTAGTCCCAGCTACTCCAGAGGCTGAGGCAGGAGAATGGCGTGAACCCGGGAGGTGGAGCCTGCAGTGAGCCGAGATCACGCCACTGCACTCCAGCCTGGGTGGCAGAGTGAGACTCCATCTCCAAAAAAAAAAAAATAATAAAAAAAAGAAGGGACAATGAGGAAGAGAGAAGAGATGGGTTGTGAGCCACATGGACTTTGCACCCATCCATCCTATTGGTCAGAACTCAGCCATATGGCCACACATGGCTGCCAGGGAGGTCAGCGAATATAATGTTTACTCTGGGTGCCTGTGTGCTCCAATAAATAAATAAATAAATAAATATATATATATATATATATATATATATATATATATTTTTTTTTTTTTTTTTTTTTTTTGAGACAGTGTTTCACTCTGTTGCCCGGGCTGAAGTGCAGTGGTGTGATCTCAGCTCACTGCAACCTCTGCCTCTCCTGGGTTCAAGTGATTCACCTGCCTCAGACTCCCGAGTAACTGGGATTACAAGCATGCGCCACCATGCCCGGTTAATTTTTTGTATTTTTAGCAGAGATGGGGTTTCGCCATGTTGGCCAGGCTGGTCCTGAACTCCTGACCTAAAGTGATCTGCCTTCCTCAGCTTCCCAAATTTCTGGGATTACAGGCGTGAGCCACCATGCCCAGCCGCCACTAAAATTTATTAATGGGAACCATGAGAAAAATATTTCTGGAAACTAAGGAGTCTCTGCTCCTGAAATACTCTGGGCTTTGGCAGTTACATGAATCAATCGACAAGAAGATGTTGAATGAGGCAAGAAATAGAGTAGGAAATACTTTGATGGGTATAGTTCCATATTTAAAAAACTGATTTTAATAACTTGTTTCAGAGTTTGCAGGTTCCAAGTTGAGCTGAAATAAATAAACGAGTGCATATGACTATGAAGGTATTATTGTGATAGAATAAAAGGAGTTTTGGAAACCATCAACTCAGTTCTGCAGGAAGCCTCCTAAATCAGTTTCTCCCCTGATTAACTCAGGGTGTCCCGTGTTTTGAAATTTGTACCTGTGGGATTCGAATTTGTGGACATGGTTGAGTGATGGCACAGAGAGGCCAACGTCATTAACAGATGGCTTTTATCTGAGAGATTTCCTGAGAGAAGGGGGCATACCCTGCCACACAGGGCCACAGGAGAAGCTCCAGGTTTTGGTCTGGAGATGGAAGTGGGAGCAAGGGGAAAGCTGAAGCCAGGGCGTGTACTGGAGTTTCCTCGGGAAAGGCCAGGCCAGGCAGAGTCAACAGTTTAGGGTTGGATATCTTAAATAATTCCAGAGGGTTTGGGTCTGTAGCAGTGGCCTCTAGTTGCCTGGTCCTGAGGCAGGAGAATAGGGTCTGGAGTCAGGGAACCCAAGGCCGATTAATGCTGACTGCCTAGAACTAAATCAAAAGGAAAACCCCAACTTTCCACACCTAAGTAACAAAAGGACCAGAGGCTACTGCAAACCCCTCCCCCTTTCCTGCTGGGCAGATGGAAAATTCAAAGTATCAGAAGTGGCCTGGAGCTCACGCCTGTAATCCCAGCATTTTGGGAGGCCGAGGCAGGCAGATCACCTGAGGTCAGGAGTTGGAGACCAGCCTGGCCAACATGGTGAAACCCTGTCTCTACTAAAAACACAAAAATTAGCTGGGCGTGGTGGCAGGCGCCTGTAATCCCAGCTACTCAGGAGGCTGAGGCAGGAGAATCGCTTGAACCCGGGAGGCAGAGGTTGCAGTGAGCCGAGATCGTGCCATTGCACTCTAGCCTGGGGGACAAGAGACTTCTGTCTCAAAAAAAAAAATATAGGATACAACCAGAGCTAGGTCATGTGGTATTTCCATTGCCAAGTACAGTGCTTCATCATCAACCAACAAAGATTAGTGGCTTCTCTGTCTAGAGCAGTGATTTCCAAACTGTTTTTTAGGCAGGGAGACAGCATTGTATGACTTTAAGAAAATAGGCTTTACCAGGAGTGGTGACTCAATGCCTGTAATCACAGCTACTGAGAGGCTGATGCATGCTTGGGCTCAGGAGTTCGAGATCAGCCTGAGCAACACAGGGAGATTCCATCTAAAAGAAAAGAAAGAAATTAAAAGAAAAGAAAACTGGCTTTGGAGTCAGGCCTGAGCTTAGTTTTGCTTGCAATCATGTGACTTGAGGAAAAATACAGATTGAGCATCCCTTATCTGAAATGCTTGAAACCAGAAGTGTCTCAGATTTTAGAGATTTTTTTGGATTTTAGAATATTTCCATTATACCACTTGAGCATCACTAATCCAAAATACAAAATGCTCCAATGAACATTTCCTTTGAGCATTGTCAGTCTCAAAAAGTTTCAAATTTTAGAGCATTTCAAATTTCTGATCTTCAGATTAGGAATATCCAACTTGTACTATCTCTAAAGCTCGACTTCTTTACTGTAGAATGGGCAGAGTAGTAATATCTACATAGAACAACTGTGAGAATTAGATGAGATAATTTTTGTCCCCGCCCCCGGCATTGAGGGGCCTGTGTGTTGTCATGGATCTCTGCTGCATTGGTCAAGCCATCTCTTCCTAGAACCTCTCCTAGAAACATTGATTAGACTTTGCATCCACAGAAGACTGCCTCCATCCTAATTGGGCAACTCCATTTTAACAACTGGACTCGAAGTTGGAGCTTACTCACTATGTGACTTCGTCTATCAAGTGTAATTTTTTTTAATGTACTTCATCTATCAAGTGTAATTTTTTTTTTTTTTTAGACAGAGTCTCACTCTTATTACCCAGGCTGGAGTGCAATGGTGTGATCTCGGCTCACTGCAACCTCCACCTACCAGGTTCAAGTGATTCTCCTGCCTCAGCCTCCTGAGTAGTTGGGATTACAGGTGCCCGCCACCATGCCTGGCTAATTTTTGTATTTTTAGTAGAGATAGGGTTTCACCATGTTGGCCAGGCTGGTCTCGAACTCCTGACCTCAGGTGATCTGCCCGCTTCAGCCTCCCAAAGTACTGGGATTACAGGTGTGAACTGCATCCGGCCTCTGTGAGATTTTTATTCTTCCCCGTTTAGCATTTTGATAAAGAAAAAAACTTTGTATGGCAATAAGCTGTGTGATTCATGAAATCATACTTTTGACCATCTCTTTATTTTAACCATATGAAACAGTTGTTGTTACTGTTGATATTATTATTAATTTTGAGACAGGGTCTTGCTCTGTCATGCAGGCTGGAGTACACTGGTGTGATCACAGCTCCCTGCAGCCTCAACCTCCTGGACTCAAGCAATCCTCTCACCTCAGCCTCCCACATAACTGGGACCACAGGCATGTGCCACCACACCTGGCTAATGTTTTTGATTTTTTTTGTAGGGGCGAAGTCTTGCTATGTTGCCCAGGTTGGTATTATTGATATTATTATTAGTAGTAGTAGCAGTACCATGTTTACACAATGACCTAAAAGTATGTGAAAATGGATCATTTATTTATTCAGCCCTTATTATTTGATAGCCTCTTGGCACCAGAGATATATAAGTGAAAAAACAGAGGTTCCTGCTGGCATGGAGTTCACATCTGATATGGTTTGGCTGTTTCCCCACCCTAATCTCATCTTGAATTCCCACATGTTGTGGGAGGGACCTGGTGGGAGGTAATTGAATCATGGGGGCAAGTCTTTCCCTGCTGTTCTTGTGATAGTGAGTAAGTCTCATGAGATCTGATGGTTGTATAAAGAGGAGTTCCCCTGCACAAGCTCTCTTTTCCTGCTGTCATCCATGTAAGGCGTGACTTGCTCCTCCTTGCCTTCCGACATGATTCCCCAGCCACGTGGAACTGTAAGTCCATTAAACCTCTTTGTTTTGTAAATTGCCCAGTCTCAGGTATGCCTTTATCAGCAGCGTGAAAACAGACAAATACAACATCCTAGTGGGGGAGACAGTAAATAAACACATGGATAAGTAAAATGGGATTAGCGCCGTGTGCAGTGGTGCACACCTGTAGTCCCAGCTACTCGGAAAATCTCTTGAGCCTAGGAGTTTGAAGCCATCCTGGGCAACATAGTGAGACACCCGTCTCAAAAACAAAAACAAAACAAAACAAAAGCTGCTCTTTGTAGTAGCATGTGCTCATGCTCTTAAACAGAATATTCCTGAAAGTCCACTTTAGCTGAATTAGGCCTATTCCTGGGAAAACTACTTAATCACCTTCTTTGCCACTAAGGCCAAAAGCTCCAAGTCAGACTGCAATAAAGACTGGTTTAATCAGAGGACTCTTGAGTTTATTTTTCTCCTGAACTGAGGTTTTTTGGCAGAAGACTTGGGAAACTCTCATACCTCACAGGCTGGGAACTTCTGAGCTCAGAGCCTTGGGAAAACATAAAGAAGCACGGTTGGCCATTGAGAGCTTAAAGGGATACCTCCGGAGACCTTCATAATGCTACAAGTGTGCACATCTCCCCTCTAGCAAAGCAGTTCCCTATAAAATGTCATTATGCGTTGGCTGGAACAGTTGCTGAAATGTCATTTAGCAGAGTTCTTTTTTGTTGTTGTTGTTGTTTTTTTTTTTTTGGACAAGGTCTCTCTTTGTCATTCAGGCTGGAGTGCAGTGGCATGAACACAGCTTCCTGGCTCAAACAAACCACCCACCTCAGTCTCCCAAGTAGCTGGGATTACAGGTACATGCCACCAGGCCAGGCTAATTTTTTTTTTTTTTGTAGGTAGGGGCCTTGCTATGTTGCCCAGGCTGGTCTTGAACTTCTGAGCTCAAGCTATCCTCACGCCTCAGCCTGCCAAAGTGCTGGGATTACAGATGTGAGCCCCTGCTCCTGGCAAGGGTCAAATTCATGGCTTGGCGAAGCTGGAATTAAAAAACCTCGTGACGCTTACATTTGAACTGCGGATGAAAAGTTAAACCAGCAATGCCAACCTGCCAAGAACATAGCTGGTGTATTAATTACCTATTGCTGCGGAAGAAGTGACTCCAAAACATTGTAGCTTAAAACAAAACAAAAGTCATTTATTATCTCTCTTAGTTTCTGTGGGTTAGGAATTCAGAGAGGGTACAGCAGGGGTAACTGACCTCTGCTCCACGATGTCTGGGCCTCCGTGGGAAGACTTGAAGAGTGTGGGCTGAAATCATCTGAAGCCCTGTTCACTCCCATGTCTGGGGTTCATCACATGGAGCTGCTGGCTGGTGGCCCAAGGACGTTGGTCAGAACATCCACACAGAGTCTCTCCAAGTGGGCTTTCTCACAATGTGGTGGTTAGGTTCAAAGGGCAAGCATCCGGACAGAGGAAAAGATAGAGAACCAGGTGATACTATAACCGTTTGGTTACTGGTGGAGGATGTCCAGGTTCTTGGCGTTTTGAACAGAGAATTGGACAAAACGCAAAAACAAAGCAAGGAGAGAATGAAGCAACAAAAGGAACTGAAAACAAAAGTACACTCCACAAGGTGGGAACCGGCTCAGCATAGGGGCTCAGGAGCCCCTTTACAGAATTTTCTGGGGTTTAAATACCCTCTAAAGGTTTCCCATTGGTTCCTTGTGAAAGGTGACAACGTGCCAGCAGCCTTGCTTGTTCTCGGCGCCTCCTCGGCCTCAGCATCCGCTCTGGCCATGCTCTAGGAGCCCTTCAGCCCGACACTGCACTGTGGGAACCCCTCTCTGGCCTGGCTGAGGCCGGAGCCGGCTCCCTCTGCTTGAGGGGAGGTGTGGGAAGTAGAAGCACAGGCGGGAACCGGGCCTGCGCGTGGCGCTCGCGGGCCAGCATGAGTTCCGGGTGGGCGTGGGTTCCGCGGGCCCTGCAAGCCGGCCCTGCCGGCCTCAGGCAGTGAGGGGCTTAGCACCAGGGCCAGCAGCTGCAGAGGGTGCGCCGGGTCCCTCAGCACTGCCGGCCCTACCACACCGCGCTGGAATTCTCCAAGGGCCTCACCTGCCTTCCGGGGGGCAGTGCTCTGTGTCTAGCTAATCTAGTGGGGACTTGCAAAACTTTTTTGTCTAGCTAGAGGATTTTAAATACACCAATCAGCACTCTGTGTCTAGCTTAGGGATTGTAAATGCACCAATCAGCACCCCGTCAAAACAGGCCAATCAGCTCTCTGTAAAATGGACCAATCAGCTCTCTGTAAAGTGGACCAATCAGCAGTATGTGGGTGGGGCCAGATGAGGGAATAAAAGCAAGCTGCCGGAACCAGCGGTGGCAACTGGCTTGGGTCCGCTTCTGCAGTGTGTGAGTTTTGTTCTTTTGCTCTTTGTGATAAATCTTGCCGCTGCTCACTCTTTGAGTCCTTGCTGCCTTTGTGAACTGTAACACTGTGAAGGTCTGCAGCTTCACTCCTGAAGCCAGCAAGACCACCCACTGGAAGGAATGAACAACTCCAGATGTACTGCTTTTAAGAGCTGTAAGGCCCACTGTGAAGGTTTGCAGCTTCATTCCTGAAGTCAGTGAGACCACGAACCCACCAGAAGGAGGAAACTCTGGACACATCTGAACATCTGAAGGAACAAACTCCGGACACACCATCTTTAAGAACTGTACACTCACCGCGAGGGTCCACGGCTTCATTCTTGAAGTCAGCAAGACCAAGAACTCACGGATTATTCCGCACACACTTGGTTACACCCTATGTAAATGAAGTAGTGGCCCACAGTCAGTCTGATTGGTTGCAGAAAGCAACCAATCAGAGGTACTTTTGATTTTCCATCTGTCACACAGAAAAAAGGGGGCAGGGTTTGCAAAGGGAGTAGCCTCCTGTCCTTTCATTGCTTAGGTGTGGAAAGTTGGGGTTTTCCTTTTGATTTAGTTCTAGGAAGCCAGTGTGAATCTGCTTTAGATTCCCTTTGTCTAAACCCTATTTTCCTCCCTCATGGTTACTACCTAGCCTCAGAAACCAGGGAGCATCACTGCATCACTTCTGCTGTGTTCCCTTAGAGCAGTCATTGCTCAGATACAAGCAGTGGGGGAACCTGGGTTTCCTTTCCCTGGAAAGGGTGTAGGAAGGGCATGTGAGGTGGGATAAATATGTAGGTGTGGCTACCTTTAAAAAATGTAATCTGCTGGGTGAGGTGGCTCACACTTGTAATCATTCCAGCACTTTGGGAGGCCAAGGCGGGCAGATCACCTGAGGTTGGGAGTTCGAGACCAGCCTGACCAACATGGGGAAATCCCATCTCTACTAAAACTACAAAATTAGCCAGGCGTGGCGGTGCATGCCTGTAATCCCAGCTACTTGGGAGGCTGAGGCAGGAGAATCGCTTGAACCCAGGAGGCAGAGGTTGCAGTGAGCCGAGATTGTGCCATTGCACTCCAGCCTGGGTAAGAAGAGCAAAACTTCGTCTCAAAAAAAAAAAAAAAAAAAAAATAGAGGCAAGGTAATCTGCCACAGATAGTACTCAACAAATACTTACTGGGTAAGTGTGAATTCCAAATACCTGGTCTCAAACACCTGGTCTCAAACACCTGGCCTCAAAATTACAATCTAGCCAATAAAATAAAACATACAGTCATTTAACTCTTTCGCTAAATGGCACCTAAGATCAGCTAGTTATATACTACTAAGCTGTTGTTTCTCACCAGTGGTATTGAAAGGTAGTCTAGCTAGGCCACTGGACTTTCACGACAATCAATAAGCATTTGTTGGTCAGGCGTGGTGGCTCACACCTGTAATCCCAGCTTTTTGGAGGCTGAGGCGGGAAGATGGCTGGAGCCCAAGAGTTTGGGACCAGCGTGGGCAACATACTGAGACCCCATCTCCACAAGAAGTAAAAAAATTAGCTGGGCATGGTGGTGCATGCCTGTAGTACCAGCTACTCAGGAGGCTGAGGTGGGAGGATTGCTTGAGCCGCAGAAGTCTAGGCTGCAGCAAGCCGTGATTACACCACTGTACTCCAGCCTGGGTGACAGAGCAAGACCTTGTCTCAAAAAAACAGTTTTTTATCCCCTGGTTAAAAAAAATTCCATATCCCCTGGATTCCCACGTGCACACACAAGTGAGACGTGTTCTCTGCTAACTCCACTGGCTGCGGATCTCTAACCCTTTAGTATGCATTTGGAGATGTATAATCTATAGCCACACCGACTTAGTTTCATGTTCTAGCTCAGCTCCTACCAATTGTGTGATTTCAGACAAGTAAACTAATCTCTCCAGACTTGTATTTCCTCTTATGAAATGGGGTGGTTGACCCAGTGAAGGCAAATTAGCCAAAAACTTGGATATAAGCTGAAAGGACTCCTGCATATCTTTCAATATCATGCCAGAGCATAGCTAGCCCAGAGCCCGCCCAAGGATTATTTAATACTGGGAGATTTCAATATCATACTGGAGCATATCTAGCCCAGAGCCCACCCAAGGATTATTTAATACTGGGAGATACACTTTTGTCTTCTTGCTATTTACTAATGACGAAGGCTCAGATTCTCTCAAGTTACATGTTAACTAGTAGATTTCCAAGAGTATCCGAGATAACTCGGAAGGTTACCGTTCTATTGCCCGTTAGGACATTAACCAATTTTGCCTGTGATTTAGAAAATTTATTCTTGGCTGGGCGTGGTGGCTTATGCCTGTAATCCCAGCACTTTGAGAGGCTGAGGCAGGCGAATCACCTGAGCCCAGGAGTTCGAGACCAGCCTGGACAATATGGTGAAACCCCGTCTCTACTAAAAATACAAAAATTAGCTGGGTGTGGGGGCACACACCTGTAGTCCCAGCTACTCAGGAGGCTGAGGCAGGAGAATCACTTGAACCCAGGAGGTGGAGGTTGCAGTGAGCCGAGATTGTGCCACTGCATTCCATTCTGGATGACAGAGCGAGACTCTGTCTCAAAAAAAAAAAAAAAAGCTTATTTTTGGCTGCCTTTCCTGTCTGACTACATAGACCTCTGTTCTTTGAATTCTCCTTTGAACTAGTTTTACATCCTCCTGGCACCCTTGTGAATTAGTTACATACATAATTGACATGTGTTCATTCTACATTTGTATGAGAGTCAGGCTTTTATCTTTTTGAAAATTATACTTTCATAGCCCAAAGCCCTATGTATCATGGGGGGAAAAAAGTAATTAGTGTCACAGAATTCACTGGAGGAAGAGATCTGAAGAGGTCCAAGAAGACTTTCCAGAAAAGATTTTCGTGTGTGTTTTTTTTCTGTTTTTGTTTTTGTTTTGAGACAGGATCTCACTCTGTCACCCAGGCTGGAGTGCAGTGGTGCAATCACCGGAGGTCACTGCAGCCTCGACCTCCTGGGCTCAGGTAATACTCCTGCCTCAGCCTCCCAAGAAGCTAGGACCATAGGTGAGCACCACCATGCCTGGCTAATATTTTTGGATTTTTTGAAGAGACAGGGTTTTGCCATGTTGCCCAGGCTGGTTTCAAACTCCTGGGCTCAAGTGATCTGCCCACCTTGGCCTCCTAAAGTGCTGGGATTACAGGCATGAGCCACTGTGCCCAGCCTAGAAAAAATTTTCTATAGAAGTCTTTCTAGAAAGAATCTTTTTTTTTTTTTTTTTTTTTGAGACGGAGTTTTGCTCTTGTTGTCCAGGCTGGAGTGCAATGGCGCGATCTCGGCTCACTGCAACCTCCACCTCCCAGGTTCAAGCGATTCTCCTGCCTTAGCCTTCCCAAGTAGCTGGGATTATAGGCATGCGCCACCAAGCCCGGCTAATTTTGTATTTTTAGTAGAGATGGGGTTTCTCCATGTGGGTCAGGCTGGTCTTGAACTCCCGACCTCAGGTGATCCACCCACCTCGGCCTCCCACAGTGCTGGGAATACAGGTGTGAGCCACTGCGCCCAGCCTAGAAAGAATCTTGATGGTTGTGGGAGATAGTTTCAGAAGCGGGGAGGGCCTTTGAGGGCTGGGAGGGCATTTGTGCAGAAGAGGGGCCAAAGAACTGGGGGAAGTAAATTGAACAAGCCAGAAAGCCATGGCCTGGAGAGGATAAGTCATATTTTGAAACTAACCACATGAAAAACCAACAGATAACCTCCCAGCTTCATCAACTGTAAATTATTAAGATGAAAACCAGCAGTTGCTGTATATTTAAATTATATCATTTTTGTTTTATTCTTTTTTTGTTTGTTTTTTCAACATAGAGGCAGAAGAAATATAGTTGCTTCAATTTACAGTTAAGTTTCGCTTGCATCCACACCAGCCAGCATGGGTGGCCTTTCATGGGTTTCGTTTAGAAAGGAAATGAAATAGTACTCTTGGTCATAAAGGTTTTATTATTTTCCTGGGCTCTGCAGAGCAACTCAGAGAGGAAAGCCCGTGTCAATGCAGGAGGGCTTCGGATTACCAGCTAGACTTGTAACATACATTTTAAAAAGTCTTTTCCTGGCTTTGAAATGTTCCTTTAGAACTCATGGATTTTTTTATTCTATAAATTAAAGAATGACCAACTATGATACTTGGAATCAGCCAAACTAATCCATTGCAGAAATCTGTGGTATAGGAAGGCTGTCTGACAATAGTCCTCCCACCTCCTTTTTCACCCTCCTTAGTTGTGCTGCAGGCATCTCTACTATTGCCCACAGCCTTAAAAAAAAAAATGCGGCCAGGCCCGGTGGCTCACGCCTATAATCCCAGCACTTTGAGAGGCCGAGGTGCGCAGATCACCTGAGGTCAGAAGTTTGACCAGCCTGGCCAACATGGCGAAACTCCCGTCTCTACTAAAAGTGCAAGAATTAGCTGGGTGTGGTGGCGCACGCTTGTCATCCCAGCTACTCTGGAGGCTGAGGCAAAAATAATCGCTTGAACCTGGGAGGCGGAGTTCAGTGAGCCGAGATCTCGCTACTGAACTCCAGCCTGGACAACAGAGCAAGACTCTGTCTCCAAAAAAAACCCAAAAAAACAAAAGAACAACAACAACTGAAATGAAACTCTGTACCCATCAAACAATAATTCCCCCCTGCCTCCTACTCAAGTCCCTGGCAACCACCATTCCACTCTTTGATTCTATGAATTTGACTATTTTGTCATAGATACCGCATACAAGTGGAATCGTGTACTCTTTGCCTTTCTGTGTCTGGCTTATTTCACTTAGCATCGTGTCTTCCAGGTTCATCAATGTTGGAGCATGTGTCGGAATTTCCTTCCTTTTTAAGGCTGAATGTTCCATTGTATGTACGCACTACATTTTGTTTATTCATTCATGAATGGAAGAAACAAGGGGCGCTTGAGTTGCTTCTATCCTTTGGCTATTGTGAGTAGTACTACTATGAACATAGGAGTACAAAGATTGGCACATTACTTTTTAAACACTTAAAAAAAATGATAGACGCTGTCTGAAGACTGAAACATGTTCATTACTTTTCAGTTTCACAAGGGACTTTTGGAAATATCTTTGTCCAGGTCTAATCCTAATCAAGATTTCTACCCATTTTCTTTTTCTTTTTATTTTTTGAGATAAAGTCTTGCTCTGTCGCCCAGGCTGGAGTGTAGTAGCACAATCTTGGCTCACTGCAACCCCTGCCTCCCAGGTTCAAGCAATTCTCTTGCCTCAGCCTCCCGAGTAGCTGGAATTACAGGCACGTGCTACCATGCCCGGCCAAATTTTTTGTATTTTTAGTAGAGACAGGGTTTCACCATGTTACCCAGGATGGTCTCGATTTCCTGATCTCGTGATCCACTCACTTCAGCCTCCCAAAGTGTAGGGATTACAGGCATGAGCCACCGCGCCAGGCCCATTTTCTTTTATTGAGAGAGAGTCTCAATCCATCATCCAGGCTGGAGTGCAGAGGCACGATCTTGGCTCACTGCAACCTCTGCCTCCTGGGTTCAAGTGATTCTCGTGAGTCAGCCTCTCTAGTAGCTGGGATTATAGGCGTGTGCAACCAGGCCTGGCTAATTTTTTGTATTCTTATTAGAGACGGGCTTTCGCCAGGTTGGCCAGGTTGGTTTTGAACTCCTGGCCTCATGCGATCCCCCCACCTTGGCCTCCCAAAGAGCTGGGATTACAGGCATGAACTATTGCACCCAGCCTCTACCCATTTTCATGAAGAGCAAAGTTATATAGCTGTGATTAGCATCTCAATATAGCACTTTTATTTACCCAGATCCAATATGCATGGTTAAAAATTACTGAGTGATTTGGGGGGCAGCATTTGCAGTATGGCCATGATATTTCTCAACTTCCCTCTCCCCTTGCCAGTGTCAGACTCAGCCCCTGATCACAAGAGGTAGGCACGTGGTGAAGCTAATGCAATCAGATTACTTTTCCTGGGAATTTGAATAAATCATTGGATAGCAAGATCCCCAACAGAAGTTTCTTACAGGCCTCTGCCACTGTGATTCTCAGACCTGTCCTGGTTCCTGCTTTTAATTTTGTGAGCTTCTCAGTGTCATTGAAACAACCTTTTTTGGCTTACATTCATGAGTCAATTTCTATTGCTTTCTATCACAGAACTTCAACTGATACAATTCAAAAGCTGATGCTCGAATTTCTTCAAGAAATATAGGAGGCCGGGCACGGTGGCTCACGCCTGTAATCCGAACACTTTGGGAGGCCGAGGCAGGTGGATCACTTGATGTCAGGAGTTCAAGACCAGGCTGGCCAACATGGTGAAACACCGCCTCTACTAAAAATACAAAAATTAGCTTGGTAGGGTGGCACGCGTCTGTAATTCTAGCTACTCGGCAGGCTGAGGCAGGAGAATTGCTTGAACCCGGGAGGTGGAGGTTGCAGTGAGCCAAGATCACACCACTGCACTCTAGCCTGGGTGACAGAGCAAAACTTCATCTCAAAAAAAAAAAAAATATATATATATAGAGAGAGAGAGAGATGTGTATGTGTATATATATATATGTATATATATGTGTGTGTGTATATATATGTGCATATATATGTGTGTGTGTGTATATATATATATGTGTGTATATATATATGAATATCTGGCCAGGCATGGTGTCTCATGCCTGTAATCCTAGCACTTTGGGAGGCCGAGGCAGGTGGATCACCTGAGGTCAGGAGGTCGAGACCAGCCTGGCCAACATGGCGAAACCCCAGCTCTACTAAAAATACCAAAATTTGTCAGGCATGGTGGCACATGCCTGTAGTCCCAGATACTTGGGAGGCTGAGGCTGAGGCTGAGTCTACTCAGGAGGCAACCTCTGCTACCCGCTTGAACCCAGGTAGCAGAAGTTGCACTGAGCCGAGATCATGCCAGTTCATTCTAGCCTGGGTGAAAGAGTGAAACTCTGCCTCAAAAAAAGAAAAGAAAAGAAAAGAAAAGAAACATAAACATATGGTAACACTCATTTGACATAAAAATGATCTATTTTATGATGGTCCATTTCTCTCAGCACATCCTGACAGCTATTTTAAAAACATGTCATGCCAGAAGATCTGTTCTGTTTCCCTCTGTATCTCCATGTATCTGTCTTTGCGTCTGTCTGTTGTCTCTCTCTCAGAGGAGAAGGAGAAAGGAGAATTCAAGAAGGAAGGAGAAGAGAGACATGTTATAGAGTGGAATCCTCAATCGTATAAAAATGTGGAAATGTCCAAAAGGTGTCTATTTTTGCTCCTAAAGCAAAATACTTTTTTGTGCAAGAGCATGTTTCTTTTTATTTTATTTATATATTTTTTCAGAGACAAGGTCTGGCTCTGTCACCCAGGCTGGAGTGCTGTGGTGCGATCATAACTCACTGCAGACTCAAACTTCTGGGCTCAAGCAATCCTCCCAAGTAGTTGAGACTACAGGAGTGAACCACCACATCCAGCTGATTTTTTTTTTTTTACTTTTTATTTATTTATTTATTTTGTAGAGATGGGGTCTCTACACTCTATGTCACCCAGGCTGGTCTTGAACTCCTGGGCTCAAGCGATCCTCCAGCCTTGGCCTCCCAAAGCATTAGGATTACAGGCATGAGCAACTGTGCCCATCTGAAGAGTGTGTTTCTAATTTAGTGCTTGATTTACTGTCTTCAGCTTCTGGCATAGCCTCAAAGTTAAGATTCACTTGAGGCCGGGGGAGATGGCTCATGCTTGTAATCCCAGCACTTAGGGAGGCCAAGGCAAGCACGTGACTTGAGGCCAGGAGTTTGAGACCAGCCTGGCCAACACGGTGAAACTCTGTCTATACTAAAAATACAAAAATTAGCTGGGCATGGTGGCGGGTGCCTGTAGTCCCAGCTACTCGGGAGGCTGTGGCAGAATTGCTTGAACCCGGGAGGTGGAGTTTGCAATGAGCCGAGATCGTGCCACTGGTCTCCAGCCTGGGTGACAGAGCGAGACCCTGTCTCACACACACACACACAAACAAATAAATATTCATTTGAGCTGGAAAGTTATTCCCATCAGAGGAAGAATAATTGTGTTTGCATTTTCCATTCTTTGCTTTTGTGTTTTCTTGAGGAAATTCTTCCAGAGTCAGACATTCTCTATGTTCTCTAAAAACTTCTCTTGTTTGAGCCAGAGCTCTGTGAGCTGCTTCTCTTAAAGAGCTGCTCGTGGACGATCTGCCACAAAGAGTTTTAAAATGTGGTGTTGGTCTCTTTTTTCTGAACCACATCAAAGAGCACAGATTATTTCCTTTCTGAGAACAAAACTCTTTAATGACAAGAAAGAACAAGAAACTGAGCCGCCAACCAGCCCTATCAGGAAAGACACTGTAACCCTAACAATGACAAATGATCCACTTCTACAATCTCTTGTCACTTTTTGAAATTTAAACCAAACACAGTAATCATATTCTCGCATATGTGTCTCTAAAATAAAATCACACTTTGTCACTCTGAAAACTTTTTATAAACCTGGATTAATAATGTAATCCTATCATCAGGTGGGATAATCCTTACCTGTTCCTCGTTTTGGAGGGCAGATAGAACAGGATAATTGGAGTTTGCATGATCCATGATTAATGTCTCTGTGTAATCAGGACTTGCAAACTCTGATTGTTCATATCTGATTTGTTGTGAAAAAAAATTAAACCTCATAGGACAATTTAATAATGTCTATCAAATGTTTATCATGGAAGATTTAGCAAAATTACAAGTAGTTAACTAAATAGCGAACTTACAAATATTTAGCAAAATTACAAGTGATCTTATTATTTCACTCAGCAATGGTATTTGTAGGACTTTATCCAACAGCTGTATATACATATGTGCAAAACAATAGATATAAAAGGTGATTTGTTTCAGCATTTCTTGTGAGAGCAAAATATTGGAAACTATCAGGCCAGGTGTGGTGGCTCACGCCTGTAATCCCAGAACTTTGGGAGGCCGAGGCAGGCAGATCACGAGGTCAGGAGTTCAAGATCAGCCTGGCCAACATAGTGAAACCCCGTCTCTACTAAAAAAAAAAAAAAAATTAGCCAGGCATGGTGGTGCGTGCCTGTAGTCCCAGCTACTCGGGAGGCTGAGGCAGGAGAATTGCTTGAACTTGGGAGGTGGGGGTTCCAGTGAGCCGAGATTGTGCCACTGCACTCCAGCTTGGGCAACAGAGTGAGACTTCATCTCAGAAAAAGAAGAGAACTATCTGATGTCCATAAATGCCTTCATACTCTATCACCTGGTGGAATACTATGCAGCTATTAAAAAGAGAGCACTCTTACGTATTCCTATGCAAGGATCTATAAGACATATTGTTAAAAAAACAAAAACAAAACAAAAATACAAGCTGCAGAACTGTTTATATGCAGTGGTTCTTGACTTTGGATGCACATTAGAAATCACTAGGGAGGAGCCAAGCTGTCAGGCTGGAGTGCAGTGGTGTGATCATAGTTCACTGCAGTGTCAAACTCCAGGACTCAAGCGATCCTCCCACCTTAGCCTCTGGAGTAGCTGGAACTACAGGTGTGTACCACCATGCTCAGCTAATTTATTTATGTATTTACTTTGTAGAGAAGGGGTCTTGCTTTGTTGCCCAGGCTGGTCTGCCTGCCAGAATGCTGACATTACAGGTGTGAGCCACCATGCTCAGCCCTAAAAAGAAATTATGTTTAAATCATGTTTTCAGGAAGATCCATCTTTCTGTTTAGCCTAGAAATGGAGCTACATCATTCTGGACTGTGGGAGATGTAAGAAAGGCAATACTTCTTTTTTTTTTTTTTTTTTTTGGTTGAGACAGAGTCTCGCTCTGTTGCCCAGGCTGGAGTGCAGTGGCATGATCTCTGCTCACTACAACTTCCGCCTCCCGGGTTCAAGCAATTCTGCCACAGACTCCCGAGTAGCTGGGACTACAGGCGCCCGCCACCACACCCAGCTAATTTTTGTATTTTTAGTAGAGATGGGCTTTCACCATATTGGCCAGGCTGGTCTCAAACTCCTGACCTTCTGATCTGCCCACCTCGGCCTTCCAAAGTGCTGGGATTACAGGTGTGAGCCACCGTGCTCAGCAAGAAAGGTAATACTTCTTTTTATTCAAAGTAAAATACTTGTGCGTCCATCCATCCATCCATCCGTATGCATGCAATACAAAAGAGATGTGTACAGAATTTTTTGTGTGTTGTTTTGTGTTGAGACGGTCTCGCTCTGTCGCCAGGCGGGAGTGCAGTGGCACCATCTAGGCTTACTGCAGCCTCCGTCTCCTGGGTTTAAGCCATTCTCCTGCCTCAGCTTCCTCAGTAGCTGGGACTACAGGCACGTACCACCATGCCCAGCTAATTTTTGTATTTTTTATTAGAGACAGGGTTTCGCCATTTTGGCCAGGCTGATCTTGAACTCCTGGCCTCAAGTGATACAACAGCCTCGGCCTCCCAACATGCTGGGATTGATTCCAGGCGTGAGCCACTGCACCTGGCCTCATTTTGCTTTCTTAAATACTTGGAATTCCCTGCACCAAGAAGATGAAAAAGTGAAAAACTCATGGATGGGAAATTTCTTTTTGTTTTTTGTTTTTTTTTTGAGACGGAGTCTCTGCTCACTGCAAGCTCCGCCTCCCGGGCTCACGCCATTCTCCTGCCTCAGGCTCCGGAGTAGCTGGGACTACAGGCGCCCGCCACCACGCCCGAGAATTTTTTGTATTTTTAGTGGAGACGAGGTTTCACCATGTTAGCCAAGATGGTCTCGATCTCCTTGCCTCGTGATCCGCCCGCCTCGGCCTCCCAAAGTGCTGGGATTACAGGCGTGAGCCACCGCGCCCGGCCGGGGAATTTCAAACTTACTGATACCTTGTGTTTTCCTCCCAGGGACAGGTACAAGAGGGTGTGACTGTGGGAAGGGACACACTAACAATAGGCAAGGGGCCCAGGTTGTTTCTTCTGTGAAGGTACCGGTCTGTGGCCTGTTAGGAACCGGCAGCACAGCAGGAGGTGAGCGGCTGGTGAGCCATTATTGCCTGAGCTCCGCCTCCTGTCAGATCAGCGGCAGCATTAGATTCTCATAGGAGCAGGAATCCTATCGTGAACTGCGCATGTGAGGGATCTAGGTTGCGTGCTCTGTATGGGAATCTAATGCCTGATCATGTGAGGTGGAACAGTTTCATCTTCCCCACCCCTGGTCCGTGGAAAAATTGTCTTCCATGAAACCATGAAACCGGTCCCTGGTCCCAGAAAGGTTGGGGTCTGCTGCCCTAATTCATGCACTAGAGTTTCATATGCTGACATGATCTCTGTGATCATAAATATGAATTAGATTAAATTTATCTTTGACTCCAGTACAATTTCCTCTTTTCTCTCTTTTTGGTAACTCCCAATTCAGGTGCATCTGCAATGCATTCTCACAATTCATTTCAATTTAGTAAATGATGGCTGAGTGTCTCCCCATTCAAGGCACTGTGTTAGACACTGGGACAGAAAACTAAATAAGACTTGATCCTGCAGCAGAAGAGACAGCCAGGCAGGTATCTAGAATTCAGTGTGTTGAATATGACAGTGTAAGTGCCTATGCTGCCACAGCCTCCTTCTGAGCAAACAGCCGGTTGGTTCCTTATGCAAAGGTCATCCAACGTAGAAACAAATATGCTGAATCTCCTGAGGAGACAGTGATTAATTTAGGCTAGAGGTCAGTGTGGGACCAATCAAGGTGACGTTGGAATTAATTTGGACTTGAGGAGCGTACAGTTTCATAAGGCAGAGAAACATATACTACAAAGAATGAGGTATATTTGTGAGGATTTGGAGCTGTGCCATTCCTTAGAGTATTAAAGTCATGAAAAAAAGGCTGGGCGCAGTGGCTCACGCCTGTAATCCCAGTACTTTGGGAGACCAAGGCGATCACAAGGTCAGAAGTTCGAGACCAGCCCGACCAATATGATGAAATCCTGTCTCTACTAAAAACACACAAAAAAATAGCCAGCATGGTGGAATGCGCCTGTAATCCCAGCTACTTGGGAGGCTGAGACAGAAGAATCCTTTGAATCCGGGAGGCAGAGGTTGCAGTGAGCAGAGATTGCGCCATTGCACTCCAGCCTGGGCAACAAGAGCGAAACTCTGTTTCAAAAAAAAAAAAAAAAGACTATGATTATCATGCATGGGGTTAGGGATGGGGGTGCAGGAGATGAGGTAAATTGGAGGTAGATTGGGGTCGGATTGGGAGGTGAATTTCTGCCTATTCTGATGAAGAGTCATCAGTGCTTCGCAGGCATGGCAGTGGCATTACAGATGTGTTTTGGAAGAAAATTCAGGAACAGGGAAGGGTTGTAGTTTGTAGCTGTCAGATGCAATGAGGCAGATTAAAAGCTAGACAATTTAGGCCAGTCGCGGTGGCTCATGCCTGTAATCCCAGCACTTCAGGAGGCTGAGGTGGTCAGAGTGCTTGAGTTCTGGAGTTCAAAATTAGCCTGGGCAACATTGTGAAACCCTGTCTCTACTAAAAACATACAAAAATCAGCTAGGCATAGTGGTGCACACCTATAGTCCTAGCTACTCGGGAGGCTGAGGTGGGAGGACCACTTGAGCCTGGGAGGCAGAGGTTGCAGTGAGCCGAGATCACGCCACTGCACTCCAGCCTGGATGACAGAGCGAGACCCTGTCTCAAAAAAAAAAAAAAAAAAAGAAAGAAAGAAAAAAAAAGAATGACCTTCTCTTTTAAGGCTGAACTCTATTCCATTGTATGTATGTTCCACATTGTGTTTCTCCATTCGTCTATCAGTGGACACTTAAGTTGCTTCCACAGTTTAGTTGTTAGAAATGTGGAAGTACAAGTATCTGTTTGAGTCCCTGTATTAGTCCGTTTTCACACTGCTATAAAGATACTGCCTGATATATTACCTGAGACTGGGCAATCTATAAACAAAAGAGGCTTAATTGACTCGCAGTTCCCCATGGCTGGGGAAGCCTCAGGAAACTTATGGTCATAGTGGAAGGCAAAGGGGAAGCAGGCACCTTCTTCACAAGGCGGCAGGAGAGAGTGTGAGTGAAGGGAAAGCCCCTTATAATACCATCGAATCTTGTGAGAACTTACTGTCATGAGAGCAACATGGGGGAAACCAGTTCCATGATCCAATCACCTCCTACCAGGTCCCTCCCTGGACTTGTGGGGATTACAATTCAAGGTGAGATTTGGGTGGGGACCCAGAGCCATGCCATATCAGTGCCTGCTTTCATTTCTTTTGGGAACATACTCTGAAGCATAATTGCTAGATCATATGGTAATTTTAGGGTTAAGTTTTTGAGGAACGTCATTACTGTTTTCTACAACAATGGCGCCATTTTACATTCCCACCAGCAATGTACAAGGATTCCAATTTCCCAACATCCTCACCAGTTGTTATTTTCTGTTCTGTTTATTTGGATATTAGCCATCCTAATGAGTGACAGTGAAATTTTACTTACATGAAGGATCTCATTCTCCACTGATACCCACGAAAACAAAGGGGACCATTCTGCACTTGGCTGAAGTGAGCATTTTCTCATCAGGAGAGGAGTAGCCCAGGGGATGTCCACTGGAGATAGGGTGGGCGCCCTCCACTCCATCTTCCCTTCTTGGAAACTTGGAGAATTTCTTGTGTTATTCTTGGGACTGTGATGTGTATAAATAGAATGGGATGAGGGAAAAAGAAAAGGTTGAGAGCCAGTTCAGAAAGATCCTTGTAATATATTTTGTTGATCTTACTTTTTCAAACTTGTACAGCTTGATGGCTGTGAGCAAATATTTCCACTAGGAATCTGTTGACATTTCCACCACTCTTCTCTTCTTTTTCTGTTCTGTTTTTTTTTTCTGCCTAGTCTTTCAGTGTCAATCTTGTCTTAATTTCAGCATGCATTCTGTCCTCATGCATAAATTAGGTATGGTTTTCTGCTCTTTATTCGAAATTGCCTATTTCTATTGTAAATTACACCAATCATAATTTCCAGTTTACCGCTTTTCTCCAGACATTTTTGCTTTTAATACAAATTCATAAATTAAAAGTCAACTACTCTCACTCCCAAAGATTAAAAAGATAAAAGCCTGTAATTTGGTGGACACCGATCATCAAATATGCATGTTACACTGAAGAACTGGCTTTGCAATTCTGCAGCTGTACTCTTGGGTTGGTGATGAAGAAGACAGTTATAGGGGATCCCGAGCTTTCAGCATCTCAGTAGTGCCAGTACATCTGGAATCCAAGACAAAATGTGAATGCAGGCATCATGAAGCAGAATTCGAGCTGTGCGGTAATCAGCCAGATGATCTGCAACACACAGATGCTAGCTTTTTTTTAGATAACCACCAAAATAGAAACACAAATTTTACACTCAAAGAACACTCAGGGCCCTTAGTGGAGAAATAGCTGCATCGTGCCAGTTATGAATTCTGTTGTTTTTGGTGGTCACAATTTATCATAGCCCCACTTAACCATGATTTCACTTTCCATGGTTTCAGTTACCTTCCGTTAACTAAGGTCCAAAAATATTAAATGGAAAATTCCAGAAATAAGCAATTCATAAGCTTTAAGTTGCACCTGCCATTCTGAGTAGTGTGATGAAGCCTTGCACCTGCGGTGGGATTCCTCCCTTTGTCCAGCATCTCCATGCCATAGATGTCCCCACTCATGAGTCACATCGGAGCCCTCTCAGTTACCACATCGGCTGTCTCTGTATTGCAGTGCTTGGGTTCAAGTCATTCTTATTTCACTTCATGATGGCCCCATAGCGCAAGAATACTGATGCTGACCGGGCGTAGTGGCTCACACCTGTAATCCCAGAACTCTGGGAGGCCGAGGTGGGTGGATCACCTGAGGACAGGAGTTCAAGACAAGCCTGGCCAACGTGGTGAAATCCCATCTCTACTAAAAATAGAAAAATTAGCCAGGGATGGTGGTGCATACCTGTAATCCCAGCTATTTGGGAGGCTGAGGTAGGAGAATCCCTTGAGCCCAGAAGGCAGAGGTTGCTGTGAGCTGAGATCGTGCCACTGCACTCCAGCCCGGGCGATAGAGCGAGACTCTGTGTCAAAACAAAACAAAACAAAAAAATTAGCCAGGCATGGTGGCATGCGCCTGTAATCCTAGCTTTGCGGGAGGCTGAGGCAGGAGAATTGCTTGAACCTGGAAGGTGGAGGTTGCAATGAGCCGAGATCACACCACTGCACTCCAGCCTAGGCGACAGAGCGAGACTGTCTCTGAAAAAAAATAAATAAATAGCCGGGCGTGGTGGCTCACGCCTGTAATCCCAGCACTTTGGGAGGCCGAGGCGGATGGATCACGAGGTCAGGAGATCGAAACCATCCTGGCTAACATGGCGAAACCCTGTCTCTACTAAAAATACAAAAAAATAGCCAGGCGTGGTGGCGGGCGCCTGTAGTCCCAGCTACCCGGGAGGCTGAGGCAGGAGAATGCCGTGAACCTGGGAGGCAGAGCTGGCGGTGAGCCAAGACCCCGCCACTGCACTCAAGCCTGGGCAACAGAGCGAGACTCTGTCTCAAAAATAAATAAATAAATAAATATATAAATATATAAAATAAAATTATGAAATCTGCAGTGGGGCCAGGTGTGGTGGATCATCCAAAGAAGGGTGGACAAGGGCTTAAATTGTTAGAAAACTCACTTGAAATGGGAGGTGTGAAAGTAAATATTTGCAAAGATAGATGATATTCCACAGCAGCCTGAATGGAGAGTGACATTTGCTCAGAAAGAATCCCGGATTATAAATATGACTAACAGAGAAATGTGCCTATTATTTCACCATGTTTTGGCAGAAGAACTTCAAAAGAAAATCTATTATAAGGTTATCAAGCTTCATTAGTACAATTAACTGTTTTCAAAATAGGCCCATTTTCCCAGCTACTTAGCAAGATGAGGCAGGAGGATCCTTTGAGCACAGGAGTTCGAAGCCACCTTGGGCAACATAATGAGACTCCTATCTTTAAAAAAGAAAAAAAGAAAAAAAACAGGCTCATTAAAAAAAAAATTGTCAAACTGCATACTCATCATCTTCGGCTAACAAGACACCAGGAAATCTCTGGAATAAAAACTGATATAAATAACTCTCAATTAATTTAAAATCCCACATGAGTTCTCTGCTTGCATCCTGACTTTTCCTCATTTTTGCTACTGGCCTCTGTCGCTGGATTTTCAGGGAATGGTAAGGAAACAAGGGAAGACCAGAAAGTCTATTTTAGCTTCTTGCTAGGGGGTTTTGAGAAAGAACTGGTCAAGAAATTTTGAAAAGTGGTCTTAGGATGACCCGTGGGTTTTAATGAGCCCAGCAATGGGTGTTGAGACAAGGGTATAATAATAATAAACAGAACTAAGTGCCGGGCGCCATGACTCACGCCTGTAATCCCAGCACTTTGGGAGGCCGAGGCGGGTGGATCACGAGGTCAGGAGTTCAAGACCAGCCTCACCAACCTGGTGGAACCCCATCTCTACTAAAAATACAAAAATTAGTTGGGCATGATGGCAGGCACCTGTAATTCCAGCTACTCAGGAGGCTGAGGCAGGAGAATCGCTTGAACCCAGAAGGCGGAGGTTGCAGTGAGCTGAGATCATGCCATTACACGCCAGCCTGGGTGACAGAGTGAGACTGTCTCAAAAAAAAAGAAAAAAAAAGAGAATTAAGCAATCTAGCTCAAGAAACAGTACATCCAAATAATCACACTGGGATTTGTTTTGTTTTTGTTTTTTTTAATTGAATATGTTTTTTATATTAAAAAAAATACAGGCGGGATTTCACCATGTTGACCAGGCTGGTCTCAAACTCCTGACCTCAAGTGATCCACCTGCCTCGGCCTCCCAAAGTGCTGGGATTACAGGAGCTAGCCACCACGCCCCACCTGTTTTATTTGTTTCTAGAGATGCAGGTCTCACTATGTTGCCCAGGCTGAACTCAAACCCCTGGGCTCAAGGGATCCTCCTACCTCAGCTTCCTGAGCTGGGATTGTAGGTGAGTGCCACCACCCCAGGCCAGGATTTGATTTTAATTCCAGTTCTAAAATCCTTTCTCTGCCTGGAGGTACTTGCCTCATGGCAATTAGGAAACTGCTTCTCTGAGCAGGCCTTGAACTATTTTTGGCCTTCAACAGGCCCCTAGTGCCGGGAGTGGTGGCTCATGCCTGTAATCCCAACACTTTGGGAGGCTGAGGCAGGTGGATCACTTGAAGTCAGGAGTTGGAGACCAGCCTGGCCAACATGGTGAAACCCTGTCTCTACTAAAAATACAAAAATTAGCCGGGTGTGGTGGCGGGTGCCTGTAATCCTAGCTACTCAAAGGCTGAGGTGGGAGAATCACTTGAACCCGGGAGGCGGAGGTTGCAGTGAGCTGAGATGGGGCCACTGCATACTAGCCTGGGCAACAGAGTGAAACTCTGTCTCAAAAAGAAGTAAATAAATAAATAAAGTAAACCTCTTTCCTTTATAAATTACACAGTCTCAGGTATGTCTTCATTAGTAGCATGAGAATGGACTAATACACCATATATCGAGCAATGTTACTTCCAGGTATATAATCCAAAAGAAATGAAAGCAGGAACTCAAACAGATTCGTGTACATGCATGTTCATAGCAGTACTATTAAAAATTGCCAAAAGGTGGAAGCGACCCAAGCATCCACTGACAGATGAACAGATCAACAAAATGTGGCGTACATATTTTGGAATATTATGGAACACTATTCCATATGATGGGATATTATTCTTCCTGAAAAAAAGAAAATTCTGCCAAATGCTGCAACATAGATGAACCTTGAGGACATTATACTAAGTGAAATCGGCCAGTCGCAAAAAGACAAATACTGTATGATTCCACTTACATGAGGTACCGAAAATATATGGTTTTGGACACAGCCAAACCATATAGTATGGTAATTCAATTTTTGAAGAACCACCATATCATCCGAAAACAATCCTTCTATCTTTTCTTTACCCAACTGTTTTCCATCCTTTAAAGTCCTGATCTAGTCCAGGAAGTCCTCAATGGTCTCCTCTACTCTTTCTACTTGTATATTTTGTACCTCGCAATCTGGCAGCTGACTAAATGCTCCCCTGTATTATCTTTTTTTTTTTGAGACAGAGTCCCGCTCTTGTTGCCCAGGCTGGAGTGCAATGGCGCAATCTCGGCTCACTGCAACCTCTGCCTCCCAGGTTCAAGAGATTCTCCTGCCTCAGCCTCCCAAGTAGCTGGGATTACAGGTGCCCAACACGCCCAGCTAATTTTTTTGTATTTTTAGTAGAGACAGGGTTTCACTATGTTGGCCAGGCTGGTCTTGAACTCCTGACTTCAGGTGATCTGCCCACCTCCGCCTCCCAAAGTACTGGGATTACAGGCATGAGCCACCGCACCTGGCCTGCTCCCCTGTATTATCTAGTCCTGCTTCTGTTGTGTTCATTGTGTGTCCTTGATTCAATTGTAAACTGCCTCTATGCAGATAAGTCATGCCCAGGACTCCTCTTCCCCTGCTGCATGTAGCTCAAAGAAGTCTACACTGCAGGACATCAGATATCAGGAAAAACCACTGATTGTCTGAAATACAATTAGCAGAAGGCGCAAGACCATAAGTAGTCATGTCTTCCATTTTAAGGCGTTTGACAGACAGCAAAACTATTCAGGAATAGAAACCAGGAGAAGCTCCCATATGAAGTAGGAGGTGCAGAGGGTAGGAGTTGAGATAAAGATTGGAGTTGGGCTAGCACTGAGTACCAATTAAATAACACTGAGTTTTCATCTTGGCTGTAGTGCCTACTAGTGTGGCTTTGTGGCCCTGGACAAACTATTTAACTTCCTGAAGTCATAGTGTTACTGTAGGTAGCTACTCAGGCATGAGCAGGGCAGAGAGTGCTGCCCACCCACCCACACACCAGGAATGTCAGGCAACCATCAGGTGATGGGCAGGTGGTTGTTAGCCGTCTCTCTAAATAATAATTGGTCCCAGCCAGCACCAGGGAAAGGCAATCTCCCAATAAACAGAAATACCTAAAGCTGGTGATCAGCAGCTTCCGGATAAGATCTCAGGAGGTGGGCGAGTGGGCCCGAGCATGCGCATTAAGAAGCAAAACGGTAGGCCGGGCTTGGTTACTCAGCCCTGAAATCCCAGCACTTTGGGAAGCCGAGGTGGGCGGATCGCCTGAGGTCAGGAGTTTGAGACCAGTCTGGCCAACATGGTGAAATTCTGTCTCTACTAAAAATACAAAAATTAGCCTGGCGCGGTGGCGGGTGCCTGTAATCCCAGCTACTTGGGAGGCTGAGGCAGTGAATCACTTGAACCTGGGAGTCGGAGGTTGCAGTGAGCCGAGATCGTGCCACTGCACTCCAGCCTGGGCAACAGAACGAGACTCCGTCTCAGAAAAAGAAAAAAAAAAAAAAAAAGAAGAAGCAAAATGACAGAGTTTAACTTGTATATGACCTTCTAGGGACATTTCACTATTTCACTGGTTAAGAGAAGAACGCCTCAAGTGAGCATGCGTACAACTCTAGTAAACACACTGCGCATGCTCCCCTCCCAAGCGCTTGCTGGCCACTGCGCATGTGGACAGCCCACCCAAGGGAAGAATCACAGGAGCAGGGATGGAAGACCCCGGAAGTATGCCAATGTATAGAACTCCAAGTCAAAAGGTCAAACCGCACACTTGATCTCTGAAGTTGCCCACTTGGCTTTCTTCCAAGTGTACTTTCCTTCCTTTCGTTCCTGCTCTAAAGCTTTTTAATAAACTTTCTCTCCTGCTCTAAAACTTGCCTGGGTCTCTCCTCTGCCTTATGCCTCTCGGTCGAATTCTTTTATCTGAGGAGGCAAGAAGTGAGGATGCTACAGACCCGTAGGGACTCACCACCCATAACAGTAGTTGCCCATCGGCAAAATGAGCCTGACAAAACGTCCACTTTCCAAGCTCTTGATGAAGCTGACTTGGACAGTGTTCACAGTCAGAAGATGTTGGTCGCAGCCCTTCTCCGTCAGAGCCTCCTCTGTCTCTCAGTGTTCTGGATTGAACTGGTAATCATAGGTTTTGGTTTCTCTTCTGTTTCTCACTTTCTGGGAGTGTGAGATTGGAGCTGTGTTTTAAGATGTTGGTTTTGTTATTATTCAGGTATGGTGAGGCCAACAGATCAGGAGGTGACCACCATTGAAAAGATAGCTTTTATACTCAGAGTTCCTTAGAAACAGGAGCCTCGGCCCAGCATTCAGGATCCTATCGGGTAACACCAGGTGGGTCAGGAGGCAGAAAGGGCCAGGGGAAAGCGAGGGTGAGAAACTTTACTGTGGTTTTCACAGGAGGGGTTGGGCACGGCAGGGTCAACAGAGTAGGCAGGTTTAGGATTGGCCAGTTGGAATAATTTCTGCAGGCTCTGGGGCTTAGAGGGTGTCTCGAGTCATCTAGTATCTGGCCGTGGGATGATTGGGGCAAAAGAATTTTGCCTCCTGGAGTGTAAGAGCCAGGTAAAGAAGGTGGCTTGGAGTATGGGATCTGGATCCGTTAGTTTGCATACGAAAGGCCCACTACCAGGGGACGAGTTTGCTCTCTCTAAAAATTGGCTAACCCTGGGAAGGGCAGTCTCTTCCAAGTCAGCGAGCCCCCAGATACCAGAGCATCAAGAATATAGAAAATAGAGAGGCCGGGTGCGGTGGCTCACGCCTGTAATCCCAGCATTTTGGGAGGCCGAGGTGGGCGGATCACAAGGTCAGGAGATCGAGACCATCCTGGCTAACACGGTGAAACCCCGTCTCTACTAAAAATACGAAAAAATTAGCCAGGCATGGTGGCAGGTGCCTGTAGTCCCAGCTACTCGGGAGGCTGAGGCAGGAGAATGGCGTGAACCCAGGAGGCAGAGCTTGCAGTGAGCTGAGATTGGGCCGCTGCACTCCAGCCTGGGTGACAAAGCAAGACTCTGTCAAAAAAAAAAAAAAAAAAAAAGAAAGAGAGAGAGAAAGAGAGAAAGAGAAAATAGAGAGAGAGAAAAAAAAGAAAATAATAAAATTGGCCAGGTATGCCTGTGATCCCAGCACTTTGGGAGGCCGAGGCGGGTGGAACACCTGAGGTTGGGAGTTCGAGACCAGCCTGACCAACATGGAGAAATCCCGTCTCTATGTGGGGTTTAGCTGGGCGTGGTGGCGCACGCCTGTAATCCCAGCTACTCAAGAGGCAGAGGCAGGAGAATTGCTTGAACCCAGGGGGCGGAGGTTGCAGTGAGCCGAGACTGTGCCATTGCACTCCAGCCCAGGCAACAAGAGCGAAACTCAGTTTAAAAACAAATCATAACCACAATCATAATCATTATAAAATATAATCAATGCAGTTAGTGAGTGGGGGAAACACACCTGCTCTCCTATGATTCCTATGCTCCAGAGTTCCTTGGCCTAAAGCAGCCTGTATAAGGAGCTACTTAATCTCCAGCCTCAGAATAATAGTCGTTAGGAAAATGGCCTCTCTTTCCCCCAGTTCCACAAGGACTCTGACTTTCCTAGGCCCCGTCAGCAATCTCCTCTCTGCTGTCTTCACATAGAAAGGTTTTAAACTCATAACGATAAGTATCTCAGAGAGGTTACAAAATGACCTTGATGGGAAGAGAGTAAAATCCTCCCTGGAAAATTTCAACGCAGATGGCTGTCTTTCAAAGAGGAGACCTTAAAAAAGAAAGATAAACGAGAAAAACTAATAAACAGCATAATAAAACATATTTCCAAATGAGGGTTGCTGCACAGCTGTAAAACCTCATTGAAGTCTAATCGTGATAAAAGACTTTGAAATAATAAACCTAGCTGCAAATTAGGAATGTCTGCTAATGTAGTAATTTCTACCTAAGAGGCTTTGTGTCCAAACATGTCATTTGAGACTCCAGGCAGACAAAGGAGGATGCCCTTGGAAACAGGGCTGCCATTCAGCCCGGCAGCCCGAGGGCATTGGATTTCCTCACTGGGCTCAATAACATTTTCAGCCACATTAGGCACCAGCTTCAGACCTGGTGGGAAGCAAATTTAAGTGTCTCTTTTAGTGAAAAACAAAGAGAATGCTGTATTTCACAAAAGAAAGAAATTCGATCACTCTTTGGATTGGCAGACCTGGAGTCATAATGATTAAATTTGACAGTAGCTTGTGCTTCTAGAAGTTGATTTATTTTACTATTTTAAACTATGGGATGCTTCATGAATTTGCATGTCATCCTTACAAAGGGGCCATGTGAATCTTCTCCATATTGTTCCAATTTTGGTATATGTGCTGCCAAAGTAAGCACAGAAGTTGATTTTTAAAGACATTTTTGGGCTCAGAAAACTTAACCCAAAGGTATGAAATGCCCCAGATCTTATACTGAGCACAAATTCTTCAACAGTCTAGGAAAAATGTTTATCCTATTCACATTTATCTTTGTATTCCTAGGGATACATGAATGAACGATCCTATAAACAGAGAGGCAGTCCCATGGTGCTGATAGAGTAATAGATGACTCAACTCACCAATTCATTCATACATTCAATCATTTAGTCAATTTGAGGATAGAAACTGATGGCTGCCATGTGCCAGGCATTTGACATACAGAGTTAGCAAGAGAGACCTGTGGCAAGACACTGAAATAGGGGCATCTGGGGTGGGGAGTGGAGGTTCTCACACCTGTAGTTAGAGAAGAAGAAAGGCTTTTGGGAGCTGCAGAGAGAAGGAAGGAAGCTGTGGGTACAGGGGAGGGTATGCACTAATGGGTAAGGACACCAGATCCAAGAGCAGGGAGATCTCTGGTCCAACAAACAAAATATAATTTTTTTTTTTTGAGTCGGAGTTTCGCTGTTGTTGCCCAGGCTGGAGTGCAGTGGTGTGATCTCGTCTCACCGCAACCTCCACCTCTCGGGTTCAAGCAATTCTCCTGCCTCAGCCTCCTGAGTAGTTGGGATTACAGGCGTGCACCACCAGGCCCAGCTAATTTTATATTTTGTAGAGATGGGGTTTCTCCATGTTGTTCAGGATAGTCTCGAACTCCCAACCTCAGGTGATCCTGCCAGCCTCGGCCTCCCAAAGTGCTGGGATTACAGATGTGAGCCACTGCACCTGGCTACAAAATACAAATTAAAAGACTAAGAAACCAAGGATTGAGGGGTGAATGGAAAAGATTTACTCTCAAGCAAAGGACCCTAGACCAGTCTAGAGTCTAGGCTCTAGGGGATGAGTTTAGGGAATGTGAAATGGTGTCTTTTAAAGCTAAAGGATCAAGAATGATCTCTGTCCCAATTTAGGAAAGCAGTCTCTGAGTGTGGCTGAGGGGCTAGTGCATTAGATAACCCTTGGACTTGCCAGAGGGAACCAGATGTGAGTGTTGGTGTCACTCGGCTCCCTCTACTGTGTACATGAGGTACCCAGTTGGGATCATGGCATCCAGTTAGGTCTACACAGTTGTTAGCCGGTCATGGGCCAGGTCAGGATTTGTCATAGCAAGGACAGTAGACAGAAATTGCTTGGGTGGAGATCATCCTACCCCAATAATTCTTGCTCTTGCGTATATTCCGAGACACTTGTGGTAGGAAAAATCCTAAAGTGACCCCATTCATGAAATTTCCTGTTCTCATCCCATGGTCTAGGAATACCCTGATTAGGCTCCATTACCTGGCAAAATGTGGTTTTGCAGATGTCATTAAGGTCACTAATCAGTTGATTCAGAGTTAATCAAAGGGGGATTTTCCAGGGGCTCTAATCTAATCACAAATCCATTACAAGCAGAGAGTTTTATCCAGTTGATGGCAAAAAGGGAGGTCAGAGAGATTGAAAGCATAAGAATTTGATGCACCTTGAAGATGGAGGAGGTCACAGGTAAGGACCAAAGAGCAGCTTCTAGGAGATGAGAGTGACCCATGGCTGACAGCCCACAAGGTAGCAGGGACCTCAGTCTCATAGCTGCACAGAACTAAATTTTGCCAACAAGCTGAATGAACTTGGAAGCAGCTTCTTCCCTAGAGTCCAGCCTAGCCAACGTCTTGGTTTTAGCCTTGTGATACCAGAGCAGGGAACCCAGATGGGCCTGCCCAGACTTCTGACCTGCAAAACTGTGAGTTTAAAATAGGTGCTGGTTTCAACACCTATTCGGTGTTTGTGGTAATTTGTTTATTTTTATTTTGTTTTAGAGAAGGGGTCTCACTATGTTATGAGTTTAGAGAAGGGGTCTCACTATGTTATGTTTATTTTGTTTTAGAGAAGGGGTCTCACTATGTTACCCAGGCTGGAGTGTGGTGGCTATTTTCAGGCACGTTCCCACTACTGATCAGCATGGGAGTTCTGACCTGCTCCATTTCTGGCCGGGGCTGATTCACCCCTTCTTAGGCAACCTAATGGTCCCTCACTTCCGAGAGGTCACCATATTGATGCCAAACTTAGTGCAGACACCTGATAAGTGCAGACACTTGGCATAGTGCACTAAGGCCCAGAACTCCTGGACTCAAGGCATCCTCTGGCCTCAGACCCTGAGTAGCTGGGGCTACAGGTGCACACCACCATGCCCCGCAGTGATAATTTGTCATGCGCAATGGAAAATTAACACAACCTTCTGAGAGTCAGACATTGGGCTGGATGGAATAGAGACACAGTGGGTGCAGTCAAGAACCTTTAATGTTGTGAGGACAACAAATGTAGGCTGGCACAGAGAAATGCAGGATTAAAGTTCAGATGAGTGGGGCATGGAAAATCACTGAAAAATCACTTCAGAGATGTTCTGAGAAGAGACATGGGGCGGCTGGGTGCAGTGGCTCACGCCTAGCACTTTGGGAGGCCAAGGCGGGTGGATCATCTGAGGTCAGGAGTCTGAGACCAGCCTGGCCAACATGGTGAAAACCCACCTGTATGAAGAATACAAAAATTAGCTGGGTGTGGTGGCAGGCGCCCGTGATCCCAGCTACTCGGGAGGCTGAGGCAGGAGAATCGCTTGAACCCGGGAGGCAGAGGTTGCAGTGAGCCGAGATCACACCACTGCACTCCAGCCTGGGCAACGGAGTGAGACTCCATCTTAAAAAAAAAAAAGAGACAGGGGGCAATGGGATGTGGTGATAAGGATGGCATCAGGGATGAGCTTGGTGGCTCCAATGATAACATAACCCCCAACATTTAGGTGGTCCTGGGGCCCCAAAGATGCTCTATAGAGAGATGGGCACGTATAGAGGAGCGAGTCCTCCCTTTCCTTTTTACATCAAAATCAATGGGAGAAAAAAAAATCAAGAAGCGAGAATTTGGTTAAGGAGAGGATATAGGACTAAATGGCTCCTGTTGCTAAAAATTAATGAGCTGTTCCCTAAGGTGTTTATTACAGATACCATTAATAGACTGTATCCATTTTCCTTTAAAAGATGTTGCTACTGCCCAATTATCCAAAATTCTGTTTCTTTTCAACAGTATTTTATAAAAAGCCAGCACATTAAAATAAAAGGAATGTTTAAGAACCCTGGGGAGATTAAGCTGTCAGGCAGCTGAGGCAGACCCTCTCTTGAGAACAGATTAATTTCTTCTTTTTATCTCTGCACATGCTTCCCCAGGACCCCCAAAAGATGAGGATGTCAGTGAAGAAAATATTCCAACTACCAACTTTTCCGCTCTCTGAAGGGTGAGAGGTGGGGAGGGGTGGCAGGGAGGTTGGGCAATGGCAGATGGGCAGAGGGAAAAGAAGCAAAGAAGCACTGCTCACTGAACTATGGCCTGAGAGGTCCCCAGAAACACTGCTCAGAAGGGGGCCGTCTGCATCCTGCCAATTAGCATCCCAAAGACCTTGATAAATGGATGGCAAAAACATCCATTCCCCTTAATTTTTTTTTTTTTTCCTGTCACCCAGGCTGGAGTGCAGTGGTATGATCACAGCTCACTGCAGCCTTGCCCTCCCGGGCTCAAGCAACAATCCTACCTCAGTCTCCCGAGTAGCTGGGACTACAGGCGTGCACCACCACACCCAGTTAATTAAAGAAAAAAAAAATTATAGAGACAGGGTCATGCTACATGCCCAGGCTGGTCTTTAGCTCCTGGTTTTAAGCGATCTTCCTGCCTTGGCCTCCTAAAGTGTTAGGATTACAGGTGTGAGCCACTTTGCCCAGCCTAATGTTGCTACATTTACCAGTTTGCTTTGTTAGGACAATGTCTCTCCTTTAGGTTCACAGAACATGTTCCCTCTTCTTTCCCAACCTAAAATATCATAGCAAAAGATTGGAGACCTCACCATCCTGGCTAACACGGTGAAACCCCGTCTCTACTAAAATACAAAAAATTGGCCGGGCGTGGTGGTGGGTGCCTGTAGTCCCAGCTACTCAGGAGGCTGAGGCAGGAGAATGGCGTGAACCCGGGAGGCGGAGCTTGCAGTGAGCCGAGATCACACCACTGCACTCCAGCCTGGGTGACAGAGCAAGACTCCCTCTCAAAAAAAAAAAAAAAAAAGATTGGAGACCTCAGATCACAAAGAAATAATCCAGTGACAGAAAATGTTTACAACTGTACAAATCAATTTCTTAGCTTCCATTCACCTGCATATCTACCCTGAGTACCGTGGAACCTATCTTGGGTTTGGGTGTGGGTGCGAAGTTGAGATGGGCCTGGTGTTGATTCAATTACAGGGTATGACTGTGTTCTTGAAGGTGCCTTTCCCTCCTTGGCAGGTATCCTGTGTGACCCTTTGTGCAGGACGTATGCTCAGCCCTTGCTTCAGCCTTACTTCATGACTTTATGTTTGTCTGCAGAGACGCTTCCTCCTCTTGGCCTGCCATGACCTGTTCCTGAACGTCTGTCTAGTTTCACATTCAGAATCTCCCCTACCTATCAATTGTTGCAGCCACTCTGGACTGTTTCTGCCTCCTAAATACCCTGTGCTCTCTCTTCCTCTTTCTTTTTTTTATTTTTATTTTTTTGAGACTGAGTTTTGCTCTTCTTGCCCAGGCTGGAGTGCAATGGTGTGATCTCAGCTCACTGTAACCTCTGCTTCCTGGGTTCAAATGATTCTTCTGCGTCAGCCTCCCGAGTAGCTGGGATTACAGGCATGCGCCACCACACCTGGCTTTTTTTTTTTTTTTAGACGGAGTCTCGCTCTGTCTCCCAGGCTGGAGTGCAGTGGTGCAATCTCGGCTCACTGCAACCTCCACCTCCCGGGTCCTGGTTCAAGCAGTTCTCCTGCCTCAGCCTCCCCAGTAGCTGGGATTATAGGTGTGTGCCACCAGGCCTAGCTAATTTTTGTATTTTTAGTAAAGACAGGGTTTCACCATGTTGGCCAGGCTGGTCTTGAACTTCTGACCTTGTGATCCACCCGCCTCGGCCTCCCAAAGTGCTGGGATTACAGGCATGAGCCACCATGCCCGGCCTAATTTTTGTATTTTTAGTAGAGACGAGGTTTCATCATGTTGGCTAGGCTGGTCTCGAACACCTGACCTCAGGTAATCTGCCTGCCTCAGCCTCCCAAAGTGCTGGGATTATAGGCATGAGCCACCACACCCGACCTGACATCTCCTTATTTACTAGGCAAATTTCTACCTATTCTTCAAGTCTCAACATAAACTCTAGCTCTATTAAGCTTTCAATGATTCTTTTCAATGATGAGATCCCTCATGCTCCCACCAACCCTTGGTTGGCTTAGTGGACTGCAATCATCTGTGAGGCTCTCTGTTAAACCCCGCGAGTTGACGGAGAGCTCCTCTGTTGCTTTGTTCATTTACATGTTTGTTTTTTGTAGATGGAGTCTTGCTTTTTCGTCCAGGCTGGAGTGCAGTGGTGCGATCTTGGGTCACTGAAACTTCCGCCTCCCAGGCTCAAACGATTCTCCTGCCTCAGCCTCCTGAGTAGCTGGGACTACAGGCGCCCACCACCATGACTGGCTAATTTTTGTATTTTTAGTAGAGACAGTATTTCACCATGTTGGCCAGGCTGGTCTCGAGCTCCTGACCTCAAGTGATCCACCAGCCTTGCCCTCCCAAAGTGCTGGGATTACAGATGTGAGCCACTGCACCCAGCCCGTTTTCATATTTGGGTTGCTAACATTATTACCCTTCTGTAATTAATATTTGCTGACTGAAGGGCAGTAGAGATTATGGGCAGTAGAGATTATGTCCTGTAGATGAGATGTGTGAAGTGTTTGTCCTGCACAATGTCTGGCTTATCCTCCTAAGGTGCCCATTAAATCTTGGGCTTCTCATGTAAAAGGAGTGAACACACAGAGAAAAATGCAGAGTCCTTCTGAGTGAAGCCACCCAAAATGCTAACATACGTCTGAAGAGGGTTTATTTGTAGTGGAAACAAAACAGTAAGACTTTGAAGGCCAGGTGCAGTGGCTCCCACCCGTAATCCCAGCACTTTAGGAAGCTGAGGCAAGGGGGATCACTTGAGTCCAGGAGTTCGAGACCAGCCTGGGCAACATGGCATAACCTTGTCTCTACAAAAATAAAAAAAATTAGCTGGCAGTGGTGGCATCCTCCTATAGTCCCTGCTACTAGGGAGGCTGAGGTGGGAGGATCGCTTGAGCCTGAGAGGTCGAGGCTGCAGTGAGCTGTGATGTGCCACTGCACTTCAGGCTGGGTGACAGAGTGAGATCCTGTCTCAAAAAAAAAAAAAAAGACTTTGGAAAGTACTTGTGAGACATTCAGGTTTTGAGAATTTGGGTTTGGTGAACCTATTAGAGAAGAAAAAATAAGTAGATACCAGTTTCTTGTTGGCACTGGTCCTCACCTGCAGTCTTATTAATTTCCAATGCAGTCTACTTTTGGCAGGCCAAGAAGTTACATCCCTGGGGTGGTTTTTTTTTTTTTTTTTTAACTTAACAGTGGAAAGGACAGGAGACTTGGAGTCAGAAACTCCCAAGTCCCAGCCTTGACTCTGCCACTCTCTGCTAATGTGACCTTAAGATCTTGGTGCCTCAATTATGTCATCCTCAAAATGGGGGTATAACAATGGCAGTCGAGATCTCCTCACGAGGCTGTAGTGACTCATTAATGAGATACCTTAGATGTAGTTGACAGATTTTTTTTTTTTTTTTTGAGATAGAGTCTCTCTTTGTCACCCAGGCTAGAGTGCAGTGGCACAACCTCGGCTCACTGCAACCACTGCCTCCCGAGTTCAAGCGATTCTCCTGCCTCAGCCTCCCGAGTAGCTGGGACTACAGGTGCCCGCCACTACGCCCGGCTAATTTTTGTATTTTTAGTAGAGACGGGGTTTCACCATGTTGGCCAAGCTGGTCTCGAACTCCTGACCTCATGATCCGCCCACCTCGGCCTCCCAAAGTGCTGGGATTACAGGCATGAGCCACTGCGCCCGGCCGACAGATAATTTTTTTTTTTTTTAATTTGCGAATCAGGCAGCCTCCAGAACCAGAATAGGTTCAGAGAGAATCCTGACAGATTATTTGTTTAAAAACATTGTAAAATCATTTAAAAAATGAAATGAGTTTCATACAGCTATAAAATAGATATGTGTCAAGGATTTTATTTAACTCATTAATTAATGGGGGAGCCAGTAAAGCTTTAAAAACCAATTTGAAGGAGACGCTAAACAGCAAGACACATAAATATATAGTCAGTTAGGAACGCTGAGTGAGTACCTTTATTAATAGAGGCAAAACTGGCTTCAGAGGTGGTGGTGGTAGCAGGTTGGGATCAATTGCACCTCAACTGGACAAAATTCATTTGCATGTCTGTGCAGGAATCATTACTATCAGTTTTGTAAACTCACAGGGTTGAAAAACAGCTCCTACAGCTGAGAAAGCAATGTGCAAATTGTAGTTTTCTTAATTCCTAGGCAATGTGTGGCACACACAGTGCTCGTGGAAGGAGGCTGCCCGGCCTATTAAACCTTAAAAATCACTTTTTTTTTTTTTTTTTTTTTTGAGACGGAGTCTCGGTCTGTCGCTCAGGCTGGAGTGCAGTGGCGCGATCTCGGCTCACTGCAAGCTCTGCCTCCTGGGTTCACGCCATTCTCCTGCCTCAGCCTCCCGAGTAGCTGGGACTACAGGAGCCCGCCACCGCGCCCAGCTAATTTTTTTGTATTTTTAGTAGAGACGGGGTTTCACCGTGGTCTCGATCTCCTGACCTCGTGACCTGCCCACCTCGGCCTCCCAAGGTGCTGGGATTACAGGCGTGAGCCACCGTGCCCGGCCACCTTTTTGTTTTTGAGACAGGGTCTCACTCTGTTACCCAGGCTGGAGTGCAGTGGCACCATCAGGGCTCACTGCAGCCTCGACCTCCTGTGCTCAAGCAATCCTCTTGCCTCAGCCTCCTAAGTAGTTGGTACAATAGGCACGTGCCACCACATCTGGCTAATTTTTAAATTTTTAGCCGAGATGGGGTCTCACTATGCTGCTCAGGCTGCTCTTGAACTCCTGGCCTCAAGTGATCTTCCTGCCTCGGCCTCCCAAAGTGTTGGGATTACAGGCATGAGCTATCACACCTGGCCCCATCTTATCTTTTGTGTTTTGTTTTTAATCTCCAAGACTGTTTATTGTCTTTTTTTCTTTTTTTTTTTTTTTCTGTTTTCTCTTTATTTTTTATTTTGAGATGTAGTCTCGCTCTGTTGCCCAGGCTGGAGTGCAGTGGTGTGATCTCAGCTCACTGCAACGTTGGCCTCCCAGGTTCAAGCAATTCTCCTGCCTCAGCCTCCCGAGTAGCTGGGATTACAGGTGCGTACCACCACGCCCGGCTAAGTTTTGTATTTTTAGTAGAGACGGGGTTTCACCATGTTGGCCAGGCTGGTCTCAAACTCGTGACCTCAGGTGATCCACCTGCCTCAGCCTCCCAAAGTGCTGGGATTACAGGTGTGAGTCACTGCAACTGGCCTATTGTTGTTTTTAAAAGACCTATGCTAAATTCTAGTTTTCAAGAAAGTAAAATCCTGACTCATGGAAATATAAAATGAACATGTATCAAAGATTTTAATTCATTGGTGAATGTGGAAACCAGTAAGCTGCTAAAATTGGTTCAAATGAGAATTTAATTTACAGAGTTTTTTTTCTGTAAAGACATGATTCTTTTGCATTGCTATGATCAGGAATCTGTGCATTCCGATGGACAAGGAAAATTTATGTTGTCAGTTTTCTACAACTTTATCCCTACAGAATTGTTAAATAGCTTAGCCAATCACAAACAACCCAAGACACATGCCTCTGGAGTCAGATCATTCCTGGAAGGCCCTCTAGAAACACCCAGCACTCTACTACCACAAGGTCACCAGGATTCTCTTGCCCATTTGCAAGTCTTTGGCAGGTTTTCCTGACCAGTAGGTGGGTACCACTGCCCCATGGACAGTCCTGTCTTTGCCTGCCTTTGTTGGCCTCCTCTCCTTTTCTTCTTTCTTGAGACAGTTTTGCTCTTCTTGCCCAGGCTGGAGTGCAATGGCGTGATGTCAGCTCACTGCAACCTCTGCCTCCTGGGTTCAAGCAACTCTCCTGCCTCAGCCTCCCAAGTAGCTGGGACTACAGTCATATGCCACTATGCCCAGCTAATTTTTTTTTTTTTTTTTGAGATGGAGTTTCGCTTTTGTTGCCCAGGCTGGAGTGCAATGGCACGATCTCGGCTCACTGCAACCTCTGCCTCCCAGGTTCAAGTGATTCTTCTGCCTCAGCCTCCCGAGCAGCTAGGATTACAGGCACTCGCCACCACGCCCGGCTAATGTTTTATATTTTTAGTAGAGTTGGGGGTTTCACGATGTTGGGCAGGCTGGTCTAATTTTGTATTTTTAATAGAGATGGGGTTTCACCATGTTGTCCAGGCTGGTCTCAAACTCCTGACCTCAGGTGATCTGCCCGCCTTGGCCTCCCTAACTGCTGGGATTACAGGCGTGAGCCACCACGCCCAGCCTTCCTTTTCTTCTTGACAGGCCCATCGCACCTTTATCCCACTCCTCCCATCCCAGCGTCTTCTCCATTGGACGAGATCCTAAGCCATTTCCACCAGCCTTAGAGAAAGAGGTGACCCTTTGTTGGGATTCAGGACATTCTACCCTCAAATATTTTAAGCTGAAATAATGTGTGGGCCGGTTGCGGTGGTGTGTGCCTGTAATCCCTGTGCTTTGGGAGGCTAAGGTGGGAGAATTGCTTGAGGCCAGGAGTTTAAGACTAGCCTGGGCAACATAGTGAGATGCCCATCTTTACAAAAAATTTAAAAATTAGCTGGGCACAGTGGTGCATCTGTAGCTCCAGCTGCCCGGGAAGCTGCAGTGGGAGGATGGGTTGAGCCCAGGAGCTTGGGACAGCAGAGAGCCATGATGGTGCCACTGCACTCCAGCCTGGGCAACAGAGTAAGACCTTATCTCTAAAAAAAATAAGTTAATTTTAAAAAAAGAGTTTGTGCAGGAAGATCTGACTTTCTCTGCTTTTTCCCTGAAGCAGGTTATAACACTTAGGAAGGATTTTCTAACCTTTCCCTGAAGCAGGTCATGAAATCCTCATGTAACAGATACCCTCCTTCTACCCAGAGAACAAGAGCGTCTTCATCTCTGAAGACCCAGGGAGGCAGAGAATCTGAACAAGCTTGCCAAGCCTCCCCCAGTTTATTGCCATTAGATCACAGTTTTTTGCTACCTCATATTTCTCCACTAGTATACCCTTCATCAAATCTAGCATTAAAATACTCAGGTTTAACTGTTTCGTTGGGTTTTCATTTTCTTTTTTTTGAGACGGAGTCTCGCTGTTGCCAGGCTGGAGTGCAGTGGCACGATCTCGACTCACTGCAACCTCTGCCTCTCGGGTTCAAGCGATTCTCCTGCCTCAGCCTCCCGAGTAGCTGGGACTACAGGCGCGTGCCACCACACCCGGCTACTTTTTGTATTTTTAGTAGAGATGGGGTTTCACCATGTTGGCCAGGCTGGTCTCGAACTCCTGACCTCATGATCCCCCCACCTTGGCCACCCAAAGTGTTGGGATTACAGGCGTGAGCCACTGCGCCTGGCCTGGATTTTTGTTTTCTTTTGAAGGCTTCATGCCATGGTAAAGTTACATTAAATACATTTGTATGCTTTTCTCTTTTGTTATAGGGGCTGCTGCCATGAATGTAAGATGGTAGAGGAAAATACATTTTTCCTCCCCTCCACTTGCTTCTTCAAACCATTCTTTTCAAGACCATGCTCCTTTAATTAACATCCCTCTCTTCTGTTTTTCCAACTGCTCCCGTCCTTTATCGCCACTGGCTTCTGTTCCATGCTTAGAAACATCTTTAAATCCCCTTTAACTTAAAAACAAACAAAAATATGAAACCACCCACCTCTATTTGTGCAGGAAGGCAAAGGACAGAAAAAACCCTTGACTTTTTGATGGCAAATAGCAGAGATAAACAAACTTTTTCCTTAAAGTGCCAGGTAATAAATCTTTTAGGCTTTGTGGGCCACATATGGTCTCTGTTGCATTTTCATTTTTTCTTTACAAGCTGTAAAAAATGGAAAAGCCATTCCTAACTTGTGGATAGTACAAAAACAGGCTGCAGGCCAGATTTGCCTGCAGGCTATAGCGTGCTGATTCCTCGTTTGCAGAAGCAAGCATTTATTTATTTGAGGCAGAGTCTCACTCTGTCGCCCAGGCTGGAGTGCAGTGCAGTGATCCCGGCTCACTGCAATCTCCGCCTCCGGGTTCAAGCAATTCTTCTGCCTCAGCCTCCCGAGTAGCTAGGACTACAGGCACACACCACCATGCCTGGCTAATTTTTGTATTTTTAGTAGAGGCGGGGTTTTACCATGTTGGCCAGGCTGGTCTCGAACTCCTGGCCTCAAGTGATTCGTCCACCTCGGCCTTCCAAAGTGTTGGGATTAGTCATGAGCCACCATTCCTGGCCAATTTTTCTTTATGCTTCTGAGGTATGTTACAGTAGTCATTCCTTGGATGTTGGACATGGCTTGTACTTGCTTGGCTGGTGGAATGTTAGCAATGGTGACATGAGAGGAACGTGCTTTGGGGACTTGCCAGTCCAGGAAGGATGAGGGACATATGAAACACACCTGGATGCAAACTCCAGCTTGGAACCAAGCCTGGCTGGGCCCAGCTTAGATCCACCAAACCTTAGCCAACTGTGATGTTGTGCAATACAAATGGCTGACTGCTTAGTAATAAACTAAGCAGGAGAACTCAGTAACTGCAGTTATTTCTGTCTTGCTCATCAAAGCCTTAGACTAGAGTTTCTCAAAGTGTGATCAGTTATCTCAAGTGGCTGCCAAATGTCACTTTCCTGGGCCTTAACCTGAGAGGGACTAACTTGGAAAATCTGGGGAGAAGACTTAATAAAGTTTATTATTACTAATGGGGGAGTTTGAGAATGTGCCTCAGATCTTTTTTTCTAAGAGTTATTTGATTCAGGTTGGTAATAGCTACTTTAGCAACCATGTGATCCATGGTGCCTACCATGCAGGCACCAGGTGCTTTGCATAGATATGGATTTTATTTTTATTTTTAATTTTATTTATTTTTTGAGATTGAGTCTCGTTCTTTTGCCCAGGCTGGAGGGCAGTGGCACAATCTCGGCTCACTGCAACCTCCGCCTGCCAGGTTCAAGCGATTCTCATGCCTCAGCCTCCCGAGTGCTGGGATTACAGGCGTGCACCACCACGCCCAGCTAATTTTTTTGTACTTTTAGTAGAGACGGGGTTTCACCATGTTGGCCAGGCTGGTCTTGAACTCCTGGTCAAGTGATTCACCTGCTTTGGCCTCCCAAAGTGCTGGGATTACAGGCATGAGCCACCATGCCTAGCCTGATTTTATTTTATTTATTTATTTTTGAGATGGAGTCTCGCTCTGTTGCCCAGGCTGGAGGGCAGCGGCACGATCTCGGCTCACTGCAACCTCCGCCTCCCGGGTTCAAGCAATTCTCCTGGCTCAGCCTCCCGAGTAGCTGGGATTACAGGTGCCTGCCACCACGTCCAGCTAATTTTTGTATTTTTAGTAGAGATGGGATTTCACCATGTTGGCCAGGCTGGTCTTGAACCCCTGACCTCGTGATCTGCCTGCCTCGGCCTCCCAAAGCTGATTTTATTTTTAAACTTCTTAACAACAACTCCATGAACAGGTGTGACTATCCCCATTTCACAGCTGAGTACACAGAGGCTTAGAGAGGTTAAATAACTTACCTAGGATCACGAGAAGCAAGGACGAGGGTCAGATGTACCCCGTGATTCTTCTTCTATACCTGCTACCTGCTGGCATACCTAATTTGGTTTACAGCTTTCGTTCTTACCAGGGTTAAATAATTATGCAAATCAACTTCTGCAGCCAGTCCTAGCCAAAGAGCCTAGGAAAGTGAAAGAGAAAACCGAACAAGGGGAAGGGAGAGGACAATGATTCCGGGAAGCTCTGCTGGGGACTGGTGGTAAGTGGCAAGGCCTGTTAGACTCCTTCAGGGTTGATAGGCTATTTCTGGTTCCTGGGCACATATAAGAAGGAGGGAGGGGGGAAGGACCAGCAGGGACAGCAAGGCCGGGACAGAGGGGTTGAGTGGTCACATTTTTTTTTTGAGATGGAGTTTTGCTCTGTCACCCAGGCTGGAGAGTGGCAGCACAATCTTGGTTCACTGCAACCTGTCTCCTGGGTTCAAGTGATTCTCCTGCCTCAGCCTCCCGAGTAGCTGGGATTACAGGTGTGCACCACCACGCCCGCCTAATTTTTGTATTTTTAGTAGAGACAGGGTTTCACCATTTTGCCCAGGCTGGTCTTGAACTCCTGACCTCAAGTGATCCACCACCACCCTTGGCCTCCCAGAGTGCTGAGATTACAGGCGTGAGCCACCGCGCCTGGTCAAAGAAACTTTAAAGAAAGCAAACATCCACTCAGATGGTGCAGGCTGCTATAAGCAATTACCATAGATGGCATGCCTTATAAAACAACAGAATTTTGTTTCTCACAGGTCTGGAGGCTGGAAGTCTGAGATTAGGGTACCAGCGTGATCAGGTTCTCGTGAGGTCTCTCTTCCAGGTTGCAGATGCTGACTTCTCTGGGATGTTCCTCTTATAAGTGAACTAATCCCATTCCCAAAGCTCCACTTATGACATAATCACCTCCCAAAGGCTCTACCTTCTAATACCATTACCTTGGGGGTAGGGATTTCAACCTATGAATTTGCGGGGGAGGGGCACAAACATTTAGTCCCTAACAGGTGGATCGCATTACTTTAGAACTGCCTGAAGAGGGTGTTGAAAATACCTTCCTTGGGCCAGGTGTGGTGGCTCACGCCTGTAATCTCAGCACTTTGGGATGCCGAGGCAGGCGGATCATTTGAGGTCAGGAGTTCAAGACCAGCCTGGCCAACATGGTGAAACCCCGTCTCTACTAAAAATACAAAAATTAGCTGGGCATAGTGGCACGTGCTTATATTCCAGCTACTTGGGAGGCTGAGGCAGAAGAATTGCTTGAATCTGGGAAGTGGAGGTTGCAGTGAGCTGAGATTGTGCCATTGCACTCCAGCCTGGGCGTCACAGCCAGATTCAGTCTCAATTAAGAAAAAAACAAAACAAAACAAAAACACCCTTCCTCAGCTCTCCCGAAGCCTCCAAGATTCTCATTTAACAGGTCTGAGTAGTGCCTAGAAAATCTTCATTCTTCATTTTCAGCAAACTTTCTAAGCCCGAGGCTAGTGTTTTCTTTTTTCTTTTTCTTTTCTTTTCTTTCCTTTTTTTTTTTTTTTTTTTTGAGATGGAGTTTCCTTCTTGTTGCCCAGGCTGGAGTGCAATGGTGAAATTTTGGCTCACTGCAACCTCCACCTCCCGGGTTCAAGCAATTCTCCTGCCTCAGTCTCTCTAGTAGCTGGGATTACAGGTGGATGCCATGATGCCCAGTTAATTTTTGTATTTTTAGTAGAGATGGGGTTTCACCATGTTGGTCAAGGCTGGTCTCGAACTCCTGAACTCTGGTGATCTGCCCGCCTTGGCAGATCTGTGGCTTGCATTTTGCACTTTCTGTATCTTAACACATCTTTCCATGTCAATAGATATAAATATACATCATACTTATGGTAGATTTTCAGGTATATGTGGAGATGCTTATTTGAGGGGACCATACCATCTGGGACCTTTGACTTCCTTTTCAACTCACACTGTCTAGCAAACACCCACTCTGCTGGTGGTTAAGGCTAGAACTTGGGGTGCATTTCTGAATCCCAGAGTCCTGACTGGGCTTGGAGGTGAGGAGCTCTTGGCTGGTCTGGGCCTTCTGCATTCTGCATCAATACTCATGGGCTTCTGAAAATAGTCACCAGTATTTTCAGCCTCTGATGCTGATCCTGAGGGTCTCCCAGCTCCGAGGCCACCGTGAAGCTGCAGGGCTTGCAGTTTGGGGTTACACAGAATGTCCATCCCAAGTCCCAACCCCCCACCTCCCATGCACAGGAGGCCAGTGGGGATAGTGTTTAGGATTCAAGGACTGAAACCTTAAGCCAAGTGAAACCACAGCGCCCGCCTTTGAACTGCAGAGATAGCTCCCCCAGCTCTCCCCTCCCAAGAAGGCCCTGGGTCCGCAGCAACAATGCAAAGTTCAAATCTATGACTACTTGCTAGCGCATTTGGGAACCATTAAGTGACCTCTGACCTCCCCTGGCCCTTGGACATGTGACCCTTAGGGGCTGTCTTCCCTGCCACAGAGACTGGGCGTGAGTTGTTGGAACCAAAGGAAAACTGTGTGTAGCAGCCTGTTTTGGAGATTAAATGAACTTAAAAATACAATCTGTAGTAAACTTTATTTTATTTTTTTAGTAATTGGGATAATTGGCTTCAGTCTGTGAGATAAACAAACTACAAAGCAAATCCTTTAACCTCCTGTGCCGGGCTGTAAAGGGGCCCGCATTTGTATTTTCCTGATGCTTTTGGTGACCTAAGGGCTGGCCTCTCTGCCTCTGGACTGGGGCTGGCACAAAGCCGGGCTAATCACAGAGCACTTTCGGAAATGAGGGTCTTGAATGGAATTTCCTCAACACGCCCTCGGCAGTCTGCAGCCTCCTCACTGAGTTTTCCCTTCTGGAAGGCTCTGGGCTGGGCAGGGCTGGAGAACAAAGGAGCCGTTTCTCTGAGTCTTCCTCAGAGCCCAGAAAGCCTCCTGACCCAACAAAAATTCAATAAAAGCAACTCTTGTGTTCCCTTCCGTGTACTACGGCTGTCAATAAATCAAGTGCTAGGGCTGAAAATAAGTCAAATGCTGCATATTCACAGTTAACAATGTGTACATCTCTGTGGGGGGAATAAAAATTGTTTACTGTAGATAAGAGTCTTGCCCTCAAAGAGCTTAATATTTACTTGGAATATCATGACTAATCACAGCAAGAGGAAAAAGTCAAATCATGATTTGTGGCAGCAATCCAAGCAATCTTGGGACAAAAGTAACAAGCTTTAAGAGTTCAGTAAATGCAAACTGTTGAGCATCTCTTCTACTAGACAAGGCTGCAGAAACCCTAAGGTGGGGACTTATCTCAAAGATAGCTGTCATTATTTTTTCTTTCCTCCCATGCACCTACCACTCCCTTTTGGAGAGGTGGAGCCTATCTCTCCACCCGCTGGGATCTGGGCTGGCCTATGACGGCTTTGACAAATAGGATGTGATGGAAGTTATGCTCTGCCAGTTAGGTCTAATCCTTAAGAGGCCTGGCAATTTCTGCTTCCCCTCTCTTAGAAAGACCCAGCTGACATGCTATGGGAAGTCCCTAAGCCACCTGGAAAGTCCAAGTGGAGTACAATTGAGGCTCCAGGACCATGGTACCAGCTGAACTCCCAGCCAATAGCACCAAGTCACCAACTCCGAGTGATCCACATGGAGGTAGATCCTCCAGCCCTGTTGATCCACCTCAGCTGCCAAGCAGTCCCTGCCTGCTTAGCCCCAGTTGCAAAACTGTGAGCAAATAAATGATGGTTGTTGCATTCTTGCATCTGCTTTGCTTTCACCACAATCCCTGTAAAGAAGGTGTTTCCAGGCGTGGTGGCTCATGCCTGTAATCCCAGCACATTGGGAAGCCTAGATGGGAGGATTGCTTGAGGCCAGGAGTTCAAGAAGGTGTCATTAGCATTATCCCCATTTTATAGATGAGGGGTTAAGGTGGAAGTGGTTAAGCAAATTATCCAAGATCTCACCAGTCAGTAGTAAGCGGAGGAGGCCCAAGGACACAGGGTGTGTTCTGGGGTTGGTGCTTACACCAGCGTGGCAGGAGCTTGGGATATTAGTCAGGAAGTGGTGTGATATAAAATAGGAAGAAGGGCCAGGTGTGGTGGCCCACGCCTGTAATCTCAGTAGTTTGGGAGGCTGAGGCAGGAGGATCACTTGAGCCCAGCAGTTTGAGGCCAGCCTGGGCGACATAGCGAGACCCCATCTCTAAATAAATAAATAAAATAAAACCAGGAAGATGGATGGGTTGGGATCAAATTAAGGAGGGACCCATGTGCCAGGATAAGAAGTTAGCACTTCATTCAATAATGACCGTTTATAAGTGGCCATCGGTGGCTTTTTAGCCAGAGAAGTGATGGGGTAAAAATATCTGAAACAAGTGGTTGAACACGAGATAGTCTGAAGGGCCAAGAGTCTGCCAGCAGATGGCTCAGCGGAGACAGAGTTGAAGTGATGGAAAATTGCTGCCTGCGATGGTGGCAACGGAACAGAAAAAGACACATGACAAGACTTAAAAAAAACACAATGGTAGGATTCCACGGTCAGGAATTCCAAAATATTTAAATCTGGGTGGCCCAAAGGAGAAGGGGTGATATCACCGAATGAACTGGCAATGCAGGAGGAAGAGCCAGTTTAGAAAGTCTTGCGCACGGAAAAAAAAGGTTTTTGTGGCATTGGCACAGATTTGAGGGAGATGAATTTAGTTTAAGATATGCTGAAACTGAAGAGCTGGCAAAGAATGAAGATGTGTAAGTCACACTTCCAGCCCTCGAGCCGTTGGTAATTCTGAGTTCCTTTTCTCTCTTACAAATACATACACAATCACACATGGACACAAATGTACGCACACACACATTATTTATATATTTATTTATTTTTTGAGACGGAATCTCACTCTGTCGCCCAGGCTGGAGTGCAGTGGCAAGATTTCAGCTCACTGCAACCTCTGCCTCCCTGGTTCAACCGATTCTTCTGCCTTAGCCTCCCGAGTAGCTAGGACTACAGGCGCACGCCACTACACCTGGCTAATTTTTGTATTTTTAGTAGAGACGAGGTTTCGCCATGTTGGCCAGGCTGATCTTGAACTCTTGACCTCAGATGATCTGCCCGCCTTGGCCTCCCAAAGTGCTGGGATTACAGGCATGAGTCACTGTGCCCAGCCTCACACACACATTCTTACATACATGCCAGAGAAGCAAATAGAAGTAGTATATAGTAAATAATAGTAAAATGAAAAAACCGTCCAAAACACTTGGTACTGACAATATATGCTACGAGTGATCTGAAAGAGAAAGATCAATTGGCCTCGTAGCATTCAAAGGGGTTACAGTAGGATCAGAGGAGGGGTATTCCTGGAACACGTGCTTACAGGCATTGAGCATCGAGGCAAACATGGAGGGAGGGATAGTGGGAGAGGACAATTATCATAGGCATCACACATTTTTTGAAAATGTGGTTTTAATGACCTCAAAGTATTCCATGCAAAACTACAATTTATTAGACGATTCCTCTAACTTTTTACATTTATGAGGTTGGCAATTTTGGCTATTATAAATTACATTAAAATGAAAGCTGGCTGGGTACAGTGGCTCACACCTGTAATCCCGTGCTTTGGGAGGAATGGGGAGGATGGCTTGAGCCCAAGAAGTCGAGGTTCCAGTGAGCTATGATCACACCACTGCACTCTAGCTTGGGTGACAAAGCAAGACCCTGTCTCAGAAAATAAATAAAATAAAATAAAATAAAGTCTCTGTAAATAATTTTTCGCTTACATCTGACCATTCTTGGAAGACAGATTCTTTGTTTTTTGAGATGGAGTTTCACTCTTGTTGCCCAGGCTGGAGTGCAATGGTGTGATCTTCGCTTACTCTAACCTCTGCCTCCTGGGTTCAAGTGATTCTCCTGCCTCAGCCTCCCAAGTATCTGGGATTACAGGTGTCCGCCACCATGACCAGCTAATTTTTTTGTATTTTTAGTAGAGACAGGGTTTCACCATGTTGGCCAGGCTGGTCTTGAACTCCTGACCTCAGGTGACCCACTTGCCTCGGCCTCCCAAAGTGCTGGGATTACAGGCGTGAGCTACTGTGCCCAGCCAGAATAGATTCTTAGAAATGGAATTAGTGGGCTGAAAAATGTCAATTAAAAAATATATATGTATATATTTTAGAGACAGGGTCTCACTCTGTTGCCCAGGCTGGAGGGCAGTGATGCAATTATAGTTCACTGCAGCCTTGACCTCCTGGGCTCAAGCTATCCTCCCACCTCGGCCATCTGAATAGCTGGGATTATAGGTACGTGCCACCATGCCCAGCTCTAAGATATTCTTGACACTCTTTGCCAACAGCCTGCTAAAAACATGGTCAGTTTGGCTGGGCAGGACGCACAGCTGTGTGTTCTGTATGACCTGTTTTACACATTAAATATTTGAAAATAAATAAAAACACAACCCACAATGTTAACAGTGCTTACCTCCGGGTGTTGAGGTTTAGGGGTGATTTAATGGACTTCTTTTTACCTTTCTATATTGTATACATTTCCAAAATAATTTTATCAAATTACTTTTTTAAGTAGGAAAATCCTATGATAGAACACTGTGCTCAAGGCATGAATCCTGTGTTGTTGCTCCAGCTCTCCAGCCGACAATGTGAACTTGGACAAGCCACTGGATCTCGGCTGAGCTAGAGCATCTGAGACAGCCACTAGGTGCTCTCAGCCCAGGACCTGGGGCACTTAAAAAACTCCTTGCTCTGAGTCCCTGCCCAGAGTAACTGCATCTGTATTTGCAGGGTCGGGTGAGGCCTGGTTATGGGAATTTTTCAAAGGTGAGTCATGGACACTAATGTGCAGTTTAGGGCAGGCTTCCCTGATCCAAAGGCTCTAAGGAAGGCCTTGAAAGCCACGATGAAGACCTCATCCCATGGGAGCTGTGGGCTCCTTCAGAGCTGGGAGAGAGGAGGCGGGTGGTGGCTGCGGCACACCTTTCTGTGTCTGTTGGCAGCATCTCAGCCGCAGGTAGCAGGTGGGGTCTGATTCATCTCCAGCAACATTTACAGACAATGAGTCACAACCAAAGAAAATCACGTATCCCGAGAGGGAAGCCAGGTCCTCTTTGATTCCAAGCACCGGGTGAGATCAGAACAGGAGGACCAGGCAGGCAGTGTCTGGCGGTGGCTCTCCCTTCCTGCAGCAGGGGAGCAAAGCCGGGGGTCTCTATTTTGGCGGGGCTTGTGGTTGAGGAGAGGGGAGTGAAGATGGGCCGGAGGGAGAAGTGGGATCAGGCTGGTGGCCTTGCTTCCTCTGGGCCAGTGAGCAGTGGCCACTCTGCTGGCCAGGCACCTACCCTCCTCCAAAGCCTGGAGATGAGGGCAAGTGAATCCTTCACTCCTCTCTTGGGGTTATTTCTATGGGGAGGGGGCTGGGCCCTCTGCTGGTTCCCTTAGCAACAGGGCCTGGCCCAGCTGCATTGTGCAGAGGCCCCAGCTAGGAAAGGCAGAGGGGGAAGGAAGGGAGGAGATGGTTTTCCACGGCCTGCCCTTCTCAGAGGTGGCGGGGGCTGTCAACATCCCAGAGCCCTTGGTTCCGGAGGGGGAGGGGATGCCCGTCGAGAACTCAGTCTTTTCCCAGGGGGAGAAGGCCAGAGAGGGGCCCCGTGGGCATCACTGAGGTCATTGTTTACATGTAGAAAATTAGGCTGCAGCCACTCTTGGCTGCATCCCGGGTGGGAGGTGTTAGAAAGAGGACCAGACCAATCTTGCCCTTTGACGCTGCCCAGAGGAGGCGACCAGTCCCCGACAGCCCTGCTTGGCGGCGGGTCCTGGCCTTCCATCCTCTGTGCGCACGCGTGGCATTTTCTGACCTGCCCTTGTCAAAATGACTGCATGTTCTTCTTAGCATTTGGATTTGCAGAGCTTCTGAAGGGCTTCTGCCTCTGAAGTCCCCTGCCCTGCCTCGGTTCTCACGCCTTCACGCTCTCCCTGCTCTTCTTGCTCTTCCATTCTGCGTGGCTGTGGTCCCCTCTCCCTCGCCCCATCTCTCCTGCTTAGCGTCCATCTCTCCCCACGTTCCTTCTTCCCATTTATTCCTCCCCCACCACTATTCCAAAGCCAAACAAATTTCCCGTCCTCTTTCCAGTCTGTTTTCCCTCAGGATAATAAAAGTTCTCTCGGGGATCAATAAAACCATCCAGGCTACAAGACATTAGCAAACTGTGACCTAGATAGGCAATGCATGTTAGAAAGCTTTTGCCAATAGTGATATTTATTTTTATTTATTTAATTTATTTATTCATTTATTTTGAGACAGAGTTTCGCTCTGTTGCCCAGGCTGAAATGTAGTGGCGCAATCTTTGCTCACTGCAACCTCCGCCTCCTGGGTTCAAGCAATTCTCCTGCCTCAGCCCCCTGAGTAGCTGGGATTACAGGCATGTGCCACCATGCCTGGCTAATTTTGTATTTTTAGTAGAGATGGGGTTTCTCCATGTTGGTCAGGCTGGTCTCGAACTCCTGACCTCAGGCGATCCGTCTGTCTCAGCTTCCCAAAGTGCTGGGATTACAGGCGTGAGCCTCCGCGCCTGGCATATATTTATTTATTTATTTATTTATTTATTTATTTATTTATTTAGAGATGGAGTTTCGCTCTGTTGCCCAGGCTGGAGTGCAGTGGGGTGACCTCAGCTCACTGCAACCTCTGCCTCCTGGGTTCAAGCGATTCTCAGCGATTCATTCCTTAGCCTCCTGAGTAGCTGGGACTACAGGTGTGTGCCACCACACCTGGCTAATTTTTGTATTTCTTTTTTTAATAGTAGAGACAGGGTTTCACCATGTTGGCTAGGCTGGTCTTGAATGTCTGACCTCAAGTGATCATCCTGCCTCAGCTTCCCAAAGTGCTGGGATTACAGGTGTGAGCCACTGCATCTGGCCCCAGTAGTGATATTTAAATGCCTTGATATGTAAAGGTTTGAGCTTCCAAATGGAGATCACGATTATTGTAAAAGTGACCACTTTTCTGACCATGCCCGATGAAAAAGATGTTAGCATATATTCTAAACGCCATTAAGTGTCTTAAAAAGAACATAAATGTCTTCTGGAGGGATATATTGATGTTTTTAGTAATTCTCATATTGCCACTTTCTTAGAGATCATTATTTCGACCTAGAAAATATCTTTTTTTTTTTTTTTTTTTTTTTTGAGATAGGGTCTGGCTCTGTTGTCTAGGCTGGAGTGCAGTGGCACAATCTCAGCTCACTGCAGCCTCCACCTCCTGGGATCAGTTGATCCGCCAGCCTTAGCCTCCTGAGTAGCTAGGACTACAGGTATGCACCACCGTGCCTGGCTAATTTTTGCATTTTTCGTAGAGACAGGATTTTGCCATGTTGCCCAGGCTGGTCTCGAACTCCTGGGCTCAAGCCATCCACCCAGCCTCGGCCTCTGTGGTGAGCTGCGTGCCCGGCCTGCAATGCTCTTAAATACACACTGGGGAGACTCAGTCACCCATTTCATGATGGCCCTTTTCATTATTGAATGCATCACCCACATAGAGGAACAATACCCAGGACCCAGCTTTCCACAAACACAGAGGAGGTGGGCTTTCCTGCACTGCTGTGATCTCAGGGCAATGGGAAGCTTCCCCATGAAGTGTCCTCTAGATCCAGGTAGTCTAACATGAACTGGGCCTGAAGTGCCAGTGTCGGAGGATGCTTCTTCTGAGGTCTTTGCTCTGTCTAGGGTCCTCTTTCCAAACGCACATGCCAATGAAGGAAATTTGGGGACCTCTTTCTGGAAAGCATTAACCGCTGCCTAGCTGGGCTTGGGGAGTCAGAGGGAGTGGGCTCCTAGGAAGAGCAACTCGGGTGTCGGGGCGAGAACAAGTGGGAGAGAGAATGGGGCAACAAGGAGAGGATAACTGAGGTCCCATTGTCCTTCCCAAGGTGTGTTTCTTTTTTTTTTTTTTAAGGCAAGGTCTCACTCTGTTGCCCAGGCTGGAGTACAGTGGTGTGACCTTGGCTCACTGCAGCCTTGACCTCCTGGGCTCAAGTGATTTTTCCACCTCAGCCTCCCATATAGCTGGGACCACAGGTGCATGCCACCATACCTGGCTAATTTTTTAAATATTTTTTTTGTAGAGATGAGGTTTTGCCATGTTGCCCAGGCTGGTCTCGAACTCCTGGACTCAAGTGATCCACCGGCCTCGGCCTCCCAAAGTGCTGGGATTACAGGAGGGAGCCACTGTGCCCAGCCAGTAAAATACTTTTAATTTGATATTTGTTTCACGGTCTCTGTTGGGCTTTCTGGCTCCTCCCTGCTAATTTTTGGCTAGAAATGGAGAAGAGGGATGGTGGCAAGAGGAGGGTGTGTGCGTGAGTGGCAGAGGGTGAAGGAGAGTGAGCTGGTTGTTGGGCTGAGTGGTAGTGGGTGGATGAGAAGGAAGCTGTCTCCCAGCTTCGACACAGGGTTGTGCACACAAGAGGCCACATGCCACACCATATACCATGCACACCACCTCACACACGCACACTGAATCACACACACCATATACACACCCCTTACCCCATGCCACACACATACAACATCACACGCACACATCATGCACATAATCACACACCACGCACATACACACCACACACACTACACTGCACATTATACACACACCACCACCAAGGCATACACACACACAGGCACATGCCACACACAGCCTTTAGCCTTTCGAGAGAATAACACTGCCACCTGGTGGCTATTCACGTGCAAAGGCCCCGCTGAGTCTCGAGCATCAGTAACACAAGTTGTGTTACTCTGTACTTAGTGACTCTGGTTCCCACAGTCGAAAGTCTGCTCTTTTGACTCTTTGACTCTGCTCCCTCATGTCCTTTTCTCTGAAAATGAGCCAAACCATAAATGTACTTCTGAGGAGTGTTCGACAGTGTTCCCGGGAAACTCTGGGTGAGACAGAGAGCACTCCGATAACATCTCCCAAACGCGCTCCTGGTGCTCAGGGCCTTCAAACCCAGACAACTGGGCTTCTTTCGGAAAGAAGCTGTGGACTTGAGGAGGCAGAGAATAGCCAAAGAAAGGGCTTGATTTCAGGAGCTGATTCCAGCCTCTGTCAATACTGTGCATGTTTTAGCTACAACGACGGAAGAGCAGAGAACCCTGCATTATCAATATCAATTTCTGCTTCCCTGACCCATGCTTGGTATCTCCAGTAACGGCTCATTTCACTTTGCGATAATTAAAAGAAATGCCATCCATTTGCATTTTGAGTTCCTGCCCTGGGCCAGGCACAGTGCCTGGGAGTTCTGTCCGCTCCATCCACTGCTGGTGGCCTCAGTCCTCCCAGAAGGTGCAAAAACAAGTGTGCTCCTTGCTTTTTCTTTTTTTGAGACAGGCTCTCTCTCTGTCACCCAGGCTGGAGTGCAGTGGCACAATCATGGCTCACTGCAGCCTTGACCTTTTGTGCCCAAGTGATCCTGTTGCCTCAGAGCTAGGACTACAGGTGTGAGCCACCACATCTGGCTAATTTTTAAATGTTTTGTAGAGGCCGGGCGCGGTGGCTCACACCTGTAATCCCAGCACTTTGGGAGGCTGAGGCAGTTGGATTGCCTGAGGTCAGGAGTTCGAGACTAGGCTGGCCAACATGGTGAAACCCCTTCTCTACTAAAAATACAAAAAATTAGCCGGGCATGGTGGCACATATCTGTAATCCCAGCTACTTAGGAGGCTGAGGGAGGATAATTGCTTGAACCTGGGAGGTGGAGGTTGCAGTGAGCCAAGATCGTGCCACTGCACCCCAGCCTGGGCAACAGAGCAAGACTCTGTCTCAAAAAAAACAAAAAAAGTTTTGTAGAGACTGGGGTTGGAGGGAGGTCTCCTTATACTGCCCAGGCTGGTCTCGAACTTCTGGGTTCAAGCAATCCTCCTGCCTTGGCCTCCCAAAGTGCTGGGATTATGGGTGTGGGCCACTGTGCCTCGCCTGCTTTCTTTTTCAACCAGTGACTCAGGAAGTCCAGGGCACAGGTGATCTTTATCTCCCTACATCGATGCAGCAACAGGGTTCAGCTGAATGAGATCCTATGCATAAGGATATGGTTTAGATTTGTGTCTCCACCCAAATCTCATGTTGAGTTGGAGGAGGGGCCTGGTGGGAGGCGATTGGATCATGAGAACGGATTTCCCCCTTGCTGTTCTCGTGATAGTGAGTGAATTCTCACGAGATCTGACGGTTTAAAAGGGTGTGGCACCTCTCCCTTTCTTCTTTCTACTGCTCCGCCATTGTGAGGGCGTGCTTGCGTCTCCTTCGCCTTCTGCCATAATTGTAAGTTTCCTGAGGCCTCTCAGCCATGCTTCCTGTACAGCCTGTGGAACTGTAAGTCTATTAAACCTCTTTTGTTCATAAATTACCCAGTGTCAGGTAGTTCTTCATAGCAGTGTGAGAACGGACTAACGCACATACTGAGCATAACTCACTGCCTATCACATCATATGTGTTCCTAATGGTAGCTGCTTATGCATATAAGTAATAACGATGCTTGGGAGCAATGTACATTTTCAAGTGCCTTGGAATTTTATAAGGACTCATTATAAGGCATCAGAATTTTCAGCTATAAGAATTTTTATTTATGAGGAAGTTTAAGTTCTTTCCAAATACTAACCCATGAGTCTTTGCAAAATCCCCTGGAAGTGACTGACCAGAAAGGGAACGCTGGCCGACCATTAATCTGAGTAATAGAGTTAGGACAAGGTACAGGCAGTTCTTCAAAGCCTCCCTCAAAGTCTGGAGCAATAAAACTGTTGTAAACAATTTGGTATTGAACTGTATGTTCTAGGTAAAGGCGGACTTATTTGCCTCAACACCGGCAAGGAATACAGTTGTGAAAAATGACTCAGGATTAGTCCACGAGCAGGGTGACAGGGAGGACTGGAGGGCTCACATCGTCCCTTCTTTTCCTCCCCAGTATTTGAATATAGGTGAAATCAAGTCAATGTGAGGATTAGAGGAGGATGTAGGATAGGAGTGTGGAAAGCGACATCGGGTGGGCTTTCAGGGCCTTGGAGAGGCAGGTGGGTTCTTGTGCCTGTGTCAGTCGTGGTGGTGAAGAGTTAAGTGCAGCTCTCTGAAGCTGAGTTGCTTCCCCCTAAGCTGCCTGTGAAGCTGGAAACTAGGCTGTTTACCTCTTATTTCTCCTGGGTCAGAACTCTAAGCACTTTCTGTTGGAGACATTTCTTTTTTTTTTTTTTTTTTTTTTTTTTTGAGATGGAGTCTCACTCTGTTGCCCAGGCTGGAGTGCAGTGGCGCAATCTCGGCTTACTGCAAGCTCAGCCTCCCGGGTTCACACCATTCTTCTGCCTCAGCCTCCCTAGTAGCTGGGACTACAGGCACCCGCTACCATGCCTGGCTAATTTTTTGTATTTTTAGTAGAGACAGGGTTTCACCTTGTTGGCCAGGATGGTCTCGATCTCTTGACCTCGTGATCCATCCGCCTCGGCCTCCCAAAGTGCTGGGATTACAGGTGTGAGCCACTGTGCCTGGCCTGTTGGAGACATTTCTAAGTGTCCAGAAGAAAGGCAAAAAAAGAAGAGTGAAAAAGTTTAGAGTAAGTCTATCATCTATGCATGTGACTGTTAGGAGTAGAGCTTAAGGCCACATTCCTTGCCACAGAGTCTAATTCCAGCTTGTTCTTTGTCTCCTTTTACCTGTCTTTAAGCTTTTTTTTTCCTTTGGAGGCAGGGTCTCCCTCAGTTGCCACTGCTGGAGTGTAGTGGCGTGATCATGGCTTACTGCAGCCTTGAACTCATGGGCTCAAGCGATCTTCCTGCCTTAGCCTCTGGAGTAGCTGGGACCAGAGGTGCGTGTCACCACGTCCAGCTAATTAATTATTATTTTTTTTAAATTTAGAAACAGGGTCTCACTATGTTGCCCAGGTTGGTCTCAAACTCCTGGGCTCAAGTGATCCTCCCACCTCAGCCTCCCAGAGTGTTGGGATTACAGGCATGAGCCACTGTGCCCAGCTGAAGCTTTTTTTTTTCCTTTTATTTTTTTCTTTTTTTTGAGATAGAGTTTCACTCTTGTTGCCCACGCTGGAGCGTGATGGCTTGATCTTGGCTCACTGCAACCTCCACCTCCTGGGTTCAAGCAATTCTCCTGCCCTCAGCCTCCTGAGTAGCTGGGATTACAGGCATGTGCCACCATGCCTGGCTAATTTTGTACTTTTAGTAGGGATGGGGTTTCACTAAGTTGGTCAGGCTGGTCTCGAACTCCTGACCTCAGGTGATCCATCTGCCTCAGCTTCCCAAAGTGCTGGGATTACAGGCACGAGCCACCATGCCCGGACCCCAGCTGAAGCTTTTTTTAAAAAGCCTTTTTATCTTAAGATGATTTAAAGCTTACAAAAGAGTTCCCATCTACCCTCCACCTAAATTCCCCTAAAGTTAGCATCTTAACATCAGGACAGCCCTCTTTACTAAACTGCAGACTTTATTCGGGTTTTACCAGTCTTTCCATGAATGTCCCTTTTGTGTTCCCAGATCTCAACTACACATGGCGCGTGTAGTCGCTTGTCTTGTCTGCTTAGCCTCCTCCTACCTGTGACAGTTCCTCTCTTTCCTGACCTTGACCCCTGACACTTATTCTGCAGACCGTCTTTCAGTTTGAGTTTGATGTTTTCACATGATTAGATGGAGGTTATGCCTTTTTGCAAGAATATCTCAGAAGTGAGGTTGTGCTCTCTTTAGCAGGCCACATCAGGGGCATGTGATGTTGACATGTCTCATTACTGGTGATGTTACTTTAGCCATATGACTAAGGTGATGTCTGCTGGTCTCTCCTCCAGCCTGTCTTTGAAGACAGCATGGCCCCTCACAGCTCCAGGACAGCCCCAACCCCAGCCAGAAGGACGCTTCTGGGAAGTTCATCTTCACCTGCAGCTCTTAGAGTCGAAAATAGGCTGCTCAGAGCTGAGCTAGGGCCCAAGTGGGTGCTCTGTAAACCTGCACGTTTCTAATTTGATAGAATTGATTATTTCAATTGAGGTTCAAGCTGATGATTACATGAAAATAAGCCAGGTGAGGTGGTTCACACTTGTAATCCCAGCACTTTAGAAGGCTGAGGTGAGAGGATCACCTGAGGCCAGGAATTTGAGACCACCTGGGCAACATAGTGAGCTCCGTCTCTACAAAAAATTAAAAATTAGCCAGGTGAGGTGGCACACCTGTAGTTTCAGCTACTCGGGAGGCTGAGGCAAGAAAATTGCTTGAGCACAGGAGGTTGAGGCTGCAGTGAACCGTGATTGCACCACTGCGCTCTGGACTGGGGGACAGAGGGAGACCCTGTATCAAAAACAGTGATCCCACCTAAGAGATGAAGGAGCTGATGGATTTATGCTCTAACTCATATCAGTCACTGGTTGAAGAGGCGGGAGTTGGTGTGAATCCCTGGGTACCTCCAGGCTGCTGGGTACATAGGCAGAACCACCTCTGGAGAAAACCCTTAGGAAACAGATGCAGATATTGGCATTTGGAAGAGCACATTGAAGTGGTGAGCCCTGCAAGATATGGGCAGAGTACCAACATCTGCTATAGGAAAGAAAGAGAAATTATGTAAGTGTTGTTGTTGTTGTTGTTGTTTTTTGTGTTTTTTTTTTTTTTTTAGAAAGTCTCGTTCTGTTGCCCAGGCTGGAGTGCAGTGGTGTGATCTTGGCTCACTGCACCCTCCGCCTTCCGGGATGAAGCAATTCTCTTGTCTCAGCTTCCCAAGTAGCTGGGATTACATGCCTGGCTAATTTTTTTGTATTTTTAGTAGAGACAGGGTTTTACCATGTTGGCCAGACTGGTTTTGAACTCCTGACCTTAAGTGATCTGCCTGCCTCAGCCTCCCAAAGTGCTAGGATTACAGGTGTGAGCCACCGTACCTGGCCAAAAATTACATAAGTTATATATTTGTGTTAGTCTTTTTGTGTTGCTATGAAGAAATACCTGAGGCTAGATTGTTTAAAGAAAAGAAGTTTATTTGGCTCACAGTTCTGCAGGCTGTACAGATAGTATAGGGCTGACATTTGCTTCTGGGGAGTCCTCAGGAAGCTTATCATGGCGGAAGGCCAAAGGAAGCCAGTCTGTCACATGGCAAGAGGAGGAGGAGGTGCCAGCCTCTTTCAAACAATCAGATCTCATGTGAACTCATAGAGTGAGAACTTGCTCATTCCTGTGAGGACAACACCAAGCCATTCATAAGGGATCCGCCCCCATCACCCAAACACTTCCCACTAGGCCCCACCTACCACATTGGGGATCACATTTCAACATGAGATTTTGAGCGGACACATCCAAACCATATAAACATTTAAACCCCAAAAGGGGTATGTGTCCTGTTCAGCTTCCTGAAGTTATTCATCTTAGTCCCCTACCAGCTAGCACAGTGCCTGGCATGGAGTGGGTATTCAGTATACATATTTCATTGTTGAGGGGAAAAAGTTTCTCAGGAAAGGGCAGAAAGTGCTGAGAAGGTCTCATGTCAGGAAGCAGCAAGAGCTGTGCATAGAAAAGACTGCAGCCGCCAGGCACGGTGGTTCAGGCCTATAATCCCAGCACTTCAGGAGGCCGAGGTGGGTGGATCATCTGAGGTCAGAAGTTTGAGACCAGCCTGGCTAACCTGATGAAACCTTGTCTCTTCTAAAAATACAAAAATTAGCTGGGTGTAGTGGTACGCACCTGTAATCCCAGCTACTTGGGAGGTTGAGGCAAGAGAATCACTTGAACCCGGGAGGCAGAGGTTGCAGTGAGCCGAGATCACACCATTGCACTCCAGCCTGGGCGACAGAGCAAGACTCTGTCTCAAAAAAAAAAATTCTTAGATAGTTCTGGAGAACAGAAATCTGAAGTCAGTTTCACTGGGCTAAAGTCAAGGTATTGGCAGGGCTGTTTTTTTCTGCAGGCTCTGAGGGGAGACGCTTCTTGGCAGCTTCCAGCTTTCATTAGCTGCCTGGGTTCCTCAGCTCATGGTCTCTTCCTCCGTCTTCAAAGAGCATCACTGCAGTCTCTCCTCTGCCGTCACATTGCCTTTTTTTTTTTTTTGTTATGAGATGGAGTCTTGCTGTGTCGCCCAGGCTGGAGTGCAGTGACCTGATCTCGGCTCACTGCAACCTCTGCCTCCCGAGTTCAAGTGATTCTTGTGTCTCAGCCTCCCAAGTAGCTGGGATTACAGGCACGTGCCACCACACCTGGCTAATTTTTTGTATTTTTAGTAGAGACAGTGTTTCACTGTGTTAGCCAGGATGGTCTCGATCTCCTGACCTCGTGATCTGCCTGCCTCAGCCTCCCAAAGTGCTGGGATTACAGGTGTGAGCCGCCGCACCTGGCCTGCCTTCTTTCTTTTTTTTTTTTTTTTGAGACAGTCTCACTCTGTTGCCAGGCTGGAGTGCAGTGGCGCGATCTCGGCTCACTGCACCCTCCACCTCCCGGGTTCAAGTGATTCTTCTGCCTCAGCCTCCTGAGTAGCTGGGCCTATAGCCGCCCACCACCACGCCCAGTTAATTTTTGTATTTTTAGTAGAGATGGGGTTTCACCATGTTGCCCAGGCTGGTTTTGAACTTCCGGCCTCAAGTGATCTGCTCGGCTTGGCCTCCCAAAGTGCTGGGATTACAGGCATGAGTCACCGTGCCCGGCTGCCTTCTTTGTGTCTGGTTCTTCCCACATTCCTGCTATAAGGATGCTTGTGATGCCATTGGCCTATCCAGATGATCCAGGACAATTTCCCCATCTTAAGATTAATCAGCTGCAGAAATCCCTTTTGCCATATAAGGTAACATTCACAGGTTCTGAGGATCAGAATGTGGACATATTTGGGGGCTGTTTTCAACCTCTGTCCCTGGGAAATTGAAGCAAGGAGACTGAACGACATCAAGCAGAGGAAATTCTCTGTAATATGGAATCCTTCCATAACATCAATCCCTATAAGGCCAAGGACTAAGGACTCTTTCAGCCATGGGAGTTTGCATGTGCGAATGGGAGCTGTGTATCTTGATGTGTTCCCCACCTTGGGGGCGAGGAGGGCATTCCCAGGACTTTCCTGAGCTATGGACAGTTTGAGGCCTGGGAGCCGCACAGGTTTCTTTCTCTAGAAAGCAGCGGAAGCCCTTTGAAATCCATTCAGCTACCAACTGGGTGGGCCATGCAGGGCCACTGGGAGCTACCCTTGGCTATGGCAATCACTGAGAATGGAAAATGGATTTCAAAACAACCAAAGTGCATCGAATTAGTTCTTTTTGGCTGCCTCTGGTGAAACTGTTTCTCGTGTTGGTTTAGTAAGAGCAATCCTGCTGGGAGCTGCATACACCAAGTGGAAGTCTCTCCTGCTTCTCAAGTAAATCAGTTTTTTTTTTTGTTTTTTTTTTTTTGAGATGGAGTCTTGCTCTGTCACCCAGGCTGGAGTGTAATCGTGGGATCTTGGCTCACTGCAACCTCTGCCTCCCAGGTTCAAGCGATTCTCCTGCCTCAGCCTCCTGAGTAGCTGGGATTACAGTACCCACCACCACGCCTGGCTAATTTTTGTATTCTGTTTAGTGGAGATGGGGTTTCACCATGTTGGCCAGGCTGGTCTTGAACTCCTGACCTCAGGTGATCAGCCCACCTTGGCCTCCCAAAGTGCTGGGATTACAGGCATGAGCCACTGCGCCCAGCCTTTTTATTTTTAATGTAACAGAGTTTAATTGAGCAAGGAACAATTCACAAATCGGGCAGCCTCTTGAGCTAGAGTAGGTTTAGAGAGACTTCAGCGCAGCTGTGTGGTAGAAGATTTATAGACAGAAAATGGAAATGGACTTACAGGAGATGGAAGTGAGATGGAAGTGAGGTAAGAAACATCCGGATTGGTTACAGCTCGTGTTTACCTTATTTGAGTAGTTTGAACAGTTAGCCCCCTTTGACCGAAACTAGGTGGTTGGCACAAGAGTAGGCTACAGTCTGTTGACACCTCCATTTAGGTTATAGTTCATTATGTACAGAGAAACCTGTAGGCTGAACTTAAATATGTAAGGAGGCAGATTTAGGCTAAACTTGATTTAACAGTTCCCCACTTTTGATCATCCTCTTGATTTTGAGAGATTGACCGAAACCTCCAGCATTGGTATCACTATCTTAAGTGTTCTTATTCTGTCTTGTAACCCACTGGGAAATAGCAGAATAGTGGGTTTTGTAAGGTGAGAACAAGGACAAGATAAGAGTTCTTGGGCCGGGCGCAGTGGCTCATGCCTGTAATCCCAGCACTGTGGGAGGCTGAGGTGGGTGGATCACAAGGTCAGGAGATCGAGACTGTCCTGGCCAATGTGGTGAAACCTCATCTCTACTAAAAATACAAAAATTAGCTGGGTGTGGTGGCACATGCCTATAATCCTAGCTACTCGGGAGGCTGAGGCAGGAGAATCGCTTGAACCAGGGAGTCGGAGCTTGCAGTGAGCCAAGATGGCGCCACTGCACTCCAGCCTGGCGACAGAGCGAGACTCCATCTCAAAAAAAAAAAAAAAAAAAAAAAAAAAAAAAAAAATTCTCAGCAGAGGCAGCTGCTTCAGAATGCCTCCGAGTTTCCAACATCCCAGAATCGGCACCACTGGAAAGGAGTGGAGTCTCTCCCTTCTGAGAGAGGAGGTGGCATCCACGTGTCCCAGAACCTCTGAGATGGTGCTGATTGCAAATCTTCTGTCCTGTTGTTAGCTCTTGTGGTAGATTCTAGAACCAGATCTGACCCAAGGACACTGAGCAGCTGGACTCTTCCTCCTCACAGCATGAATTGTTGGATTTATTGCTGCCCCCTCTCCTAATATTGTGGCTGTGAAGTCCCCAGTGGGAGACTCTTTACAGAAACCGTGGAAGGGGAAAGGTGGCCTCTTGGGTCACCACTGAGATTGTCACATCGCCTATCACAACCTCAGCATCCCACTGGTCAGTTCCCCTTTCCCTTCGAAGGGGTTTGCTACATCTCTACAAAGTGTCAGATGGCCCCAGGTTTAGGATAAGCACATGTTCCCTCTTCAAAGTGTTTATCTTTAACAGAATTCTTTCAATCTCCTTGATTGTATCAGGGCAAAAAAATCTTATTGAGGGATGTATTAGGAATCTGTTAGGTTGCAAAATCCAAAAAACTCGACTTCTGCCAAGTTAAACAGGGCAAGGTTTCTCAACCTCAGAGTTATTGTCGTTTTGGGTTGATGCTCTGTGTTATGGGGGGCTGTCCTGTGTATTGGAGGATGCTTTGCAGAATCCCTGGCTTCTACCCATTACCTTAGTGATTCTCAAACAGGGGCAATTGTGTTCCCCCAGGGAGCGTTTGGCAATGTCTGGAGATATTTTTGGCTGTCACAACTGGAGGTGAGGGGTGGAAGTTGGTGTTACTAGCAGCTAGGGGGCAGAGGCCAGGGATACTGCTAAAATATCCCGCGATTCTCAGGAGAGCTCCCAGCAACAAGAAATTATCGGGCCTCCGGATGCCAGTCATGCCAACGTAGAAAAACCGGGTCTGAGGGAATGGAAATGGACATTGACGTTGATCCAATAGGATGCGAGGAGAAAACCCCCAGAAGAGTGACACCCCCCCAAACACAGAATTCATATCCTATTCCCTCTGCAAAATCTGACCCATTGCTGAGAAAGCCAAAAATAGTTGGTTTTAACTGATGAGTGCTGGGATAAGATTCCTCACTGGCCTACTCCCTGAAAAAAGGGATTGCATTTTTTTTTTTGAGATCAAGTCTCACTCTGTCACCCAGGTTGGAATGCAGTGGTGCAATCTCGGCTCACTGCAACCTCCACTTCCTGGGTTCAAGTGATTCTTTGTGCCTCAGCCTCCTGAGTAGCTAGGATTACAGGTGCACGCCACCATGCCTGGCTAATTTTTTGTATTTTTAGTAGAGAGGGGGTTTCACCATGTCAGTCAGAACTCCTGACCTCCAGTGATCTGCCCACCTCAGCCTCCCAAAGTGCTGGGATTACAGGTGTGAGCCACCGCACCCGGCTGGGACTGCGAAACTTCTAAAAGCCACCAAATGCAGCTGCACTGGGCCATGTGAACCTTGACAATATTCTGAAAAATGAAACAGATCCTGAAAGAACCAGATACAAACACAGCCCACCTGAGCAGCAGGCAGGGCGGCCTCTGTGTTCTTTCTTCCTTATTATCCAACATCTGTTGAAATGCTTCGGCCTCAAAGTGCAATCAAATATCACCAACTTGTATATACAAATGAAAATAATGAACAGATAACAAAGGGAAAAAGGAAAGTGTATAAGCATAAATGCCTCAGCTGCAAATTGATCCAGTGCTGGGCATGAAAGACTATATTTTTTGTTCTCTGATAAGTATAGCTAAGTGATGATAAATAAATAGAAGTGGGTTGTCACCAATTAGCATGGCTACTTGTTTCCTTCTCACGCTGCTTCCCCAGTGAAAATGCAGTAGGTATAGGTTGAGGGAGAAGGTCAGCTATGGAGTGAAAGAAAGGAGAGGTTAAAGTCATGGTGTGCACAGCTGCTGGGTGCACCTGAAATAACATTGTTTTCAAAACTTTTTCTTTTCTACCTACCACTAGCTTGAAATATAAGAGCTCATATGCTTCTTTAAAATCCAAGTACAGGAAAAAGGAAAACCAGACCACACTTCCGGTTCTACTTTTGCTCTCTGCTCTTCTGGTGTTATCAAGAGATAACACCACCTCCCTGGGCTGTCCTCTCTCTGGCCATGTGCTCTCAGGCTCAAGTCCCTTAAAGAGCTGGACAGCAAAGTCAAGGATGAAGGAGAAGGGACAGGCAAAGGAAGGTCTTCCATAGGCAGCACATCCCAAGACATGTGTGTATGAAAACATTCTGGATTTTCTCAAGTCCTTTGGCAACATTAAATTTTTTGTGTGTGTGTACTAAGGCTGAAACAGAAGGACTGGTGGAAAGAGGATTGTTGGTGAATGCACGTAGACAGCCTGTGGTTGCATTGATAAGCCTTGTTAAAGTATTCATGTGAAATTTTACTGTCAAAATGGAGAGATTTAGGGCAATTCTAGGTCCCCAAGACCAGTGACTCTGACATTATTCAAAGTTGACGGACTGGGCTAGGTGCAGTGACTCCCACCTGTAATCCTAGCACTTTGGGAGGTCGAGGCAGGAGGATTGCTTGAAGCCAGGATTTTGAGACCAGCCTGGGCAACATGGCAAAACCCTGTCTCTACAAAAAATGTTAAAATTAGCTAGAGCATGGTGGCATGCACCTGTAGTCCCAGCTACTCTGGAGGCTGAGGTGGGAGGATGGCTTGACCCTGGGAGTTTGAGGCTGCAGTGAGCCATGATTGCACCACTGTGCTCCAGCCTGGGTGACAGTGTGAGACCCCATCTCAAACCAAAACCAAGAAAAAAATTAGCAGACTCACCCTTCCACAAGCTTCTGAGCCTCCCAGAGTGGGAACTGGCTCAGTCTATACAGCTCCCAGCACAGCATCAGGCAAGGGTGCCATCATAAGCCATGTTATTGGAGCCAGTCTGCCTGGGTCCAAATCCAGGCCCCACCATTTACTTCCCCTGTGACCTTGAGCAAGCCAGCTAGCCCTCAGGGCTTTGATTTTCTCCTCTGTAAAACAGGGATAATAGCAGCATTTCCACTGCAAAGACCTGAATGAGTAAAATGGTTAGCACTGTGCCAGGCTCATAGCGCTCTGTAAGTATTAGCTGTTATAATTATTAGGGGTTCAAGTTCTGTCTTGCTCAGCTTTCCAGCTCATTGAAGGCTAAAGACCCAGTGCATTAATTGCTCAAAAATTTGTCGTAATTGCTTGGAACTTTTCATTTACATCCTGCAAAGATTATTTCTGCCATAACATTGCAAAGTTTTCAAATAGCCTTGTTCCCGTTTCTGAATATGGGCAGGGATCCCTTTGGGGTGCTCACTGACCACTCCCAGATGAGCCATGGGTTCTGTCTGGGCTGTGTATGGGGAGGGCGTGGAGGGTGGCATGACGGATGTACAGAGTGGAAGCCCTCAGGACAGAGGTGCCCTGGAAAGTTCGTAAGGCACAGCGGCTGCAAAACCTCTCACGCCCACCTTAGAATTCCCAATGTACTTTCCTCAGTCTCCAGGTCTGTCTTTTCCTTATAGTGTTTCTCAGTGTCTCATTCTGTACGTGAGAAATCCCAGTAAAAATCGAGAGTGGGAACAATGCAAAATAGAACTGTATACTTAAAAATGGTTAACATGGCAAATGTTATGTTTTACAAGAATTAAAAATAATAGTTAAAAAAGCCGCAATTATAAAAACAAAAAACTAGAGTAGGAGGGACCTAGGGACCTCTATTCATGATTTGACATCCAGTTTGGAGAGGCCAGAGTCAGGGAAGCTCCCTGCCAGGATTTCAGTCCTTTTTGTTTTTCCCTGCTGGGTGGGTAGTTTTCAAAACTCCGCTAGAATCTAAACGCTTTTGCTTCCGTGCCCTGCCCCCTGCCCCAGGGGCCCCAGATGGGTATCTGGTTGACTGTTCTCAAGGCAGGGGCCTCCCTCCCAGGAGATTCGGTGGAGCTTTTTGATATTTCTCTGCCCTTTGGCAGCATCACAGGCATGGGCATGGGAGAGGAGGGAGCCGGCCACTTGTCCTGGCCTGTTGATGCATGCCCGAGTCTGGCTGTCATCCCAGCCGCGCTGGCTGCTGTCCCTCGGTCTTCCTGAGGGCCCCCAGGCCTTCTAGGTATTGTATTGAGCCACGAGCTGGACGGGGAGGACCTGGATGTGCGTGGGAGCTCGCGGGTGGGTGAGAGCGCACCACTGCTCCGTGCGCTGCGCAGCTGCAGGGCCCCGGGCAGGTGCAGACGGCGCTCAGACCGGGACGAACGCAAGCCTGTGCTGCCCTCTGCTGGGTACCCAGCTCCCGGCCGGCCCCGAGCTCAGAAGGCGAAGGGAGACCCAAGGCCAGGCTGGGGCCCACGAAGCCGGGCTCCTCTAAGGGGTGCACCCAGCTCCCAAGGCCCCCGGGCGGACTTCGAGCAGTCCCCGCGCGGGGGCCCCAGGGTTTCTCGCTGGGCCCATCATGCCCTCTGGGCTAGGTGGCCAGGACTGTGCTCTCTTGCCTAGGGACCGGGTGAGCTCGAACTGTCCCCATGGGGCGGCTGCGGCTCCTGCAGGCTGTGCCGTCCTGGGCTCCTTTTCCGACATTGCCACCTGCCCCATTTCCTTTCCAAAGCAGAGGTGTAGGCGCCTGCCCACTATCAGTCCCTCTTTGTTGCAAGAGGCTCTGAAGGGCCCTCCCGCCTCCAGACCATTCATTCCCGTCTGACTCTGCAGCCAGACAGATCTTTCCAGAACATTAATCTGATTCTGTCATGCCCTGGCCTGACCTCCTTCAAAGTCTGCCAATTGCCAAGAGGGTCATTACAAAACTCAGCATGAAATACAAAGGACTTCAGATCTGGTTCCTGCTTCTCTTCCACCTTTTAACCCCCAGCATTATGGTCTCTTATGTCTGTCATCTTCCTGTCGAGACCAGAGGCCTTGCGCTCTGGAGCCACACAGCCGGAGTCCTTTCCCAGCTCTACTATTTGCTAGCTGTCTGACCTTGGCCGAGTTTCCTCTCTCTCTCTCTCTCTCTTTTTTTTTTTTTTTAAGATGGAGTCTTGCTCTGTCGCCCAGGCTGGAGTACAGTGGTGCGATCTCTGCTGGTTGTAACCTCCGCCTCCCAGGTTCAAGCAGTTCTCCTGCCTCAGCCTCCCAAGTAGCTGGGATTACAGCTGCACACTACCACGCCTGGCTAATTTTTTTGTATTTTTAGTAGAGATGGGGTTTCACCATGTTGGCCAGACTGGTCTTGAACTCTTGACCTCAGATGATCTGCCTGTCTTGGCCTCTCACAGTGCTGGGATTACAGGCGTGAGCCACCTCGCCAAGCCCCAGAGTTTCCTCTCTTGCCTCAATTTTTCATCTATAAACTGGGGATGATAACAGTAATATGCTTCATAGGGTTGTTGTTAATATTATTTGTATATAGAATATATAAATATATGCAAAGCACTTAGAATAGTATCTGGCACATAGTAGGCACTTTATAAGTGTTAGTCAAGATTATTCACTGAAAATGTGGGGTATCTCAGTATGTTGCCCAGGCTGGAGTGCAGTGGCTGTTCACAGGAGTGGTCATGGCTCACTGCAGCCTCGAACTCCTGGCCTCAAGGGATCCTCCTGCCTCAGCCTCCCTAGTAGCTGGGACTACAGGCACGTGCCACTGTACTCACTGCAACGTCTTCCCTTTGACTTCAACTTCTCCTGTTCATCTGATGACTTGAATAGCCATTTGAGCAACCTATCCAGCAACCTCAGATCAGTTCCTCGATCTGAATCCCAGTGACCTTCACTTCCAATTTACTCAATCCACCCCCACTCATGACCACCCCAGAACTGGCCAGCACTTACACTAGCAGAAGTGTTTTCGAAATCTTACACTTCAGTATTCCACCTTCTGACAACGCCCACCTATCCTTCCAGGTATCGTAATGTAAATGATTTTTTATTTGCTCATTTTCTTTCCAGGTTATCCAGTTTTTTTGCCTCTCCTTTTACTATCAGATCTTTCTAGCTTTTAAAAATTTTCCTGAGTGTATACATTACTGATCCCTTGAACTTTTTTCAAGTTCTTGAACTCTCTTGCACATCCATTCCCTCATTTATTCACTCAGTAAACATCCACTGAGCGTCAGGGACTGTGTCAGGGACGAGGACACATGATGTCTGCCCACAGAGCTTAGAGTGAAAGAAGGCAAAAAACACGTTCACAATTATACAACTTTGCATGAGAAAAATGCTGGGAATGAAAGCAACAGGCTGCCAGGTTGGAGAATAAAGTGGAGAACTGCAAGAGGAGAGTCTTCAGGGATGGCTTCAGAAAAGGTTCTTTGAATGTCACCAAATTGAGGCCATATGGAAACATTGACGAGGATGGTTTTTTGTTTTTAGGAGAAAAGTGTTGGGATTGAAACACTTTCAGAGTTAGTAAAAGTGGACTGGGTGCAGTGGCTCTGATGCCTGTAATCCCAGCACTTTGGGAGGCCAAGGTGGGTGGATCCCTTGATTCTAGGATTTGGAGACCAGCCTGGGCAACACAGTGAGACCCCATGTCTACAAAAATTTAAAAATTAGCCAGGCATAGTGGCACATGCTTGTGGTCCCAGCTAATTGGGAGGCTGAGGTGGGAGGATCTCTTGAGCTCACTGTGATTGCGCCACCGCACTTCAACCTGGATGACAGAATAAGACTCTGTCTAAAAAAACAGAATTAGTAAAAGTGACAAAGTAGAGATACAAGTAGAAATAGAGATGGCTCACCTAGGCTCTGTTTTGGCAGTTTAGAGAGGGGAAGCAGAGAAAATGGCAGATACTAGAGCAGGCAGGACTGGCTCCTTGTTAAAAAATTATTAAGAATTTAAAAACAGTGACGGCAGAATATTAAACCAGGCACAGGGTGCTGTGTGTCTGTAGAGGTCTCATGCCCACGAAGCTGGCTCTGACAGCATGCCTGTGTGCCAGTGAGAATAATTGGTCAAAATGAGGCATATTGATCATATTAGAGGGGAGATAACCAAAGAAATGAAATTTAGGAAAGACAAAAAGGAGATGGAGAGGCTGGGCATGGTGGCTCACACCTGTAATCCGAGCACTTTGGGAGGCTGAGATGGGAGGATCACTTGAGCCCAGGAGGTTGAGACCAGCCTGGGTGACATAGCAAGACCCTGTCTACAAAAATAAAAATAAATTAGCTGGGCATGGTGACATGTGCTTATAGTCCAGCTACTCGGGAGGCTGAGGTGGGAGGATTGCTTGAGCCCAGGAGGTTGAGGCTGCAGTGAGCTATGATTATACCACTGTACTCTAGCCTGGGCTAGAGAGTGAGAACCTGTCTCTAAAAGAAAATAAATAAAAGGGGATGCAACCCAGAGTCTACGTGGAGGGGTTAGACAGGAGTGACAAGTCCTCCATTGTAACAGGAAGAAAGAAAACTATCGATGCAAGAGGGTTAATAATACGCTGTGATGGCTTCAGTTTTTCAGTGACGGGTGAAGCAAGGCTCTCAGGAGTGGGAGGGTAGGAGGAGAAGGAGAATGAGGGGCTTAAGTAGAGAGAAGTGTGTGGAAGTTGGTGGGGGTTGGAGTTTTGCCAGTTGAAAGTAAAAGAATGGATCAGGGGAGTTGGTGTTTGTGAGAGCGAATAGACGAAACAAAGAATCTGGTTAGACAAGAAAATAAGTCGAGATTTGAGTGAAATAAGAGGGGTCAAGTGTTAGCATCTTGATTCTGGTGACTTGTGATATTGAAGGGGCACTTGAGAAAGTGGGCTGAAAGATAGGGCTTTGTAATCAGAGAGGACAAAATTTAAATCCATGATTTTGGAAGAGTGTAATTTTTGTGATGACAAGGTCCAGGATATCTCTTGGGTGGTGTATGGTTGGGTTACAAGAAGTCTCTGTGGATGAGGAAGCCAAAGAGCCAAGAGAAGAATTGTGTGGGTCATCAACGTGGAGTTGAAATTACCAGGAATGATGAGGGCATAGGATGGAGCTAAGCTTTCAGGTCAAGTGCTAAGTCTTCACTCTTCTCTCAAGATGGGAAAATAATGCACCATTAAAATTATTTTTTCTGCTAGGCACGGTGGCTTACACCTATAATCCCAGCACTTTGAGAGGCTGAGGTGGGAGAATTGCTTGAGCCCAGGAGTTTAAGACCAGCCTGGGCAATATAGCAAGACCCATCCCTACAAAAAATAAACAAAATTAGCGGGGCATAGTGGAGAATCACTTGAGCCCTGGCGGTCGAGGCTGCAGTGAGCCGTGATCAAGCCACTGCACTCCAGCCTGGGTGACAGACACCCTGTCTAAAAAAAAATTTTTTTTTCTTGCAACAGCATTTCTAAGTTTTGCGAACTCCTCTCTCCTCCCACTTCATTAGAGAGATCAAATCTCCGTGGGACTGAAGGGGGCACAGTTCTTCCTTTGAGCCAGGAGGGGGAGCAAGAGACTGCAACAGAAGGCTCTGAATCTAAACGAAGCCTTTCGGAAGACAAAGGGGTGGATCACAAAGGAGCTTGCGGTTCCCCTCCGCCTTTCTGCATTAGTTTCCTAGGGTTGTTCTAATAAATTACCACTAGCTTGGGCCTTACAATAGTGGGCATTTATCCTCTCATAGCTGGAGTGCAGTGGCTCCACCTCCTGGGTTCCAGCAGTTCTCCTGCTTTAGCCTCCCAAGTAGCTGGGACTACAGGTGTGTGCCACTGCACCTGGCTAATTTTTGTATTTTTAGTAGAGATGGGGTTTCACCATGTTAGCCAGGCTGGTCTCGAACTCCTGACCCTCAAGTGATCTGCCTACCTCAGCTTCCTAAAGTGCTGGGATTACAGGCGTGAGCTACCACGCCGGGGCCAATGATTTGCTTTTTTAAAAAAACAAAAACCAAACAGCCTCAGAAATTTTGAACTACTTTCTCTAAAAGAAACCAGCTTTATTGAGAAATAATTCACATGCCAGACATTCACCAATTTAGTATATTTGTAGATCATTGATCATCACAATCAATTTTAGAACATTTTTTTATCACCCTAAAAGAGTCCCCATACCCATTGGCAGTCCCTTCCGGTTTCTCCCACCTTCCCGGGCCCCCAGTCCCTGGTAGCCTACCCTATCACTAGAGATTTGCCTTTCCTGGACTCTTCACAGAAATGGAGTCAGACAGTAGAAATGCAGTCTTTTAAATTATTTATGGGCCGAGCTGGGCGCTGTGGCTCACGCCTGTAATCCCAGCAATTTAGGACGCCAAGGTAGACAGATTACTTGAGGTTAGGAGTTTGAGACCAGCCTGGCCAACATGGTGAAATCCCGTTGCTACTAAAAATGCAAAAATCAGCTGGGCATGGTGGTGCACACCCCTAATCCCAGCTACTGAGGAAGCTGAGGTAGGAGAATCAATTGAACCCAGGAGGCAGAAGTTGGAGTGAGCCGAGATCATGCCACTGCACTCCAGCCTGGGTGATAGAGTGAGATTCTGTCTCAAAAATTAAAAAAAAAAAAGATTTATGGTGAACAGCGGGTTAGATGTCATTCTTTTGATTTTAGGGTTGTATTCAAGTATAAGACTCATTCTTTTCACAATGAGCGGTTAGAGCAGCAAAGCTGTAGATATCTGAAGACTTTGAGAGCTTAGGGAATAGGAGGATCATCTGGGGTCCCCCCTTTCTCTCTCCTTCCCCCGCAGCCCTCTCCTTTGCCACCAGCAGCCGAGAGAACAGTCTTGGGGGAAAGAAAACACAGAAGCTCAGTGCTGCGGGGAGAGGGGAATGAAGGCGTGATAAGAGACATGCGGGGGCTGTTCCTGGCTCGCTCACCTCCTTGTCCTCTTCCTCACCGAAACCACAGAGTCTCCCCCAGCCTTGCAGCAGAAGTGTGGTCGTGCCTCTGCAGTAAGCTGGGTGTAGGACTGGCTGGCCAGCATCTGCAGTCTATGCTGAGTACCTGTGCCTGGGTGACCCTTCCCCCGCGACTCCAGTGTGACCTTCCTTCCCAAGCCTCTTGTTGCCCTGGGGTCTTCCACATTCAGCTGTGTCAAGCTCAGGGAATACAGGAGGAAAATGGGATCGCCTCAAAGTTAGGGGCTGGGGGATGAGTTGCCGCAGGTACTAACAGGCAAACCTGCCCTGTTCCTCCAGCCGGGTGCCAGTGGTAGTTGACAGGGAAAGGGCCCTTGAGGAAGAGAGCAAGTGGGGAGAGAGAGGGAGAGACAGAGAGGATGGAGAAGTTGGAGGTCTCTGTGGTGGCCCAAGGGGGCAGTGGGGCCTGGAGGAGGTGGTTGGGCATCTGCTCCCACTAACCCATGGGCCACCTGGTCCCTTTGCCACGGACCCTGCTATGGGCAGCCATGGTGGGGTGGAGGCGTGTCCCTGGCACCCCCATGTCTCCCCGCATGAGTTTCCTGAGGAACCTGTGGGCATCCCGACGCCCTCTGGGTTTCACCTGGAGGACCACTGCTCACAAGTGGCCTCTCCTTATTTCTTTGAGCAACTTGAACTCTGTGAAAAGAACGTGGGCTCCACGGAGGCCTGTGCCAGCGGAGACAGGAAACATCACCGCTGTTTTCAAGATGGTTCCATTCACTCTTTGTCCTAGTGACCCTGTACTCAGCTCCCATTGTGATGGCTTGGGCGGGGGGATGGGCATGTTTTCTGGATAGTTCCACTGCCTCTGCCCCACTGCATGCAAGCCTGGTCAGCCTGGTGAGGGAGGGCATGCTCAGGCCCCCACCAGCCCCGGGCCTGCTGTCCTTCAGTGGCCTGTGTTCTGAAGACACAGGTGCATCTCTGTCACCCACTACCCACCAAGTCACAAACACCTGGGGCGGGAAGGAAGGTAAATGTTCCTCAAGGGATAGTGTGTATATGAGGGTGGGGTGCGTGGCTGGGAGGCGCACAAATGGCAGCATCCACTTAGGAGCCTGTACCCATCTTCCAGCAGGTCAGCACGGCTGAAGCCAGCAAATTTGTTGTGTTCTCTGGGCCTTAGCAGTCACGACCTTGGACCACGAGATGTGCCCTTGTCGCATTTATTTAAAGAGTTGAAATCTGAAAGGTGCATTAGAAATCGTTCTATTTATAGAGTCACTCTAAATACACTGTGGTGGAAGATGGCCAAGAGCTATTGTGAAGTGAAAGTAGGAACTGGAAAACGGTGAGCTCAGCATGATCTCACATATGCACATATGTGTACACCTGTGTGTATACATGTATAAAAGATATCTGTACACATGTATGTGTATAATACTCATACGTGTGTGTGCATATGTGTGTGTGTGTCCATATGGTCTGGAGATTTATATGCATAATACAACCGGAAGAAATATACACTGAAGAGATAGCATTATCTCTTGAAAGTGAGATTGGGATTATGTGGGGAGGGGAACTTTTAAACATTAATTTACGGAAAAGAAACGGAAAAATGTTCTGGTTCAGTCTAGCCAGGGTAAGTTTGAGACCTGGGCCCCAGGGTGACTTTCACCTCAACCACTGCTCTCTGCCAGTGCCACGCTGCCTGTGGCCTGGCCCTTGCTGTGAGTGTTTACGACCACAAAATTTACTTTTCCTGGAAGTGGTTTCTTCTGATGGCTGGAGAATGTTTATGACATTGTCCATCTCTGTTTCTCCTTAATGAAATTGCCTGGCAGCCGCGGTATTTTAGAGAAGTCTTAACCCCTACTCACTCTCCATTTAGCTTTCCATTCCATTTTCCATGGGAATGGCTGCTCTGACATCAGAATAGGCAATGGCAGCAGGAAGCAGTATCATCAAAGGTGCGAGTTTGAACTCTGGGGAGAGAGGTGTTCATAGGGTAATTTTTGCAACAGTTGGAAAATGCTCTACTGGACAGGGCTGGCTTTTGCTAAGAGGCTCAACAGGAGTTGGTCCATGTGCTGCATTCTCATTTTCACTCCCCAGTTACTCCCTGGGCCACCTGCCTGCCGCAGCACCTGAAGTCAAGTCACCAGAGGCTCAACTTTCTGGTCCATGTGTGGCTGTTTCTTTTTCTATTTATTTTTGTATTTTATTTATTTATTTTTTGTGATGGAGACTTGCTCTGTCACCAGGCTGGCACGATCTTGGCTCACTGCAACCTCCGCCTCATAGGTTCAAGTGATTCCCCTGCCTCAGCCTCCAGAGTAGCTGGGACTACAGGCACGCGCCACCATGCCCAGCTAATTTTTTTGTATTTTAGTAGAGACGGGGTTTCACCATGTTGGCCAGGATTGTCTTGTTCTCTTGACCTCGTGATCCGCCCATCTTGGCCTCCCAAAGTACTGGGATTACAGGCGTGAGCCACTGCGCTGGCCATGTGTGGCTGTTTCTAGGAGAGATTTCTGTCTCATTCCTTCTCTTCCTTTTTTCTTTCTCTCCCTCAAAATTTTCCAATGTTCCTGGGAGGGCTAGTCAGTCACAACTTACAGTGGTGTAGTAGTGGGCTCTCTGCCTGAAAGCTGAGGAATTGGGACTTTAGAGTGGATGAGTGGAGGCATCATTTGGGAGAGGAAGGCAGTGACTAGAAACTAGGTGGCAAGAAGGCATCTTTTTGCACTTCTGCTCACCCCATCTCTTCCCCATAGCAAAAAGAACTGCAGTAAATTCTAGGGATTTGCAGTGTTGACATCGAGTCCCCAGGGTGTCCCAGCAGAAGGGGTGGCAGCAACGGTGGGCTGTTTCCACTGAAGGGAAGACTCCACCTCAGGAAGAAATAAACGGCAGCAAGGTTTTTTGGGCATGTGGCATCTGTGAGATCTGAGGGGATCAGATAATGCCCAGGAAGAATTCTGAAAGCAAATGAGAACATTCAAAAATGCTCATTGACAGCACAGCCATGTAAAGATGATCTGGGAGATCTTAAAGGAAGCATTTTTCCAGGGATGGGGAATCTCAGGTTGGCTTCGCAAGGTTGGCTGAAGCGAGAGCCAGTGCCCTCTCCCTGGACCGCCTGCTTAGGTTAGGATGCACGTGTGCCTCCCTCACTAAGGTTTCATCAGTCATTCTTTTTTTTTTTTTTTTTTTGGGAGACAGTCTCACTCTGTCACCCAGACTGGAGTGCAATGGCGTGATCTCAGCTCACTGCAACCTCCGCCTCCCAGGTTCAAGTGATTCTCCTGCTTCAGCCTCCCAAGTAGCTGGGATTACAGGCACCTGTCATCATGCCTAGCTAATTTTTGTATTTTTAGTAGAGATGGGGTTTCACCACATTGGCCAGGCTGGTCTCGAACCCCTGGCATCAGGTGATCCACCCGCCTTGGCCTCCCAAAGTGCTGGGATTACAGGCATGAGCCACTGCGCCCAGCCAGGAATTCATTCTTTAAAAAGGTCTGAAGTATCTCAAAGTAGATTGTAGCCGCCATACACTGAACAAACAAAAAGGCATTCTTCAGCCGGGCATGGTGGCTCATGCCTGTAATCCCAGCACTTTGGGAGGCCAAGGCAGGTGGATCACCTGAACCCAGGAGTTTGAGATCAGCCTGGCCAATGTGGTGAAACCCCGTCTCTACTAAAAATACAAAAATTAGCTGGGCATGGTGGCGCACGCCTGTAATCCCAGCTACTTGGGAGGCTGAGGCAGGAGAGTCGCTTGAACCTGGAAGGTGGAGGTTGCAGTGAGCTGAGATCATGCCACTGCACTCCAGCCTCGCAACAGAGCGAGACTCCATCTCAAAAAAAAGCATTCTCCATTTTTCATTCATCTCATAATTGAGGTTGGATTGGGAGACTGAGGCATGAACAGGATGTGAAGGAATGGAGATGTGGGTGTAGGTGGTGTTATTGAGTAGTGTGGGAGAGAATGAGGGAGAGTTGAAGAGGGCACCCGGGATTGAGAAATGCCTTGTGGGGTGATGTTGTAGCCTCTGGTCAAGAAGCCAGTGTCCAGGGAGAGGCTGTATATATCAGAAAGGGAGGACAATGTGAGCCCCACGGATGAGCGAGCAGGGGCAGGTCCTTAGGGAGTGCTTCTATGAATTTGGCATCCTGGGTGAATTTGGCAACAGATGGGTAAAAACCCAGAGGCTGACAGAGGAGATGGGATCTCATGTGAAGCTCAGCCCTGGAGAAGTATCTGGAACTCTGAGCTTGGTGGGGGCGCAGAGTGGGGTGGGAACGAGAGAGCATGGAGGCTGGGGACGGGAACGGGGCGTGGGCTCCTATGGCCTCTGTGTCTCCATGGAGTGAGCTGAGTGGTCGTCTGCTGAGATGAGTGTAGTGGGAAAGAGACTGGGACTCCAAGGAGAGAGCTTAAGCTCCAGCTCTTGGGCGTGCCCTGCAGAGTCTGCCTGATGCTGGAAAGGAGGACAAGGAGAGGTGGTGCAGTGCTGAGGGATAGGGCCCCTGATGGGGCAAGCCGAGGCTCCCTGGGAATGTGCAAAGGGGAATTTTATCCAATTTGGAGGCTGAGCAGTAAGTTTTTCTGAAGGATGTGTCACTTAAGGTACAATTTGAAGAAAGAAGAGGGGTGAGCCTGGCAAAGTTTTTACTGGAAGGAGGTCTTGATCCAGACCCCAAGAGAGTGTTCTTGGATCTTGTGCACAAAAGAATTCAGGGTGAGTCCATAAAGTTTATCAAAGGAGTTTATTAAGAAAGTAAAGGAATGAGAGTAGTTACTCCATAGGCAGAGGTGTGGCATGGGCTGCTGGACGGAGTATATTCATGGTTACTTATTGATCATATGCAAAACCGGGGGGGGTTGTTCATGAGTTTTCTGGGAAAGTGATTTCCTGGAACTGAGGGTCCCTCCCCTTTTTAGACTACATAGGGTAACTTCTGGACATCGCATGGCATCTGTAAACTGTCATGATGCTGGTGGGAGTGCCTTTTAGCATACTAATGCATTATAATTAGCAAATAAGTAGCAGTGAGGATGATCAGAGGTGACTTTCATCACCATCTTGGTCTTGGTGGGTTTTGGCTGGCCTCTTTACTGCATCCTGTTTTATTGGCATGGTCTTTGTGACCTGTATCTTGTGATGCCAGTCCTGCCAACCTCCTATCTCATCCTGTGACTGAGAAGGCCTAACCTCCTGAATGCAGCCCCTATTCAAGATGGAGTCACTCTGGTTCAAATGCCTCTGACAAAGTGAGGAAGGCATTCCAGGCAGTCAACAGCAGGCATGATACTCCAGAGTGAGAGAAACTCAAGTGTCCTGGGGTGCAGTCATGATTAACCTTCAACAAGGAGAGGTTTGGCCCTTATCCCCAGCTCCCAGGAGGCAACCTCTAAGCCCTTGGAATTGCCTCCCTGATAAGAGTGCGTTTATTTACCTGGGGGCCTTGGGCCCCACCAGATAGTCTCTGCTAACAATGTGACCTATGGGGGGCCCTTGGACCAAGTGGTATCAGCTTGACCTCTGCAGGGGCTGGAAACCAGGATCAGCCAACTGGGCGGCCAGCCATGTCTGGGTGACCAGCCCCTAGTAGAAACCTTGGACACCAATGCTCAGGTGAGCGGCCCTAGCTGGCAGCACTTTGTGTGTTTCGGCACGCATCGTTGCTGGGAGGAGTAAGCACTGGCCGTGCAACTCCACCAGGGGAGGATGATGGAGGGGGTGCCTGGTCTCTCCTGGCCTCTGTGCACGTGGCTCTTCCCTTGCTGATTGGAGTTTATGCCTTTCACTGTGATAAACCATAACCATGAGTGTTATGGCTTCTCTAAGTTCTGAGTTGTTCTCGTGAATTAATGAACCTGATCTTCCAGTGGAATGGGGTGGGCGGGAACCAGATTGGCTCATGATGGCCTGTGATGTCCTAGAGTAGCCAGGTCAGAGGTGGGCCTTCTCATTCAGGGAAGGTGATGAGCCCAGTCTGGCTGGTGCAATCCGGGGTCATTGTCAGGAGTCATTCATGCCAACACATGGTTTAGTCTCCGTTCTGTGTGCGTTTTTGGGTGAAATGCACACAGAAAGCACTGTTCTCTGTCTCTAGGTGGCTTCCTGTTGAGGGGACCAGGGAGGATGCAGTGAGAGAGATGGCCTGTGAGCTAGTCTCTGAGGTCCCCTTTAGGAATTGGTAAATAACACAGCCCCGAAAGGAGAGGGACTTGGAGAAACCCAATGCTGGCTGGGGTGGCAGACTTGCCCCTGAAGCCTTTGGGTTGGACCCAGCTTTGTGGGCTCATCACCTTCCCTGAATGAGAAGTCCCACCTGTGACCTGGCTATTCTAGGACATCACAGGCCATCACGAGCCAATCTGGTTCCCGCCCACCCCATTCCACTGGAAGATCAGGTTCATTAATTCACGAGAACAACTCAGAACTCAGAGAAGCCATAACACTCATGGTTATGGTTTATCACAGTGAAAGGCATTGACTCCAATCAGCAAGGGAAGAGCCACGTGCACAGAGGCCAGGAGAGACCAGGCACCCCCTCCATCATCCTCCCCTGGTGGAGTTGCACGGCCAGTGCTTACTCCTCCCAGCAACGATGCGTGCCGAAACACACAAAGTGCTGCCAGCTAGGGCCGCTCACCTGAGCATTGGTGTCCATCTCCCCAGGCTTAGCTCCCACGTGCCCTCTGCCCTCTAGTCTCGTCTGTTGCTCTGCCCCTAGTGCTGGCCCCAGAGGTCCCCAGCCTTCCTGCTGAAGTGCCTGGGCTCCTGAGGAATGGAGTCCAAGCTTCCTCACATTCAGCCAGCAGCACTGGCCTGGGGCATGGATCACATACCCTTTGGGGAGCGGGTGAGTCCTCCAGGAGTAGGTCCCGCACTGCCCCACTGTCCTCTCACAGCCCCACTCGGATTATGTATTTGGAGATGGGCTCAGGGAGTCTCAGCTCTAGGCTTACTGGTGACCCCAGGCCCTGTGGCATCTGGTCAGGAAGCTTCTGTGCAGTGTAGGCCAATAGCCAGCCTCCCTTTTAAGTGGCATTTTGAAAGCCAGCTGCTCCCATTGGCTCACCTGAAGACATCCCTTCTCCTGCCTCTCCTCAGCAGGGGCCTGCCTCCAGGGTAGCTCGGCCGAGCAGAGCATCATGGAATGGTCTTCCTTATCCTCCTTCTCGACATCATTTGGTGATGTTCTTTTCAGTCTACAGGCAGAATCAATCCTATCTAATAATGGTTGTGGTCTCCTCAGCCCTCAGCCCTCCACTCTCTGTTGGCCAGTCTAGCTTGGGCCTTGGTGGCCAGTGTTGGTCACGTGCTGCTAACAAGGGGCCAGGACACGAAAATGCCGGAAAAGGTAATTTTGCGAGTCACATCGTGGGTCAGGCCTGGGTGTGAAGTCAGCTTACACAGCTAGAATGGCTCCAAGGCAAGTCTGCGAGCTGAGTAAATGGATTATTGTAGCTACAGCAAACTGTCAGAAAGCACCTCGGGCAGCAGACATTGGCAGGGTCCTGTAAGTGCTGTCCAGGACAGAGAGACTCTTAGCTTGGAAGCATTCAGCCTCACTGGCAAGGCTGGCCAATGAGAGGGACATTTGGCTCATCTTAGCCTGCTGTCATTAACCATCAGGTTCATCTAGACGATCCCCTCCCCGCCCCACCCCGTGTTCCTTTTGTGCTCATAAAGCCTTGGACTATGATGTGGCTTTCTGCACGTATACTTCCAGGAAGAGCGTGTCTTAGCATGCCAGCCCTGTGTACCCCCTATCTGACCTTCCCCCAACAAGCACACTTCTCCCTTGCAGGTGAGAGTGCCACTGCACACCTTGAAACTGTATCCCCCACAAAGCTATAACTGGGCCAGGTGATGCCAAAGTACAAAATCAGGTTTTCAGACACTTAATACCTAGTTAGCAATAACAACTGATTCCAATGGGAAGATACCACATGGTGCTTCGCCTTGTTAATAACACCTGCTAGCAAGCCACATCTTGAATGACAAAGCTGATCTGGGGGCCAAGTTTGGTGCTGTTTGCTCCAGGGGCCCGAACTGCAGGTCAGGACCTGCTCACATGGCCTTTCCCTGTCACCAGCAGCTCACACTGGCTGACAGTGTGGAGTCCAGTGGCCTGGACTCCCTCCAGGCCAGACGCCTCCAGCCCTCACTGTGCAGTCAGGAGGCTTTTCTTCCCCTTTTCTAAGGGCTGCGGTCTCCCAAAGGCGCCCAGCTGGTGTGGGGTACGGCTGTGTGGGGGGAGAATATCAAAGCAAACAGCGGGGTTTAACGCAGACCAAAGCTTACTTGGAAAGGCAATGTGGAAAACAGTGGGGAACCCCAAGGCTGCCGCTCCAACAAGGGGCTACTCTGACGTTTGAAAACCACTAGACAAAGATGTGAGGTCAACTGTCTGACCAGGAGATTGGGAAGGAAACAAAGCCGCTTACCCAAGTTGGAGCATAACATAAAGGATGCTGAGGTTAGATGGCAATGTAGGAACCCACATCTGGCAAGAATAGATGTGTATGTTATAAACACAGACTATAAAAACTGTCAGCCTTTGAGGGAGTCACTGTCTTTGTAATGTAGAAATAACCAGTCTGTACAGACTTGGAAGTGGTAAAGCTAAAGCTTAGGAAAATATTTTTAAAATATTAACAATTTCCCTAGCAGAACAGCCTGCTGTATTGAGCATAATGTAGCAACATTAACTTCAGGTCAAATCCTTTGGAAATGTTTTCAATGTGACCTAAAAGTATATTTAGAGATGTACTTCTGCTCCTATAATGTTTCAATATTTTAAAAGTGTTTTTCATGGAAGAATGAAATATTAAGACACTGTTGTGTACTTTTCCCGTTACGGTATAAGCAGCAGCAGTACTGTGGACAAAACACCCGGCTCTGGTCTGGGTCTGAATCATCCTGGCTCTGCCCTTACTAGCTGGGTTATCCTGGAGGGTATAGTAACACCTCTGGTTAGCCTAACAATCAGTTCATCTATAAACTGCAAGGCTGTTTTAAATAAGACTGTGTGTAAAATGTTTAAACCTAGCACACAGAAAGGCATTCTATCTGCTACCCTGGTGCCTAATTAGCAACTTATTAATGTAGAAATACTCATCCAATCATTTTTAGTATCTAAAATGCTATTTATCAACTAAACTCAAGCATGAAAAAAAGTGGGAATTACTTCAGATTTAGAGGCAGAATCAGCTTTACTAATTTTGTAACAGAATAAGCACTCTGTAATGACACTGTACTTTTAAACTGAAGACTCCTTACGAAAAGTTAAAAATGTGTTCTTAAATGTATTGAAGCTGAGCATATTTACATTACACAATTGTGCATATCTGTATTTTAAAATTATACAGTCATTGTTCACTGTGTAAAATCTGCAAGACACAGGTAAACAAGCAAAGAAAAATTATCCCACCAGAGATAAATGCTGTTAATCTTTTAGTAAATCACCTTTAGAGCTGTTTTGCGGGATAGATACATAACACAAACTGGTGGCATTAAATCTGCATGCTTTTTGAAAAGTGATTCTGGAGTGAACAAAAATTGCAACTTTAGAAGATATACACTGCCGGCCGGGCATGGTGACTCACGCCTGTAATCCCAGCACTTTGGGAGGCCGAGGCAGGCAGATCACTTGAGGTCAGGAGTTTGAGACCAGCCTGGCCAACATGGTGAAACCCTGTTTATTTTAGTAGATACTACTAAAACTACAAAAATTAGCTGGGCGTGGTGGTGTGTGCCTGTAATGCCAGCTATGCGGGGGGCTGAGGCACGAGAATCGCTTGAACCTGGGAGGCGGAGGTTGCGGCGAACCAAGACGTGCCACTGCACTACAGCCTGGGAGACAGAGTGAGACTCAAAAGACAACAACAAAAAAACAAATAAAAAAAAACACTCTATACTGCCTACAGGTATAGCTTTAAGAATGCCAGATTTAAAGCACAAGGTTGATGGGTTGATGCTTTTCAAAATGCTGGCACTTTAGAGGAATGGTCTTATTTAGTACTGCCAGCTCTGGAAAGTATTATAAGCTCTTTGATGTTACAGCATCATCCCCATTTTACAGATAAGGAAACAGAAGCACAGGCAAGTTAACGCTCTTTGAGCCACGCTATTAGTAAGGGCTGAAACCTGAGGTGTCTCAGACTCCTTCTTCATAAAGCCAAACTTTGATGCTTAAGTATTTTTAATGCTACCAAATTAGAAAAAAAGAGAATATGCACATTTACACATTTTCATATTCTGATTGTACTCTTCTTTACTAATATTTTATTTTTGAGACAGCGTCTTGCCCTGTCGTCCAGGCTGGAGTGCAGTGGCACAATCTCTACTCACCGTAACCTCTGCCTTCTGGGCTCAAGCGATCGTCCCACTTCAGCCTCCTGAGTAGCTGGGACTACAGGTGTGTGCAACTATGCCCAGTTAATTTTTGTTTTTGCTTTTTTTTTTTTTTTTTTTTTGGTAGAGATGGGGTTTCACCATGTTGCCAAGGCTAGTCTCAAACTCCTGGGTTCAAATGATCTGCTTACCGCAGTCTCCCGAAGTGCTGGGATTACAGGTGTGAGCCACCATGCCCAGGGTTTCAGTGTCAAACTCTGAATTTGAATGACAATGTCAAACTGAGAAACAGGATGAAATGCACAAAAGTAATGTGTAAATTGAGTAGCTGACATCAGTTGACAGATAAAAGTAATGACAGTATATAAGCGTCAGGTGAATGTTCAAGGAATAGGAAACAACATTGTCAGGACGTCTGTTTGGAAAAAAACCCTTAAAAGTAAAATTACATACATCAGATTTTATCTAGATATTAAACTGATGCTGCTGAGGCAGGAGGATCACTTGAAGACAGGTGTTTGAGACCAGCATGGGCAACAAAATGAGATCCCACTTCTAATAAAATTAAAAACAAACAAAAAAAAGCTTATGCCAGTATACATGTCAGTGATCTAAGCTCTGGCTACATAATTGAATTTCTTCAATTTGACAAGTCAAAAAATTGCGACTGCTGCACAGGACACCTCACTGTTACTTCATGTGCAAGTCAGAGATTTGAAAAGAGGCATTAGAGATGGGGGAAGAAGGCAATGTCTAAATGGACCTTTTCTGTGCCAGGATTCTTCTTTAAAGGCTTTCTTTTCTGAAACGTTTTGACTTGTTCATCACTGAATGAGGAACAATAGTGTTTTAAATTCAAATTGTCCCATGAGTTGAGATTTCTTTTATTAGGAAATATACAATTTATAATTGTGACTTTAATTTTTAAAAATTACCTTCCAGAAAATATCCCCTCTCAGCATCAAGTATTGGCTTTGAATTTGGGTGAGCCTTTACTTGCTCAAACCTCCACTATCCTAATTTCTTTATTACATTCTAATTGGTATTGACAGATTTGATAGATTATCATCTTTTCTAAATTCCACTTGTGTAAATCCTACTTTAATATTACAAAGCAATTGGCACGAGATTCAAGTAAAATAAAAGCATGGTTGATAAAAAAGAAGACCAAAACTGTTATCATTCTTCTTAAGCCCGTTTTAAAATTACATGTTTAGATTTTTTAAAAAATTCATGCGATTCTCCTGTTTCAGCCTCCACGGATGCTGCAGTGAGCTGAGACTATGTCGCTGCACTCCAGCCTGGGCGACAGAGCCAGGACTCTGTCTTAAAAAAAAAAAAATCAAATATACAGAAGAGTATAAAGGGGAAGTACGATTCTCCTGCCTCAGCCTCCCTAGTAGCTGGGATTACAGGTGTGTGCCACCATGCCCAGCTAATTTTTTTGTATTTTTAATAGAGACAGGGTTTTGCCATCTTGGTCAAGCTGGTCTTGAACTCCTGGGCTCAAGTGATCCGCCTTCATTGGCCTCCCAAAGTGCTGAGATTATAGGCGTGAGCCACCACACCCATCCTAAAACTAAAATTTTATGTTCAGTTCCTCACACTAGCTATTATTTCAACTGCTCAACAACCCCATGAGGCTAAAGGCTATCACACTGGGAGTGCGGATACCAAGCATCCCATCATCACAGCAAGTTCACTGGACAGTGCTGCTCGGTGGTAACCACAGCTGAGCACCTGCATGTTTGTTTGTTTTTTTATCAGATACATGATTTTTCAAAAATTTTTCTCCCATTCTGAGGGTTAACTTCACTTTCTTAATGGTGTCCTTTAAGGCGCTAAAGTTAATTTTGATGAAGTCCCATTTATCTACTGTTTGCCTTTGTTGCTTGTGCTTTTGGTATTATGTCTAAGAAACCATTCCTAAGCCCAACATCACAAAGATTTACTTCTGTTTTCTTCTAAGAGTTTAAACTCTTATATTGAGGTCTATGATCCATTTTGAGTTAGAATTTGTAATGTGGTAGGAAGGTAGGGATCCTTTTGCTGTGCACGTAGCTACCAGTTAGTTGTCCCAGCACCGTTTGTTGAAAAGACCACTCCTTCTCTATTGATGGTATTGGCATCCTTGTTGAAAACAAGTTGACCAGAAATGTATGGGTTTATTTCTGGATGTTCAGTTCCATTCCTCTGATCGATATGTCTATCCATATGCCTACACTGTCTTATTGTAGCTTGGTAGCACTTTTTGAAATTGGTACGTCTTCCAACTTTGTTCTTTTCCAAGGTTTTTTGGCTATTCTGGGTCCCCTGCGTTTCCCTACCAATTTTACCAGTTTGTCAATTTCTGCAAAAAATACAGCTAGGATTTTGATAGGAATTGTTGAATATGTAGACTAATTTGGGCAGCATTGCCATCTTACCAATATTCAGTCTTCCAATCCATGAACATGGATGTCTTTCCATTTATCTGGATCTTAATTTCTTTAAACGTGTTGGAGTTTTATTCTTGATGCTACTGTATATAGGATTTCTTTATTCTCATTTTCAGAATGTTTGCTGTTAGTAGAGAAATAAAACTGATCTTGTATCCTGCAACCTGTTGAACTCATTTATTACTTTTTATGGATTCTTTAGCATTTTCTATATACAACTATGTATCAACTGTGAATACATATAGTTTCACTTCTTTTGCAGTATAAACCTCTTTTCTTTATTAGCTTATTTGATTTTTAGATGTTGAACAAACCTTGAATTCCTAACCTAACTGCTGTGGCTAGAACTTCAAGTACAATGCTGAATAGAAGTAGTGCCGAGTGAACATCCTTGTCCTTCTTCCCAATCTTAAGGGGAAAACATTCAGCCTTCAGTCTATCACCATGAAGTATAATGTTAGGTGTGGGCTTTTCATAGATGTTATATTTATCATATCTAGGAAGATTCCTTTTATTCCTAAGTTTGTTGAGTGTTTTTATGAAAGAGTTTTGGATTTTATCAAATGCTGTAATAAGACAATCTGTGTGGGTTTTGTGCTTTATTAAATATGGTACAGTTGATCCTCATTATTCAAGGTTATGTATTTGTGAATTTACCAACTTGCTAAAATTTATAACCCTCAAATTGATATCCGTGGCACTTTTGCAGTCATTTGTGGATATGTGTAAATGGGTGAAAAATTTGAGTCACCCAGTACACATGTTCCCAGCTGAGGCTGAACAAGATGATGCTCTGCCTTCCTGCTTCAGTCTCATAGAGAAATGACTGGAGGGTGGAAATGGCAGGGGCAATTCTGTGTAGTACAAGAAGCTCTGGCTCCGGGGCCAGCTGGATGGGGTTTGAATTTCAGCTCTGACACCTGTTAGGGGGGTGCCTCAGGCATGTCACTTAACACTTCTGATACCTCACTTTCACTTCTGTAAAATAAGGTAGAATTTGCTAGGATGAATTAAGAATTCAAGCTCATAATGTGTGTGAGATAAACATATGTATACACACATATACACAAATACACTTTCTCCTAAAAGCAGTTGTTCCATATTTAATTCAGTGTTTATGGGAGAATATTCTGTAGAACATAATTACTGTGAATAATGAGAACTGACTGTATATTAGCTTATTTGATTTTTAGATGTTGAACCAACCTTGAATTCCTGGGATAAATTCCACTTGGTCATGATATAGAATCCTTTTTATAGGTTGCTGGATTCAGTTTGCTAATATTTTTGTTAATGATTTTTGTGTTTGTATTAATAAGGAATATTGGCTTATAGTTTTCTTGTGATGTCTAGTCTAGTATCAGGGTAATACTGACCTAGAGTAAGTTGGGAAGTGTTCTTTCCTCTCCTACTTTTAGAAACAGTGTGCAAAAAATTAGTGCTAATTTTAATGTTTGGCAGAATTCAACAATGCAGCCATCTAGGCCTGGGATTTTCTTTGTGAGACTTTTAAAATTACTAATTCAGTATTTTTCCTTGTTAATGCCAATTGCATTTTTAACCAACTTTTAGGTAGAGCCAAAGATAAGAGTATTATCTCATTAGGCCAGTGAAATTCAAGAAGAAAATACATATTATCAAGGAAGATGCTAAATATTTGGGAAATTCTGATAGGCAGCTATGAAAATTATCCATTATATCTTGATTCTTAACCTCTATCTAGCTTTAACAAACATTTTATCACTTCTCATGTGGTTTCATAATCTTATGAACAAGAAATTTCAGCCTGTTCTATAACAGATTTATATACAAACCTCTTAACTAAAACTTGCAGTGAAGTCCTTATAATCAAAAACTAAAGTTTGTACATTCCTTGAGATAATACACAGATATGTATCTGTATATATTTATATATATATAAATATATTTCACTCTATCTACAAACATAACACTTATCTCAGAACCTGTCAGGAAGGCAGTTGTGTAGTGGAAAAAATACTGGAATAGATTTCTGGAGGTCTCAGTTCTGGTGCCAGCTCTAACTTAGATGCCTTTCTGTGTTTCTTCCATGGATAAAATTAGGTTATGCCTGGTGATCGGCAAGGTTCTTTCTGGTGTTAAAAATACAATGACTTATTCTACAATAATGCCATTCCCATTGCTCTTACTTCAGAGTGGTCACAATGAAAATATTTTGTTATATACATATAAACATACACACCTCCATACTTCATTTGTATAGAACTATTCAACCAATTCACAAAATCTTAGAAAGAGGAAGTCTGTAATTAAATAATGTAATTTCAACATCTCAAAGTCCTGAAGTTTGCTATGAAACAGTTACTACTATTCTTTCTCTACATATACAAATTTGCCTTTTCACAATGTCTCACTTTATGTAAGTGCAGTACTATTTCACAGGCATCTAAAATTATGCTAACTTTCAAAAACAAGGAGGTCATTTTTCAGAAATTCTGAGCCTGTCAGAGAAACTAAATGGTATTTCATCAGTTGTCTCTACTGGCACATTACTTCTACTAAAATGACATGAAGCATGGTGAGCGAAACTTGAAATAAATGCATCTGGAGTCCGGCTGCAATGACAGCTATCTGCTGGTGTAACATTACTTGGATTACCAGGATGTGAATGGTAAACACCATGGAATGGGTCTTGCAATGAGTGATAATGCCCTGCTCCTCCTGAGGTGGCTGCAGAACTCTGGTAAGGACCATTAGACATAAGACAAGTTTGAAAGCAAGTCTTCCTTCCCAAACCTCGATGCATGTCTAATTTAGCAATGAGAGGTTTCCCAACATTCACTTCCTGCTTGTCCTCTACAGTATCTTCCAATCCTGAGTACTGATATGATAAACATACTGTGAAGACTAGATGTTCCTGAAAAGGAAAAAAATCTGGTTTATTATTGGCATCAACAGTGAATATATATCAATCTGAAAATATTCACACATACACACCCCCACCCCCAAAAATCCACTCACTCTCCTTTCCCAGGTTCCAAATCCTCAAGGCATCCTTTATATCTCCCTGAAACTGAGAAACGCCAGCTATCATTATCTTCCTTTTCCTTCATGCAATACTTACAACCCATTTAGAATTTCTAGTTCTTACTACTGTTAGTAGTCAAAGTCAAAGAGATCTTTCTTACACTCTAGATGAACAGGGAAAACATTTTCCAAGCAGTGCAGCTTAGGAAACTTACCCTTCCCTATTATTAGAGATGGGGTATTAACTTTTAATTAAAAAATGATCTGGGCCCGGCGTGGTGGCTCACGCCTATAATCCCAGCACTTTGGGAGGATGACGCAGATGGATCACTTGAAGTTAGGAGTTCAAGACCAGTCTGGCCAACGTGGTGAAACCTGTCTCTACTAAAAATACAAAAAATTAACTGGGCATGGTGGTGTGCGCCTGTAGTCCTGGCTACTCGGGAGGCTGAGGCACAAGAATCACTTGAGTCTGGGAGGTGGAGGTTGCAGTGAGCTGAGATCGCGCCACTGCATTCCAACCTAGGCGACAGAGAGAGACACCATCTCAAAACAAAAAAAAAAACCTGGTTTTATACCAGTTTTATAAAAAAAGCTTAAGCTGTTTTTAAAATATTATAGTAATCCATAATCGTAGGTGGAAAATATAACTGAATCAGATAATGGGCTAACTTTTTAAGAGAAGAAAGGATTTTAAGTAGATGAGCTCCGAACAGGATGACAACAGGTTTATGTGTGTAATTCTCAATCATGCCCATTCCATTCCCTGAGTTTTAGCTGATACATTCTATGGTCATGTAGTTGTGAACAAATTAAAAGCTTTCATTAGAACACTCAATGTGCAGAACTAGCTTCTCATTTGTAAGTCAACTAGAAATAAAAAAATGGAAAAAAAATTCTAATTTGCTATATGTCTAGTCATAGAACTAGGAAATGATTACTTGAAAATCTGAACATATTTAAAAGTAGAATATGGAGCTGGGAGTGGAAGCTCACACCTGTACTCCGAGTGCTTTGGGAGACCAAGAAGGGAGGATTCTTGAGGCCAGGAGTTTGAGATTGGCCTGGGCAATATAGTGAGATCCCTTCTCCACAAAAAGTTTTAAAAAATTAGCTGGGTGTAGTGGCATGTGCCTGTAGACTCAGATACTTGGGAAGCTGAGGTGGCAGGATCATATGCACTGAGGAGTTTGAGGTTATAGTAGGTCATGTTCATGCCACTGCACTCCAGCCTGGGTGACAGAGTTAAGACTCTGTCTCTAAAAAAAGAAAAAAGAATATACTCTAATGTTACTAATTTTTTAGCATTCTGGAGGGTAAGCACACATAAAGTCCTCTGGTCACCATCGGAAACAGAATATAAAAAGGGTCACTGATAGGACCTTCTGTAGACTGGTTATCTCTACTTTAATAATAAGGCAGCATATCTATGGTCTATGCCAAAATAAGTTTCCAGTTTCATAAAGTTTTCCATTAGTAGCTATAAACAGAAAAGGTAGTAACCTTTAATTTTTGCAGTGAACTGAGTCTGGTATAGAGGCAATGCTTGGGAAGATCCTTTGATACCAAGTAGCTGCCAGTTTCTTCAGGTGTGCCTTTATTTGCATCTTTTGGATCAATATCTAGATCCTGTAAAAAAAAAAATTAGGGACTGTTAATAATGAAATCAATGAAAGCCACAATATAATCTAGTACATAAGACATCTTAACTGATACTATCCTCTCGTGAATTCTGGCCTCTCGTGAATTTTGGTAATCCCAAAATTATCCAGGACTAAACAATGAAAACAACAATCTATGGTTATAATAGGAATTCTCAATTCTGTACTAAGCCATCTAAAAAGTAAAGTGAGCTCTGAAAGAGCTTCCTTTCAAATGATTCCTAGAAATGCTTCTTGAGCTACTCAAGTTTCCTCTTAAGCAGAGAGAGCCCCATTAGTGTTTGACTCCTGGATTCTCTCCTCTTAATCATCACTTTTGGGAAGGTGCAGGGAAATTTATATGATTAGAATATTTAAGAAGGATAAATAAACAGCCTTTTCCTTTTTCTTCTTTTAGAGCCAACCCAATGGCCAAGAGTAAGGGTTCTGCTGCTCCAGTGAGAAGCCCACAGGCCCCCAGCTTGCTCAGTACCTCAGGAAGCCTATCTGGGCTCCGTACTGCTGAGACTGGAGGTGTGGGGTGGCCACTCAATTCTGGGGTTTGGTGCTAGACCATTTACTCTGACATGAAGCAATATCCTCCACAAAGCCTCTATCAGTAATCAAAGTGATATTTTGGGTTTCTGCTTGTCTTACTCCTTGCTTGCTTCTCAGTTTGTCACACTCATGTAGGAAAGAGGGGTACTATTTACTGGCTTCTTTAGACCAACGTAAAATAACTATCAAACCTAAATGTTTGAAAAGAGCAGAACTAGATTTCTATTATTCCAGCATATGACCATACCTTAACAAGACTTAAAAACTACTGTTTCCAATATAAGTTATAACTGTTTAAAAGGAAATTATTCTTGACATATTTATAGCACATTTTATTCCTTCACATTGGCTCTCGTGTTTAGGATATAAGAAATTAGAGGCATCCTTCCTGAGTGAACTTTAGACATTTCTAAATCTCATAAACTTAAGGTATTTTGGCAATTAGTAAATATTATGATCAGTGTTACTAAACTATAAATATATACACATATATAAATATATATATTTCCTTTATATTTACCATCAACTTTAAGTTTTAAAAAATTTAGTCTTTAATAAGTGAGAATATATCACTGTATTTTAAATAAAAGAAGAGACTCACAAGTGGAAAATCAGTAACGTAGGCATCACACATTATTATCTCCGGTGGTTTGTAAACTATACTTGTATAGATGATCATGACATTGGAAAACTCAGCTGCAAATCCTAATTGAATCTGAACACCACAGTCAAACTTAAGACACATACTTTCTGGAAGTTCTGAAAAAGAACAATAAGAACAACTTTGGTAGGTTTTCTGATGATAAGAGGCAAATATTTATGGAGGAGAATATAGTTAGCATTTCTTTTGCTTAAAAACATGATTTACATTGTTTAAACACATACAATTTAAAAAATAATGCTCACTATTCTGCTGGCCAAACAAAGTCTTTCATTTACCATTTGTTTATAGTTCTTATCCAACTGTATATATAATTTTTATTGTGGCAATCAAAAATATGCATACAATTGTAGATAAATTTTCACTGTTGCCTCAATTTATATGACCAGAATTTTTAATAAAGCACAATGTCACTGAACAGCCACATTATAGTTTGTTACCTTTAACCATTCTGTTAACTCTTGAATATTTATAATACCTCTGGGTTTTATTGTTTTTCTATCATAGTTAATATTTATATATACGTAATGCTTTAAGATAGATAAAGCTATGTGATTGTTCCTTTACATATGGGACAAATTATTTTCAATTTGCATGGAATATAAAGTTTCAGCATAACATGTCCAAAACAGAGTATTAATTTTTAAAACATTTGTCTACTTGATGGTATTAAAAAGCAGAAAGATACCATCAGTTTTAATTATTCCTTAATTACTTACATTAGCCATTTAAAAAATTTTTCTCTATACTTCCAGCAGTGTGGATTGTTGAATTTGTATCATTTGCTTGTTTACTGAGGAGGGTCTTAATTTTTTTTCTCTTATTTGTTACAAATATTTTCTATATGACCTTTTCATTTTGTTTTATGAAGTTTCGTTTATTGTTGATCTTTACCACCGTAATTTTGCTATTTGTTGTTTAGATCTTTTTTAGAGAAAAGACATTCAATTACTTATCCAGTTATCTGGAATGGTGAGATATTTATAGCATTTTACATTTTAATGTGCTTTAATATGTTAATTTACTAAAAATATGTATTAGAGAATAAATTCTTTTTTTGAGACTGAGTTTTGCTCTTGTTGCCCAGGCTGGAGTGCAATGGCGTGACCTCAGCTTACTGCAAACTCCGACTCCCAGGTTCAAGTGATTCTCCTGGCTCAGCCTCCAGAGTAGCTGGGATTACAGGCACCTGCCACCATGACCAGCTAATTTTTTGTATTTTTAGTAGAGATGGAGTTTCACCATGTTGGCCAGGCTGGTCTTGAACCCCTGACCTCAGGTGATCTACCCACCTTGGCCTCCCAAAGTGCTGGGATTACAGGTGTGAGCCACCACACCTGGCCAAGAACAAAAATTATTATTTATGAAAATAAAGATATTTTATAGAAGTTCATTAAATACAATTATTTTTCAATTATCTATAAGAGACTCACAGACTAGATACTTGGACTCAGAAAATCCAAAATTATTTCAATTGGTAATTTAAACTTATTTTTTCATTAAACCATACACAATTACCAAAAGGTAATTAAGCTACAGATTGATTTTCACGTCATCTTCTCTGCTGATCACTCAACTTACTGATCAAGTGTCCAAGAGAGGATGCTCAGTTATACGAATAATCAAAAGTACAGAGGACTTGTCGAGTGCCATGCTCATTTCTACCTATGCACTCATTCAATCCCAATAACCTATGAGGCAGGTACTATTTCTTTTTCTTTTCGAGACAGAGTCTCGCTCTGTCGCCCAGACTGGAGTGCAGTGGGACAATCTCTGCTCACTGCACTGCAACCTCCACCTCTCAGGTTCAAGAGATTCTCTTGCCTCAGCCACCCTAGTAGTTGGGATTACAGGCACGTGCCACCACACCCCGCTAACTTTTTGTATTTTTAGTAGAGACGAGGTTTTGCCATGTTGTCCAGGCTGGTGTCTAACTCCTGACCTCAGGTGATCCACCTGCCTTGGCCTCCCAAAGTGCTAGGATTACAGGCGTGAGCGACCACACCCAGCCTGAAGCAGGTACCATTTCTTATTTACATGTTATAGATAACATGTTCATAGAGTGGTAGAGACTGGATCAGAACCCAATCCATGATTTTCGACAGGTCACAATATAGGAGAATCTAAAGGATTGTGTATTAGACAAATGGAAACTTAACCTATTTTAAAAATAGAAAAATTTTTAAATGGTCATTTAAATTTTACCAATAGTGACAATAATGGGCTAAATAATTTGATATTTCTAAATCAAATAAGCCAGTGTAATATCCATAATTGAAATATTTGTTTGGTTTGAGATTTGCCTAGTAGGCCAAAATATTTTCACTGTAAAACTGGGAGGAAAGTTATTTATTCAGAAGAAACTTTATGATTTAACGTTAAGTATATTGTAGATCTAACAAAAAATGGGCTTTACCGTACCATGAGCCTTGGCCCACTGTAGATTCCGCACAAGAGATTCAGCAGAATATTCTGTTCCCTGTATTGGATCAGTAAGTGCTCTCTTCTCAGATAAACTACTTCGAATCTCTAGAGCCTGTTTGCCTTTGGTAAGGTGACACTTACCCATATCTAAAAGATATGAAAATAAATATTATTTTTAAGACCACCAATTCTTATGTTTTAAATATTTAGGCTAAGAACTATCCTACATTATCAGGTTATATTCTCAGTATCATTTATTCACTCAACAAATATTTCCTGAGCACCTATTATGTGCCAGACATATCAGGCATGTTTTAATTTTTACTCATGTGTGTAAGTGTTCATAAATAGTATATGCCAATGTTTTAGGTTTTTGAATTCAACAAAAATGTTCTATGTATGTCTTTGTAATGTACCATTTTCATTCAACATGTTTTAGATAGACTAATGTATATGGATACACATCAATTTAAATTTAGAAGTATATTATTTAAGTTATAGTTTATCCTACTTCTGTCTACTATGTTATAAATTAACAATAGTAAGGTTCTTTTTTTTAAAAAAAGAGACAAAATTATATAGTGATCCAGAACTAAGTCTAAGTTAAATCAACATGTTGGGAGTTAAAAGGAGATACCAAGTATTGTAGGAGTACATTAAAATTATTATTTGTTAGAGAAGAAAAGATATAAATACAATTTTTTTAAAAAAGATAAGAAAATGAGCCAAATCAAAAAATTAGATGGTTAAAACAGGTACAAAAAATAACAAATGTAAATTAACTAAATTTTCTCATTAAAAGACCAAGATTATCAGATTGGATTTTAAACAATCTGTTATATGGTGCCTCCAAAAGCTACAGCAAAGCAGAATGACATGAAATGTTTGAAAGTAAAAGTGTAGAGAAGCAGGCTAGCCTAGGGGTTAAGAGTAGGAAAGTAAAAGTGTAAAAAATAGCATATTAGGTCAACAAAAAGGAAGTTGGTGTGGCTCTGTTAGTATGATACAAAAAGAGAAGAAGCATTTGAAATGGAGGCATCACTACATAATGATAAAGGTTCAATAAGAAAATATAAACATTTAAAACACGAAAATAGTCACTATATATGAAGTAAAAAGTGCTAGAACTACAAGAAAATTTGGTAAATTGAGAGATTTCAACATCTCAATTATTGATCAAAGAGACAATCAGCAGAAATATAGAACTGAACAAAACAATAAAAATTAATACGCCAAACCTAATGGGCATACATAGAGTTCTGCAACCAGTTACTACAAAAATATCCATTTTTCTCAAGTACACATGCAAAATTTACAAAATTTCATCTTTTACTTGGCCATAATGAAAACCTCCACAAATTTCAAAGCATAGCAATTAGACAGACTATTATTCGATCACAAAGCAATTAAGGTAGAAATAAAAAGCAAAAAGTGAAATGAAAATTCCTGCCATATTTGAAAATTAAAGATAATATTATATAACTTAAAGGTCAAAGAAAAAAAAAGTCAACTAAAAAAAATCCCTAAACTTATAGGATGTGTGATGAAAGTGATGTTTTAAGAGAAATGTAAAGCCTTAGAAACTTAAATTGGAAAAAATAGGCTAAAAGTGAATAACTACGATGATGTTAGAAAAAGAAATAATAAATGCAAGGCAAGACATAAATAAACAGCAGAAGTTAATGATGTAGAAAACAATGAAAAAGTAGAAGAAATCAACAGAGTCAAAGATTGGTTCTTCAAAATGAAATAGCACAATTGGCAAAAGCTGGCAATAAATAAAAAAGGAAAGTAAGTACAAGTAATACTGATGAAAACGGATATATAACTATGGATAAGGCAGAGATTAAAGAATACTATTAGAAATATGAGCAACTAAATGACAACGAATTTGAAAACTGCCCAAATTCCTAGGAAAATATAACTTATCAAAATTGACTCAAGAAATGAAAAGCCTATATGGTACAAGAAATATTCAAGATACTGAACCAGTGGTTAAAAATCTTCTACCAAAAAAATACCAATCCCAGGTTGGTTTATAGGCAAGTTCTACCATAAACATTAGGGAACAGATCATAATTTATACAAAAGTTCCCAGTAAACAACAGGGTGTACTTCTTCTGTATTAGAGTTCTCCAGAGAAGCAGTACCAACAAGATGGGCGCATGTGTACACGTACACGTGTGTGTGTGTGTGTGTGTGTATGTGTGTACATAGAGGGACAGTGAGAAGAAGGGACTGACTTAAGGTATTGGTTTATGAATTGTGGCGGTGCAAGTCTGAAACCTGCAGGCAGGCAGGCTGGGGATGCAGAGGAGAGTTGTAGTTTGAGCCCCAGAGGCGGGCTGCTAGCAAACTCCATGCTTGTGGGAGGTCAGTCTTTGCTCCATTAAGGCCTTCAGCTAACTGAATGAGGCCCATTCACATTATGGAGAGCAATCTACTTTACTGAAAGTCCATCAATTTAAACTTTAATCTTATCCAGAATAATGTTGGATCCATCACCTAGAAACATCTTGAATAATGCTGGACTAAATATCTTGGCACTGAGGCCTGGCAAAAGTTGACATAAAATCAACCATCTTGGTTGTCCTCCATCTCATTCCACAAGGCCTACGCTACATTCTATCAGATAACACTGATACTCTGTATGCCACTGATACTGATAACACTGATACCACTAAATACTAATTTTATTTTCTCATAAAATTAAACCAAATACTATAAGAAAGTAAAATTACAGGCCCATTTCCCATATGAATATAGATATGAAAATTCTAAACAGAATGATGGCAAATTAAATCTAGTAGTGTATTAAAAATATACATCCCAATGAAAGTGATTTATCTCAAGTTGGATTAATGTTAGACTATCTATAAATTTAACTCACCATATTAAGAAATTGAAAGAAAAGAAACATCCTATTTTCTTCTTCATAGCTGCAGAAAAACCATTTAATCTTGTTCATTTATTCATAATAAAAATTTTCAAAAAAATTAAGAGAACTTCCTTAACCTGATAAAGTGTTAATAAAAAAACTTACAATATTATTCTAAATGTGAAGACATTAGCAGTATTTCCTTTAAAGTCAGAAACAAGACAAGGATGCCCACAACTACCTATTCAATTGTGTCTTAGCGGTCCTCGCTAGTATTATATCAAGAACACATACAACATTCCTCTAAATCAATAAGCCAAAACACACACACACACACACACACAGAAGAATGCACAAATGACATAAAAAGATGTTTCACATAAGATATACATATAGCTATTAAAAATATGAACAATGTTCAATATCACATGAGATACTATTTAACATTTGGCAAAAATAAAAAAGTCTGACTATCAAGTGATGGAGAGAGTACAGATTCACATTATCCCTTGCTGGCCGTGGGGAGTAGGGTTAAGTGTAGACTCGGCAACCACTTTACAAAACTGTCTGGCATTCTCTCTCAAAATGGAATACTGTCACACCCTATGACCCAGCAATTCCAAGTTGTAGAATTATACTGCAAAGAAATTCATGCATACATATTCCAGGAGACATACACAAGACTGTTAATGATAGCACTGTTAACATAGCAAAAACCTACAACTAACTCAAATGCTCACCAACACAGGAGAGTAGTTGAAAAAAACTGTAGTATGTTTGCATAACAGAATATTACGTAGCAGTTAAAAACTACAGTCATGCAACAATAGGGATCAATCTTAGCAACATAATATTAACCAAAAAAATCTAGTCCCAAAAGACTACATAGAGCATAATACCTTTTTATGAAGTTAAAAACAAAACTACGCATACTTTTTTGGGTATATATAAACTCAATAAAACTATGTAAAACGAAAAAGGAATAAGTTTAGAATGGTAGTTATCATGGAGTGGGGGAAGGGAGAAGAGGGGTCCTATAATTAGATGTAGGTTACTTCAAGGTCCTATATTCATATCGAACATCTACTCACAATGAAAACCTTCAGTAGTATGTTCAACACTTCTAATAATAATGCTGTCCTGAATAGTACAAAAATAAAAGTCACGTTACAGATTGATGGCTGTAGCATTATAACAACCAATTTACCTCATATTTTGTTTTCCTTGCACACAGTTGAAATTGGTAAGGTGGGCCGGGCGTGGTGGCTCACGTCTGTAATCCCAGAACTTTGGGAGGCTGAGGCCGGTGGATCACTTGAGGCCAGGAGTTCGAGACAGGCCTGGCCAACATGGCGAAACCCTATCTCTACCAAAAATACAAAAATTAGCCGGACGTGGTGGTGTGTGCCTTTAGTCCCAGCTACTTGGGAGGCTGCGGCAAGAGGATCACTTGAACCTGGGAGGTGGACGTTGCAGTAAGCCAAGATCATGCCACTGCACTCTAGCCTGCGCGACAGAGACTCTGTAGTCTCACACAAAGAAACCAAAAAATTAAAAAAAGAAATTGGTAACATGTTTATTTTCCCCTTCAACTGCTTGGCTTATAATCTGTGAATACTTTTCTCCCTCTGGAATTTTCTTTTTTTTTTTTTTTGAGATGGGGCTTGCTCTGTCACACATGCTGGAGAGCAGTGGTGTGGTCATACTTACTACAGTCTCAAACTGCCAGGCTCGAGCAATCCTCCCACCTAAGTCTCGCGAGTAGCTGGCACTGCAGGTGCACACCATAATGCCTGGCTAATTTTTTAAATTTTTATAGAGATGGGGGGTCTGACAATGTTGCCTAGGTTGGTCTCAAACTTCTGTGTTCAAGTGATTCTCCTGCCTCAGCCTCCCCAAATGCTGGGATTACAGGCATGAGCCACTGTACCTGGCCCCAAATAATTTTTTTTTTAAATTGAGATGGGGTCTTGCTGTGTTGCCCAGACTGGTCTTGAATTCCTGGGCTCAAGCAATCCTCCTACCTCAGCCTCCCAAAGTGCTGGGATTACAGGTGTGAGCCACCATGCCCAGCCATGGAATGAGTTTCAATTAAGTAATCTGGAAGATCCAAAGGGAGAAACAGCAAAGTTTTGTTTCAAAATTGGATGACTTGTGAAAAATTTCATACAACTACTTTTGCTCTTTACTACTAAGACAGGGGTCAGACACAAAGCATCCAAAACTCAAAATAAGGGCTAGATTTAACTGTATTATTTATCATGATACTATTAGGCCTTTACTTATTTTGTACAATGAGTGGGCCGTTACCCACGAAGGGCACAATGTGCACGGCACTGAGCTGAGTGTGCTCCATGTACACTACAGGGTCTTCCTGCCTGGGCAATTCTGGTTAAGCAGACATGGTAGGACTGAAAAAGATCAGCGAAAAGCAAAACTGTCTAAGATGTTTATAAGAAGTTCAAATATCCTCACAGCACATATCGGGATGCCATTCATTGCTATGACAATTTGGTAAATATCATATGTGAGTGAGCATGGTGCTTTTTATTAAGTTTTAAAATAGTTAAAATGGACTTAAAAACGAAATTGAAATAAAACACTGTAGAGTTTCTGGAGCACCTTACTGGATCTCAGTTTGAATATAACTGACATAATCCAAAGGTTTTCTTTCTTTCTTTTTTTTTTTTTAAAGCAGCAGAGCCTTTCCTTCAAATGTAAGCTTCAGAAGAAGCCTAATGTAGAAAACAAATAAAAGTGGAACTTCTCTGGATGAAGCGGGAGGGTGGCAGGAAGTCCAAAGCCCTGGCTGGTTATGTTAAATGGAAAAGTGGCTAAGTCAAGTGATCTAAAATAGCTACACAGATAAAAACATGAAAATAAATATGGCTGACAGTTGGTCAAACACCTTATACCCAAACTGCCATCACTGGAACATCCATGAAACTCCATTTTCTAGTGGTGCTAGTTTGTAAAATAATTTCTTCTTTTTTATTTTTATTTTTTATTTTGAAGACAGGGTCTCGCTATGTTGCCTAGGCTGGTCTTGAACTCTTGGCCTTAAGTGATCCTCCTGCCTCAGCTTCCCAAAGTGCTGGGATTACAGGCTTGAGCCACCATACCTGGCCAAGTTACCTTCTTTTTGCTATGGCTTATAAAATGTTTTTTCAAAAAACACAGTGCAATCTACTGAAATAATAGGTACTTGTTCAGCATCTGACATATGCACAGCATTATACCAGCAGGCAGGGAGAACAGATAGAAATGGAAGATGTGGCATTAGACCCCCTAGGATCACATCCTTAAATCAGGATTTAAAAACTACTAAGTTCATCAGGGAAAAAAATGAACTCAGCTTTTCCCAGCAGTGTCTAAAAATTTCTGTAAAGTTTTCTCTCTCCCATCCTGGGAGAGACTGCTCACTGGACAATTCCCCACCACCCCTCCATGCCACCCACCCACCCTCAAATAGGGAGATTTGCCAGTACCAAGGCACTGGGCATAGAAGCAAAGTAGAGCTCTGAGAATTCAACTTTATTAATGACTGTGCCGAGGCTTAGCCTTGTAGTCTGAGTAATGCTGCACAGATGGTGGAGAGCTAGGTCAAAAGGGAAGGAAAGATGACATTAAATAGCAGAAGTGTTGCTGAACGTTATATTAATATAAAAATTGTTTTATAAAGTAGGTACTAATTCCAAACCCACATAATAAGAATAAAACAATCACCAGAGAGGGAACCCTGAATAGGTGTGTCTCCCCTGCTCTCCTTTTTCTGAGTACTTTTCTCTTTATTTTTTATTTTACCTTCTGCAACTTCATCCAGTAACACAGTGATTTTCTTATCTTCTAATAATCTGTCTTTTAAAAATTTCATAAAGATTCCATTTGCCAATCCAGAATGCTGGATTTCAAAAGCTTCTGCTCCTTGACACCTTAAAAATAGAAAAAGAAGTTAAGCCAGGCACAGAAAGGCAAATACTGTATGTTCTCACTTATATGTGGATGCTAATAAAAATGAACTCAGAGAAGCACCCAGCAGAATGGTGGTTACCAGAGGCTGGGGGGGGGTGGGGACAGCGTGGGGACTGTTAGTCACAGGGTACAATGTTTCAGTTAGGAAAAAAGATAAGTATTTGAGGTGATATGTGAATTATCTTGATTCAATCATTCCACATTGAATACGTACATCATAGCATATCTTTGTATCCCATAAATACATACAATTATAACTTGTCAATATCCAATAAAAATAATTTTTTAAAAAGAAAATGTTAGAAAAGCAAACACTTGCCACATGGGACTTCTGTATACACCAATAAGCTTCATTTTCTCTTCTGCCTCTCACATGACATTGATAATTAAAGAGTTAATCTTTAAGCAGGAATTACATGCCCAATTTGGGCTTAATAATTAAGATACCATGATATGGAATGCTAAAGTCGATCATTTAAAATTTTCTACGCAGAATATCAAGGAGGTAAATTTATGCCTACATGTCTATAGGTATTTTCTAGGCCTCTAATCTATAATCAAAAAACCCTCAGGGGCCAGGCACAGTGGCACATGCCTGTAATCCCAGCGACTCAGAAGGCTGAGGCAGGAGGATCGCTTGAGCCCAGGAGCAGTGAGCTATGATGGCGCCTCTGCACTCCAGCCTGGGTGACAGAGTTAAGACCCCTGCTCCTAAAAAGCAAAAACAAAAAGACATCAAACAATAAAGGAAACTTCAACGTAAACATCAAATGTTCTTACGTGGCATATCCAAACACAATATTGGCGGTGACTTTTAGTGCATCCAAGATTGGAATGGTATCATCGTAGTCATTTCTATTTAAGGGAGGCGGAGGAGGGCAGATAGAAATATGAAAAGTTAAAGAGCATTCTTAAAAGGGTATAAATAATGAGAAAATACAACAGTTTTTTAGAATACATAATTTAAAATTATAGATTCAAAATTTTTCATCTAGGTAGCTACATATCTACCCAAAATAACCCACTAACTCCTTGTTAGCTTTAAAACTAGAGTTGCATTTGAACTCTGGCATTGGATTTTGATTGGTAAATGCTGAGCAAGCAAAAAAATAGTAAATCTAGAGGAACAGTCATTGGTTCTACTCCTTAGAAAGGCAATGGCAGACAAATGGGATCCAAACCTCCAAACATCTGCTTCGGCTACTCATTCCATGTCTGGAAGACCAGGACTGACTAGTGAGCAGAGATCCCAACTCCATGGGTGTTGGTTTTGTTAATTCCTGAGGGAATAACTATAGTGATTATTAAAGTCATCTAAAGGCATTCTGGAGAGTTGAATCCCCTGTAGTGTGAGTAAATGCCCATGCCCTTTAGTTCTTCATTTGTGTTCTATAGCAAATATGAAGAGTTAAAATAATTAGATATACATGGAGTAAATGTATTTTCCTCTAGTTTTGTTCTTCCAGTTTCAATGTATAAACTAAAATTCACAAACGCAAATGGCTTTTAGCATTTCACAGGTTTCTCTAGTTTGTCATGGTCGATATTTAACTCCAACAATTCTTTAATAAAGATTAGAAAACTTACCTTTTCCTACACATATCCAATAAGAACACATTAAGTCCAGTTTCTTTTTCTTGCATCAATTTCAGTATATTTTGTACACACAGACAATTTTCAGACCTATATGGATTTGGAGCATCAACGGGGACCATGAAGCTGTTCCCAAAATTTTCATAACCATGTCCTGCATAATATAATAACCCTGAAAAGAGGAAAAATAAGAGAGAGATAGATGTCAATTCTAAATGCACTCTGAACATACAGACTGCATAACTTTTTGTAGAAAAACCTTGACTTTAATTTTCTTCAGGTTGATGTGAGCATATGTAAGAAATACCCAATTATAAATATAGACAATGTTATTTTGCATTTAAAATTATTGGCAACAGGCCAGGCATGACGGCTCACACCTATAATCCCAGCACTTTGGGAGGCCGAGGCAGGCAGATCACTTGAGGTCAGGGGTTCGAAACCAGCCTGGCCAACGTGGTGAAACCCCATCTCTCCTAAAAATACAAAAATTGGCTGGGCGTGGTGGTGGGCACCTGTAATCCCAGCTACTTGGGAGACTGAGGCAGGAGAATCACTTGAACCTTGGAGGTGGAGATTGCTGTAAGCTGAGATCATGCCACTGTACTCCACCCTGGGCGACAGAGCAAAACTCTGTCTCAAAATAAATAAATAAATAAATAAATTACCAACAGTCTGCACTTAAAATTTGCATTTCAAGACAATATCAAAATGCTGTCTGAAGTATATCCTAATTTATAAAATATATTTGTAACCAATAGTATAATATAAAATACAATTTTATGTTATGATATATAAAAAAGAATGCAGCTAGGATTTCTCTCCTGACTCATTTGTCTCCTCCATGAAGCTAGGAGTTCTGTTAGGGCAGAGATAGTCTTACATTTATTTATTTGTGTGTTCCTGGCATAGAGAGCAGGAGCTTAGTAAGTATTTAACGGATGAACAAACACAATTCAGATGAATAGCAACTGCAATATGAAGTCAAGAAACTGCAGGTATTACCATAAACAGTTAAGGGTTATTAAAATATATAGTTTTATAATCAGAGATGGGAAATCTGACTTCGCAGATTGCTATTTTTTCTTTTTGCTATGAGATATAAATATCAATCTTCCATCTAGAGTCTTTTGACTCAATAATCTAAAATTTGGGATAGTTTTAGGACTCAACAGATGAATCATATTTCCTTACTGAGAAGTGATACTATAAAAACTAACCCAAACAACTCAATGTTTTCTTGAAATTTGTTTTGGCTGTAAAAAACAACAAAAATATCAGTCTGAACTTCTTCATAAAAGTACTGGACAAAACACTTTTGAAGATATCCTCCCCTCTGCTTGCAATATCTGGAGCCCACTGATTTTGCTCTCTCAATATTCTGGATTTAATGATTTCTTTACAGGGTATTTTAAAGCAAATAGTAAAAGCCATTTAGACAGGGAACCAAAAGTAGCTAATCCATTGTAATTATGGCCCCGACTCCTAGCAGAGAATGCGGCTTTGAGAATTAAAGACAATTTGCTTCATGTGGTCCTACAGGACAAAATCCAGGTCGTCTGCTTTTTCTGAATTTCGATTAAAATGAGAAAAATGGTTCTTTCAAATACGTTTCAGCTAAAATGAGAAAATGGATATACCCATTTTCAAGTGTGGGTTTATATTACAGCTCATGTGTGCACTGGAAGTTATCATGTAGGCACTGAGAGAAACAAAAAAGAAGGACAAAGTTCCTGACCTCTAAGCAGGAGATCAGGAGATTCATGTATCTCCATACATGAATTCACACGATTCACACGTTTATGTTATCAAGCAACAATGAAAGTCATCACATAATTAAATGCCATAAATCATGTTAGTGGGACAACCACCATGTACGTATGAAATGAGTAAAGTAGAGAGGAATATCAGTATGAAGTGAAACAACAGGGGATGGTCTTAAGAGAGGGAATGGCTAGAAATTTGCAAAGGCAGAGAGAGAGCGAGGTAGATTATGGGCAGGAGAACAGAAATAAACACGGATTGGACCTGGAATGAAAGCTAACAGAAAAGAGACTAGCCTAGCAAAAAACTAAATTACTGTTGTGAATGAAAATAAGACTGCACACACAGGGAATTTTAAAAAGGAGTGCACAGATAGGGTTTTAAAAATAATGACCAAAAGAATGGATTTAATTCAATAAACCACGAAGATCAGGTAAAGTGAAAAGACAACCCACACAATGGGAGAAAATATTTGCAAATCATTTATCTGATAAGGACAGCTTGTATCCAGAATAAAGAACTCTTCCACTCATCAATAAAAAGACTAATGACGGCCAGGCGCGGAGGCTCAAGCCTGTAATCCCAGCACTTTGGGAGGCCAAGGTGGGTGGATCACCTGAGGTCAGGAGTTCAAGACCAGCCTGGCCAACATGGTGAAACCCCGTTTCTACTAAAAATACAAAAATCCAGCTAAGTGTGGTGGTGGGAGCCTGTAATCCCAGCTACTTGGGAGGCTAAGGCAGGAGAATCGCTTGAACCTGGGAGGCAGAGGTTGCAGTAAGCTGAGATCGTGCCACTAGCACTCCAGCCTGGGCAACAGGGCAAGACTCCATCTCAAAAAAAAAAGACTAATGACTTGATTTAAAAATAGGCAAAGGATCTGATGCTTCTCCAAAGAGGATATATGAGTGGCAAATATGCACATGAAAAGATGCTCAACATCATTAGCCACTAGTTCCAAGTCATTTTAAACTCACCAGGATGGCTACAATAAAAAAGACAGACAAGAACAAGTGTTGGCAAGGATGCAGAGAAATTGGAACCCTCATTCATTTCTGGTGGCACAAATGTAAAATGGTGTAAGAACTTTGGAAAGAGTTTTGCAGTTCCTCAAAAAGTTAAATATAGATTACCATATGACCCAGGAATTTCACTTCCAGGTACATACCGAAGAGAAATGGAAACTACGTCCACACAAGAATGTGTACACAAATGCTCACAGCAGTATTATTAATCATGTCCAAAAATGTCCATGAGATGATAAATGGATAAACAAAATATAATCATATAATAGAATATTATCTAGCCCTAAAATAATGAAGTTCTAGTACATGCTACAATATGAATGAACTTTGAAAACATGTGAAGTGAAAGAAGGCAGACATAAAAGGCCACATATTGGGTGATTCCATTTATATGAAATGTCCAGAATAGGCAAATCCACAGAAACAGAAAATAGATTGGTGGTTGCCAGGGGCTGGGGTAAGGAGGAATGGGAGTGACTGTTAATGGATATGGGGTTTCTTTTTGGGGTGATGGAAATGTTCTGAAGTTAGGTAGTGGTGACTGATGCCCACTTTGTGAAGATACTGAAATCACCAAATTATACACTTTAAAAAGGGTACAACTTATACACCTCCATCAAGTATTCAAAATATAACTTTATTTTCCATCAGTCTCTTTACTGCTTCAAGAGCAAGATAAACTTATTTTTAACGTCCACAACTTTGCTCAAGTTACTCTATCTCCGTTCTATCTACCCAAACCATAACCAGTCCTCAAGGGTTATTTCCAAAGTTCAGAATCCTTAGCAAGTTACTCACCTGGTAACTACTACCTGGTAACTGGTTTGTGGCTTTCTAACACACTTCAAATTCTCCCTACTTTGAAATGCTGTAGCAGCACTTTCTGACAATCACATACTGGCTTTTCCTGACATTCTATAGTCCTATGTCTACTTAGTTTTTCTGATAAGAAATCATAATGACACTAATCTTTTACATTTACACACTCTGAGTAGCTCTTATCTGAAATGTTTGGGACCAGGAGTGTTTTGGATTTGGGATTTTCAGATTAGAGATATTCAACCTGTATAACATTTTCTTGGTTTTCAAAGGACTTTCATATACACAATCTAATTTTAATCCATATAACAACTTTAAGTGATTTCTGCCCTTATTTTATAGATGAGAAAATTAAATTACAAAGATTAAATGATTTGCTTAAAATCACAGAGTTGATGTTTTGACTCCATAGTGTTTTTTTCTCCTTGTATTAAAGGACTATAATTTTTTTTTTCTTTTTTTTTTTTTTTTGAGACGGAGTTTCACTCTTGTTGCCCAGGCTGGAGTGCAATGGTGTGATCTCAGCTCACTGCAACCTCCGCCTCCCGGGTTCAAGTGATTCTCCTGCCTCAGCCTCCCGGGTAGCTGGGATTACAGGCATACGCCACCATGCCCAGCCAATTTTGTATTTTTAGTAGAGACAGGGTTTCTCCATGTTGGTCAGGCTGGTCTCAAACTCCAGACCTCAGGTGATCTGCCTGCCTCGGCCTCCCAAAGTGCTGGGATTACAGGCGTTGAGCCACCGTGCCCGGCCCAGGACTGTAATTTTCTTAGGAGGACAGATCATGATCTTTATTCACTATTATTTCTCTCAGCACATAGCATACTCCTTCATCTGGACTATAGATGTAACAAAAATAACTCAGTAAATACTTACTGAATTGCATTAAATTAACAATGCAAACCAATCAAGACAGGGTCAGATCTGGAGGTCTCTTTTCAAGGGTCTGACTTTTAGTAGAAATGGTACCATTTCAACAACTGGTATTACTCAGAGACGACTGACAGCAGGCCTGGGTGCTGCCTCCCTCATGTCAGGTAATACGTCTGGCTCCAGCAAGACTTGATTGGGGTGAAGATACAACTCTGAGGGAAGGCTTAGCTTCCATTCATCCAGGGAAAAGCTGAATGTTGTTCTGTTACATTAATGCCACATGCCCAGCCCTGCAACTGCTGAATGGAATTAAGGCACTTAACACCAAAATATTTTTTCTCTTTCCCAAAATGTCTTACGAAAAGTGTAACTATTCTGTATCAAAGTCTGCAACCAAATTATATTGAGGGGAATTAAGTACTTTTGTGTAAAATGAACTAGTCCAAATCATTTTTTTAAAAAATTTATTTATTTATTTATTTGAGACAGGGTCTTGCTCTGTTGCCCATACTGGAGTGCAGCAGTGTGATCACAGCTCACTGCAGCTTCGACCTCACAGGCTCAAGCTATCCTCCCACCTTAGCCTCCCAAGTAGCTGGGACCACAGGCATGTGCCACCATGCCTGGCTAATTTTTAAATTTTTTGTAGAGATGAGGTCTCACTATATTGTCCAAGGCTGGTCTCAAACTCCTGGGCTCAAGCAACCCTCCCACCTTAGCTTCCCACTGTTAGGATTATAGGTGTGAGCCACCGTGTGTGGCCCAAATCGTTGTTGTTGTTGTTTTTAAATTCCATCTCTAGTACTGCTTATTTATTTAGTTAACCATCCCATTACTCAAGGATAGAGAAGAAAATAGGTATTTTTTAAACAAATGTCAAAGAACTTACTGTACTTAGAAATACAATTCTGCAAATTAGATCTTTAGGGAGTTTTATTTCTTGGGAGGATGATTCAAGAATATAGTCACAGATATTTATTTTTGTCTACAGAGAAAATAATCATTTAAATGAAAAACTTTTCCACTCAACTGAATATGCACTCCACTTAGCACAGTGAGTGGCTGATGAGCACAACACCCGCCACCCCAGCAGGCTTACACGGCACTTACTATGTGCCAGGCACGGTTCCAAGAAAGGTCACTAGTTACATTGCCTCACACAATCCTCACAACAAAGTAGGTAATATTAACATCCCTCTTTTACAGATGGGAAAACTGAGACATGAAGAGGTTTAAAAGCTCACCCAAACTGAAATGCCTAGTAAGTGACAGAACCAAAATACAGATGCAGGCCAGCCTCGCTACTGTGCTATATGATACTGTCTCTATAATCTACTGCTGGCTTTTTAGGTAACTCGACTCTCAGACAACGTAAAATGTCAGTGCACTGGCTTTTCACTGTTTTACTACACTACAGCTTTAAACCCCCTGACTTTTTTTCCTCAAAAAAAAAAAAAACAAAAAAAAAAACACAAAAAACCTTTGGCAGGCTGGGTGCAGTGGCTCACGCCTGGCCTTTTGGGAGGCCAAGGTGGGTGGATCACAAGGTCAGGAGATAGAGCGAGACCATCCTGGCTAACACAGTGAAGCCTGTCTCTACTAAAAATACAAAAAATTAGCCAGGCGTTGGTGGCATGTGCCTGTAATCCCAGCTACTCTGGGGGCTCAGGCAGGAGAACTGCTTGAACCCAGGAGGCAGAGGTTGCCGTGAGCCGAGATTGCGCCACCGCACTCCAGCCTGGGCGACAGAGCAAGACTCCATCCGTATCAAAAAACAAAACAAACAAAAACCCAAAACCAAAAAAAAAACCCAAAAAACCTTAGGTAGACCCTTAATACACAGAAACTGATTAAAGCTGGGTTTCTCTCATTGAGGCCTGAAATAGAATGCTACCTAGTCCAAATCCCCAATCTAAAGATGAAAAAGTGCTTGAATGTCTTTAATAAATTGACAGGAAACGACAACAATAATAGGTACAATATTTTGAGCATTTTTAGTGTGCCAGGCACAGGGATAATTATTTTATCTTATCCTGTAAACCTCATTAATTTAGTTCTATCCATTTTGTAGATTCCTTTTGGCTTAGAAAAGTTAAAGAACCACAGTCACACAGCTAAGTCAGCAGAAAGCCAAAGCTTTGAACCCAGGCTAGCTATGCTAAGGCCCACTGCTTAACCACTGAGCTATGTGAACTGAACAGCTGCTCCGCTGCAGGCCGAATAACACTTTTGCCATATTCCGACAAGACTCCTTTACCGTTCTTCTACACGAAAGCACAACTAAGCTGCAGCAAGCGATGAACACAGAAAGGCTATGCAGGGATAGATCTCAGGCCAAAGGGTTACTTTTTATCCTGGCCATCTATACAACATAACTAGAAATCTTTCTCCTTATTTATCTTTAAGGACATGTATTTTTGTATTTTTAAGGACAGTTATTTCTGGTTTTGGTTTCTGTTTTTTATGTTTACATATGTTTAAAACTGAATTATTGTCTGTTCTGTTGCAACTTTTATTTCTTCTACAAACCTGCGTGCAATATAATATAAAAGGGCATGAACTCGAGTTCCTCTGTTCTCCGTATCTAGCTGTTCATGCTGAAATTCCTGTGACTCTGCCTTCCATCTTCCCCCACAGCCCTCAAGCACTGAGTCCCCTGGTAATATCAACTAGCGGTAAAGGCATAGTCCAAAAGAAAAACTAAAGGTTTCTTTATGATATGCCCTAAACCCTCAAGCCTCTACCACACTTACATTTAGTGTAGATGTGTCTGATGTTTGGAATATTCACAATACTTCAAAATATAATGCAGCCACCCTGTTAAGACACGAATCAGTAGGATTTAAAAGTTTTCTAGCTTTCTTAAGCTGACATTTTGCTTTAACATGCCTCTTTATTTTGTACTCCAAGATGACGTTTTTATATTGGGGCAAAGCTTCAGCCTAAACTGCAGTCTTGTCACAATTTTTAATATTTCTGGTTCTCTACTTCACAGGGGCAACTAAAGGATCTGTTTTTGTTATTTTGAGATGGAGTCTCGCTTTGTTGCCCAGGCTGGAGTGCAGTGGCATGATCTTGGCTCACTGCAACCTCCCCCTCCCAAGTTCAAGTGATTCTCCTGCCTCAGCTTCCCAAGTAGCTGGGATTACAGGTGCCCACCATCACGCTGGGCTAATTTTTGTACTTTTAGTAGAGACGGGGTTTCACCATGTTGGCCAGGCTGGTCTCGAACTCCTGACCTTAGGTGATCTGCCCGCCTTGGCCTCCCAAAGTGCTGGGATTACAGGTGTGAGCCGCCATGCCCTGGCCACAGGATTTGGTTTTAAAAGTCAAACAAAGGGCTTAAAAGCCAAGGTGAAAATATCAATAAGAAATGAGAATAAACAACCAAGGTAGTAATTCTTCATATGATTCCCTCAATCTTTAAATACTTCACCAATACAGAAACCTAAACTGATCAATATTTTTTCCTTACACCTCATCACTTCTAGTGAAGTTTTGGAAGCCTTTTCCTTTTTATGTCACGTAGGCACCTTAAAAGCTGAGATCAATTGTATAATATAAAAACAAACAACACCCCTGATGCCAGATTGAAAATACAGGTTGAGTATCCTTTATCCGAAAGACTTGGGACCAGAAGTGTTTCAGATTTTTTTTTTCCAGATTTTGGAATATTTACGTATACATAATGAGGTTATCTTGGGGATGCCACCCAAGTCTAAACATGAAACTCATTTATGTTTTTCTTTTCTTTTTTGAGACCAAGATTCCAAGTCTCATTCTGTCGCCTAGGCTGCAGTACAGTGGTGTGATCTTGGTTCACTGCAACCTCTGCCTCCTGGGTTCAAGCGATTCTTGTGTCTCAGCCTCTTGAGTAGCTGGGATTACAGGCATGCACCACCACGCCCAGCTAATTTTCGTGTTTTTATTTTATTTTATTCTATTTTTTTTTTTTTTGAGACGGAGTCTTGCTCTGTCACCCAGGCTGAAGTGCAGTGGTGTGATCTCGGCTTACTGCAACCTTCACCTCCCGGGTTTAAACCATTCTCCTGCCTCAGCCTCTTGAGTAGCTGGGATTACAGATGACTGCCACCATACATTTTTAGTAGAGATGGGATTTCACCATGTTGGACAGGAGGGTCTCGAACTCCTGACCTCAGGTGATCTGCCTGCCTTGGCCTCCCAAAGTGCTGGGATTACAGACGTAAGCCACTGCGTCCGGCCCAATTTTTGTATTTTTAGTAGAGATGGGGTTTCGCCATGTTGCCCAGGCTGGTCTCAAACTCCTGGGCTCAAGTGATCCACCCACCTCGGCCTCCCAAAGTGCTGAGATTACAGGCATGAGCCACCATGCCCAGCCTCATTTATGTTTCATATACATATTATACACATAGCCTGAAGGTAATTTTATACAATATTTTAAATAATTTTGTGCATGATACAAAGTTTTAACTGCGACCCCTCATGACGTAAGGTGTAAAATTTTCCACTTGTGGCATCATGTTGGCACTCACGAAGTTTTAGACTTTGGATTTTCAGATTAGGAATGCTCAACCTGTATAAGCCAATTACCAAGGTGGCATATTTGCATTGTATATTCTTTCATATTTTCATAAGAAAAAAATGGATGGATTCACCCATTAGTCATCAGTCCATAAGAGTTATAAATAAAGTTTTATTAACACATCAGCATAATAGCTGAAATCTCACATTTGAGGTGTTTACCTTGTTAACTTCATTTGTCTTTCTCTAAATCCTCACTATTTAGAGAGGGAAACTCATTTAAGTAAGATTTTGAGACTTTTCCCCATCCCTTACACAACAGTGTGGTAAATCTTGGGGGGAAAAAAAAAGCTTTTGTTCCATTAAAAATTCTACTTTGAGCACCATTAAAAATTCTGACCAAACTTGCCTTATCATATCAATCTAATTATAAATAACAAGAGTAAATTCAGAAATTATTAAAATAAAATAACTGGAAAGATACAGGAGCCAAACCGGTACTTTTTGTTTATCATTGCATGCCTAACAACAGGCCTGGAAATGTCACTTCCCTGGCAATCTGATGTTATTGCACAATGTCATGGAAGCACAATCCTGCAAAACACGGTTCAGATGAGCTCAACAGCTGGCCTTCCCATATTGAAAGAAATAAATCACCAAATAAATGATTAGCTAGTGACAGCACATTCTGTCTCCTTTGAAATTCTTTACCATATATGCAGTGTTAATATATTTAGGTGAAAGAATGGGGAAAAAACATTAAATATTTACTGTAAGAATTTTTGTAGAGGTACATTTCTAAGCATATCTGTATAGAACTTTAATTTACAAATTACTATTATATGCCCCATCCACCAACATTTCCTTGTTAAAATCTAGTTCTCACTAAAAGACTAGAAAAGACCATGCAATAGTTAGGAAAAGGAAACATACAAAATATACATTCTACTAGAACCTTTTATGCTACCCCCCTCAAAGAAAACCCCACATACTGTAATATTTTACGCATATGAATGTAAATTTTGCTGTGTGGTTATCAAGTTTTATTATACTGTGGCTCTATCAATTAAAAAAAAATCACAAAAGACAGGTAAGAATTCTAGTAAGAAAAATATGTTTTGACAAAACAGGAAACATAAAAGTAAAGACATGAAGCTAATTAGTTATTCAGATGGAATGAAGATCAAATGTATCATCTTAATAAGAAAAATAAAACTCTTCCATTCAACAACATGTTTACCTTATCTTTATCTGATTTTCAATTCTTAACCTAACTTGTATAATGAAAAGAATAATGGATAATTGTAAAAACAAACATTATAAATATCTTACCATATACTCCCTTGTCTAAAAGGAGTAAAAACTCATCCACAGCATTACGCATCTCATATTCAGTAAGATCCAACAGTGAAACCACTTTGAAGTCCAGCTGTCTCAGTAAGTTAGTCAATTCGTACACATCCACCAAAGGAGCTTTGAGCTTGGGGTGCTCCCGGTAATTCATATTTCCTATCAAAAGGGCAACCTTGTCCTTCGCTTTGAAAAAAAAAGAAAGGGGGTGTTTAAAGAAGATATAAAGATTAAAACAAAACCTATGGAGATGGTATTATAATAAAAAGTATGCTTTAAGATTGCATTATTTCATTTCAAATAAGATTTCATTATTTAATTTCATTTTAGAACTATTTATGTAAGCAGATCAATATTCTCTGAGGAACACAGATGCTAAAATCATCAAACTGAAATTAAGCATATTCACACTTTTGAGAGCCAGGCAAAGGATATTTATTAGCTGTATATGAAACATAACAGTAATTAATATTAAAGTTTACTTTTATTAAATTATAACAAAAGGGATATAATATTCAACTAGACTTTTGGAGAAAATTTAAACAAGGAATATTTGAAATTGGGTTCCCATCAAATTAGGTTCTGTTTTGCTGAGAATGGAAGAGGCTAAAAACAAGATAACTAAAAAAGGGACAGGAAGAATCCCATCAGAGTGAATGAGGGGAAATATCAAAGAGAGAGAGAACTTCACGGGTACTGTATTCTTGGTTTCTGCAGTAGCCATGTGGATGTACTACCGTCTCCTCTTAGCATCTTTTAAAAATACTCCCCCATTTGACTCAGATGAGGCTATTTCAGGGGTATGTGAAGATTTTGTGTATGAGTACCTTAAAAGTTCATTTTTTGAACTTAGTGCACTGAGACTTTGCTCAAAGATAATGTATTCTGATAGAAACAGTTTTTTTGTTCATAAGAGAAAAAAAGATCTGTATCTATGCCTTAAAAAGTAGCAGCTAGCTTAACCAGGTGTGCAGCCCATCTAAAACAGTGTGGAAAGCCAGACCTAGCTTAGTGCTTATGAGGTCTTCAACACGGTACCTTTCTTTGATAGCCTGGAATGGGGTCAATGGTTAAAAACTCAAGACCCACTGGTATCAAAGGGAAGAAAAAAATAAAAAAAAAAAAATAAAGAACACACCAAAACCTCAAGACCATCCCGTGACAATAATAGCCTCTGACGGCTTTCTTCTTGAGGGCTGACAGTGGGGCGTGTGCAGCACCCGTAATAGTAGCAGCAGTGACAGAAATGCCAGGGAGCAGAGAGACAGGGTGACAAGAGCACCTGCAGCCCCAGCCAACTGGCTGAAGAGCCGCCTGGGTAGAACTGCAGGCCACCCCCTCTGACGCAGGCCAGGACTTGGTAACCAACCCCTGCCACAAAGTGCTGCTAAGTAGTTTATTTGTAAGTTATTATGAATACTACTCTTATGAAGTTGAAACAGGCATGAATAATCACATTGCTGACTCGACGTCTACAATATGTAATTTCAGATGTTTCAAATAATTGAGATGATTATTTCACCAAAAATCTCTCTGGTGAAATTGCTTTTCTTTCCATGGAACACTTAAACCTAGTGTTAAAACTAGCATCAATTTAAAAGACTGTGACTCTCTCAAAGGATAAAAAAAACTCTACTTTGTGAAAAGCCTCAGTAATTTTATATCATGTCATCTCTATTCTATATGTACATGTTCAGAGATTTCTAGCCAACTGCCCAGTGTTATGAATATACATAACAGTGAAATGATACTTAAGCCGCATTATTAATTCAATGAAAAAGCGGAGAATACTCAGCATGGATTTCAATAGGAGGCAGCATAAAACTTAACATCACTTGTATTTCCTTTTTTTTGAGACGGAGTTTCGCTCTTGTTGCCCAGGCTGGAGTGCAATGGCATGATCTCAGCTCACTGCAACCTTCTGCCTCCCGGGTTCAAGCGATTCTCCCACCTCAGCCTCCCGAGTAGCTGGGATTACAGGCATGCGCCACCACGCCCAGCTAATTTTGTATTTTTAGTAGAGATGGGGTTTCTCCACTTAGGTCGGGGTGGTCTCGAACTCCTGACCTCAGGTGATCTGCCCACCTCGGCCTTCCAAAGTGCTGGGATTACAGGTGTGAGCCACCACGCCTGGCCTTTTTAAAATTTCTTTTAAAATAAACTAGTATTCTTACACTAAAGTACCTGCTACAGCAAGACTCTTAGCTGGCTGATCCACAGCACATTTTTTTGAGTCCATCAATGCTATTAGAATAAGGATCCAACCTCAACAGAGTGACAGACTCAAATCAGTCTTCTTCTAAGGTGAGGGGAAATGTGAGAATGCATTGTCTCTGCTTTACATCATTATAGTCCAAATCATAGGTTTACAGCAAGAGGTTAAAAAGTTACTGGGGTAGTAAAATGCTTGTAAATAATTCCATTTTTCCATGGAATACCATCATTTAATTATACACATCATAGATTTTTATTGGTAGAAAACAATTATAAGTATATAATAAAAAAATCACTGGGTCTTTGGGGAAATAAAATTAACTGTCAAACTAAGCATCATGGGATGTTTTTGCTGATATCAAATCATTATTCACTGGTTTTGTTCTCTATTTGGGAAAGAATACTTGGTACAGTTTACAGAATGCACGGGTTCAACAGTGTGAGAACTACAGGTCTTAAAACATATGTATCGATAATTGTCTATAACACTTCTAAAATTTTCCTCCAATGATAATTTTTAATAGCTAGTTCCTAAGATGTCTTACAGCATTTCCTTGACTTTACTGGTGAAAAAGATGGTGGGTAAGTAAATCTTACCTGTCCAATCTACTTGTAAAACAGTTCCTGGGTGACAGGTGAACTGGGGTGGATGGAAGATCGAGAAGTAGTAGAAAGGGAGAGGAAAAAGGACACGACAGAGAAACGAACAATAAAACTTGAATTTGAGGAGGTAAGAGTGAGGAATAAAGAAAACTTCAAGACGGCAAATATAAAGCAATTTATAATGGTTTTCAAGTGATAACATAAATGAAAGAGTTTTTCTGTAGAAAAATATTTACTGTAAGAGCTACCCACAACTTCTTGAACACAAACAATTTATTGGAAAAGTGAAACAAAAATGCCAGTGGATTCAGCAAAAGAATAATGAAGCCACTTCAGAAAGACATTTTAACTCATGATCCTAAACGTCTTCCAAAGTTTAATGTAATATATTCTTCAAAAACTGGTGTTATATCATTAATCCCATGTCTAATAATTCTGATTATTATGTTACTTTTCTAAATAGAGTTAATATTCAGAAGCACCTAGAAAAGGAGCTGGCATATAGTAAATGCTATTAAGTATTTATTTAAAAATCACATGTATTAAATCTTTTAATGACTCTCCATGTCCTACAAAATAAAGTCCCAGTTTGATGGTGTGGGTGAGGAACAGGCAGCTCAGTATTGCTGGAAGGTAGAGGACTAGGGAAGGAGTGGCTGGGGGTTAGACTGGTGATGTAGTTTGGCATTCAAGGCCATTTGCATTCTAGTCCATGCCTATCTTTCCAGATGTGGTAGCAGGTAGCCCCCAGCAAACCACAGTATCCTTGCCCTTGTGTAGTACAGTCACCCCCACCTGTGAATCTGGGCTGTATCACGACTTTCTTTGAGCAACATAATATGTGTGACCCCTCTGCCAGTTCAGGGTCTAAGCCCTTAAAAGCTCTGACAGTTTCCACTTTGGAGATCCAGCCCGACATAAAGAAAACAGCTACATGGAGAGACCACTCAGGGAGGGAGAAGGAACCAAAGGAAAGAGGGAGAGGGAAACGAAGAGAAAGAAGTTGGGGGCGGGAAGAGGAGGGGAGGACAGAGAGAGACAGACAAGGAGAGGGAGAGACAGAGAGACAGAGTAAGAGGAAGAGAAAGAGAGAGAGAGAGGGAGGGAGATTTTTTCAGTCTTCACAGTCTTTCACCAACCCCCACTAAGGTGCCAGGTATGTAAGCAAAGCCATCTTGAATGTGGCAGTCCCAGCCTCATCTGACTGCAGTTGCATGAGAGACCCCAAGAAAGACCAGCAGAACCACCTGCTAAACCCAGTCCAACCCACAGAACAATGAGAGATAATAAAACTGATGCTGTTCTTAAGCTAGTAAATTTTGCAGTGTTATTCAGCAATAAATAACTACATTACCAGTATAGCCTCCAGCCACTCCTTCCCTAGTTTTCTACCTTCTAGCAATACTGAACTTTGTTCCTCACCCACACCATCTATTTCATGCCTCCATTCTTACCATGTCTTCACCCTTTTTTCCCTCTCCTTCATTTCTGAATGAACTCTCATCCCATATATTTTCATTTTATCCCCTTGAGAGCTCCCAATTCGTCCTTGAAAATCCTCACCTTGGCTTTGCCTCTTAGGTAAAGCCCTCTCTAACTCTCCTCGACTAATCTGATCACCATCTTCTATGAACAATTTCTAGATTCTTTACATATTTCTACTAGGCATGTAGCATGTACTATATTATTCATTTAATGTCTGCCTCCTATTAGTATCCAAAGCCTTGAATTCACAAACCAAGGCTTGTTCTCTTGTTTCATTAAGCAGCGGTCCCCAACCTTTCTGGCACCAGGGACCAGTTTTGTGGAAGACAATTTTTCCATGGACGGTGTCAGGGGAGGGGTGGTTTTGAGATGAAATTGTTCCATCTCAGATCATCAGGCATTAGTTAGATTCTCCTAAGGAGTGCACAATAGGGTTCACACTCCTATGAGAATCAAATGCCGCTGCTGATCTGACAGGAGGCAGAGCTCAGGTGGTAATGCTCGCTCACTCGCCTCCTGCTGTGTGTCTCAGTTCCTAACAGGCCACAGACCAGTTCTGGTCCACAGCCTGGGGGTGGGGGATGCCTGTCATAAAGCACAGATGAAACATTAGATAAATGTTTAGTGAACTTCAATGATAGAAGTTGACCTGATATTCCATTTATCTTGTTATTCTTTCAATTGGGACATGTTTGAGAAAGAATACCTGGCATAATGGAGCTAACGGAGGCTATGGAATGAGAGATAGATGGGTTTCAATCCTGTCTCAACTACTACATTGTATAATCCTGAGCAAGTTTTATTAAACACTTACAGTTTTAAATTTTCATCTACTAAAAATGAGGAAAAATACCTACATCTCAGGGTTAAATTAAACATTTCACTAGGTGAAAACACTTAGTTTATTAGCATTACTATTAAATGCATATTTGTGATTAAACCATCTTCAGCAACTAACCCAGTTACATTTGGATCTTGTCATTTTGTGTACCTAAGACATATGTATGCTCCTCTCTACAGAATATGATGGCTATGCCTTTGTTCAGAACACTATTTTAATAGGTATTTCTTAATCAGTGAGGTCTGTCTGGAGGATCTAAAGAAAAGATCATGGAGCTGGAATACATGAAAACTTACCACTATGAATGAAACATAGCAGGTTTCTTTTTTTTTTTTTTTTTTTTTGAGACAAGAGTCTTACTCTGTCGCCCAGGCTGGAGTGCAGTGGCACAATCTCCACTCACTGCAACCTCCGCCTCCTGGGTTCAAGTGATTCTCGTGCCTCAGCTTCCCGAGTAGCTGGGATTACAGGCGTGTACCACCACACCCAGCCTATCTTCTCTATTTTAAAGCTGAGATCTGCTACAGAAAAAGCACACAACTGATCTGAACCATTATAAATTCTTACTCTTTAAAAGTCTTAGTTGGACTCTCAATACACATTCACTTGTAGATCAGACTTGTAAGACCTTGCTTCCATTTTCTTTAGCCTCTAAGCCTCTGCCATAGAATAAGATCTATATTCAGCCTTACTTTACTCTTTTTCCCTCAATCTTTTTTTTTTTTTTTGAGACAGAGTTTCACTCTCGTTGCCCAGCTGAAGTGCAATGGCACGATCTCAGCTCACCACAACCTCCACCTCTCGGGTTCAAGAGATTCTTCTGCCTCAGCCTCCTACGTAGCTGGGATTACAGGCATGCACCACAATGCCCAGCTAATTTTTGTATTTTTAGTAGAGACGGGGTTTCTCCATGTTGGTTAGGCTGATCTCAATCTTCTGACCCCAGGTGATCCTGCCTGCCTCGGCCTCACAAAGTGCTGGGACTACAGGTGTGAGCCACCATGCCCAGCCTTTTCCTCAATCTTTTAAGCATATTACTACGCCTAATTACTTAGAAACAAAAAACATAAACTAAAAATGTCCTCAGCTTCCCAATAAATCTATCTGTTCACCAATCTCTCCTTCTTTTTAATCTCAAAAGAGGTTTCAACATTCTGATTAAAGCCAATTTCTCTTGTTTTCACCTTGGCCCAAATCCCTATCATCTCTTCTAGGAACTTGCTCTATAAATTGTCCTCTCTTTGATGGATCACTCTAATCTACACAGTCTCAACAGATACTTCCTTTCCAAATGTAAATATCCTCACATTTTCCCCTCCTACCAAAACACTTTGAATATATGCCCTATCTAGTTAATTTCAAACCACTCTTTCTTTCCAACAAATTAATATGTACTGTCTTCATTTGTTCACTTCTGAATCTTTCTTTTTCCACTATTTTATACATTGTATCCATGTTTAAATTCCCAGCATAACTCAGTAACTGACACATATTAGGCACTTTCAACATTCCACTCAAAGCCACCAATCACATCTTCAGTAGCTGAATCCAATGGACAAATTTTAGACATATTTTATCTGGCTTCTGCCAGCATCAAGCTGTTAGCTATTTTTACCATCTTTAAATGTTAATCTGCTAAACTTTTATCTGCTAAAGTTTTCTCCCTTACATTTTCTTGTCCCAGGCATTCTTCAAATGCAACTGTTCGTTTACATTTTATCCTAAATTCTTTTCTCTTTCCATTGGAGAAGACAGGGGAGCAAACGCTAAAGCTACTGCAGCCTTTGTGATTTCTATCCCTCACCAAGAGACAGCACTAACCACTTCCTCCTCTATGCTAACTATGCAGCATGTACATGTTTCTTTTTGTACGCATGTCTGTTTGCATATCGTGAGAAACACACAAATCACTCCACAGAAGTTGACTTGACCCTAGAAACTGAATTTGTAATCATTTTTAAGCCTCCTCTTCTAAACCTTCTTTTACAGATACAAAAAAATAAAACATTTGGTCCCAATGTTATTCACATTTCTTTAAAAAACCAAATTAAAATGTCTTAAATTCCTTCTGGAGTTATACACAATAATTATACTTTGATAATGCATTTTAAAGTTCTACTCACCCAAAGGCTGGTCAGTTGTTTGCTCTTTATTATCTATACAAAGATAAAAAAGCAAAACATGTAAGATCCATGGTATATTTCCAGAGTTAAAGATACATGAAAAGTATATAACATCAGCAGCATCACTTACAGAATATAGTTTCTACTCTTCAGATTTTTAATAAAAACACTCTTGAATGGAAAAAAACGATGGTGGTGTTCACAATAGGAAGTAGCAGTAGTTACCATTTCCTGATGCCTCAGCTGGCACCGTTCTATATGCTTTATATATAACAGATCTAATGAAACCTCACTCTACCCTATGAGGTGCCTACTATTATTAACCCCATTATATAGATAAGGAAATTAAGGCAGAGAGAGATTAAAGTCACTTGCCCAAAGTTATGAAGCTAGTAAGTAGCAAATCTGGATACTAACTTAGGGAGTCTCCTTCTGGATTCTATGCTTTCACCCTCTAGTATACATAAAATAAAATCCCGCCCCGCACCTGAAGCACCATGTAGGGAAAGATGTAGTTCATCAGTTGTGTGTCCACTACTGTCGGGAGATAACTTTGTACTACTGGTCAAATACATGCCACTGAAGCCTATTAAAAGCTTTCCCTATACAACATTCTTCTTTTAAACCTAAATTTTTGGTACTCCCTGAATTGTGGGAAATGAGGAAAAACTCAAAGGGCCAGGAAAATTTTAGAATCTTAGTGGTGGCTATTTACAAAAGTTTTTCTGAAATAACTTTTCATAATGTTCATTAAAGAAAAGCAAGAATTAACAGACTAATTTAGGAAAGGGGATTCTATCCAGACCCCCTATTCTCCCCCAGTAAGAGAAACAATTACTAGGATGGTTTTTGACAGTTCAAGACCTACTTGAGGCAGGTCTCATTGAGGCTTTATGTGAATTTGAGGACACTACAGCAAGGAGAATGACGCACAGGTAATGGGGACTTTCTGCTGTGTCTAGTTTGCTTATATACAGTCAGCACAGCCCAATGGCATTCACAATAATAGATGTTTGCTAATGCAATATGAGTATGACACTAAGCAAACTAGTAATGATGCTAAAATAATGAGAAATAAGTGGAGAAGTAATAGGGTTTTCTACAAATATTAAATGACATAACCACCTTCTTAAACTATTCCTGAAAGGTTTTATTTTCAGATCTATCCACAGGTTCCATCATTGTCTTTCAGAAAGCCTACACGAGGTTGATATCCTGTGTCTTCATGTAGTTCTCACTGTTGATATGCCTTTTATCTCAGGTGAAGGCTTAACTTATTAGAAATCTGTTCTAATTAAAATTAGCCTACAGAGTTCTACATACTCTTGACAACTGTCACTCATTAAGAAATGGTCACTGACCAACCGACCTGTACGATGCCAATGATCCCCACAAACACACTTCTTACTCCAGATATAGGCACCCACCCAACTAGTTCAGATATGCTGTATGACTGAGGCACCAAGAAAAAGGTCCCAGGGGTCTGATCAGTTCAGAAATGTTACCCCTGTCACTCTGTCAAACACTGCTTCCTGCTTTCAGATTAAAGGTCACGTACTTCCCCCATTAACTTCCTTGTTATGATATAAGGAGTAATACACAATGATAATACCTTGAGGTTTTATGTTACCTCAAACACTTCTTTTCTACCCTTACAGTTTTATAACCTAAAATATTTTTAATGTATCACTTGTATAAAATTGTACTTCATGTAGTTAATTTCAACCTTAAATTATATTATTTCAATAAAGAGAAAAAAGTTACTAGTATTACTGTAGCAAAAGAGTACCTACGGTAACTTTGCTGCATTCAACAACTTAAAAATCTAAAACTAAAGTTTTATGTTTGTATTACTCACCAGGATGACCAAGATTATTTAATTCATCTAAAACAAAGTAAGAGAAAATAGATTAAGTAATCTAAACACCAATTTAGCACAAATAGTAAGACTAATCCAAGTAGTTTTGAGCCAGTGAATCATGTTATAGTGTTTTATCAGTTTACAACTTTTCAAATTAAATGAAGAAGCCATGCAAATACTGAATAGCAAAGAATAGTGAATATTGCTGTGCTTATCATTTAGGACTTCTAAGCCATCACTGTTTTCATTAAGTGACAAAAACTAGGCTCTTTCATAATTTATTCATAGTTTTAGATATTCTGGCTAATTAAAAACAGTAATCTCAAATGATCTTTTTAAGTCAACTTTTAATTTTAGAACATTTTAAGGTTTACAGAACTACTGTGAAGGTAGTGCAGAGAGAGTTCCTATATACCCCATACCTAATTTCTCTATTATTAACATCTTATGTTAGCCTAGTGTATTTGTCACGTCTTATGCTAGAATAGTATATTTGTCACAACTAATGAACCATTAATGGTCTTTTTTGCTCAGGGACTCCATTCAGGATCTCACATTACAACTGCTTGTGTCTCCTCAGGCTTGTATCTTCTTGGTTCTGACACCTGCTCAGGTGTTCCTTGTCTGTGATGACACTGACGGTTTTGAGGAGTAACTGTCAGGTATTTTGCAGAATGTCACTCAACTGAGATTTGATGTTTTTCTCATGGTTAGATTCATAGTTTCTCAAGGTGTAAGGTGTTTTTGGGAGAAATAGTGGTTTCAGAATTAACCTGTACCCCATGGGACATCTTATCATGGCCAATGGATAGGTAAAATAAGTAATGACATTATAGCTATCTATTTTTTCAAGTTTTATGAAGATAAAAATTAACATTAACAATAAATTACAAATGTTATATACTATTCATACTTTTTTAATGTAGAAACTTTATTCTTATATGTTACATAAAATCAATTGAAGAAGGTCTGAGTCAGCACATGTGTTATGTGCAATTTTTTTTGCCTTCAGTATTAGGCTCAACTCATTCCCAGTTACTTAGTTATTTAGGTCAGTAGCACTGTACTCTTTCACCCCTCTTCAGTGAGGCTGTACCATACATTTGCAATACAGTTAGGTTCTTTTCTTATAGTCTGTATTCCATCTTGGAATCCCCCTCCTCTGACCTCCTAAATGATTAAAATTTGTATACATGTATTCATCATTAATCATACAGAATAGTTCCACTGCCCTAAAAAAATCCACCTATTCAACCCGCACCCCTCATCCTGATCAAGTATCTTTTTTTCATTCATACATAATAATCGTACATATTTATGGGATACATATGATATTTTGACACATGCATATGATATATAATGATCAAATCAGGGTATTTAGGATATCCATCATCTCAGACACTTATTTCTTTGTGTGGGGAACATTTCACTTCTAGCTATTTTGAGAGACATGGTAAATAGCTGTTACCTATTGTCACCCTACTGTGCTATCAAACACTAGAACTGATTCCTTCTAACTGCAGGTCTGTACTTATCAACCAACCTCTCTTCATCCACCCCCAAGCCTCTTGCCAGTCTCAATCTACTCTCTACCTCCATGAGATCAACTTTTTTAGCTCCCATAGATAAGTAAGAACATATGATATTTGTCTTTCTGTGCCTGGCTTATTTCACTTAACATAATGACTGTTCCATCCATGTGGCTGCAAGTGACATCATTTCATTCCTTTTTTATGGCTGAATAGTCTGATCAAGTCTCTTGAATAAAATACACAAAATGAAATAGAGGACACCATGCTAAATAGGTAAAAATATATATATAATAAAGGACACTGTTCATATGCAATTCTCAATTTTGTGGACTTTCATTGAAAAAAATTTGGATCTAATTTTTTCATCTGAGACTTCTGGAGAAACTTCGTAACTGGATTTTCATCTCTATATGTTCTAAATAGAGTTATTTGAAAATTATTATTTAATAGTGTGCTTGCTACTGCAAAAATTATAGAGAATACTGCAGGTACAGAAGCAGCACAGCAAGGTGATAATTCACATGCATCACCTTGGAGCCAAACAGCGGGGCTAGCTTATATTTATTCTTAAGAGGTTTCCAACATTAGGAAGACTTAAAAACCATGCAATTAGGCAAAAAGGATTAGGAGAGGAAGAGGAGTTCGATTAGGATTTCTTCACATGGCTTCCCTCAAACAGGGTTAACAGATCATGGGATTAGAACTCTCTTACAAGAGAGAATTCTTGTTTGCAACTACATATTAGGATGAAAACAGTAATTATAGTATTTCAGAGTGATACTATAGAGACATGAAGGACAGGAAAATCAGAAAATATAAAATTTAACATTATTTCCTTACTTTACCCAAGTAGAGCCTAAGCTTATGTAATAGAGGCAGAAATTGAAAAAAATACTTTGCCATCCACAAATCTAATTTTGCAAAACAATGTGACATCACACTAAGGAAAGATGATCCAAATTTTAATATTTACTCATTACAATTTAAGTACAATGCTTTGGCTAATTAAAACAAATTAGAAGTTTATGTTGAAATAGATTTTCAGTTCCCTTTACATATTATGGTAAAGGTGACATGGTAGATTATCTAGAGTCCTGTAGCTTCAAAAAATCCTGATCAATTTTATATTAATACAGAATATTTAATATTTCATAGAACATATGTTAAACAATAAATCTCCTCTCCTGAAACTTTTATAAAAACTAAATTTCATTTGAGAGCATCTAATCATGGCTAAAGGACAGACAAAATAATCTAAAACAAATATCCATGATCACGTAGCCACCTATCTTTCTTACAAATTTTATGTAGATAAAAATTAACATTAAGAATTAATTGCAAATGTTCACTACTCAAAAGATACAATGCAGGAACTTTGTTCTTATATGTAATATTAAAAGAAAGTCAACTGAAGATTAGTTATTGTAATACTGTGTCAATTTAATCATGTCTGTCCATTTATAAAACTTCAAAGATTAAAATACAATATTCTTCAATCAAAATCATTTCTTACAGCTAGTATTTTTTCCATCACTGCACTCAGTAGGCTAAAAGCACTCCACCAATCCCAAGAGTAACTAGCATGCAGGAGATTTGGTTTCAAACCAAAGACTTACACTACCTTCAGTGCACTCCACTGCCTCATCTGTTCTTCCTTGTTTCAGAAAAAACAAATTTGAATATATTGTAATTCATGATCTTAAGAAGGGCAGCCGTCAAGCAAATAGAGATCAATATCATAGAGATAATGTTGGCAAACCAACACATGCATCAATACCTCCAACTATGAACAATATAACTATAAATATATTAAGCTGAAATATAACAAATTCCCAAATTACGCAGTTAAGAATGGGATTGTTAATAACCTTTCTTTCCTTTATATGTGTATAATGTTTGTTTTTAAAAATGTTTTATTAAAAATCTTTTTCTTTTATTATTATTATTTTTAATTCAACCTCCCAGCCTGAAGCAATCCTCCCACCTTAGCCTCCCAAGTAGCTGGGACCAAGTGCATGCCACCATGCCTAGCTAATTTATTTATTTATTTGTATTAGAGATGGAATCTCACTATGTTGCCCGGGCTGGTCTCAAACTCCTGGGCTCAACTGAACCACCAACCTTTGGCCTCCAAAAGTGATGGGATTACAGGTGTGAGCCACTGCACCTGGCCAAAAATCTTTTCCCACTGAATCAAGTTTTTTGTAGCTAAAGCTTTAAAGAATACATATTTTATCATAAGTGTTGAAAATAAACTGTAACTAAAATAATTTAAACAAAATGGCTTTTTTTCCTGATTCTTTTTGCTTTCTGTGAACCTAGATTATGATTTTAGTATGCATTCTTTCAAATTTCAATATAAACAATATAACTTCTAATGCTTAACACATCATTAAATAGTATGGGGTAAAAAGTATAATTTCCTTTGCTTAATTAAACGTTGCAGTTTATATAGCTTATATTATAGTCCACTTGTCAGAACACTGGGGAAATACTTCTTACCTATGATGATTTCTACCTTCTTGCTATCTTGACTGTCTCGATCATTATATACATGACACCAGTAGGTTCCTTGGTGTTCCAAATCCACATAAGGCACCTATATCAATATTAGAACATGTAAATGCTTCCTCTTCTATTTTAATGGCTTGGAGAAAAAATCATTTTGTGTTTTAAAAATACGCTCCAAAACATAACATCTTAGAAGGCTTTAGACATTTGTTACATTAGCTCCATTCATCAGGTTAAATACCAGCAAGTAAATGTTGTAATGATTCCAACAGTGCTGAGTTTCATGCAATACTATTTGACATTTTACATATAAGCCTGAGTTGAATTCTAGCACTTTAGCAAATATAAGAGCTAGTTAATATGAAATCATAAGGGACTTTAAATAAAAATACTGAAAACATTAAAACATCTGAAAGGATATGAGTTTTAATGTTCACCTTATATTTCAATTGTACCATTTGTTTTACATGTTAACTCCCCCAAAAGACCCCAAAATCAACTTCCTACCATGTATAGCTTTTTGGTCTCATGTGTTAATGGTAATTCATTTTTGAACCACTGGTAGTGAGGAATAGGGCTTCCAACAGCAACACACTGTAAAACCAATGTGCTGCCTGGCATCAGCTTTTGGGAAGTTGGTTCAACACAGATTTGCAACTTGGATTCAGAGACGCCATCAACACTTCCTTAAATTAAAAGAAAAAATAAAATCTCTAGGTTAAAAATAAAAATAAAATTTCCCTATAATTAAAGAGATGTGTCAAGTTCCCCCTTCATTTGTTACAATTTTTAATAACATTTCCCAAACTGTTTAAAAAAACTATAGCACTCATAGAAATATTACGAGATATTCTGTGGCCAAAAGAATGCTGTGGACAAATAAACTTAGAAAATTCTGGGTTAAACACATTTCTCGATTGCAGGACTTCTCAAAGCTTTAAAAGTGTTAGTATGAATTGTCAATTAAGGAGAGGAATATAGTTCAAGTGTCTTCTAAATGTGTTTGGCTGCAGAATCTTTTTGATCGAGGCAAACAACTTATTAACATCTTGAACGATATTGGCATTTAACATGGAAAGCTCTAAGTTCCGTTCTTTGACATACTGAAATAAGTTTTGTAACCCGCACTGAATAAATATTGGTGAGTTATCACTAACATTTCTACCCCAGGCAGATATTAGACATCATTTACTTAACACTCATTTAATACTCTTTAAGTTTCCTGAAGGCAAAGAGCTTGTCAATTTTATGCAACAAGTCTCCATTATGAAACTCAGTGTCTAACACATTACAGGTGATCAGTAATATTCATTGAATGAATATGATTCCACTTATAGATATATTATTACATGCACAAAAATAGTCTAGAAAGATATGCATTGCTCTCTTAATTCATCAGGATTATTTCTGGAGACTGCTCCACTCCCACATGGACACCTTACCGGGGCTTTGATATCCTGCTCTGGGTCATCCCAGTCCCTTCCCACTGCCTCCCACCCCACACAAATGTCTACCATGTTTGGTGCCACCTAATGCCTTTAGAACTGAGTTGACAAGGAAGGGTAAGCCAGCTGAATGTTTTACAAAATTTTAAAGGCAGACTGTGAGCTGGCATTAGGGTAACCAGTGGTCTCAGTTTGCCTAGGACAGAAAGGTTTCCCAGAATGCAGCACTTAAAAGTGCTAAGACTAGGAAAGTCCTGGGAAAACCAGATGGCTGGTCACCCCTAGTGGGCATGACCAATTAGATCCTCAAGGAACCCCAGCTGCAAAAGATTCTGCCTCACTCACCAACTCCCTGTCTTCGGCCCTTCTCAAGTGCTCTTGCAGAAGGCGAAGGAGGAGAGGAGAGCTAAAAGATCACCTGTGAAGTGCAGGTCCACAGGGCCTGTTGAAGGCTGACGGCACAACAGAGGCCTGAGGGAAACCCTTGGAGGCCCACGAGGCCCTCAGTGAATGCAGTGCCTTTGCTTTCCAAGGCTGGCTGGGGGCAAGGCAGCTAGGCAGGGGGGTCTCAGACCCCCTGAGACATAGAAGAGACAAGGGTGGGGTTGGTGAACAAAAATGCTTCAGTGGTCCAATAAGCTGAGACTCTGGATGTAAAGTGGAGAGAGATCTCTTGCAGTTTGGCACTAGAGCTGTAAAACAGAGATTTCTAGTCTTCTCGATATGTCAATTTCAGTCCTGCCAAAGGGAAATCCTCATTCTACCCTCAATTCCGTCAGTAGTAAACTGAATACATCTAAAGCACAGACCTAACAACTACAAACTGGATGGACTCATACCCCTATTCTAGTAGCCATTACGAGGGGTGTGTCTAGTTCCTGAGCATAAAAATATTAATTTCAATCTCTATATGTTAATGTGTAATATGTTAATCTCATATGTTAATGCTATTTTTCTTTTATACTCAATGTTCAGCATTGAATAAATAATTATGAGACTTACGAAGAAGAAAGAAAATGTAACCCTGTCAGGGGCTGGGGAGTTAGGGTAGGGACAGCATTAGGAGAAATACCTAATGTAGATGACAGGTTAACGGGTGCAGCAAACCACCATGGCATGTGTATACCTATGTAACAAACCTGCACGTTCTGTACACGTATCCCAAAACTTAGAGTATAATTAAAAAAAAATTTTCTAATGTTGAAATAGCCTCACATTTCTAAAATAAACCATGTTTACTTGTTAAAAAAAAAAAAAGAAAAAGAAAAGCAGAGCTGACCTACATTCTGGAATTATCAGATAGAGACTCACATTAATTCGAAGATAAACATCTTAAAGGATCTGGAGAAAAAGGCAGTTAATCAACTTGCACAGAAGATGGTGGCCAACTTACAATTTCAGCAGTGAGAAATTGAAGAAAAAAAAAAGAGCCAAATGGAAATAACAGAAATTTAAAATATCAAGATTTCCACTCATCAGTGCATTCGATGGGCTTACCAGCAAACTGGTCACACCAAAAAATCAGTAATCTTGAAAACAGGTTAGAAGAAATCTAACTGGAAACAAAAGAGATAAAGTGAAGGAAAGAAAAAAAAAGAGCTTACAAGATCTGTGGGACAATATCAAATAGTCTAACATACATATAATTAAGAGTCCCAGAAAGAAAGTAGAAGAAAAATATTTGGAGATTATGGCTAAAAATGATTCAAAATCGATGAAAGATAACTTACAGGTCCAAGAATCAGAGAATTCCAAGCAGGAAAAATTCAAGGGAGCAATTATAAAAGGAATAAATAAATTTCCATGATAAACAATGGAGGCCAAAAGACAATGGAATGGCATCTTTAAAGTGGTGAAAACAAACCAACACACCTCTAAAATTCTATACACGACGAAAATATCCTTCAAAAATGAAGACAACAGATTAACAGAATTCAAATGCTGAGATAATTTGTCTACAAATTATTACACAAATAATTTTTACAAATTATTACAGAAAAACAGCAGACTGTAACCATAAGAAGTATTAAGAGGAATTCTTCAGCCAGAAGGGAAATTTTACTTGATAGCAACCTGGGTCAGAAGGAAAGACTCAAGAGTGCCACAACAGGTAACTATGTCAGTGAATATTTTAAACAAAATCTTTAAAAATTATACACACGTGGGCTGGGCGCGGTGGCTCACGCCTGTAATCCCAGAAGTTTGGGAGGCCGAGGCAGGTGGATCATTAGGTCAGGAGTTCAAGACCAGCCTGGCCAAGATGGTGAAAAGCCATCTCTACTAAAAATACAAAAATTACCCGGGCACAGTGGTAAGAGCCTGTTATCCCAGCTACTCAGGAGGCTGAGGCAGGAGAATCAGTTGAATCTGGGCGGCAGAGGTTTCAGTGAGCCGAGATCACGCCACTGCACTCCAGCGTGGGTGATAAGAGTGACTCACCCCGTCTCTACTAAAAAATACAAAAAATTAGCCAGGCGTGGTGGCGGGCGCCTGTAGTCCCACCTACTCGGGAGCCTGAGGCAGGAGAATGGCGTGAACTCAGGAGGCAGAGCTTGCAGTGAGCCGAGATCGTGCCACTGCACTCCAGCCTGGGCGACAGAGAGAGACTCCATCTCAAAAAGTCAGGAAACAACAGGTGCTGGAGAGGATGTGGAGAAATAGGAACACTTTTACACTGTTGGTGGGACTGTAAACTAGTTCAACCATTGTGGAAGTCAGTGTGGCGATTCCTCAGTGATCTAGAACTGGAAATACCATTTGACCCAGCCATCCCATTACTGGGTATATACCCAAAGGACTATAAATCATGCTGCTATGAAGACACATGCACACGTATGTTTACTGCGGCATTATTCATGATAACAAAGACTTGGAACCAACCCAAATGTCCAACAATGATAGACTGGATTAAGAAAATGTGGCACATATACACCATGGAATACTATGCAGCCATAAAAAATGATGAGTTCATGTCCTTTGTAGGGACATGGATGAAATTGGAAATCATCATTCTCAGTAAACTATCGCAAGAACAAAAAACCAAACACCGCATATTCTCACTCATAGGTGGGAATTGAACAATGAGATCACATGGACACAGGAAGGGGAATATCACACTCTGGGGACTGTTGTGGGGTGGGGGGAGGGGGGAGGGATAGCATTGGGAGATATACCTAATGCTAGATGACGAGATAGTGGGTGCAGTGCACCAGCATGGCACATGTATACATATGTAACTAACCTGCGCAATGTGCACATGTACCCTAAAACTTAAAGTATAATAATAAAAATAAATACACACACACACACACACACACACACACACACACGTACTTTTACAAGATTGCTCAAAAGTAAATGTCGAAGTAAAATATATGACAACAAATATACAATGGGGGGCACAATGAAAGTATACTATATAAGGTTCTTATATTTTAAGGTAGAATATGTAGAAGGTTTACTACAATAAGTTAGAGGCATACTGTAATCTCTAAAACAGCCACTAAAAAATAACACTAAGACACAGCTAAAGTCAATAAAGGAGATAAAATGGAATATTAAAAAATGCTTTTTTGGCCGGGCGCGGTGGCTCACACCTGTAATCCCAGTCCAAAAGAGGTCAGGAAAGGAGGATCAAAAGAGAACAGATGAGACTAACTGAAAACGAACATCAAGATGTCAGACTTAAACATAATCACATTATATGTAAATGGACTAAACACCTTGAAAGAGACTTTTTTCTAGACTAGAGCAAAAAGCAACACTTACCTGTATTCTGTCATCTAAAATGAAACTTTAAACAAAGACATTCCAAACTAAAAGAATGAAAAACATATACTATACAAAAAAGCTTATGAAAGAAATGCCATGGTTCTGGCCAGGCGCGGTGGCTCATGCCAGTAATCCCAGCACTTTGGGAGGCCGAGGTGGGCGGATCGCTTGAGACCAGCCTGGGCAACATGATGAAATCCCATCTCTACCAAAAATACAAAAAATTAGCCAGGTGCAGTGGTGCATGTGTGTGGTCCCAGTTACTCAGGAGGCTGAGGTAGGAGGATGATTTGAGCCTGGGAGGCAGAGGTTGCAGTGAGCCATGATCGTGCCACTGCACTCCAACCTCGGTGACAGAGTGAGACCCCTTCTCAAAACAAAACAAAAAAGAAAGCTTCCATGGCTATATTAGTATCACACAAAGTAAACTTCAAGACAAAGAGGATTACCAGAGATAAAGGAGCATTTCATAATGACCAAAAGCTTAATTCATCAATAAGAGCTAACAACCAATGTTGGCCAAGATATGGGGCGAGTAACCTGAAATCTTATACGCTGTTGGTGGTAATGCAAAATGGTAAACTATTTTGGAAACTTTGGCAGTTAAGAAAAATTAAACATATATCTACTCTAGGATTCAGCAATTCCACTTCTATGTAACTATCCAGAAGAAATAAAACATATGTCCAGAAAAGGTCTTGTATGAGAATATTCATCGTAGCTTTATTCATAATATTCCAAAACTGGACACAAACTAAATGTCTATCAACAGGAGAATGAATAAACAAACTAGTCAATCCATACAATGGAATGTTACTCAGCAAAAAGATGGGACTGCCTAATGATACACTGAACAACATGAGTAAATTTTAAAAACATTATGCTGAGTGGAAGAAGCTGAATATAAAATATCTAGACTGGTCAATGACTATATATATGTTAAATGGGTACATATACCCATGTTATATATATGTTAAAACTCACTGGACTGTACACGTATCTGTACATTGTACTGTATATAAATTACCCCTTAATAAAAAATGGGATAAAAAAGTTAAATAAAATTGAGAAAGGTTGATATGAGTTGGCTGTGTCCCCACCCAAATTTCATCTCGAACTGTAATCCCCACATGTTGAGGGAGGGACCTGGTGGGAAGCGATTGGATCATGGGGGCAGTTTCCCCCATGCTGTTCTCGTGACAGTGAGTTCTCACAGATCTGGTTATTTACATGTCTGGCATTTCCCCTGTTTGCTCTCTCTCCCTCCTGCCACCATGTAAGACATGCCTTGCTTTCCTTTCACCTTCCACCATGATTGTAAGTTTCCTGAGGCCTCCCCAGCCATGCAGAACTGTGAGTCAATTAAAACTCTTCTGTTTATAAATTACCCAGTCTCAGATAGTACCTCTATAGCAGTGTGAGAATGGGCTAATGCAGAGGTGCATGAGGTATTTTTTATTTAAAGAAAATGGTGATATTTTCTTTTTTTTTGAGATGGAGTCTCACTCTGTCACCCAGGCTGGAGTGCCATGGTGCAATCTTGGCTCACTGCAACCTCCGCCCCCTGGGTTCAAGCGATTCTACTGCCTCAGCCTCCTGAGTAGCTGGGATTACAGTCACGGGCCACCACACCCAGCTAATTTTTGTATTTTTAGTAGAGACAGGGTTTCACCATGTTGGTCAGGCTGGTCTCAAACTCCCGACCTCGTGATCTGCCTGCCTCGGCCTCCCAAAGTGCTGGGAGTACTGGTGTGAGCCATTGCGCCTGACCGATATTTTATTTCTCAACAACCTTAACGTCATTTGAGTTTACGGAAGACTAAAGTGAGAGAAAAGAATGAGACAGCAGCATTTTAACTCTTTTAACAAAAAGTGTTTTCCTCCCTATCCTTCTTTTTGTCCAGCAAATACAACAAAGAACATGGTTCTTGACTGTGCACCAAATAAACAAAATAATATCTGACAACTACTCTTTAGAGGAGACTGGTTTTTTGTCTTGATCAATGCTAGTTATTGCACTAAAAAGATGGAGCAGAGTGAGTAGCAAAGCAGTCTGATGAATGTTTCCTTGCAGTGAATGATACACTCACTACATGGCCTTTAGTGCTGACATCAACGCTAGAGTTTTTTTCCACAAGATCATTTTTTAGGAGCAATACAATAGTTTGGGAGAAAAATACGCATTATGGAAAAGAATTGAAAAGTGAGCAGCAAGACTACTATATGAGAGTTTTTTCTCCTACAAAACTGAAGACCACAACATTCAAATTCATAACAAACTGACCTCTTCTTGATTCATATCCTAATTATAGAACTCAAGACTATCAGGTCTCAAATGCTATGTGCTTATCTACTGATCTACTTTTTATAATGATCATATTTAGTATTCATGAGTAAGAGTAACTTCAGGAAATAGCATTTTTCCATGATGTTAGTTTCACAATGTTTCTTTTTCTTATTTTTTGAGATAGGGTCTTGCTATGTCACCTAGGCTGGAGTGCACTGGTGTGATCCCAGCTCACTGCAACCTCCGCCTCCCGGGCTTGAGTGATCCTCACACCTCAGCCTCCTGAGTTGCTGCGACTACAGGTGTGCACCATCAGGCCCCATTTTTTTTTTTTTTTTTTGCATTTTTTTTGTAGAGATAGGGTTTTGCCATGTTGCCCAGCATGGTCTTGAACCCCTGGCCTCAAGTGATTCACCCGCCCCAGCACCCCAGCTTCCCAAAGTACTGGGATTACAGGTGTGAGCTACCATGCCAGATCCACAATCTGTTTCTTAAATAAGGAAGTGTTCTAGATATCAAGAATCCTTCAGAGATTTTTAGGTAGCTTTGAATTTGTGCTTTAAATGTAAGAATATTAAATGTTTTTGATGGAAATATTTCCGTCTCTACTTTGTTAAACAGAATTCACCCTGGTTCTTCATTCTGTCAACAAACATCTACTGAGTGCTATTGGTTATTGAGTGTTTGTTTTTACGAAAGATTATTAAGACCGAGACTTTCCCTTCAGGAGTTCAGTTAGATAGGGAGACAAGCCTGACAACACAAACAACCAAAATATAGAAATACGTTCAAAAGATTAACTTTTGGGAGAAAGAGGTGGTAGCAAGAAAGTCTTCCTGCTTTCTGTTGTAGCAGATAATCTTTCCTGATAGTTGTGTAAGTAGTTTGGGGTCAGGGGCTCTCTCTCATGCTTAGTTTAAAATAGCTGTAACATCGAAGCCCAAGGCTGTGCCTCATGAGGGTGGTCAATGAATTGCATAACTGGTAAGCGACTACTACCTGCCAGGCTTTGTTCTAAGAACTAGAAAGAGAAAAGGGAACTCCTTATCCCTACACTGCTCAGACAGCTAGCAAACAAATAATTTCAAAATCAATGCAACGAGTTCTATAATAGAGGTAAAATCAGAATGCCAAGGCAGCAGAGGGAGCTGAGGCTTGAAAGAGTCATAAAAGTATGACAGACAGAAAAGGTATTCAAGATGGAAGGAAGAAGTGACGCAAAGATGTGGAGTGTGAATATGCAAGACATTTCGAGACCATGGAAGCAGCAGGGAGAAACGAAGTTGAATATAGGTGCCGTGTGTGAGGGCAGAGTAATGGAACATGAAGGAAGGCAAACTTGAAGAGGTCAGTGGCAGCGACCAGACTGAGGCCTGTCTATGTCATCCTAAAGTATCTGCACACACACATATATGTGTGTGTGCATGTGTGAACGTGCGCGCACACACACAGAAGGACAATTAAAGCAGGCCGGGCATGCTGGCTCACACCTGTAATCCCAGCACTTCAGGAGGCTGAGGCGGGTGGGTCACCTGAGGTCGGGAGTTCAAGACCAGCCTGGCCAACATGGTGAAACCCCACTTCTACTAAAAATACAAAAATTACCCAGGTGTGATAGCATGTGCCTGTAATCCCAGCTACTCAGGAGGATAAGGCAAGAGGAATCACTTGAACCTGGGAGGCGGAAGTTGCAGTGAGCTGAGATCAGATGGCACCACTGCACTCCAGCCTGGGCAACAAAAAGACTTTGTCTTAAAAAACAACAAAACCAAAAACTAAATTAAAAAAAAAAGAAAGACAAAACACATGGATCAAATCTTAACAATGGTTGACATTATAATGGATGAAGTACCTATGTGAAATTTTGCTATGTTTTTTGATACTTTGAAATTGTTTAAAAGTAAACATTTAAAATAAAATAAAATATGGGGAATCCCCATCCCAACATTCAGCTTCTTTCGTTACTTACTCTGGAAGCTCTCTGGGATGTCGCAAACATCCAGCTGTGACCACTGGCTGAATTCAAAGGTGAAATTGTTATTAACTCGACAGACATAAAAGCCTGCATCTTTTACATGCACTGCATTAAAAATAAGCTCTGATGTATTTCCATTTGGAATCTGTGAAAGAATCAATAAGAGAAGTGGATGACTCATCAAAAACACACCTTATAAAATATGCTGTACAAAATCTATGATTTCAGTATGAAGCTTTGAAAGTGCAACATTTTTCCCCCAAGTTCTAAAACATTTCTGAGTTAAAAACAGTAACGCTTTGAGTTATTTAGGACTGAAGTATTAAAAATCCAGTCTTTTACAAATCCATAAACCAGAGAGTTAAGCTGGCCCCCAAACATCTTCCAAAGGCTCACTAACAGAAAACTATTTGCTCTGGCATTTAAGAGATCAATCACTGAGTATTGAAAGAATCTACAACTGCAACATTTATGAGTTTAGCAGCCATACAACATACAAACACCACAGCGGCATAGAGAAAACACAGAGAATTGGGCTTGGCTATTGCTTTCAGCTCTGACCACATTAGCTGGGAAGACGTGGGCAAGTTATTTCACCTTGAGACCCCGGACCTTCTGATCTGCAAAATTCTGTAAGAGGATAAACTCCTTAACCAAACAATATCCAATCTCCTTCAAGGTCTAGACAGAGAAGAGCTATGGAAAGCATATCAATGAGACAGTAAGACGGGATGGCCATCCACAGTCCCCACCTCCAATAGTAAGGTTTCTTTTATTAATGCTTTTTCTGCTCCCAGCAATTGATCAGCTACACCCAACTTTGGCACATTGCCAAGGGGCTTACTCAAGTGCCTCATTACAATAACTCCCTTGCAAAGAACAGGTTAATCTGATGATTTAAAATCTGAAATACTCCCAAATTCAAAACTCTTTGAGCACCTCCATCATGCTCACTGGAACATTTCAGATTTGGGATGCTGAACTTTTAAGTATACAATGCAAATATTTCAGCACCTAAAAAAAATCCAAAATCTGAAATACTTCTGGTCTCAAGCATTTCAGACAAGGGATATTCAACCTGTACTTTAACAAGCTCACCTCCTCCCTCTCCAAACCCCAAGTTACTGAACTCTACTCTCTCCCCTTTCAGTACCTACACCAAAGCAAGAGTATTTTGCTCAGGATGTGACAACTGGGATGACAGGCTGCACTTACAACTGCCTGACAATCCTACTATATCGTCCTAAGTGTGTTTTCCTTCTAGACTATTGATGTATACTCTTTCCTCAAACTTCCTGTAATCCTAGTTCTCTTAGGCACTGACTTCAGACAGAAATTACCTCCTTTTTCTGCCAACAAATCACAAACCTATCCATGTCTGTACTTATTTATAACTGCTCTGTTCCCTCCTGTTAAAATGGAAGATGTATCCTCTTAACAAAGGCTACTTGGGCTGAAGATCTGTGGAGACCCACTCAGAACCCCTGAGTTGGTATGAAGATTATATTAAACTGAAGACATCTGGGACTCAACAGATACAGAAAGAAGTCTTCTCAGTCTTCCTTTATCTGACCCAAAACAGAAAGTTCTGGGAAATGAGGCTGCCATAAATTCCCTCGTGGGGCAGCTTTTACCCCCAGGCAACAGACCAAGAGTAAAAGTACCATAAATCTCTCTTTGGGGACTTTACGGTCACAATGAAGAGGAGATACCACTGGTGCCTGCATGAACAACATTACCACAAACTTTGCTATCTTCCCTTGTTCTTCTCCCCTTTGTCTTTCCTGAAGAAACCCATCCATTATGCTCACAGGGCCCCTGCCTTTCCCTACTAAATTAGCTACATAACTTAACCAGTTAGCAAGCTACTCCTTCTGAAAGCTCTTGCATGCACACAAATAAGCTTTTTCTCCGTTAATCTGTCTTCTGTCAATTAATTTTCCAATCTTCAACACCTCAGTATATAACACATCTCAGATGCTCAGGTGGAAAGCCTAAGGGGTCATCCTTGATTTCTCTTCCTTCTCCCCATGCTCTACATCTAATCTGTCAGCTTAGTTGACTCTCTCTAAAATATACACTGAATTATGCACTGTGATCCACCTTCTCTTCTCCACGCTACTGCTACTTCCAGTCAAGCACAGGTATTAAGACAACTGCTCACCTTGCTGTTCTCTGCTTCCTTCAAGCCGCAAGTTTATGTTTTAAAAACATGAATCCTAGTCGGGTGCGACAGCTCACGCCTGTAATCCCAGCACTTTGGGAGGCTGAGGCAGGCGGATCACGAGATCAGGAGATTGAAACCACCCTGGCCAACATGGTGAAACCCCGTCTCTCCTAAAACACAAAAAATGAGCTGGGCGTGGTGATGCGCGCCTGTAATCCCAGCTACTCAGAAGGCTGAGGCAGGGTAATCGTTTGAACCGGGGAGGTGGAGGTTGCAGTGAGCCAAGATCGCGCCACTGCACTCCAGCCTGGCGACAGAGCGAGACTCCATCTCAAAAAAAAAACAAAAAAACAAAACAAAACAACAACAACAACAACAAAAAACCCCACGAATCCTACCATGTTACTTCCCTTGCTTAAAACCTTAGTAGCTTCTCATATTATGTTGCCACCCTGTTGATTTTCCTCATAGCTCTTAACTCACAGGAATTAACAGTACTTGCTCTGTCCCCACTGGCGTGTAAGCTCTTTGAGGGCAGAGACCTTCTGGTCAGTGCTGTATCATCACACCTAGAACATGGCCCGGCACAAAACAGGTGCTCAACAAGCACTTGTTAAGTAAACATCTCCTACAATACTCCTATGATCATGTGGTTTTACAAAACTTAAGAGTTTTAAAATCCATTACAACTCTTCAACTCTAAGATGCATTTTCCATCCCCTACATTTCTACCTTTTTCCAATCAGGACATAGCTTACAAATGATATACTTAATGTAGTAGGGTTTTTCCACTATTTCTCCTCAAAGGGCATTTAATAAAATGAAAGTAACTTTGCAATTGAGAAAATATGATAAAAAAATACCTTTAGGTGCAATCTTTCAAGAGCCTAGGCACGTAAAACATCCTGTCTACTTAATTCTCACAACCTCTGATGATAGGAATTCACATGGCTAATAATGGCAGTCAGAGTTCCAACACAGACCTATCTAGTGCCAAAGCTACATGCAATCTTTTTACTACATTCCACAGTTGCTCTGTCTTACCTCTGTGTAACAGACGGAAACAAAATCGTATAAAACCACAGAATTCACCTACAGTATGAGGCAATCCAATTAAAGGAAAAGTCATTCTCAGAACAGCTTTTATTTAGTTTCAGATTTGCAAAGGGAGACGTGACATCAAGTTTGGAAGAAAGCTGAATTACTGGGACTAACAGAGTGAAAAGAATATGGACTTTCAAGGTACTGTGGAAGTGGGAGGAGGATAGAGAGGGATGGGGGGATCGAAGATAAAAGCCCACAGAAGTGGGACACAATGCAGGCAGCCAGCCCACTGAGAAATCCCCAGTGCAAGATGGCTCAAGGAACTCTGAAGAAAAGAGAATTCTAAAATGTGAATTTAAATTATTTGTTGGGTGCTGCAGGGATCCAATCATTTCACAAAAGGAATAAATGGCCCATTCTGCCCATCTGAATTTTACTTCAGAATCTACCACAAGGTCCTAAATCTTCTGATACAGATAAAACAGTGATGTGGAATTCTTAAAAAGAATAGCACATTAACTTTCCATATAGCCTTGAAAATCTTTTAAAGATTTTGGTTGGAACATAATCTGTTGTGAAGAGTTTGTATACACAAGAATGTACTGGTGATGTTTTATACTCGCTAACACTGCTGCCCTAAGTAATCCCTATTTTCCACAATTTTTAGAGTGGAGAACTAATTTCATTATTGTTTACAATGTTTTCATGAGACAATTCTGGAACTGTCTTACCAAAATAATGACTATTGACTACTTCAGTAATAACCTAGCAATGTCTATCAGACTCTTTTACCAAACTGTTAAAACTACATTTAGGACGATAATGTTAATTAATTCTCTATCATTCTCTCTCCTTGGAAGAATTAAAAGATATATTTAAAAAATTACCTCTTTATTCATTTTGAACCACTGATATTGAACAAAAGGATGTCCAGTTGCCCGGCAACACAGTTTCACAAACTGTCCAGCCAAGACTGCCTTTGACTCTGGGTTTACAGTAATCTTTATTCCTAAAAAAAAAAAAAAAAAAAAAAAAAATTAAAGTCACAAGAGGGATTTTCCTTGTTTATACATCTGAAACCAAAAATTGAAACATTTTAGAAATAACTTGCATATTTATCTTTGTCATAAATCACTCATTCACATCTCCTTCTCAATCAATTTACACTTTGTGAGTTGCAGCTTTTGTAAAATCAGAGGAAAGAAACTTACTTGCAGAAGACTTTGATCTATTGTACTTCCCCATGATTGGGTGGGGGAGAAAATTATTTACCATATTTCTTCAATTTCTAGAAGCTTTTTTCCCCCATATTCTAACACTTCTGAAATCAGGATGCACCTTATAACAGATGCCTGTCAGGCACAGCCACAGGGTAGTTCTCAGTGTTAGCTCATGGAAATGTTTGGTCATAAATGCTCATATGGCTGCCACTTCAGTCAAGTTACGTGCACTGTTAGTAACAGACGTGTTAAGTTGCAATGTCTGCTATTGTCTGAATATGTGCCCCCAAATTCATGTGCTGGAAACTGAATCCCCAATGTAACAATGTTGGGAGGTAGGGCCTAGCGGGAGGCTCTACCCTCACGAATGAATTAATGCCGCTGTAATAACGGGGTTTGCAGGTAGGTTCTCTCTCTTTTGCCATGTGAGGACACAGCAAGAAAACCTTCATCAGAAGCTGGTTCTTTGATCACGGACTTCCCAGGCTCCAAAACTGTGAGAAATAAATGTCTGTTCTTTAAAAATTACCCAGTCTGTGGTACTGTATTATGGAAGCATGCAATGGACAAAGACAACACCATTGAAAACGTCTTCAAATGACTGCATTATTATTTAGTATTGAAATGAAAATGATTTTGGAAGAGAAAGACACAGAAACAGAGCAGTGAGATATATATTTGATATACCTGTGACACAAACATTCCTCATTTGAGGAATAACTGCCAACATCTAAGCTTGGAAGACTTTTGACAGGAATTTGGAAGAAAATCCTAGTCAATAATGGAACACCCCCAACTCCTTCTCTTGCCTCTCTCTCACTCACTCGCCCCAGGGAAGCACATGACTGTGGCAGGAGGCCATTCAGGTAGCCCTGCAGAGAGGCTCAAGTGGTAAGAGTATTAGTCTGTTTCACACTCCTGATAAAGGCATACCCACGACTGGGCAATTTACAAAAGAAAGAGGTTTAATAGACTTACAGTTCTACGTGGCTAGGGAGGACTCACAATCATGGTGGAAGGTGAAAGGCATGTCTCACATGGCGGCAGACAAACGAGAAGAAGGTGCGGGCAGGGAACCTCCCCTTTATAAAACCATCAGATCTCATAAGACTTATTCACTATCACAAGAACAGCAGAGAAAGACCTGCCCCCATGATTCAATTACCTCCCACCAGGTCCCTCCCACAACACATGGGAATTCAAGATAAGATTTGGGTGGGAATACAGCCAAACCATATCTCTACAGAAAGAAACAGATCTCCCGCCACAGCCAGTGAGGAAATGAGGTCTCTTGACAACACCTGTGAGAGAGCCATCTGAGAAGATCCTCCAACCCTGGGGAAACCTTCAGATGACTGCAGACCTGGCTGACAGTCTGACTGCTGCCTCACGAGAGACCCTCAGCCAGGACTACCCAGCTAAGCCACTTCTGGACTACTAGCCTCAGAAACTGTGTGAGATAATAAACAGTTGTTGTTTTTCACTTCTGACTTGGGGGTAATTTATTAATGCAGCAATAGATAACTGACATAAAAGAAACCAAAGCTAGAAAAGCTTACATTTGCAAAAGTTGTAATTAATAAAACTGGGTTAGCTGGCTTTTAGGAAGTAAAGAAAAAGATAATTAAAACTTATAAAACTTAATTTCCTGCACCTACTTTTATTTTCTTTCCTTGTCTATACTGAATGTGACCTCATAACAGTGTCTTTTTCTTCTACCACCCACCAATGCAAAGAAACAAAACAAGATTACAAGTAAAAAGGAAACAGTGTAAATAACAGTAATCTTAATACATCAAAGGTACTAAACTTTCTAGGAAAAAAAATAATGTTCATGAAAGTCACAGCACAAAGATACTAAATAAAAGCAAAATTAAAAATGAGTAAATATTTATTGTATACCTAGCACATTTGAGGGCCTCGAGAAGCCCTAGAAAATCTTTAGTAAATATAGTAGAGCCTCTCAGAATTTTAAACTCTTGCCAAGGGAGGACATTCATATTCATTAATCCTTTATGTCGAGGCCAAGTTAGTACAGGACGGATGAAGTTCAGAATTTTTCTGAAATCTGTGATACATGTTGGTAGGAAAGGTGGAAAATGGGATAAGCACTCTTGCTGAAGCCAGCAAATTCATAACACTGTATTTTAATGTCCCCACATTTACCATTCATCTGCCAGGAGAGTTTTACATCACAACTTTAAAATACAAAGATTCTGATTTCCCAAGTTTCGATGTGACAGGAAAAAGTTGCAACAATGACAAAAGAGAACAAGTAATAAATCTAAAAAATATAGGAGTTTTGGCTATCCTGGCTTTAAATTTGAATGTCCTATAGCCACCACCAATTTTATATGTCCCAAATCCCTTCTGACACAAAATCTACTCCTCTGCCAGTCCCCACAGTTTCCCCATCTCAAAGATGGTAAACCAGTCTTACTGCCTACCACCATCCATCTGGTTACTCAGGACAAAAACTTTGCAGTTTCTTAGCATCATTCTTAAGGGCCCTAGGATTTTCAGAATGGTAAATGGGCACTGGCTTCAACGTAAAGTTGTCAGCTGCATTGGCCCCTAACAAGAGTCAGCCAGGCACTGACTTCTCTCTAGCTATCAAAGTTCTAGATGACATCTTCTTCCAATAGAAGGCTGTTTCATCTACACTGAAAAATCTGTTTATTATAGCCATTTTCTTTAATTATCTTAGCTAGATCTTTTATTGCTTTTTTGTTTTGAGACAAGGTCTGTCTCTGTTACCTAGGCTGGAGTGCAGTGTCATGATCTCGCTCACTGCAACCTCCGCCTTCCAGGTGTAAGCAATTCTCCCACCTCAGCCTCCCGAGTGGCTGGGACTACAGGCAGGTGCCACTGTGCCTGGCTAATTTTTTGTATTTTTTGCAAAGACGGGGTTTCACCATGTTGCCCAGGCTGGTATCAAACTCCTAAGCTCAAGCAATCCTCCTGCCCTGGCCTCCCAGAGTGGTGGGATTATAGACACCATGATCAATTACGAGCCACCATGCCTGGCATTAGCTAGATCTTCTGGATGACTTGCTGCAGCTTCTCCACTAGTACTTGCTGCTTCACTTTGCACTTTTATGTTACAGAGACAGCTTATTTCCTTAAACCTCATGAACCAACTTTTCTTCCGCAGCTTCCTCACCTCTCTGTCTTCACAGAAATGAGGCGAGTTAGGGCCTCACTCTGGATTAGGCTTTGGCTTAGGGGCATGCTGTGGCTGGTTTGATCTATCCAGACTACTATAACTTTCTCCATCTCAGCAATAAGGCTGTTTTGCTTTCTTATCATTCGTGTGTTCACTGAAGTAGCATTTTTAATTACCTTCAAGAACTTTTCTTCTGCATTCGCAACTTGGTTAACTGGCACAAGAGGCCTAGCTTTTCAGCCTATCTCAGCTTTTGATATGCCTTCCTCATTAAGTAAAATCAATTCTAGCTTTTGATTTAAAGTGAGAGACATGTGACTCTTCCTTTCACCTGAACACTTAGAGATCACTGTAGGGTTATTAATCAGCCTAATTTCAATATTGTTGTGTGTCACTGTTCTTTCACTTGAACACTTAGAGACGATTGTAGGGTTATTAATCAGCTTAATTTCAATATTGTTGTGTCTCAGGGAATAGGGAGGCCCAAAGAGGGAGTGGGGAGGTGGGAGAGGAAGAGGGACAGGGAGGGAGGGAGGGAGGGAGGGAGAGAGTGAGAGAGAGAGAGAGAGAGAGAGAGAGAGGAATGGCCAGTCGGTGGAGCAGTTGGAATACACATGACATTTATCAATTAAGCTCAACTTCTTATAGTGGCATAATTTGTGGCACCCCAAAACAATTATAATAGTTTTTTTTTCCTTTGCAATGCAAGGGCTCTTTATTGTCAGTGAGACCACCAGGCTAGATGAGCACTGAGGCTCCAGGGGGACCCCAGGCCCTCTTCAGTGGGAGAAGGCAAAGGTGGGTTTCGGGCCTCAGAATGGTCCTTGGCTCACGTAGCACCATGTAAATACAGAGCTAAAAACTTCCTGGATGTCTCCCACTGGAAACCAGTCAGCCCAACGCATTCCACAACCACCCTCTTTTTTTTTTTTTTTTTTTTTTTTTGAGACGGAGTCTCGCTCCGTCGCCCAGACTGGAGTGCAGTGGCGCGATCTTGGCTCACTGCAACCTCTATCTCCCAGGTTCAAGCAATTCTCCTGCCTCCATCTCCTGAGTAGCTGGGATTACAGGCACGTGCCACCATGCCTGGCTAATTTTTTGTTGTTTTTTTTTTTTGAGACGGAGTCTCGCTCTGTCACCCAGGCTGGAGTGCAGTGGCGCAATCTCGGCTCACGGCAAGCTCCGCCTCCCGGGTTCATGCCATTCTCCTGCCTCAGCCTCCTGAGTAGAGTAGCTGGGACTACAGGCGCCCGCCACTACGCCCAGCTAATTTTTTGTATTTTTAGTAAAGACGGGGTTTCACCACGTTAGCCAGGATGGTCTCGATCTCCTGACCTCGTGATCCACCCACCTCAGACTCCCAGTGTTGGGATTACAGGTGCGAGCCACTGGGCCCGGTCCCACCTTCTTTTTTATCACTGGGAGACACCAAAAATGCTGAGAGAGTAGCTGGCATGATTCCACCCAGACCAAACTCTTGCCACACTTGTTAAGAGGCCAGGTCTGTGGTGTTCTACTGTAACACCAGGAAATGGAATGCACGTCCGTCTGTGCATGTACTCTGCACAACCACGGGCTGCTCCGAGATCTTGGTGTCATTGCCACAGAGGAGCTGGGCCTGAGCCAGGGCAATGCCAAAAGCAAACAGGATCATCTTGGCCCACAGCTGATCTGGTTGAAGGCTATGTGGTTGCAAATCGGCTTTCTCCAGGAAGTGCAGGATATGGAGATAGGGGTAAGGATAGCCCTCCCAGAATCCTGTGTCATCTTTCACATCAGAAACATTGCATTCCTGAAGATCAGTAGTGGGGAGAGGGGACAGAAGGCCTCGAGAACATGATTTTTAGTAGCTTCAACCTCTTCTCTGGAGGAGATGGCGGGGGCAGAGGATCCTTGGCACTCAGCCGGCTCCACTAGAACCATGACCCTGAAGAACAGACACAATTCCAGGTGGTGGATAACGTGGAGTTTTGGGCACAAATCTGCCTGGCCAGAGAAGGATGCCTGAGAATCTGAGACTTACACAACTTTATCAGACTGTCCACAATGACCAGACAGCAGGCCTCTCTCCTGGGGCCGTACTCAGTACAGTGCCAGAGACAGGCATGAGAGATCAAATTCAGAAGACGCTCATCTTGGTTCTCTATGTGGTTCCTTGTATCATCAACAAGGCCAAGTACTTTCTCAGGAAGGCATTTTATTAACTTGGCCTCGGTAAGCCAGAGGGCCTGCTTGACACCCCTGAGAAGGCGGCAACGCTGGTGAAAGACATAGCAGGCCTGGTCTTTGTATGGTGGCTGCTCGTGAATGGAGCTTGAGCAGCAGAACTTTGGGTGCTTCGAGCCAGGGTCCCAGGGTCGTGAACGGGGTGAACAGAATTTTGGGTGTTTCTACCCAGGGTCCCAGGGCAGGAAGATCAGCGGTGGCAGCCCGGGCGTGAAGTACATCTCTCTCACAGAGGGGATGGGCTCCGGTCCAGGGATCTCGTACACTCCATCCAGGGGAGGAGGCTCTGGCTTCCACATGGAGTGCATGCCCCACTCACAGGCTCCACCTCTCGGGGCCCCGAAGCTCCCAAGGTTGAGCTGCCTGGAGCTAGTCAGTGCCTGCCTAGCGGCACCATACTGATCTGCCAACACCATACTGATCTGGTCTTAAGACCACCAACACCATACTGATCTGGTCTTAAGACCGCCACCTGGATGCCACCATCTTACCAGGCACCAACAATCACAGTAGTAACACCAAAGATCACCGATCACAGATCACCACGACAGATATAATGAAAAAGTTCGAAATATTGTAAGAGTTACCAAGGTGTGACACAGAGATATGAAGTAGGCACATGCTATTGGAAAAATGGCACTGACAGACTTGCTAGACACATGGGTGCCGCAAGCTTTCAACTTGCAGAAAGTGAAGTATCTGCAAAGTGCAATAAAGTGAAGCATAATAAAACAAAGTGTGCCTGTACTTAGAATAAAAAATCCAGATTCCTTACCATGGCTACAAAGTCCTCCACGAACTGCTCCTTTGGCCCCTCCGCTCTTCTCCAGGCTCACCAAGCTCCAGCCATACTGGGCCTCCTTCCTTCTATAAGCCAAGCTCTTTTCTGCCTTTCCACTTACCAGTCCTCTGCTGGGTTCTCCCCACAAGCTCCGCTTTGCCATCCCCCGCAACCGCCACCCCACTGGCTTCCACTATTCTACTGTTTCATGGCAGGCTCTTTCCTCATCATCCAGGTTTCTTACTAAAATATCACCAGCTTCTCTGGGAAATGTCTCTAAATTAGGTACCCTCCCACCCCCCAGTTATCTATTACATTCACCCAGTTCAGTGTCCTTCACTCTCTAAAATCCCTGTTTCTTACTGTCCGTCTTAGGTATTAAAATAGAAGCTCCATGAGGGCAAGGCCAAGGACCTTGATGGTCTTAGTCACCAGTTCATTCAGCACCTAGAATTGTGCCCACATATGGCACTGCAGTGGGTGTTAGTGGGTGTTCAACACGTGTTTGTTGAATATATATAATAATAACAGAAATTACTACAGCAGCAAGTTACTGACTGCTTTACATGCACCAGGCATTTTTATCACTAACCTTTGAAATAACCACACAAGGTAGATACTAATTACATCTATGTTACAATGAAAAAAAGGTACGTAATTTGCAGAAGGTCACCCAAATTACCTGGGGTAAATTAAACTCTCTGAGACTTTTTTTTTTTTTTTACATTGTAAAATGGCAGAACCAGGATGCAAACCTAGGTTTTCTTGCCTTTTAAAGGTTTTAAACCTTATGTTTTGCTTTCTCAGTGATTCTGTCTTTTTGTTTTTTTGAGACAGGGTCTCACTCTGTCACCCAGGCTGGAGTGCAGTGGCATGATCAGGGCTCACTGCAGTGTCAACCTCCTGGGCTGAAGCCATCCTCCCACCTCAGCACCCCCAATAGCTGGGTCTACGGGTGTGCATCACCATACCCGGCTAATTTTTGCATTTTTTGTAGAGGCAGGGTTTTGCCATGTTGCCCAGGCTGGTCTTGAGCTCCTGGGCTCAAGCAATCCACCTCACCTCAGCTTCCCAAAGCACTGGGATTATAGGAGTGAGCCACCATGACCGGCCTCTTGGTGATTCTCAATATATCTCCCACGGTAATCCCGCTTTCTGCCACAGTGAGCCTACCTTACTGAGAAAGTGTATCACACAAAGAGCAATCCCACACCAGGACACGGCTCATGAATATACCATGGCAAATATTCTCTGCCATTATACAAGGAGATAAGAGACAAGAAGGATGGAAAGGGTTTTTCCTCTAGAGTATCTTACAAAGAAGCAGGTGACTACTGGAAAGGGATCATATGGCCAGGTTCTAAAAGTTATCCTTCCTTTGTATGGGACACAAGACTAAGTGATTTTTAAAATTAGTATTTTTTTTTTTTTTTTTTTTTTTTTTTGTAGAAACAGGGCCTCATTATGTTGCCCAGGTTGGCCTCATATGTTGCCTGGAACTGCTGGCCTCAAGAGATCCTCCTACATTAGCCTCCCAAAGTGTTGGGATTACACGTGTGAGCCACTGTGCCTGGCCAAGACAAAGTAGCTTTTAATGTACATCTAAATTAACAGTTTATAAGCCTGTCCTGCACCAACAACTTTATTAATAAGCGTGTGTGTGTGTGTGTGTGTGTGTGTGTAACATATATATACAATTTATTGCTTCAAAGACTGAGAATTGAAAGGCAAAATGTGATTTGGAAACCACCCCTGGTGAATAGTCAAGAAAATGAGTTGCAATACCTCCCATGTTTTAACCACACAAATTTCCTTCCTCCCACAAAGCCTTGTGCGACAGGGACCCATGGTCAACCCTTAGCCACCCCAATGCAGCACCCACTAGTGAGAAGGTGCTGAACAAAGGTAAAAAAAGAATATGGTATAGTGCTACGTAGGCTGTACGAAGGCATACAAATGAAAGTTCTATTTTAAACGGTGAACACACAGCTTCCTGGTAAACAAGCATATTTTTCAGATAACATCTACAAAGAAGTCAGAGAAGTTACTTGATTTCCTGTAAGCCTGGGAGAATGTGACTAGGTACGATGGAACCAAGGATCGTGCTTTCAACTACACACACATATGCCGATAAACAAGTACATGCTATTAAGCAATAAAACAAAAATTTAAAACCCTGCTGAAATTATAAGAAAGATAAATTAGGATAATTTTTGACAAAAGGACACATAGCTTCCCTTGAAGTTATTCTCTCTCACGACGCATTTAAATGTTGATGTAGTTTATCAATAAATACTTTTTCCAAAAACAGATCTATTCCATACACTGAAGTCCATCTACTTTCAGAGGCCATGAAACAAAAAAAGATTTTTATCAACTTCCATCTAAAACTTGTCCTCAAAGTTACTCTGCAATCTTCTATGCTATCACAGAAGAGTACCCACATGCCCTACAGTGTGCCCAAATAAATATCATTCCTCTTCCTCTAACAATTTCCCCCAGTATATAACCAAAGTAGGTCCATGTGTGTCCCTCCTACGGCATTACACAAAGTATGTCCACATATGTTTCTCTTACATGTCAATTGAAATCTGTATAGATTATAGCTAAATCTAGTTTCCCACATCACATCCCTTATTCTGTTACATTGCCTGAGACTCCCCTCCACACTCCACATCCAGAAAGACATTCCTTCAGGCCTTGCTCACCAGCCCTTTCTCTCCCTCTACTTATTCCTTATCCTCATGCACATCCATACCATCTTTTTCTCTTTTCACTTCTTGATATTTTTCTTTTAGGAATAATTGCCAATTTCCTCATATTCATGAAATAAGAAAAGTCCCTTACAAATAAGATCCAGTCTTTGAGCACTTTTTAAGTTGGCAAGAAGAAAAAAATTGAAGTCCATGGGTCAAAGAGGCAACTGAGGTAATAATACAGAACTAAGTTTCTTAATTCAGAAATTTCCTAGCATTATGGAAATGGTATTGAGTTCAGGTCAGGGTCAGCAGACCTGGTTTTTAATCCTACCTTTGTCAATAATTGTGACTTTGGCCAAATGATCACTTTTGGAAATCTCATTTTCCATGTAAATGTTTGTTGGTTAAAATTTAAATGTTCACAATAGCACTGTTCTGTCGCTTCACAGAATTGTGAAGATAAAATGTGAAGTAAAGGTATTTTAGAAACTAAAGAATAACATTAAACAACCTTTGCACTTATTTTAGAGATAAAGTAATAAAAATAGCCAAAACATAACAATGCGTATGTTACAACGGATCTGAGAAAAAAAGGTATGAAATAAAAAAGGAGTAGAGGCAAATGGAAAAGGTGCCACTGAAAAGATGGCACATGACCCTGCCACAGACATCTCATAGGTACCCTCAGTGAGGCACCTTTCATATGAAGAGTGAAATAAAATGGCAATATTGCAGCACTGGAGCTGAAAAGCAACTTGGGATTCATCTTAATGAGATCCACATCAACAATGCTAGTTCTCTCTAAACAGCTCCCATCGTTCAGCCTCTGCTCTGCCCATTCCAGGTTAAGGGCATCACTTCTCCAGGCAACCATTTCGTGATGTATGTAACTAGGACTGATGAAGCCTATAATTCTACACTCACAATGTTTTCACTTAAAACAAAAGAAACAAATAGGCTGTGTGTGGTGGCTCATGCCTGCAATCCCAGTACTTTGGGAGGCCGAGGCGGACGGATTACCTGAGGTCAGGAGTTTCAGACCAGCCTGGCCAACATGGTGAAACCTCGTCGCTACTAAAAATATAAAAATTAGCTGGGTGTGGTGGCGCGTGCCTGTAATCCCAGCTACTCAGGAGACTGAGGCAGAAGAATCGCTTGAACCTGGGAGATGAGGTTGCAGTGAGCCAAGATCGCGCCACTGCACTCCAGCCTGGGTGACAGAGTGAGACTCAAAAAGCAAACAAACAACAACAACAACAAAAGAAACAAAAGCACCTTGAACTACACATCTAAGTCTATCTATACAGATGTCAATATTGGTTGCTTTGGAATCAGTCTTTGAAACTTAAATAAGATCTAAAAAAAAAAATCATTACAGACCTTTGGTTCAAAACCCTTTCAACACATCCATTTAACCCCCTTCTACAATTCCCACTGAGATGAGCAAAGGAATAAAAGTAGGGAAACAATTTACTAGCGCTGGAAAATGGGATGAACACCATCCACAAATAAAAACTAGAAGCGATTTCTCTATCATATAATTCAAGTAAGACCACACTGAGGGGCAAGTTGGCCAACCCATGTGCAGTGGAAATGCTCGACAAGAAAGAAAGCAACAGAGAGTAAAAACCTCGATCCTCTGAGGCTCCTTCACAAAATATATAAAATTATAATTCCAGAGTGAGTTTACACTCAGACTACATGCTGAGTGACTGCTGAAGCTGGGTCCTCATCACAGAAACTGCTCTAGTTAGAGATGCATGGATACTGCTCTAGCTATTTCTGGGCACCAAAACAAATCCAGAAAAGAAACTTGGTCAGTTTCTCAAAAGACAGAGAAACTCCACATGACAGTTACAGTTACCTTTCAGAGCTACCTCTGACTGTTGTTCCACCGTCACTTGGAACAGAATATGGCAACGTAAGACTATAGTTTCTCGTTTAATCAAAATAAATCTAAAGTTTCCCCATCTCCCTGCATTTAGACCTCAAAGGCCAGTTCACAGCATAACCCAAACCAGGCTTCTCTCTGTAAGGACAGAGGAAAATCATCAGACTTCCTGTGGAATAAGAAGTAATGTCCTCCTATGAAATAGTACCAATGCAAAAAAGAGAGAAAACATTAGAATATTTCTATTTTGTATTTTCACTAAGACTCAAGAATATAGCAAAGAGAGAAAACTGGAGATCAGATAAACTTACTATATATATATATTTTTTACAACTGTCTTGGATATGATCTTTTATATGTTTGTCTCCCCTACTAAACTATGACCTATCAGCAGGTGGAAACGATTGTTTTATTCATCTCTAAACTCACAGTACCTAGCATAATGCCTAGCACAGCAAGGGCATTGCAATACAGTAAACTTTATTGAATACACGAGGCAAACCACCAATTAAGTTGATTCTATCAGAGCTTATCTTCTTAATATAATTAAAATAGTTTTTATTCTCAATATCTTTATTAAAATATTAAAATTCTTCTCTGTAATTCTTATATTTCTTTATTCTACTATCTATAAATAGAGTAAGTTGGCTGGGCGCAGTGGCTCACGCCTGTAATCCCAGCACTTTGGGAGGCCGAGGTGGGTGGATGACCTGAGGTCGGAAGTTCAAAACCAGCCTGATCAACATGGAGAAACCCCATCTCTACTAAAAATACAAAATTAGCTGGGCGTGGTGGCACATGCCTGTAATCCCAGATACTCGGGAGGCTGAGGCAGGAGAATCGCTTGAACCTGGGAGGCAGAGGTTGCGGTGAGCCAAAATCATGACATTGCACTCCAGCCTGGGCAAGAAGAGCAAAACTCCATCTCAAAAAAAAAAAAAAAAAAAAAAAAGAGTAAATCTTAGATTATGCATATTAGATGCAGATAGTAAGCTAACAAATTAATTACTTCTTCCTAAAATTACTGAGCTTTATTAGATCTCAAAATGTTTGCTGTTAAATCAATAACTAACATTCAAGCAACAACCAATTCCTAAGGATATTATACGGCTAACATGACATAAAACTTCACAGAAACAGTGCACAAGTGGTAACACAGAAACAGGGCGGTGGCTCCCGCCTGTAATCCCAGCACTTTGGGAGGCCAGGGCAGGTGGACTGCTTAGAGCCCAGGAGTTCAAGACCAGCCTGGGCAACATGGCAAAACCCCGTATCTACCAAAAATACAAAAATTAGCTGGGTATGGTGGTGCGTGCTTGTAGTCCCAGCTACTCAGGAGGCTGAGGCGGGAGGATTGCTTGAGGCTCCGGAGGCAGAAGTTGCAGTGAGCCGAGATCATATCACTGCATTCCAGCCTGGGAGACAGAGCAAGACCCTTTATCACAAAAAATTTAAAAAACAAAATAAAACAAATAATATTTCCCTACAGCTCACAAATGTACTGAAGAGAAAATTAAAAACAAAAAGAAAAAAATAAACTGCTTTCCTTTCCTATTCTCTCCTCAAATGCAAAAAAGCCCTATGAGATAATCTTGAGAAAGTCTGTAAGCCAAATATCATCAGGATAATCTTCACTGGGGAACACTGATAGAAAAGTGCTAATCCTATTTGGAGAAAAACACAAAGAGCAAAAATGGATTTTTCAAAGGAAGATTACTAATGTTTATTAGGGTGGCACTTTATTAGTTGCTGGCCTGTCAAAAATAAAAATATAAAATATTGTGTTATTTTTAAAATTCAGGCAAATTGTTACACCTAAGTAAATATATGACTCAATTTCAGTCAAGCCCGGTTTCACATATGGGAAACTTAAAAATTCCGAAACCCTAGCTCTCAGGCCAGTGATCACAACACAAATCAAAAGAGATATGAGGCCCCTGTCATTGTATAGATGAAATTCAACACAACATTATCTCATGCAGCTCCTATAACTCTGTGAGGTAGAGAATACTTATGTTCATATTATAGACTTGGCAAATAACGGTTAGAGTAATTAAGCATAATTATTGAAAAAGAGAATGAAATACATGTTATATTTACTTCCCAGAAAGGTTTCCTAAGCTTTCAGAGGCCCTGGTATTCAATAAAGTATGAGAACTTAGTAAAGTAAGCAAAAGTAGACTTTACTAGGTATGAGACTTTACTAGGTATGAGAACTTGGACTTTAACAGTATGAAACCTAGACTAGTAGATTTCAAATGTCACAACTCTTGGGTGCTACTTCAAGCACCAGCAATATAAAAATTAATAAATACCACTTTAGGAACTCTACTGTTTCTATCAGTAATGGGCCAGGTTTAAAAAAGAAAGTTTACTGTTTGGTGCCAAACAACAGTTGCATTTGGGAGGGTGGCATTAGCAGCTAGTTATTCCCACCCCAGCCCTGTTGGTAGGAAGAGGCGCTGGGAAATAGAAAGCAAGCATCCAATACAGTGTGTATCAAATTCATAGGGCATTTATCAGAGGCCTATTTTACCATCTACAGAGGGCCTTGTAAAGCAGGGGATGATTGGGAGTCCAAGTCTCCTTATTTATAATCCAGGGCCCTTTCCATTTGTAGTAAACTTTTTGGTTACCTCCCCAGTATCTGCTACTTCCTTTTTCCTTCTAATAGTTTCAATTTTGTTTGGTGATCCATGTGGTTCCAGGAAAGCAGACTCAACCCAACTCCACTCCTGGCTTCAAGCCAGGCGAGTCAGCACATTCCATCTCCTTGGCACAGTGACAGGTTAAGAGCTAGGCATTTGACCGAAGCTAGTTAACTAGATGAACCCTCTGGGTTTTGCTGGGGCAAGAATGAAGGAGCCCAGAAAAAGCCAGCAGACGTCTTGCGCTATGTGGAGAGTCAGTCATGGAAGGAAGCCAATGCCAAGAAAGGAAGAGCAAAGACAAAAACCAACCAATGCGTTGAGAACAGGATTGTTCCTTGATTCTCTTGAAGCCAAACCTGCTCTAAGCTTTTCAATTAGAAGGAGAAATGTATTCTCTTTATTATGCCTATTTGGGTTGGGGTTTCTGGTACATGTAACTGACAGCATACCACTATACCATGTGTTCCTAATTCCCTATCCCACAACTAACAATAAAAAATAACATCTCATTTATGGTTTTAAGTTCCTCATGTTAACTTAAAAATATATCATAACCAAGCTGGTTATATATTGAAATGGTATACATCAAAACCACGTAAAATAGAGTGCATCAGGTCCTTTGTCTTTCCAAGCTCAACCTGCCTTTCCAAGCTCAACCAGCCTCTTTGCTTCCTGTGGGACAAATAATGGCCCACTGGATCCCCAGGTAAAGAAGGAGGTCTGCAGTGCTGCCACAACCAGGCAACTTCAATGGCATGTCCCTCCTGCCCTCCACCACTGCTGTAGACCAACTCTATCTGCAGCTGAGAGGAGAGCAGCTGAATGGAGAAGAGGGACTGTTTCCTAAGCCTCGCCTGATGTGGGAAGTACAAAGCCTCATCCAATATCGGTAATTCAGGAAAAACTCATAAGAGTACAAGGTTGAGTTAATCAACATTCAAAAGCCTCACTGCGGCAAAAAAAAACTTAAACATTTGTCATACTTGCTTTACTTCATCTATATAAATACATAGGAATAAATATATGTTCATTTTTTTGGCTGCACTATTCCAATGTATGTCATAGGAATCTTCTCCCTAAATACTTTAAAATGCATCTCCTTTTAAAAAAAGGACATTCTCCTATAGTATCATTATCATATGATAATTACTTAATATATCAAATATGTAGTTACATTCAAATTTTTCCAACTATCTCAAAAATGTCTCATGTAGCTGGTTTCTTCAACCACAATCCAACCAATATTCATGCATTGCATTTGCTTCAACCTGGGAAAGCAAACAAGGCACTACACATTTACATTTTCCAAAAATACTTAACACAGTTCACCTGGTCAAAAGAGATAATTTCTTCTAAGTTTGGCTCCATGAACTCCTGGAGAATAATCCTAAGAACAAAACCTACCTGGGGGGCTGAGAAGCTGAAGAACTTCAGTGTGTTCCATAGCCTGCAGGAAATCACTCAATTCTGTGACTGTGCAACCTTTTTCACCCATTAACTTCAGCAGACACAGGCTGGGGCTTCCTTCAGGCTCCAGTACCTTAAGAGAACACTGCTCCAGGTCTAGGCAACTGAAAGCAACAGAAAGAATTCAAGTCAACAGCTTTCTTCCACATGATACACCTGCTATATATCTGGACCACGGTGGTGCTGTATGGAATAAATCACAAGTGAGTGGGTGGGTGGTGACAAACTATTCACATAATGAATGCGAGTATCCTTTCCTCCTCTTTCATCACGGGGAATTCCTCTTTATTCCCTTCTCCCACTCAGCTCCCATGATTATTTTTTTTTTTTTTTTTTTTTTTTTTGAGACGGAGTCTCGCTCTGTCGCCCAGGCCGGACTGCGGACTGCAGTGGCGCAATCTCGGCTCACTGCAAGCTCCGCTTCCCGGGTTCACGCCATTCTCCTGCCTCAGCCTCCCGAGTAGCTGGGACTACAGGCGCCCGCCACCGCGCCCGGCTAATTTTTTGTATTTTTAGTAGAGACGGGGTTTCACCTTGTTAGCCAGGATGGTCTCGATCTCCTGACCTCATGATCCACCTGCCTCGGCCTCCCCAAGTGTCCCATGATTATTAAATCAGGAGAATGAGAAACCCAGAAACAGGATGTGAGAGAAATTGAGCCTTGATACTGACAAAGGTTTTTTTGCCTTTAATTTAGGAATGGGGAATAGGAAGGCCAGAAAAATTTCCTTACTCCTTCTTCAAAGATGATGAAATACAAAATGACCCCAAATGAAGCGGATAGAACAATCAGTGTTACAAGGTTAGCAATTGAAAAATACTAAAAATATCCTTAATTACTAGTTTAAATAAATTATGGCATGTATATCAAATGAAATACTGTTAATTCATTAAAAAAACTGAGCCTGAGGTAAAGGCATAGGTCTTTAAGACATACTGAGAAATGAAGGAATTAACATAAAAAACTGTGTATAATACACTACTATTTGTATTAACAAGGTAGTATGTCTATGTGTGTATTCATATGAAAAAAGGAAGATACAGAACAGCGTTTGTTATTACCAAGATCATTTGTGTGTGTTCTTATACATGGAGAGTAAACTCTGAAAAGGTATCTAAGAAACTCGTAGCCATAGTTGCCTCACAGAGGGTAAGACAGTAGAGCTCATGGCTGGATGATCTACTTTTCACTATAACCCCTTTTGTACTGTTGATTTTTTTATGTGCATTTATTTTTTGATAATTTTTTTTTAATAGAGATGCTGTCTTGCTATGTTGCCCAGGCTGGTTTCAAACTCCTGGGCTCAAGCAATAATCCTGCCTCTGCCTCCCAAAGAGCTGGAGCCACCACTCCTGGCTCTTTTGATAATTTTTAAAAAGTATATTTAGAAAGAGAACCAGTACTATTGACATTCAAAGTACTTAGGCTGGGCACGGTGGCTCACACCCGTAATCCCAGCACTGTGGGAGGCCAAGGCACGCGGATCTCATCAAGCCAGGAGTTTGAGACCAGCCTGGCCAACATGGTGAAGCCCCATCTCTACTAAAAATACAAAAGTTAGCCGGTGTGTGGTGGTGCACGCCTGTAGTCCCAGCTACTCAGGAGGCACAAGAATCGCTTGAACCCAGGAGGCGGAGATTGCAGTGAGCTGAGATCATGCCACTGCACTCCAGCTTGGGCGACAGATCGAGACTCGGTCTTAAAAAAAAGAAAGAAAAAAACCAAAGTACTTCTAAGTACCTAGAAATATCCTATTGCAGGGACCATGGCCTGTGGGCCAAATGTGTTCAGCTACCTGATTTCTGTAAATAAAGTTTCACTGGAGCACAGCTACACTCATTCATTCACATATTCACAAATGTCTATGGCAGCTCTCCTGATACAACTGCAGAGCTGAATACCTGGCTGCAAAGCCAAAAATATTTACCATTGGGCCCTCTATGGAAATAGTTTGCTAACCCTTCCTTTAAAGAATGTCTTATTGTCCTTTTATTAAAACTATTCTTTTAAAAATACCAGTATTTAACATACATATACAATTTCCTTTTCCATGTTATTGTGTGCAGTAGTGGTATACCAGATTAGAAAGACAGGTTAAGATCAGATCATAGAAGGCCATGAAGAATGGAACAATGATATGAATTGTAATCATTTTATAGAAGGGGAAAGTACAAGTATTAAACATTCAAGGGGAGACAAAAGAATCAAGAAAAAACCGAGCAATCAACGACAGAAAAACTTTCCCAAAGAAACATAACCAACAACAGCCAACCAAAGTGTTTAGATAATCTGCATGATATACTGTAGAATTCACACCTCATCCATCTTTGCAGATCCTGCTCCTTTTCCTGCCAATTTGAATTACAGTCCCATATTAACTCTAGCTTCTCTACAAGGTCCTCCTAGACCACACCAGTCCACCAAACACACTTTATAGACACAGTCTCCTAACTGCACTTATTTTATAGACAACTGTTTTTCTAAGTGGCCAGCAAGGATATATTTTAGATATTCTGGGCCATAGAGTCTCTATCACACATTCTTCTTTGTTGTTTTTTGTTTTACAATTCGTAAAATACAAAAACCAGTCTTAGATCATGGGCTATATGAAACGGGTAGCAGCCTGGATTTGGGCCTTAAGCAGTCATGTGCAGACTTGTTTCATGTTTTATCTCACATAATTTCACCTTAGAACGGTGAGCTTTTCTTCATGAGCATGAAGAAAAGCTGCCTTATCCAACTAGATTATAGTAAACTCCTTGAAAACAGAAACCCCATCATATTAAACATATATGTGTGTGTATACACACACACACGCAGACATAAAATCCCTCAATACCTAAAATTCTGTCTTGTCCATATTAATTATGCATTAATGAATGATTACTGAATGAATTTCAATCATAATTGTCAAGGCTGAAAGCCTGAACAGATGCAAGAGGTGAAACATAATAGTGCCAGGGTGTGACAGAATCAAGGTTAGCAAACTATTTTATTGCTTGAAATATTAATCCTCATTCATTTTGAGTAGTCTTATGAAGATGCTGTCATAGCATTTATACTGTTACCCAAGATTTAAAATTCAGTGATAATGTTGATTATTTCATATGGAAAAAATGTATACGATCAAATTAATTTCATTAGTAATATTATCTACCTCATAGGGTTGTTAGAATTAAATAGCTAATCCATGTAAGAAGTGCTTAACACAGTGCTTGGCAAGTAACAGACATTCAATAAAGGTTAGCTCTTATTATGCAATAAGAATATGGGGATATTAAAAGAATATTAAAGCTAACTTCTTAACTATGCTTATTTCTGAAACAATTTTAGCTTTTCCTTAAACATTTTTTTGAGTAACTATTATTTTGGTAACCTGAAAATGTCCTCTAAGGCCTCCTGTGATCACTATATTTACTAGGTATTCTTTTCTAAGCATCCTAGTTCAATTTTATTATATTCAATATGCCATTCTTGTTAAATGTGAATCATCATATCACAAGTCAACCAGTCTCAAATTCTGGACTGTAGACCAGTGGCAGCACAATCTGCAGTCCAAGGTAAAATGATAAAAATAAGGACAATAAAGCTGTCTTTTATTCTAAAATTGTCTTTTCCATTTTTAGGTGTTAAAGTGTTCTTTCTTTTAAGAAACAATGGTGACTATGATGACAGAAAACATAAAAAGGTGAAGCTGCCTGTTAGTGCTCTTATTTTGTGAAATTTTATTTTACTAGTTTCTGAAATACCCAAGTGAAAGAACCTGTATTAGAAACAATACAAGGATTACTAATTTTGTAAATAATTAGAATGAGATTTGTAAAAATAGGGATGCTGTATGCTAAATATAATTTTTATGATTCAGAAGTTTACCAGGATCTGATAAATGAAATTAAGAAGCCATCTCATCAAATGCAACCAAGTGATGCTTTAATTAATGTCTATATTGATATAGAGAAAATTAAAAACACTTGGCTTTCCTTCCCCCCCAAAAGAACAAAGATCAAATTGAAGTACAGATGATTTCTCTTCCATTACAAGAGGCACAGGAGAAAAAGAAGACTCTGTATCTCTTTTTGTTTTTACTGATTTTCCGTATGGGCACTGGCTTTCAGCTAAGATGATGCTTATACATACCTAACTTTTCTTTCTTTCCTTTTTAAGTTACATTCCTGTAAGAGTGTGCTTTGAAGTAGTTTCTGAAAGTCCTAATTTAGAATTTTTGATTTAATTTAAAAACTGCTTTATGACTGAAACAAATGTACTTTACTTTTTAAAAATATCTCTATTTTTATCTTTAAAAAAATATATAATCAAATAGAATGTATTATACACCCTTTAGGGGACAAACCATAATGCTGTTTTTAGGTTCTTCTGCTTCTCCTCTTGGTACATTTACTATTTGGAATCTTTATTCATTAATTTGATCTATTTCTCCATCACCTAAAATAGGCCACTGTTTTTTCTAGGTGTTGAGGATACAGCAGCAAACAAAACAAAATTCTGTATCTTCCTGGATCTTTCATTCTAGAGAAGTACAGACATAAATTTAAATAAACACAGAGATATCTTTTTGTGTATGTATCCAACTAACCAATGGTCTTAAGTGTTGTGGAGGTAACGCAAGTAGACAGGTAACACTGAGCAGATGTAGAGGGTAATTTTAAATATTATGATCAGAGAAGAGCTCAGTGAGGTGAACAAGTCATGTGGTTACCTGTGGAGACCATCTCAGCCTGAGTAGGCAGCAAGTACAAAGACTACTGTGTCCAAAGGAAGGCAAGAAAGCACATGTGACCAGAGTAGAGAGGGATGGAGACAAGAAGATATCAGGTTGAAGAGTGAACTGGTAGCTAATGGTGTTTTTACTCTGAGATGGAAAAACAATAGGAGAGTTGGCATTTTTTTTTAATGGGGTCTATCTATGTTGCTCAGGCTGGTTTTGAAGTCCTAGGCATAAGTAATCCTCCCACCCTGGCCTCCCAAAGTGCTGGGATTACAGGTGTGAGGCTACCACGCCTGGCCACAATAGGAGAGTTTTGAGCAGAGGAGGAATAAGACCTGATGTGATGTTTTAAAAGAATAATTCTTACTGCTATATTGGTAACAGACTGGGGTGGGAGCAAAGCAAAACAGGGAGAAGTTAAGTGGCTACTGGAATAATCTAGTTGAGAGACAACGTGGCTTGGCCCAGCGTGCCAGCAGTGGACATTGGATTCTACATATATATAGTGAAGGTACAGCAGGAAGGATGGGCTGACAAAAACGATTTGTGTGTAAAAGTGGAGTCAGGAATGAATTCGAAGTTTTTGGACTGAACAACCAGAGGGTGCAGAAACTGAAAGAAAGAGGTTTATAAGGGAAGACGTGTTAAATTTTGGACATGTTATATTTAAGACGTGTCTTAGTCATTCAAGAGAAGATGGCAAACAAGTGTTTACATACGTGAATCTAGGAGTTCAAAGCAGAGAAATGGGCTGGAAATAGAAATTAGGAGTAATCAACCCAAATAAATGTAAAGTCATGGGACTGAAGGATAAGACCAAGAGGGCGAGAAGGAAACCTTTTTTAGTTTATTTGTTTTAGAGACAAGGTCTTCTCTGTCGACCATGCTGGAGGTTGACAATACCTAAATCAATAAAATTCTGTCTTGTCCATATTAATTATTCATAAATGAATGATTACTGAATGAATTTCAATAATAATTGTTGAGGCTCACTGCAGCCTCGAACTCCTGGGCTCAAGCAATCCCACCTCAGCCTGCAGAGTAGCTGGGACTACAGGCCTGTGCCACTATGCCTGGCTAATTTTTTGTTTTTTTGTAGAAACAGGGTCTCAGTATGTTTCCCAGGCTGGGAGGAAACCTTCTGTTAGAGCCTTTTACACGTTCTCATTCCTATAATAAACTGCATGAAAGCAGGATTTCTGCAGCTAAAAGTGCACCTTCTACTCAGCAGGTATGCAATGACTGTTTTTCCATGGTCCAGGTTCCACAGCCCCATTTCTAAGCTCCCTACTTAACAGAATTTTAGGCAGCATTTAGAACCTCCTGGAAGGTCTGCCATCCTTAGGGCTCAGATGTTCCATGCCACCAAAGAATTTACATAGCTTGGGCAAGACCCTCAGAGTCTGTGTCTATCTACACTAACAGCAAAGGGTGTCCAGGTCAGTCTTGAATGGAATCAGGGCCGGGTCTGACTATAGCACATTCCCAAATGTACATGGTTGTGGGGAACTAAGCTATCAACAAGGATTTACTCTGAGTCATCAGCAATGAAAACATTTACAATTATTTCTAATCTCTTGTAGACAGTTTGAACGGGCTCTTTTCTTGTGGTTTACTTATTTGTATTATTAAATTTTCACCCAGTTTGAGGAAAGATGTAAAGTGTCAGAAAAAAAAGTGAAGAGAAGAAAAAGAAACAGAATGGGCAACATTTCGAGATTCTAGGGCTGCAGATCCAGTGACTGAAGAAAGCACTTCACAGCCTCGTGGGACTTGTCACCCACACGGACTAGACACTCACACTATAATTCCTGTCTTTGGCACCAGAGAAAAAATACCTTTAGGACCTTCTAGTATCACAGATCTTCTCCCAACAGCATGAAATCACTTTACAATAACTTTTTTGTCTTAAATAGAGTAAGCATCCCCAGCTGACCTTGCTTCACTGTCCAGCCCCCAAGCTCCCAGTGCTGTTTTTTGAAAAAAAGTCCGTTTAATTCTTCTGATCTCCATAGGGATGAGCTTAACGTTCCCAAATTCTCCAACCCTTCTCACCCCAGCCAACCTCCTCAAAACTAATCTTTACCATCTTGAAAGACAGGTGAAACTCATCTGCCTCTCATCAGACTTCCCACCCCAAATTCTCAGATTCCACAACTGCATGCCCTTTGTGCTTGCCACCTCTTGTTAGGCAACTGTCCCCTTCTCTCTGTGTGACTCCACAGAAAAGTGGCCTCAAATATTTCCTTTAGTTCCCCCAAACAAAGCTAAGACCATTTTGTAGCCTTTAACAAAAACTGACTGAAGGCAGGCGAGGAAAACACAACACCCAACATCAAGTATCCGCTGCTTTTGGATTCCAGCAGCCACGCTTCTTCCCTGGCAGGGCCTTGCTGACTTTCTTCTCTCTCCTTCATGGCCATGTAGGAGTCCTCCATACCTGGCTTTCTTCAGGAAGCCCAGAACCTTCCCTAACCAGAGTACTCGTTAGCACCGTAATACTCTGGAGATCTGCCCCCAAAGACAATTTTTTACATTATGGTAAGTCCAGAAATTCAAAATTTTATGTACCTAGCATAACAATATTTTGTATTTGTTTTTTTTGCATATCCAAAAGCCCAACGTGTTTTTCCTAGAACAGAAAAAAATTATGCCACTTCTCTGCTAGGCCTTGCTAGTTATTCCCTCCTCACATCATTACTCCTTTGCACAAGCAATAATCCCAAGTCACTATTATCCTTTGCCTCAATCCCAAACTCTGAAACAAGAGTTGTCAGGAGGGTTTAAGAAAATAATGTGGCCAGGCAGGGTAGCTCATGCCTGTAATCCCAGTACTTTGGAAGACTGAGGCGGCTGGATCACCTTAGGTCAAGACCAGCCTGGCTAACACAGCAAAACCCCGTCTTTACTAAAAATACAAAAAAATTAGCGGGCTGTAGTGGCGCACGCCTGTAATCCCAGCTACTCAGGAGGCTGAGGCAGGAGAATTGCTTGAACCTGGGAGGCGGAGGTTGTAGTGAGCCACGATCACACCACTGCACTCCAGCCTGGGCGAAAGAGCAAGACTCCATCTCGGAAAAAAAAAAGATAATGCAAAAATAAGAAGAATAAAGAAGAATGAAGCAGCAGCAGCAGCATGTAAACATTTAGTATATTTTGTGGTACATACCATGTCCTCAATAAAAGATAAAAATCCATTATCATTCATACCCAACACAGCATTTAATATGTTATTGTAAAGGTCCCCAAATAATAGTCCATTCCTGGATAAACCCTTATGATTAGGAATTGAATATTTGTTAGTTTTTTATCTTCTAAAATTTCTAGCAAATAATAAGCACTTAATAAATACCATTTTGAATGAATGACTTTCCTCTCATCAAGTATTTACTAACCTCTATACATAACAGAATATTAAGAGACAGTTTTTGTTCTTAAGGCATTTATAAAGATGTGTACAAATAATTATACTGTAAGACAAATCTTTGTCATTTGAGAAGTTCAAAAAACTGCTAAGGGGTTCAAAGGCAGGCCAAAGTTACAACAATGGTATAAAGTAATGGTTCTAAGTGGGGTCTGGGAACCCCTAGTGCAGTTCCTGAGACCCTTTCGCGGGGTCCACAAGGTCATAAAGATTTTTCATAACAATATTAAGACTTTATTTAGCTTTTTCATTCATTCTTTCAGGAGTGGACACTGCAGTTTCCAGCGTTCTGTGACCTGTAATAGTGCGACAGACTGAATGCAGAAGCACATAAACGAATCCAGCTCTGTGATTAAGCCAAGACATTAAAGAGATCTTCAAAATGAAAACCAATGCCACTTCTCTAATAGACTTTTTTGTTTTGGAAAATTTGTTTTTCCACGAAAGTATTATTTCTGTTACCATATAATGGGTTATTCTTTTTAAATAAATTAATATTTTTTAAATGTCTTAGCTTTAATTTCAAAGGTGGTAAATATCAGTATGTATTACATGTATGTATTATCTCTAACCCACATAAGAGCTCTCTGGGGTCCTCAATAATTCTTAAGAGGGTAAAGGAGTCTCGAGACCAAAACTTCAGGAACCCTAATACAGCCATTCCAAACCTAACAAGGAAAATAGTTTTACTTCGAGTTTCATGTTCATGGTGAAGTCAAGAAGAGAACGTGGTAACCTGGTTTGATGGAGGGAGATGATGAGTTCGGCGTCAGTCTTTCCCAATACCTTGCAAAATGTTCATGAATTCCTGCACCCCACCCTCTGCATTCATCACCTCGCCTGCGCTTCTTCCCAGCCTTCCTTAGGTCTCCCAGAGCAGTGTCCACATCCCTTTCTTTTGCATTTTAAGTCCTCTGGATGACTGCCCCATCCTAGGGGTCCCCTGACAGCTTTCCTTCTCTCACTATCCTCCGGGGTCAACCTCGACTTCTCCCTTTCACCAGGGGCGGGGGTGGGAACAGGGAGCGAGGCAGCCGCTGGGCCACTTTTGCCTCCACCCTCCAGAGCCCTGGGCCCCGCTCTCAAACCCCAGGCGTTCCGGGGAGCTGCTGAGTTCCGCTCCGCCTCAATGACCGAAGTCCTCCCCACCTCCGCTCACTCACGCCGGCGGCCCCCGCCGCGCTCAGCCCCACCGACAGCGCCCCCACCTCCCCACCGCAGCCCACCCCGCTCGACCCGCGCGCCCGGCCTGCCGCGGCCCTGAGCTCACCTGAGGCGGAGGCGCCCGCGACTCCCCGCCAGCTCCGCCAGTCTCCTCCAGCCCCGGCCCTCGGGCGCCTGATCCAGGAGCTCGCTGAGCCTCCGCAGCAGCGGCTCCCGCAGGCGGTTGAGGGTCGCGCCGGCCGGAGGGGCGAGCAGCGGCCCCGTGGGGGCGGCCGAGGGCGGCAGGGCCTGTAGCGGGTCCCCCAACAGCGACATGGCCCTCGCCGGCGACCCCGGACTGCCGGGGCTCCCGCCCGCCCCGTCACGGGCCTCGGCCCCGGGGCACCTTCCGCTCGCCTCCGAGCCGCGGAGGCAGGGGCGGAAGAACAAATCTGGCAGCGCGGCACGGCCCTCAGAGGAGGAAGCTCCGCTCCCCGCCCCAATTAGACAGGTTTGCCGAGGGGAGCCTGGCCTGCTGGCCGCGCCAGCCGCGCAAAGGGGCGGGGCACCCGGGGGGCGGGGCACGGAGCCTCGAGGGGCGGGACCTTGGGCCTCGAGGGGCGGGGCGGGGCTGCCTACTGCGTGCGTGCGGCTGCGCGCCTCCCTCGCCCTCCCCCGCGGTCCCGGGCTGGCCGTGGCGCGCGCTTCAAACCCAGCCCTCCCGAGCAGGAAAGGACGGGTGGGTGCAGCTGGAGGAGGAAGCGGTGGAGGAATTACGCCCCGGCAGCTCCTCTACGGCGGGGAAGCCTGCGGCGTCTGGGCTTCCTGAGACCGTGGGAGGAGGCCTGCGTACTCACGCCAGAGAGCGGGGCAAGCGGTTCTCAGTCGCCGGCTCCCGCCCGCAGTCCCCGGCGAGCGCTCTCCCCTGACTCAGGGACTTTCATGTGCCCGGCGACACACCAGCATCCTGCAGTGGGCAACCTCAGCGGACGCTTCCTCGTTTTAGGGTTAGATGTGTATGGCATTGCTAGAGGGAAGTAGTGCTGGAGATCCGGATACTTGAGTTGGAATTGGCCAAAATCTTTGCCTAGACTTTTAAACAATTACTACTTTGCAAACTGAGCTGTGGCATATTTAGGGCTAATCAGATCTTGGAAATGATTGTTTTTAGCAGGAATCATCTGGTTTACACCGCGTCAGACTGCCGCCCGCAATCTCCGTCATCAAAGCAGGCAACCCTGTAGAGGATGCCTTTCCCTGGAATGATCCGGAATGGACGACACCTGAGCTCTCTCTGCCAATCTTAGCAACATCCAAGGCCATTATCCCTTTGAAAACTATGGCTTCGTTTGGGACAAAAAGGAAGTAACTTACGAAATGTGACCAGTCAGGTAGTTCCCTACACGAGGCTTCCTGGCCCAATTTCTGTTGCCATTAGCTTTTCATCACCCAAGGCCGCAGGATTTTCTGACCAGTAATTTGGATACCTATATTCTTATACATGTTGGCGAGGTAGGTGCGCCATACAGTCTCCACCACATTCTAGCACAAGCAGTCATTAAACTTCACTCTAGCATAAGTTAAGAATTCAGACTGCAGTGAGATGGCTAAGAGCATGAAAGATCTGCTCGATTCAAGTGTTAGGAGCTTGAATAAGTTTCTTAATTTCTCTGCCTCATCTATTAACACAGGACTGACAATACAGTTTATATAGAGTTGTTGCCAGAATTAAAGGAGTTGATGTATGTGAAGCACTTAACTCGGTAACTGGCACATCGTAGATGACTCAGTAAATGCTATTACCCTTACACATACAAGTGCCGTTTCATACTCAGTTTGACTTGGCAAGCCTTTCCCAACCGCTTCAGGTGCCTTCCTGTTTTGTCCTCAATTACTGTACAAATATTTTCTGAGGATCTGTTACCTGCATGTGCCAATTATGGAAATAAAATCTTCTAGTCTTTACTGGAATCCTGCCTTTTAATTTAAATTCAACAGAGGTCTTCTAAATTTAGACTTCTTAGAAAAGTCTGCCATGTACAAAGCGTTGCTTATGCAACCTCTCGTGTGCATACGAGTTAAATGGGTGCCAGTGTTATTTACTCTTAGCCAATATAGCTCAGCTGGGCACTGTTTTGACCTCGAGTTGTACGCCCCCACCCTGGCTTCCCAAGTGACTGCCTCCCTCGTTTTACCCTACTCCCAACCTTTTTTTCCACCTAGCAATTTTATACCCTATCCAGTCACTACCCGCCACCCTCCATCCTCTACCCAAACTGACATTACCTTTTTTGACTGGTCTTTTTCTCTCCTCAATCAAATGTTAATATTTCTATGACATAATTTCACTCCTGTGGTTCTCTTATGGGCATAATGGTATAGTAGAATGTGACCTTTAAAGTTAGTCCTGAATTGGAAACTTGATGTTGCTGCCACTTACTAGTCTAGTGGTGGAACTTAGGTGATCTACTTAACCTCTCTGAGCTTCAGTTTCCACACCTGTAAAAAGTGGAAAATAATAGTACCTAATAGTGTTATATAGCGTCAGGGAGAAGTATGTGCATTGTATATTAGTACTCTTAAAACTGCTACATCAATTTTGGGAACAATGTAAATAGTAATTCAGCTTTCTTTTCTATATTAACCGTTATGTTTATATAAAGATAGGAGAAAAATTGGGGGTAAAGATCTGGCTTTTAAATGTCCCTTAAAAGTTCATGCATGTCTATAGATAATAGCCTTGGGAGTTCTTCCTCATTAGTTCAAAGTGAAATAGATCTTTGTAAATCCAGACAATTGGCAGGAAGCTTGTGGTTTCAATATATGGAACTCCATTGATGTAATCTTCAAAGCACTCATAGGTCTGGAAACTGACTCATAGGATTTTTTTCCTTTATACAGTTTAACTATAGATGGTACTCCAACTAAAAAAAAAAAAAACGCCAGAATGATATATTATTTCACAGTTGGACAGGGTTTAAAAGACTCAGTGCAGGAGAAAACCTGCTGGTCCTTGGATCTGTATACAATGGAGGGAAAGGAAGCAGGAGTTATGTGGCTTAAATGGCATTCATGGCCGAGCGTGGTGGCTCACACCTGTAATCCCAACACTTTGGGAGGCTGAGGCGGGCAGATCACGAGGTCAGGAGTTCAAGACCAGCCTGGCCAACATGGTGAAACCCCATCTCTACTAAAGATACACCAAAAAAAATTAGCCAGGCGTGGTGGCACGCGCCTGTATTCCCAGCTACTTGGGAGGCTGAGGCAGGAGAATCACTTGAACCCAGGGGGCGGAGGTTGCAGTGAGCTGAGATTGTGCCACTGCAGTCCAGTGTGGGCAACAGGGCAAGACTCTGTCTAAAAAAAAAAAAAAGGCATTCATTGTCTGCCATCCCTTATTCCATGCTCAGCCCACTTTGTGACCTCTCTGACTCAGCCTCTGTAGGAGCCACTCAGGTGACCCACAGACACAGGCTCAGCACATCCCCTGCAGCCCATTCTTGCCACCATCTTCCAAAGGATTAGGGAAATTTTCTCATTTCGATTTCAACTTTGTAATAGTAGCTAGGCATCATGCTAGTATTCCACACTCTTCCTTCATGATGAATCATCCAGACCTAAATATTTGATCCTGACCATGGAAAGTCTACACCTACTTGTCTAAATTGATTCATTCACTCAATCATTCATTCCGTCATGAACACATATTCTTGGGGCACCAGGCTCTGTATCAAATACATACTGTTAAAGAATAGTTTTTATTTGATTAATTTATTTATTTTGAGACGGAGTTATGCTCTTGTTGCCCAGGCTGGAGTGCAATGGCACGATCTCGGCTCACGGCAACCTCCACCTCCCAGGTTCAAGTGATTCTCCTGTCTCAGCCTCCTGAGTAGCTGGGATTACAGGTGCACACCACCACGCCCAGCTAATATTTTGTATTTTTAGTAGAGACGGGTTTCACCATGTTGCCCAGGCTGCTCTTGAACTCCTGACCTCAGGTGATTCACCCATGTCGGCCCTCCCAAAGTGCTGGGATTACAGGCATGAGCCACCGCGTCCGGTCTTAAGAATAGTTTCTACAAGAAAGTTTAAATCATGATGCAACAAATATGCAATGAACACATATCAGAGATTTTAACTCATTAACTAACAAGGGAATCAGAAAGGTGTTACAATTACTTCAGAGGAGAACCCAAAGACCAGATAAATATGTCAGCCCACTGAAATGAAGTTGCTTCCTAGATGCAAAACTAGCTTCTTCCACAGTGGAGGAGGGAATGCAATTGAACCTCCACCTGACAATTTATTTAATTATAAACAAGATTCACTTGCATCACTATCAGTTTTCTGTAAGTTCACTGCGATCTCAGAGTTGTAAAGTAGCCTAGTCATGAGACAAAGATAAAGACAACCCAGGCAGATGAGCTAGGCGGGATTCCCACACCACAGTTCGGTCTTCACCAGTTTTCCCTTAGAGTTTGCAGAATACAATGTTGACCAAACCCGATGTCTGCTTAAGACAAGGAACAGGAGGAGTAAGTGCTCTGTTGATAGCAAGAAGTATACAAATCCAGGGGAGAGCCCTTCAGTCCATGTGGAAAGATGAGAGGAGATGGCTTGGGAAACAGGGTAGAAAGAATACCATACTGTAGGCTGGCCGCAGTGGCTCACACCTGTAATCTCAGCACTTTGGGAGGCCAAGGCGGGTGGATCACGAGGTCAGGAGTTCAAGACCAGCCTGACCAACATGGTGAAACCCTGTCTCTACTAAAAATACAAAAATTAGCCGGGCATGGTGGCAGGCAGCTGTAATCCCAGCTACTCGGGAGGCTGAGTAAGAATTGCTTGAACCCGGGAGGTGGAGGTTGCAGTGAGCCGAGGTCGTGCCACTGCACTCCAGCCTGGGTGAGAAAGCGAGACTCCGTCTCCAAAAAAAAAAAAAAAAAAAAAAGAATACCATACTATAAAAGCACAGAGCCAGAAAACATCACAGCAAGGTTGGAGAACTGCAGTTGCTCCAGGAGAGCTGGGGATACTGATGGGAAAGGGACAGAGACCACGATGTAAAAGGCAGTGAAGACCAGATTATGTCATGCCAAAAGCTGAGATTTTATTCTGTAGATACATACCTACCACAGAGCCATCTATGCCCCACTGGTGTTATACAAGATGCTTTTAAGTCATAACATGGATGAACATTTTTATCTTAATAGTTATACATTAATACAGAAAAGAAAAATAGCTGCCAATCAAAATTGCCATTTCAACTAATAGTATTGATTAGGACTATATCAAATTTACTTGTTAAAATTTGATTTTGTTTAAGGAAGTATATTAAATACCCAAGAGAACAGGTGGTATGTGGATATGTCAAAACCCCTAAAGCTAAATGTTTACAGTTTGAGAAACACTGCTTTAAGTGATGGAGAGTAATTGAAATATTTTAAGCAGGATAGTGATTTCACTTTTGGATTTTTGAAACATCTCTCGGGCAGCAATGTGGGGAGGGGAAAGAGTGGAAGTCCAAGAAGTATTCTGGTAATGTAGATGGGAAAAAAAGGCCTCCACCAAGAGCCACAACATTGGGCATGGAGAGGAGGGGCAAACTGAACAAATATTTGGGATTATTTTTTACTAGTCTGTGGCTGTGCCTGGTTGCATGAATCACTATACTTTAAAGAATGTTTAAACTTTTTTTTTTTTTTGAGACAGAGTTTTGCTCTTGTTGCCCAGGCTGGAGTGCAATGGCACGATCTCAGCTCACTGCAACCTCCGCCTCCTGGGTTCAAGCAATTCTCCTGCCTCAGCCTCCTGAGTAGCTGGGATTACAGGCATGCGCCACCACACCCGGCTAATTTTTGTATTTTTAGTAGAGACAGGGTTTCACCCTGTTGGTCAGGCTGGTCTCGAACTCCTGACCTCAGGTGATCCACCCGCCTCAGCCAACTTTCAAATGTGTTATTCTACATTCTACTTGGTTTAGTCAGAAGGAAATGAAACAAACATTTCTGGTGTATGGAATATAGTAAACGTGCAGTAGAGAGGGCAATGGTATTAGATTTAGCCTGGTTGTTAAATGAGTAAGTATGAAAGGTAGAGATGACAAATTATTCCCAAGAGAAGATTCATGTAACTGTATCACCAGCAGTTTCTCTGTGATACACTAGGATTAAATAAAGCAGAATTTAAATAACTGAACATTCCATGTAAGTGGACTTCTTCAGAAAAGGCTTCCTATAGTCAGAGTTTAGGGCTGGATCTTGAAGGAAGGGATGGATATGTTCCAAGTGGGGGAAATGAGAAGGGGCAAAGGTGCAGGAGGTGGATTTTAATATGTGGCATTCAAGGGATGGGATAGACATTGTCTTGGAAAGAAAAGTGGCTAATAAAAGGAAATGAGAGTTGTGAGAAGCTGTGGTTGAATGAGGGCTTGGAACACTAGGAGGAATGAATAAGGTTTGAAGGGCCGGGTGCGGTGGCTCATGCGTGTAATCCCAGCAATTTGGGAGGCCGAGGCGGGCGGATCACTTGAGGCCAGGAGTTTGAGACCAGCCTGGCCAACATTGTGAAACCCCATCTCTACTAAAAATACAAAAAATTAGCCAGGCCTGGTGATGCATGCTTGTAATCCCAGCTACTTGGGAGGTTGAGGCAGGAGAATCGCTTGAACCCGGGAGGCAGAGGTTGCAGCGACCCAAGATGAGATTGCGCCATCACACTCCAGCCTGGGTGACAAGAGCAAAACTCTGTCTCAAAATAATAATAATAGGGTTTGAAGGTCCAGGGATATAAGAACAATGGTTGCAAGAGTATCCAGTTGCTCTAGAGCAAAATTTCCCAAGTTATGTCCTGGGGAACACCAGTTCCTTGAAACACATTATTAGTGCATTACTTACAAAAAGAGCTCCATGGCAAAACTAATTTGGTAAACGCTGTGTTAAAGTTTTTCAGGTTTCTTTTCTGTGTGTCTCAGAGCCTTTAAGAAACTGCAATATGTTGTGGCTTCACCGGTATATAGAGTGTCTCCAAACTTCTTTACTTACTGGGCCTGTTTTTGCTAAGTGTGTCCCAGAACTAGTGTTCTATGGATTTTCCTTTAGAAAGTGCTATCTTAGAACATACCTAGTAGATCTCAAAACTCACAGGTGCTGCCACTTCTCCTCTCAGCTCAATCAACTCTCCAGGTGGCACTGACTCTCCTCTGCTTTTCCTATCCCCCTGACCTACCCCAGCTGATGCCCCAAACCACTATCGTTCCACTTCACATCCAGGAATGGTTGTAAAACTTCAGACACATTTTTTAAAAATGGTAAAGCAACAAGAAAAAGGTAAGAGATTCATCAATTATTTGAGACAACAGTGGTTTTCAGTATTGCTTAGACTGGTTGGCAACTTTTTCTTTTTTTTTTCCCCAAAGTGAACTTTGGGATTTCTCTATTTGATGTATGTTTATCCATGTATACATTTTTACAGATTTGTATACATTGAGGTATGGGATTGAAGAACCTTTATAGGGAGACTGCATGTATTTCTGTCTGTCTCCACCCATCCCTGTCTCTGCGTAAAGCATCCCACCTGGCTCCTACATTGAAACAGAAGTTGTAAATTCTGAAGAAACTGTCCAATTTGCAGAAAGGGCAATAGTGTATTGCAAAAGGTGGTTGACATCTTAGAGCAGACACCACTTGGGTAGGAAGGGTATATTATAATGTAGTAAAACATCCTTGCAGTTAATTTTCAGGTAGAAATGTTGAGGCCTGATAGAAAAGGATAGTTTGGCAATGCTTTATGAGATGGAAGACATTTATATGTACTTGTTCATATGGATATAGACAGCTTCTCCTTTCTATTCAAGAGAAGCTATCTGAGCATTAGTATTACAATAGGAATAACACCAGGCGTTATTACAAAAATGGCATTGTGATAGGAAAAGTCTTGAATCAGGCCTAATTTATTATCTACAAAGCAAATCATTAAGAAACTCTGAAACTTAAATTATCACAGGGGACACATTTCAACTGTGGGTGGAAACTTCAATTGGGATGTTATTTCGAATGGAAAATGGGATTTTCAACCGGGTAATAACTACATTAATCCACAGAATAGTTTTTTGAATGTGGGATAATAACAAATGCATTGGACTATCATATAATTTATGAAGAAATTCATTCAATAATATTTACCAACTACCAATCAGTACACTCTTAGGTTTTTTTTTCTTTTTTTTTTTTTTTTGAGACAGAGTCTCGCTCTGTCACCCATGCTGGAGTGCAGTGGCGCGATCTCGGCTCACTGCAACCTCCGCCTCCCGGGTTCAAGCAATTCTCCTGCCTCAGCCTTCCGAGAGTAGCTGGGACTACAGGCGTGCGCCACTATGCCCAGCTAATTTTTGTATTTTTAGTAGAGACAGGGTTTCACCATGTTGGTTGGCCAGGATGGTCTCGATTCCTTGACCTCATGATTCCCCGCCTCGGCCTCCCAAAGTGCTGGGATTACAGGCATCAGCCACCAAGCCTGGCCACTCTTAGGTTTTAAGAGGAATGCTGGCCATATCAGCGTTCCTTCCTCTCCCTTGGCTGTACCTAAGAGTTACATGAGGGATAAAGAATTCCTCAAAAAGCTAAACAGAATTACCATATGATCCAACAATGCCACTGCTAGGTACATACCCCAAAGAATTGAAAATTCTTTAAAAAAATGTAGTATATCCATACAATGGAATCATATTCAGCCATAGAAATAACGACATTCTCTTTTCTTTTTTCAAAAATAAGTGTCTGTTTGTTGTTTTTATTTTTTGTTTTATTTTTGTTTTGAGACAGGGTCTCACTCTGTCTCCCAGGCTCGAGTGCAGTGGCGCCACCTCGACTGACTGCACCCTCCGCCTCCCAGGTTCAAGCAATTCTCGTGCCTCAGCCTCCAGAGCAGCTGGAATTACAGACGTGCACCACCATACCCAGAGGATTTTTGTATTTTTCAGTAGAGAGGGGGTTTCGCCACGTTGGCCAGGCTGGTCTCAAATTCGTGGCCTGAAGTGATCAGCCCACTTCGGCCTTCCAAAGTGCAGGGATTACAGGCGTGAACCACCGTGCCCAGCTTCTTCTATATTTTTGGAGATAGGGTCTCCCTTTGTTGCCCAGGCTAGTCTTGAACCCCTCCTGTGCTCAAACCATCCTCCCACCTCGGTCTCCCAACGGCGTATGATCCCTCCCACTCCTGGGATGACAGGCATGAGCCACTATGTCTGGCCCATAAAAAAGGAATGATATTCTTATACATGCTCAGCATGGATAAACCTAGAAAGTTTGTGCTAAGTGAAATAAGACACAAAAGGACAAATATTGTACAACTTTGCTTATAGGAGGTACTTCACATGGTCAAATTCATAGAGACAGGAAGTAGAAAAGTGATTGCCAGGGGCTAGTGGGAGAAGGGAATGGGGAGGTATTGTTTAATAGGTACAGAGTTTCTGTTTGAGACGATGAAGAAGTTCTGGGGATGGCTGTACACACTGCAAACGGACTTAAGGCCACTGATTTGCACACTCAAAAATAGTTCAAAGGTAAATTTTATGTTATATATAGTTTATCGCACACACAAAAAGAATCATACTGATATCTTGGCTGTAGTCCCCAGAGACAGTGATTTTAATTGGTTTGGGTGGGGCACAGGCAACAGTGGTTTTAAAAGTTCCTCAGATGAGTCTGATGTGCAGCGAGGCCTGAAAAGGGATGGACCATCTCCAGGGCAGCTGGCTCAGCCTTGACTGCATATTAGAATCATTTGGGGAGTTTAAAAATGTACCTAGATCTGTGGCTAAAGTAAAAAAAAATTCATTGTACACTTAAAAATAACTAAAAGCATAATTGGAATGTTTGTAATACAAAGACATGAGAAATGCGTGAGGTGATGGACACCCCATTTCCCCCAATGTGATTATTATATATTGTTTGCCTGTATCCAAATTGCTCACATATCCCATAAATATAGATACCTGCTAGGTCCCCATAAAAATAAACAATTTAAAAAAATATACTCATGTCTGAGTCTTACACCCCAGATTCTTACTTGATTGGCTTGGGGGTGCTGCCTGGTCATTGAGATTTTTTTGTGTTTCCTAAGCTGATTCTAAAATGTGGGTAAGGCTCAGAATCATTGCCCTTGAGAAAGCCTAGGATCATTTCACCTTTGGAGAAAAAGTACTTAACGTATGTCATTGAAGAAATCAGAGTCATGGGGCTGGGGGGGTGCTTCTGGTGAGAGTCAAGGGGCCAAATTCTCTATATATTGCCATGTATGTATATGCAGTCAGAATGTGAAAAATGGGAGAAGCAAAGACCAGTAGAGGGCCCAGGAGAAAGGGAGTAAAGATCCATCTATTAGGCTCACTCCTAAGGGAGAAAGGCTCTTTATTCTTCCAGGCATCCAGCTCCTACCAGCTGCTGCTGCTGCTTTTATTTTATTTTATTTTATTTTATTTTTTTCTGAAACCAGAGTTTTCCTCTGTCACCCAGGCTGGAGTGCAGTGGCACGATCTTGCCCCACGGCAACCTCCACCTCCTGGGTTCAAGCAATTCTCCTGCCCAGCTGCTGGGACTACAGGCACATGCCACCACGCCCAGCTAATTTTTATATTTTTAGTAGAGATGAGGTTTCACCATATTGGTCAGGCTGGTCTCAAACTCCTGACCTCAGTTGATCCACCCACCTCAGCCTCTCAAAGTGGTGGGATTACAGGCGCAAGCCACCGCGCCCGGCCTTCCTACCGGTTTCTAACATAGGCACTGCTCCTCTGCTCCCGTACTCCATCCCCAATCCCTATGTGAACTCCTTTCCCTGCCCAGGAAGAGTTCAGAGCTGACCTTTCCAGCCAGAGTTATAAAAAGCCGGGGATGTTGAGAGTGTCCCAGTGAAGGGACCATAGGCTGGTGCATGAAAAATAAGCCCGTTTACCTTTAAAGGACCACTGAGGTGGTAGACATACACCATCCCCTGATGAATTCTGACCGGCTTCAGCTTTTTCTCTCTCTCTCTCTTTTTTTTTTTTTTTTTTTTGTCTTTTGTCACTCTTATCTGCCTTGGTATTTGTATGTCTGTTCTTCTGTATAGATGCTTTCTTAGTCTGCTCATTAGGTTGCATTACATTCCTGCTGTCTTATTTGTGAAAGCCCTACTCCAGTCCTAGGTCCTTGGAATCAAAGCCAACTAGATGAGGGGTGGGGTGGGGATTTAGACATGCAGCTGAAAGGCAATGAGGGATCAGGGTGGCACCTAGAAGACAGGAAGTGTGGAGACAGTTGATGGCCCAGCTCTGCTCTGGGCCTTGGAGTAATGGTGGTTCCTCGTTAGTCCAACCCATTCCATCAAGGTAGAAGTCTATTATAAAGATTTCAGCAGATGACTCACCTGATCGTAAAGAGACCACACTTGCCAGCAATGTCTTCTGTGTACTATGCCCCTCTTCCATTTACAGGTGTCCTTGGGAACCAAGCAGACATTGACAAGGAGACTTGGGCTTCCAGATCCTGACTCCATTCAGATACAGCTGCCAAGGGGCACAAAATTTAAAACAGAACTCATGTTTTCTAGAAGCCTATGATCTAGTTGTGGAGATAAATTATACAAACAAAAAAGTGACAAGCAAGGTTTTGGACATTAGGACTTCTTTATTGTTGATGTGTGTAGTTCAGTAGTTTTCTGGAGACTTTTGTCAAAGAGCCTATGGATGAGCAAAGAGCAAAGAGAAATAATTTTCCAGGATTAGGAATGGTGGGTGCAGAGAGTTAAAGGAATCTTTGTGAAGACTGATTATGAAGGCATGATTCTTTCTGCATAATAAATTGTGTACTTTATTATTATTAGTTTAAATGTGACAACCATGATCATTCTCGGTTAATATCGACATTACCCTTTGCAGGTAAGCACACTCAGGTAGAAAGGTGGTTAAATACTGTATTACATACCTCCAAGGATGACCTGTTCTCAGTCCTCTGGGATTTCTGATAGAGGGAGTTTAGCAGACTCTTCACAAACTGTTAGGTGCCAAGAATTGATTCAAAGCTCCTGATCACTGGGCTGTTCATTCAGAGTGTGGGAGTTCCTTGGTGTGGTACACTGTAGACACATTTAAACAGAGGGCAGCGTGGACTGGATGTTCTCTGAGGTCCCTTTACTTCCGAGGTTCTAAGTAGTAAGGGACTTTGGATAAGGGAGAAACTTAAAAAAGTTACAGTGGCTGAAGAAAGCCTAAGAGAAAAGTAGGGGCCTAAATTGTACCTGAAGGCTGGGCAGAGTTGGAAGGACATATTAGTTCCTCCAGACAGGAGAACATATGATCAAAGACTACCTGTGGACAATTATCACAGATCAAAGACTAGCTGGGGACAATGATCACAGTGACTGCAGGATGGTGGAATACTTATGAAGCAAATAATATGTAAATAAGATTTATTTGTGTCAGGGAGGGGGCAGCATTTAAATAACCGGCAGTTGAAAATTGTACCATATTAGTTATATGTCTAAAATTAGATGTTCAGAATAAACAGCTATTTCAGAAGAATGGACACAGTATTAAATTAAAATACAAGTAAGATTTATTTGTTGGAGGAAGTGGGAGAGGAAGGTACATGTTCAGTTGACTCAACAGTTTAAATCATACCTAAGACATTTACATATCAGCTATATGCTAATCCTTATATGATAATTAGTAATTAAATTCATTTTGCAAAAACATCAGTGAAAGCTTTGCTGTGAAACAGTTTTGTAGGAGGCTAGTTGAAATTATTGTTAAATGCCTATTTGAAAGGGCAATTAGTTAGACTATTCTGTAGTTCAAGCTTTTCACTAAGTGACTTAGTGAGTTATACTTAATGAAGTTCTGTTATATATAGATCAGAGGTCCGAAGCTCTTGGAAATTCTTATATTTTAATAAAGTAAGCAGTCAAGAACTGTTTAATGATAATAAGAGTAGCTTGACACAGATACATATTTAGTCACCTGTTTAACAATCACAGAATATCAACCCTAAAGAGCACCTTAGCTGACCTAGGCCAAGACCTTCAGCATCAGACAGTCTTGTAGCCTGGAGAGATTTTTCTCTGTCTCTTCCTAAACCTCTACTATAGTGGTTCTTAAAGTGTGGTCCTGCCTCAGCAACATCAGGGACCTTTTGAAAAATGTAAATTCTGGCTGGGTGTGGTGGCTCACACCTGTAATCCCAGCACTTTGGGAGGCTGAGGTGGGCTGATCACTTGAGGTCAGGAGTTTGAGACCAGCCTGGCCAACATGACGAAACCCTGTCTCTACCAAAAATATAAAAAATTAGCCGGGTATGGCAGCACGCACCTGTAATCCCAGCTACTTGGGAGGCTGAGCCAGGAGAATTGCTTGAACCCGGCAGGCAGAGGTTGCAGTGAGTCGAGATCTTGCCACTGTACTCCAGCCTGGGTGACAGAGCGAGACTCCATCTCAAAAAAAAAAAAAAAAAAAAAGAGTTAAAAACATGCAAATTCTTAGGCCCCACCTCTGATCCCCTGATCGACTGAATCGAAACTCTGGGGTGGACCCAACAATATGTAGCTTAGTAAGCCCTCCAGGTGATCCTGATCCACACTGGGGTTTGAGAACTGTTTCCCCACACTACAGCTTCAAAATATCTTGAGGAAATAACTTCTCTTAGATCACTCTTAGCCACACAGAGAAATACTTCCTGTTTTATGTCTAAATTTATCTTCCTAAAGCTTTGAAGGGTGGAGCACACTATCTTCAGAAGTGTAGATACTTTTTTCACATTCCTTTATGGGCAACATGCTAGGGTGCATCTCAGCAGAAGGGTGGCCAAGCCTGGGAGGGGATGAAGACAGAGCTGGCACTAAGCAGGGACATGGGGAAACAAGGGCTGATCTTAGCCATTATTTGATTATTTGATAATCCAAGATTCACTCCAAAGAGGAGCACAGCATAGTCTGGTTCAGCACCTGGGTTTTTAAGACTAATAACACTGAGTCAGAGATTCACAAGGTTGTGGGGGGAATCTTTGGACCTAGGTAGTAGAGATAAAATGACGGGAATCATCTATACTGGCCAACATTGTTCTAGAAATTGTCTGAATAAAGCATAACAGAATAGAGAAGGGTCCAACCCTCTGGGGATATAGCATTGACAAGGAAAAAATGACCTCAGATGACTGGCTGCAATTTAGGGCAGGATTCTACTGCTCCCCTCCCCCTCATTTCTGCCAACCCAGCATTAGCTAAGAAATCCAGGGATCCAGGATGTACAAGTAATGAGGGCGGAAGGAGCACATAGGTGGTCCAACTGTGCTGCTGAGGTCTTCCCAGCACTGTTTGGGATCTGTTCCAGAGAAGGGAAGGACTGTGCAGATAGCTGGTGGCTACTGCTTTGTCTGCCTAGAGTGGAGTAGCACTCTGTTCTCAGGAATACTGCTTTCCACAGTGTGGTTTAATGGGATCCCCCAGTTTCTGACTGATCTGCTTCCCTAACTCAGTGATTGGCTACAGATAGGCATGTTCCCCAAATTCAGTCCTGAGACTTCTGACCTTCAACCAGATGGAAGATCTTGGGTTTGCTCAGGTGGCAAACCTGTGAGGTATGAGTCTGAGCTGTTCGGTGGCCATGTCCCACAGGCTGTGCAGAAGAAGCCAGTCTGTGGTGGGAGAGAGTGGCTGGTGCACTGAGAGAAGCAGAAACAAGAGACAGAGAAAGGGCGGGTGGTGTTCCAGTCCCAGGTGTGGTCAGTCCTGAGGTCCAGCTCATACCCACCTTTCCTGCAGTTCAGTTGGGTGAGCCTACAAATCTCCCTTTTCTGCCTAAGCCAAATTGTTCCTGTGGATACAGTGTCTAACTTCTTGTCATCTTTCTGAAGATGCTTTAACTGGCAAAGCATCCATCAGGGTTTTATTTTGGTTTTAGAGGTAATAATGATTATTTTATTTTATTTTCCCAGTGGATAAACAATCATCCTATGCTATTTTTTTATTGTGATGAAATATACAATACATAAGATTTTCCATTTTAACATTTTTTAGCGTGCAATTTAGTGGCATTAAGTACATTCACATTGTTGTGACATCACCATTCATCTCCAGAACTTTTTCATCTTCCCCAACTGAAACTCTATACCCATTAAACAATACCTCCCCATCTCAGGCAACCACCAGAGGATTTCTAGTCAAAAGTAGAATGGTGGTTTTATTTGCATTCTAATACTTCCCTGAGAACAGTTCTTGAGGCCTTTGAGACATTGGGCAGATTAACTTCAGGAGAGAGATGAGACTCCTAGGTTCCTTCCCATGGCTACACTTTTCCAATTGAAATTCACCAACTACTTTTCTATCTCGCCTCAGTAGTGTGAGCAACCTTAAGTTAAACAGGCAGGACTTGGAGGGTCTAATTATAATGCAATTTTACTTTTAACTCCCACTATTGCTTTAAATGTATTCTGTGGAATTAGTCTTTGTCCCACCCTCGATTAAATTTGGGACAATATGACTATTCCATTTATTCATGTGCAATAAAAAGGTCTTGCAATTAGTAATTAAAATGTCCAATCTTGGGTAATCATCACATAATCAAATCTAGGAGGCTCCTCCTTTCCCGAGCTCAGATGAGAAGCCTGCAGTGAGGAAGGAAGGAGGTAGGCTGTTTCCATGTGATTCCATCTAATGCTTTTACCTTTTTTTTTTCTTTCTGAGACGGAGTTTCACTCTTTTTGCCCAGGCTGGAGTGCAATGGTGCCATCTTGGCTCACTGCAACCTCCACCTCCCAGGTTCAAGTGATTCTCCTGCCTCAGCCTCCCAAGTAGCTGGGATTACAGGTGCCTGCCACCACGCCCGGCTAATTTTTTGTATTTTTAGTAGAGACGGGGTTTCACCATGTTGGCCAGGATGGTCTCGATCTCTTGACCTCGTGATCCGCCCACCTTGGCCTCCCAAAGTGCTGGGATTACAGGCATGAGCCACCACGCCCGGCCTGCTTTTACCTTTTCTTCTGCAGTTTGCCAAGTGTGGTTTCTGACCCTGCAAGCATAAACTGCAGGAAGGGAGAAGAGGTATGGGGTACAAGGAATGCTTACCTGGCTGGTACTGTTATGTTGAGCTAACAGGGGGCTCTAGAAACTTGGCAGATGTTTAGAGCTCTCTGGTGGCCATATTAATAGACACTTCTTCAAAGACCCAACCCTCATCACTGGGTATCTCTCGTTCCTAATTTCCCTAGCTGGGGCAAGTACAGCTCTATTTTGGATGGCCATTTCCTTCTTCTTCAGCTCTTAGGAACTTTAGATTATTTATGGCTTACCCTACTGAGGTTTTGCTGCCCCTCTAGGTAACCCCCAGAACAAGACCTAAATTGATCCTTTGTGCTAGCTCTTGCTTGCATGAGGCCCCCAAAGGGATTAACAGCCCACCAAAGTGGCATTAAAATTACTTCATAATGAAAACATGTGAACAATTAGCAGCCACAGAAAAATATTAAACTTAAGCAGAACCTGTCAGTCAAGAGTTTTGTGTCCTGCCAGAAGCTGACTTCATAAATCAAGGAGAAATAAACTCCTTCCCAGACAAGCAAATGCTGAGGGAATTTGTCACCACTAGATCAGCTGTACAGGAAATGCTCAAAGGGGTCTTAAACATGGAAGTGAAAGGTTAATTTTCACCATTATGAAAACACACAGAAATATAAAAGACACACAGAACTAAATGAAATAGAGATTTAAAAATACGAAGGACTGTTGAAATGAAAAGCGGTTCTTTGAAAAGGTAAACAAAAATGATAAACCACTAGCTAGACTAACAAAGAAGAGAGAAGATCCAAATAAACACAATCAGAAATGAAAAAGGAAACATTACGACTGAAACCACAGAAATACAAAAGATCATTAGAGACTATTACGAGTAGCTGCACACTCACCAACTAGAAAATCTAGAAAGTTCACAGTTCGTATAAAACAGCAACACAAAGGAGGAAAAGAAAGGAATCAAATGGCAACACAACAGAATTTCATCAAACCACAAAGACAAGGAAAGAAAAGAAACAAAGAATTTATAAAAACGACTTGAAAACAATCAGCAATTTGACAGGAACAAAGCCTCCTGTGTCAATATTAACCTTGAATATAAATGGATTAAACGTGCCACTTTAAAGGTAGAGTTTGGTAGAATGGATTTAAAAAACATGATCCAACTATATGCTGCCTACAATAAGTTCACCTTACCCATAAAAACACATAGACTAAAAGTAAAGAGGTGGAAAATGAGATTCCAAGTAAATGGAAATCAAAAGTGAGCAGGAATAGCTATGCTTATATCAGATAAAACAGACTTTAAACCAAAAACATAATATAATTTAAAAAAATGAAGGCCATTATATAATAATCAAGGGATCAATTCAGCAAGAGGATATAACAATTCTAAATATATATGCACCCAACATCAGAGCACCCAAATTCACAAAACAAATATTACTAGACCTAAAGAAAGATAGACAGCAATACAATAATAGCAGGGGATTTTAATACCCCACTCACAGCACTAGAGAAATCACAGAGACAGAACATTAACAAAGAAACATCGGACTTAAATTGGACTTTAGACCAAATAGACTTAACAGACATTTACAGAACATTCTGCCCCCAAACCACATACAACTACAAGGTGCATTCTTTTCATCAGTACATGGGATGTTCTCCAAGATAAACCACATGTTAGGCCACAAAACAAGTCTTAACAAATTTTTAAAAATCAGAATTAGATCAAGTATTTTCTCAGACCACAGTGGAATAAAGGTAGAAATCAATATCAAGAGGAACTTTGGAATCTATACAAATTAAACAACATGCGCCTGAACAATTGCTGGGTCAATGAATAAATGAAGACAGAAGTTAAAAATTTTTTTGAAAAGAATGAAAATGAAAACACATCATACCAAAACACGTGAGATACAGCAAAAGCAGCACCAGGTGAGAAGTTACATCAAAAAAGTAGAAAGATCACAAATTAATGATCTAATGTTACACCTCAAGGAACTAGAAAAACCAGAACAAACCAAACCCCAAAGTTAGTAGTAGAAAAGAAATAGCAAAGATTAGAGCAGAACTAAATGAAATAGAGATTTAAAAATACAAAGGATTATTGAAATGAAAAGTGGTTCTTTGAAAAGATAAACAAAAATGATAAACCACTAGCTAGACTAACAAAGAAGAGAGAAGATCCAAATAAACACAATCAGAAATGAAAAAGGAGACATTACAACTGAAACCACAGAAATACAAAAGCTCATTAGAGACTATTATGGGTAGCTGCACACTCACCAACTAGAAAATCTAGAGGAAATGGATAAATTCCTGGAAAAACATAACCTGCCAAGATTGAACGAGGAAGAAACAGAACACCTGGATTGATATAGTTTGGCTGTGTCCTCACCCAAAACTCATCTTGAGTTGTAGCTTCGACAATTCCCATGTGTTGTGGGAAGGACCCAGTGGGAGGTAATTGAATCATGGGGGCAGGTCTTTCCCATGCTGTTCTCGTGATAATGAATAAGTCTCATGAGATCTGATGGTTTTATAAAGGGGAGTTTCCCTGCATAAGTTCTCTTCTCTTGTCTGTTGGCATGTGATATGTGCCTTTCATCTTCTACCACGATTGTGAGGCCTCCCCAGCCACGTGGAACTGTGAGTTCATTAAATCTCTTTCTTTTGTAAATTTCCCAGTCTCAGGTATGTCTTTATCAGCAGCGTGAAAATGGATTAATACATGGATGGATCAATAACGGGCAGCAAAATTGAATTAGTAATAAAAAAAAAACCCCAAGGCAAAAAAAAAAAAAGTCTAGGACCAGATGGATTCATGGCCAAATTCTACCAAACATGCAAACAAGAACTAATACTGATCCTTTGGAAACTATTCTGAAAAATCAAGGAGGTGTATCACCCTGATACCCAAACCGGACAAGGACACAACAACAACAAAACCACAAACCAATATCTCCGATGAACGTAAACACAAAAATCCTCAACAAAATATTAGCAAATTGAATCCAGTAGCACATCAGAAACATAATACATGGCCGGGCGCGGTGGCTTACACCTGTAATCCCAGCACTTTAGGAGGCCGAGGCAGGCGGATCACGAGGTCAGGAGTTTGAGACCAAGCCTGACCAACATGGTGAACGAGGTCAGGAGTTCGAGACCAGCCTGACCAACATGGTGAAACCCTGTCTCTATTAAAAATACATAAAAAAAAAATTTGCCGGGCATGGTGGCGCATGCCTGTACTCCCAGCTACTCAGGAGGCTGAGGCAGGAGAATCGCTTGAACCCAGGAGGTGGAGGTTACAGTGAGCCGAGATCATGCCGCTGCACTCCAGTCCAGGTGACAGGGTGAAACTCCATCTCAAAAAAAACAAAAACAAAAACAAAAACAAACCCCATAATACACATAATCAGATGGGTTTTATCCCAGGGATGCAAGGAATGTTTAACATATGCAAATCAATAAACATGATACATCACATAAACAGAATTAATAACAAAAACAGATTATCTCAATAGACACAGAAAAAATGCTTGATAACATTTGACATCCCTTCATGCATGATAAAAATCCTCAACAAACTAGGCATAGAAGGAATGGGCCTCAATAGAGTAAAGGCCATATACAACAAACCCACAGCCAACACTATACTTCATAGGGAAAAGTTGAAAGCATCCCCTCTAAGAACTAGAACAAGAACACTTTTACCACTCTTATTCAACATGGTACTGAAAGTTTTCACCAGAGGAATCAGGCAAGAGAAAAAAAAAGGCATCAAAATTAGAAAAGAAGTCAAATTAGACTATTTGCTGTGATATGATCTTATATCTAGAAAACCCCAAAGATTCCACCAAAAAACTATTAGATTTGATAAATGAATTCAGGAAAGTTTCAGGATACAAAATTAATGTACAGAAATTGGTAGCATTTGTATACATCAATAATGATCTAGCTGAGGACCAAATCAAGAAGGCAAGCCCATTTATAATAGCTACACATTTATTATTTTTTATTTTTATTTATTTATTTATTTTTTAGATGGAGTCTTGCTCTGTCACCCAGGTGGGAGTGCAGTGGCACGATCTCAGCTACCTGGGAATATATTTAACCAGGAAGGTGAAAGATCTCTAAAAGGAGAACTACAATACATTGATGAAAGAAATCATAGATGACACCGCATGTTCTCACTCATAGGTGGGAACCGAACAGTGAGAACACATGGACACAGGAAAGGGAACATCACACACTGGGGCCTGTTGTGGGGTGGGGGGAGGGGGGAGGGATAGCATTAGGAGATATACCTAATGTTAAATGACGAGTTAATGGGTGCAGCACACCAACATGGCACATGTATACATACGTAACTAACCTGCACGTTGTGCACATGTACCCTAAAACTTAAAGTATAATTAAAAAAAAAAAGAAATCATAGATGACACAAACAAATGGAAAAACATCTCATGCTCATGAATTGGAAGAACCAATATCATTAAAATGACCATACTTTCCAGGGAAATCTACAGATTCAACACAATCCCTATAAAATTACCAATGCCATTTTTCACAGAATTAGAAAAAATAATCCTTAGAAATTTAGAAACTGGAGTGCAGTGGCATGATCTCGGCTCACTGCAACCTCTGCCTCCCGGGTTCAAGCCTCCCGAGAGGCTTGATTCTCCTGCCTCAGCCTTCTACATAGCTGGGATTACAGGCATGCGCCACCATGCCTGGCTAATTTTTGTATTTTTGTAGAGAAAGGGTTTCGTCATGTTGGCCAGGCTGGTCTCAAATTCCTGACCTCAGGTGATCTGCCCACCTCGGCCTCCCAAAGCGCTGGGATAACAGGCGTGAGCCACCGCGCCTGGCCAACAATGACTCTTGAAAGGATGTTGCCTTCCTCCCTTGAGACGCATTTCCCTTTATTCCTACCCTTCATGTCCTGTCATAAAGCCAACAGCTGAGCGGATGCACACTCTTCAATCCTATGTCGACTATGTGTTTAGAAAAATTTGTTTTTTGTGTGGAACTTGGCCAAAGAAATTCATCACCATAAGTAATTGATAGCCACCAATGAGCATGATATTAATCAATTATGCTTTCATTTTTTTGGATACCATGTTACTATTCATTCTATAGATTGTTCATGCATGTATGCATGTATATGTTCCCATATTTTATGACAGATCACTAAGGCTGTCCTCTGGAATATTTTTTTTGGGGGGGGTCATGGAAGTAGTATGGGCAGCTTGACAGCTTCCTAGCTCAGTGTTCATTTGTTAACACCACATTGACTGACAGTAACTCAGTTTTGTCCTTAGCTGTCTTCTGATATTTTCAATTGATACTAATTCTGGTAACTTCATATTCAGGTGGTTTGAAAATTGAGTTAAACAGCTTTTGTTTAGCCAAATGCTTCAAACTTACTTGCTTCAAAAGACATTTGGGGATAAGACTATCCCTAGAATTTGGAGCAAAGACTAAAGCAAAGACAGCTTAAATGCTCCAATCCTATCATTCCTGAATGCACATCTGCACTGCATCTATCTAGTACAGAATGAAGTAACATAGACTCTAAGTTTTGACTGTAAACTTTTGGTTTCACCCTGTTATGTTTCCTCCCTTTGTGGTTAGCCACTTTGGGAGGGGATTTCCAGAGATGCAGGCTTTACAGTTTGCTTCCCAAAATATTTTGTATCATTTTGTGTGAGAGAGTGCATTGCCTACTCTGTGATACCTAGGCTGCAGAGATATGATTTATAAACATAGTCACATGATCATAATTTGTCCCAGTGATGAGAGGAGGTGCTTCTCCCAAGACCAGTTCTTTCCTAGGAAAGAAGAAACTTAATTTTTTTTTTATTGCAGTAGAATATACATAAAATAAAATTTACCATTTTAACCACTTTTTGGTTTTTTTTTTTGAGACGGAGTCTTGCTTTGTTGCCTAGGCTGGAGTACTGTGGCACAATCTTGGCTCACTACAACCTCTGCCTCCTAGGTTCAAGCGATTCTCCTGCCTCAGCCTCCCAAGTAGCTGGGATTACAGGCATCCACCACCATGCCCGGCTAATTTTTGTATTTTTAGTAGAGACAAGGTTTCACCATGTTGGCCAGGCTGGTCTCAAACTCCTGACCTCAAGTGATCCGCTCGCCTCGGCCTCCCAAAGTGCTGGGATTACAAGCGTGAGCCATTGCTCCCAGCCCATTTTAACAATTTTCAAGTGTATAATTCAGTGGCATTAAGTTCACAAGGTTGTGCAACCATCACCACTATCCATTCCCATTAAACAATAACTCCCTCTTCCTCCTCCACCTAGTCCCTGGTAGCCGCCATTCTACTTTCTGTCTCTATAAATTTGACTACTCTAGGTGCTCATAGAAGTGAAGACAAATAATATTTGTCCTTTTGTGTCTGGCTTGTTTCTCTTAGCATAATGTTTCCTATGATCATTTATGTTGTAGCCTGGATCAGAGTGTCATTCGGTTTTAAGGCTGAATAATCCGTTGTATGTATGTATCACATCTGGCTTATCTGTCATCTGTTGAGGGCCACTTGGGTTGTTTCCACCTTTTGGTTATTGTGAATAACGCTGCCATGAACATTAGTATGCAAGGATCTGTTTGAGTCCCTGCTTTCAGTTCTTTAGGATATATACCTAGCAGTGGAATTGTTGGATGGTATGGTAATTCTGCTTAACTTTTTGAGGAACTGAGGAAAGGAAAACTGTTGCGGTATCATAGTTTTTTCTTCACCAACCACAAGTTGTATCTCCAGGCCCCAAATGTAATGCGACAGAGTATCTCAGAATACACCATTGCCATTTAGAATGAGGCTTGGGGTCAGGAGGACATCTCTTCAGCCTATCAAATGCTCTAGAGCTGGTTTGGTATCTCTCATAAAGGGCAATTCAGTTTGGGGTATCTTGTCTGAACCTGTGATATCTCTCTACAGAAGAGCTCCAGGTCCTTCCCCAAGAGGGCCTTTATTTTTAGGGCAACTATAAAACTAATTCTGTATTTTTGGATTGATGCAGAATGGGGCTTTTCTGGAACTGGACTAAAGTCTAGGACTGCTCTAAGCAAGACTAGAAAAAACACTTACATTTTCCTAAGCTGCTAAATCACATTCATCAAGTCCTGACAATTCTTATTCCTCCATATCACTTGATCCTGTTTTCTTTCCATCTCCACTGCCACAATCCTTGTCCAAGTTCCCCTCATCTCTGGTGAACCTCTGCATATCTTGCAGGTCTTCCTACATATACTCTTCTCTTCACACTGTAGCCAGAATGATCTTTTTGAAATTCAGATCTGATCATGTCACCAACAGGATTTTGGGAGGAACCTAACAAGATGATTATAAAGTTCATATGGAAAAGTAACCAGGTAACACTCAGGAAGTTTTTGAAAAACAAGAGTAATGAGAAGGGGTCAGCCCCATCAAATATCAAAATAGATTACAGGCCAAGTACGGTGGCTTATGCCTGTAATCCCAGCACTTTCGGAGGCTGAGGCAGGAAGATTACTTGGGTCCAGGACTTTGAGAACAGCCTGGGTAACATAGTGAGACCCCATCTCTACTAAAAATAAAAAAATTAGCTGGGTGTGGTGGCATGCTCCTGTAGTCCCAGCTACTCTGGAGGCTGAGGTGGGAGGATCACTTTTGCCCAGGAGTTCGAAGACACAGTGAGCTATGATCATGCCATTGCACTCCAGCCTGGGTGACAGAGTGAGACTCTGTCATAAAACAAACAAACAACAAACAAACAAACAAAGAAACAAATCGATTATAAAAGCTGTAAGTACTGAACTGGTTTCACATCAGCTCATGGATAGGCAAATCAATGGAACAAAATACAGAACTATAAATGAGACGCAAAATAGATGAGAATTTAAATTATAATGAAGGTGGCGATTTGAATCAGTGGGGAAAATTTGTTTTTGAATAATTGGGTGTTGAGACAATTGGGAAAAAATTTGTTTCCTTAACTCACACATCACACCAAAGCAAGTTCCAAGTGTTTCAAGATGTTAAAAAAAAAAATGTTTAAGTGAAACCATAAAAATTCAAAAAGAGAATTCAGGAGAATGTCTACTTTCAGAGTACAAAGGGTTTTCTAAAAATGAAATATCTCAGAATCTTTCAAAGAAATGATTGGTAAATTTGTCTACATACAGATTAAGATTTTCTTTCTGGAAGAATGGAAATGACAAGCTGGTAAATACATGAGGGACAAGGTGTACTATTTCTAATATATATAAAGTGTTCTTACAAATCAATTACAAAGACCAATTATAAACAGGAAAGTCGACAAAGAACATGGACAGGCAGTTCACAGAAATAATTCAAATTATCTGAGTGCTGTAGCTCATGCCTGTAATGCCAGCACTTTGGGAGGCCGAGGTGGGTGGATCACTTGAGCTCAGGAGTTCAAAGCCAGCATGGGCAACATAGCGAGACCCCGTCTCTACAAAAAATACAAAAATTAGCTGGGCATGGTGGCATGCACCCATAGTTCCAGCTCTTTGGGAGGCTGAGGCCAGGCAGGATCACTTGAGCCAGTGAAGTGAAGGTTGCAGTGTGCCAAGATCGGGCAACTGCCCTCCAGCCTGGGCGACAGAGGGAGACTCTGTCTTAAAAAATACAATAATAATTCAGATGGCTTTTAAATATGTATATGAAAAGATACTTCACTTCTTTTTAAATAACAGCAATGCAATTACATAATACAATAATACCAATCCTATCTATCAAGTTACCAAATAAAAATTTCTGGTACTACGTTGTGTTGGCAAAAGTATTTCAAGTCTGACATCTTATATACTGTTAGGAAGAATGTAAATTAGCATTACTCTTCTAAGGACAATTAAAAAATATCTATCAAAATGAAAAATGTATTTCCTGTTTGACCTAGCAATTTCATTTCTAGAAATTTTTCTGATAATTATTAAAGACCCATATACAAAGATACCCTAAGAACATTCTAGAAGCAATGATTAATTCTGGCAGAGGAGGGTGCACAAGAGACTTTCAGAGGGGAATCATCAACAGAAGAATAAAATATCACACACTTTCTTAGCTACAATAAGATAAATTCCTCACTGACAGCCAATGTGTGATACAGTTCATGTATGTTCATATGGATGACTTAAAAAACCTAAGTGAAGCAAAAACTATTGCTTGCTGAATTCTAAAGTTTAGAGAAGGAGCTCTTTGTCAGGCCTCTGTGCCCAAGCCTGCACATATACAACCAGATGGCCTGAAGCAACTGGAGAATCACAAAAGAAGTGAAAATGGCTGGTTCCTCCTTTAACTGATGACATTACCTTGTGAAATTCCTTCTCCTGGCTCAGAAGCTCCCCCACTGAGCACCTTGTGACGCCCCCCCCATCCCTGCCCGCCAGAGAACAACCCGTTTGACTGTAGTTTTCCACTACCCACCCAAATCCTGGTAAACTGCCCCACCCCTATCTCCCTTTGCTGATTCCTTTTTCGGACTCAGCCCCCCTGCACCCAGGTGAAATAAACAGCTTTATTGCTCACACAAAGCCTGTTTGGTGGTCTCTTCACACAGAAGTGCATGACATTTGGTGCTGAAACCCGGGACAGGAGGACTTTTTCAGGAGACTGGTCCCCTGTCCTTGCCCTCACTCCTTAAGGAGATCCACCTATGACCTCAGGTCCTCAGACCAAACAGCCCAAAGAACATCTCACCAATTTCAAATCGGGTAAGCGGTCTTTTCACTCCCTTCTCCAGCCTCTCTCGCTACCTTTCTTTCTTTTCTTTTTTTTTAGACAAAGTCTAGCTCTGTCACCCAGGCTGGAGTATAACAGCATGACCTCGGCTCACTGCAACCTCCGCCTCCTGGGTTCAAGCGATTCTTCTGCCTCAGCTTCCTGTGTAGCTGGGACTACAGGTGAATGCCACCACGCCCGGCTAATTTTTTGTATTTTTAGTAGATGGGGTTTCACCATGTTGACCAGGCTGGTCTCGAACTCCTGACCTCATGATCCGCCTACCTCAGCCTCCCAAAGTGCTGGGATTACAGGCATGAGCCACCGTGCCCAGCCGACTACCTTTCAATCTCCCTCTCTCCCTACCCTTCAATCTCCCTGTCCTTCCAATTCCAGTTCTTTTTCCTCTCTAGTAGAGACAAAGGAGACACATTTTATCTGTGGAGCCAAAACTCTGGCACCGGTCACGGACTTAGGAAGACAGTCTTCCCTTGGTGTTTAATCACTGTGGGGATGCCTGCCTGATTATTCACCCACACTCCATTCGTGTCTGATCACCACAGGGATGCCTGCCTTCATCATTCACCCACATTCCCTTGGTGGCAAGTCAATTGCAGGGACGCCTGCTTTGGCTCCTCTCCTACCTTGCAGCCCAGGGCTGCTCACCATCCCCCTTCTCCGTATCTCTACCCTCTCTTTTATCTGGGCTTGCCTCCTTCACTATGGGCAACCTTCCACCCTCCATTCTCCCTTTGTCTCCCTTAGTCTGTGTTCTCAAAAACTTAAAACCTCTTCAACTCTCGCCTGACCTAAAACCTAAGCATCTTATTTTCTTCTGCAACACTGCTTGGCCCCAGTACAAACTTAATAATGGTTCTAAATAGCCAGAAAATGGCACTTTTGATTTCTCCATCTTAAAAGACCTGGATGATTTTTGTCAAAAAATGGGCAAATGGTCTGAGGTGCCTGACGTCCAGGCATTCTTTTACACATTAGTCCCTCCCTAGTCTCTGCTCCCAATGCCACTCATCCCAAATCTTTCTTCTTTCTCTCCTGGCTGTTCCTTCAGTTTCCACCCCAAGCTCTGAGTCCTTTGAATCCTCTTTTTCTACAGACCCATCTGACCTCTCCCCTCCTCCCCAGGCTGCTCCTCGCCAGACTGAGCCAGGTCCCAATTCTTCCTCAGCCTCAGCTCCCCCACCCTATAATGCTTCTATCACCTCCCCTCCTCACACCCGGTCCAGCTTACAGTTTTGTTCCATGACTAGCCCTCCCCCACCTGCCCAACAATTTCCTCTTAAAGAGGTGGCTGGAGCTGAAGGCATAGCCAAGGTTAATGCTCATTTTTCTTTATCTGACCTCGCCTAAATCAGTTAGCATTTAGGCTCTTGTTAATCAAATATAAAAACCCAGCCCCGTTCATGGCCAGTTTGGCAACAACCCTTAGACACCTTACTGCCCTAGACCCAGAGGGGCCAGAAGGCCGTCTTATTCTCAATATGCATTTTATTACCCAATCCACTCCTGACATTACAAAAAGCTTCAAAAATTAGATCCCAGCCCTCAAATGCCACAACAGGACTTAATTAACCTCGCCTTCAAGGTGTACAATAATAGAGAAGAGTTGCAATTACTTGCCTCCCCTGTGAGACAAACCCCAGCCACATCTCCAGCACACAAGAACTTCAAAACGCCTGAACTGCAGTGGCCAGGCATTCCTCCAGGACCTCCTCCCCCAGGAGCTTGCTTCAAGTGCTGGAAATCTGGCCACTGGGCCAAGGAATGCCCACAGCCCAGGATTCCTCCTAAGCTGTGTCCCATCTGTGCGGTACCCCACTGGAAATCAGACTGTCCAACTCGCCCGGCAGCCACTCCCAGAGCCCCTGGAACTCTGGCCCAAGGCTCACTGACTGACTCCTTCCCAGATCTTCTCAACTTAGCAGCTGAAGAATGACGCTGCCCAATCACCGTAAAAGCCTCCTAGACCATCACAGATGCTTTGGGTAACCCTTACAGTGGAGGGTAAGTCCATCCCCATCTTAATACAGAGGCTACCCACTCCACATTAACTTCTTTTCAAGGGCCTGTTTCCCTTGCCTCCCTAATTATTGTGGGTATTGAAGGCCAGGCTTCCTACAAATCTTCCCAACAGGACACCCTCCTGCTCCTCTGACATCTATTCTCAAAGGGATACCACATATCTCCCTCCAAAGCCCAAATTTCTTCTTCATCCGTTACCTATCTCGGCATAATTCTTCATAAAAACACACGTGCTCTCCCTGCTGATCGTGTCTGGCTAATCTCCCAAACCCCAACTCCTTCTACAAAACAACAACTCCCTTCCTTCCTAGGCATTGTTAGGTACTTTCACCTTTAGATAACTGGTTTTGCCATCCTGACTAAACCGTTATATAAACTCACAAAAGGAAATCCTTAAAAACAGCCCTAGAAGCTGCTCCCACACTAGCTCTCCCTAACTCATCCCAGCCCTTTTTCATTACACACAGCTGAAGTGCAGGGCTGTGCAGTCAGAATTCTTACACAAGAGCCAGGAGTGCGCCCTGTAGCCTTTCTGTACAAACAACTTGACCTTACTGTTTTAGGCTGGCCCCCACATTATTCCTGATACCACACCTGACCGTATCTCTCTGATCCACCTGGCATTCACTCCATTTCCCCATATTTCCTTCTTTCCTGTTTCTCACCCTGATCACACTTAGTTTATTGATGGCAGTTATACTAGGCCTAATCTCCACTCACCAGCAAAGGCAGGCTATGCTATAGTATCTTCCACATCTATCATAGAGGCTACCATTCTGCCCCACTCCACTACCTCTCAGCAAGCTGAACTCTTTGCCTAAACTCAGGCCCTCACTCTTACAAAGGGACTATGCATCAATATTTATACTGACTTTAAATATGCCTTCCATATCCTGCACCACCAAGCTGTTATATAGGCTGAAAGAGGTTTCCTCACTATGCAAGGGTCCTCCATCATTAATGCCTCTTTAATAAAAACTCTTCTCAAGGTTGCTTTACTTCCAAAGGAAGCTGGAGTCATTCACTGCAAAGGCCATCAAAGGGCCTCAGACCCCATTGCTCAAGGCAACAATTATGCTGATAAGACAACTACAAAAGCAACTAGTATTCCTACTTCTGTCCCTCATGGCCAGTTTTTCTCCTTCTCATCAGTCATTCCTATATACTCTCCCACTGAAGTTTCCACCTGTCAATCCCTCCCCACTCAAGGCAGATGGTTTTTAGACCAAAAAAAAAAATCTCTTTCCAGCCTCACAGGCCCATTCTATTCTGTTGTCATTTCATAACCTCTTCCATGTAGGTTACAAGTCGCTAGCCTGCCTCTTAGAACCTCTCATTTCCTTTCCATCGTAGAAATCTATCCTCAAGGAAATCACTTCTCAGTGTTCCATCTGCTATTCTACTACTCCTTAGGGATTTCTCGGGCCCCCTCCCTTCCCCACACATCAAGCTCAGGGATTTGCCCCTGCCCAGGACTGGCAAATTGACTTTACTCACATGCCCTGAGTCAGAAAACTAAAATACCTCTTGGTCTGGGTAGACACTTTCACTGGATAGATAGAGGCCTTTCCCACATGGTCTGAGAAGGCCACCACAGTCATTTCTTCCCTTCTGTCAGACATAATTCCTCAGTTTGGCCTTCCTACCTCTATACAGTCTGATAACGGACTGGCCTTTATTAGTCAAATCACCCAAGCAGTTTCTCAGGCTCTTGGTATTCAGTGGCTCCTGGTTTTACCTCAAACCGCCACCCGTAAGTCTATCTTGAAGTGGATAGAAGATCTTCAGTGGCAAGGTACACTCCAATACTTTCACCCTGATGAAGTCCTATTCTTTACTTTTATACCTATTCTTTTATACTCACTTTTATACTCACTCTTATTCTTGGTCCCATTCTTATGCCACCCTCTACCTCTCCCCAGCTATCTACACCACACTATCAATCTCACTCACTCTCTCGTAGCCATTTCTAATCCTTCTTTAACAGACAATTGCTGGCTTTGCATTTCTCTTTCCTCCAAAATCTCTGAGGCCTCGACTTACTCACTTCTAAAAAAAGAGGACTTTGTATATTTTTAAATGAAGAGTGTTGTTTTTACCTAAATCAGTCTGGCCCGGTATATGACAACATAAAAAAACTCAAGGATAGAGCCCAAAAAACTCACCAGCCAAGCAAATAATCACGCTGAACCCTCTTGGGCACTTTCTAATTAGATGTCCTGGGTCCTCCCAATTCTTAGTCCTTTAATACCTGTTTTTCTCCTTCTCTTATTCAGACCTTCTGTCTTCTGTTTAGTTTCTCAATTCATACAAGACCTCATCCAGGCCATCACCAATCATTCTATACGACAAATGCTCCTTCTAACAACCCCATAATATCGCCCCTTACCACAAAATCTTCCTTCAGCTTCATCTCTCCCATTCTAGCTTCCCACGCTGCCCCTAATCCCGCTCGAAGCAGCTCTGAGAAACATTGCCCATTATCTCTCCATACCACTCCCCAAAATTTTCGCTGCCCCAACACTTAAGGACTATTTTGTTTTATTTTTCTTATTAATATAAAAAGACAGGAATGTCAGGCCTTTGAGCCCAAGCCTGCACATATACATCCTGATGGCCTGAAGCAACTGAAGTGAAAATGGCTGGTTCCTCACTTAACTGATGACATTACCTTGTGAAATTCCTTCTCCTGGCTCAGAAGCTCCCCCACTGAGCACCTTGTGACCCCTGTCCCTGCCTGCCAGAGAACAACCCCTTTGACTGTAATTTTCCACTGTCTACCCAAATCCTGCAAAACTGCTCCACTCCTATCTCCCTTTGCTGATTCCTTTTTCGGACTCAGCCCGCCTGCACCCAGGTGAAATAAACAGCTTTATTGCTCACACAAAGTCTGTTTGGTGGTCTCTTCACATGAACGTGCGTGACACTCTTCGAGATTTTTTTCTGGGACTGACATTAATTTTTACATGAATTCCTCTCATATAAATACCTGTATTTCCCTGTCTATGAGTAATCCTACACTTACACATTTTCTGATGAAGCGTACTATCACATCTGCCCTCAGGACCAACTCTATAATTGACAGGGCCCATGGCACAGTAAAAATGCAAGGCCTCTTGTCTAAAAATGTGTAACTTCAAGATGGTAACAACAGAACATTTAAAAAGCACAGAATCTTTGTAAATAAGGGGCCCTGTGTGTCTGTACAGGTCACGGGAATGCATGCTTTCCATTAATTATATTTCATCCATACTAAACTATTTTTGCAGTTCTCTTAAACAAGCCAAGTTTTTACTCATCACTTTGCACAAGCTGTTGTTTTTATCCGAATATTCTTCCATAGACCCTGCATCCTCCTCCCTGACGCTTCTGCCCATCCATCAAAAACCCTCAGATGTCATTTCCATGAGGCATTCTTTGTTCCAATCCTGGTAAGTGTCCCTTCCCTAGCTCCCTTGGCTACCTGGGCATATCTCCCTAAGGGCAGGAATTTTGTCTCTGCAAATCTGCTTGCCCAGCCCCTATCATAGTGCCAATTACCAACCGTTAGTGGATACTTCCTACATAGCAAGTACGGTGTTAGGAATGTGCATAAGTAGCTCACTTAATCCTCACATAACCCAAGGAAGGAGCTGTAATCATTCTCTTTTAACAAAGGAGACTCTGGGAGATAAAACACGTCCAGGTTCACACATCTTGGGGCAGAGGTGCTAATAAGAGTGAGCTGAAGTTAATATTATTTATTCTCACTAGTAGCCTAAACCATGATAGATTAGTAAGCCTACATTTGAAACAGCATGGTGTAAACAAACCCCAGAAAACAGGTAACTTCGCTGATCAGACTGCTTCCTTTATTTAAATAGTACGAGAGTACATTTGCATATTAAACAGGGTGGTTTTTACTGCCCCACTCCTTTAGTGATGATGGTTGAAACTCAGAATCAACCTTTGAGTTTCATTGCTTTGAGGTAAATGTTTGCTCTCTTTGGGCATTCTCTTTAAAATGCAAATGTTCTCCAATGTTAAAGCATTAAATTCCTAACAGTATATTGAGTATGAATTTTTCACAGACTTTTACTCTAGCCTAAAGCAGACTGGAAAAATACTGGGCAGAAAATGATTACACAATCTGGTGAAATGTGGTTGATTGTCTATAAATGTCTTAAAGTAGTGATTCATGGTGTACTGTTCACTGGGAGCTTATTTAAACTGTTGATTTGTGGCCCTGTATTCAGATCCGCTGAATGAGAGTCTCTGGGTCCTTAAAATCTGCATCTGAATGAGAGCCTCGGGTGATTCTGACGCATAGTAAAGTTCAAAGCTAACTGCTTTAAGGTCTATTAAGCTTACAATAAGATGAGATGAAAATATCCTGCAGTCTATGTTTTGTTCTTCTCACTACTTTTATACTGATATGAAAATTATAGGGGAAAATGGTCCCACAATATTACATGGTCAGGGCAGAGGAAATATTGAAAATGGGGAGAAAAGGAGATTGAAAGAAAAGGCCTAGGAAATGACACTTCAAAAATTCAGTTTTTGGCCGGGTGCAGTGGCTCATGCCTATAATCCCAGCACTTTGGGAGGCTGAGGCAGGAGGATCGCTTGAGCTCAGGAGTTTAAGACAAGCCTAGGCAACATGCTGAAACCCCATCTCTACAAAAAATACAAAAATTAGCTCAGTGTGGTGGTGTGCATCTGTAGTTCCAGCTACTAGGAAGGCTGAGGTGGGAGGATGGCTTGACCCCAGGAGTTGGAGGTTGCAGTGAGCAAAGACCATGCCACTACACTCTAGCCTGGGCAACAGAGCCAGACCCAGCCTCAAAAAAAAATTTTTTTTTTTTTTTTTAGTTTTTCCTGGGGCTGGTGCTGTACCTGTTAAGGCTTCTTAGAATAACTAGGATTGATCTTACATTCCACCTTAATCAGTGCCATTTGCTAAGTTAGTCTTTTGAGAGCGAATGAGCATATACTGCAGTGAGAAGACCGTGTATCTAAGAGCCATCCATTCATTCACTCAAGGACTGTCATTTGAGCCAGTGCAAGCCAAACACTACACTAACTGCTGGAGATAGAAGGGTGAGCAAACATCTCATAAGACTTACAGACTGGTTGGAGAGAGAGGCAACAAAATTAGACATTGATATTGATATTTGTCTTCAAAACTTTAGGAGTAATAGAATAAATTGCTATGTTAATGACAAAAACGGAAAGCGAGTTTGTTATTGCATTTCAGCTTTATGATATGGGGAAAAGTGAAAATGGGGACTTATGGGGTTTGAGACTTTTTTTTTCTTTTCAGCCAAGCAATGGGTAAGAAAGCATTGTGGCACAAGTAATGAATTCATCAGCAATGTAAATGGTTCTCTGAACACCAGGAATTAATCTGTTTTAATGGTGTGGTTTTCAGAATGCAGCAGAATTATCTCCACTTCCTACTCCACCAGTTCTTTGAGTATGTCTGGATCTTTGTCTGAATCTGTGAAGTGAGTAAAATGAGGAAGTTGGATGGGGTAGTTGAAAAGTGCTTTTGAAGTTATTCTTGTTCTTCTGTAACCTAGCCCAGTGGATTCTTCTTGGCTGATGCCTAGATAGAACCGATTTATTAAGACAAGAGAACTGCAACAGAGAAAGAGCCGGCTAAACTCAGGAATGTCAAGTGGAGATGTTTTAGCTTTATTCTATTTGTGATGGGGAATCACAGAAGATTTATAAGCAAGAGAGAGAGAGAGATGAAAAACAAGTGTCTAAGAAGATTGGCCCGTTGGCTGTCTGGGCAGTCCCCACGATAGTGTCTGTGGTGCTGGGAAGGGGTGGTGATGGCAGATTTGGCAAGAGGAGACTCGGAGGCTATTGCTAAGGTCTCATTACCGATGGGTAATAGACAGAAAAAAATGGATTCATAAATGAACACTGATAAAGCAAATGAGGATGAGAAGTGCTTCTGTAGCACACACACTTTAATTGGTAGTTAAATTATTCCTGTCACGTGCAGCCACATTTGCAGATTGGGAAGACAGTTTTTCACCCTGTAGTGAAGTTCTTTTTGTCCTCAGGAAGACAGGTTTGGACAGCTTACGAGAAAGGGGGCTGTGGAACACAGACAGCGGAAAGGGCCAAGTTATCAAGGGTGTAGTCATGGCCTCTCCTGGGGGCAACAAAGATGGGAGTTCGTGGGGCTGGCAAAACTGAGCCCAGAACTCAGCCTCATGGATCTTTTACACCAAGAAAAGGACTAGTTGCATGAGGCTTGGATGAGACTTAGGAGCTCCAGAAAGGGGAAAGAGGGCAACTGGGGTAGACTATGCTTCAGAAAGCTGTGGCTTGGAGTGAACTTCCTTTGTGAAATTTTGCTACAGGCAATCCTGATTGATCAATCAGGTAGGATTGATCAATCTCTCAATTGGCCATGTAACCATAAAAGTAAATGGTAGGGACAGGAAACATAATATTTTGCTAAAAACTCTGACTTAAGACCAGGTAAGCTTCATTATGCCTTTTATAAAAAAAGAATGTCATTAATAAGAACTTGGGCACTGCCTTCTTCAAGACTCCCTGACCAGCCAGTAGCAGGTGGTAACAGAGTCCAGGAGCCCCATCTCCTGACCTTTGCAGAGCTCCTAGAGAACCCTGTTCTCCCTGCCGCCTTTCCATTTGTTGGAGGACAGGCTCCACACTGTCTTGGTACATAAGGGAACAGCATAGTAACACTGTCAAATGAGCAATGGGACAGGAGGCGGCTGGTGATAATTCTTGCCTTAGACTTTTGGCTCTCTGGGTACCTGTCACGAGGAATATCATGTTCAGGAGGATTTACTCACTAGGTATCTGCTTCTCAGACTCGTGGGGATGAAAATCTGGAGTAGTCGTTCAAGTCATAGTTTTATCAAGTAGGTTTGATGCTTTGAACGTGACTTAAGAATAAAAGTCAGAAAATATTCTATTGTAGGGCAAGATAAGCAAGGGATCCACTAACTGTTTTATTCTATTGTTTTACATTTTTTAAAACAATTGACCCAGCATTTTGGGAGGCCAAGGCGGGTGGATCACTTGAAACCAGGAGTTTGACCAGCCTGGCCAACATGGTGGAAGCCCGTCTCTACTAAAAATACAAAAAAAATTAGCTGGGAGTTGTTGTGCGTGCCTGTAGTCCCAGCTATTGGGGAGGCTGAGGCAGGAAAATTGCTTGAACACTGGAGGTGGAGACTGCAGTGAGCTGAGATTGTACCACTGCACTCTAGCCTGGGTGACAGAGTGAGACTCCGTTGCAAAAAAAAAAAAAAAAAAAAAAAAAAAGATTGAGACAGGGCCTCACTCTGTCACCCAGGCTGGAGTGCAGTGTGGCACAATCATGGCTTACTGCAGCCTTGACCTCCTTGGTTTGAGTGATCCTTCTCCTTCAGTCTCCTGAGTAGCTGGGACTACAGGTGCATGCCACCATGCCTGGCTAATTTTTTTGGTAGAGACAGGATTTTGCTATGTTGCCCGGGCTGGTCTCAAACTCCCGGCCTCAAGTGGTCCTCCCACCTTGGCCTCCAAAGTGCTGGGATTGCAGGCTTAGGCCACTACACTCAGCCATAAACAGTGTTATTGAGGGATAATTTACATAAAATTTTGTCATTGTTAGTGTACAGTATAATAATTTCTACTATATTTATGGGTTTGTGCAACTGTTATCATACTTCAGTTCAAGAACAGTCCCATCATCCCAAAATATTCTTTCATGTCTATTTGCAGCTAACCCTGCTTCTCCCAACCTTAGAAAACCACCGATGTTTTGTCTCTATAAATTTGTCTTTTTTGACTTTCATAACATTGGAATATTTCAATATGTCGTCTTTTGTGTCTGGCCTTTTATAGTTAGCACAGGGTTTTTGAGGTTTATCCAAGCTGTAACATGAATCAATTGTCCTTTGCTTTTTGTTCTTGAATAGTACACGGGCCATAGCTTGTCGTATCCATTCATTGGTTGACAGACATTTGGATTGTTTTCAGTTTTTGGCATACAGGTTGTTATTTGAACTTGTGTTGTTATTTCTCATAGGGAGGGTTCTAGGAGTGGAATTGCTGAGTCATATGGCAAGCTTGTGTTTAACGTTTTAAGAAATGACCAGTTATTTTCCAAAGTGGCTGTGCTACTTTACATTCCCACCAGCAGTGTATTAGGGTTCCAGTTTCTTCTTCACATCCTCATTATATTTGGTATTGTTCGTCTTTTTTTTTTTATTATAGCCATCCTTGTGGGCATTGTGGTTTTTTTTCAATATGTTTTTTTCTATTTCTTTGTTTTATTGTGTTTCCATTTTAATATGCATTTCTTTATTGATTAAAGGTGTTGAGTATCTTTTTTTTCTTTCCAGACAAAGTCTCACTTTGTTGCCCAGTCTGGAGTGCAGTGGCACAACCATGGCTCACTGCAGCCTTGACCTTCCAGGTTCAAGTGATCCTCCCTCTTCAGCTTTCTGAGTGGCTGGGTCTGCAGGTACACACCACCACACCCAGCTAATGTTTTGTTTTCATTTTTTTGGTAGAGATGGGGTATTGCTATGTTGCCAGGGCTGACCTAGAACTCCTGGACTAAAGCAATCCTCCCACCTTGGCCACTCAAAATGCTGGGATTACAGGTGTGAGCCAGTGTGCCTGGCCTAACGTGTTGAGCATCCTTTCATGTGCTTATTAGCCATCTATAGATTTTCTCTGGCGAAATGTCTATTCAAATCTTTTGCCCATGTTTTAAATTGGGTTTTTGTTATTTATTTATTTATCTATCAAAAGATGGGGTCTCACTCTGTTGCCCAGGCTGGAGTACAGTGGCATAATCGTAGCTCACTGCAGTCTCAAACTCCTGGGCTCGAGCAATCTTCTCACTTCAGCCTCCCCAGTAGTTGGGAGCACAGGCACATGCCACCATCCCTGGCTATGGGTTTTTAATCTTTTTATTGTTGAGTTTCATGGGTTTTTAAAATATATGTTCTGCTCTCTCCGCCTCAGCAAACCAATGCACAAACAGAAAACCAAATACCACATGTTCTCACTTACAAGGGGAGCTGAATGATGAGAACACATGGACACGTGGCAGGGTACAACACATATTGGGACCTGTTGGGGGCTGGTGGGGAGGGTGAGCATCAGAAAGAATAGCTAATAGATGCTAGGCTTAATAACTAGGTGATGGATTGATGTGTGCAGCAAATAATCATGGCACATGTATGCCTATGTAACAAATCTGTACATCCTGCACATGTACCCTGGAACTTAAAATAAAAGTTGAAAAAAAAAATAAAATAAATAAAATATATATTCTGGCTGTACATCCTTCATGACACATATGATTTGCAAATATTTTCTTCCAGTGTGTGGCAGGTAATGATGGCTTTTGAAGCACAAAAGTTGCACTTAAGTTTCTTCCATTTTCAAGTCTGCCTGATACTCACTTTTTGTTGGGCCCTTTCATGTCTCCTCTGAACATGCTGGGAAAGTGTGGATAGCCAGGTTCCCCATGGTCTGCCCTGCACACACATGCAGCCCGCATCAGCCAGATGCTTGCCCCAATCCCACTCCACTCGCCTGCTGCCAGGATCATATCCATCAATAACACTGCTGGGCGTAGGTGTTGTCCACTGCTTCAAATCCAGCAAACCCCCTTGACCATGGCAGTGAAAATGCCAGTGCTTACAGGTGGCCCTGGTAGAACCCCTGTGACAGCAGAACAGGGTGGGGGAATGGGAGCAGCTCCAGGCAAAAGCACTGCAGAGACTCACTGTTAGTAACCAAAGCTGAGAAGTTTTCCAATCATAAATGCTTCTCAAATTGTTATGTCTTTGGTTGATGAAAATATCCAGCAGTTTTAGTAATGAGTATGTTTTGCTCTTACAATCAGAAAAAAGACCAAAGTAAACTGTTCCAAAGTAGTACATATAACATATGCAAATATTTTTAAAATTTTAAGTTTTCACACTAACTAATGAATTTTACTTAGCATTTGTGAAATAGGGCCTCACATTTACAAAATTGGAATTTTGCTCCTGTTCTGAGAGTTGCAATGCATTTTTGTGGTTGTTCTAAAACTGAAACTGAAGCACTAGAATAAACCATGACAAACTTTTATCTTGGAAACTTGGGTACTTTTTGTTCAGGTACTTAGATTCTCATATTTTGTTACATTGAATTTTGAGCTGGTTTTGCTATTTTGGTTTTACATAGCTCAAATACAGTCCTTCAGGAACATGATGGATAAAATACTTCTGTGTCTGTGAACCTAACTACCACTTATAATTTTGCTACTCTGGGGGAAAATGAATTCCAGGTTCCGAACAACACTCATATGCTTGAAAGATCCCTCTCAGATATATCAATTCTGATAAAATTGCATTTTTATTGTTGTTTTGCAATTTTTTTTTTGAGACAGGGTCCCACTCTGTTGTCCAGGCTGGAAGGCAATGGCACAATCATGGCACACTGTAGCCTCGACCTTCTAGGCTCAAAAGTCCTCCCACTTCGGCCTCCTGCGTAGATAGGACCACAGGTGCACACTACCACACCCGGCTACTTTTATGATGTTTTGTAGAGACAAGGTCTCACTATGTTACCCAGGCTGGTCTCAAAGTCCTGAATCCAAGCAATCCTCCTGCCTCAGCCTCCCAAAGTATTGGGATTACAGGCATGAGCCAGCATGCCTGGCCTGTTTTGCAAATATTTTTAAATTCCGTCTTCTCATTAAGAATATTATAGAAAGATGTTACCCGGGATGAAAAACATCATGAGAGAACAGAGTTTCATTTACATTCATATTTCTTTTGCCACTGCACTTAAGGGGAGAAAATGCCTGTTTAGTTGACCTACCCGAGTGACTGGCAGCTATTTTAAATAGATGAACTGGGCTGGGCACAGTGGCTCACGTGTGTAATCCCAGCACTTTGGGAGGCCGAGGCAGGTGGATCACCTGAGGTCAGGAGTTTGAGACCAGCCTGACCAACATGGTGAAACCCCGTCTCTACTAAATACAAAAAAGTAGCTGGGCGTGGTGGTGCATGCCTGTAATCCCAGCTACTTGGGAGGCTAAGGCAGGATAATTGCTTGAACCCAGGAGGCAGAGGTTGCAATAAGCCGAGATTGCACCATTGCACTCCAGCCTGGGCAACAAGAGCGAAAACTCCGTCTAAAAAATAAAATAAAATAAAATAACTGAATGAAGGTTGCAAATGCATGATTCAGGTCACATCTGCTAAGGGGAATCCCTGGACCCTGGATAGGGATGAATTGTTGGGGAGGGAGGTTCTCAGTGCTCCAGAGAGCTCCCCAAACACTGACAGTTCTCACTGCAGCAGGAGTGACCTGCTCAGTTCCAGCCTGGCCCGAGGACCCTGGCAGAGTCCCTGATCTGCCACGTGATTGGTACTAAGCCTCCGCCAAGAATATGCTTTACTGGCAAAGACTGTGCCATCAGCCTTGCCACTAGTGTTCAAGGGCCTTCCATGCCAGGAAGAAGAAAATGAGCAGATAAACCTCTCACGTACCAATCCCAGTCCACGTTATAGGAGCACAGAGCAGCATAAGAGCCTAATGAATTTGCTTTAATTGTTCAGATTAGTTGGGAACTGATTTGATCCCAGTCTCCAGCAGACCTAGGGTGGTCGGTGAACCAAGTGGCGCTCATTCATTCAAGAAACCGAGAAAATAACAGTTGGAACTTGGGAAAGCTGAAAAGGCCTTTCAGAGAGAGAGAATAAACATCTGATACAAAAATACATTTCCAACTCCATTCCTTAGAAGGAAAATCTTCCTAAAATTAAGTTTTAAGAAAATTCTTCCTATAGTTTCAGAAAAATAGAGATTAAACACAATTTCTTATACTCTACATTACTTTACTTGGAATAATGCTAAACATTTTTATGTCTTTACTTTTAATCTCAAACTCACGTGTTTTTTTCAATTGAGGTATTTTACTGAATTATTAAACATCACACATAGGTCTGGGGAATCATCTGGCATCTTGTTTGTGTAGCTGGACAACTCTTAGATCTTATTTATCAGGCTGCTGAACCGTTCCTTGTTCAGAGATACAGATACCCTCCAAACATTTTCTGATTTTTTTTTTTTGAGGTAAGATCTCACTCTGTCACCCAGGCTGGAGTGCAGTGGGCATGAATACGGCTCACTGCAGCCTCAGCTTCCTGGGTTCAAGCCATCCTCCCACCTCAGCCTCTCAAGTAGCTGGGGCTACAGGCACACGCCACCACACCTGGCTAATTTTTGTATTTTTTTTGTAGATGGGGTTTCACCATATTGCCCAGGTTGGTCTTAAACTCTTGAGCTCAAAGGATTCACCCGTCTCAGCCTCCCAAAGTGCTGGGATTACAGGCATGAGCCCCTGCTCTTTGCCAATATCCTTGTTTTTAACTGTTGTGGCTTGCTGAATTAAAGCAGCTGAATTTGAAACAAGTTCAATATCATTTCCTTCAAGAACTAACTCGTCTTTCTGGGCTTGAGATACTGAATGAGCAACACCTGGCCTCATCCAAACCCTGCAGATTTATTTTTCACCCAAGAAATTTCAGATTTCAACAAAAGACTCCTGGCTAACAATGTTGATGGGGAAGTGCGCATGCACAGCTCTCGTCTTACAACAGAAGCCCCGTGCAGCACCCTGGATCATGTTCTGTTTGTGACTACAAATAGTGCCAATGGTATCCAGGTCCTTTCTATTTCCCCACACTTTGTCAACCTGGAGCCTCTTCTTTTCCTTTCTAAGGAGACTGAATTCTCCACTGATGTAAGTGAAGTCCCTCCACAGGGTTCCTCTGGGGCCCTTCACAATAACTGTGTCCCTTCGGAGTGATGTTGACATCTTTGGGAATGTCAAGAGTCTGATTGCGAAGAATGGTCTTCAATCTTGCAGTAGATGTGATAAAGAGAGTCATGTATTTTTTGATGCTATTAGCAGGGCACAGATACATGCCTTTCTTTTTCTCTTCAACGTCTTACTTCTTCCATCCCTCCTTTGATATTCACAGAAAATTCAGAACTAGTGTCCTGGTCTAATTTGAGGTTTTTTTTTTTTTTTTGAGATGGAGTCTTGCTCTGTCCCTCAGGCTGGAGTACAGTGGAGTGATATTGGCTCACTGCAACCTCCACCTCCTGGGTTCACACAATTCTCCTGCCTCAACCTCCTGAGTAGCTGGGATTACAGGCGTGAGCCATGACACCCAGCTATTTTTTATATTTTAGTAGAGACGGGGGGTTTCACCATGTTGGCCAGGCTGATCTTGAACTCCGGACCTCAAGTGATCCACCTGCCTCGGCCTCCCAAAGTGCAGGGATTACAGGCCTAATTTGAGTTTAATTCCAAGATTTCTGTTTCTGATTTTCTTTCATGCTTCCTCCCCGACACCTAAGATTAAAACATAAATTCTGTGGCTGTAAATTCATGAGATGAATAAAACAAATACAGTTAAATCCATTATATGTATGTATGTACGTGTGTGTATATATATGCATGTATGTGTGTATGCATGCATGTATATGTGTGTATGTGTGTGTGTGTGTGTGTGTGTGTATCTATATATGCACATATATAAACCTTCTGCTCTTTACATTTATTTTGCTAGGAGATGAATGTTGGGAGTTGAGGGAATTGGTTTTTCAAATTATTTCAGAGGAACAAAATTAAGTTTCATAGTGAATTTCAACTTTTCCATTTAATAACTCCCAGGCAACACTTCTTTCACAACCATATCACATTTATCTATTGCTTTGGGACATTCCTTCACTTTTGACTTTATTCTCTCTGTGGTGTGCGACAGCATTTGTTTATTCTTTATCATCACACTTTCCTCCTCTCTTCATTCCCAACTTGAAGTTATCTCCTCTTTCTTATCTGGAAAAGACCTTACATTGTGAAGACCTCAGCTTTCCATAAAGCCGACCATTTGCAAAGAGTTGGTAATTTCTGTGTTCTGTGGCATTTCACAGATGTGTTCCCCAGGAGATAGTCATTATTTTACAGTGCCTCAGCTTTAATATCTTTTTTCTCACATGAAGATAAAACTGAAAAACAGAACATATCACCCCTACATTTCTTAATATTTTATCGTTTTAGATGAGTTTTCATCTTGTGAAAAGTTGCATTCCATCAAGGGATAATGATGTACATTCTGTGCTGTGTAAAAACAATTTGCTTTTGAGGATTGCAGTGCCCTACACAGAGTGAATATTTACAGCTATGTCCCTTTCAAAGTCACCCCTGGAGCTGCTAATTTGAGCTGTCTCCACGAGTCTCAAAAGAGGTTTCTGTCTAAGCTGTCAATTTCCAGGTGTCATACATTAAAATATTTTTGGGGAGAGGCTAAGTAGTTACAGAATGATGCTAAAGGATTCTCTATGTTTTTGGACTTGGATAAACTTCAATAAAAGAATTGCCCATATTACAAAATCTACTTTCCCAACAAGAACCATTCCAGGCAATCTGAAGGAATAGGACCTGTGGTATTTCTTCTGTGGATTTCTTCTGATCTTTGTCTGTTCTCTTCTATCGTAGTCAAAATAGGAAGGGGTGTGTGTGTGTGTGTGTGTGTGTGTGTGTGTGAGAGAGAGAGAGAGAGAGACAGACAGACAGACAAGGGGTAAGGGGGGGTAAGCAGGGTGAGGAGGGTGGATCCTGCCTTCCTTCTGTGGCTTCTGCCTTTCTCAGAGAACTTCAGAGGATGGCTATAATGCCTGTTCTAAATGAACAACATATGACACATATTTTCACCTCCCCAACACCCCCTCCACGGGTTTCCTATGTGTACTTCAAATGCCTGATAACCTTGGTATGAGAACTGGTTGTGTTACTCCGGCCTTAATCCCTTTATCAGGCAGCAAGTTTTTCCTTTCCTAAGGAGCGAGCAACTAAGCCCAGGGTCCAGCATGGGCTTTGTAAAGAGCTGCTCGGTCTCCTGAGCAGCAGCCAGTGACAGCTCGTCTGGGTTTCATCAGCTCCCTGGGGCTGCATTTCACCAGGCCCCCTTGCCAGGGCCTCCCCAGCGTGTCGTGTCAACAAGTGTCGCACCTACTGCAGAAACAGCCCTCAAGTTTCATCACAGGGATGCTAAAATATATTCTCCAGCTTCAGCAATGACCTAGTTCACTGAAGGGCGGGGAAAAAATGCTCTTCTTCCAGAACTTCCCCGGGCATGGAATTTCCCCTCTTAGGAAGAGATGAACTTTCTGGAAGCAGACCCATCTATGCTTTGACCTGATCATGGAAGACCCTGAGCCCTATAAACTCCTTTGAATCCCTGTCCCGGGAACAGGGACACCCAATCAATGCCTCACACACAGCCTGGGGAATCCACAGCTGAGCCAGCCCTCCTACAACATTTCTTGGACAAAGAGTACTGAAAAGTAAGTATGTAGACTTTGGTTTTTACATAAGGAATGGCTGTGCTTTCAATATATAGTTGTTTACATTTTCTGCAACAAAGAACAAAGCAGATGGTTTCCTGATGAAATAGAATGAGATGAAACCAATAGGGATTATATGGGATATTTGGGCATATAAGGTTTTAAAGTGGGCAAACTCTCATGGTCTTGTAATTTAAGTCCATTTTGACCCTTTTTGAAAATTATTGCTATTTTTAAATTTGCTTATTTTGGCTTGACAATAATGAATGAAAACAGTTTCTTTCACATCATGTCTATCTTAACAGTTAGAAAAAATATACAGAATGACTCAAACGAGTGATATGTAAAGTTTTGCAAAGCAACATAAAAAGTCAACTATCCAGGTAACTCAGGCCCCAGAGACTTTTGTCTGAAATATTTGAGTATTTTAGTCAAGAGTTATTCCTTTTACTGTGAATTAACTGAATGATTGAAAATCTCTCCTATCTGGGTAGACACAGGAGTATATTGTCTGACAACAGGTAATGCAATTTGCTGAAAAGCTATCAGGCTTTTCAAAATGGCTGATGTAAACATTTATCGAGTTGTTAAATAGATTTAAAAAAAAATTTAAGGCAAAAAGTCAGCCAAAAAAAAATCCATCAATTAAATGCCACCACTGTCACATTACAATTTAATGAACACATCTAAACTTTAAAAGCCTTGATTAAGGGTGTCAGTTACAGACATTTGGCAATCATTTAAAAATAGATAAAAGCAAGAACGGCATTTAGAGCTGCTTCTGCTCTAATTATTTTCTTTCCACAACCTTTTCCTTAAGTAAAGGTAGCCTTTATTTCTAAAGATTAATTAACCAGGAATGGTCATTCCAGAGATATGTGATATGTTTTATAACTCTATATCAACTAAGGACAAATTGAAGGGGTTTTTTGCTGTGTGGCTTCTGAATTGAAACCAAGGATGTTGTGGGTTACCTTCCGAATCAACAACTTCACAAATCCTGTATTAAAAAGCATGGATGGCCAATAACCATGTTCAGATCTTGGAAATCAGGACTTAAAACAAACTAAATGAACTTTAGCTCCCAAATATACATTGTCCTTTTTTTGTTTTGTTTTGTTTGTTTGTTTTTTGTTTTTAGATAGAGTTTTGCTCTTGTTGCCCAGGCTGGAGTACAATGTCTCAGTCTCAGCTCACTGCAACCTCCGCCCCCTGGGTTCAAGCGATTCTCCTGCCTCAGCCTCCCAAAGTAGGTGGCATTACGGGTGCCTGCCACCATGCCCAGCTAATTTTTTTTGTATTTTTAGTTGAGATGGGGTTTCACCATGTTGGCCAGGCTGGTCTTGAACTCCTGACCTCAGGTGATCCACCCGCCTCGGCCTCCCAAAGTCTTGGGATTACAGGCGTGAGCCACCGCGCCTGGCCTACATTGTCTTTTTGATGTTTTTACCAAACATTTAATCATAATTTTGGGAAGCTTTTAGGTAGGGCAGAGTTCCTATTGTCATTACCTACAAAGTTTTTTTCTCCTCCAGTTTCATGAGTTTTTAACAGCCTCCTGAACACTTGTGTGTAGGTATCAGCCCCTGTGATGCGATGCAGTTGAGTTAGTATCTTACTCTGGATGGAGGTGGGAGAAGCAGGGGAGGTCCTGAGAAAGGCTTTGGAGTCAGATTTGGAATCGACTCCTAATTTTAGCATAACTTTTCAACCTGTTTGAACCCCAGTTTACTCATCTGTAAAATCTTAACAGTATTCACTTTAACAGGATTGATGGGGGATTAGATGAATAAATATACCTAAAGTATGTGTCGAATCATAGTTTCTCAATGAAAGTTAGTTTTTCACCTTAATTAAAAGCTTCTGTCTTTTTTTTTTTTGCTAAAACTTTAGAATACTACCATAAAATAAACTATATAAAGTAATAGAAACTATACATTATCTGCATCAGTGCAATACAACATAACACAATTAGATTCTTTGAGAAAAATTCTGTACTTGGAAACAATGTGTTTGAAAATTAAAAAAAGATATTTTAGAATGTATCTATGATAAATAAGAAAAAATTTTTTTTTACTAAAAATAGTTGATGGATAATTGATGCTTATTATCTAAAAGCAGAAGTAGAGATTTATCAACATCCTCTGGGAATGCTTTTTAATACATATCATTACCATATTTAAATATGAGTGTTTGGGAATCCATAGTAATGAAAGGCCTGTGATCATGATGAAAACTATGAAAATGAAGGCACACGCCCAGCCTTTCCTCAAAGATTATAGTCGAGTCTTGCATTGAGAGAGGTGGGGGCGGGAGTGGAGGTGAAAACTCTTTGAAGTGGACTAGCCTTTGGAGGAGCAGAGCAGGGGCAGTAGCTTTGGGCCAACTCAGAAGAAGTGTAGTTTCCAGGATAGGGATCGCACCGTGGGCTAGAATTGCGCGGGGTCAGTGATAAAAGTACACAATGAATAGGGAGAAAGGCCAGGCAGGGATGGGAGGGAGCAGACGAGATTCACAAGCGGGCTTGTGGGCTAGCTCCCAAGAACTTTATCAGACATCTTTCTTGTTGCCCCTTGTTTTTACTGAGATACCCCACAGCTCTTTCCCAGGCCCATTGGAGTACCTCGATACATTCTTCGCTTCGGTTACAGACAGGTTCACAAGGAACCCAGGATACGTTACTCTGGGTTGAATGCTGCCAAAAAGAAAAACTGAAAATGCAAACATGTAAAGCAACTTGGGAGAACGTAATCACGTCATCTTAGGGTTGGCGAAAACGAAAGAATAAACACCTGACCTACATCAAATAAAACATTTAAACATGTTTCAAGCCCTTATTGGGATTTCCGCCTATGCACACCCACCTGGCATGGGCCAAATAGACAAAACTGATCAGGAGACTTCAGACATCAGCTCGAAGAGACAGGCAGCAAGTTGAAGAGAAGCTCAATTCCGAGAGTTCAGTTCTGGTTACACTGCACCCTCCCTCTCAAGGGCCAGCCCTTCCACTGCAATCCTCATGTCCTGGCTGCACAGCCCACCTTGATTTTCACTTGATTTTCAATCCTGCTCTTAGATAACCAGGCCCCTGCTCTTAAACACGCTCATTTGCTCCTCAACCCCTAGTTTAAGACCTTCCTGAGTCCAGCGGTTCTTAAACTTTCAAGTGCAACAGAATCTAAAGAGCTTGTTAAAATAAAGGTTCCTGGGCTCCATCCCCAGAGTTTCTGATTCTGAAGTTTCCAAGAATTTGCATTTCTTCCTTGTTCCCAGGTGATGCTGATGGCGTGGCCCAGGGGCCACTCTGAGAACCACTGCTGTAGCCATTTCTTCGGCCTGCAGTTCCTGAAGAAAACCTATTTGTGCTTATTCTTTTCAACCACCAAACTTTCCTTACTTCTCAGGGGGTGCCAGAGACACAGATACAGTGTGCCAGTGCTGTAAACATAAAAGGTTAACCCATCAGGTGCCCTGCAGGCAAGCAGTTTACAGTCTAGCTGCTGGGGGTGACACTGAGTGTGGGGACAATATGCTGAGGCTAATGGTCTCTAGTTTTTAGGGGGCTTTTTTTTTTTTTCAGCTGAGGGTATCAGGGAAGCCTTCAAAGAGAAACCAGCATTTGAGCTAGGGGTTTGAAAACCTGGCGGGGTTTCTGAACAGATTGAGATGGAAAGTGGTCCTTCTATGTAAAGGAAATCCAGAAAAGCAAACTAAAAACATGGAGGGCAGAAAGAGAAAGAATGAATATGGAAATCAGAAATTAGTGTGGTTGGGCTACGCTTTTCACACTTCTCCTCCCCCGCCTTCTTGATGATGAAAGAATTGTCAAGAGTTAGATGGTTTTGATTAAATCATTTAATCTTCAATCCATTACTTCTGTCGGTAACTTGATTGTAACTTGATGTCCAACATAGAGATCTGGAATGGAGAGCCAAATGATAGGAATTTCAGGCACTGTGGGCCAATGAGGAGAGGGTATGCCTTCTAGAAGCAACAAAGAAATCAACTTGGCTGGGCTTGGTGGCTCATGCCTGTTAATTCCAGCATTTTGGGAGGCCAAGGTGGGTGGATCACTTGAGGTCGGGACTTTGAGACCAGCTTGGCCAACATGGTGAAACCCTGCCTCTACTGAAAATACAAAATTAGCTGGGCATGCTGGCACACGCCTGTAATCCCAGCCACTTGAGAGGCTGAGGCAGGAGAATCGCTTGAACCCGGGAGGCAGAGGTTGCAGTGACCCGAAATCGTGCCATTGCACTCCAGCCTGGGCAACAAGAGTGAAACTCTGTCTCAAAAAGAAAAAAAAAAAAAAAAGAAAGAAATCAACTCAAACTACCTAAATCAGTAACAGGGATTTATTGCTCATACCATGGAAGAGTCCAGGACTTTGGTCAGGACCCTGCTGTTTCCTGCATTTCTGGAAGCTCTGCTCATCTCTGTTTTGGTTTTATCAGGCCAGCTTTAGCACGGTCTCAAGATAGCTATTGGCCTTCGCTGAGGTTCACATGCTTTCCTTTTTCTGTGGATGACGGAGTGAACAACCTAAGCTTTGCACTGACTTGGTCACCCCTGAACTACTTTTTGGAGAGTGCCACATGTGATTGGCTTAAACTTTGGTTAATGACTCAATCAGTGACCAAGAGCACCACAGTTTAGACCAATCAGAGCCAACAAAGCAGGAAGGGTGAGGAATCGCCAGCCGAGTCCCCAGGCTGCTGAGTGATGGAAGAGGCTTGATTAGGAGGACAAGCGAATGGCCACTTTAGGAGATTTTAGATATTTTGGAGAAAGGTCTCTGAAATCTTACCACTTCTTCCCTTAGTTATAAAGTTAGCCATGGGGAGCATTTATACTTTAAAGATTTAGGATATTACTGCTAAAGGTAAGCCAGAAAAAATTTAAAAAAAAATTAGGATGGGCATGCTTTAAAGTTCAGCCCAGACAAGTTAAAATGTTCTTCCACAGAACAGTCCTGCCTCAGAAATGGAATGAACCAGCCAGGCACGGTGGCGTGAGCCGCCTGTAATCCCAGAATTTTGGGAGGCCGAGATGGGAGGATCACTTGAGGTCAGGAGTTTGAGACCAGCCTGGCCAACATGGCAAAACTCTGTCTCTACTAAAAATACAAAAATTAGCTAGGCATGGTGGTGCATGCCTGTAATTCCAGCTACTCAGGAGGCTGAGGAGGGAGGATTGCTTGAGCCCAGGAGGCAGGGGTTGCAGTGAGCCGAGATTGTACCAATGCACTCCAGCGGGGTGAAAGAGGGAGACCCTATCTCAAAAGAAATAAAAAGAAATGGAATGAACCGTTGGCTGCAGTACTGCACCCTACGGCCCTTTTTATTGGATGTGATGTTCCTTATCTCTAAGGCACACTTTATTTACTAGAACAAGATTAGATAAAGAACCATTAAAAATCTTCTGTATTGGGAGTCTGAGGTGGGTGGGGGGATTGCTTGAGCCCAGGAGTATGAGAACAGCCTGGGCAACATAGTGGGACCCCATCTCTATTAAAAAAAAATCTTCTGGAAATAAGGCAAGTGGAGGCATTATATGAAAAGTGTTCCCCTAAGACACTCTGACTGGCTGGGTTGAAGGATGAGGGTAGAAGGTGGCAGAGATCAGACTACCACTCTCCTGCGAAACTTCCCTGTCCTCACACCACTGCTTTTTTCTGACTGGACTTGCTGACAGGTGGTTAGTTCAGCATAATAAGTTCTAGCTCAGTTAACTACACTCGGGCTCAGTTAACTACACTCAGGGTTGGTCTTATTTCTGTCGGGGGGCGGGGAGTGAGACAGAAGATAGCCTAAGATTTTCCAGGTTCTCCCCTATATTGTCTGATGCCAGAAATTCCACAGCATTTCACCTCTTGGTCACATTGAAAGTAAACATTCTCCCAAGAGGGATTAGTTGGAGCGGCTTTGGAGTTTTCATTACAGGGGAGTGAGGGTGGGAACATAAGGAGCCTGGGCAAATGTGGAGGATAAGAGGAAAACGAGCCAGAGAGGGGCTTTCTTTACTGTGAAATGTTTGTGATGACATTGACGACACATTCCTAGACTGGACAGAGCAGTCGGCCCATGACATTCAACTTCAAACCAAAGTGATTTTAATCAGTTAACTCAAGGAAGTGGGTCCGATTACAGCACTGTCACACTTTGTATGTTTATAGCACCATAAGTTCTCCTCTCTTCCCTGTCTTTACCCCAAGATAGGCAAGAGGATGTATCCTTTCAATGCAGTACATGGAAAATCAGAGTCAAGAAACCTGGACTCTGTCACTAACAAGCTGTGTGACCTTGGAAATGTCACCTAACCTGTCTGTGTTTCAGGTGCATTTTTCAGTTGTAAAATCAGGGGAGGTACTAAACTCTCACACAGGTTTTATTTATTTATGTATTTAATTATTTTTTTGAGACAGAGTCTTGCTGTGTTGGCCAGGCTGGAGTGCAATGGTGCGATCTCGGCTCACTATAACCTCCATCTCCCGGGCTCAAGCAATTCTCCTACCTCAGCCTCCCAAGTGGCTGGGATTACAGGTGTGTGCCACCACACCCGGCTAATTTTTGTATTTTTAGTAGAGATGGGGTTTCACCATGTTGGCCAGGCTGGTCTCGAACTCCTGACCTCAGGTGATCTGCCTGCCTCGGCCTCCCAAAATGCTGGGATTACAGGAGTGAGCCACTATGCCCGGCCTCGCACAGGTTTTATTTAACCTTGAGCTTTTTTTTTTTTTTTAAGCCCTCTCATAAAGATTGGAAACTGCCATACATTTTAAACAGCAGGGGAGAGGAGAGTCAGTGGAAAGACTCTTCCACCTAAAATAAATTCAAAACAAATCCAGAGGGAGCTGCTGCCAGCTCAGTATTCACCACGTCTGTGTGACAAATTGTGCACCCAACACACTGTTGGGCACATGGAGGTGCTCACTATTAATATTGAAAAGTTAGCTTTTACTTGTTTATTAGGTAAGATACATAAATTCAAGGTATCCAGAAAGATATACAAAGACTATCACTGTCTCCAAATGGCATGCCTTCTTTCCACCCCCCACACTTAGGCCTCCTTCCAGGAGCAACCAAGCTACTGCTTTCTCGTGTATTTCTAGTCAATATATGTATAAACAAGCATATAAGATTCTTTTCTCCTCCTCCTCCTCCTTCTTCTTTGCCCATAGAAGTGATCACATTGGCCTGGTGCAGTGGCTCACGCCTGTAATCCCAGCACTTTGGGAGGCCGAGGCGGGCGGATCACGATGTCAGGAGATCGAGACCATCCTGGCTAACACAGTGAAACCCTGTCTCTACTAAAAATACAAACAATTAGCCGGGCATTGTGGCGGGCGCCTGTAGTTCGAGCTCGGGAGGCTGAGGCAGGAGAATGGTGTGAACCTGGGAGGCGGAGCTTGCAGTGAGCCGAGATAGTGCCACTGCACTCCAGCCTGGGTGACAGAGCGAGACTCCGCCTCAAAAAAAAAAAAAAGAAAGTGATCACATTCCCTGCACTCTTATACATTGTTTATTTCATTTAATGTATCCCGGAGATTATTCCATATCAGTGCATTTTTTTTATTCCATTATCAGAGTCTCATTTTTTTTTTTTTGTTTTGAGACAGGGCCTTGCTCTGTTGTCCATACTGGAGTGCAGTGGTGCAGTCACGGCTCACTGCAGCTTCAACCTCCCAGGCTCAAGCCATCCTCCTGCCTCAGCCTCCTGAGTAACTGGGACTACAGGCATGCGACACACCCGGCTAATTTTTGTATTTTTTGTAGAGATGGGGTTTCAGCATGTTGCCCAGGTGGATCTTGAACTCCTGGGCTCAAGCGATCCACCCACCTCGGCCTCCCAAAGTGCTGGGATTACACACGGGAGCCACCGTGCCGGGCCTGTCTCGTTCTTTTTAAATGTATATTGTTGTTAACAAGAAAAAAAGATTCCATTCTTTAGATATACAATAACCACATTCCTATTGATGGACATTTAGCTTTTGCTATCACAGGCAACGCCGCAGTGAATTTAGTAGGGGCTCATTAAATTTTTGCCTCCTTGCTCCTATTTTTAAAATTAACTTTATAAAGGCATATTTTGTATATCATATAATTCACCATTTCTAATTGCTAAATGCAATGATTTTTTTTAAAAAGCAAATGTACTAGGTTGGGCAATCATCACCATAGATTGGTTTTAGAAGATTGCCATCACCTCCAGAAGATCCTTCAGGCACATTTATTATTAGCATTCTCCCCACTGCCCTCACCTCCAACCACCACTGATCTACTTTCTGTCTTTATAATTTCTATTGGACACTTCATATAAATGGAATTATATTGTATAATTATATTGTATAATTCCATTTATTGTATGGTCTCTTGCGTATGGCTTCTTTCACTGAGCATACTGAGAATGTTTTTGAGGTTCATCTATGTCATACCATGTATCCATAGTTTTGTTTTGTTTGTTTTTTTGTTTTGAGAAGGAGCTTCGCTCTGTCGTCCAAGCTGGAGTGCAATGGCGTGATCTCGGCTCTCTGCCACCTCCACCTCCCGGGTTCAAGAAATTATCTTACCTCGGCCTCCCAAGTAGCTGAGATTTCATGCACCCGACACCATGCCCGGCTAATTTTTGTAGTTTTTAGTAGAGACAGGTTTCACCATGTTGGCCTGGCTGGTCTCAAACTCCTGACCTCAGGCGATCTGCCCACCTCAGCCTCCCAAAGTGCTGGGATAACAGGCGTGAGCCACCGCGCCCCACCGTATCCATAGTTTGTTCTTTGTTATTGCTCAGTGGTATTCAATTGTATTGCTATGCCACATTTTGTCTACCCATTCACTAGTTGGACCGTTAGGTTATTTCCAATAGACATTTAGGTTGTTTCCAATTTTTGGCTATTATGAATAACCCTGCTAAGAACAGTTGTGTGCGAGTCTTTGTGTGAATATACATTTTCATTTCTCTTGGGAAGATAACTTGGAGTGGAATTGCTGGGTCATTTGGTAAATTTATGTTTAACTTTGAAACACATTTCCCGTTTAGAAAAAAACAAAAAGTGCAGCTTGCTGCCAGTACTCAATTTTACATAAACACACTCTTTGAGGCTGAAACAAATTTGGCTGATTTTCAATGTGAAAATAAAATATAAAAACTGTTTTTGGAGTTATTCCTAAACACAATTTATCTCTAATTCTAATGTAACAGAAACGTATGTAATATTACATTAGGATTGGAGACAACAGTATTCTCGGGGCAAACGGGAAATGGATTAAGAAACTGCTAAAGTGTTTTCCAAACTGTCTGTACCACTTTTACATTCTCACCAGCAATGAATGAGGGTTCTTGTTCTTTTCCACATCCTCACGAATATTCCACTCCAGCAAATCTGGACTCATGTTTCAGCTCTGCCACTTGCAGGCTGTGAGAAGTTATGCTTCTTACACCAACCTTTAGAAGTGACTGAAGCTTCCAAGTCATTAGCTGGGAAATAGCAAAGAACACCCACCAGACAAGTTCACTGTGAAGATGAAATACGATCTTGTCTGTGAAGTGCCCAGCCTTGGGGCTGACACACAGTAGGCACCCGAAATGTGTTAAGTGTCTCTCCCGACATGGTCTTCTTCCTCCCCATGCAATTTACAGAAACCATCTTTGGATAAGGTTCCCTAACTAACACGGGACTGGGTATTAGGTGACAGAGGGTGCGGTGTCCAAATCTACAGTAACTGAGATGGCAAATTCAGGAAGACAATTGCCATTGGATTAGGCTGGGTAATCAGAACTAATCCCTCCTGTCCCCGCTGAGTAGGCGCCCTGACTGCTGGCTTTCCTGCCAGCTCCACAAGAGCCGGTTACCTGTGGTCTGCTTGTGAGCTGTGACCTCTTCCCTGATCCTTTCAGCTGACAGCAAGCTTTTTGGTGACAGCAGCCATGCGACTTGCTGACTATTGAGGGTAGGGGAAGGGGGATGCAGATTGCAGGGGTGCAGGGGGAAAGGGGGATGCAGATTAGTCAAAATAAAACGTGACATCACTTGAGTGTTTTAAATATTCAAATAACGCTCCTATAGCCTTTGTTCTACAACAATTTGAGAGAAATACATTATTTTTTCATCTTGCCAATGTTAAACCCAAAGCCACTGGCAGCGGCTAACACTTACATAGTGCTTACTTTATATACTATTCAGAAGAGCATTACATAGACTGACTCAAATTCCATAATGGTCAAATGAATAGATACTGCTATTATCTTAGTTTTATAGAAGAAGTGACTGAGGCAGAGAGATGATCAGCTACTGAGTGGCACAGCTGAGGTTTGAGCCTAGGGAGCAGGTACAGGAATCCACGCCCCACATCATCACATCACTCTGCTACCTGTTAAAGGTCCTGCCCATTTTAGAGTAGCTATTAAAATGTGATATGTAGGCCAGGCGGGGTGGCTCATGCCTGTAATCTCAGCACTTTGGGAGGCCGGGGCCGGTGGATCATCTGAGGTCAGGAGTTCGAGACCAGCCTGGCCAATATGGTGAAACCCCGTCTCTACTAAAAATACAAAAAATTAGCCAGGCATGGTGGCTTGTGCCTGTGATCCCAGCTACTCAGGAGGCTGAGGCAGGAGAGTCACTTGAACCTGGGAGGTGGAGGTTGCCGTGACCCGAGATCGTGCCATTGCACTCCAGCCTGGGCAACAAGAGCAAAACTCCATCTCAAAAATATATATATATTTTTAATGTGATATGTGAACAGTCTTCTCTCTGGTAATTCTATTTCTTGGCATTTAGGCTAGAGACCAGTTATGTGTCTAAGGAAGCATGTACTAGGATGTCATTGGAAGTCTGAAACACTCCAGCCAAGTTATACATCAATACAAGAGCAGATGGGTTAAGTGGGATATTGCTATACTATGGAATACCAATATTTAGCAGCTTTCAAAAGCTGATAGAGAGCCTTACGGATTGGGTTGACACTGTAAGATTGCCAAAACTTATTATTAAGCAAAATAAGCCAACTGTCAACAAAGCATGTACCATACATACCAACATACATATATACCATTCATGCCATACATACAACAAAATTATCATATATTTAGATGATTATATGTGTAATGAATAGAAAAAAATGCCTAAAAGGATACCAGATTCTTCCTCTTGGTAGAGAACTGAGATGGAGAGATGATGCCTCTGGGAGACTTTACCTTTATATGTATTTTTAAGAACATAAATGTATCCACTTAGGATCAGTATAATTAAAGGTAAATAAAATTTTTAAAAAGAAAGAAGTTGGCTGGGCACAGTAGTTCACGCCTGTAATCCCAGCACTTTGGGAGGCCGAGGTGGGCAGATCGCTTGAGGCCAGGAGTTTGAGACCAGCCTGGCCAACATGGTGAAACCCCGTCTCTACTAAAAATACAAAAATTAGCCTGGCGTGGTGGTGCACGCCTGTAATCCCAGCTACTCAGGAGGCTGAGGCAGGAGAATCGCTTGAACCCGGGAGGTGGAGGATGCAGTGAGCTGAGATCGTGCCATTGCACTCTAGCCTGGGCGACATAGTGAGACTCTCTCAATAAATAAATAAATAAATTCAAATACAAATAAAAAGAAACTTGCCACAATCCACTGTTTAGGGAAAATCTCTCTCAAACTGTTTTTTCTCTGCTCTCCCACCACCACAACAACAATCATCAACACGGAAGAAGAGGAAGACTTCCGTGACCAAAGTTGTGGTGGATTTACCCCATACGCCAAGCTGCAGACACTGGTGGGTGTTCTCGGCTTCAGTTCTGACTCTGTCCACCTGGAGATAGTGTCAGATCCCACAGGTTGTGGGCCCAGTCCCCAAGGCTACTCCTCACCCACCCCCCAAGCCCCCGGAACACCAGCTGCAAGTCAAGGCTTCTGGAACTTCTGACTGACTGGCTTCAAGTTGGGGTTCCCATGAGCACCTCTTGGGGTTAATTTGCCAGAGTAGCTCACAGAACTCAGGGAAACACATTTACTGGTTTATTACAAAGGTTATTTTAAGGATACAAGTAAACTGCCAGATGCAGAGAACCACAGGCGATTTTGCAGAGATCCATAGGCGATTTGCAGGAGCTTCTGTCCCCATGGAGTTGGGATGTGCCACCCTCCCAGTGTGTGGATGAGTTCTTCACCTCCTGTCAGCCTCCACGTGTTCAGCTCTCTGGAAGCTCCCCAGACCCTGTCCTTTTGGGTTTTTATGGAGGCTTCGCTACATAGGCACGATTGACAACTATGTAGAAATGTGATTGGACAAAAAGCACCTGATCTGAACCCAGCAAGGCCTGTCTGTTCAGACTTTTCTTGGCATTCGTTTCTCTGTGTGGCATTCTTTCCTCTAGAGTAAGAGGCAGGAATGAGGGTCTTTTGGAATAAGGGCCTTTTGACCACAGAGTCCTGCCTTGGACAGGTAAAAGAAGGATAGAAGGTCAGAGAGAGAGATTCTGTTTCCCAAGGCCAAAAGTGCCCCAACATTATAACAAGGACTATGGGAGTTAGGAGCCAGGAACTGTGGATGGAAACCAATAAATATACAGATATATCATAACACCATAACCACACAGCAAAAAAAGAAAAGAAAAAAGGCAAATCCAGCATTCTTTCCAATTAACACATTGTTTTCCCAAGGTCATCTGTGAAGCCTACCACAAACTCCTCCACTAATACCAATAATTCAATATTGATTGTTCATCTCTAGCAGAGAATGATAAATCTGTCATCAAGGGTTCTCACCTTCAGAGAAGCCACGAAACACGAGCCACAGCCTGACTTAACTGTCCTTTTCCTCTCCAGAGTACAGTCAGTGCTCTGTGGCTCAGATATGTGGTCACTAAACTGACTATGTGAGTCAAATAGTGTGTGTTTGTCAGTATTTTCACATGTGGGACAACACTGTCAGGAAGTCATCACCTGGGGAGGAGTCACAGATGACACAGAAGCTCCTCAACGTCAGCCCAGCTCTTGACAGCTGGATTTATCCTTTCCTCCTTCTCCATCCATAGCAGTGATCTCCAGGAATGAGAATGGAAGGTCATGTCCTGTAAATTACTATTGCAGGTGACAATTACACCCAGAGACATTTTTACACATTAGTTGGTATATCACTTTAAAAAAGAATCATTGTGGTAACCCACAGCAGAAAAGGAAACTGATGAAACAAGTGAACTCTTTCCTTATACTACGCTGATTACCATTATGAAAACTAATTATGTAACAGATATTTACAAGGCAATTGACATACATTATTCTAATCCTTAGACTATTATCATTCCCTCCTTTTACAGATGAGAAGGTAGGTTCAATGCCTTGCCTTATAATTGGCAGAGCTGGATGTAGATTTGTTCCTGGCAGGTGGCAAAGCCTGTATTGTGTTCACAGTTCTATGGGGCCTCCTGGTCAGGAGGGTGTTTTCTTGCTATGAGAGCTGCCCTGCCCGCCACTGTCCCCCTCCATTTGAGTAACTTCCCTAGGAATATGAAGAGTGGGGTAGTCATCCCTCTGTCTCAACAGTTGCTTCTGAAAAGCATTGCTGATTGGCCACAAAAAGGAATGAGGTACTGATACAGGTGACAATATGGTCAAACCCCAAAAACATTGTGTTAAGTGAAAGCTTCTATTTATATAAAATGTCCAGAATAGGCCGGGCTCTGTGTCTTCTGCCTATAATCCTAGCATTTTGGGAAGCCAGGTGGGAGGATTGCTTGAGCCCAGGCATTCAAGACCAGCCTGGGCAATGTAGTGAGACCCTGTCCCTACAAAAAAAAAAAAAATCCATAATAGACAAATACATACAGACAGAAAGTAGATTAGTGATTGCCTCTGGCTGTGTGTGTTGGGGGGGAGGGTGGAAATGGGGAGATGAGGAGGTAAAAGGGGTGTAGGGATTCTCTAGAGTAATGAGAATGCTCTAAAATGGATTGTGGTGACGGTTGCACAATTCTGAATATAGTGAAAGCCATTGAATTGTACAACTTAAATGAGTAAATTGTGTATGGTATGGTAATTATATCTCATTAAGGCTGTAAGAGAGCTGGGCATGGAGGCTCAAGCCTCTAGTCCCCACTACTCAGGAGGCTGAGGTGGGAGGATGGCTTGAGCCCAGGAATTCAAGACCAGCCTTGGGCTGGTATTAAATCTGGTTTTTTAAAAATACCAATTGATATCCATTCCGTAACCACCAAATGTACCCGTAACCTAATCTGGAATGGAGGTATTTATTTGCTATCTAGCAGATGAATTTTCTTCCTGTGCTGTGCAACTAATTTGCCATTATGCTGAGAGGGGATTACTATGCTCTGAAATACCACATGTATGAACCGGAGCCCCATGTCATCCAGCCTCTGCACAGCTACATTTAAGAAGTTCTATAACCAAAAATAATTGGAAATGTAAGTCATTTGTTAAAGAATGTCAAAAGGACCCAATTCACAATCACAATGCATAGTTTCTGAAAAATCTTCAGTTCAGCCTCTCTTGCTCAGTCTTCCACACCTGTCCCAGCAGGTATGTCTCTCAAACCTCTCTCCCATCTCATGTGTTCTGCCCCACACCCAAGCAGTTTTCTCTCTTTTCAGTGCCACCATGTCACTTCTTCAACATTACGGCTCTTTCCACCCATCATGTAAGTTAATTTAACTTCAGGTTTAAGCACAAAGTTGCTTCCTGCACACACTCTCCCTGAGGAAGGGAAGGCAGTGTATTCCCCTTAATTAATTTATTTTTTAACCCTGATATTTACAGAGTGTAGGTGCTTTATGGAGGGGCAGTTTGGGAACACTTTTTGGGAAATACAGTTCACACCATATTTCTAAACAGAACATCTTGAGATTAAGGAAATGCTGTGGGAACTTCCAAAGCAGCAGGAGTGATCTCAAAAGAAAGCACTAGAGGCATTTGTGAGCAGAATGCTCCAAGGGCAGCATCCACCAAGCAAGGTGGGCCTCATGGGCCAAGATCTGTGTCTTCACACGGGGCCCTGAGCCCAGAAGGGTGCCGTCTTTTTATTTTATTATTATTATTATTATTATTATTATTATTATTATTTTTTTTTTTTGAGATGGAGTCTTGCTCTGTCGCCCAGGCTGGAGTGCAGTGGCGTGATCTCGGCTCACCGCAACCTCTGCCTCCCAGGTCCCGGTTCAAGCAATTCTCCTGCCTCAGCCTCCTGAGTAGCTGGGATTACAGGAACGAGTCACCATGCCCAGCTAATTTTTGTATTTTCAGTAGAGACAGGGTTTCACCATGTTGGCCAGGATGGTCTTGAACTCCTGACCTTGTGATCCGCCCGCCTCAGCCTCCCAAAGTGCTGGGATGAGAGGCGTGAGCCACCATGCCGGGCCAGGTGCTGTCTTTGGTTTAATGCTCTGCTGTCACCATCTTAAAATCCTTAATCCTGTTTGCACAAAGAACCCCTCATTTTCATCTTGAACCGGGCCCTGCAAATTATGTTGCTCATCCTGCTACTACAGCAAGGCTCCTCAAACATCATTGGCCCTGAACTCAGGTTCCTTTTCCCTCTACTCACTTCTGCTCATCAGGAGATTTTTTAGGTGTTGGTGAGACCTTGAACTGTCCTCGGGGAACTCGTCTCTCAGGGTATCTGAGACAATCTGGAAAAGTGGGAAGAAATAGGGAAGAACTGTTTCTAAATGGGTAAGAAGCTGCTACTGACACTCATATGGAAAGGGGTGTCCCTTTGGCAATACAGCTGTGGCTGCTTTAATTTGGCCTCTCCTACCAAGAGCTTAGCTCAGGTGTCTGCTTTGGGGACCTCAGCATCCCTGGATTCAGGATTTGCAGTTCCTAACCGCCCCTTCCCTGTTCAGGCTAACCACACTGTAGTGTGGTTCTTTTCTTTGTCCGAGCTCTGTGGTGTGGGAGAACCGCCTGCCATTGTGAAGAAGTGGACGCTACTGTGTAGACAGAACTAAATGCCCTTTCTAAGCTCAGGGCTCCACAAAGGAGAGGTCTGGCCAAGTGAAGCCAGCTTGTATCTGCCGGTAGCGGTAGCGTGGAAAGGAAAGGGTTCTCTGGATTCAGACCAACCTGCGCCCTCAGGGCTGGCTCATACTTGTGCAAGCTGTGCCCTGCAAAGCTCCAGTGGTGTCTTACACATTGAAAGTGTCAGCCTGCACAGCCCTGAAGGACAGCCCCAAGGTGGCTGCCACTTGAGCTGTGTGATCTTGAGCAAGTTGTTGAACCTCTCTGAGTCTCAGGTTCCACCTCTGTAAAATGTAGGAGACATTAGTAACTATCCTTTAAGTAGCTTCAAAGAGATTAAGTGAAATAATATATCTGGTGACTAATCAAGTGTTTAGTGCCTGCCTTCCCCTAGGGCACCCACCTGGTGCTCAGAAGGAGCAGTCATATCCTAATTTCAAAATATCTCCTCCCTGGACATCATTTCAACACAACTGACATGTTTTTTGGAGGCAAAGACATATGCACACTTTTTTGAGCACAGTGTGAAAAGACTTTAAGAAGAGAAAGGAGGAGGAATGAGAGGAGGTGGCACTAACCATAGCCTCATGGGATGCTTCCCTCTCCATTGGAACTCTGGGTGCTCTGGGGTCTGCCTAGGACAATAGGATTCGTGGTTCTTAATCAGGGCACCCCCCCATTCCCCTGCAGTGTCTGCAGACATTTTTGATTGTCACACATGGAGGGGTGGGGGTGCTATTGGCATCTGGTGGGTAGAGGCCAGGCATGCGGCTAAATATCCTGCAATGCACAGGACATCCCCGAAATACAGAAGGATCCAGCCCACCTACCAGCAGCACCACGGCCTGGAAAGGCTGCCCAAAGACCTTCAGTCTGCCCACCCTCCAGCGTGCAGTGAGCTGCCAGGGCGGCACCCTGTGGTTTCTGGAATTCCTAAGAAGGCCAGAGAAATCCCAGAACAAATGGTGATGTCGGGGATTTTTTTTTTTTTCAGATTTGGTGCGGCATGAAAGGATGAAAGACTCCGAAGGGCCCCAGAGGCCCCCGCTGTGTTTTTTATCTACATTGCTTTCCCAGAAGGTTCCTGAGAAGTCAGACGCTGTGCTTCGCTGCATAATATCTGGTAACCATCACTAGACTAGCTAATCACCCTCTAAAATCTCCCTGCATACCAGGTTTCTTGGCTCACAAAGGCATTACTAAAACATCATTTGGGAAAATTACCTTGGAAGTTTTTTTTTCTGTGTAATCAATGAAGCAACTCCATCCTCTATGATTTGTTTCTAAAAGATTTCTTTGAGTGACTTCCTGGACACGATTTAGTGATCTTTACTTCACCTTGTGGTTCTGGGTTAGGCAGCTCTCACACTGGTTATTTTTTTCAGATAATCCACTCTTAATTTTCTTTCTTTCTTGGGTGTCCTTAACCATAGTTTAAATTCATGGAGCACAGAGGAATGGCATGAATCACTTTTTTTCGGTAAATTGATGGAACTCTTCTGTTATTCTTTAATTGACTTTTTTTTTTTTTTTTGAGATGGAGTCTTTCTCTGTCACCCAGGCTGGAGTGCAGTGGTGTGATCTCGGCTCACTGCCACCCCCGCCTCCTGGGTTCAAACTATTCTCCTGCCTCAGCCTCCCGAGTAGCTGGGAATAGAGGCACGCACCACTGTACCTGGCTAATTTTTTTATTTTTATTTTTATTGTTTTTTTTTTTTTGAGACAGAGTCTTGCTCTGTTGCCAGGCTGGAGTGCAATGGCACGATCTCAGCTCACTGCAACCTCCGCCTCTTGGTTTCAAGCAATTCTCCCACCTCAGCCTCCCAAGTAGCTGAGATTACAGGCACCCGCCACTACACCCGGCTAATTTTTGTATTTTAGTAGAGATGGGGTTTCACCATGTTGGTCAGGCTGGTCTTGAACTCCTGACCTCAGGTGGTCTGCCTGCCTCGGCCTCCCAAAGTGCTGGGATTACAGGCGTGAGCCACTGCGGCTGGCTCGCCTGGCTAATTTTTATATTTTTAATAGGGACGGGGGGAGGGGGGTGGTTCACCATGTTGGCCAGGATGGTCTCCATCTCTTGACCTCATGATCTGCCTGCCTTGGTCTCCCAAAGTGCTGGAATTACAGGCGTGAGCCACCGCGCCTGGCCCTAATTGATATCTTAAAACTGGCTAAATTAGTCTCTCCTCTGCACGCCTTCTTCAGGGATGCTAATAAGAAGTGAAAATCTTAAAACAGAGGCAATGGGTGACCAGTGGAGAAAAAACAGGGGACTGGGATTCTGGATTGGTGAATAAATAACTCAGAATTGATCAAGTATGGGTACTCCCAATGGTAAAAGGATTTATCATTAAAAGAACATAAACATAAAACAATTGGGTAGGGAAGTGATATCTTGTACCTCATGGGTGGTTCTCTTTTCTTTTTTGGATTATGTCTCTACCCTTGAAAACATGAAGGTGCCAATGGTGTTTCTTGAGGGCAGACAGAAAACTCTTCTCCCCTTGCTCTTTTTTTTTTTTTTTTTTTTTTTGAGACAGGGTCTCTTGCTCTGTTGCCCAGGCTGGAGTGCAGTGGCACAATCTCAGCTCTCTGCAACCTCCACCTCCCAGGTTCAAGCAATTCTCATGCCTCAGCCTCCCAAGTGGCTGGGATTCCAGATGCACACCACCATGCCCAGCTCATTTTTGTATTTTTAGTAGAATGGGGTTTCGCTATGTCGGCCAGGTTGGTCTCTGATCCCATTTTTCTAAGTCCAGAGAGGAGAGGGGTGAGCCTCAGAAACGGCTGCCTTTCGCTAGCAGAAGTTGTCATAAAACCTCGATTTCAGCCTGGAGTTGCAGTGTAGAACTGTGCGCTCAGCCTCTCCAAGCCCAGGCTTCTGTCTCCGTGATGGTCCATCGTCATTCAGACAGACAGAACAGTGCAAGCTGACCTTGAGTCTTCAGAGCAGAGCCCTCGTGTGTTTGGACATGCCCTGAACTTGGCTGTGGTCCCCTCGCCCAGATACTTCTGAAATGTTTAGGAGGTGGCTCTCAATGTATGACCCACAGTAGGTTCCAAAAACAAGGGGAGGACTTTCAGGTGAGGTTTCCAGCAAGTGGCAGGAGAAAAGAGAACCACCCACAAGATACCAGATACCACTTCCCTATGCAAGTCTCATTTCTGGCTGATTGTTCAGATCTATACTGCACAGGGGAAAAAAACAGTCAGCCATTAGGAAACTGGGGGAAATCAATCAGCCCTCATCAGCCTGAATGAAAAACTGGAATCCAAGAGATCAGAATGAGTTCCCAGGCCCAGCTCATGAATATTTTATGTATTTTCTTCAAAACAGCCACGTACCCACAAAAAGGAGGAATTCACTGCTTCCTATAAAGGAGTGTGATGAAACAGTCTTAAAGGAGGACACAGGGTTGACAAGAACAGGCAGAAATGAATTATGATCAGAAACCCCTTGATGGTTTTTCAGGGAAGCCCATTTTTTGGTGTCTTTTTATAGGCAAATGCCTGTAAGAGGCTCAGCCACGCAGCTACTGGAGGATTTATCCTTGCATGCAGGTCTATCTGTTCCAAGCCCCAGGGTAACTACTCAGGTGTTTACCTGAAGGAGAAGGCAAGGAGGAAAAATCCACAGTTGCCAAAAAAGCGCATTCATGGCATGAGCACAGTGGCAGCCTAGCTGGGAGACACAGGGAGGGAGGGAGGGAGGGAGACTTAGCATTTTCAGGTCCTGCTCATGGTGCAGGTGCAGGTCTAACGAACTTTTTCTTCCCTCTGTACTTCGTTTGTCTTTCCTCTTTCTATGGAGTTCCGTTTTTTCTTTTCTTTTCTTTTCTTTTTTTTTTTTTGAGACAAGGTCCCACTCTGTCGCCCAGGCTGGAGTGCAGTGGCACAATCATGATTACAGCTCACTGCAGCCTCGACCACATAGGCTCAGATCATACTCCTGTCTCAGCCTCCCAGGTAGCTGAGACTACAGGTGTACACCACCACACCCAAATAACTTTTGTATTGTTTCTAGAGATGAGGTTTTGCCATGTGGCCCAGACTGGTCTTAAATGCCTAGACTCAAGTGATTCACCCCCCTGCCTCGGCCTCCCAAAGTGCTGGGATTATAGGCGTGAACCACCATGCCTGGCCAGAACATGCGGTTCTCATCTTAGTGGTCTCTGGAGTTGCTCACCAAAAATCACGCAATAAATAAGACAGAAATACAAGAACGTTCCTAAGACAGATTAAGAATGGTGTATTGTTTCCAAATACCAGGCTTTCCTTCCTGTGCATATGGCACATTTTGACATATTTTCAGTGACATGAAGGCTAATGAGAAAGCTCTTTGGAACACAATGGAAACCTTCCTGCTCTGTAACAAGAGGGAAAAATCCCAAGGGGTGGATGAAATTCCCGGAGGTTTTACCGGATTAGCCCATTAACATCACGTCCCATTATTGAACACCAGGGAAGGATGAATCTTTTCTAAGAGAGAAAGTGTAGGTCAATTTCTGTGATGATATCAGTAACATATGCATAGCATCAGTCTGGGAAGCCTACATTCCAAACTCTTCATCCTCAGGAAGAAAGTGGCATTTGCAAATCTACTTTGTTCTCCTCTCTTTTGTGCCATAACTAACGCACTAACTTTGAGCACTATTAAAGTATAATTTTCAAAAAGGTAAGGTGATTCCCATGCAAATATGAAATACACATTTTAAAGATTTTATTCAACTAATTAATTAGAGAAGAAACCAGAAACTATTAAAGTTTGAGGAGCTAGGTGTGTATAGGCAATTTAATAAAGGAATGTTGGGGTAAAACTGCTGGGTTAGGTGTAGCACTGGTTAATGTCCTACAGAGCAATAAACAATAACTTATAGGATTATCTTTTCTCCTAGATGGAAATTATTTGCATTTCTATTGGATAAAAACCTACAAATTAACATATACCTTCACTTTAAATCAGTAGTTATCATTGAGTGAAACAAAGTATATGACCCAAGATCATGCTTGGATGGGCCTTTGCCTTCATATGACATTGAAAAAAGATACTATTCATATCTTTGCCTTATTTCCAAGTATTGGAAAATTTTTCTTAATAGCACGTTGAGATTAGGGGTAGCATTTTTCATTTTGTATGCCACCCATCAGCACAGCACCATCTTAGGTACATAACATGCTCAATAGTGTCTGCTGAATTACGTGTTTATTTGTATCAACAAGAAGAAGGCTTTTCAATTCCTCACCTAACGTAATCCATCATCCTCATCCCTGTTGCTTACTGTCCATCCTTGTTCATAGCTTTATGGGTTTTTTTTTTTTTCCTAAAAATACTTAAACTAATAAGGATACTTTTCTTTCTTTATTGTCAGGTCAGCCCAAGCCAGAGGTAACTTGGTATAAGAATGGTCAGGCCATCGATGGGAGTGGCATTATTTCCAACTATGAATTCTTTGAGAATCAGTATATTCATGTGTTACATCTCTCTTGGTAAGTGGCTATACCCCTGTGGACTGTTTACTAATATCCTTATATTCTGTCATGTGCTGATTACTATGAGGTAAGGCCAAAAGATTGGCTCATATTTGCTTCTAGAGTCATAATTTTAGATGCCATTGGCAGGCATCTGCCAAAGCACCCAGCAATGATGATTTCCTGAGCTCTGCTCAGTAACTAATTATATTCCCCTAATTTGCTGCTGTCAATGGAGTTAAACTTTATCTAGAATTTTGTTCAAGGTGATCCAGCCATTGCCATCCATTAAATAAGCTTTTCATTTCATCTTGATCTCTCTGGAAAGTGAAGAAAGTGTGATAGGATCTCAGCATTGTTGTCCAAACTTCCATGGGTAGGAAGAAGGAGAAGTGGCTGACTATGATCCCACAGCACCTTGGTGGTGGAGTTCAGGCTAGAAACCATACCCCCTGGCTTTATTTTAGGAAGTAGTATGGTCCTGTACAGTGATTTCGAATTTTTTTTTGTTCCTCCAAGAACTTTTGTTTGGATAAAACCAGGAAACTCAATAAGTAAAGGAGAGAAAATGAGAACTGCTCAGGGTGAAGCTGGGTAGGGGGTCTGTGCTTTTGATCCTCAATGCTACTAAATTGGTCACAGTGCCATTATGGGGCTCTGAGGAGCCTGAGGGTTCTTCAAAGCATGGTATGAAAATGACTGGTAGGCATGGGAGTGTGCTGATAGCGTTGAGTCTGAGATTTAAAAAAAGACTTACTGAGTTCCAGCTCTACCATTTTCTTGCTGTATGACCTTGGCCAGTTGCTTAACCTCTCTGAAACTCAATTTCATCATCTATAAAACAAAAGGCTGACAGAGTTAAAGAATGTAATGCTTGTAGAAGTTTCATTGTAGAGGAGTTGTTCATAAACACAAAAGCTTTCTTATCTCCTATCTAGTCCTTTGTTTAAAGTAACAGGCTGAGCATGGTGGTGGCTCATGCCTGCAATCTCAGCACTTTGGGAGGGTGAGGCAGGAGGATTGCTTGAGGCCAGGAGTTTGAGACAAGCCTGGGCAACACAGTGAGACTTCATCTCTACAAAAAAATTGAAAAATTAGCTGGGCATGGTGGCTCGTGCCTGTAGTCCCAGTTGCTTGAGAGGCCAGGGTGGAAGAATTGCTTGAGCCCAGGAGTTTGAGGCTGTAGTGAGCTATGATTGCACCACTGCACTCCAGCTTGGGTGACAGAGTGAAATCCTGTCACAAAAATAAGTAAATATGTAAATAAATAATAAACATCAGACATCATTTTACCAAGGTTGAAATGCTTATCTGACTTACAGCATATCTAGCCTAACATTTGAGATACCCATTACTCATCTATTCTTTAATTCTTTAGATAATATTCTTCAGGCACCTACATATGCCAAGCATTTTGCTTAACGCTAGAGATGGAGGTAAATAACACAAACATTGTCCACACCCTTACAAAATGTCAACTCTGGTATGGATGATCAGTGGTGAACAAAGAAAGCCATTCTTCCCCTTACCACTCCAGTATACTTGGGAGACAGCCGGATTGGCATTTGCTGGCCCTTGACCATGACCTGGACTTTCCTACTTCTTCATTCCAACCTTGTCGAGGTCTCCCCTTCCTCGTCTTTATCCCATTCAGCTTAGAAACCAGCTGTAAGGTTCACAGGTGAGATTCTAGTTACCCATGGGTTTGTCTAGCCTCAAACATTCTCTTCTCCTTTGATCTTGTTGCACAGGCCTCCCTTTTGGTGGTTATTCATTGCTCAGGATTGATGACAAGTTCAGTAGACTGTGGGCCTCACAGGGGGAAGTAGCCCTCTCTGATTCACACAAACATCCCCTAGAGCCTGGCACAGTGCCTACAACATAAATATTTGTTGAAAGGATGGATGGAGACATCTATCTATCTATATCTCTCCCTTCTCTATCTATTGTTTTTGTGGTTGGTTTATCTAGATCAATGTTAGCAAACATTTTTCTAAAAGGGGCCAGATAGTAAGTATTTTAGCCTTTGCAGGCCAGATGCAAAAATAGGCCACAATTATTCAGGTCTGTCATAGATAATATGCTTTAAAAAAAATAGCATAGTTGTGTACCAATAAAACTTTATTTACAAAAACAGGCGAGGGACCAGATTTGGCCTGCGGGCTATAGTTTGCCTACCCTGGTAAGATCCTTGAGGATCTACACACTGAACTTCTTTGTATGTTTCCCACCCTTGCTTATTTTCCTCTGAGCAATCAACACATATTTCCTGATTAATTTTAGTCTCACAGTAAACCAAAATATTATGCCCACATTTTAGCCAGAAGAGAAGCTTGACATGTGTTAAGAATTGAGATTTGCTATTACTGTTTTATGTTCCATATACAGGATGAGGGTATAAATGAATGGAGGAATAAGAAGCCCATGAGGAAGCCCCAGAGACAGGTGGGCAAGTCAAAGCAGAAGGTATACAAAGCAGAAGGAGAAACTTGGGGAGGGAACTTGCCCTGTGGAAGGTTCAGGGAGTCACCATTCCCTGTTCTGAGATCCAGCAGGGCAGTGGCTTTCCATGAAAATTGAAGATTTGACACAACAGAATCCACTCATTCCAAGCTCCTGGGCTGCCATTTTGAAAAATAGCCCGTCTACTAGGAAAAGTATTCCGTCGTAATGCAAGAAATGTTGGTAGAGCCCTGTAATAGATGTGGTCACGTTTTGCTGCTTAGCAGTAAGTATGCTGGGCACTAATGATCGTGGGAAGTTCTGACTTTTTATACCGGTAGTTCTGAATTCTAGCTGCCCGTTAGTATCACCTGGGGAGACTTTAAAACCCACTGATGCTTGGGCTTCGCGCTTGACCAATTAAATCGGAATCCCAGGTGATTCCAGTGTTTTGCCGAAACTGAGACACGCTCTACGTCCTAAGCATTCATCTGCAAAGGGATTTGACTTATACCAATATGTTAAATGCTGGTGAGGAAAATGAACGGTATTTTGTGCAAATGCCTTTCAAAGATTAAAAGTTAGCTGTTAGTTATAATATTAGTCTCAAAATTTCCTGCTATATACCGTCAACCCCTGGATTAGCTCATAGCCCAAAGAAAAGTACTTTTCTTCACCTGCATTTGATCTTTGGATCATTAAATCTGAGTTTTTAGATATTCGAAAGCTCCTGTTTCTGTGTTTCCCAAGGGCTTTTTTGGTTTAACAAATCTAATCTGCAGTTCTGCTTGGAGGCTAAGAGCCCTGCGATTTATGAATCTTTTGATTTTCTCTCTTTCCTCTATCTTCCCTGCATCCTGCATTCTCCTCCTCATGCTGTCCTCATCTCATGAACCTGGGCACTTCAGGCAAGTGAGACGGCGGGGAAGAGATTTATCATTGCTGTTGTAACCTTTACATTAACACGGGTCAAGTGTGCTTGGCAGGGAAGAGAAATGGAAAGCCAAGAAGGCATTCCCAGGGAAAGAAACATCAATAATCACATTATGGTATGCACTGTAGCTTGAAATAGAATTTTTTTTTTTTCCAAAAGATGTAGGAGTTGGGGAGTGGGGAGGAAAATGCAAATAGACGTTTTCTACCTCATAATAAAGCAAATTGCAACGATGTGTATACAAACGGGGAATTGTGGTCTCTTATGAACATAATGTAAAGAAAGGCAGCAAAGCAACAGATAAAAATCTGTCCAGGAACCCGCACTTAGATATACCCCCTCCTCAGCAGGGAGGCCTCCTTTGATGGTTGCAATCACATGGCTGTGCTGAGAGCCAGCAGGAGGGAGGTGGAAGGAAGGGGAAGGGGGCGGAGGAAGCACCAGGAGCAGCAAAGCTCCGCTCCTGCCTGGGCTAAAGCGGGACAAAGCAGCATCTCTGCTCTCTCATCAACTCTGCCCTGGCATCGGCTAGGCTGGGGACAGGTCCATAGAGCACCGGGCAGGGACAATGACCAGGAGAACGGCACAGTCACCACAAGCCAATCAGCTCATGGAGTGTATACAGGGTTGAATAGTGTCCCCCAAATCCATGTCTGCCTGGAGCCTCAGAATGCGACCTTATTTAGAAATAGGATTTCTGCAGGTATAATTAGTGAAGGAGTTCATATTGGATTAGGTTGTTGGATTATTACGGAAAAGGGGTTCCAATCCAGACCCCAAGAGAGGGTTCTTGAACCTCACACAAGAAAGAATTTGGAGCAAGTTTATTAAGAAAGTAAAAGAATGGCAGAGCAGCGGTATAGGCTGCTCGCCTGAGTATACTTATTTATTGATTATATGCTAAACAAGAATTGGATAATTTATGTGTTTTCTGGGAAAAGGGCAGAGATTTCCTGGAACTGAGGGTGCCTCCTATTTTTAGATTATATAGGGTAACTTCTAAATGTTGCCATGGCATTGGTAAACTGTCATGGTGCTGGTGGGAGTGTCTTTTGGCATCTAACACATTATAATTAGCATATGAGCCATGTGGACGACCAGAGGTCACTTTCATTGCCATCTTGGTTTTCGTGGGCTTCGGCTACTTCTTCACTGCATCCTGATCTATCAGCAGGGTCTTCGTGACCTGTATCTTATGCCGACCTCCTGTCTCATCCTGTGACTAAGAATGCCTAACCTCCTGGGAATGCAGCCCAGTAGGTCTCAGCCTTAGTTTACCCAGACCCTATTCAAGATGGAGTCATTCTGGTTCAAACACCTCTGACAGGGTGGGTCCTAATTCAATGACTGGTATACTTTTAAAAAGGGAAAACAGAGCCACAGAGACACACACAGAGAAAAAATGGCGGTGGGAAGACAGAGACAGAGATTGGGGTGATGCAATGGCAAGCCGAGACATGCCAAAAATTGCCAGCAGCCACCAAAGGCTAGGAAGGGGCAAGAGAAGAGTCTTCCCTGGAACCTTTGAGGGACCATGGCTTGACGACAACTTGATTTTAGACATTTTGGACACATGAACTGTGAAAGAATAAATTTCTGTTGCTTTTTGCCACCCAGTTTGCGGTAGTTTGTTACACAGCCCTAGGAAGCTAATACATGGGGTAGCCAAGCAATCCCATAAAAAGAGGCAGGGCTTTTTGCCTACCTGGACATAAGCACTGGCCAGGTTTATCTGAGAATGCAGTGTTGGTTCCAGACACACCAGCTGAGTTCATCCAGACTACCCAGTGGGAGATGTCTAGGGACAAAGGGGCAAAAACATTTTTTTCAACTCTGCCCCAAATTCACGATTGATTATTCAAGGATTTGAAGGGGAAATCAATAAGGTTTCCTGGGTCACTTGTGTTTTTCCCCCAGGGGACATTTGGTAATGTCTGGAAACATTTGGATTGTCCTGACAGGAGGGGGTGGGGTGCTACTGCATCTGGCGGGAGGAGGCCAAACCTGCTGTTGAACATTGGACAGTACACAGGTCAATCCCCACAGTCAGAATTCTCCGATCTAAGATGTCTGGAGCACCAAGGTTGAGCAACTTTAGCAAACTATCACAAAACTGGTGTGCTCTCGTAGAGCAGCAGTTTCTTAGTTATCATGGGTCTGTGGGCTGGCGGGCTGGTTCTCTGCTGGTTTTCCCTGGCTTTTTCATGCTCATTCATGCCACTCAAGTCCATTTACGGATTGGCTGGGCTGGAAGGTCCAGTGTGGTTTCCCTGACAGGCCCGGCAGTGGATATTGCTGTTGGCTAGCCCGCCTTGCTCTCCTCCACATGGGCTCTCATCCCCCAGGAGGACAGTACTGGTTTCCTTACAGGGCAGTCTAAGGGCAGCATTCCAAGGTCACGGAGCTGCAGGGCCTCATGAGTTCCACCCAATATCATTTCTCTCACATTCTCTTGGCCAAAGCAAGTCACAGGCCAACCCACATTTAAGAAAAATAGACTCTACTTTTGAAGAGTGGCAAAGTCACATTGCAACAAGGTGTGCGTACTCACATGAGTGGAATTTGTAGCCAGATTTTGTAATCTGTATCTTCTATCTGTGGGAAATTTAATTGATCTTTTAAATCATCTATTTGCATGTATCTTTATCCTTCTCAAAAAGCCACCTATGACTGCCCCTTGCCTATAATTTTTTTATCCTTTTTTTTTTGAGATGGAGTCTTGCACTGTTGCCCAGGCTGGAGTGCAGTGGCAAGATCTGGGCTCACTGCAACCTCCACCTCCCAGGTTCAAGCAATTTTCCTGCCTCAGCCTTCCAAGTAGCTGGGGTTACAGGCACATGCCACCACGCCTGGCTAATTTTTGTATTTTTAGTAGAGATGGGGTTTCACCATGTTGGCCAGGCTGGTCTCGAACTCCTGACCTCAGGTGATCTGCCCACCTCGGCCTCCCAAAGTGCTGGGATTACAGGCATGAGCTGCCACTCTTGGCCTGTTCTTAACCATTCATTTATCCAACAAACATTAAGAGCACTTAATATGCTCTAGAATCCAGTGCCAAGTAAGAGGAAGCAAAGTTCTCTATGATCCCACTCACAGTCCAGTGGGATCAGTCCAGTGGGACACAGTCCAGTGTCCAGGAAACAGACACTGAAATTTCAGAAACGGGTATTGAACCAGAGAGTGCTCACCCAGACACAAGGTTTTAAGCTGCTTTTGTTACACGTTTCATGCTTGCAACCCTGTTTGGATAGTTTTTCATTTTCTTTTCCACTAGAACTCTAACATGCTATTAACTGTTGCACCTCACAGAGTGGATTGTTTTTAGAATGTGGACTCTGTGACTTCAGTAATGTGTCGGCATTCTCATTTATTTCTCATGTCCAGGCAGACAGACAGACCCTAGGAGCCGTGGGGTACAGTGTTACCTTCCTCAAGATACTCTGGTTTGAGAGCTCTTTGTAAGTGCTTGTCACCTGTGCCCTGGGGAGGGCCATCAGCCTCTTTCTATACATAATCACCCAAGGAAACCTAAACCGTTTGCCAGACATCTGAAAAACATGAGTTGTTGTTCATGAATGAAACTGGGCAAATGAGTATAGGTGAATCACTTAAAGACACCCCCACTGGGGCCGGATGCGGTGACTCACGCCTGTAATCCCAGCACTTTGGGAGGCCAAGGCAGGCAGATCTCTTGAGGTCAGGAGTTCAAGACCAGCCTGGACAACATGGTGAAACCCTGTCTGTACTAAAAATACAAAAATTAGCTAAGCATGGTGGCGTGAGCCTGTAATCCCAGCTACTCGGGAGGCTGAGGCATGAGAATCACTTGAACCCGGGAGGCGGAGGTTGCAGTGAGCAGAGATCATGCCACTGCACTCCAGCCTGGGCAACAGAGCGAGACTCTGTCTCAAAAAAAAAAAAAAAAAAAAAAAAAAAGATATCCCCATTGCTGGAAGAAACACCTCAGAACACACAACCTGCTAATAGAATTGTCACCATCAACTTCGCTTACAAAGAACAGACAATCTTTTCCACTATTGACAGCCAGCGTCCAAAGATCTGGGTTTAAATCCCAGATCTATAAGCTGTATCATCCTGGGCAAATTATTTAACTTTTCTATGTCTCAGTTTTCTCATCTGTAAAAATGGGGATAATAATAGTACCTGCCTAATAGGGTTGTTGTGGGGATTAAATCAACACATGCAAAGAATTTTGAATACTCAATACATAATAGCTATTTCAGGTGCTTTAAACATGCTCCCCACCCCAAACTATAATTTTGGAACTGATTAAAATAGGAGAGTTTGGAGGTAAGAAAGGCAGCATTTTTCCCCTCTGCTATTTCTCTTTTGGAGGGTAAAAAAAATGTGGTTAACGTGATTGTTCAAGAAATCATCAGGTAGAAATAAAGATGACTGAATCTTGCTATGTCTTGGCTAAGATGGAAATGCATTTCATCCAAGGTTGGAAAGCATTTTGTGAACTTCATGTTCCTGTGAGCTTAAGTAGGTCTAACAAATCTTAAGGATGACTGGTAGAACTTTCCGACACCTGGAAGGTGTCTGTGTTCCTGACACAGGGCTGAGGCAGGTTCCCGTGGCATTCTCCCTGAATGAATTCAGCAGGCACGCATCAGGGCCATGACTCAGACCATGCCTGGAGCCCTGCTTGAATGAGTTCCGAGGGTCTGACAAGGAACTCCCGGTTAGTCCTCGGGTGATAGGTCCCTTCTGAGAATCCACTGCTTGTCATCACATTCTGGTGGTGACTTTAGTAGGTAAGTGTCTCAGAAGAGTGAATGGTTATAGGCCAGGTTCTGGGACACTCACTCACCTTTTCCTGGGGACGGGACTTGGGTGGCTGCTCCCACCATGGTGCAGACTCCTCAGGGCAAATCATGCTAGTCAGGTGACAGGTGACAGGTTGATCCAAGAGCCCCTCCCAAGACTTTGGGACAGTCAGGGAAAGGTGCACCAATCACTAGAAGTTGGACACGTTCTGAAAGTACTGTCACTGAAAACTGTCACTGTCACGTTCTGAAACTGTCACTCCATTGACACCTTCTGAGAACTGAGCAGACCAGGCACATTAGGGAAGTTCTTGGAGTCAGCCCTACCTTGTAATCACAGAATTAGAGGCAGACACATCTGGAAAGATTGAAAAGATGGGGTGTATTGCTCATGTAGAAATCGTGATGTGTTAGTGCTGGGGAACAGTTGACCAACTCCCTCTAAGGTAAAGCTCATAAAGAAATTACCTGACAAGGGGAGATGGCTAGTTATGGACAGAGCTGAAACTAATCAGGCCCTGTGAGTCCCGGGAAGGGCTTTGCCCCGACGATGTAGCGAGAGGGCAGGACTGAGAAAGGGGTTCAGTTTGGCAGCGTAAGTCTCTGTCCTGACCAGCCCAGCCTATTTCTCCTCCTCATGCACTCAGCTGAGGGCCTCTCATGACAGCCCCAAGGCCTCCCTGCCTCTGCCAGGTCCTGCCTGGGAGCCTCTCCTGCCCCTGCCTCCTGAGTTCTCCATGAACCACTGTGTGACTTGGACCTCACGCCCCTCCCCGTCTGCCTCCAGGCTCCATCACCTGGAATTCCTGCTTTGTCTTCTCCCAAGCACATGCTCCCATTCACTTTTTCTGAATCCCACAATGCTGAGCCAGTCTCAGTACATTCCATGAGACACCAGGCTACACCTCAGTGGAGTCCCCCTCATATGGGAGAGGAGCTGCCGCTCTGGATCCTCCAGGACTCCCTTCAGGCCACACCCCACACCTGGGCCTCAGGTGAACCTGAGAATGGGTGAGAATGGGCGTGGTCCGTGAGAGGGGTTAAGCCCTGGGATGGTCCCTCAGACCCTGCCTGTCATAGTCAGCTTGAGCTACCCTACCAAAATACCATAGTGTGGGTGGCCTAAACAACAGAAGTTTCTTTCTCACCGTCCTGGAGGCTGGAGGTCCAAGATTGAGGTGCCAGCATGGTTAGGTTCTGGTAAGGGCCCTCTTCCTGGTTTGCAGAAGCTGCCTTCTCACTATGTTCTCACATGGGACAGAGAGAAAGAGAGAGAGTGCAAGCTCTCTGGTATCTCTTCTAAGGGCACTAATCCTGTCATGAGGGCCCCACCCTTGTGACCTCATCTAAACCATATCACCTCCCAGAGGCCCTGCCTCCAAATACCATCACATTGTGGGTTAGGGCTTCAACATATGACTTGGTGGGGGACATAATTCAGTAGCTAGCACAGCTCCAAATATGGAAGTGTTCTGGCTATATACAGGGCCAGACTAAGATGAGCCAGTGGGGGTGGACAGGGACCCACTGGTTCAGAATCAGAAATCTGCAGCACTCTGTGAGAGTGTAAGTAGACACACTAAGTATCATAAGTAGATACTCAGCTCTCAAGCCAGACTACCCAGGTCCAATTCTTGGCCTCATCTCTTACTTGGGCAGGTTGCTTAACCTCTGTCTGCCACGATTTCCGTATCTGTAAAATGGGAATGATTACAGTATCTACTTTGCAGGGTTGGGTGAAGATTAAATGAGATAATACACATAAGGAAACTTTTTGAACAGTGCTGGTACTCAACAAATGCTAAGTAAATGCTCATTCTTTCTGCCCTGAGATCTCCTGTGTATTGTTAGACACAGCCATTCTTTGTTTTTGTTTTTTCTTTCGAGTTGGAGTCTCACTCTGTCACCCAGGCTGGAATGCAGTGGCACAATCTCAGCTCACTGCAACCTCCACCTCCCAGGTTCAAGCAATTCTCCTGCCTCAGCCTCCTGAGTAGCTGGGATTACAGGTCCCCACCACCACACCTGACTAAATTTTTTTGTATTTTAGTAGAGACGGGGTTTCACCATGTTGCCCAGGCTGGTCTCAAACTCTTGACCTCAAGTGATCCACCTGCCTCGGCCTCTCAAAGTGCTGGGATTACAGGCATGAGCCACTGCACCGGGCCAATTTTGTTTTTTTTTAATTAGCTTGGGGTGGTGGCACACACCTGAGGCCCCAGCTTCTTGGGAGGCTGAGGTAGGAGAACTGGTTGGGCCTGGGGGGTTGAGGCTGCAGTGAGCCATGATCATACCACTGCACTCCAGTCTGGGTAACAAAATGAGACCCTGTCTCAAAAGCAAACAAACAAACAAAAGATTTGTGGGAGGAATTAACACAACGCATCCAGGGGTTCTGTTCTTCACTGAGTCTTGCCTCAAGGGCAGCAGGCAAAAGAGCCATTCCACATACAGCCATCTGAACTGGGGGAAATGATTTGAATGAACTGTGGCTTGTTGGTGGTCAGAGGCTCTGTTGCTGAATCCTTAGGGGACTGGGTGAGCAGAATAATCTAACAGGCCTCCCACAGCTGCTGTAGGAGAAGGCCCTGTTGTCAGTAGCTCTGGTCACCATTTGAACTGCAGGGTGTCAGTGACTGCTCCCTTTCTGTCCTTGTCACTTCCCATTCCCTGCGGCGGCTGCTGCAGCAGCCAGATGGAGATTCTTCTCCTGTTGGAGCTGCTCCTTGACAGCCCTAATGAGGCTGCTCCCTTGGCCCTGTGCAGGGTGCCCTGCTTGCCCGTCTGCCTGCTAGTGGCTGCCTCGGCTCACCAGTGGGCACCAGGAGGTGGCAGCCAGGCAGAGGCATCATGAGATGGTCAGATCAAGGAGATAGAGAGGGACACAGGACACAGCCAGCACCGAGGCCCTGACAACAGAACGGCAGACGAAGGGAAGCCACTGACTTGTGACGGGCTTCTTCCCTGACTACAGGTCTCTGAGCCTGCTTTTGGGAGAGAAATTCTCAGACCTGGTTTTGCTCATTCCCCCTTTCTGGGTCCAGCAATTCATTTTTTAAGAAGGAAAACCAACTCTTAACAGCCACACAGTGCATGCGGGGGCAGCTTGCCAGTCATTGAGTAGGGAACTCAGATCAAATTGAGCAGCTAGTGGAGTGACAGCTGATGTTTTCCTGAGAATTTAATAAGGGGACCTTTACCCTTGATGGAAACGTTGGAGTCACCAAGCTGGAAGTGACTTCAAGATGTTGCCGCTCAGAGCCTGGTCTTGGACCACCAGCATCAGCATCCCCTGGGAGCTTGTTAGAATGGCAAAATCCCAGCTCCCTCTCCAGACCAGCCAATCAGAACCTGCATTTTAATGACATCCCAAGTGATTCGTGTGCATTTTTAACACAGGAGAAACCCTGCTGTAAGGCTTAGGCTTAGCCCACTCCTGGCTATACATTACCTCTGGGGAACTTTAAAAAAGTATTGATGCTTATATCCCACCCCTAAAAAATTCTGTTTTAATTGGTCAAATCCAACTGGTCTAGTCCACTGCCTACACCCTATAGGTCACCCAAGGCCCAGAGAGATCACAGGACCCATCCAAAGTAACACAATGGGTTAGGAACAAAGCTAGGGTTAGAACCCCAAAATTCTGTTTCCCAGGGCCCCGGAGTCCATTATGTTAATCACTGCATCTCATCCTACCAGTGCCATCCTCCCAAACAAAATCTATTAAGATGTATCCTGGAATATAATTCAAAAAGGAGTGATCATAAGGACTTCATTCAAAAATAAGGATTCATGGAGGGCCTACTATATGCCGGGGACTGTTCTAGACCCTAAGGTTACAGCAGCAAATACTGGAGTCCCTGATCTCATGGGAAAGGGATCGCAAGAGGAGCCAGACATTTAACACACCAGGAACTATGTAATGGGTCAGGTGAAAAAAGATAAAGCAGCACGAGGGAGGGAAGGCGCATGACGGTGGGAAGGTCTCTCTGGTGAGGGGCTCTGAGCACAGGGGTGAAAGTACAGAGCGGGAGGTGATGTGGTTATTACCTGGGGAAGGCAGGTTCTCTTCACCTTCTGTGACTCCCACGTCAGCTCATTGCTTGTAGGCCATGGCACATGGTCATGACTTTGGATTTGATTTGGAGTGAGATGGAGACACATAAGAGGGTTTCTGAACAGAGATGTGATGACATTTTCTGGCTAAGTGTAAAAGGATGACTCTTATCTCAGTGATGTGAATGTATCCTCTGGAGAAGACTCAGGGCACAGATGGGGACTGCAAGCAACCATCGCGGTAATTCAGATGAGACGGTGGTGCCTCCACCCAGGACGGTCCTGCAGAAGGTGGGAGGAAGCGGCCAGGTTCTGAGTGTGTCTGACAGGAGCTGCTGTTGGACTGGATGCTGGACGTGAAAGGGGAGTGAAAGACGGACTCCAGGATTTTTGCACTGAGCAATTGGTAGAATGGAATTGCAGTTTTGTGGAGACAAGAAGCAGGTTTGGATAAGGACATCCACAGTTTGGCTTGGGGCGTGCTGGGTGTTTGATGAATTAGCAGAGCTCTGGGCCTCTGTGGCTAGGGACATTTGTGCTGCTGAGAGCTGGGGCTGCCGGCCATGGCTTGTCTGATGGAGCATTCATCTTAGTCCTGCTCCCAAGATGATGGGCCTTTCAGAGAATAGATTTACAGTTTAAACTTAAGATTGTTTTGGTATATTGTCACAATGCTCCTTAAGATTTCTGGGACATTATGCTCGCTTGGTGACCTATTAGGTGCTGGGGGTGGAAATTGTTTCTGGATAACTTTGAGTTTTCTTTTAATAAGAAGGGTCAGTCATCTATTAACTAAGCGTGGTGGTAGTAATGCCATAGGATTTTTTTCCTTTCTGAAATCAGTTTGCCCACTTCTTGTTCAAAGAATCTCTGGTGGGTCTGCGTTGCTCCCAGAGGCTCAGAAAGCTGTCAAAAGGGCAGAGCTTCTGCGCCAAGTGGAAGCCAGGAAACCGCTCCCCATGCATCCCCAGGAAAAGATCCTGGCTCTACCATGAACATGCCTGTTCCCTGACGTGTTCGCTATTGTACAAGAGTCCATGTCCATTTATTTAGTTCAGTGCTTCTGAGTGCTGGCTGCCCAAAGGAATAGCCTAGAAACCTTAAAAAAAAAACTGATGGTGAAGGTTTCACCCCATTATGCTGCTTAATTGTGCTTTTTTTTTTTTTTTTGGTTGGGGGAAGAGGTGGGCCCTGGCACTGGTATTTTTTTCCTTTTATTATTTTTATTTATTTATTTTTGAGATGGAGTTTTTGCTCTGTTGCCCAGGCTGGAGTGCAATGGTGCGATCTCGGCTCACTGCAACCTCTGCCTCCCAGGTTCAAACAATTCTCATGCCTCAGCCTCCCAAGTAGCTGGGATTACAGGCATGCACCACCACGCCTGGCTAATTTTTGTATTTTTAGTAGAGATGAGGTTTCACCATGTTGGCCAGGCTGGTGTTAAACTCTTGACCTCAGGTGATCCACCCGCCTTGGCCTCCCAAAGTGCTGGGATTACAGGTGTGAGCCACTGCACCCGGTCTTTTTTGCCTTTTTTTTTTTTTTTTTTTTTTTGAGACAGAGTCCCTTCCTGTCACCCAGGCTGGAGTACAATGGGGAAATCTCAGCTCATTGCAACCTCCACCTCCCAGGTTCAAGCGATTCTTCTGCCTCAGCCACCCAAGTAGCTGGGATTACAGGCGCATGCCACAACGCTCTGCTAATTTTTGTATTTTTAGTAGAGATGGGGTTTCACCATGTTGGCCAGGCTGGTCTTGAACTCCTGACCTCATGATCCACCTGCCTTGGCCTCCCAAAGTGCTGGGACTACAGGCGTGAGCCCCTGCACCCAGCCCCTTTTTTTCTTTTTAAATAGACTTTAATTTTAGAGCAGTTTTGGGGTCACAGCAAAATTGAGCATAAGACACAGATAGTTCCCACATACCCTCTGTCCGGCATGGTACATTTGTTACAATCCATGAATCCACACTGACATATCATCACCCCAAGTCCATAGTTTACATGAGGGTTCACTCTTGGTGTCCGTTCTACAGGTTTGGACAAAGGTGTCCTGACATGTATCTACCTCTGCAGAATCAGCAGTAGTCTCCCCGCCCTAAAATCCTCCGGCCCTGGTATTTTTACGAAGCGCTCCAAGTCACTTGAACGTTCAGCCAGGGCTGAGAACTATTGATTTAGTCTTACTGTGTGCCAGGCTTTGCTTTCAGCACTTTATAGGAGTTAATCCCTTAATCCTCATGTCACCGGGTTGATGGAGGTTCAGCTATTGTCCAGAGCTGTCAAGTGGCTTCTCCAACGCTGCGGAGCAGATGGGCCGGCATGTGAACCCAGGCACATTCGCTGCTAAGTCTGTCCCTTAACCACTATGCAGTACTGACTTTGCCAACTGCCTCTGCAATCGGCTTCGAATTGTCCTCGGGTGAAGAAGAAAAGTAAACTTTCCCCTGCAGTTCACACACACATAGTGCCCCTGGACAGAATTCCGCACCCTCCACACCGGAGCTCCTCCCCACCCACTGCCCCAGTTCTTCAGGGCCCTCTCCCCCAGCCCTACCTCCTGCGAATCCCACATCAGCTCATTGCTTTATTGTCCCTTACACATGACCTGATCATTCCAGCTCCGGTGCATCTGCCAGGAATGCCCTCCCCTCTTTCCACCCAGCCAAAATGTAATTCTTCCCTGCGGGGCTCGAGTTCTGTGCTCCTGGCTTCATTTCCTGAAGGCCCAGGCCCCTGTGACCTCTCCTGTCCTAACCACCAGAAGTGCTGGCTGCCTTGGCTGTGCCTTTTGGAATTCAATGACACTGGATTTTGCAAATTGTGTACTGCTCCCTGTTTAATACCCAAAAGTCTCATCCCTGGGGAAGGAACCATGTCTTCTACTAATTTCTTGTTTCCCTTCTCAAGTCCCATGCAGTGTGCTAAGCATGTATAGTTGCAGGTCCAGCAGGACACATGGGAGAACGGGGTGTTCCTGCTCATTGGGGGCCACAGGTCACATCAGATATGGAGAGCAAGAACATTTGCTCCTCATCCCCGGTCTGTGGTATGAAATGCAGTTAGCGTCTTACAGAATTATTTTCCATCCCTTCCTACATGACTATTTTATTTGCTTCCCAGTGAACTGGAACCTGAGGTCTAAACCCCTTAGTATGGGATGGAAAACCTTCCACGATCTGGGCTCAGCCACCTCTTGGCAGGTGACCATATCTCCTGATCCACCTGGGCCAGCCTCACTTTCCCTAGCATGGCCCCAGTCTCTGCCTGTTGCTTTGGTGTATTAAGAGAGTCCCTTTTCATTCTCTGAAGTGTCCTGTTTAAACAGTGAACAACGCAGTTACTCTACCTTCCCACCTACCACTTCCCCAAGTTCCAAATTAAAAATGGCTTATTGTTTCCTGGGAGGGCCTGAAGCTTTCCTGCCTCCTTCCACATTTAGGCTATTCCTTCTGCCTAGAATGATCACCCCTCCACCAACCACAGGCACACACCATCTTTCCTGCCAAAATCCTACCCTGTATTTCCTGGTCTGCTTCAGCTGTTGAGCTCCCCAGGAAACCTCCCTTCATTATCTTGCATGCCCCCAACACCTGAATCCTTATAACTGGCACGCTTGTTAATGGTGCCTGGCACACACTGTCCTGTATTATAGCTGTTTGTATAGACAAGTCATTTCCCTTACTGGATGGGAGGCTCCTGAGAAAAGAGCCTAGGAATTTCACATCTTTATCATCCACATAGTGGCTAACACAATGCTTTATACATGGTAGACATTTCCTACCATTTTTTTGGCCGTATAACTTAAGACGTGTCACATCTTCTCTGGGCCTCAGTTCCAACATCTGTAAGATAGTTCCAATTCCTGTATCTGTTAGGGTCTAATCAGGAAGACAAAAACCATTTTGAAGCATTTAGTGCAGGGTTGCACAGATGATTGAGCCAACAGGGAACAGTGAGGTCACTCAGAGCCACTATCTCCTGGGCAGCAGAGACAAAGGGAGGAGTCAAGACTCCCAGTTCCAGGTCACAGGCCACAGAGCAGAAACTGGACCTCTGGTAGGCTGTCCCATGGGACCTGGAACTATGAAAGAGATGGTTTCTTCCTTCTTCCCTTCCCAGCCCCCAATCTACTGTCTCTCTTTGGTCAAACACAGCAAGAAGCCAGCAGTCATGGGAGCCGGGTGTTGCAGCCTCAGGGGTCAGCCCTGGTGATAGAGAGCAGAACCGGGGAAGAAGGCAGGTGGGTGAGAACCGGCCTGGGAGAGACACAGCTCTGAGGTCCGTTTCGGCTCTTTAGGTGTGTGGTTCAATCAATCTGTTGAATAAATAACTGAATAAATTGGTAAATGTATGAGGAATCTCCTCATTGTTTTGAAAGGTATCAAGTTACTTATAGAAAATATGATCAAGAAATTCAGAGAATTCTTCCATCTCCAGGACAAACATAGTTTTGGGGCTTGGGAAAGACCAAAGTCTTTCCTATTCCTTCAGTTATAAAAATGATTATTGATAGCAGTTGTTAGGCAGCTAATAAAATACAGACACTTGGCTTAAGAAAATAATGATGACTTTCACCTGGTGCTATGGCCAAGGAAAGGACACGGATGTCATCATGTGATTATTTATTGAGTGGAGCCCTCTTCCCCCTCCCTGCTGCAATGGGAGGGAAGGCTCAAAACATTCGCAGCCACTGGAGGGGGAGCTTCAGAGGCCTCCCTCCCCCTGCATTCCTGGCTGAAGGGGTGAAGACACTACAGACCTCGTGTTTCCAGATCTTGTTTTCTTTCACTGGAAAGTGGAATGCATAATAAAATGGAATGCCTGTGGTGCAAGATAGTGGTTGTATAGTATCTAAATTCCAGAGATAATTCCAAATCTTTTTTTTTTTTTTTTTTTTTTAGATGGAGCCTCGCTCTGTCGCCCAGGTTGGAGTGCAGTGGTGCAATCTCAGCTCACTGCAATCTCCGCCCCTGGGTTCAAGCGACTCTCCTGCCTCAGCCTCCCAAGTAGCTGGGATTACAGGCACGTGCCACCACACCTGGCTAATTTTTGTATTTTTTTTAGTAAAGACGAGGTTTCAACATGTTGCCTAGGCTGGTCTCAAACTCCTGACCTCAAGTGATCCACCTGCCTCAGCCTCCCAAAGTGCTGGGATTACAGGCATGAGCCAATGCACCTGGCTGAGAATTCCAAATCTTACCTCTAGCCAATACTTCAGCTTCTTCTTCTATGAACCCTGTCTTCAGGGCACCTGGTCGAGTTGCAGTTTGAGTTTCAGCAATTTTAATATTGTTGGGAGCAGGGAAGTGACCTCAGGGCAGGCAATAAAGGATTATCCATTTTTCAGGCCACACAAGATTACTGATTTTATTTTTATTTTTGCTGGTGGAATCACCCACCTTAGTGGTCAATAGGTAGATGTATGAAATAATGCATGTGACCCTTAGGGTAGGATGAGCATGAGAATAAGGATGAAGAAGATGATGATGATTGAAATGTAGGGACTGAAGAGTATATCATTTTGATGGGTATATTGTGCTGGTAGCTAGAAAAAAATAAATCGTTCGTTTATGTCTTCCTTTTCTACTTGTTTCATCCTGTTCCCCAAACTCGTGTCTTCATATTCCTCTTTGATAGGGTTACTAGTCCTGTGGATTCTTGTCCTGCTTAGTTCTTACTCATATTTTTAACCCTTGTTCCCAAAGCACAAAATCATGCTAAGTTGGCTGAATCCTGAAGAACTTTTAGGATTAGCCCTTCCAGAATTGATGGAACCGGCCTCCTCCTGCCCAAAACTAAATTACATAGGCCCATGTATTAAGCATTGAATCAGAATCTCTGGAAATGGAGCCCAGACATAGGTCTTCTTTCCCCTTTGCAAATAAGAAAAACCACAGAAATTATATCATCAGCCTAAGAGGATACACAAGTGAACAAACCAAGCAAAGCAGTGACCCCCTCCATGCTAATGCCCATCTTCCAGGGTGCAACAGCCAGCTGTTCTGCTGTGACAGTGTATCCAGGCTTCCCTTGGTGAATAGCTTAAATCAATGATTCTCAAAGTGTGTTCCTTGGACTTCTGGAAGTCCCTAACACCTTTTTAGGGATCCTCAGGGTCAAAACTGTTATCCTAAAAATATTCAAACATACCCAGCAATCCCATTACCAGATATAAACCCAAAGGAATATAAATCATTCTATTACAAAGATATATGCACGCATATGTTCATTGCAGCACCATTCACAATAGCAAAGACATGGAATCAACCCAAATGCCCATCAACAATAGACTGGATAAAGTAAATGTGGTACATATACACCACGGAATACTACACAGCCATAAAAAGGAACAAGATCATGTCCTCTGCAGGGACATGGATGGAGCTGGAAGCCATTATCCTCAGCAAACTAATACAGGAACAGAAAACCAAAAACCACATGTTCTCACTTAGAAGTGGGAGCTAAAAAAATGAGAATACATGGACACAGGGAGGGGAACAACACACACTGGGGCCTGTCGGTGGACAGGGTTTGAGGGGGAGCAGTGTAAGGGGTAGAACATTAGGAAAAATAGCTAATGCATGCTGGGCTTAATATCTAAGTGATGGGTTAATAGGTGCAGAAAACCACCATGGCACACGTTACCTATGTAAGAAACCTGCACATCCTGCACATGTACCCCAGAAGTTAAAATAAAAATTAAAAAAAAATTCAAACATTATTTGCCCTTTTCACTGTGTTGACGTGTACACTCATGATAAAAAGTAATGAAGGGTAAGTCTGTTGGTGGCTTAGCATGAATCATGGCAGTGGTCCCGAACCGTATTAGTTGCCATAGAATTCTGCATTTCCATACAGCCACAGTTAAAAACAACAAACAAAAAGTTTTACTTAATAATGCCCTTGATGCATCAGTAAAAATGGGGTAATTTTATTAAATCTTGATAACTCAGTAGCCCTGTTAATACCCCATGTAATAAAATGGGAAATATACACACAGCACCTCTGCTGGATTTCCTCAGATGGTGAACATCTTGAGGACAAGCTTTTGCATGATTAAGTTGCAAGCTGAACTAGCCACTGTTTTTATGGATTATCATTTTTACTCAAAAGAATAACAGACAAATGATGGTTATTCAGCCTTGGGTATTTGGCAGACATTTTCTGAAAAATGAACAAAACAAGCCTGCCACTTCAAGGAAAACTAAAAGTATTTGTTGCCAGTGATAAAATCCAAACTTTCAAGCTATCATTGCAGTCCCTTCTCTGAACTAGGGACTTCCAGTTTTTTCCAATATTCCTTCTGTTTTTTTCTCTATCTTCTCTCCTATGGGGACTCTCATTATATATATATTGTAAGCTGGTATACCATCAGGCTCCAGAACTCTTTAATTTTCTACATTCTTTTCTCTTTGTGTTCCTAAAATTGGATAATCTCAATTGACCAACTTCAAGTTCACTGATTCTTATTCCATCTGCCCAAATCTGCTGTAGAGCCCTTTTGTGAATTTTTTATTTCAGTTACTGTAATTTTAAATCTCTAAATTTCTATTTGGTTTGTATGTATAATTTCTATGTCTTTATTGAAACACCATTCTCATACTTTTTTTCAGCTCTTTAGACATGGTTTTCTTTAGTTCTTTCAGCATATTTAAAATAGATAAAGTTTGTGTTTAGCAAGTCTAGGGACAGTTTCTATTGATTGCTTTTTCTGTGTATGGGCAATACTTTATGTTTCTTTGCATGTCACATAATTTTTGTTGAAAACTGGACATTTTAAACAATGTAACGTGGCAACTCTGGAAATGAGATTCTCCCACATTCCCAGGGCTTATTGTTGTTGTTTGCTTGCTTAGTGACTTTTCTGAACTAATTCTTTGTTGTCTGTGACCCCTGAAGTTTCTACTGAGTTAGCTTAGTGGTCAGCTAATGACTGGACAGAGATTTCCTTAGATGCCTGGAACCAATGGGTCTCCCAGTTTATTGAGGGGCTGTGTGTGCATGTTGAGGTATGAAGCATGCTTTCACACTCAGCCAGGCAATTGACAACTCTGCCTTAGCCTTCACTTCCTGCTAGTAGAGAGCCTTAAGGTCAGTTAGAGCTGCGAGCTCAGAATTTTCTCAGGTCTTTCGTAAGCACATGCACTGGACATGCTTAGGAAGGCTGCTCACAGCCTTATGCATGTGCATGGCCTCCTAGATCCCCAGGAGAATGTCTCAGCTTTTCAATGACCCCATGGGCATCTCATTCCCAGCTTTCCCTTTTAAGCTTTTTGGTTACCCTATTGTTTAACCCAATTGTAATCTACTGCCTCAAGCAGCCATGGTGTTAAACAATTGTCTGTATAATTTTTTTTTTTTTTTACAAATGCCCCTAGGGAAAAAGATATTTTTGCTGGGTGAACTCTAAGTCAGATCACACAAAAACAGTCTTGTGAGTGGGGTCTTCCAGGGAATTACTAGGCAGGTCAAATAATGACAACTCTCTGGGTATGGGGCTTTGAAGGAGCCCCAACTGGGTCCTGCCCCCTCCAGCTGCTGCCAGGCTACTGGTTTTCACTGTGGTTGTGGAGTCTTGGTTTTCAAGACTACTGTGGAGCTGGTTATGGGGGAATAGAACTAGGGCAGGTTAAAGCACCAGAAAACTGTTCTTACTGAGATTCAGCCATTTTTCTCGAATAAAGGCTCCCCAGATTGCCTTTAATTTTCAGAGCCCTGAAAAAGTTGATTCAGACAAGTTTTGCCAGTGTTCTTGTTGCATTTACAGAGGTGAGAATTTTCAGGGATCCTTCCTCTGAACTTCTAGCTCATATCCTCCATGCTTCTACTTTCTACCATACAACTTAGCACAGATTTGATTTACACTGTTCTCTGATAAATTAACATTCATATTATTTCCCTAAGTAGAATTTTGGAAAGCTTGTGCCCTTCATCAAAAGCTTAACAGTTTATAATATTTAAAAATTATTCTGATAAGATCAGTGATAATATTAAACAACGTGGTTTTAAAAAGTATTATTTAATAAAATGTATTAATATTTGGAAGATATCATGAGCCAAGTTTTTCCAAATGACCAATGTGTGATGTTACAAAATCATGCATGGGTAAAAGATGCACTTAAAATGCAATATAGGGCTGGGCATTGTGGCTCATGCCCGTAATCCCAGCACTTTGGGAGGCCAAGGCAGGCAGATCACCTGAGGTCAGGAGTTTGAGACCAGCCTGGCCAACATGGTGAAATCCCGTCTCTACTAAAAATACAAAAATTAGCCAGCCATGGTGGTGCATGCCTATAGTCCCAGCTACTTGGGAGGCTGAGGCAGAAGAATCACTTGAACCCTGGAGGTGGAGGTTGCAGTGAGCCAAGGTGGTGCCACTGTACTCCAGCCTGGGAGACAGAGCAAGACTCCGTCTCAAAAAAAAAAAAAAAAAAAAAGCAACATAGAATGGTGGATTTTACATAACAAGTATGGAAAGTTCACTGATGTGGTTTCAGATTCCACATTGTAACTAATCTTCGTATATATCAAATAAGAATATTTTCAATCAGATGAAAAGATTATTAAAATATTCCTTCTTTCCCAATACATTGATGTGTCAGGCCAGTTTTTCTACATATATTAATCAAAACCATGTATTGTATCACACTGAATGCACAGATACAAAAATCCAACCATCTTCTGTTAAGCTTGATATTAAAGATATATGAAAAAATTTAAAACTACTCTTATGAAATGTTGCTTTGCCTTGGAAAAATATATTTGTTTTCCATAAAAACATTATTTATGCTAATGTGCAATGAATTTATTCTTGTTATTTTAAAATGAACTAAATAGTTAAAAATTTTTTATTGTAATGTGGTAAATATTGACAGATATAACCCATATAAACAAAAGTTCTTTGAAGTCCTCAATTATTTTTAAGAGTGTTAAAGAGTCTTGAAACCAAAATGTTTTCAGAAATTCTGGTTTAGACCACTTCTGGGGGTTCAAACTCAGAAGCTTCATTCAAGGTAACATGGACCTCTTTTTCTTTAATAAGGAAATGATTAATTTATAAAGAACCTAGAGAATTCAAGCAAGACTTTCACAGCAGGGGAGAGGAATGTTACTGCTTCCCTCCGCCAAAAGAAAAGACATGCAAGGAGGGAATTCAATTAATTGTTCAGGGAATTTCTTCCTGGATGGTTTTGCATTCCTGTCAAATCACTGTGGGGCACACAGGTCTCTCTGCCAGCATGCTGCAAAGATTCTACACCCTGACCCTACTAACACCATTTTAACTGCTACCATTGGAGTCCCTTCTCTGAACTCCTTTTTCCCATCCAGTCTGTTCTGTACACCTTAGCACAGACCTGATCTACAAGGTTCTCTGGGAAAGTAATACTATTTCCTTCAGTCAATTTTTAGTCATTTGGGGGCTGGACATGATGTTTCAGGCGTCTCCTTCACTCCACTGCAGCTCCTAACATAATGCTGGGCACCACGGTGCCCATTACTCTATGCAAGTCTGCCATTTGGCTGATCAAGATTGAAGACTTAGGACAGAAACACTTTATTTGCAGAATGATCTCTACACTGTGTCGTTTCCTTTCTGGTAATGTTAGTTTTCTAACAGCAACCACAGAGCCAGGCAGCCAGGGCAGAAGGCTCTTTCTTATCCCGGCTCTATGGCTTTCCAGCTTTGTCACTTTGGGGAAATAACTCCTTTCAACCTCAGTTTTGCCCACAGGGAGGAGGCAGACATTGTTTAATGTAGGAGTCACCCAGCAGATGCTGGCTTCCTTGCCCGATTTTCTTCCCCTCTTCTTTAGGATGCTTCGAGATAATTAGCAAAGACGTGTCAGCCACAAATCATAACTCTTTCAAAGGCACTCATTAGCCAGTGAGAAGTTAATTATACTTAATCCAGTTCCCTTTTCTCTTCATTGACTGTACTTAGGATGGATTATAAATCTCTTATCAACTAAAACATGTTTCATAAAATTATACATCACAAAATTATGACAATCTCCCATCTGTTTATTTAGTTGTTAAGAATTTAAATAGAGTGTATTTAACTCAATGATTTTCTCCATGTTTTTCTAAAAGTCTTTTTGTTTTCTCTCCTTGATTCTTGAGAATCATCTCTGCTCCCCACCTCTCCTGATTTCTTACTGCTTTACTGCCCCTTGTGCCTCTCAGCCTTCTTTTCTTTTCTTCCTTTCTCTCTCTTCTACACAAGTCATGGTACCTTCAGGGGAGGTGGTTTCTCTGCAGAGGGCTCATGGACTGGATAGGTCAGGATATCAAAATTACTTGGGATTTCCCAGTAGTCCCTATTGCCCACCCTGCCACAGCCCCCCCGCCTTTTTCTTTCTTTCTTTTTTTTTTTTTTTTTGAGACAAAGTCTTGCTCTGCCATCCAGGCTGGAGTAGCTGGGACTACTGGTGTGTATCACCATGCCTGGCTAATTTTTAAATTTTTTACAGAGATGGAGTCTTGCCATGTTTCCCAGGCAGGTCTTGAACTCATAGGCTCAACTGATTCTCCCACTTCAGCCTCCTGAAGTGCTGGGATTACAGGTGTGAGCCACTGTGCTCAGCTTGTAGTGCTTTTTTATGCTGTCAGTGCTTAATGGAGGCCAAATCTCCAAGAATTAATTGAAAAGGTTCATGAAGAAGACAGTGTTGTAAACCAAAAATTAAATTCTAAGCTGCACCACTGCCCCCACACCCCTTGGCCAAGGGGATCCCTAAGAAACCTAAAAAACTAGTTCAGGCCATGACAGGAAGGGTGTTGGACGCGCCTCATTATACCCTCCTCTCTTTGTAGTTTAGGCATAACTGACCACCACTGACATTAAAATAGAGATCATAAGACTCACAGCAGACTCTGTAGCAGGAAGATACCCAACTCCAACCTGATTCTGGTATAGCATCACATCACAAAGAGCAGGTCCTAAAGAAAATCAGAGTATTTGACTCTAAAAATATATTTCTTTGATATATTTTTAAATGGCCCTGCAAAGCCATACTCTTGTGGGAGGAAATCTGCATTCTGTAGTGATTCTCCTTCCCTTTCCAGGTCTTTTCCCGATTCAGGAGAGAATCTGACACCTTCTAAGGTCCAGAGAGGACATTTACCATTTATTCCCTCTGAAGCCTGCTACTTAGGGGCTGCCTCTACATACAAGAACCTTGGCTTCCACAACCCACTTATCTTAACTCAACAATTTCTTTCTGCTGGCTTCAACTCTTTAGGGAAAGCTTAACTCTTCTGACCAATTACCAATCAGAAAATCTTGGAATCTACCTATGACCTATAATCTTGCCCCCACCCCCCACTTCAAAATGTCCCATCTTTCTGGGCTGAATCAACGTACACCTTATACGTATTGATTTATGCTTTGCCTGTAACTTCTGTCTCCCTAAAATGTATAAAACCAAACTGTAAAACTGACTACCTCGGGCACTTGTTCTCAGGACCCCTTGAGGATGTGCCCCAGCCATGGTCACTCATATTTGGCTCAAAGTAAATCTCTTTAAATATTTCACAGTTTTTTTTTTTTTTCGCCAACAATCTGGATGACATGAAACTGCAGCAATAGACATTTTTCTTCATCTGAGAAGAGTCCGCTTGAATGGCGGAGCCCTAAGCCTGATTGACAGTGATGAGGATGAGGCTGTCTCCAAGGGTAGGCCAAGGACAATTTGCATCAGAATGGCTTTGAGATCTTTAAAAGCAGATTCTCAGGCCCTTGACCTAGGGATTCTGATTCAAGAATTTTAAACAGAGTTCTCTGATGATTCTTCTGCATGATTCTTCAGCACCAGAGATATCTTTGTCTCGGTACTGCCCCCTTCTTGAAGAATTCGTCTGGTATAACATTTCTTCTTTGCAAAGTCAGAATAACTTAGTGAAATAGACAGGAGCGCAGGTATTGTTTTCTCCAGAAAGTTGCCTTAAATTTTATTCTATGTGTGCTCTTGGCCAAGGCAAAGCCCAGTATCAGCCATGGGTCAAGCTTGGCCAATCTCAGCCGCTCCTGAATGGCTTCTACCCAAGAGCCAGATTGCCAACTCAACAAGACATTATTGAAATTGGGATTAGATGTCTTTGCCTTCTGAAAATGAGACATATGTGAGCTGGGACTCAACACTTGAGGGTTTATGAGGACATATAGGATTGTGGAGGCAAGGGGTCCCTTCAGTGGGGAAGAGAAAGGATGACCATATTATATCTGTGTCTCACACTGACCCTTCCTGGGTTAGATATTTGTGTGTATTTCACACAAAGAACAGTGAATAAAGACCTAAGCATTGCCTCTCAGACCAAGCCAGACCCACAGCTCCTGCCTTCTAAAAATGATTGTTGACTTCTGGGCTGGCTGATACTTATAGTGAGGTCAGCAATATTACAATTACAATGCGGTCAAATGAGATTAATAAGGGTGCAACATACAAAACACAGGTAACAAGTTTTTACTGGGATTGCAGTGTCTGGAGAAGAGTTCCAGTGGGAAAGGACCCAGTAAAGTATGTCAGGCTGCAGGCTCCTTGTGATGCTGAACAATGATGGGAGGAGCCACAGGAGCAGCGTCCATCCTGAACTGAGAGAGCAGGCTTCGTTCCATCCAGCATTCTGTTCCTCCCCTGCTGGGCCAAAGCTGAAAACCTGGCTTGATCTATGTGAGTCAGAATGGCCTGTGGACATGGGTTTCCAGCCAGTGGAGCTCACGGGCTGTGGTTTAGACTTTTAGTCACATTCAATTAAAAAGGAAACAGCACTGTCCTTCATATACGTAGTCCTATCATGGTATTATCTTTACGGCCTCTAGCAAGAATGACACCCTCTTAGCAAGGTCTTCAAAAGATTTGAGGGTTCTCTATGCCATTCCAGTACATGAAGAATTGTATTTTACTTATTTGTGTACAATGTCTCACTCTAGAAAAATGCTTTTTCAAATTCCCGTAACATAAAAATGATGTAAAAGGCAAGAAGAAAAAATTAGAATATAAAACATTTTCCCCATTCATCTAAGTAATTCTCAGCATTTTATTCTTTTTTTTTTTTTAAAGTGAAAACAAGTTTATTAAGAAAGTGAAGGAATAAAAGAATGGCTGCTCCATAGGCAGAGCAGCCTTGAGGGCTGCTGGTTGCTCATTTTTATGATTGTTTCTTGATGATATGCTAAATAAGGGGTGGAATTATTCATGAGTTTTCCAAGAAAGGGGTGGGCAATTCTTGGAACTGAGGGTTTCTCCCCCTCTTAGACCATATAAGGTAATGTCCTGACCCTGCCATGGCATTTGTAAACTGTCATGGTGCAATCCTCAGCATTTTCCATTTGAGGCAGCGTTGAGGAAAGTTTCAAGGGAGGATGCTGATTGCCTAGGATTCTCAGCACTAGGGGCACCGGAGCCCAGAGGTCAGTTGCCTTTGGCCACAAACTCTTTTCCAGGGAGATCACAGATCTCCTTGAACATGCAGTAAAATGATGGTCATTTTCTCTGTGTGCCATGGTGTGAAAATGTTGGCATGCATGTCCAAATGTGGCAAACTTATCTATATATTCTCTTCATCCTAGCTGTACCAAAAATGATGCTGCTGTCTATCAAATCTCGGCTAAAAACTCTTTTGGAATGATCTGTTGTTCTGCTTCCGTTGAGGTTGAGTGCTCATCAGAGAACCCACAATTGTCTCCTAACCTGGAAGATGACAGGGACAGGGGTTGGAAACATGAAACAGGGACACATGAAGAAGAAAGGGCAAATCAGATTGATGAGAAGGAACATCCTTATAAGGAAGAAGAAAGCATCTCCCCGGGCACTCCCAGGTCAGCTGACTCCTCCCCCTCCAAATCCAACCATTCACTCTCCCTCCAGTCATTGGGCAATCTTGACATTAGTGTGTCCAGTTCTGAAAATCCTTTGGGTGTTAAAGGAACAAGGCACACTGGAGAGGCTTATGATCCAAGTAACACAGAAGAAATTGCAAATGGGTTGCTTTTTCTTAATTCAAGTCATATTTATGAAAAACAAGACAGATGTTGCCACAAGACAGTGCATTCCATGGCATCAAAGTTCACGGATGGTGACCTGAACAATGATGGTCCTCATGATGAAGGCTTACGCTCTAGTCAGCAAAATCCCAAAGTACAGAAATACATTAGCTTCAGCCTCCCGCTATCTGAGGCAACTGCACACATTTACCCAGGTGACAGTGCCGTGGCCAACAAACAACCCAGCCCACAGCTTTCCAGTGAAGACTCTGACAGTGACTATGAACTTTGCCCAGAGATAACCCTAACCTACACCGAGGAGTTTTCAGATGATGACCTGGAGTATCTGGAATGTTCTGATGTTATGACGGATTACTCTAATGCAGTTTGGCAAAGGAACCTGCTGGGGACTGAGCATGTTTTTTTATTAGAAAGCGATGACGAAGAGATGGAATTCGGTGAGCATTGCCTGGGTGGGTGTGAGCATTTCCTCAGTGGAATGGGTTGTGGGTCTCGGGTGTCGGGTGACGCTGGGCCTATGGTTGCCACTGCTGGCTTCTGTGGTCATCACTCACAACCCCAAGAAGTTGGGGTGAGGAGCAGCAGAGTCTCCAAGCACGGTCCCTCATCCCCACAAACAGGGATGACTCTCATTTTGGGACCTCACCAGGATGGAACGTCTTCAGTGACAGAACAGGGGAGATATAAACTCCCCACTGCTCCCGAGGCTGCTGAAAATGATTATCCAGGAATTCAAGGAGAAACCAGAGACAGCCACCAAGCAAGAGAGGAATTTGCCAGTGACAATCTGCTCAACATGGATGAATCAGTAAGAGAGACAGAGATGAAGCTCTTGTCTGGTGAGTCAGAAAACTCAGGGATGAGCCAGTGTTGGGAGACGGCAGCTGACAAGAGAGTGGGGGGAAAGGACTTATGGAGCAAGAGGGGTTCAAGGAAATCTGCCAGGGTGAGGCAGCCGGGAATGAAGGGAAATCCCAAGAAGCCGAATGCCAACCTGAGAGAAAGTACAACAGAAGGTACCCTTCATCTCTGCTCTGCCAAAGAATCTGCTGAGCCCCCACTAACCCAGAGTGATAAAAGAGAGACTTCTCACACCACAGCAGCAGCGACTGGTCGGAGTTCCCATGCTGATGCAAGAGAATGTGCTATTTCAACCCAGGCAGAGCAAGAAGCAAAAACCCTTCAAACTTCAACAGACTCAGTCTCCAAAGAAGGCAACACAAATTGCAAGGGAGAAGGCATGCAAGTTAATACTCTATTTGAAACAAGCCAGGTTCCAGACTGGAGTGATCCTCCTCAGGTAAGACTTTTCTTTTAAAGAAATTACGAGATAAAAAGAACCGTGTGTGTGTGTGTGTGTGTGTGTGTGTGTGTGTGTGTCTCTTCCTTTACTTCACATTCACAATTGCTATACCATAATGTAAATCAAAATAAGTTTCCCAACACCATCAGGGTACTTGTGCATGACAGCTGCTGCTGCTCGGAAGGAAATCTGGTTTTGAAAAAAAGGCCCAGATAAACCCTAAGCCATCCTAATTATAGCAAAAGACTGATAGAAGTTAAGAGGCACTAATGGGATTCTGGACAGCTGGAAAAAGAAATCTGATATTTTGTCTGCTGCATGTGTTTTACCAGGCAATGCCACTATTCAGAAAGTTTCTCAAGCAAATGTTTTGGGTGTAGCCTTTAAAGGAAGAAGGGGGAAAAAAACATTGTTTTTAGTCATTTGCAGGGAAGTGCTTTGAAAATGATAGGTCTTGGCTTTAATCAGAATTTGTGGTATGAATGAAAGACTTCAGTGTGTCTGAAAGACTTGTAGACTTCACTTTTTTTGTGATGCTAGGGAAAGCAGGCAGATTAACTGTTGCCTCACTGGTGGGATGTTTTTGATTGGATGTTTGTCTTATTTTGTTTAAAACAGAGTATAAAAGAGGCTAAGAGAAAAAAAGCTGCCAAGAAATAAATTTGTTTTCCCTTATTACTGATTTGGGAGTGTAAAGAGATGGAATTAAATTTATAGGAATAATCAATGCACAAAAGATGTTGTGCTTGATACATAACTTATATTTTTAATGATATTTTCAGTTTCAAAGGGTCCCAAATGAGCTTTGGACTTACGCTGTAATATGGGCAAGATTTGAGTTTTGTAAATAAATACCTAAGAAAACTTATTTGTCTGTTATTTTTACTATACTTTGTATTCCCCTTTTTCCCAATTTTGTACTAGAAAACTAGTATTATTTTTATAGAAGACTAGATACACTCCAAAGATAAAATATTCCCAATGCAAAGTGACTTAACTCTGTGAAAATATTAAAAATTGACACATGAATTTCTATAGACCCAGTCATAAAAAAGCCAATCTAAAAATCTCCAGATTTTAGGTAACTGTTGATTGAGCAAATTGTTCTGTTCTGCTGGCCAAACTGGCCAGGTAAAAGCCACATTTATATTTTACTTTTCACAGGAGAACCAGATTCTCCTATCCAGTTATTTAACACATGTCTCTTAGCAGCTCACACACCAATGACCACAGTTTCATGCCCAAGATAAGCTTAGGGAGGTGCTTTGACCATATGTTAATACAAAATAAAGTGACAATGTTAATTTTTTCATGTTGATAAACATGGCATTTCCTTTTCTAGTCATAAAATGCTCTTCCGTGCTCAGCTAAGTGCTTTTTTTACAGTCATTTATCCACTCAAAGTGTTTCACTGGACAAATTACTTTATTATTGAAGGTGGGGGAAGGTGATAAAGTAGCTCAAAAGAAGTGGAAGGGAAGGGGGCTATTTACCTATTTACTGACGATATTGGTTTTAGATCCACCATTGTGGAAGGCAATTGCTGTCTCATCCATCTGCCCCAAATTTCAAAGAGCTGGAGGGAAGAGCCCCCTCTGTCATCCTCAGCTTGTGACCTAAACTGAATTCTGAGATCGAGAGCCCTGGCTCACTTGTTTACTAGCAAGTCAGTCAAGTAAAATGGGCCATTTCTGGGACCCAGGTCATCTATCTCATGTACTCTATGGAAGGTCTCGCTTACACACTCACACACACATTCATCACTATATACCCACTCCACCAGGTATCAGCTGAAGGTCCAACCTGTGCGCTGTGGTGTGACTAAGGCAATTACCTCAGAACCGTGAACACTGTTGTTCAGAAAGCAAACCGAAGGGCTTGCATTTTCTGCAAGTGGAGAGACCTTTTCTCACTTTGCTGTGGTCAGTAGCAGAGCTGACCTCTCACTCAAGGGATAACCAGAAATGTGAATGGAAGCTGTACATTTAAGAGCAGTTCCGTGCAGCCTGGAGTTAGAAATACGATCTTTCTATCTGTGGTGTTTATTTTCCTTTGAGTAAAGCAGGAAAATTTTGCCACAGGGACTGGCATATTTGAGATTCTTTTACCCACGCAAAAAGTTTCTATTTAGTTGTAGGAGATACCTGTATTTTCTACACACGTATACAATGTAGCCAAATTTACAGCAAGTGGCTAACTATCATCACAGATATGACACAGAAGCACTGGGGGTCACTGGGAATTAAATTCAACTTTTAAAAATAATACTGTTCACAAAAAGATAGGTGACTCTCTCCATAACAAATTCAAAAGACATTTTAAATATTTATTCTCAGACATTTGAGGTTTATGGGGACCTAAAAATTTGAAATGGTTAAAATCCTGGGTTGGTAGTCATAGCAATAAATTTGCCCACTCTTTTTCCTTTTATCTTTTTTGAGACAGAGTCTTGCTATTGTTGCCTGGGCTGGAGCAATGGTACGATCTCGGCTCACTGCAACCTCCGCCTCTCAGATTCAAGAGATTCTCCTGCCTCAGCCTCCTGAGTAGCTGAGATTACAGGCACCCGCCACCACACCTGGCTAATTTTCATATTTTTAGTAGAGACAGGGTTTCACCATATTGATCAGGCTGGTCTCGAACTCCTGACCTCAGGTGATCCACCCACCTCAGCCTCCCAAAGTGCTGGGATTACAGGCATGAGCCACCACGCTCGGTCAAATTTGCCCATTCTTGAGTCTTGCCTGATTCACTTACCTTTAGGTGCCTTTTTGCAGAAACAGTGACCAGCAGTTTACTTCCTAGTATTTTCTCTTCATCTGCATACCGTTTTTAGCATGCTGAGAAAAACTCCATCTCTCTAATGTTCTAAGAACAAGGCCATATTGTAGACTATCTCCTGCCTAAACATGCATCTCTAGGTATGTTCACTTCCTGTCTCCCTTTCTCTCTTTTAGAATGCAAGGCCATCTTGCTGTTGTCTTGAAATAGTACCTACCCAGGCTAATATTGGAAAGCCCCCAGTTTCTCTATATTTATGGAAGATTATAAAGTTAATCCCAGTTTGGGAGTGGAAAACAGAGAGGGTACCCCAGGCTAACTTGAATCATCTTCAAGGGTCACACTGCCAACTCTTCACCTTGGTTTTGAGCTCACTTTCCTCATCCAACTCAGAGGCAAGGCCTGACAGCCTGCCCATCTTAAGTTTCTCGGCAGCCACACTAGGGTAAGATCATCCTCACCCTTAAATCAGAAGTGCTGCGTCTGTGCTCCTGCACAGCTGCCCAGGTTCGCCCCAGAGGGAGTTGCATTTCTGTATGGGGTCATGGGATCACAAGTGTACAGTAAGGAAATGTGTTCTTGGGCTCTGGTAATTAAGAATCTTCCTGATCAGGAATCAGCACTAAGCACAGAATTGAGCTCCGTGATGGAAGGGAATTTGTTCAGTGTATTCTGTTCGCTGATATAACCCAAGTCCCTAGAGTAGTGCCTGCCGTGTAATAGACAATCAATTATTGACTGGATAAGTAGCCATACAATACTAGAGTAAATGCCAAGTATAGTTAGGTGTGATTTTCTTTCTTCTTCTTCTTTTTTTTTTTTTGAAACGAGGTTTCACTCTTGTTGCCCAGGCCAATGGTGTGATCTCGGCCCACCGCAACCTCTGCCCCCCAGGTTCAAGTGATTCTCCTGCCTCAGCCTCCTGATTAGCTGGGATGACAGACATGGGCCACCATGCCTGGCTAATTTTGTATTCTTAGTAGACATGGGGTTTCTCCATGTTGATCAGGCTGGTCTCAAACTCCCGACCTCAGGTGATCCACCTGCCTCGGCCTCCCAAAGTGCTGGGATTACAGGCGTGAGCCACCATGCCCAGCCAGTTAGGTGTGATTCTAATGATCGTTGGTCTCCACCACTTTATGGCCTTTATTTTCCTGAGCACATTCTTTGGTTGCCTTCACATAAAAGATGCTGAGGCCAACTCTCTGCTAATAGGACGTGCTTCCTATTAGTTACTCTTTTGGCTCTGGGAATGGGTTGGTTTGTTTCAAACCAGCAGTCCCCAAACATTTTGGCACCAGGGACTGGTTTTGCGGAAGACAATTTTTCCACAGCCGGAACGGGGCGGGGATGGTTTCAGGATGAAACTGTTCCACTTCAGATCATCAGGCATTAGATTCTCGTAAGGACTGTGCAACCTAGATCCCTTGTATGCACCATTCACAACTGGGTTCATGTCCTGCCACCCACCTCCTGCTGCGTGGCCCAGTTCCTAACAGGAGACAGACAGTTACCGGTCCATGGCCTGGGGCTGGGGGTTGGGGACCCCTGTTCTAAACCATCCAAATCTTTTTTTTTTTTTTTTTTTTTTGAGATGGAGTCTCACTCTGTTGCCCAGACTGGCATGATCTTGGCTCACTGCAACCTCCGCCTCCTGGGTTCAAGCGGTTCTCCTGCCTCAGCCTCCTGAGTAGCTGGGATTACAGGTGCGCCCCACCACACCCGGCTGATTTTTGTTTTTTTTTTTTTAGTAGAGACAGGGTTTCACCATGTTGGTCAGGCTGGTCTCGAACTCCTGACCTTGTGATCCGCCCCGCCTCAGCCTCCCAACGTGCTGGGATTATAGGCGTGAGCTGCCGCAACCAGCACCATCCAAATCTTGCACTTGGGTTCTCTTGTGAATGCTGGAGATTTACATATAACTTTGCTTTATTAGTGCTTCATTATCTCCAAAAAATTGCTAATTAGATCAAGGAAGATACTATCATATTCACCTAGCACTCAGGATTTTCTGCCTTTTGCCTCTGTCTATCTCTGAGAGGCAAAGCAGGAGTACAAGCTGGTTTCCTCACCTGGAAAACATGTGGTGGATGGTCCATCTTTCTGTCTGGAATTCCTTTGCCCACCTTGTTTCTAGCTCAGCCTACCTGCTGCTTCAAGACTGAGATCTTGCATGGTGCTTCAAGTTGCTTTTCTCATCCCTAACTACAATTTCTTCTTTCAGAGCAACGCATGACATTCTCATCCTCATTCTTTGTAATCCTGACTTTCTTGGGACAAAAGTTTTATAGAAGACAAAAATGTTTATCTGCTGACCTTCTCTCCACTATTATCCTATGACCCTGCCACATCCCCCTCTCTGAGAAACACCCAAGAATGATCAATAAATACTAAAAAAAAAAAAAAAAAAAAAAAAGAAGACAAAAATGGCAACATGCCTCTAGATAAAAGTGTTGGCAGAGTTCCAATTAAAATACTGCATTCCTGGCTAGGTGCAGGGGCTCATGCCTGTAATCCCAGTACTTTGGGAATCCAAGGCCGTTGGACTCGCTTGAGCCCAGGAGTTCAAGACCAGCCTGGGCAACATAGCAAGACCCTGTCTCTGAAAAAAAAAAAACATATATATATACACACATATATATATATACACACACATATATATATACACACACATATATATATACATATATATACACATATATACATATATACACACATATATATACACACATATATACATATATACACATATATACATATATATACACATATATACATATATACACATATATACACACATATACACATATATATACATATATACACATATATATACACATATACATATATAATGCTGCATTCCCTTAATGCTCAATTTAAAATTAAACATAAAGCAACAGAATACACTAAGTATAATGTTTTTAAGAGAATTCATTAGCAGATCTAGATACCATTTACAAACGGTTTTATTACATGTTTTTTAATTGAAATGTTTACTGAGATAATTGTACATTCACATGCAGTTGTAAGAAATAGAGAGAGATGACAGTACACTTTGCCCAGGTTCCCTCAATGGTGACATTTTACAAAACAATGGTATAATGTCATAACCAGGATATTGACATTGATACAATCTACTGATGTAATTTGGATTTCCCCAGTTGTACTCGTATGTGTGTATTAAGATCTACAGACATTTATCACCTACGTAGGTTCCTGTATCCACTACCAGAGTCAAGATACGGAACAATTCCATTACCACAAAGATCCCTTGCATTACCCTTAATAACCATGCATACCTCCTTCCTGCCCTCTCCCTTTGGTAGCCCCTGGCAACCACTACTTTGTCCTCCAATTCTAAAATTTTGTCATTTCAAACATGTTACATAAATGGAATCATACAGTATACAAGTTTTTGAGTTTTTTTTTCAGCAGAATTCCCGGAGATTCATTCAACTTGTGTGTATCAAAAGTTCATTCCTTCTTATTGCTGAGTAGTATTCCACGCAGTTCGCTTAGTCTTTCACTGGTTGAAGAACATTTGGGCTGATTCCAGTTTTTTGCTCTCATGGCTAAAACATTTATATACAGACTTTTATGTGAACATAAGTCTTCATTTCTATGGGACCCATGCCCAGGACAGTCATTGCTGAGTCATATGGGGCTTGCATATTTAGTTTGTAATGAAACTGTCCAGCTGTTTTCCAGAGATGCTGTACCTTTTTACATTCCCATCAGCAATGTATGAGGGCCCAGTTACGCCACATCTGCACCAGCATTTGGTATTGTCATTATTTTTGATTCTGGACTTTCTGATATGTGTGTGGTGATATCCCATTGTAGCTTTTAATTTGCATTTCCCTAATGGTTAACAATTTTGAACATTTTTAAATGTATTTATTTGCCAGTTGTATATTTTCTTTGGGGAAATGTCTGTTAAGTCCATTTCCTAACTGGACTGTTATTTTATGGTTGAATTTTGAGACTTCTATATGCATTCTAGAGACTAGTCCTTTGTTGGTTTACACACCTTTTTTTTTTTTTTTTTTTTTTTGAGATGGAGTCTACCTCTGTCACCTAGGCTGGAGTACAGTGGCACGATCTTGGCTGACTGCAACCTCCGCCTCCCAGGTTCAAGCGATTCTCCTGCCTCAGCCTCCCAAGTAGCTGGGATTACAGGCGCCTGCCACCACACCTGGCTAATTTTTGGATTTTTAGTAGAGACGGGGTTTCACTGTTTTGGCCAGGCTGGTCTCGAACTCCTGACCTTGTGATCTGCCCACCTCGGCCTCCTAAAGATTTCCAAATATTTTCTCCTAGTCTGTAATTTGTCTTTTTATCTTCTTTACGTGGGCTCTCACAAAGCAAAACTTTTCATATTGATGAGGTCTAATGGTCAGTTTTTCCTTTTATGGATTTTGCTTTTGGTGTCAAGTCTAAAACTCTTTGCCTTTCCCTGGATCCTGAAGATTTTCTTTCTGCTATGGTCTTTTTCTAGGTTTTATAGCTTTATGTTTTAGATTTGAAGCCAATGATCCATTTTGAGTTGATTTTTGTAGAAAGTATGAGGTTTAGGTTAAGGTTCTTTTTTTTTTTTTTTTTCCTGTGGATGTTCAATTTTTCTAGCACGACTTATTGATAAGACTTTGTAACTATGTTTAAAAAGAGAACTTAGCATAGTGCCAGGCACCCAGTAAGTTCTCAAGGTTTGCCAAGTGCGGTGGCTCACACCTGTAGTCGCAGCATTTTGGGAGGCTGAGGTGGGTGAATCACTTGAGCCAGGAGTTCAAGACCAGCCTGGCCAACATGGTGAATCCCTGTCTCTACTAAAAATACAAAAATTAGCCAGGCATGGTGGCGCTTGCCTGTAATCCCAGCTACTTGGGAGGCTGAGGTAGGAGAATTGCTTGAACGTGGGAGGTGGAGGTTGCAGTGAGCTGATATCGCACCACTCCAGCATGGGCCACAGAGCGAGACTCTGTCTCAAAAAAAGAAAAAAAAAGAAAGATGTCAGGGTCTCATCTCCTCTTTGAGGTCAGAGGAAAGCTTCTGGTCACTTTCTTGCCAGGGATTTTACCAGTGGCCAGGAAAACATCAGCCTTGCAGCCACGAGCTGGGCGTATAGCCAGGAAAGAGGTGCCCCCATCAGCCTGTAGGACTGAACAGATGATCAAACCCAGCTGAACTAAAGGTTGAAGAAACCAAGGGTGTTTTGGTTTCTAAGAGGCATTTAGTTAATCAATAGGACTATTATGTGCTATTTGGAAAGAATGAGCAAGTCTAGATGTGCCGTCTTTCCTGGATTTGCCCACAATATGAGGATTGACTGATTTAAACAGAAAGCCGGGGGTGAGAGAGAGACCTAGAGACAGAGGCCTTGACGTGCAAGTCCAATAGTTCCTACTAAATGATGTATGTATTCACACCTTGAGAGTTCATGCCTTCAAAGGTGGCAAACTGCCACCATAGCCCACTAATTCCCAGTTGTGTTTTAAGTATCAGCAGAAAATTTACTTCTTCTATGCTAAGCAGATTTGAGCTGATGTGGTATGAAACTTCATGTTAATCTAAGTTCAGGCTAGTTACTAGGCAGGTGGTACAGGCAGAGTATGCAGCAGCCTGAAAATCTGCATGGCCATCCAGTAACAGGCAGGGCACATCACAGGGCTCTAGTAAATGTTTTTAGGGCATAGAAAAATACAAGGCAGCTGATCTAAACCATCTTGTAATACAGTGCTCGGATTTAAGAACCACCTGAGATCTTGAGTTCATTTGCATACTCAATTGTATTCTCCCAAAATAAAAACTATTAAAACAATGACTCCAGAGGGCTGATAAGCCAGATCTTAGCCGATGATGGGAAGGGCGGAGGTTTTTCTTTTCTTTTTTTTTTTTTTTTTGAGACGGAGTCTCGCTCTGTCACCCAGGCTGGAGTGCAATGGCGCAATCTCGGCTCACTGCAACCTCCGCCTCCTGGGTTCAAGCAATTCTCCTGCCTCGGCCTTCCGAGTAGCTGGGATTACAGGCACCCGCCACCACACCCGGCTAATTTTTTGTATTTTTAGTAGAGACGGGGTTTCACCATGTTAGCCAGGACGGTCTTGACCTCCTGACATTGTGATCCGCCCACCTCAGCCTCCCAAAGCGCTGGGATTACAGGCATGAGCCACCGCGCCCAGCCAGAAGGGCGGAGGTTTCTAGTCACTCATCTCTTAGAGTGTGGCCAGCATGCCTCTTGTCAGTACCATTCCTTAGCTGACCCAGGGAGGAACACAAACATTTGTTTTCTTTTTAATCACAAAGCCTGCTGTGCCACTTCTGCCAAATACCATTAACTGTCCTGGACCTGCAGTTTAATGTCCTGGCTTACTACAGTTATTATCCTCAGTCAGGGTTAAATAATCAATAAAGAGTCATTAGTGCCTGCAGTTGTGCAACTCTTGGTGTAGTCCGCGGACCAGCTGGTTAGAAATGCAGGCTCAGAAGCCCTGTTCCAGTCCTACTGAATCAGAATCTGCATTCTCAACCAGACTCGTAGGAGATTCATACACACACTGAAGTTCCAATAGCCCCAGTCCACAGAGTATAGGATCCTTCTCAGATTAGAAAAGACCCCAAAGCCAAGCCCTCAACCCTAGCTATGCATGGAATCACCTGGGAGCTTTAGAACATTCAGCTGCCTGGGTTTTGCCCTCAGACATTCTGATGTGATTTGGTCTGCAGTGTGGGCGTTGGAAGCTCTAAAAGCTCCCAGGTGATTCTCTATACTTCCAAGGTTGAGAGCCTTGGCTGAGCTACACAATCATATGGAAACTTTTTCTCCCCCCCAAGACTGGGTCTCTGTCACCCAGGTTGGAGTGCAGTGGCCTGGTTACTGCTTACTACAGCCTGGACCTCAGGTGATCCTCCCACCTCAGGCTCACGAGCAGCTGAGACTACAGGCACATGCCACTACACCTGGCTAATTTTTCTATTTTTAGTAGAGATGGGGTTTTGCCATGTTGCCCAGGATGGTCTCGAACTCCTGGCCCCAAGTGATTCTCTTGCCTTGGCCTCCCAAAGTGCTGGGATTACAGGTGTGAGCCACTGTGCCCAGCCTGTAACTTCTAAATAGACTTGTCTCTTGGTATCTGTAGGGGATTGGTTCCAGGACCCCCCTCAGATACCAAAATCTGAGGATGCTCATGTCTCTGATATAAAATGGCATAGTATTTGCAAATAACTTATATACATCCTCCTGTTCACTTCAAATCATCTCCAATTACTTATAACACCTAATACAATGTAAATGCTACGTGAATAGTTGTTATACTCTATTGCTGAGAGTAACAATTTTAAAAGTCTGTACACATTCAGTAAAGATGCAATTTTTCCCCAAATCTCTTGGGTCCATGATTGGTTGAATCCACAAATTTAAAACCCACGGATACAGAGGCTAACTGTATACAGACATACAAGCCCCACCCCGGAGGTCCTTATTTCAATAGATCGAGGGTAGAGCTCAGGCGTGCGTGCCTTATGGAAGCTCCAGCTGACCCTGGGTAACTGAGGCACAGCTGTGGTTGAGAGTCCTGGAGCCCATATGGAGCTAAATCCTGGGGGGTTCCAAGTTCCACCTCCCCTGAGTAGGGCTGCAGAGAGCTAAAGGCTATACAGCTTGTGATGTACTTTCTTGGGGATTCGGGAGTCCTTGCCCGTGATTTCCCACAATCTTAGCCAAGGAACACAGCATCAGGTTATTCAATAGCACTTTTCAAACAGAGGCAATGGGTATTCTTCACACATAAGGCGTTCCTGTCCTAGTGCCATATATGCATCCCAGAAACACCTCACATTCTGAAAAATCACACCCTTAAAGTGTAAGGGCTTTGGGGAAAATTAGCATCCCCAAGAGGTCACTTAGGAAACAGACCATTTTGAAACCAGAAACTAATAAAATCAAAACATGTGCCCGGGAAACTCACTTGGACTGCCCAGGGAGGTGGCCCAGGCTGGCAGGAGGCCACCATGGCAGATATTAAAAACACACAACAGAGTGGAGATGCTGGAGATCTTTCAGATGGAGCCAGCTTGAGGGTGCGGAGACCTCAAAGACAGAAGTGGGTCTCTGAGCCAGCAAAGCTGCTGTTAAAGTGGGTCTGGGGGCGCCACTCAACCTGCCCTTAGACACACGGGCTTGGAGTTTGCTTCTTAGGAGAGAGGACCACTGAGGGCAGGCTGCATTTGAAATTCTGTTAAAATACAACTTAATAGGGCCCCTGCTGCCAATGCAGAGGCTGAGTCAAAGGCTTGTTTTCCTGCTCAATTTTCTGTAATTTATTCCAGCTATTCTGGTTCCCTTTGCCAAAGAAAAACTGCGTATGAACCAATGCCACGTGTTGGTTATACTGACATCATTCTCTTGTAGACCGATCTCACAGAGCTAACTCATTACAGAAACATGTCCTGGCAAACAGCCTGCACTAAGGATTTGGATGTCTCGTGTTCAGGTGGTTCTACTCTGCTTGGAGTCCCCAGGGCAGTGTCTTAAAGTGAGGGCCTGGACTATTTGCATTGGAATCACCTGATGAGGTGCGTGTTTAAAAAAACAACATAGGTCCCTAAGTTTTACCACAGACTTGCTGAACCTGCATTTTTATTAATTTTGAGGCAGAGTCTTGCTCTGTCACCCAGGCTGGACTGCAGTGGCGCAATCTCGGCTCACTGCAACCTCCGCCTCCCAGGTTCAAGCGATTCTCTTGTCTCAGCCTTCCGAGTAGTTGGGACCTCAGGGGCCTGCCATCACGCCCGGCCTTTTTTTTTTTTAAGTAGAGACAGGGTTTCGTCATGTTGGCCACACTGGTCTCGAACTCCTGACCTCAGGTGATCTGCCTGCTTCGGCCTCCCAAAGTGCTGGGATTATAGACATGAGCCACCGTGAAAAAATATGCAGGCCTGAACCTGCATTTTTAATATGCTGTCTGAGAAATAAATGCAGGCCTGAACCTGCATTTTTAATATGCTGTCTGAGAAATAAATGCAGGCCTGAACCTGCATTTTTAATATGCGGTCTGAGGATTCTCTTGGGCATTAAAGTTTGGAAACCATGGGCTCAGTTAGATGGATCTAGAGAGAGAATACTACAACTTTTAGAGGCATTTCTGTAAAGACTCACAGGAGTTTGGAAACAACAAGAAATTTAGGCTCCTCAAGTGTAACCTCCTTTGCCCTAAGAGGAAAAACAAAAACTCGTGACTGGAATTTTCTTCTGCTTTCTAGTTGGCTTGCTATAAACGCAGCTTGTTCTTCACCTGTCTGGGGAACTGAAATAAGTACAGATCCTGATTTATTGTAACTAATCCAAAACAGGTGTGCATTTTACAGCTGTGTTTTATTTTGAGGAGTAGTTCAGTGGCAGGAATTTGGGTGGCAGCAGGGGAGGCTGGTGAGAGGAGGGTCACTTGGCAATAAGGTGGGTTTTAGTCTCTGTAACAAATCTACTGCCTGCTGTTGGAGCTGAATGCGAGACATGGCCTCTGTTGGTCTTTGTTGGTCTTCTTTGGCTATGATAGAAGATGAATTTGCATCTCTGAAAGGAGATGGAAAAAGCATTGAACTAACCCAATCATATATCAAGACAAATGATAAAGCTGTGGTCATGAGATAGTGTGGGAGTTGCCGTACATAAGTAGATAAACCAAACTGAGGAAAGAGTACAGAATCCAATACTGGAATTTGGTTTATGGATAGAAATAGTCTTTCAACTTGTAGGGAAGAGACAAGTGCTTCAATGCTGACACAATTAGCCACCATATGGAAAAGATATCAGTACCTTACAATGGACCCCCAATAAACTGATGTTATTTGATCTCTGAGTTAAAATTTTTAAAAAACTATAAAGTACTGAAAAAATTTTTCAAAATGATTTTCATGATCTTGAGAGATATAAGATCTTCTTGGGAAAATAATAGGCCTGGTGCAGTGGCTCACGCCTATAATCCCAGCACTTTGGGAGCCCGAGGCAGGTGGATCATGAGGTCAGGAGTCCTAGACCAGCCTGGCCAATATGGTGAAATCCCATCTCTACTAAAAATACAAAAATTAGCCGGGGCGTGGTGGTGCACGCCTGTAGTCCCAGCTACTCGGGAGGCTGAGGCAGAAGAATTGCTTGAATCCGGGAGGCAGAGGTTGCACCACTGCACTCCAGCCTGGGTGACAGAGCAAGACTCCATCTCAAAAAAGAGAAAGAAAGGAAGAAAGGAAGAAAGAAAGAAAGAAAGGAAGGAAGGAAGGAAGGAAGGAAGGAAGGAAGGAAGGAACAAAAAAGAGAAATATCAATAATTTTGATTACATCAAATTAAAATTTTTCTATAGAACAAAAATACCACTAAGAAAATTAAAGTGATACACTTTTTATGTAGGACATTGTAATAGACAAAGATTAATTTCCAGGGTATATAAAAATCAAATAGATAAAACATCCGTAACAATTGAATTATTTTTAAAAGGTAAATATATACAAAGTTTATGGAAGAGATAAATGGTCAATAAATATGCAAGAAGTTGCTCAACCTTATGAGTAATTAGGAAAATACAAATTTTAAAGATATAACATCTTTCATCAGATAGATAAAAAAATTAAAAGTACAGTACCAAGCTGATATTATAAGGAAATGGGTACATTGCCAGTAAGATTAATTTGGCAAAATCTCTTTAAAAATCTCTTAAAATCTCTTAAAACTGAAAAGGGCATTAGCCATGATGCAGCAGTTTCACTTCTCAATATCGACTCTTGAGAGAAGCTTGCATGAAGGCCCAAGGAAGCATGTGACATCATGTGTGTTGTAGAATTATTTCTAAGGAAACGTTTCTAAGGAAATGTTCATGGGTAACTGGCTAAATAAAATGTGGCCTGCTCAAATGATGGATGCTTCAAAACAACATAGAATTAGAAAGGTACACTGAAGAATAATACATACAATACGATACAATTTATGCCCCCCAACCATTCCATAGTAGTATATGTTATTTGTATATACATATATAAACACATAAAATTATTTTTTAGATCTGGAAGAATACATTCAAATGATAGGATTAACTCTGGAGAGGGAAGCAAGGAACCTAACATTTGGAGGGGTGATTAATGTTTTTAAATGTTTAAGGAAATTATTTTTACTGATAATATTGAAAACTTTTAAAAAAATTTTTTTTAAAAAAGGAAGACATAAACTGGGAGCTAGATTTTAGTTCTGGTTCTGCCATTAACCAACTGTATATCCTTGGGTAATTTCCTTTCCTCTCTTTGGGCCTCTTTCCTCAGTGTAAACTGAAGGGGTCAAACATGAAGATCTGTTAATTTCCGAGGCAGTGAGGTCCTGTGAATCCCTAATTTTACATCAGCTGCCAAAATAAATATCAAACAAAGTGGAAGAGACTGTGGCTTTCATGGTAAGGAAAGTCTGTCTAAGCAAAAAGGAAAAAAAAAAAACCTGATGATGTAAGAATTTTGCACAAAAACCCCCACCATAAACTGATATTAAAAACAAATAAAAACTTAGAAAAGCACTTGTGATGTACAAAGAAAGTGATGTAAGAAAAGATGAATAGCTTAATAAAAAATGAACAGGGCCAGGTGTGGTGGGTCATGCCTGTAATCCCAGCACTTTGAGAGGCCGAGGTGGGCGAATCACCTGAGGTCGGGAGTTGGAGACCAGCCTGACCAACATGGAGAAACCCCATCTCTACTAAAAATACAAAATTAGCTGGGTGTGGTAGCGCATGTCTGTAATCCCAGCTATGTGGGAGGCTGAGGCAGGAGAATCGCTTGAACCAGGGAGGCAGAGGCTGCAGCGAGCTGAGATCGCACCACTGCACTCCAGCCTGGGCGACAAGAGCGAAACTCCATCTCAAAAAAAAAAAAAAAAGAACAAAGACATCAAATACGCAATTCATGAAATTCATCATAAACTTATCAACTCCATTCCTTTCTGCCTTCCTCCTTTCCTTCCTTTCTCAATTTTCAGAGATTGTTCTTAATGTGATGATACTTCATGCTAATAAGACTGTATGGAAACAGATTTTTCTCTTACACTGCTGGCAAGAGTGCAAATTAGTACAACCCTTCTGGATGTCAAATTGGTGATATTTACTAATCCTTTAACATGTAAATTTTGGCCCTGTAATTAGCCTAATAAAATTATCAGAAGTATAAATAGAGCCATCGGGACAAGAGTCTTTTCATTGTAGCATGGTTCACAATAATGAAACACTGAGAACAATCTAACAATGGAGGAATGGTAAAATATATTATGGTACAATATTCTTTGGACTATGCAGGCATTAAAAATCATGCCTTGAAAATATTTAAAGATATTTTTTAAATGCTTGGAAACAATTTACAAAGCAATATATATGTTGTTTCTTCCCTTGAGAAACTTACAGGTTCATGAGAGAAAGAGTAATCTCTTTGCCTGTGGTCACACCATTTGTTTATTGGCAGAACCAAAGCTACAGTCCTGGTCATTTTCTCAGCTTAATGCCCTTATACCTCACACCAATTCTAGCCTAAATGAGTCAGTCTCAAAGTCACTTCTTTCACTCTTACCTAAGGTAACTGACAATACATTTCATGGTTTTAAAAACAAAATGTCTCTGTTCCCCCTTTCTAGCTGTTTCACAACATGAGCTCCACTCTGTTTTACTGGAAAAATAGGATGCATATTATAATACTACAGCTTTTAAAAATCCTTTAAGAGACGAAAAGCCAGCAAGAGAATGTTTTTCTTTGATCACTGAGGGAATAGTGTGATCATGAGCAGATATTGAAAGTTAGATGCTAGATAGGAGCCCCTCAAAAGTCCAAGGGCTCTAAAAATGAGTGTTGTAAAAAAAATTGAGCCAATAGATATGGATATCATTTCCTTTCTTATATTTCTAGGACCATATATGGTAAGACTGTATTATATGAGCTGCCAAATTCCCCCAGGGGGAGCATCACTCTGTAATCCTAAGGTGCTATGGGCTAATGTTTGTAACCCCTAAAAATTTATATGTCCAAGTCCTAACCTCCAATGTGATACTATTAGCAGGTGGAGTCTGTGGGAAGTAATCGGGTTTAGATGAGGTCATGAGGCTGGGGCCCCATGACCAGATTAGAACCCTTGTAAGGAGAGACACCAGAGAGCTTGCTTCCTCTCTTCTTTCTGCCATCTGAGGACACAACGAGAAGGCAGCCACCTGCAAGTCAGGAAGAGAACCCTCACCAAGAACTCAATCAGCAGCACCTTGTCTTGGACTTCCCAGCTTCCATAACTAGAAGAAATAAATGTCTCTTATTTAAGCCACCCAATATACGGCCCTTTGTGATAGCAGCCTGAGCTGAGACATAAATTCACCCTCAGAAATTACATCCACAGCTCCAGGTAATTTGGGAGCCATTTGGTACATAAATGTAGTGAACCACTAAAGGGCATCCCTGTAGTCAAAAATAGCTTCCATGTGTACCTAATTTATACCAGAGGTTAGCCTATTCACTGGGAGGCTCTAGGTTCTTTTGAATGATGCTGATATTGTGCTTATGGCACGACACCAACTGACACTTCAGTAAGGCATTTTTCTGAAATGGAATTGTTACTTACCAAAAATAAGCAGTATGTCACAAATTACATCAGTCAGTTCTATAGTTAAAAAGACTGAAAATGAAACCATCTTGGAGGTAAATTTTTAGATCATCATCTCAACTTCTATAGGTCAAAAGTCTGCACTGATGGTAGAGAGAAACAGAAGTGTTGCCATCATCCACAAAATCATAACTGTTTATTGAATATTTGTGTGTTCCAAGTACTATATTAATGTCCAACATTTGGCATTTCTGGTAGTCCATGTAACAAAACTGTGAGCTGGCCCATAACGCTCAAAGAGGTTAATTAACATGCCCAGGGCACCTCTATCTGTAAGTGACAAAACTGGAACTCAAGCTCCATAAGAAAATCAGATCAACACAGCACAAATTGAAGCGGGTGAAGGTGAGGATGATCACTGAATGCTGACTGAGTGTAGTCAGAATAACTCAGGGGAAAGAACCCCATGGATTGGCCCCAGCATCCAGATTGTTGAAAGTACTCAATTACTCCCAAGGCAGGTGCTGATAATGCCCTGCCCCATAGCTACTCAGTCCACCTAGGTTCCCTGCAGCTGCAGGTGAAGTTTCCACCACCTGACAGCTCCCACAGCCTGAGAACTTCATGAGCTGGGAGGTTGCTTGGCCACACCAGAAAGTGGATCTGGAAGTCAGGAAAGTCCTCCACCAATGGGGGTGGGAGTTGGTAGACAGTGTCCCAGACTCCGTAGCTTCCTGTGGAGTGAGTCTAAGACATTCATCACACGATTCTTTAGAGGATCCCCAGTGATCAGGCCCCTGTTGTCCACAGCAGCCCACAGTCATTCATTCATTCCCATTTCCTGGTGGTTTTTGCTTCCATCTTATATTCCCCCTTTCTCCCCATGTTTTCTGGGATCATCTCCTGAATAAACTAACTGCATCCACTTTCTTGTCTCAGGGTCTGCTTTTGGGGGCGGGATCTTTAAGACAATTTCCTAATGCCTACCATTAAGGTTTGTTTTCCTGTCCTCCAGGACACTGAGGACAACCCCTTTTTAGATTTGACCTTAAAGGATTCTGGCCCATTCCTGAAGGCCCAGTGTTCCAATGTGGCTTATTTCATCACCCTTTCAATATTTCAGCATCCTCGCATAACCATCCAGCCCTTCCTCACACCCTCCCCAGTAGAGTCCTAAAGCTATTTTACTGACTTTAGAGCCTTTGCTGCACATCACACTGGGGTTAGATTGGCAGTATACTTCTTTATCTCCCCTGCTAGATTTTATATTCCTTGTGGGTCACTGCTGAGCTTTCTTGGGCACATACGGTATCTGACAGATCTCAATAAATGTTAAGTTGAACACTGTCATGTAATCTGATAGGTTTACCTGTTAGAGGGGATTTAAACTCAGCAAGTGTGACAACTTCAGAAGCATTGTAATCCCAAATAATAAAAAAAATCTCAATCACAGTAATTCACTTGAAGCTATTCAAAGATATAAAAATGGAAAAGTAAATCTCTCACTGGCCATTCTGGGGCATAGGCCTGCTGAGAATTAGATCTGGAAAGTCAGCATCTAACTACCTGAGAACTCAGATTGGGCAAATTCTCCAACTCTGGAAAAACAAAAATACCCTATTTCTTTTCCCTATGGAACAAAGGCAGCAGAGTGTGCCTAAGTGACCCTGCCCCCCTGAAGTAGACTGCCCATGCCCACGTAACAGTATGGTATGCAGAATAATTCCCTCCAAAGACATCCACATCCTGATTCTCAGAACCTGTGAATATGTTACTGAAGTGAATTATGGCAAAAGGGACTTTGCAGATGTGATTGAGGTTATCAACCCTGACATGGGGAAATTATCTTTGACCCAGGTGGTCCCACTTGGTCTCAAGGGTCCTTATAAGTGGAAGAGGGAGACAGGAGCATCGGTCAGAGAAGGATTTGAAGATGCTACTGTGCTGGCTTTGAAGGTCGAGAAAGGACCATGTGCCAAGGGATGCAGGCCAACTGCAGAAGCTGGACAGAGGGGATTCTCTCCCTGTATTAGTTTTCATGCTGCTGATAAAGACATACCCAAGAATGGGAAGAAAAGAGGTTTAATGGATACATAGTTCCACATGGCTGAGCAGGCCTCACAATCATGGGAGAAGGCAAGGAGGAGCAAGTTATGTCTTACATGGATGGCAGCAGGCAAAGGGAGTGCTTCTGCAGGGAAACTCCTGTTTTCAAAACCATCAGATCTTGTGAGACTCATTCACTATCATGAGAACGGTGCGGGAAAGAACTGCCCCCATAATTCAGTCACCTCCCACTGGGTCCCTCCCATGACATGTGGGAATTGTGGGAGTTACAATTCAAGATGAGATTTGGGTGGGGACACAGCCAAACCACGTCACTCCTCTGTAGCCTCCAGAAGGACATGGCCCTCCTGACACCTTAATTGTAGCCCAGTGAGATTCATGTTGGACTTCTGACCTCCCGAACTGTAAAGTAATAAATCTATGTTGTTCTGAGCCACTAAATTTGTGGTCATTTGTTACAGCAGTTATCAGAAACAGACAGAGTAGGTAATTTCAAAATAACATGCTTGAAGGCAAGTCTGGATATCCCTGGTTGGGTTTTTACTTCAGGTGTCAGAGAAGCAGCCCATTCCTCACGCAGACTGTGCAAATTCCAGTTGTCTTTGGCTTAGAAAATCTGACGTGGAAGAGAAAACAACAAGAAAAATGGCAATCTACCTGGCATGAAGCCAGCTTTGTGGAGAGTATCACACTTGGGGACTCAAGAAGCCTCAGAAGGTCAGGCCTGAGTCAGAGACTCCATAGCCAATCAACTATAGAATCCCCGGGCCCTTTCAGGATTCTTCTTAGGAAGTTTCCAAGTCCACAGAATCACTAGGAGTTCCTGGCCTGAGGACTGTGATGGGGTGGACTCCAGGAGAAAGTCTTCTGAGAAGGCCACACCCTGAATCAGACCCCTGGGAAGTCAAAGCAGCAGAGATGGAGCAAAGGATGTTGTAGCTGGGGCAAAGGATGTTGTAGCTGGGGCAGGGATCCTCTGAGCAGCCTTTAGTGCAGGGTTTCTCAACCTCCACACTACAATATTGTGGGCCAGATAATTCTTTGTTCCGGGCAGCTGCCTGTGGGTTGTAGGATGTTTAGCAGCATCCCCGGCCAGTAGCGATCTCTTCCCCTCACCCCAACCCCAGTTGTGGCTATCAAAAATGTCTCCAGACACTGCCACAGGTCCCATGGGGTGGGGATGGGGGCAAAAATCACCCCACGTTGATTAGCTTTGGCTAGATTATATACCATCACTAATCACAGTTGGGAAAGAAAATAGTTATCTCATTAAAATTAGTGCTGTCCAATAGAAATTTAATGCAAGCCAAGTATGTAATTTTTTGTAAGTACAATCACAAATTGTGCAACCAACCATTACCACTATTTAATTTCAGAACACTTTCATTATACCTGAAAGAAACCCATACTTATTAACAGTCACTTCCTCTCCCCTTCTTCCCCCAGCCCCTGGCAAATCCTACTATACTTTCTGTCTTGAATAGATTTGCCTGTTCTGGACATTTTGTATAAACGTAATCATACAGTAGATGGCTTTTGTGTGTCTGGCTTCTTTCATTTAGTGTAATGTTTCCAAGGGTCACCCATGTGGGAGAATCTATCAATACTCCTTTTTATGGCCAGATAATATTCCATTTTATGGGCACACCAGGTTTGGTTTTAGTCATGTATCAGTTAATGGACATTTGGGTGGTTTCCACTGTGTGGCCATTACGAGTAATGCTGCTATGAACATTTATGTGCGAGATCATTTTGTGGGCATATGTTTTCAAATTATCTTGGGTAAGTACCTAAGAGTGGAATTGCTGGGTAACTCGATGTGTAACCTTTTGAGGAATCATCACACTGGTTTTCAAAGCAGCTATGCCATTTTACATTCCTACCAGCAGTGTATGATGGTAAGACACTTACGTCTTTTACTTTTTTTGGAAGCCAAATTTTTAAAAAGTACAAAGATACAGGTGAAGTGAACTTTAATAATATATTTTACTAACTCAGTATAACCAAATATTTCAATATGTAAATATAAAAATTGTTAATGAGATATTTTACATTTTTTTGGTATTAAGTCTCCAAACTCTGGTGTATATTTTCCATTCATAGCATATCTCAATTTGGATGCTAATTATTCTTTGGAAATACTTGATCTGTATTTAGAGTTCATGAAATTAATTTGGAAGGGTAGATTCACATATCCAAATTGTTCCAAACCTATTAAAATTTCTCCCTAACAATATCACATATATCAGCTTTTAAATTTACATGCACATTAATTAAAATTAAAAATTCAGTTCCTCCTTCAAACTAGGCATATTTCAAGCCTCACTAACCACATGTGGCTCAAAGCTCCCAGGTTGGATAGTCCAGCTCTAAGTGATTTCTGTTGTCATTGTGATTATTTTTATATATTTTAGAGACGGGATCTCGTTTTGTCATCCAGGCTGCAGTGCAGTGGTGTGATCATAGCTCACTGCAGCCTGGAAGCTCCTGAGCTCAAGGAATCCTCCCACCTCAGCCTCCCCAGTAGCTGGGACTGCATGTACTCAGCTCTATTGTAATTTTTTAAAAGCTATTGCCCTGGGCCTCAATGTTGGTTTTCTTTCCTCTTTTACAGCTGATCCAATGACAAACTATAAATACAATCCAATGACAAAATATAAATATATATATATACACACACACACACACACACGTATATATATGTGTATATATATACACACACACTATAGTTTATACGTAATTCTTATATATAATTCTTTTTCTCTTTAATAGACTTTTTTAGAGCACTTTTAGGTTCACAGAGAAATTGAGCAGGAAGTACAGAGATTTCCCATATATGTCCTGCTCCCACAAATGCACAGCCTCCCCTACTATCTACACGGCATCAGAGACTGCATTTGTCACAATCGGTAAACCTACATTGACACATCACCATCACCCAAAGCCCATGATTTACATGAGGGTTCCCTCTCGGTGGTGCCCATTCTGTGGGTTTGGACGATGTCTAATGACACGCCTCCCCCACCATCATGTGTGATTCTGCCCTAGAGGAAGGGCGGCTTCCTGTATGGCAGTGTTCTTAGCCATGGTCTGCTGGTTTAGAACAAGTGGCAAACAGCAGCACTGGTCACCCATGAGCCCCTCCAGCCTCTCGGCCCTCAACCCTCACAGACCTTATTTCTAGTGGCCAGCCCTGCTGGGCAGCCCCCACTGCCAGGGCTTTAGTGTCCCAGTTGGCATCCTGGCAGCCATGCCACTCATTGGACGGTCTCCACTGTGTCTCTTGTATCACTTTAAAAACAACATGCCACCCTGCCTCCAGGCCATCTCTCAGGTTACCGTGGAGCTACAGGACGAAAGAGGACATGTTCCATTCATCTGTGAGGTCACAGGTTATTGGGCTTAGGAGATCTTATGTGGAATAGGAAGCTGGGGGCTCGGGAGTAGGTAGCGTTTGTCATGAGCTTTCATCATGCAAAGTCTAAGGGCTCATGTCTGCAATGAAGAGACAGCAGCACCGTCTCCCCTGGGGCAGGGATGCCACAGCCCAGCCCTCAGGGACTCCAGGTTCACACAGGACAGTGGCCCAGCCCTCAGGGGCTCTAGGTTCATACAGGACAGTGCTTCTCTTCTGGGGAGTTTGTCAAGATTCAGCGAGTCTGGGGAGGAGCCTGAGACCATGCATTTCTAACAGATTCCTAGGGATTTCTACCCTTGGTATAATGAGGGCTTAGGGCTTTCCCCAGAAAGGATTAAATATGCCCCACCCTTCCCTCCCACCTTCCTCCACCAGCTCCACCACCCCGTAGCTAATAACAGCTGACACGTATTGAAGGTAGAAATGCACGGTGCCTGGGCTAAGCACTTTGCAGCGGCTGGCTCATTTCATTATCTCAACAGCCCTGTGAGATAAAGCCTGTCAGCCAGGCTCTACGTCAGGAAGCGGCGAAGCCTTGCTTTGAATGCAGGCTGCTGACTCCAGGCTCTGTCTCTATCGATGAGGTTAAATAGCTTCCCTAATTCCATTTTAGGTCTGAGTTCCTTAGCTCTCCTCAAAACTAAAATAACTGTCGATAACAGTGGTGGCCTCTGGTGAAGGTGACTGAGTAACTGGGTGGAGAGACACAATTTTTACTATATACCTGTTCACTGCATACCTCATGAATTGTGTGTGCGTGTGTGTGTGTGTGTGAGATCTAGTCCAATAAATTAATGAATAGCTTTAAAAGACAGTTTTTAAGGCTGGGCGTGGTGGCTCAAACCTGTAATCCCAGCACTTTGGGAGGCCGAGGCTGGTGGATCACTTGAGGTCAGGAGTTTGAGACCAGCCTGGCTAACATGGTGAAACCTCGTCTCTACTAAAAATACAAAAATTAGCCAGGCGTGGTGTCGGGTGCCTGTAATCCCAGCTACTTGGGAGGCTGAGGCAGGAGAATCGCTTGAACCGGGGAGGCAGAGGTTGCAGTGAGACGAGATTGTGCCACTGCACTCCAGCCTGGGTGACAGAGCAAGACTCTGTCTCAAAAAAAGTTTTTAAAAGGCCCAGGGCCTTCACAGTTAGAACCATGTACAAGTAGCAGAGCCTACTCTCAGGGCAGGGGGATGAGACAGTGTTCACCATGTTGGGCCACCAGCATCTCCACTGAAATGGTTGGGGTTCTTCGGGCCTCATGCATGCCCCTCCCATTCTCCAGGAGTGTGCAAGGCAAAGCTGGCCTGCAACTTCCCACCAGATGATAAAGGGTACACTTAGCACCTGGTTGGCAAGGACATTTCCAGAGTAGGTAGACTTTATAACAATTCAATAAATAGTAATATTGGTTAATAATGGTGCTATTCAAAGTCAGACATGAGAATTCTTTCCCTTCGGACAGCTTGGAACAAGTCTGAATTGCTCAGTGCTTACCTTTGCTCTTTTGTGATATTATACATTGACAAAGAAGAGAAAATCAGGATAATAACCAAGAAATGATTAGACTTAGCCATTGTGGGTACCTAGATATGATTCGAATCTCAGTGTTATCTCACCTAAGCTAGTTACTGTACTCCTGAAAATGTGAATTTTAACATATTTTAAAGAAGTGCAGGTTAATTACTTCCAAATCCACATATGGAATGAATCTAATTGTTAAGAAGAGGCTCTGGCTTAACCAGTTGTTACTCGAACAACTCGAACTTGCAGTTTTCTGTGTTCCCACCCTCTTGAAGTGTTGTGTGTTAAGATTGTACCAGGCAGACCCTGCCATATGCCTGTTGAGCTGTGTATTAGTCCATTTTCATACTGCTATGAACAGATACCCGAGACTGGGTTTAATGGACTCACTGTTACACATGGCTAAGAAGACCTCACAATTATGGCAGAAGGCGAAGGAGGAGCAAAGCCATATGTTACATGGCGGCAATAAGAGAGGGTGTGCAAAGAACTCCCCTTTATAAAACCATTAGATCTTGTGAGACTTATTCACTATCATGAGAACAGCACAGGAAAACCCGCCCCCATGATTCAATTACCTCCCATGGGGTCCCTCCCACAATACATGGGGATTATGGGAGCTACAATTCAAGATAAGATTTGGGTGGGGACACAGCCAAACCATATCAAGCTGGTTCCAATGATGGGCATAAACAGGCTTGTTAACCCCCAGGCCAGATCCTTTGAATCTCCAGACCTGAGAAAAGGGAGGGCAGAGAAGCCTGTTACTTCACGGCTGGTCGAAAGGACCAACTGAAGCACAAGACACACTGATCTCGGGGATCCTAGGCAAGATCCTCAAGAGAATTAGAGGCTGGGGACCCTTGGCAGGCTGCCAGGGAGGGGACATCCCCCATGGGGTGGAAGGAGGAGCACCTGCAGGTCAGTGCCCACTCCGCGATGCTACTGTCTGTCTTATGATCAGGGCTGGTGGATCAGGATGTGGCCTTTAGTGACAGGGAATGAGAAATGAACTCTGAAGCCCATCACACTACCAGCAACCATGGTGCCTAGTTTTCTTCTCCAAACCCCTGCAGTCAGAGAGACAAGAGTGGCAGATTTCTTACCATTCTGAACCAACTCTGTGCTGGGCAGACTGCCTTTGTCTTCCACATAGATCTACCCTGAGAAGCATCCACACGAATGTCCATCATTCCAGCCCCAAAGACGATAGCTGAGCTAACACGTTTGTATTAGTCTGTTTTCATACTGCCGTAAAGAACTGCCTGAGGGTGGGCACAGAGGCTCATGCCTGTAATCCCAGCATTTTGGGAGGCCGAGGCAGCGGATCACTTGAGGTCAGGAGTTTGAGACCAGCCTGGCCAACATGGGGAAATCCCGCCTTTACTGAAAATACAAAATTAGCCAGGCTTTGTGGCGCACACCTGTATTCCCAGGTACTCAGGAGGCTGAGGCAGGAGAATCGCTTGAACCTGGGAGGCAGAGGTTTCAGTGAGCCAAGATCATGCCACTGCACTCTAGCCTGAGTGACAGAGTGAGACTCTGTCTCAAAAAAAAAAAAAAAAAAAAAAAAAAAAACCAAAAAAAAAACCCCAACTGCTCGAGACTGGGTAATTTATAAAGGAAAGGATTTAATATGACTCACAGTTCAGCATGGCTGGGGAAGCCTCAGAAAGCTTACAATCACGGCAGAAGGTGAAGGGGAAGCAAGGCACCTTCTTCACAAGGCAGCAGGAAGGAGAAATGCCAAGTGAAGCAGGGAACAGGCCCTTAGAAAACCATCAGATCTCGTGAGAAGTCACTATCATGAGAACAGCTTGGGAGAAACCGCCCCCATTGTTCAATTACCTCCACCTGGTCTCTCCCTTGATGCGTGGGGATTATAGGGATTACAATTCAAGATGAGATTTGGGTGGGGACACAAAGCCTAAACATATCAACATTTATTAAGCACTTACTTGGTGTATCAAGTACTGGAGCAAGCAGTCTCCATCCCTCACTGAGCCTATTTGTAGTGAAATTCCCTGAGCTGGAGTCCTGAGGGTGGTTGCTGAAGCATTCTTCAGGCCCTGTGTCTAACCCATTCCCAAATCCTGTCTGTTCTAATTCCGCAGTGTCTTCTGCAATGGAACTTTCCTCTCTGTATTAAATTCCAAGGGCTGCCATAACAAAGCACCCAAAACCGGGGTGCCTTCAAGCATCAGACATTTATTTTCTCACAATTGAGGAGGCACAGTCTGAAATCAGCAGACAGTTGGCAGTATTGGTTTTCCCTGGAGGTCTGAGAGAGAAGCCATCCCATACTTCTGGCCTAGCTCCAGTGGTGGCCAGAAGCCCTTGGGGGTTCCTTGGTTTGGAGCCAACATTAATCCAATCTCTGCCTCCATCATCACATGGCCTTCTTCCCTCTGTGTCTCTGTGTTCAAATTTTTCTCTTCCCATGAAGACAACAGTCACTGGATTCGGGCCCACTGTAATCCAGTATGACCTCATTTTAATGTGATTATATTTGTAAAAACCTACTCCCAAGTAAAGTCACATTCTCAGGTACCAAGGGTTAGAACTTGAACCTATTTTTGCGGGACACAATCAACCCACTCTCCATTCCCCCAGCCACCACGGTAGCCCAGGCTTCATAATTTCATCTGGGCCACTGCCATAGCTTTCTTTCTAGATCATTAACAACCTTGTCTCCTTATAGAACACCTGCCGACCCTAAGTCTTGACCACCTCCCTACACAGAATGTAAGTTTCAAGAAGACAGAGACTTTGTCTGGCGATGTTTTCCTTAGAAGCTAGGACAAGGCCAGGAACATAGACGGCTTTCAACAAGTATTTGTTGAATAAAGGAATTAATGAATGTACATGCATCAGCAGCAAATATATTGATTCTGTATCTTTCCTTGATACACTTGTCCCTTCTCTTCTCCCCCAAGTAGATTATTTCTACTGTAGCAAGTTATTTCTGTCTCTGTGCTAGCCTTTACATATAGTCATTTGTTTGCCCAGCTGGGGTGTTATTCTGTGAGCTGGGTTGGGACAGACACTAGGTCTGATTCATCTTGGAATGCGCAGAAGAAACACAGTGTCTGTCAATATTTGTTGAAAGGAATTAGATTAATGAGGCAAGACAGAAACGTGAAAAATTATATTCCCCCGCCCCCTCCAATTGACTGCCTCTACCACATTTGCAGAACTGGGGTTGGGGTGGGAGGTAGGGCAGGAGGTAAAATTGCAAATTCTGTAAGTTCCCCTTTCTGCTGATGCTTGAAAAATTATCTTTCTGAGTCAGCACAGGTATTTTGATACTGCCTTGCGATTTGGGGCATTTTTTTTTAAAGTGATGATTTAAAAACAAGTGCTTTCACATTTACCATCAAACTGATGGGGTTGGGTGGGAAAATAACCATCATGAGAACCATTTACTCCTTCATCTCTTAAATTTCTAGTTCAGGGTCTAAATCTGACCATAAACTTAAGGAACTCTTCAGTCCCTGCCTCTTCATAAGGAGATAGCAGAACATTCCACTCAGGCATGGGTTGGTCTTCATCAGAACATTCTGAAGTGGCTGGTGCTGACTGCAGGGTCTGGAAGCCTGGGCTGGTGACAAGGAATAGACTTGGCTGCACTGAATTCCACTCTCTGGACAGATTTTGCTTAGCACAGAAGTAGGCATAACTTCCAGGAGAGGGACAACCTCCCTATCATTGTCCTGCCACTAAAATCTCATTTGAAACCTTTCTCTTCTCAAGTGTACACCACCCACCCAGTCAAGTGACTATGCTTCACTGCTGATTGTGGACAGTAAATGGGAGACCATGGAGTGGGGGGCCAAAAGGACAGGCTGGAAAAAGAATGGATTGCTTTAGTGGGTTGAATCGTGTTCCCTGCAATTTTGTGCACATGGAAACTGCAGATATAATTAGCTAAGATAAGGTCATACTGGACTAGAGTGGGCCCTAAATCCAGTGACTGGTGTCCTTATAAGAAGAGGAGAGGACACACGGAAAGATATAGAGGGAAGATGGCCACATGAAGACGGAGGGAGAGACTGGAGTGATGCATCTACAGGTCAGGGAATGGCAAGGATGGCCAGGAGCCACCAGAAGCTGGAAGAGGCAAGGGAGGACCTCCAGAGGAGTGCAGCCCTGGCGACACCTTGAATGCACACTTCTGGCCTCCAGAACTGAGGGAGTAAAGCTGTGGTGTTTTAAGCTGCCCAGTTTGTGGTCATTTGCAGCCCTAGGAAACAGGTACAGTTGCCAATAGTGTAGATACAGTGAATTATTAAGAAAAAAAATGTGGGTTTTTTTTTTTCCATTTTTGTTTCTGGGACCTTCTAAAGAAGCCCAGGAAACTAGGGTTACCTCCATCTCGGGGGTGAGATGGTGATAAGGTGAAGAGAATTGTATGCAACAGAGATGAGGAAGGGGTTGTATATGATAGAGGTAGGGATGGGGTTGTATGTGATGGAGGTGGGGATGGGATTGTATGTAATGGAGGTGGGGATGGGGTTGCATGTGATGGAGGTGGGGATGGGGTTGTATGTGATGGAGGTGGGGATGGGGTTGTATGTTTTGGAGATGAGGATGGAGTTGTATATGATGGAGATAGGGATGAGGTTGTATGTGATGGAGATGTGGATGGGGTTGTACATGATAGAGATAGGGATGGGGTTGTATGTGATGGAGGTGGGGATGGGGTTGTACGTGATGGAAGCGGGGATGGGGTTGTACACGATGGAGGTGGGGATGGGGTTGTACATGATGGAGACGGGGATGGGGTTGTACGTGATGGAGATGGGGATGTGGTTGTATGTGATATAGATGGGGATGGGTTGTATCTGATATAGATGAGGGTAGAGTCATATATGATAGAGATGGGGATGGGATTGTAGGTGATGGAGATGGGGATGGGGTTGTATATGATATAGATGGGGGTAGAGTCATATATGATGGAGATGGGGATGGGGTTGTATATGATATAGATGGGGGTAGAGTCATATATGATGGAAATGGGATGGGGTTGTAGGTGATGGAGATGGGGATGGGGTTGTATGTGATAGAGACAGAGATGGGGTTGTTCATGATGAAGGCAGGGATAGGGTTTTACGTGATGGAGATGGGGATGGGGTTGTACGTGATGGAGGAGGGGAAGGAGGTTGTATGTCATAGACACCAGAATGTGGGTTGTACTGTGAGAGAGGCATAGATAAGGGTTGTGCTGTGGAAAGCAAACAGATGAAAATAAATAGGTTTTGTATTTGTTTAAGCAGGACAATAACCTTACAGTCTGGCTTTGTTGAGAGAGTTTTCTATGTTCCTTTCTTCTTAGATCAGAGAATCTTATCTCTGCACAATCTGAAAGCAAACAGGTGTGAGGGTGTGGACAAGTGGACACAGCCTTCCCTGCTCAGAGCTACTGGGAGGAGGAAGGTGACGGAGACAGAGTCAGGGTGAGAGGGGCACGTAGGTCCTGACTCCACGTTTTGCAATGCCGGGATTGTGGTGGAGCAAGCTAAGGGAAACTGAGAGGACAGGAGAGCTTTGCCTGCTTCCCTTTCAGGACACAGGAACTAGCCACCCTTCCACCTACCCATGCAGGGCAGCTCAGACACTGTCTTCCAGAGGGTGGGGCCAGCAGTACTAGAAAGTGAGCATTCCCTAGAGGACTGCCCAAGGGATTGGACCAGAATAGGCTTAATCAGAAAGAAAATTTTGTTATTTTCCACTCATCTCCCACATCCCTGATTGGGGGCCCATGAGGAAGACAGGATCGGTTTCAGAGACAAAATAAAGGGATTGCATTTACTCAGGCACCTGAGAAGTAAGGTGTGTGAATTTTCAAGCCACCATATGCACAAATATCAGCTCAGTGTATATTTTGCCTTCCTAGCTCAAATCACAACATTGAATTCCAGATGTTTCCTCCTCCTTGGTTCTCCAGGCATTTCCCTACCAACTTCAGCTTCCCAGAAACTTTTCTGTGAATTGTTATTTTTCCTTCCATCTACAAGGGGAAAGTTTGTTTCGATGGATCCATCCAAAGGGGCCCCTGAATTTCTGGTGTAATCTGCACCATAGTCCTCCTCAGTTCACATCTTACCTTTGATTTCCCTCATCTTTAAATGCAACCCTGCTGTTGTACCTTGCAATTTATAGCTCTGTGCCCAGGGTAAACTGGACATCCTCACTTTCAGTGCATGGTGCCTGGCTATAGTCGGTACAGTTATGCTGATGTCTTCTAAGTGGTACATACTTGAAACCTCAATTATTTGTGGTTAAAACAAAAGATGCTTCTCTCTCTCTACTCAAAAGAGAACATAAAGCTTCGGTTTAGATCTAAAAAAGACCCCAACAAACCAGGCACCAAACTATTAGTGATGAATAAGAGATTTAGTTTAGTAGAAGCTACATATTAACCAAAACGCAGGAGCCTGGAGCAATTTTCAGGTAGGAGATCAATGTCTCAACAGAGAGATGCTGAGATCTGACATGAGAAGAGAACCAGACTGAAGAGGCAAAACCTTCCTACATATGTTGGCAAAGGGATGTTGGACAAAGATCAGACTGGATAGATGTTCACTCATTTGACATAATTTCTGAGCATTTACCATGCTCATTGCACCAAGTAGAACAACATTAATGTTGTTGTCCCTCTCAGCGATCTCAATATCCCAGGAAATTTTGTCTCTTTTTTGGAATGAAGCTGTCTCTCAGTCTTAGCAGGTAATCGTTGTTGCCTGCTGCGTCACCTGTGATTGTACTGCCAGAGGGGTTATTTTCTGCCAATCAAGAAACCAAGCCTGGCTGGGCGCGGTGACTCACGCCTGTAATCCCAGCACTTTGGGAGGCCGAGGTGGGTGGATCACTTGAAGTCAGAAGTTCAAGACCTGCCTGGCTAACAGGGCAAAACCCCATCTCTACTAAAAATACAAAAATTAGCTGGCCATGGTGGCACTCGCTTGTAAGTCCAGCTACTTGGGAGGCTGAGGCAGGAGAATCACTTGAACCTGGATGGCAGATGTTGCTATAAGCCGAGATCGCACCACTGTGATATGGACAACATAGTGAGACTCCATCTCAAAGAAAAAAAAAAAACAAAACACAGGAAACCAAACCCGAGGTCCTATCACTATCCTGCTGACTTACTAGAGAAGAGATATAGGATATAAAGAATCCTCAATCCCCAAACCTGCATTTTCTCGCCATTTTTTGGTATGAGCATCTGAGGCAGGTGACTGGCTTAATATTTATGTTTATATTCAGATTTTCCAATAGCCGAATACCATCACTGCTGTACACTTTGAAGCCCACACTGAAGAGGCAAAGTACTAGTGTAGTAATCGTGACAAGTATTTCCTGCTTCTAAAGTTTACAAGAACTTGCTTTATGTAATGTATTATTGTCATTGCAGTGTGGTAATTGCTACTACCTTGGTTTTGCTTTTACTCACAAATTCTAAAAACTATAAAGAGAGATATTGATTTGAAAATACTCTCCTAGAACCTGACTAAGAATTAATTTTTTCCCCTTATCATTTTGTCTGAAATCTGCAGGAAAGTTTCAGTTTGTGGGACGTAAACAATACCATCCCACTCACCCCAGGCTCATGGTCTACATACAGCAGGGATTCATTCTGAGGCTCAACGAGCCCTTAACAGGATATCCATAGGCCCAAGGGGGTCTGAAACCCCCCGGAAATTATGTGCAACATTGTGTGGGTAAAACAAGACTTTCTGGGAAGAAGCCATAACTTTTCTTGGCTCTTCAAAGCAGCCTGTATCTTACAAAGGGCTAACAAGGTTGGAGGCTTAGGCCACTGGTGTTGCATTCTGTGGCTGTGATGATTTTCACTGGCTTGGACTAGGTCTGTAAGCCTCTAGGACTCTGCAGGATGAACCATAGGGTCTATACGCCAACACAGTGCAGTCTACCAAAGACACAAGGCACTTAATGCCTAGAGGAGGGAGAAGGAAAGAGACCAGGGAGGCAGAGGAACTTGGAATCCAGAGAGTGCATGTTCATGGTGAGCCGTTCTCCAGCCCACTGTCTCTTTCCTGCCCCTCTCTGGGGTCCCACTGGCTCAATCTTCAATCGGTCTACCTATGGTGACATGGTGACATGCTGTATCCTTTTCCCTAACAATTCTCATTGTTAATAGAGAAGATTAGATCTAGAAGCCATAGGAGTCCACGGAACCTCTGATTGCAAATGAGGGGTGAAGCTTAGGCCCCATTTACTTGGCAGCAGGTCACAGAACACCAAAGCTGTTGGGAAGCAAGAGGTGTTATCTAACTCTTACTTTACTGTGGAAGAAAGACTCTGAGAGACCTGGTGACTTCTCTACAGCCACTTCCTGTATAGTAGCAGATCCAAGACCAAACCCCAGTTTTCTGAGACTCAAATCATTTTTCCATCACCCTACTCCATTTTTCTCTCATCTCCTGTGTCTTTTTAAGACACAGCAAATAAAAAAGCAAAAAGACAAAACAAAACCAAAAAACCCCCCAGAGACTATTCAGAAATGCCTAGTGGAATTCAAGAGAAATCATGGGGCTTCATAGCACCATCTTTTCTTATGTTTGCATACAGTTGCACTTTATGGAAATTATGGCTCACTCTGTCTCTCTCATTTCCCAGAAATCTCCCATCATCTATGCAGGAAAACACAGATGCATGCAGGAAAAGAAGACAGCCGTTTTTGTGACCCATTTCACATGAGTTTGCCATTACATGGTCCCCGCCTGTGTTGGAATAGTTGGTATATCCCTTCGTTTGCAATGTACAACCCAAAATCCTCAAGTCATAAATTTCTATGCCATTTTACCAACATTAACTGCATTAATGTAAGTAAAGCAGTTAGAACAGTGCCTGCCGTGTGTTAAAAAGGCTGTAGGGATTAGCAATTATTACTACTAATAGTAGCGTTACTACTTAGCTCACCTCACCTGAGATGTACAATAAATTCATATGCTCATGGCTCATGCTCTAGTGCCCTTCCACTCGTACCATGTCACCAGGCAAAGACTCCCACTGAACTCACAGAGCTCCTAGGAAGGGTGTGAACCATGGAAACCCAGGCCTCTCCCAGCAAAAGATCAAATCAGTATTTTACAAACTCTATGACTCTCAAGAAATGAAGACAGAATTGTAACACCAGTTGGCTGAGGATTTCTTGTCCCTTAGGAGGGAATGGAATGAAGAAGAGCTGGTCAGATATAGGGGTGTTTAGGATCTGTTTCAGGACTGGAGGTTTTAGATGAATATCAAGGAAGTTACAGTCCTCCAGTCTATTACGTGTTATCCTAATATTCAAAGCCTTCAAGAGAAGCTTCTTTCTGGGCAATCAGGCAACTCCTAAAAATAAACTCAAGTTCCTGAAATATTCTAGCTTGCCTTTAAGCTTTCTTTGGCTGGGGACCGGGCTATCTATTTTCAGTTTTGCAGCCCCAGGTGGTATGGATTTGATCTATCGAATGACAAATGGCCGAATGACGCTCTGCCTGTTGTGACAGCTCAGCAGATATTTAGGAAAGGTTATCCGTGGGGGAGGCTACAACAGCCCAGAATGGCTGGAGAGAGGGGAAGGTCTCATTTAAAGTTTCCTGGAACCACAAGGGAAAATTGATGATGTGTAGACAACTGTTGAAGGACACAGTGCTATTTCTACTTACCTCATCCAGATAAGAAGGAAAGAACACTAAAAGAACTTTGAAAAAAAAAGAAGTTGGAGAATGAAAATTATGCATGGTAGGGCATGTTGGCACACGGAAGACTGACCAGTTGAAGCTAGGGACCGAGTGGCTTGGCCCTCCTGGCCCCGGGGCTTCTGATTGGCTTTAGAACTGTGGCCTCTCTCCTTTGACAATCAATCTTCTCATATTTCCCATTCTCCCTCCCCCACTCTACTTCAAGTTCACCTTGCCTAAGGCCCTTTGATCCCTTGGCATTTTGACCAGCACCTTGAGCTCCCTTCCAGGGACCACACCCCTTGCTCTACGGGACACTGTCCCCTTCCAGCTAATCCCTACCAGGAGCTGCCCAGAGCCTCCAGAGGGTTCCAAGGTGACCCTCACCTGGCTTCCCCTTCTTCCCTCAGCCATATATTTTTCTCTTCTATCCATTAGGCTGCTGAGAAGCTGCAGTTAACAGAATAGTCAGCTAGCTAATAGTGTGTGTGTGTGTGTGTGTTTTTTTTTTTTTGTAGTTCACAAGAAGTCTGGGGCTAGTGAAAGTCTGTGTGTCATTCCAGTAGCTCGACGATGACTGCAAATCTCCAACTTCCTTCTCTCTTTCTGCTGCACCAGTCATAGTGTGCTGGCTTTTCATTTTCATGCCCCAGGACTGGAAGATGAGAGCTGCAGCACCAGGCATTACATCCTGATTGAAGGAAGAAGGAGGGGATAGGCAAGGTACCCACCATGTCTATACCTTACACAAGGAAAGCAAAGCTTCCCCAGAAGTCCCTTGGTGGGATTCCTTGAACATCTCATTAGGCAGACTGACCCCTTTGCCCCATCTAGCTATGTAAGAGGCTGGGAGAGTGTGTGGTTTTCCAGCCTTCTTAGTTGGAGGTAGCAAGAGACAAGGGGATTGGCGGTACTGTTGAATTAGTCAGCCAACAGTATCTACCACATCTGCCCATTCCAATCAGTAGAGAAGTCCCTTAGACTGCATGGAAATGTTCAAGAAGTATCTTAGAATTGAAACATATGACGTAAGATTACAACCTCTGATTTCTGCACTGCAGGAATTTTATCGTTGAAATGGAAGAGGATGATACAGTGGTGACCTTCCACACTCTGTCCTGGAGCAGCGTTGTTAGTTAAGTTTCATCCACTTGGCTATTAGCACAACTTGTCAAGAATTGTTATCTATGTACATCTTGTTTTCCATGTACATCTTGTCTCTTCAACTGGATTATAAGCTATTTGAGGAGAGGGATCTTATCTCATACAACCTTCTATTGTTAGTGACTCAAATTAGTGTCATGCACTTGGCTGGCATGAAAGACACTCATTAATGATGAAAAGCATAACCTTGAACATCCTGGGGTGCACAAAGAGGAAACACACCTTTCCATTAAATCCATGGCAGACATTCCTAGGAGGCAGAACTTTGGAAAGGCCAATAAGTGAAAATAATATGTTTGTGGAATCAGAGGCATGTTGAATGGGGTTTCAATTGAAAAATGCTATTCAAGCGTTAAGTTTCCAAGCTTAATGCTGCTTTCAAAAAGAGGCTTGGAAACATTACTAAATTTGGTTTACCCTTTCCCCTCCTGTATTCATTCATCTGCTTATTCATTCAGCAAAATTATTTGAGTCCCTATGTGCTAGGCTCTGGAGACTCAGAAATGAATAACTGAGTCCCTACCCTTAGACCTTGTAGGGAAGTAGAGAAATTGAGAGATGGCCATGTTGCACCTAAGAAGGACATTTGCAGTTTCATATCCAAAGTGTTTCAGGAGCTTAGAAGTTCTGGACTTAAATTAGGGGAAGTTCCCAGCCCTTGGTGAGGTGAGGTTTATTCCAACTTACCTGATTAGAAATGCTGGGTTGGAAAGGGCTCTGTAGCCTCACAGACTTGGCTTTAAATCCTGGCTCTGCCTTTGACTGTGGGACCCTGGGGAGACTTCTCATCCCCAAACATCATTGACCTCATGTGTCGGTTTTTAATTCATTCCTCTCAGCTCTGAATTCACCCTTTAATATGTGCCCTGTACTAACGAAATTCCATTATTCTTCTTTAAAGTAAGCACAGTATTACGCTTTCTCAGCAGAAGGCACTGGAAGGACACTGCAGGAGGAAGAGAATTCCTGTCATTTCAGCATTGGTGGAGTTGGAGAGCCTGTGGTCATCCTGCCTCAGCCATGGGCCCCAGAACGTGGTCATCTGCAACCTTGTAGCCTTAGTGTAGTGATACCCTTTCTGCTGCCCTCTCTCTTTGGAACCCAGAGCCCCGCATGGCCCCCAGCTCTTAAAGCCTCCTGCCTGTATCAACGCACAGACTGCCTCCACAAGCTCCTGTGTGGTCTACACATAGCCGCCTGAGGTCTGGTGCACAGAGCACTTGTTCCCTCTGTGACTTAGTCCGTTTTCTTTACTTGTAACAAAATACCTGAAACTGGGAAATTTATAAAGAAAAGAAATGTATTTCTTACAGCTCTGGAGACTGAGAAGTCCCAGGCAGAGGGCCTGCATCTTGTGCAGGCCTTATTGCTGCTGGGGACTCTCTGCAGAGTCCCAAGGCAGAGCAGGGCATCACATGGCGAGGGGGCTAAGCACGCTCTATGCCACCTCAGGTCTCTGTTCCTCTTCTTATGAAGCCTCCAGGTCCCCTCCCTTGATAACGTATCAATCCTTCAGCCCATTAATTCATTAATCCATAAATGGATTAATCCCTCTATGAGGGCAGAGCTCCCATGATTCAATCGCCTCTTAAAGGCCCCACCCATCAGTATTGCCACACTGGGGATTAAGTTTCAATATGAGTTTTGAGTGGACATTCAAACTAGCACTCTGCAAACTCCTGACCCACACCACATGTAGCCCACAAGCTCTGAAGGCTTCAGCCCCTGTGACCACCCATGCCCAGACTCCCCTGCACACCCACGCCACTGCATGCTGACCACCTACTCCTGGCCTGCACTTGGAAGGGAGGTCTATTGCTTTTCTCGGCAATTCCAGGCCAGCTCTGGTCTGGATGCACCAGTGAACTTCTGTGCTATCTGGTGGCCTAACCACACCTTCTCCAAGTAGGTCTAAACCTCTTCCAACTTTGTCCTTCCTTGGTACTTTCCCTTACCTAGAGTACTATAGACAGTTTCCTTATACCTTATAGCACTCTTCTATCACAGTCAATAGTTCTTTATATTGAACTTCTCTTATATAACCTACTGTGTGGTTTCTATGATTGGACCTAGGCTATTCATCTCATCAGTAAAGAAGAGATGATAACATCTTTTTCTCAGATTTATTTTACGGATCAGATGAGAAAACCCTCATAAAGCTCATAGCTCAAGGCTCTGCCTGTCAGAGCTCCCCAACTTCCTCTTTTCCTGAGCTACTGCTGTTTTTTCACAGAGAAGAAGGAAAATTAGTATCAGTGAGTGAGTGCCTTCTGGGCACCAGGCAATATGTCAGGCACTTGACAAGATGGTGCAGACATGCATGTGGTTAGTCTTAGAGGAGGAGACAGAGGGTCAGAGAAGCTAAAGAGGTTACCCGTGGTCATGCATGCTATATCCAATTAAGCTGGGCTACAAACGCTGGTTGCTAGTCCTCCAAGTCCACGCACCACACACTATGTTGGGCTTACTCCTAGAGCCCCAAACACTCCTTTTTTCACTTGAATGAGTACAATTTCCCTACATAAGGAAATTGTGTCAGCACTCACTCGAAGTTTCAGCACTCATTCTATGCTGAGAATAGGTGCACAGCAGAAGAATCATTTGCTAGCATTCTTTTGTAATGACTTAACTAAGAAATCTCCTCCTAAAAGAAAGGTCTGACTCATTGGGAAGGTGTGAGTCTGTGGTTTCCCTTTCTCTGTGAGCTGGCCTCTGGATGAGAACCGAGGAGCCTGCTCTTGAAACTGATGCCGTAAGCAAGTACAAATATGAACTGGGCTGTTAAAGGCTTCACTTCAAAAAAAACCCCATTGGTTAAAATCAAATTTATGGAATTGCTTATCAGCAGCGGGCCAGTTGTACGGTTTGTTGCTTCAACGTAACTTCCACAGGCCAGCAATCTCTGTTATGTTCATTGATGTTTCCCAGCTGCCTAGAACAGTGCCTGGTATAAAGTAGATGGTCACTAAATGTGTGTCAAATGTATGAATTTACACGGTCAAGGATTCAACCAATTTTTTTACATGTGGAGATTCACTAGGGTATTTTGAAGTAGAATTTTAATTTAAAAGTAAGAGGGGCGATATGGTTTGGATCTGTGTCTCTACCAAATCTTGCACTGAGATGTAATCCCCAATGTTGGAGGTGGGGCCCAGTGGGAGGTGATTGGATGATGCGGGTGGTTCCTCATGAATGGCTTAGCGCCATCTCCTGGTACTGGTCTCGTGACAATGAGTGAGTTCTTGTGAGATCTGGTTGTTTAAAAGTGTGCGGCACCTCCCCCTTGCTCGCTCTTGGTCCTGCTCCTGTCGGGCAAGATGTGGGCTTCAGCTTTGCCATCTGCCATGAGTAAAGTTCCCTGAGGCCTCTCCAGAAGCAGTTGCCACCATACTTCCTGTATAGCCGGTGGAACCGTGAGCCAATTACACCTCTTTCATTTATAAATTACCCAGTCTCAGGTATTTATAGCAGTGCAAGAACTGACTAATACAAGAGGAAAGGTGCAAATAAATCTCAATGGAATATGATTATTTTGTAAATCACGGCATGATACTATGATGATCTATTCCAGTGACCAAGCTCATCCTAATGAAAACTTGTCCTGTGTTTAATTCTCTTCAGAGGTCAGTCTCTTCTAGGTACCCGCTTATTACTTTGCTGATGTAATAGTAATCAATCACGGAAGAATAAAGGTACCATCCCAGTAAATATCATAGTAACTTTTTAACTGAAGCCCTTTGGAAAAAATTGCCCAGTGCCTGACAGAGAATTCTGCACATGACAGCTACTCCATAAATGTCTGTTGACACTGATGATACTGTGATAATACCAGGACCTTAAAATAAGGGACTGACATAGGTAGTGGAAATGCAGGCAGGATAGAAAGGCCGGAGAGAGGGGTGGTGGTGCTTTTGATGGGGCAGTCTCTCTATACATTTCACATAATGACCAGGAAGTTCCCCATGTTTTCTGTGCTTAATGACTCAGTCTATTTGTGCTATAGCATATTCTTAAAAGGCTGAACCAAAATACCAAACCAGAAAAGTACTCTTTACATGTGTTACAGATATTGAGGTATAGAGAGGAAAGCATATGCACATCAAACTCTTTTAAAAAAATACCTTATCCCTTATTTCCCAGAAATGATATTTCTTCTTTTTAATAAAGAAGAAAAAGGGATATAGAAAGGGAATAAATATACTTTTCTTTCCGGGAACACCAGGATAACCAGTAGTGCTTAGGGTTCAAAGTCTCTTTTAAAATGGGGTTGTTGCAAAGTCAGGAGCAGATGAAAGTTCAAACCCTTTCAAGTGTAGAGCTTTAATGGGTGAAGTTGGCTACAGCTGTCTCAACTGGTACATGGTTCATTCATTTATTCATTCTCTCAACAAACACTTAGTAAGCATCTACCGCATGCTAATCGCTATAACAGGCCTTCACTAGAACACAGAATGGGAGCTCCTTGTAGATGAGCATTTGCCTGTCTTGTATCCCCATTATCTAAAACACTCCCTAGTACTTTGGAGGCATTCACTAAATATTTGTTGAAAAGATTAAGTAGTCCTAGCCCTCATGGAGTTTATATTAAATTTCTTTCTTGTTTAGTTAGCATTTTTATGCCCATCAAATATGAGTTAAATGAACCTCAAAGTAGCTTTAAAAGAGAAAATGAGAGATGCATGACTGACAGGCTGTAAGCAGCCTGGGGGAAGTGTGGAAAGAGGTGTGATTATGCTGTTGTCCTGCTTCCCACGGGCAGTACATACAGGGATTGACCACAAGGTAGTAAGACTGACTGTCATGTATGATTTATGAGAATCAATCTCATGACATTGGAGCCATAATATGCCCATGAACATTTCAGCTCTGTTTTGTCATACGCTGGGAGACAGACTTCATCCCCACCCCTGAACCCCATCCCGCCAAGGCCAGTCATCTGTTCCCTGCACATCTGAATGTGGCTGTCCAAGGCAGGAGTCCTGGGAGCAAAGACTGAGTTGCTTCAGAAATTAGAAGTAATTTTCTTCTCCTTGGCTGGACATAAGTTTTCTTTGTTTTGAAATAATCAATGAGCTAAAAGTTTCATGAGACAAGGATTTAGTCAAAGAGTTTGCTGCTTCCTTGAACAATATCCAATATCATGGAACGTTCATATAGTACCATGAAAGGCTCAATCCTCAGAATGTGAGGTTTCTTTTTCTCTGCCTTCCTCTCTTCCTCCCTCCCTCCCCCTCTCCCCTTTTCTCAAAAACCTAAGCAGTCCTGAATCTTCTATTTCCTGTAGAGGTGGTCTGCCTGCCACTGGGCATCTATTTTAAAGTCTGGGATACATTCTGGGATGTTTATAAGCTTCTCTAGGAAAGAAATGATTGGCAGTGCTGGTGGCCAATCATAAGTCCATTTATTCATTAGAGGTGGGTTCAAAGGCAGCCTTCTCTCTGTTTTTTAGTAACATTGTTATCTTAGTGCACTTCATGTTGCTATAACAGAATACCTGAGATTGGGTAGTTTATCAAGAAATGAGGCCTATTTGGTTCATGATTCTGGTGGCTAGAAAGTTCAACATTAGGCATCTGCATCTGGTGAGGGCCTCAGTCTGCTTCCAACTCACGATGGGAGGCAGAGGGGAGCTGGCATTTTCAGAGATAGTATGGACAGAGAGGAAGCAGGGTGGGGGTGGGGATGGTGCCAGACTCTTTTTAACAACGAGGAAGTAATAGATTGAGAACTCACTCATTCCCCCCACCCCTGAGGGATGGCATAAATCTATTCGTAAGAGATCCACCCCCATAACCCAAACACTTCCCATTAGGCCCCACCTTCAACCCTGAGGATCAAATTTCAACATGAGGTTTGGAGGGGGCAAATATCCAAACCATAGCAATTATTAACCAGCAAGCTGTTATATTTTGGGGACAAAGATTGCTTATTGCTGTTTTGCAAGTACTGTTTATTTCATTTATTATGATCATGTGAGATTCATCTTTCTGGAAAGATGCGCACAGCTCTTGTTGTGACTTACTTGATCAAAACAGTTAACATTCGATTTATTTCCATCTATTTCCTAAGAGAGAAAGAAATCATTAAATAAATGATGGTTGTCAGGAGGCTTTTTGCTTATAATGATGAATTTGACAAAGGGCCCCCTGGAACACAGAGTTGCTTAAATTTGCAGTTTTCTAGGAAATCTCTAATAGCTAGAGGGAGTTGGGGGATTAATGTTTAGATTTCAATCATTCTTGTCCATTATTACGGTCATTGAGGATTAACACTCTTGGGATTGCAGTTATGCCCTATTGTGGGCTCTCCCATGAACAATTCTACTAATATCACTTTTCATCTTCCTAGGTACAAGTTCAGGAAACAGTCAGAGAGACAATCTCTTGCAGCCAGATGCCAGCTTTCTCAGAGCCTGCTGGGGAGGAGTCCCCATTCACTGGGACCACAACAATTTCCTTCTCAAACTTAGGAGGGGTCCACAAGGAAAATGCATCATTAGCTCAACACTCGGAGGTCAAACCCTGTACCTGTGGTCCACAGCATGAAGAAAAACAAGACAGAGATGGCAACATACCTGACAATTTCAGGGAAGACCTAAAATATGAGCAGAGCATCTCAGAAGCCAATGATGAGACTATGTCCCCAGGTGTGTTCTCAAGGCATCTCCCCAAGGATGCTCGTGCTGACTTCAGGGAGCCTGTGGCTGTCTCTGTTGCTTCCCCTGAACCCACAGATACTGCCCTCACCCTGGAAAATGTGTGTGATGAGCCAAGGGACAGAGAAGCAGTGTGTGCAATGGAGTGTTTTGAGGCTGGTGACCAAGGAACGTGTTTTGATACCATAGATTCTCTTGTTGGGAGACCAGTTGATAAATATTCGCCTCAAGAAATTTGCTCTGTAGATACGGAACTGGCAGAAGGTCAAAACAAAGTATCTGATTTATGTTCTTCTAATGACAAGACACTGGAAGTCTTTTTTCAGACACAAGTGTCTGAGACTTCAGTGTCTACGTGCAAAAGCAGCAAGGACGGCAACTCAGTCATGTCCCCTCTTTTTACCAGTACTTTCACCTTGAACATTTCACACACAGCTAGTGAAGGTGCCACAGGAGAAAATCTAGCCAAGGTGGAGAATTCCACCTACCCACTGGCCTCCACAGTACATGCTGGCCAGGAGCAGCCAAGCCCCAGCAACTCAGGAGGGCTTGATGAAACACAGCTCCTTTCTTCTGAGAACAATCCTTTAGTGCAATTTAAAGAAGGAGGTGACAAGAGCCCCAGTCCTAGTGCCGCAGACACCACAGCCACACCAGCCAGTTATAGTTCAATTGTGAGTTTTCCTTGGGAGAAGCCAACAACATTAACTGCTAATAATGAGTGCTTTCAAGCGACCAGGGAGACTGAGGACACATCAACTGTTACCATTGCCACCGAAGTCCACCCAGCCAAATACCTTGCTGTGTCAATTCCTGAGGACAAGCATGCAGGTGGCACTGAGGAGAGGTTCCCTCGTGCATCCCATGAAAAGGTTTCCCAATTTCCTTCCCAAGTGCAGTTGGATCATATTTTAAGTGGTGCTACCATCAAATCTACAAAAGAGCTACTTTGCAGGGCACCCAGTGTGCCAGGAGTCCCACACCATGTCCTGCAGCTCCCAGAGGGAGAGGGTTTCTGCAGTAATTCCCCTCTTCAGGTTGATAACCTGTCTGGAGATAAGAGCCAGACTGTGGACAGAGCAGACTTTAGGAGCTATGAAGAGAATTTCCAAGAAAGAGGAAGTGAAACAAAGCAGGGGGTCCAGCAGCAGAGCCTGTCCCAGCAGGGTTCTCTTTCTGCACCTGATTTCCAACAAAGTTTGCCTACGACATCTGCTGCACAAGAGGAAAGAAACTTGGTGCCCACGGCCCACTCACCCGCAAGCTCTAGGGAAGGAGCAGGGCAGCGCTCAGGTTGGGGGACGAGGGTCTCCGTGGTGGCTGAAACTGCTGGGGAAGAAGACAGTCAGGCTCTGAGCAACGTTCCATCTCTCTCTGATATCCTTTTGGAAGAGTCTAAAGAATATAGACCTGGAAATTGGGAGGCAGGCAACAAGCTGAAGATTATAACTCTAGAGGCTTCCGCTTCTGAAATCTGGCCACCACGACAACTGACAAATTCTGAGAGCAAGGCATCAGACGGTGGTCTCATAATTCCTGACAAGGTCTGGGCTGTACCTGATAGTCTAAAGGCAGATGCTGTTGTGCCTGAATTGGCCCCCTCTGAAATAGCAGCATTGGCTCACAGTCCAGAGGATGCTGAGTCAGCCCTTGCTGATAGCAGAGAAAGCCATAAAGGCGAAGAGCCCACCATCAGTGTACATTGGAGAAGTCTTTCTTCCCGGGGTTTCAGCCAACCCAGACTCCTGGAGTCATCCGTGGACCCTGTAGATGAAAAGGAGTTATCTGTCACAGATTCACTGTCAGCGGCTTCTGAAACTGGAGGGAAGGAAAATGTTAACAATGTGAGTCAAGACCAGGAGGAAAAACAACTCAAGATGGATCACACTGCCTTCTTTAAAAAGTTTCTGACCTGCCCTAAAATCCTAGAGTCCTCTGTAGATCCCATTGATGAGATAAGTGTGATAGAGTACACCAGGGCTGGAAAACCAGAGCCCTCTGAAACCACACCACAGGGCGCCAGAGAAGGGGGTCAATCAAATGACGGAAACATGGGCCACGAAGCGGAAATCCAGCCGGCCATTTTGCAAGTTCCATGTCTCCAGGGAACCATTCTGAGTGAAAATAGAATCAGCAGAAGCCAAGAAGGCAGTATGAAGCAGGAGGCTGAACAAATTCAACCTGAGGAGGCAAAAACTGCCATTTGGCAAGTCCTGCAACCCAGCGAAGGCGGTGAAAGAATTCCAAGTGGATGTAGCATAGGCCAAATACAAGAAAGCAGTGATGGGAGCTTAGGGGAGGCTGAGCAAAGCAAAAAGGACAAAGCAGAATTGATTTCCCCCACTTCACCTCTTTCTAGTTGTCTTCCAATAATGACTCACGCTTCTCTTGGGGTTGACACGCACAACTCCACAGGCCAAATTCATGACGTCCCTGAAAATGACATAGTTGAGCCCAGAAAGCGTCAGTATGTGTTTCCTGTTTCACAGAAAAGGGGAACTATTGAGAATGAGCGTGGGAAACCTTTGCCCTCTTCTCCTGATCTTACCAGGTTCCCTTGTACTTCATCTCCTGAAGGAAATGTCACAGACTTTTTGATAAGCCACAAAATGGAGGAACCTAAAATAGAGGTGCTTCAAATTGGGGAAACCAAACCCCCAAGCTCATCTAGCTCCTCAGCGAAGACCTTGGCATTTATTTCAGGAGAACGTGAGTTAGAGAAAGCCCCTAAATTACTGCAGGATCCATGTCAAAAGGGCACCCTGGGCTGTGCGAAAAAGTCCAGGGAGAGAGAGAAGTCCCTGGAAGCCCGAGCAGGCAAATCGCCAGGGACCCTCACAGCAGTGACGGGGTCAGAGGAGGTCAAGAGGAAGCCAGAAGCCCCAGGCAGTGGACATTTAGCTGAGGGAGTAAAGAAGAAAATTTTGTCCAGGGTGGCAGCACTGAGGCTGAAACTGGAAGAAAAGGAAAATATCAGAAAGAACTCAGCCTTTCTTAAAAAGATGCCCAAACTCGAAACATCATTATCACACACAGAAGAGAAACAAGACCCAAAAAAGCCATCTTGCAAAAGAGAAGGAAGAGGTGAGGTTCTGTTGCTGTCCATCATTGTTAAAGTTTGGGCTTGTAGACCAGGTATCCAGTTCCTGTGTCCTCGAGGGTCCTTTGCAATTAAGGCCAGTGTCCCCCAGGTGGGCATTGATGCTATGGTTGTGGCCAAGTGGCTTCAGCATGTGGCATCAGAATCACCTGGAGGACTTGTTAAAACCCAGATTGCTCCCCTCCCCCAGTGTGTGAAATTTGCACTTCTAACAAGTTCCCAGGTGATCTATCGGGAGAACCACGATTGAGAACCACTGATAAAGGCCGCCTGTAGGCATGTCTGTTGGAGGGGAATGTGATGAAGGTGCTTTTCCGTTTCATTATCCTCTTTTACAAAATCTATTTAAAAATATAAACAGAAGCATTAATCAGTGTAGCTAATTAGTATAATGAAATAGACCATGCACTAAGCAGGATTTGTGGAAATGAATATTTTGGTACAAATTGGGATTCTCCTCTTTAATCACTGATTTTTCATTAAAAATAACTTCCTTGAACCTTGGTTTTTTCTTCCAAATTTGAGTGTAACATTTCTTTTCAACTCACCCTTCCCATTTATCTAAATCTAAAATCCTCTGAGGTCTCTGTTCTAGGTTTCAGACCACTCAAGCCTCAAAAGTCCTTGATCAACCTCTACCTATGATGCTGTTAAAAAAAAAAAAAAAGTCCTGAAATTGCAGTTAATTCTACTTTGTCTGAGGAATCATTTCAGTCCCAAATTCCATTTATAGACCAAATTTTAGCCTGTTTTATTTCAGAGCTCTTCTTTCTCTCCCCACACACCCTGGTAGAAGTCAGAAGAGAAAATATTGCAGCAAGCTACAGTGGCCTGTGTGCTCTGGAGCGAAAAGCTACGGATGGCTGATCAGAAGGGAAGAATTTTCTCCTCTCTTAACCTGAGTCCTTAGATTTTGAGGCTGGCGTTTGTTATTCCCATCCCATCAAATGGGTCCTAACCCCTGTTGCAGAAAGGTTTAAAGACAAAACTGCCTTCTGAAGAGTTTGGAAGTATCCAATCAGGTTATTAGTATCTATATTTTAAAGCATATTTAAAGAGAATGGCTCGGCATTGTGGCTCACACCTGTAATCCCAGCAATTTGGGAGGCCGAGGTAGGAGGATTGCTTAAGCCCAGGAGTTTGAGACCAGCCTGAGCAACATGGCGAAACCCCATCTCTACGAAAAATACAAAAAATTAGCTGGGTATGGTGGCGCACGTCTGTAGTCCCAGCTACTCTGCGGCTAAGGAGAATCACCTGACCCCAGAAAGTCGAGGCTACAGTGAGCTGTGATCACACCACCACACTCCAGCTGCACTCCAGCCTGGGCAACAGAGCAAGACCCTGTCTCAAAAAAAAAAAAAAAAATTAAATAGAATGAAGCAATGTTTCAAAAGCTCTCAAAATTGGTTTCAGCCCAGAGGCTGAATAGATTGCCTCTGGGGACCAGCCTCAACCCCCTTGTTTGGGGATAGGGGTTCCTTTGCAGGTAAAGGTAGACAAGCAAAACCACCTTTTTGGAATTCTTGCCTGTGACTTTTCAAGTTACCCATGGGTAAGAGGACTGTCCAGATAGGCAGTGTTGAAATCAATCGCCGTCAAAGACTTTGATTTCAGCTGCAGCACAACCTCGCCATTGCACTAAAGGCTGCAAAGACCGAGCATGCCGCCTTCTGGGAGCCACTGGTCTGAGCAAAGCAGGTAGATGCGAGGGCAGCCAGCCTTGTCCTGAGAGGGCCCTGCCGGAGACTACGGGGTAGAGACAACCAAAGACTTTTCCAGGCCAGACCACTGAAGGGTTGTTACTCATGCCACCCACAACACAGAGGCCATTAAGAGGCAAAGATTCAGTTAGAGATACTAGCGGGTGTTTGGGTCCATCTGGGGCAAGTTGTATCATGGTGGTTAGGGTATAGATTAGGAGTTATATTGCTTGGGTTCAAGTCTGGCCTCTGGCAGTACCTGGATAGCCCTGGGCAAATGCCTTAGCCTCTGGGTGCCTCACTTTCCCCACCTGTAAAATGGGGGTGCTAATGATAAGACTCCTCTCAGGTATAAAAATGCAAAGCAATTTGAATGGCACATGGCCTAACACAGCTCTCATGGTTGTTAGTTACTGTTTTTTTAAATTAGTGTTTTTAAATAAAAAATGAGGCAATGCTTATGCTCAGTATGCTTATGAAATAAATAGAGAGCTTAGTTCAGGCAAAAGATCATTGTGTCTGAGTTGATACCAACCTAGCATTAGGAGAAAGAGTGGTGCTGGCATCCACAGCTCCTCCTCTCTGAAAAACTCAGGGCCTCGGCCAGAAGGTAGGAGTCATCTGGTGACGGAGCAGGAGGGGGAGGTTCACCAGAGTTACCCTTGAGTCAGCAGGTAAATGGGAGTCCCAGGCAGGTTTTGCCCATGCCGGGGTAGGTTCTGACCCTGCAGTCCTTTCCCAGCTTCGGAGGAGTTGCCACTGGCGGCCAACCTCTCCCCTCTCGTGTGGGGATTTTCTTTGCAGAGAAAATTAGAACGGGTTTCTGGAACACTGGCACCCACTTTTCTTTAGGATCACAGCTCCCTGATCTAACTACAAACCAGCACTAGGTTATTGTACTGGAAGGGCCATCGACTGATGGGAAATAACTGCTTGACCAACATATTCATCCATTTATTAAGGACATGTTATTTTCCATGGTGACTTTGATAATGAATGCACTGAATATTTATCTAATATGAATCCACTGTGGGCACTAATCCATACGAATCAACACAGATGATGACAAGAGACAGGAAAAATAATTCTCTTCTGGCATTTACCTTTTGGAATGGCAGCATTCAGAGGGCCAGCCCTTGACAACAGCCTATTTTTTTTTTTTTTTTTTTTTTTTTTTTTGAGACGGAGCCTTGCTCTGTCACTAGGCTGGAGCACAGTGGTGCAATCTCGGCTCACTACAACCTCCACCTCCTGGTTCAAGCGATCCTCCAGCCTCAGCCTCCCGAGTAGCTGGGACTATAGGTGTGCACCACCATGCCCAGCTAATTTTTGTATATTTAGTAGAGACGGGGTTTCACCATGTTGGCCAGGATGGTCTAGATCTCTTGACCTTGTGATCTGCCCGCCTTGGCCTCCCAAAATGAGCCACCATGCCCGCATGCCCGTCCTTTTTTTTTTTTTTTTTTCAACTTATCACCTTCTAGTTGTTCGTTACGGTTTTCTAGCCGTGGGCCAATTCCTTTAAGAATCTACTCCACCATTGAGCACTCAAAGGTTTTTTATTTTGTTTTCTCAGTGTAAGCAACAGCAATTTCATTGCTTAAAAATAACAAAAGTTGCCACCAGGAAGACACCAGATTAGGAAGTTCTCCTTCCTTCTTGTGATGGCTTTTGTAAGATCCTGAGTCCTCGTCACTGCTTTCCGGCTGGTACACTTCAGACCCCTTGGCTGACATCTCGACTGTGCCCTACCCAGCAGTCTGGTACCCACCCTGCTATCCCCAAAGGAGCACAGATTTAATGCCTTCCCACCAGTTAACTGGTGGGGCGGGAGTTAGGATGAGGGGAGCAGTGACTTGGATCATTATAAAAGAAATAAACCCTAAGTAATGTTTTTAAAAAATTATTATTATTACTTTAGAGATAGGGTCTCACTCTGTCACTTAGGCTGGATTGCAGTGGCGAGATCATGGCTCACCGCAGCCTTGAACTCCTGTGCTCAACCGATCCTCCCACCTCAGCCTCCTAAGTAGCTAGGTCCACAGGCATGCGCACTGCACCTGGCTAATTTTTTTTTCTAGAGATGGGATCTTGCTATGTTGCCCAGGCTGGTCTCCAACTCCTGGCCTCAGGTGACCCTCCTGCCTCGGCCTCCAAAAGTGCTGGGATTACAGGTGTGAACCACCATGCCAGGCCTGAGTAATCGTTTTTGATGTCCAAAGCTTAGTACAACAGAAACTTTTTATTCACCGGGGACTTTACTACCGTTTTCCCTCAACACTAGCCCAACCTGCACACGGAAGAAAAAACTAGCTGCACTCCAGGTCTCCTTTGAGCTCGTTCAGCTGCACTTTCCACCTCTGTCTCACATAGTCAGGGGTCCTATCCAAAGCCCAAAGCCCCTCGGCTAAACAAGCTTCAAATCTCCCACAGACCATCCATCATTCAGTTCTGCTGCCCATTTCATGCCCTTCCCGCCATCCTCCAATTTTCCTTGTGTTCGGTACAACAGGTTCTGGCAGGCTTAGGAATATTTAGGTGTCCCCACATCACCCATGAAGCCGGCCACTGCATGGTGTTGGAAAGACCCTCTAGGAAATGGCCCAGATGAGGAGGTGGGCTTGGTCGAGACCTGGACCAAGAGTTTGACATTGTGAACCTGAACACGGTCTCAGCTTGGGCAGGAACCAGCAGGCCCAAATGCACTGATGCGGGTTTGCCATCAATACGTACTTGTTACATTTTCTCTCTCTCTCAATTATCCACTTGGCTCCCAGGATACTGTTAGCAGTCTTGGTTACTCTCTGGTTGAAAGATTTGCTACCCAACAGGCCCATTATCACTTCCAGGGTAGAGAATTAGCTTTTAAATATGCATTCTGTCATCCTAGCATCTGCTGGTGCCAAGGAGAGATGAGAAGCACCTTGAATTCATGGATATTTTCACCGTAGTATAATTTGAGGCAGTGGAGCAAAGTCTCAGTATTGGTGATCTTGGTTTGGCTACGGATTACATATGTTTTATACTGATGTACTTTTTTGTGTTACCAACGCTGTGGAGTTATGCTACTTAATTTGTGATAGACTCACACATCTGCAGTAATCTCATTTCCTACCCAATTGTTACGACCACTCGGGACAGGGGCCTCATCCTTGTCTTGTTCTAATGTCTAGGCTGCCGCCCAGTGGCTGCCCTAGCTAATTACACATTAGCATGCTAATTGTTCCTCACTGATATTGATACTGAGGTGATATTTCAAAGGTCTCAGCCCAACCAGTGGGAATTGTTTCCTTATTGCTTCTATTCTCTTTTGCTAATGAGGTTGATATCAGACATCACTCCAATCTACTAGGTTATCTTCAGCAAAGACAAGTGTGATAAAAGGGAAAAGATGAATATTATTCAGCCAATAACCTATTGTTGAGGTGTCTTTTACATTTTGGGGGCTTAGCCGTAGTTTTTTGGATAATCCAGATTTTATTCTACTCCCTAATTCCTAGCTCTGATTTCGACCTGGATGATCTGGTAATCATTTAAAAACATCTTTATTTGGATGAGATCCTATAGAATAGATATCTAAAATCCTCCCACCTCTCATCCCCTTTAGAAAAAATCTCTCAAGTTCTATTTCACTTTAAGCATTACAGGCTGCACCTAAAGAATTTTAAGTAATGGAAGTGAGCATTTTCTATTAGATTGATTTGTAAATTTTCCGACTATTTAGGCAAGCCACCTCTCCCCTCAGAGACTCAATTCTCACTTCCATAATTGGGGATAATAATTAATATTCCTGTCTCTCAGGATTGTTATGAGAATTAAATGGTATGAAATGGGAAAGTCTTTTGTTACACTGACCTTCAAATATCTTGTTTCTAGCTCCAGTATTACTGAAAAAGATCCAAGCTGAGATGTTCCCTGAACACTCTGGAAATGTAAAATTAAGCTGCCAATTTGCAGAAATTCATGAAGATTCTACTATCTGCTGGACAAAAGATTCAAAGTCCATAGCCCAAGTGCAGAGAAGGTGCGATGTTTTTCCCTGGTTACTTTTCACAGTTGTTGCTTGTTTATTTCACAACATGGTTGTAAAAAAGAAAAAAGAATAAATTATAGGACGTGAAAAGGAAAATTGAAGCAGAGATTCCACATCCACAATATTAAAAAAGACTAAATATCGGAAGACAAGTGTCTGGATGGGGAAAATGATGGAGGATTCTTGCCCAGGTTTTGCCAGAATTGAGTTCTGGGGTTTTGGGAAGTCACACAACCTTTCACTACATTTTTTAAATCAGGGGAAGGAACATGTCAAATGATATTCTAGTCTGAGGTTCTGTGGTCCTAAGATTAAAGAGCTCTCATCTGTATGTCTGTGAATTTAACTTGGGTGTGTTTTCTGTTTCATAAATTCCCAGTAATCTGATAAAGGTCAAACAAAGCTAAGGAGATGAATAAAAACAACAACAACAGCAATCTATGAGGTTACAGAAAAGTAACAGCTATTGAGGGTGACCAGCAGCCATCACTAAGATGGGAAAACCTGTTTATTTCTGGGTCCCTATGATTTTTATTTTTATTTTTGAGACAAGGTGCTACTCCCATCTCCCAGGCTGGAGTATAGTGGTGCAATCACGGCTCACTGCAGCCTCCACCTCCTGGGCTTAAGTGATCCTCCCACCTCAGCCTCCCGAGTACCTAGGATTACTGGAGCACACCACCATGCTTGGCTAATTTTCTTTTGTATTTTTAGTAGAGACAGGGTTTTGCCACATTGCCCAGGCTGGTCTTGAACTCCTGGCCTCAAGTGATCCACCTGCCTCAGCCTCCCAAAGTGCTGGGATTACAGGAGTGACCCACTGCGTCCAGCCATGTCCTTAAGATAATAAAGGAGAGAAGAATGAGGAGGCAAGAGATGAGCGTGAGAATCATTGCCAAGAATATCCCCTGTGGAATAAACCTGATTACTGGCTTCCTTAAGCAGCTTTTCTTGGCAATAAATGCTTGTTCAAGTGAACTGATGAATTCAAGCTTCATCTGACACAATCTAGAAACAAATCACCTGGTTCAAAAGTCAACCCTCTGCCAAAGGGTTCCCAGTTTAGCTCCCTAAGAAATGGGAGGGGTTCCAATCCCCTTAATTTTGTCACCAGTAGACTGAAAAAGTGAGAAAATCTGAGTTTTCTGTTTAATTAAATCATATATGTCTGCTTGGAACATATGTCTGGAAACTATTTCTCAAATGTAATCATGGAATACTTGAGCTATGATTTCATTTCTACTAACATCACTCCAGAGCATCTAACTGGATTGTAATTGATAGCATAACCACTTTGCCTAAAATGTCACCATTACCCTGCCTGTCTTAGGTATGGCTTAAGAATTATTATAAAGGAAAAGAAATGGTTTGCTTTTTAAGTCAAGGAGGTTCCCTAGAGCTTCACTTAAAAAGGTACTAATTATTCATTTTAAATTATTTTCTGAAGCTGTCAGCCAAGAGCAATTAACCAGTATTTTCACTGTTTTTCCATTCATCAGCCTTGCTCTGAGCTCAGAATTACCACTTGAATATTTGCGGGTCCCTTTTCCATTTGATGTGTATTTACGATAAACCTAACCTTCCCCTGGGGAGCATATGTCATTAGTAAGCATTCTACTTACTGATGACGCGTGGCTAAGGCCTTTGATTCCTAGTGATGTTTGCTTCATTTCTCCTTGGTGACAGTGTCTGGCTTAGTTGAACCCATTTGCTTTCTCCATGCTAACACTTGAGAATATTTAAGAGTTATAATTCATTTGTTTATTGAGAGATCATTTATATTATTTCAAGTGGGTTTTCAAATGTTTGCTAATTTCTCTCATGCCTACTTCCAGTCCAGCGTTTCCCTTCATTTGTGCCTCCATGAAATATGTCACTGTCTTGTATCATTTTCAAAGAGTTGAAATCTCTCAAATATAATATGAACGTGGAGCAAAGGTCTTCTTGAACTTACTAAATCATGAGGGAACCTGTACAATGGCAAGAGTTGTTCAAAGGAGCATTTGAGGAATGAAGATTTAGATAGTCCATCAGGCAAAGGAATGCGGAAATACATTTTGAAATAGATATAAAACTGGTTAATGTTTGACAGGTAATAAACTTTGGGAGTTATCTTTTCTACTGCACAGAAACCTAAAAGTTAACCTGTAACTTAAAGTGTCTGAGTGGGTTCTGTGTAAATGGGAAATAGCAAAGCATTCTCTTTCACTAGATCATCCTCAATGATCCTGTTGAACAATGACTGTGATCCTCTTCCTTTGTCCGCAAGTTTTGGGTACTTTCCTTAACAGGCTAAAGCGTGGAAATTAGGTGTCAGAAGACTTTCTTGTGGGTAGGGCAAGACTAATATACTTCGAAGAAACCAAGAAGAAGAAAGTGGTAGCTTGGTTTGAGTCTCTGTGTAGCAGTGGCATGTCTTGGCTTCATGGAGACCTCAAGGTGGCACCCTCTGGTGCTATTTGGCCATCAGTACCTTCTTGGTAACCAGGAACCCATTCTCCACTCTGGGGAGAGAGGTCCTTCTGAGTTCCCTGGGCTTTTGAAAGGGCAGCTGTCCACGTAGAGCGGCCCTACTGATAGCTGAGCAAGGTCATGGAGCACAGGTCATGTTGTTCCCGCTGGGAACCAGTGGATGAGGAGCTGGCTGCTGGGATGGGAGGATCTCCTTGGATGGCCCTGGGAGAAACAACCCGAGGACTTCTCAGCCCAGACTGAGTGGTGGGTGGGGGTGCTGCCAAGCCCTGGCTCCTTAGGGCTGGTGATGGATGATGGGATCTCTCAGAGAAGTCCCCATGCTAAGTACCCTCTCCCTGCAGCCAACTTCACTCTTTGTGTTCTTCTGATCACACTCTGGACATGGGCTTCTTTTGCATTTGTCTGCACAGCTAATCACCACTGCTGTTCTGCTGTCTGTAGCCATTTCCTAAGGTAAAAAGATTTGTCCCTTACAGGGTAAGAGGATATGAAACTGAACTTACCCTCTTGGTTAAAAAAGGCACAAGATCACTTGTTACTGCTTTCTACAGCTGTATTGGTATTTTCTGTTTGTCCATTTCCTCCCAGACTAGAAGACCCTCAAGGGCAAGGACTGTGCCTTTTTTTTTTTTTTTTTTTCTTTTTCATCATTGAATCCCCCAGTACTAAGCACAGAGCAGATACTCCACAAATGTTGGATAGAACTCTTTGGGACTTCCGAGGTAGTTTTGTATCATGGAGAAAGCACACTAATACTACTGTTCCCCACTAATACTACTGCTCACCACGAAGTAATGACTCGTGACCACGCTCAAGACTGGGCTTTTCGCTGAAGCTTCACACGCCGGTGTCATGACACGTTACTCCTCATGACACATCTGAGCGGTGATCTTGCTCATTCTGCTTTCACAGAGGAGGAAATTGAGGGTGACAGGCTACATAGCACACCTGAGGTCGGCCTCAGGGTTGGGATCCAGACCTTTCTGACTCCTACATGTATTCCTTCTAGAAGAAAGCCTTGGGTGGGGACCATGGGCCAAGCCAGGAAAAACGGTCTTCGTGGTTCTGGGCCAAGTATCAGAGAATTTCTAGGCTGGAAGGAAGATGTTCACAGGACAGTTCTAGTTCAGCCCCCAGCCCTTCGGGTAGCCCTTGCCTTCCCCTTTCAATGACAGAAAGGCTGTGCCAATCCTAGAGCCTTGGAGAAGGACTTTCCACAAGCCTCCTCTGTGGCCCACTCTGTGTTTTACTGCCCTGTCCGGAAGTCTTCCCCTTATAACTGGACTTGTTCACATCCAGTTTTAACCATACAGTGGGATATGTTCAGAGACCCCAGGAATGAAGGAAGTAGAATGGTTTAGTGAACTTTGTTTTAAGCCACTGGTATATTCCAGGGAAGGAATGTATATATTGGAGGCTTGAAGTCTATTGAAAAACCAACCAATAATGAACACTGTTTTTGAACATGCAACTGAGACAAACTCAAGCTAGGTGAATTTTTGTTGTTAAACTATGAAACGAACCCAAGCTAAAATGTACACCACACACATGTATACACATACATACACAGAATCTTGGTGAATGTTTAAACAAAGTTCATTTTAAAGAACAAAACCAGAACAACGTCTGAATATCCTTTTTTTTTTTTTTTTTTTGCTGTAGAGTAAGTTTTTTGTTTGAGACTTTGGAATAAATATGTGGCTCTCCCTATGTTTCAAATTATCCCAGACTTGAGGGCGGGAACCATAATTTACTTGGGGAGGCAGCTTAATGAAGTCAAAATCATTTGCTTAAATTTTTCTATGCCTCAGTTTCCTCATCTGCAAACTGAGAATAGTAAACATAGTTCTCTCATTAGGTTGTTCTGAGGGCATCATGAAATTGATCTTTATGTGATTTGGCACAATGCCTGGTACATACCAAATGCTCAGTGCACATTAGCTATTGGCATCATCATCACTGTCATCATCACCACCAATATGACCACCACCACCAGTTTTAGTTTTCATAGCACAGTGACCGGAACTTAATAATTTTGGGTGAGTGAATGGTTCGATGGTTGGTACCTCACTAGGGGAGTACAGGACACTATTACAAAGGGGCCCTCAGTCACGAATCCTTATGTAGCATAAAGCTAAGAACCCCGTTTTCTCTTGTCCCTTATTGTATCTGTATAAGTTTGGGTTTGGAGTTATCAGACTTTCCTTCAAGCACAGGACACCCGGATTAGTCACATAATTGAGCTGAATTCTGAGCAGAAATGTTAACAACAGCTCCCAGAATTCACAATTTCAATTCTTTGCTCTACTCATGGCAGTTAAACCTACTGCTTATTGGAGTGAGCGTGTTAGCCAAAATGTAATGACTCTCCTCTGTGGATAAATCAATTATTTAAACAGCTGATCGTGATTTTGCCCTTTGGGCAGCTCACTGGCTGAAAACATGTGAGCAGGGAAGTCTTAGCTTCTTTCTCCTTAAGTATATTAGGAAAAAATGCAACTGTAGAATGATGAAGTGTGTCAATGTGAATATTCCTCATTGCAGTGCAGGGGACAACTCCACTGTTTCCTTTGCCATCGTGCAAGCCAGTCCGAAGGACCAGGGACTCTATTACTGCTGCATCAAGAACAGCTACGGAAAAGTGACTGCTGAATTTAACCTCACAGCTGAAGGTAAACCACAGTTTTCAATGAAAAACCACTGGCCCCTGCCCGTTCACAATGGACATCTGTACTGAAGCCATTCTCTGCTTTGTCTTCTTCTAGTTCTCAAACAGCTGTCAAGTCGCCAGGATACTAAAGGTAAGTCAGTTAGGGTTGACCTGCCAGAGGAAATGGGCTTACTGTAAAGCATAAAATAGCTCCCAGAGGAAAGAGTAGAAGCAGTAATCCTCTGGACTCTTCCAACCGAGAAGGAGAGCTATGGCGTGACTTAAGAAATGAATGCCATCAGAGAAATGCAAATCAAAACCACAATGAGATACCATCTCACACCAGTTAGAATGGCGATCATTAAAAAGTCAGGAAACAACAGGTGCTGGAGAGGATGTGGAGAAATAGAAACACTTTTACACTGTTGGTGGGACTGTAAACTAGTTCAACCATTGTGGAAGTCGGTGTGGTGATTCCTCAGGGATCTAGAACTAGAAATACCATTTGACCCAGCCATCCCATTACTGGGTATATACCCAAAGGACTATAGATCATGCTGTTATAAAGACACATGCACACGTATGTTTATTGAGGCACTATTCACAATAGCAAAGACTTGGAACCAACCCAAATATCCAACAATGATAGACTGGATTAAGAAAATGTGGCACATATACACCATGGAATACTATGCAACCATAAAAAATGATGAGTTCATGTCCTTTGTTAGGGACATGGATGAAATTGGAAATCATCATTCTCAGTAAACTATCGCAAGGACAAAAAACCAAACACCGCATGTTCTCACTCATAGATGGGAATTGAACAATGAGAACACATGGACACAGGAAGGGGAACATCACACTCTGGGGACTGTTGTGGGGTGGGGGGAGGGGGGAGGGTTAGCATTAGGAGATATACCTAATGCTAAATGACGAGTTAATGGGTGCAGCACACCAGCATGGCACATGTATACATATGTAACTAACCTGCACATTGGGCACATGTACCCTAAAAGTATAATTAAAAAAAAATCAGAAAAAAAAAAGAGAAAGAAATGACAATTCATGAGCCAATTCAAAGTGAATGTAGGGCCATACTTCCTATTGTAAGTTCATTAGACTACAGATATCCAGAATTGGATGCTACACTGTAGCAGTGGAGTTTTGGGGAACACGTAGAGGGGGAGTTTGGATTTGACTTTTCCCTTTAAGCATCGGTCTTGCATTCAGCCCTTCTGCATGGGATTTTTCAGCTACTGGGACTTATTACAGCTTGTTTTGTTTGTTCAATTTTCCTTTCAGTTTGACTAGCTGAGCAGATTCCCAAAGACAGCCAGGTGTCTGAAGGATCACTCCATTCGTTTGTGTCTTAAGGAAAACAAAAGATGGGTTTCTCTGCTTTCTTTTGGCACCTGGTGTTAGCCACAGCCTAACACTGCTGCTCATGAATGCTCGTGATGTCCCCGGGCCTCCCACTGAGTTTTCCACAGTTTGGTGGAATCTGTGTTTGCCGTGTCTTCCCTCTTAAGGAGAATTACTCACCCACCTACGCCCACCCATGCCCACCCTTGCCTGGTGGTGTGCTGGGGTAAATATTTAACAACATGCTGAGGGTTGGGGAAGTTCTGAGTCCTACAATTTCCATGATGTAAATACTCTCAGTGTGGCCACTCTTAAACCACCAGTGTGACATCACACATCATGGGACTGGGAAGAGCCGCCCGTCATCAGCTCTCAGGAGCTGCAGAAGGCCAGCTCCACATACCACGGTGGTCCAGCCTCACCCCATGTGATCATGACTTTCAGCACAGGGGAGGATCCACGGTCAGTTTTAGGAGAAATTGGATAAATTCTGACAGTTAATTGAACTAGCATCTTAAAGATTTACTGCATGTACTGAGTTTTAAAACAAACAGAACGCCTGAAATCTCTGCAGAAACAGGTAATAAAAGTAATCAAAATGCAGTCACATCCAGTGTATCAAAAGTAAGAAACTGAGATCTCGACTTAGAAATGGTCTAGCAATAGGCCAGGCGCGGTGGCTCACGCCTGTAATCCCAGCACTTTGGAAGGCCGAGGCGAGTGGGATCACGAGGTCAAGAGATCAAGACTATCCTGGCCAACATGGTGAAACCCCGTCTCTACTAAAAATACAAAAATTAGCGCGGCATGGTGGCACGCACCTGTAATCCCAGCTACTCAGGAGGCTGAGGCAAGAGAATGGCTTGAACCAGGGAGGTGGAGGTTGCAGTGAGCTGAGATCACGCCACTGCCCCCCAGCCTGGCGACACAGCAAGACTCCATCTCAAAAAAAAAAAAAAAAAAAGAGAGAGAGAAAGAAAGAAAAAGAAATGGCCTAGCAAATATTGTGATATTAACCCAAAATAGTAAACTTAAATACAAGCTCTTCACAAACCCACTCAGATGCTAAATACCCGTCTTTAGTGTGTAGCATACATGTGTTATAATTTAAAATCCTTCCTCTATTTCTGCTCTCATCTCCCCAGAAGGCAAAATATGCAAAAGAATCCCCTTACTCCTAATACTTCAGAAAATAAGAAGACTCTCAGAAGGGAGTCTCTGTTTCATCAGCTTCTTAGCATTGATTGGCATTCACATCTCAGACACTTGTTAGGTTTCATTGGTTTAGGTGTGCATGAGCTCATTTCTCAAGGATTACTAGTCAGGCGAGAGACCCCAGTGGGGATAAGCTACTGGCCACTTGGTGGAAATGGTACCACCGCTATAGCCCAGTGACTCCAGCCGTAGAGCCTGGGTCTGAACCCTGATGACATCACCTTCTCCCAGCTTCTGGCCCCATTGTGACTGGGGGTGTCAGTTTCACTGACTCACCCGGCTGGGGAAGTAACTCCTGGCCCCTCCCTATCCTTGTACCTTCAGATAAAGAAGCTGAAAATTACTTTTATTTTATTTCTTTGAGACAGGGTCTCACTCTTTCATCCAGGCTGGAGTGCAGTGGCACAATCATAGCTCACTGCAGCCTCGGCCTCCTGGACTCTAATGATCCTCCCACCTAAGCCTCCTGAGTAGCCTGGACTGCAGGTGCTCACCACTGCACCCAGCTGATTTGGAAAATTACTTTTAATCACACTTTTTTTAAATTCAGAGGACTATCTCACTAAACAGTTTATTAATTTAATTCTCTATAGGAGGAATAAATAATCTTTTACAAGATGGTCTCTAATTTAAAAAACTAATAAAGCTAAGCTCATGAGAAAGTTGGAAATGAATGATGGACCAAATGAAGCCCAATTTAATGATGTTATTTTGTTTTATGAATATATTTGTAGATTGCTTTTCTGCACCTCGGAGCAGTCTTTGTAACCAGTGGCTGCAGGTATCCACATGGTTTCTCTGAGTTGAGGATTTGGATTTCACAATGTATGGGTGTAGCAAGGAACCTCAGTGAGGCATTTGAATCTCCCAACACTCATCTGACGAGTCTGTCTGGTGGATTCCAATGAGTCTCTCCTGATTCTTTTTTTTTTTTTTTTTTTTTTTTTTGAGACGGAGTCTCATTCTGTCACCCAGGCTAAAGTGCAATGGCAAGATCTCGGCTCACTGCAACCTCCACCTCCCAAGTTCAAGCAGTTGTCCTGCCTCAGTCTCCCAAGTAGTTGGATTACAGGCACCTGCCACCACACCTGACTAATTTTTTTCTATTTTTAGTAGAGATGGGGTTTCATCATGTTGGCCAGGCTGGTCGGGAACTCCTGACCTCAGGTGATTCACCTGACTTGGCCTCCCAGAGATCTGGGATTACAGGTGTGAACCACCACACCCGGCCTCTCTTGATTCTTTCTCATGGAACTGCCACCTCTCAGGGACTTTGGGCAGCGTGGAGTGTGAGTCCTGGCAACGGATGGCTCTGCAAAGCTGCAAAGAAAATTGCACCTTCTTCACAACCTGAGACTTGCAGTGCTACACTCGTGCTTTTCCTAAGCCTCCCCTCAGGTGCTCAGTTCTCCTGTTACCTTCATTACTCTTACCAGGGAAGAGATTGGTCTAAAGGATGAAGTCTTGCCTCCATCTCTCACTTTAAAAGAGGTGCAAACTCTAACCAAGAGGACGCGCTCATTTCAGCCATCGCTGAGGAAGACAGTTTTGGACAGGCTGTCCTTTCAGATTTCTGCAGAGCTACAGAGTCTATACCTTCTGCTTCTGCAAAGGAAGGCCCAATAGATGAGTTTCAGCTTGGAAAGTTCCACCTAGAACTCCAGCTCTTGCTCTGCAGGATTTTCAAGAGACAAAGAATACGTCTAAGATTTTTTTTTTCTTTCATGTTTTTATCTTTGTCAAATAAGCATTTCTGTTGGAAATTATAGACAGGGTTGTTAATTATACCACGTATGGTACTATACAAACAAATTTTCCTTCCTACTTTCTAAGCATATGGCCTGGACCAACTTTTATCTTCAGTTAATTAGATTTGCTGAATTTTAAAGCATAGGGTGCACAAGCTTTTTACTTTTAATAATTAAATTTTAGAAATGTGAGGATTTTGAAGGAAGACAGGATATGGCAGATATAATACATGTTTATTGGGCTCTGGTGTATGTACATATAACATTTCCTATACTCTGTTAGTGGTATTAGAGGCCAAATTGTTAAAATTAATCATATAACTAGAATGAAACTGAGAAGGTTTGGGATACAGAAAAGCATTCCCTCTATTTTCTCACCTAATTTTTAAATTTAACTGTTAAAATAAAACTGTGCTTTTCTCCATCAATTAATTTTTTTCCTGGTTCCGTTACTTAGAGTAAAATCTGTGACCCAGCTATTGCCTAAAACTTTATCTGAGAAAATGTCCCATTTGCCTGTTTTCCTGCAGCTCCAACCCAGTTCTCTCCAGAAACCTAGGACAGGTTACTCAGTAGGAGTTATTGGGGAAGAAAAATAATTTATTCTTCAGTCCTCATAAGTTCTTAGTTGGAACAGATCCCTGTAACAAAAGATTAATGAGAGAAATCAAACAAGTTTATGAACATGTATAATTCATATATACATGGGAGATACTCCAGAAGTGCTCATTTAAGAAGGGGTTTGAATTCCAGCTTATACAGCATCTACAACAAAGAATGGTGCATTTTTAGAGAAGTGACAGGGCAGAGGGAAGGACTTTGAGTAGGTAAGGGCAGTAGCTTGTGGAAAGGCATTTCCACAGCCCTGGAAAATCTCCCAGCATCTGGATTCTCATTAATGCTTGTTAATGGCTGGTGTCCATCTCCAGGCCCATCAGGGTCTAAAGTTGTCTTCAGTCATTAACCTTTGTTCTTCCTGGTAGAAGGGGGAGTAGAATATTTTTTGTCTTTATAAATTTATGTCCTGATTTTAGGCAAATAGAGGGAAGGCAGAGAGCTTTCTTGCCTCTGCTTCTTCTTAATTACCTTCAGCTCAACAATGCTTTTACCAAAGAGGCAGATTTGAGGGTGGCATATTCAGGGGTCCCATAGTCTTCTGCTAGCCTTTGTGAAAATGCTAGGAGCACCTTTAGGAATATCCTCTTTCTTCAAGCAGATTCTAGCTCTTCACCTAGTTTTTCTGTTTGAAAATCCACCAAACCCCACTCCCTTTCTTTCTTTCTGGCAGTAATTAGGCCGAGACCTTAATCAATACCCGATCAGAATAGTTTCAGTCTCCTTATAGTTTTAATAGCTACCATCAGTCTCAAATCGTATGATTTTAAATATTTTGAAAAGAAGAGAAAAATATTTCCTGAAGCATGTATATAGAAATGTGAAGTAAGATTTTTCACACAACCCATGATCTCTTTCTTCTTGTAAACATTCAGAAAGATGTCAGTTTTCATCAGTTTTGAGAAGTGGAAAGGATTTAAAAATCCAAACAATCTTATTTCATTGAAAGCCACCTAATTTTCTTCTCTCAGTGAATGAGAAGTCTGATTGGGTCATCTCTAGTTTAAAGTGGACCTTCCTGATTAAATTCACTGTCATCTCAAACATGTGTAGAATCCACTCTGCAAAAAAAAACAGCTGTTAGAAAACTTAAAATAATTCTACTTTTCTTTTTACAAATAAATGCAAAATAATTCTACCTTTTTTTCGATTTCTCTTCAAAGGCAATTCTTTTTATTATTTTTTTGTTTTGTTTATTGCTACCTGTTTCCTATACTTATCACATGCTTTCTCAATGGAGGCAGTATTGCTACCAAGAGGACCAACATTGGTTCTTGGGAGGCAAAAAAAAAGTTACTCTTTTTCTGTATAAAGAACAAATATACATATGGTACATAAACAGATAGTATATTTGTGGTATTAAACTTTCATGGCAGGCAATTAAAACAAATTCCAGCAAAGATTCCGTGGTTGCGGGGGGTGGGGGGCAATAATGAAAGAAAGGTTGGTCCGATATTATCAGATCTTATCATTGGTCTTTCTTCCCTCCTCTACACTTTTCCCATCTTTTCAACTTGACTTTTGTTACTTTGCTTGGTTCCACTTATATTTTCCAGATCTGTCTAGAATTCTTTTCCTGATCTTTCCAGTTTTGCTCCAACCCATCCCTGATGTTCCCACATTCTCATTCAATGACCTGTCTCCTCCTCACCAAACCACTCATCTCTTCTTTTAGCTATGCCTCTTTTGAAGGGTTAAGTGTGTCTGCCCCCTCTTGGTTCTGCAGGTCAGCCTTGTCATTGTCCTTATGTGGGGACCCTCCCCATGTGGAGTTAGCCAAGGAGCAGGACTGGGAGGTATTCTTTCCAACCAAAGCTGTGCTGTGTTTCAGGATGTGAAGAGATTGAATTCAGCCAACTCATCTTCAAAGAAGACTTCCTCCATGACAGCTACTTTGGGGGCCGCCTGCGTGGTCAGATCGCCACGGAGGAGCTGCACTTTGGAGAAGGGGTTCACCGCAAAGCCTTCCGCAGCACAGTGATGCACGGCCTCATGCCTGTCTTCAAACCTGGCCATGCCTGTGTGCTTAAGGTGCACAATGCCATTGCCTATGGGACCAGAAATAATGATGAGCTCATCCAAAGGAACTACAAACTCGCTGCCCAGGTGGGTCCATCTGCCCAAAGGCTGTCACTTCTGGTGTGAGAACCACCCATGATAAGACGAGATGAAAATCAGACTCAGGATTGATGGGAATATCTTCAAAAGGGTGTTTTTCCTCTTTTGGGGTTTCAATTCAATCTCAATGCTGGGGATCACTTCTCAATTCTCGGGAGTAATTTCTTGGCCTTATGCCAGCTACTGGGGACTCAGCCAATGCCTAGAGACACCTCACCAGTTCTAACCCGAGATATAATTGATTTTGTTTCTAAGAAGCCCTATGACATCCCTGGCGGTTTGAGTCTACTTGGACCTAGGATGATATGGAAAGTGGGGGTTCTAAGCTACACTAGATGCCAGGGTCTCCAGGAACAGATAACATCAGCACTAGTTGCTGGAGTGTTTTGTTTGGTTTTGTTTTGTGGAGAGGGAGAGGGGTGGGGTATACCCAGAAGGGTCAGCATTGGTCTTGTTTTCTGCCTTCCTGAGTTTGGTTTAATGGTAGTGTATAAAATATAGGAAGAGAGACAGACCCAAGTCTCTAGCTGAGTTCCCACTTCTCTGTGTTATTGAGTCATAGAACTCGAGGTGAGAGGATAGGGCAGGAGAGCCTTAGCTTCTCTCGCTCCTTCCTCCTCCTATCCACATATTTGGTCCATATATTTCACTCCGTCTTTTTTTTTTTTTCTTTTTTGAGACAGTGTCTCACTCTTTCCCCCAGGCTGGAGTACAGTGGCATGATCACGGCTCCACAGCAGTCTCGGCCTCCTGGCCTTAAGCAACCCTCCTGCCTCAGCCTCCCAAGTAGCTAGGACTACAGGCGCATGCCATCACGCCCAACTAATTTTTATTTTTTTTTTCAGAGACAGGGTCTCCCTATGTTGCCCAGGCTGGTCTTGACCTCCTGGAGGGTTCCAAGTGATCCTCCTGCCTCTGCCTCCCAAAGTGCTGGGATTACAGGCATGAATCACCACACCTGGTCCACATATTTCACTGTTTACACCGGCACTGGTGTAGCTGTCAAGAAAGTTGGGTCTTTCACCAGCTCTGTGCCCCTTTAAAATGTTTACCATAAACATCTAAAACAATTAAAACATTTAAAATATTAAAATCCATAGGTTAAACTTAGATGAATCTCTCAGGTACAGTCAAGCATTAAGCATCGTGATCCTGCGGCACTGCCACGTGGGACTTTGTGCTTCTGAAGGCAGCCTTGCTCTCTGAATATAGTGTTCTGCCCATTGTATTCCTTTCTTCTCCCAATCCACTCTGCTTTTTTCTTTTCTCTCTCAGTATTCCCTCCATCTCAAATATGACACAGTCTTGGAAAACCTCCCAGCATCTGGATTCTTGCTCAGAAAAGCCCCACAGCATAGGATGCAGAATCCACTTAGCTTTTCCTAAGGCAGAAATCCTGTGCTGTTCATTATTGACTACTCCAATTACACCTTTGAAAAGGGTTTGCAATGGCAGATCTCACAGGAAACCCAGTAGTGCCCCAAGTGCCACCTGATGACGTGATGAGGGGCCAGTCCCCTTAGTTCTGGGGTGAATTTCGGCCCTGCCGGCTCGAGAAATTTTATAGTTCAGGGACACCTGGTCCTGGAGACCACTTGATCTCCACCCGGACAGTTCCTTGACGTCTCAGAGCTCCTCCCTAAGTGGCCAACTCTAGGTTCTAATAATCGTTGCCTCTGTGACCCCAACCAGGGGATGGGCTTGTCAGTTCATTGGCTTTACCTTACTGGGAAATCTCCTGAATAGTCTTACTGGGCAATACTGTCTGAATTTCCTGTAGTCACTGGGGCTTTCTATGTATTTTGGCGATATAGGAATGCTATGTTCAAAATACTGCCAGGTATTATGCCAAGATCTACGCTGCTGAAGCACAGCCTCTGGAAGGCTTTGGAGAAGTACCTGAGTAAGTGTGTTTACCCTGCCTTGTGTCACACTCCTGACTCGTTGGGGACTAGGAGGGACGAGAGAGTGAGAAGGAACAGTAGGGCAAGTGTTTCAGCTGATCTCTCAGTCTGTAAGCTCCATGAGGGCTCACACGGCTGCTATCCTACCCCTTGCTGGGTAGGATATTTAATATTATATAATATAATAATATTATATTTAATATTTAAGAAGATAAATATTCTTTAAATAAATGAATGGATGGATGGATGGGTGTATGGATTAATCCAGCCAATAAATGAATCTACCATGTTAAATAGAAAAGAAAGGATATCTACTCTCATAGCTATTACATTGTCTAAACAGTAAGCAAATAGAACAGAACAAGAGATATCACAAGGCGATTAGTCCCATGATGAAAATAAAATATGGCAATGTAATAGGGAAGAGTGGATTGGGTGATCAGAAACATAGTAACATAGTACCTGCTTCCTGGAATCCTCCAGAGATAAATCACACCCACTTTTATCTGCTCTTTGCCTAAATATTTACTGGCCCAAGCAAATTTTGGGGAGCCTGGAGCTTGTGTTTGCAGCTCTGTTTTGTCTGGTTGAGATCATATTTGCATGCTTAAATGGACAGAAAAAGGGCTTAGCTAGTGCATGTTGGAACTTTCAGACAGAGCAGCTATTTACCTATGAGTAAAAACTGGGAGAAGGAAGAAGGAAGAAATTCTTGTCTGCATTGCACCTGTTAACTCACAAAATGGGAAAAATAGTTTCCCTTGGGTGGTACATTTGGAAGACCATGTGTAAAGTATAACACTTTCTGCTCTTTCTCAAGAAATGCTTAACACACTTCAGTACCCACTTACAATTGCTTTTCTGTTAATTACACAGACAGCCATCTGGACTGAGTTAAGCTTTCATGATATGGGAACTGGCTCCTTTTTTCCCCAAGCCCCGCTCTTCCCAGTGTCTGTCCTCTTAAGTTTTCTTCAAAAAAGAAAAGATTTAACCCACAAGTCAACCCTACCACACACAGAACCACAGTGCCCTCCAGCAGGGACAGACCCAAGTTTTGTGTGGCTTGACTCTTATGCAATTTGGGCTTCTTTCTTTCCTTTCTGTTTTATTTTTTTTAAGAGACATGGTCTCCCTCTGTTGTCCAGGCTGGAGGGCAGTGGTGCAATCACGGCTCACTGCAGCCTTGACCTCCCGGGCTCAAGTGATCCAGCCTCCAAAGTAACTGGGACTACAGGTGCTCACCACCACACCTGGCTAATTAAAAAAAATTTTCTCGTAGAGACAGGGTCTCTGTATGTTGCCCAGGCTGGCCTACAACTCCTGGCCTCAAGTGATCTTCCTGCCTCGGCCTCCCAGAGTGCTGGCGTTATAGGCATGAGCCACCATGCCTGGCAAATTTGGGTCCTTTTTAAAGAAAAGAACACAAAATTGTAAATAATTGATCTAGGGACTTGGAAAGGGCTCATGCAAGTGAAGGATCAGGAGGCTGATTCATTTGCTGCATTAGCATCACAGTAAATAGGCCACTGCCTTAAAGATAGGTTAGGACATTTTTCTATCTAAACCACTTTCCCATTCCTTACAAGGGGACAGTTTGTGACCACATGAATGCTGACGGTACATGGGAGGAGTAAGGGGCCTCAGAAGGGCCTCTGGGCCAGACTCCATGTTTATGGAACCTAAATCAGAGGACTCCACAGCCAAAAAACACACATACACACCCCCTACACAAACAACACTCACCATACACACACACATACCACACAAACAACACTCACCATACACATAAACACACCCACAACACAAACACACACCCCACACACACCCCCACACCACACATACATACCACACAGATTACATACAAACACACACCACATACAACACACATACCACACACACACCACACACAAACACACAACACTCACCATATGCACAAACACACCACACCACACACAAACCACACACCACACACACCCCACATAAACACACAACACACACCACACACACACCACACATACACACACCACACATACAACACACACACCACACACCCCACACACCCCACACATCACACATACACCACACACATACGCATTACACACCCCCACACACACCACACATACAACACACCACACACACACCACATACACACACACACACACCTCATACATGCACCTCACACACATCACACACACCCCCACACACCACACACACCACACACATACACATACACACAACACACACCACATAACACACACACCACAGACAATACACACATACACATACACACCACACGAACATACCACACACATACCACACACACACACAGCACACACACACCACACATACGTATACACATCACACAACCACAAACCACACACACAACACATACACACAACACACGCACACAGAGCTGACCCTGTATATTACCAACCTTCTCTGAAAGCCTGCACGTCTAGAGAGAGGACCAGGAGTCCTGTCCCCCTCCCCCACTGCCACAGCCCCTAGACTGACCCCCGCTGGGGCCACCCCCATATTTATTTCCAGGCAATGAAGCAGGCCTGAAGAAGCCTTTTTTAACGGAGCATGTGAGGTCTTGGAGATAAAACACTCCTCATTTGGGCAGCTTCTGTTTTTGAATTCATGAATATCAATGGAGTCACATTGTCTATGCAAATGGCGTCCTGCTGGGCAGAGGCCAGGCCTAATTAAGACCCTGAATAATGCCCAGCTCTTGTTTCTGGTTTTTTTCCCCACCAGGGATGCAGAATTAATAAGAGCCCAAGCAAACCGTGAATCCTTTTGTTGGCAGAAGGGTCAGTAGCCACAGGGGGTCGGTCCTCAGGAGGGAATCAGGGTGCCCTGGATCCTGCAGAAGTGACAAAGCACGACAGAGGGTGGCTTGGCGGCTGCACCGATTTCAGGGCTGCGGGAAAGGTCCACTGTCCTAATGTGCCCACTCCCATCTGGCTGAAATTTGAAATTTCTTTAACAAGACACAAAGAGGTTCTATCTTAAAATTAGAAAGAATGTCTCAAAGACTCTGGCATGATAGTAATCAGGGTACGCTGGTATTAGAGGGGCCTTGTGTCCAGGGGTGGGGTTCTAGAAGGACACTGTTCTGGCTCAGATTCTGCTCATGAGCAAGCCTCTGTGTCCTCTTCATGAAGTGAAGGGGATTCTCACAGTTTCCAGGAAATGCTCCTAAATGGCACAGGAGGATGCCTGTGTGCCCGTCAAAGGGTCTGGGGGCTTCATCCAAATTAGCTGGCCCGCAGGTGTAATTTCTTTGAAGTGTAATATTTTATAGCTTTTAAATTCTATTGAATGTTGTGTCCTCCTTCCTTTATGACTATATTTGTTTTAATAAAAAATAATGTTTTTCCAAGCACCTTTGGCTCAAGTTAATAACCACGTAAAGCCTTCAGCTTACCTCCTGGGAGAAGGCACAGCCTGGGTGGAGAAGTACAGGGCATTGTTCCGGGAGAACACTCCCAGCTCTCACAGAGGCAAGAGCAAGTGAGCAGGGCAGGACCTGTGCCCCAGCTGGTGTGTGCATGTAACCGCTGGATGGGTTCACCTTGTCCGCTGTACAGACAGAGCTGATTTATCAAGACAGGGAAATTGCAATAAAGAGTTTATTAAATTTTAGACCAATATCCCTTATGAACATCGATGCAAAAATCCTCAATAAAATACTGGCAAACCGAATCCAGCAGCACATCAAAAAGCTTATCCACCATGATCAAGTGGGCTTCATCCCTGGGATGCAAGGCTGGTTCAACATATGCAAATCAATAAACATAATCCAGCATATAAACAGAACCAACAACAAAAACCACATGATTATCTCAATAGATGCAGAAAAGGCCTTTGACAAAATTCAACAACACTTCATGCTAAAAACTCTCAATAAATTAGGTATTGATGGGACGTATCTCAAAATAATAAGAGCTATCTATGACAAACCCACAGCCAATATCATACTGAATGGGCAAAAACTGGAAGCATTCCCTTTGAAAACTGGCATAAGACAGGGACGCCCTCTCTCACCACTCCTATTCAACATAGTGTTGGAAGTTTTGGCCAGGGCAATCAGGCAGGAGAAGGAAATAAAAGGTATTCAATTAGGAAAAGAGAAAGTCAAATTGTCCCTGTTTGCAGATGACATGATTGTATATCTAGAAAACCCCATCATCTCAGCCCAAAATCTCCTTAAGCTGATAAGCAACTTCAGAAAAGTCTCAGGATACAAAATCAATGTGCAAAAATCACAAGCATTCTTATACACCAATAACAGAAAAACAGAGAGCCAAATCATGAGTGAACTCCCATTCACAATTGCTTCAAAGAGAATAAAATACCTAGGAATCCAACTTACAAGGGATGTGAAGGACCTCTTCAAGGAGAACTACAAACCACTGCTCAATGTAATCAAAGAGGATACAAACAAATGGAAGAACATTCCATGCTCATAGGTAGGAAGAATCAATATCATGAAAATGGCCATATTGCCCAAGGTAATTTATAGATTCAATGCCGTCCTCATCAAGCTACCAATGACTTTCTTCACAGAATTGGAAAAAACTACTTTAAAGTTCATACGGAACCAAAAAAGAGCCCACATTGCCAAGTCAGTCCTAAGCCAAAAGAACAAAGCTGGAGGCATCGCGCTACCTGACTTCAAACAATACTACAAGGCTACAGTAATCAAAACAGCATGGTACTGGTACCAAAACAGAGATGTAGACCAATGGAACAGAACAGAGCCCTCAGAAATAACGCCACGTATCTACAACTATCTGATCGTTGACAAACCTCACAAAAACAAGAAATGGGGAAAGGATTCCCTATTTAATAAATGGTGCTGGGAAAACTGGCTAGCCACATGCAGAAAGCTGAAACTGGATCCCTTCCTTACACCTTATATAAAAATTAATTCAAGATGGATTAAAGACTTAAATGTTAGACCTAAAACCATAAAAACCCTAGAAGAAAACCTCAGCAATACCATTCAGGACATAGGCATGGGCAAAGACTTCATGTCTAAAACACCAAAAGCAATGGCAACAAAAGCCAAAATTGACAAATGGGATCTAATTAAACTAAAGAGCTTCTGCACAGCAAAAGAAACTACCATCAGAGTGAACAGGCAACCTACAGCATGGGAGAAAATTTTTGCAATCTACTCATCTGACAAAGGGCTAATATCCAGAATCTACAATGAACTCAAACAAATTTACAAGAAAAAAACAAACAACCCCATCAACAAGTGGGTGAAGGATATGAACAGACACTTCTCAAAAGAAGACATTTATGCAGCCAAAAGACACATGAAAAAATGTTCATCATCACTGGCCATCAGGGAAATGCAAATCAAAACCACAATGAGATACCATCTCACACCAGTTAGAATGGCGATCATTAAAAAGTCAGGAAACAACAGGTGCTGGAGAGGATGTGGAGAAACAGGAACACTTTTACACTGTTGGTGGGACTATAAACTAGTTCAACCATTGTGGAAGTCAGTGTGGCGATTCCTCAGGGATCTAGAACTAGAAATACCATTTGACCCAGCCATCCCATTACTGGGTATATACCCAAAGGATTATAAATCATGCTGCTATAAAGACACATGCACACGGATGTTTATTGCGGCACTATTCACAATAGCAAAGACTTGGAACCAACCCAAATGTCCAACGATGATAGACTGGATTAAGAAAATGTGGCACATATATACCATGGAATACTATGCAGCCATAAAAAATGATGAGTTCATGTCTTTGTAGGGACATGGATGAAGCTGGAAACCATCATTCTCAGCAAACTATCACAAGGACAAAAAACCAAACACCACATGTTCTCATTCATAGTTGGGAATTGAACAATGAGAACACATGGACACAGGAAGGGGAACATCACACATGGGGGCCTGTTGTGGGGTGGGGGGAGGGGGGAGGGATAGCATTAGGAGATATATCTAATGTTAAATGATGAGTTAATGGGTGCAGCACACCAACATGGCACATGTATACATATGTAACAAACCTGCAGGTTGTGCACATGTACCCTAAAACTTAAAGTATAATTGAAAAAAAAAAAGAGTTTATTATACATAGAGCTGTTACCGGAAAGGGGTCCCAATCCAGACCCCAACAGAGGGTTCTTGGATCTCACGCAAGAAATAATACAGGGCAAGTCCATAGAGTAAAGTGAAAGCCTGTTTATTAAGAAAGTAGAAGAATAAAAGAATGGCTACTCCATAGACAGAGCAGCCCCAAGGGCTGCTGGTTGCCCCTTTTTATGGGGGTGGTTATCCATGCTCCCCTTTTTAGACCATATAAATAGGCAACTTCCTGACATTGCCATGGCATTTGTAAACTGTTATGGCACTGGTGGGAGTGTAACAGTGAGGAAGGCCAGAAGTCATTCTTGTCGCCATCTTGGTTTTGGTAGGATTTAGTTGGCTTCTTTATTTCAGGCTGTTTTATCAGCAAGGTCTTTATGACCTGTATCCTGTGCTAACCTCCTATCTATCCTGTGCTAACCTCCTATCTCATCCTGTGACTTAGAATGCCTTAACCATCAGGGAATGCAGCCCAGTAGGTTTCAGCCTTATTTTTACCCAGCTCCTATTCAAGATGGAGCTGCTCTGGTTCACACATCTCTGACAGAACTGGCTAAATGGGAGACTGGAGTTTTATTATTACTCAAATCAGCCTCCCTGAAAATTTGGAGGCCTGGGTTTTTTTTGTTGTTTGTTTGTTTTAATAGTTTAGAATGCAGGGGGCTAGGAAATAGGGATTGTTTATTATTAGTAGAGTCAGGGATGGAATCAGGGAGACTAAATTGTCCTCTTGCACTGAGTCTGTTCCTGGGTGAAGGCCACAAGACCAGATGATCCAGTTTTACCAGTCTGGGTGGTACCAGCTGATCCATCAGAATACAGGGTCTGAAAAATACCTCAAACACTAGTCTTAGGATTTACACTAGTAATGTTATCTATGGGAGCAAGTGGGGAGGTAGGAATATCATGGCCTCTGGCTGCATGACACCTGAGCCATAATTTCTAATCCTGTGGCCAAGTTGTTGGTTTTACAAAGGTGGTCTGATCCCCAAGTAAGGAGGTGCTTTGTTTTGGAGAGGGGCTGTTACCATCTGTGTTTGTTAAAGTATAAACTAAATTCCTCCCAAAGTTACTTTGGCCTCTGCCCAGGAATGAACAAGGGCAGCTTGAAGGTTAAAGGGAAAATGGAGTCAGGTCAGATCACTTTCACTGTCATAATTTTCTCACTGTTACAGTCTTTGCAAAGGTGGTTTCCTGAGTGGCAATCACAGAACCTGAGGTCCCAGCTCGAGCTTTCCTTCCTATTGTGAAAGACAAGCCTTACGTGTTCATTCCACTGGGAGAGGGGGTCTAGAGGCCCACGTTCCCTCTCAAGAGAGAAGTGACCAGGTCTGTCCTAGCGCTATTCAAGGGAGAAAGGAACCACATGGGCAGCAGAGGAGCTCACCCATCTCTGCTACCCCCACAACTTTTCCTGACGTTGTGTGGCCACTATGTTATATGGGATTATTCTACACAATTACCTTTAAAGATCCTGATTCAAAACCCATGCCATTTTTGAGGCATTTTCATTTAAGGGCTCTTTGTGGGGTTTTGCCCCATCCCTACCCCAGGGCAGCTGGTCACGTCTTTGCATGCATAGGTCTCTGTTATAGCTGCCCCGCCGCCATTTCACTCTGATCACTTGGTCCCTCCCAGAAGTCGATCTTCTGATCCATTAAACATATAGTTAGGGGCCTACATTAGATAATTACAGCCTATTTGTTGATTTACTCATTTGACAAACATTTTGTACTAAAAAAAAATTAATGAACATCAAAAGTCAGCATCTCACATTTTCCTCTTGCCTCTATGGCCCGCCATCAGTGGTTCTATTTTAGGCCCTTGAAAGTGGTATCTACGTGGTCAATGTTAAACTAGGTGATCTCTTCTCTGGCTATTTACAAATTTGTAAGATCAGATTCTCTGTCAGTGGTTCACAACCCCCAGGGGACAGTGGTGGTTATGGAGACACTTTTGATGATCAGGATTCGGGAAGGACTACTGGCATCTGGGAAGTAGAAGCCAGGGAGGCGGCTAAACAGGCTACGTGCACAGGACGGCCCCCTGCCACCCCCACAGAGAACTGTCTGTCCAGATGTCAACAGTGCTGAAATTGAGAAACATATATAAATATTATACATACATATATATTCATTCATTCATTCATTCATATTTTGCCAAACACTTATTTTGAGCCAGGAGCATTTACTATGTGCTGGGCTTTGCTTCTCCATGCACCTTCCCCAACGGCTGACCCTGGAAGGCAGGGACTGTGTCTTAGTCACCTCTGCCCTCCTGGTGAGTCTTCAGGATTCTGACACAGCTATTCAGTGGATGTTCATTGAATGAATTGATTGTTTCAGTTTTCACAAGCTGCCAGTCACTGAGAGGAGGCAGATGTGGGGGGTGGGGGCAAATGAGCTCTTCAGTTTCTGCCATGGTAAAATTTTAAATATCATTTAAATGTTTTTATTGTGGTTGGTTTTTATTTTTATTTTTCCTTTTTTTTTTTTAGATTCATGGGGTCCATGTGCAGGTGTGTTACGTGGCTGTATTGTGTGATGCTGAGGTTTGGGCTTTAACTAAACCCATCACCCAAATAGTGAACATGGCACCCAATAGGTAGTTTTTCAACCTTACCCTCCTCCCTCCCTCCCCTCTTTTGGAATCCCCGGTGTCTACTGTTGCCATCTTTATGGCCATGTGTGCCCAATGCAGAGTTAAATTTGAGATGCCCATGAGACATCACGTGGAGATGGTGGGCAGGGAACTCAGGGACAGGGCTGGACTGGGGACATAAATGTGGAAGCCATCGGCATCTGAACGGTATTTAAAGCAAGGAAGTCGCTAGGGATTGTGGGCAGAGAGAGAAGAGCTGTTCCAGAGCCCTCCAGAGTCTAAAGGGGAGAGGATGAGGAACTCACAGAAGAGACAGAGAAGAGGTAGCCAGTGAAGCAGAGAAAAGCCTTGAGGAAGCCAGGGAAAGCCGTATCAGAAAGAAGTGAGAGATCCACTGTGCCCAGAGCTGCTGAGAGCAAAGGGGGTGGGGGCCGAGAAGAGAACACTGGACTTAACAGCATGATGGTCGTGCTGCCCTTGATAGAGGCTTCTTTCGAGGGAAAGCCTCTTTCAGATGCTTAAGAGAGAATGGGAGGGGAGGTACTGGAGACAGCGAGTCTACAGCGGATTTGCGTTTCGATGTCGAATGTGAGTCAGTAGTTGGGGTGGGCTGTGGGGTCGCCATGCTGTGTAGCTATCATGGAATGCTGCTAGGCTCTTGGGAATGATTCTGTAGAGGGAATATTGATGGAGGAGAGAAAGGAAAAACTGCTGGAGCAATACCTGGAGGACTTGAGAGGGGCGGGGACCAGGGCACCTGTAGAGGAGGTGGTTCAGGATGGAGCAGGGATGGCTCATCGTAGTAGGAAGAGGGCGCAGTGTGTGGGCACAGACCGGGAGGTGAGAGTATGGATGTGCTTGTGGCAGCACTTAGAGGTCCTCCTAAACCTTCAGTCTGCACACTGAAACAGGAAGCTGAGGGTGCGGTTGGGGGAGGAGGTGTAGGTGCTTTGAAGAGAGAGAGGTAGGTAGGAAATCATCATGTAGGATGATGTGGCAGCAAATGGATAATGCTGGAAACTCCATCCCATATCTGATCACCGCTCCAGCTCCCTGGACATCATTACCTGGCCCCGGTCTCCCTGCCCTGCCCCTGGCCTATTCTCCACAGAGAGGCAGTGATCTTTGTCATGCAGAAATCTCCTCCTGTCCCTTCCCCACTTGCCCCAAATCCTCCAATGGCTTCTCATCCAACTCAGTACAAAGGGGAAAGTTTTCCAAATGGTCTCCCAGGTCCCCCAAGGCCTGACTTCCTGTCCCCTCTGCCTCCCCCAACCTCTGCCAATCTCCCTGGCTCCCTGCACTCCCGCTGCACGCCAGGAGTGCTGCTCCTGCCCTGAGCATTTCTCCTTGGGGTGCCTTCGACCTGGAATGCTCTACCGTCGATGTCCTCATGGCTCCCCTCACTTCCTATAGGCCTCTACTCAAATGCTCTTTATCCATGAACAAGGGCTGCTCTGACCTCCCTACATAAGACAGCTGCCCCACTCCACCGCATGCCCGTCTCCTCTTCACTGCTGAGTTTTCCCACCTAGCGCTTAGCACCATGCATTTACTTGTTTATTGTCAGTCTCCCTCATTTAAAGGTGAGAGCCCTGACAACACAGCCTCCGTTTTCTTTATTGCTGTTTTGAGGAATAGCATCTGGAAGAGTATCTGACACATACAGGCCACTGAATAAATATTGGTTGACTGAATGAGAGGAAAGAAGGATCAATGGATGGATGGATGAAAGGAAGGAAGGATAGATGGAAGGAAGGAAGGATGAATGGATGGACAAATGGATGGGTGGGTGAGTAGATGAATGGATGAATGGATATACAGATTATAGTCATTGATTGATGGGTCATTAAGATATGACTACAATGAAGACATTCATTTCTACATGAGCAATTAAACCCCCTCCCAAGGAGGAATTTATAACAACAAATAAAACACAGAAACATATCTTACCCACTAAAAAGTCATTGGATGGATTTGTAGTCTAAACCTAGCAGAATTGGGGACAAATTCTATGCTCCGTGCTGCTCCAGGAGAGAGTAGAATGCCGCAGGAGCCTCTCTTCCCAGTAGAGACCTTGATGTGCGCCTGTGTTCTCTTCCCTGCCAGGATCATTCCTATTTTTCTTATCCATCGGCCTGAGAACAATATCCCGTATGCTACAGTGGAGGAGGAGCTGATTGGAGAATTTGTGAAGTATTCCATCAGGGATGGGAAAGAAATAAACTTCTTGAGAAGAGAATCAGAAGCTGGTCAGAAATGTTGCACCTTCCAGCACTGGGTGTACCAGAAAACAAGTGGCTGCCTCCTGGTGACGGACATGCAAGGTGAGGAAAGCAGCTTAGCCCAGGCTCCAGGGATGCTGTGGGCCAGAGATGTTCCTGTGGGTGGAGAGGGAGGGGAGGGAGAGGAAGGATAGGCCTGCTGGGTACCTTGAAACACCTTTACCTGCAGAAGCTGTTACTGATGCCTCCTCAGAAACAAGATTTGATAAAGGAGCCTGAAATAACCAGCCAGAGGGCCATTTCATTTTATTTTTATTTAAAAAAATTCTAGGGGGGGACAGGGTCTCACTCTGTCACCCAGGCTGGAGTACAGTGGCACGATCATAGCTTACTGCAGCCTTGAACTCCTGGGCTCAAGTATTCCTCCCACCTCAGCCTCCAGAGTAGCTGAGACTGCACATGCATTCTACCACACCTGGCTAATTAAAAAAAAATTTTTTTTTTGTAGAGACAGCGTCCTGGACGGTTTCCCAGGCTGGTCTCGAACTACTGGGCTCTAGCGATCCTCCCACACTGGCCTCCAAAAGTGTTGGGATTACAGGCGTCAGCCACTGTGTCTAGAGGTCATTTCGTTTCAATAATTCATGCCAATAATGCCTTCCCATTACAACAGGTAACCAGAGATTGGCTTTACTGTTCTATCCTCAATAGGCCTAAACTCAGCAATATATTCTCAAATCCAGATCTACCATAAGGTAAATTAAGATGTAGTACTTCATTCTCTATAGGCAAAAGAGTCTTTAGAATGCTTTAGATTTTAAGCTTCTCTGCTGAATGTATAGCATGTTTTCAATGTATACACAATTGTTTAGGAATACCATTTCTTCTATGGAATGGAGATGTCATCGTTAGGGTTCCCCTAAGACAGACCTGAGACAGGTACTCACATACAAATGGCTTATTTGAGAGGGGATCCCAGGAAACGCCAGTAGAGGAGTAGGGAAGTGCAACTGGGGAAGGAAAGGCGACTGGTAGAGTATATTATTAGCCAGTGACTGCCGTGGGCGCTGGAGCTGACATCTGCAGGGAGCCCTGCAAAGCACACTTCTCAGTGAGGGAGCCGGAGTGTGTATACACCAACTACCAGGATCACCAGCTGGCGGCTGCTCTGGGTGGGGGCATTACCTCCCTTGCACTTGTCACCTGCCCACATGGGCAAGCTAAGCCGGATAAAAAACATGATCAGAGAAAGTTCTTAAGCAGAGAAATGCTGGTGTGGCACTAAGAGGTGGAGCCAGGTGCACAGAAGTGGTTGGGGTGTGGGCAATAGGTAAGGCACCAGCAGCTTCTGCTGCAAGGGGTTTCCTATTTCTGTTTGCTGTTAAGAAAATCTGAACTATATTATTTTCTGCCTACCAAATGTCAGATATTGTCCCAGATGAGGATCTCAAGCTCTAGCTATTACATGGTGTTGAAGAGCAAGACCACCTTGGGGTTCTGTTCCCTGCACTGCCACTTCCAGCCTGGTAGCCTGTGGGCAAATTACCTTTCTCAGTGCTTCAGTAACTTCCACACAGAGTTGTTTTGAGAATTAAATGAGATAGTAAAGCGCTTATTGCAGCATTGCCACATAATAAATGGTTCCTATTTCTTTTAACCCATTTTTTTTTATTTGTTTGAGACAGGGTGTCACTCTGTCACCCAGGCTGGAGTGCAGTGGCGCAAACACAGCTCACTGCAGCCTCAACCTCCTGGACTCAAGTGACCCTCCTGCCTCATCCTGCCATGTAGCTGGGACTACGGGAGTATGCCATCACACTTGGCTAATTTTTTCTTTCCTTTTTTTTTTCTTTGTGTGTGTGTGTGTGTGTGTGTGTGTGTGTGTGTGTGTGTGTGTGGAGATGGGGTTTCACTTTGTTGCTCAGGCTGGTCTTGAACTCCTGGACTCAGGTGATCTTCCTGCCTTGGCCTCCCAAAGTGCTGGGATTAGAGGTATGAGCCACTGTGCCCCAGCCTTTATTCTGAAATAATTATAGACTCACAAGGATTTGTAAAAATATATGGAGTGATTCCCACGTATGCTTCACCAGCTTCACCTAATGGTGACATCTCACATAACTATAGTACATTATCAAAACCAAGAGATTGACATTGGCAGAATATAATCAACTACACTAGAAACTTGACTTGGATTTCATCAGTTTTTGTATCCATTCATTTTTTTCTATTATTTTTACTTAATCTTCATAATAACCCTGCAGAGAAGATAGATATTATGATCCCCATTTTACAGAAGAGAAAACTGAGGCCTGGAGACCGTGATTGTCTCTGTCTGCTGTCACTCAGCTAGTAAGTAGAGGGGTCCAAGACTCCAACCCGCATTTTCTGACTCTGAATTCCAAGTTCTTTCCACAAATAACAATTTAGCAAATTTGCAAGATATTTACTTCCAGACCTTTCCAAGTCTCTCCTGATGTTAGAGGGCTCTGGTATGTGTACGGTTCTTCCTCCTAAGCCCTTGGAAGGACTCCTTGCAAGCCAGCTGGGAAATGCAACATTACCGCCTTGCAGATGAAGCCAATCTGCAAATTTAAGTCAGACTTCACTCTTTGAAGAGACTTTGCTGCCACACACACACAAAACATATGGTCTTAACAGACAGCTGTTTGTTCTATTTAGACTCTGGCTGTGCAATTGCTGCTGTCCCCCATCTTTTCTCCTTGCGAATTAATTTTGTATTAAATTCAGCTCTCATGCTGAAAAGCAGCACCCAGGGCTTCATGCACAGTTAGTTTCACTTCCAGGTACTAGTAAACAACAGTAATGGAATATCACATCTCTCTGTAAATGACGTGTGTGGTTTAACGTGGTGGTGTGGCATTAAGTAATGGTGTTTATTTACTCTCTGTTGATGGACAAAAAATATTTTTACTGTCATTGTCATTGTGGCATGAGATAGCGCATCTATTCTCTAAGGAAACTCCACTTTTTATAATTTTACAGAGACACTGGAATTAGAATTAAACTCAAATTCTATCACCACCCTTTTGGACTTTTAAAAGTTAATTCTTCCTGGCTGCATTTGCTCATTTAGAAGATTATGCCAGGTCCTGCAGGTTTGTGGGGTAAAAGATGAGCCTGTGATTTGGACCTGAGACCTGCATGCTGGTGAGACTACCACGCCTTCTAACAAGCTGTCACCCAAAAAACTCAAGACCTTGAATTCTGGAGAATGAGCTTTTTTTTTTTTTTTAATTTTTTTGTATTTTTTAGTAGAGACGGGGTTTCACCATGTTGGCCAGGCTGGTCTGAACTCCTGACCTCAAGCGATCCACCTGCCTGGGCCTCCCAAAGTGCCGGGATTACAGGCATGAGCCACTGTGCCCAGCCAAGTGGAGAATGAACTTCTAATGCTGTTCATTTCCTTTCTTCTGTTAGAAACAACCTGTAGATTACTGTTATCTCCAACTCAGCTTGATAGCTGCACACTAGGATTTAACTTTAGACTCTAGAGATTCCTAGTAACCTTGACATAATTGCTGGCAAATCATTAAACTGACAGGGGGAAGTTTTCTTTTAAAAATTATATTCTGTCTTTCTAAACTGTAAGTGACAGCTGGTAATTGTGGGAAACAAGGGAAAGCAATTCTCCAAGTTCAAGGACCTTTTGCCAAATGACTTTTTCAAATTGGACTTCCATACGGCTTAGAGCTGTAATTTTAAAATACAATTTTCCATGAAACAAGATGTCCAGAGACAGCGTTTGCAATTTGGTGGGTTTTTTTTTTTTTTTTCAAAGCATAGTCCCTGCAATAAAAGCTATGTGAAGCATTTCTACATATGTTTGAGTTATTAGCGGCTTTGAAAGAATGAGATGAATTAGTTACCAACTGCGAAAGAGACTTTTAAAATGGTCACTGGTTCTCCCAAAGTGCCATGTCTAATTTAGCTCACAGGTGCACTGCAGAAAAGCAGGCCTCATGGCTTCTGTCTGCCTAACCAGCCTGAATCCCAACACGTCCTTTGTTTTTGCCATGCTCCCAGCAGATAACGCTGAATCCGAGCATTAATCCTTTAGCTGTCTTTTCCTGGGCCTCAGAAACAGCACTCCACTTGGGTGGGGAACCACGGAAGTAGGTGGCCAGCAGATCTGATCCTCATGGCTGGCTTTAGGGGGATGCTGAGTTTTTTTCTTTCCACAGCCCAAACTGGTTTCTAGGCTGCCAGGGCCCTCCATGGGCAAGTCACGTGCTGGAGGTGGGGAATGCCAGTGCTCACAGCCCGGCCCATGGAGCCCAAGAGGCAGGGGCAAGAGCACAGGAGGCAGGACCCAGGCATCTAGCAGGTGCAGACACACTGGTGGGGTGGCACTATGGGCCATGGGATAAAATGTCATCACTAGATTGCACGGGTAAGGTCCTGGCAGAGGTCCACTGCGTTGGAGCAAGTGCCCATAACCCTCACCCTAAGGAGACAGGAATGGAATTGGTGCGTGGTCAGGGCATGCAGATTCTGGAAAGGTCAAGAGGGAATCCACACTCTGGGCATCAGGGAAGTGCTTTACTTTCCACTAGACCTGAGAGAGGTTCAGGATGCAGGCTGAGACTGGGGGTAGAGTGAGAGAGGGTGGCTCTTTCCACTACAGAAGGGGATGGCAGCTCTTATCCTCCCTCACAGTGGAAAACAGTGGGATAGTCTATTCCCTTTGCCTCCCTGGCTCCCTAGCTACCCTCCCTACCCCTCCTGCTGGAAAGGCACATGCAAAAAAGGGTTCCATATGCTTGCAATGGGTGCCTATTGCTTTTTGCTGAACCAGAGTGGGAAGCTCAGGTAGCTGTTCTACTGTTTTGGTTTTGATATCCCCCACCTATCCCCACCATGGTTTAGTGGGTAGCAGTTAGGATGAGTCCAAGGACCACGTGTTCCAAATGTCTGCTTCGCCAGGCCATTGGTTCAGTGTCTACATAGAACTCAGGATTGTTTCCCGGGGTCTAACACTGACCACCCAGAAAACCTTCAGTCCTGAATTGAAAAACGATCTTTATGGAAATGAGAAATCATATGTCTGAAGTTTGGCTTTGAACTAAACACATGCCCCTTGAGCCCTGTGTTAGTCCATTTTCACACTGCCGATAAAGACATACCCAAGACTGGGTAATTTACAAAGAAAAAGAGGCTAATGGACTCATAGTCCCATGTGGCTGGGGAGGCCTCACAATCATGGTGGAAGGCGGAAGGCACGTCTTACATGGCAGCAGGCCACAGACAGAATGAGAGCCAAGGGAAAAGGAGAAGCCCCTTATGAAATCATCAAATCTCCTGAGACTTATTCACTACCATGAGAACAGTATGGGGGAAACTGCCCCCATGATTCAATTATCTCCCACTGGGTCCCTCTCACCACACATGGGAATTATGGGAGCTACATTCAAGATGAGATTTGGGTGGGGACATGGCCAAACCATATCAAACCCTCTTGCTATTGGCATTGACTATCCCAGGCCGTGCCTACTTTTCTTTCCATCATGTAAGGGTTTCCACTTTCATTGAAGAACGGGGAGCCAGACCTAAGCCAAAGTCACCGTATTTCTGGGGAGATTGCTTACGGGACAAGCATCAGGCCTCAGATTTTCTCACAGAGTGGCCAGCTCCCTCCTTGTCATGGGGTGGGTGGGCCAGGCAGGCAGAGGACTTCATTTCCAGAGCCGAGAGGGCTTGGGTTGTCTGCTCACATGAGACTTGATTCCCCCTAACTGCCACCTTCCCCATGGTCCCTGCCTAAAGCTGGATGCGTATATGAAAGAGGCCTCGAGTGTTTATGCAGGAAGGAGAAGGAGGATGAGCTGTCATTACCCCTTCCCTGGGGCTAGATGGCCCAACTTCCTGAGGGGCCCTGAGTAACACAAACTCCCATCTTTGCTTTCTCTTCCTGTAGGTGTAGGAATGAAGCTAACTGACGTTGGCATAGCAACGCTGGCTAAAGGGTGAGTAGGAAAAAATGGAGTGTGCATCAATTAACACTGGGCTTACAGACACCTTCCAGGCAGACACTGTCAGGCTGAGGTGGGCAAAGTGAATTTCTTGTCCTAACTGTGGATGACGAATGTTCTTGGAATGAATTCATTTCTCTCACTTACATAAAATATTTATGGACTTTGTTCTCACAGGGGAGCACATTTGTTTCTTAACTTTGAAACAAATGAGAACTCTTGCAAACACATTTCAAGATTAATAACCAATAGGAGTACCACGGGGAGAAAATGCTGGCATTACTTGGATGCCTTTTAACTGGGAATATTCCGTTCTTTTACATTTAATATCTTCACTATTAAAAGCTTCTTTGAAAAAAAATTTTTTTTGCAATTGAATGCAGTGAATTCAATTTGTATATTTTAAATTAATTTTTCTCCAAAAAGTATTTTAGGCAGCTCACAGACCCCCATGATGATAATCATAGGAGGCAATGTCTCTGGCAGAGCTGTGATTAGTTACCTGTTTTTGATGATGGCTTTATTTTTCTAATACAGAGTGGTGCTTTGCTTAGTGTGAGGCACACACAGATGATGCTATGATCACATTTTACTGGGGCATCTTTTTAACAAGCTGCCCCTTCCCACTTCTTTACTTGACTGCCACTGAGGAGAAAGCCAGCCATTTGTTGTTCTTGGTGAAGATGCAATTCTGTGTTGGAACCACCATCGCCTTTGCCCACTCCTGCTCTTCCTACGTACTAAGACCATCTGTAAGGGGGAGGAAAAGAGAGCTCATGACTTTTGGAGGGGATGGCTTCTATTTCAAAATGTAGGTTTTATTAGTATGAGGTATCGTAAGGTCAACAGATCAGGAGATAGTTGCCATTGAAAAGCTAGTTTGTTACTTGCAGCTGCCAAGAGGGGGCACCAGGCCACCAGGGGCCATCTAAGAAGCAGCAGGGCCAGTTGGGAGGCAGAGGAAGTGAGGGGAAAATGCAGGCAAGAATATTATGGTTTATTCGGGAAGGAATAGGTGAGGGAGGATAAACAGTCCTAGGATTGGCTAATTTGACATTTTCCAGCAGTCTCTGGGACATAGGGCTGGCCCTAGTGTCTGGTACCTGCACTGGGGTGATTAGGGCAGGTGGACAGTGGCCCCAGTATGAGAGACCACAGAGGGGGTATTAGGGGTGTGGCTCTGGATTGGTTGGTTTGCATATATATGAAAGGCTCTCTGGAAGGTGATCATTTACTCTCTCTAGGAATATGGCAGCCCTGAGAGGAGTAAAGTCTCTCCAGGGCCAGTAAGGCACAAGATGTCAAAGCATCAGAAACACAGAAAATAAAGTGGTGGGATGAATCCAGCTTCCTTTCCCAAGGCTGAGAACAACTTATCCGTGGGAGCTTTCTGGTTACTTCAGACCATCAGTGTCAGCCACGATCCAACAAATATGCTAATTTTCAGCTTCAATAAAGGACAGAGAGAAGTAGAGGAATCTGAAAAAGTAGGAAGGGGATCGCTCTTTCTTTTAACCTCCAGGTCAGTAAGTCTGATTCATGAAGTTCTCGCCGATTGCACAAAGCTTCCAGTTGGGTTTTAGAACCAGAATGCGGTTTGGACCTTTTCCCTGGGATGGCTCAGTGATGATGAAGTTTTATGTTGGAACTGTCTCCAGGCTTCTCCCCTGTGCTCACCAGAGACCTGGCTGGCATACACTTCAGGGAATTGGGTATGTTCTTGGGCTTGTGAAGACAGCGCATTAGGAGGGATTATGATGTAGTGGGGAGGAAGGAACGAGGGATTTAGAGCGAGACCCAGTTCATACCCTGATGCTGCTGCTTCCATTTCTCCTGATAGTAGCCTCGCTTCTTGGCATCGTAGGAATTTGCCTAGCCTACCTGATGAGGGGGATGAACGTCTATTGCAGTTTCCCCATGATGGTACCATTTTATGCCTGATGTCCTCACATCCCATACGCTTTAGCATTGATCCTGAACAAGTGTACCCATTTAGAAGATAAATTATATGGTGCCCTATTTATGGAGGCTTCTGGACCCCAGAAGGATTTTCCAAACGGAGCCTTCCTTTCCAGGCTCCATGTGTTCTGCAGAACCTTGCAGATGCAAGCATCCGCCAGCCCTAGTTTGAATCCTGGCTTCTCGTCATACCAGCTGTGTGACTGTGGGCATGTGACTAAGTTCTTAAAGTCAGTGATGTACAGCATGGGGACACTCCGGCTTGCCCTGAGTATTCCCCCAGTTAATCTACACCTAGCCCCTGAAACTGGAAGTGAGCTAGATAAATATTAGTTTCCCTTCGCTCCTCATGTCTTAGCCTGACACCAGAGTAGGCAAATTTCGTGCTGTTATTTAGAACAACTCTCTACCAAAACAAAGAAGAAACCTGCCCAAGAAGTTTCAAAAATGAAGATGGTCATGATTATTGAAGACATCTTTTAAATTCAAGTCAACAGCTTCCAGGAACCCAGACCGACTGGGAGCTTCAAGTGGTACATTTTTTCCCCTCCTGATTTAAAAAGAAATCCAATCCTTTGGTTTTGTTCTCAGCTTTAATGTGACTTATCTGGCCCGGGACAGCTGCCCAAGACCCATTAGAAGCACTGACGGCTGGAGCCCAGTGCAGAATGCTGTCTATAAAGTATTACTTACTCATTGCCTTCCCACCCAAGGAGAGGCCAGGGAGCAGGAGCTGGGAGAGGAGGAGATTCTGAAGTGTTTGAGAGCTTTGGCAGGGATATTAGATCTTCTTGTCTTTTGTTTTTTAAAAACTTTTCTTTAAACGTTACCTTTTTAAGCCACAGTCTTTTTCCCAAAAGAAATATATCTTACAATCACAGTTTGAAAAACTGATGAAAAGGTAAAACTTCTCCAAACAGAGCATAAGAGGTGGTTGAGAGACCTCTTTAGAGGCTCCTGGGAACCCCTCTGGAGTGGAAACCAGTGATCAAGCCCGACCTCCTCACTTCACAGGTGAGGAGGCATGGGGCATGGGGCATGGGGCATGGGGCAGCCTGCTTGCTGGCAGGAGTCAAGAAGTCTTTCCTGCTTGAAGTCAGCACCCCAAAGTGAACGGCAGATCCTCAATGCTGGGAGGCGAGGCACAATTGAAAAAGTTCTCCAGTGAATGTCAAAGCTGCAAAAGGGAGATAACTCATGAGGACAGACTTGGAAAGGGCTCAAGTTCAAGGGCACTCTGCAGACAGGAAAGTCCAGGTGGGAGGCAAATGAGCTGGGGAAGAAAGGAAGGCGAGCATCGCAGACTGCAGACAGCAGGAGAGAAGATGGAGGAATAAGGGTTGATCGAGCAAGTTCTCTTGATTCTTAGCAAGCAACTGTGAGTGAGCTTAGTTCATTCATGATGCAAAGGGAGAGTCGCAAGTTCTATGGGGGGGCTGGTACCTGGCAGGGTTCAGCTGGGGGAACAGCACCACCATAAGAAGCAGTGCTCCGTGTGTCATTTAAAAAAAAAAATTCCCATATGTCTCAATCAGGACCATATATTTGGCTGCTGACACCCCAGTCATGCAACCTGTTTTGCTGTCTTGTTCAATGAAGTCAAAGGCTATGATCCTATTTCAGGAGTAATTACTCTAATCTCATAAAATAAAATAGAGAATTGTCATGACTTACTCATTTTAATTCAACTTTACTTCATTGTATGTTCCTTTTAACAGGAGTATGTCATATTTCTCTTGGGAGCCAGAGATATAATTATGTCTGGAAACACATCCCCTGTGCCTCAGCCACCTCAATCTTTTGGCAAATGTTGAGTACAAAAATTTCAGGTTACAAAGTATGGCAAGTAAGATTGTTTTGACATCCAGTAATCCATTTTCTAGATAGACCCAAGATACTAACCCGTTGAACAAATTTCTAATTGGAAATTACACAAGGAAAAAAGGCCTAATTTTATAACTGGAGATTTGGAAACGTAACCTAACCAACTCCAGACCGATCTAAAGCCATGCGTGCAGTGGAGCCGAACTGCAAACTCATGCTTCTCTCCAGCCAGTCGGGGAGTTCCCGGGGAGGCGACGAGATTGCAGTTCAACCACCAGAGGGCACCAGAACCAATACTTTGCCCTTTGTAGTCTCCCCTAAAAAGCCAATTTCCTGTTGCCAGATTGAAATAAAACAAAGAAAAGTACCATTAGCAGATTTCTTCCCTGGCAGTAAGCATTAGACCAAAATAAGATTAATATGGACAGCCGTAAAGGACACCCCTCGCAGTGGCTGCCAGCCAGCCTTGCATCTTTCTACCCTCGGAGGAAGGAACGACGAGGCTTAAGGATGTGTGGCTTGTGTCAAGCGTCCCTGACATGGAAGCCAAATTCCCGAGACCCTGGACAGAAGCCTGGATGATTCATTCATGTAGCAGGAGGACAGTTGCCTTGAGAAAGCAGGCTCCATTGGGGTCTGCGTGCCTAGCTCTGGTCCTGGCCATGAACAGGAGAAAAGATCAAAATAGACTCCCACACTCGGCCAAGCTGAGTTCCAAAAGAAAGGCTCTGCCTTCAATGCCCACAAGCAGATGGAGGGGACGGCAGCCACCTGGGATGCTTTGCCCAGTCACAAGGCCGAGCCACCACCGTACCTGGAGAGGAAGCGCCAAAACAAACTTGGAGGTGGGAAGAAACAATCTAATCCGAAGAAACACGCCCCGAGAATAGGCTTATGTGCATGAGTGGTGACTCCAGGCAGACTATTTAAAGCAATGCATGAGTCTGCCAGGAGAGGAAACAAAGGGACATTGGAACAGAATTCCTGATGCCTTTAAAGTGTCTCATAGCAGGGCCATGTCACTATAGAACACCAAACATTTCAGCTGAGTCCCCAATGCCAGGCATCAGCGGACCAATCTCACAGGCCTGTCAGCTTGAGAAAGGCAATTTTATGCCCCAGATAGCTCCTGTCCCCGCCTGCCACAGGGTCATCTGTCCTGGAAGGCCACCTGCATCCCATCTTCATCCGGTCAGCCCATTCTGTAGTAGGGCTGGCTGGCCCGCTGGCTGATTTATGTGGCCAGTCTTTGCCATTAAGGAAGTTTGGAGGCTGGAGGGAAGTCTGAAGGGAACAGTGGTGATTTTCGCAGTTTTTGGCAAGGCAGACCCTACTATAGCAGTGCTCTCAGTGTATGGGGGAGTCTCCCAGGCCCAACAGAGCCAGCCAGGACATGCCCCCTCCATGGAGGGACTAGCACAGCAGTATCCTGGCCTCTACCCAGAAGTCTTACAAAGGACAGTTCTGTTGAAATGTCTGGAATTGGGATCCATGGGTTCCTCCCACTCCTGACCCTATTCCCTAGTTGTCCCTCTGCCCAGTCCATTCCCCAGGACCTGAGGACTCAGGGACAGGTGCTGCATCGCTTGTCATCCAGCTTCAGAGATGAATCTGAACAGAGAGAACGTCTAGAGAAGTCTGGTAGATTCGAGATCACCCCTGCAGGACAGACTGGTGGCCAGTAGGAGACAGAAGCACGAGGCAGGTACAGGGATGGCTGAGAGGGTTGGGGTGACAGAGCCTGAGTGGACAGCATGGGGTGAAGACCAGAATAGACAAGAAAAAGGTTATCACTGCCTTCAGGAAGGTCTAAGCCAATGTAGTGTCACCAGGTGGGAGCCTCATGACAGATCAGAGAGGGAATGTGCTGCCAAGATGCCAGCAACTAAACAAGTTTGTCGACTAAAGACAAGGAAAAGTCTAGAAGGTAGCCAGAAAAGGAGGTGTGGGGAATGTGTGCGTGTGTGTGTGCGCGTATATATGTCTGTGTGCGTGTCTTTGTCTTTGTTTCTGTGTCTGTGTCCCTGTGTATGTGTGTGCATGTGTGTCTGTGTGTATATCTGTGTCTGTGTCTTTTTGTGTCTGCCTCTGTGTGTTGTGTGTGTGTGTGTGTCTAAAGAGACCTTGCCTGTTTGAAGGCAGAGGGGAAGGAGCCTGTGGGAAAACAATGAGGGACTAACGGCGGAGTGATGTTCCAGAGTGGTGAGCACCCCTCGTGAGGATTCAGAGTTTGTCAATACGGAAGGCCCTGCAGCCCTCGCTGTGCAACTTGGAGCACACTGGAAATGTGGCTTTGCCTCTATCCACCCTCACTGCCACCCAGGGCGTCAGCCCAGCTGCTCCTCTGAATGGTGAATTCTCAAAAAGCCTGTACCTAGTGGGAATGCTGACGCGCTTCTCCCTCACCTCAATTACCTGCCCTGTGGCCCTGCAGAGGCTCCTGTAACCGCCCCACAAGTTCTCCTTGCCTGTATGCCTAGACAGGACATGGCCGATTTATCAAGATGGGAACTGCAACAGAGAAAGAGTTTAATTCACATAGGGCCAGCTGTATGGAAGACTGAAGTTTTATTACTACTCAAATCAGTCTCCCTGAAAATTTGGGGATTGGGGGTCGGGAAGTGGGGGTAGTGCTGATTGGTCAGGTGGGAGACGAAATCGTAGGGAGTCAAAGCTGTCCTCTTGTGCTGAGTCAGTTCCTGGGTGGGGGCCACAAGACTAAATGAGCCAGTTTATTGATCTGGGAGGCGCCAGTTGATCCATCGAGGGCAGGGTCTGAAAAACATCTCAAGCACCAGGCTTAGGTTTTACAATTGTGATGTCATCCCTAGGAGAAACTGGGGAAGTTTAGAACCTTGTAGCCTCCAGCTGCATGACTCCTAAACCATAATTTCTAATCTTTTGGCTAATTTGTTAGTCCTGCAAAGGCAGTCTAGTTCCCAGGCAAGAAGGGAGTTTGTTTTGGGAAAGGGCTGTTACCGTCTTTGTTTCAAAGTCAAACTATAAACTAAGTTCCTCCCCAAGTTAGTTTGGCCTCTGCCCAGGAAAGAACAAGGAGAGCTTGGAGGTGAGAAGCAAGACGGAGTCAGTTCAGTCAGATCTCTTTCACTGTCACAATTTTCTCAGTTATAATTTCTGCAAAGGTGGTTTCACTCCCATTTGCAGATAAAACCAGCACAGCCCTTTGGGGATCAGAGCTCTGGGGCTTAGGACAGTGGGCGAATCTCAGGCTGCTTATCTGGTGGGTGTCTACCTACAACGCCCCCTCCTCGGTTCTTTGTCTTCAATTCGTTTCCATTTCAGATACTAACGAATGGACTGTGTGCTTCCTGCATATTCATGGGGATGGGACTCATGCGACCTCAAAAACGGACCCATAGTAGATGAGTGCTTCTCCCCCTCCCCTGGGCTCTTCTCTGAGCTCTCTTCTTCGGGACTCCTGTCTCACAGAACCTCCTGGTTGAGGGTGCCATCAAAAGCAATGAGAGTAGAAACTGTGCAAATGTACAGGGATTCTAGAATATGTTGCCAGCAGACGCAGAGACCAGACTCATTGAAGGTGGGGCACCTCTGCCCTCCTCTCACATTTTTCTGCAGAAAGAGGGAACTTTTTGTATTCTTTTTTTTTTTTCTCCAGCCAGGGAGGCTATGAGGGAACATAGAGCCAGGGCTTGGTTTCTGTTGGGGGTAGCTGGGACTGTGGCTTCAACTGAGGCCTGAGGGAGGGGCCATAGCACTGGGCAAGAAAGGCAGAGAGTGCCAGGAACCAAGGGGAGGGGCTGGACTTTGTTCAGAGGGAGATGGGGCCATCCAAGCAGTTGCTTGGCCATGACAAGATCTGACCTGCACCACCTGGACCAGGCGGAAAGCAGGGGCGAATTGCCTGGAGGCTCCCCTGACTGGCCCAGGGAGGGGCAGTGGTGGCTCAGATGGCATTTGTTCAGATAAGTTGCTGAAGGTTACCTGCCCCAAGAGAAGGTCACCTTGTAGACATCCTCAAGGGGGACAACTTCTCTAGAAAACACAGATCTGGTTACACTACCACGTCCCCGCCCTCAAAAGCTCCATGAATTTTTAAAAGTGCTTTTCAAAGTAATTATGTGAAACAAGATTTCTGTTGTCAAGTAATTTTGGGAAACCCTAGGTTGAATAAGTTTAGGAAGTTTCTTTTTTTCTTTCTTTTTTTTTTGAGACGGACTCTCACTCTGTCACCAAGGGTGGAGTGCAGTGGCACAATCCTGGCTCACTGCAACCTCATTCAAGCGATTCTCCTGCCTCAGCCTCCTGAGTAGCTAAGACTACAGGCACACGGTACCACACCCAGCTAATTTTTGTATTTTTAGTAGAGACGGGGCCAGGATGGTCTCAATATCCTGACCTCATGATCCACCAGCCTCGGCCTCCCAAAGTGCTGGGATTACAGCTCCCAAAGTGCTGGGATTACAGACATAAGCCACCATGCCCGGCCAGGAGACTTCTTTAGTGTGAGACTTCATATGGTCTTTAAAGAGCTGATGTGTATTTTGAATGTCCTAGGGACAAGGAAAGATATTATTATTATTATGACTGTTTTGAGATAGGGCCTTTCTCTGTTGTCCAGGCTGGAATGTAGAGTCCTGATCATGGCTCACTGCTGCCTCGAACTCCTGGGCTCATGTAATCCTCCTGCCTCAGCCTCCCAAGAAACTGGAACTACAGGCATGCACCACCACACCCAGCTATTTTTAATTTTTTTTTGTAGGGGTGGGGTCTCACTATGTTGCCCAGGCTAGTCTCAAACTGCTGGGTTCAAGCAGTCCTCTCACCCTGGACTCTCAAAGTGCTGGGATTACAGGCGTGAGCTACCTACCATACCAAGCCTAGGAGAGATATCAGATAGCATTTCTCACAGCATTTACATCACAGAATTTCAAAGACTCTTGTGGGACTGTTGCTCATGAGAACGTATTTTGGAAACCAGCATGCCACAGGAGAAATGGCACGGCACGGCTTTGAAACATTTTCACACATCCTCCGACGGCATCTCCCCTCAGAACACCTGCTCTGGCTCACAACGTGCCTCTGAACCTTACCATGTTGTTCCCTCTGCCAGATAAACCCCAAACCATCTTTCCTGTAGGAACTCTTGTAGGAATCTGCTCGGCAGTGTGAAAATGGCACCCTCCGCGTTTCCACAGAACTTCCTCCCGCTGAGATGTGACAGCTTGCTCCAAGATGGCCGCTTTTGGGAAAGTGCCGCTCCGCTTATTAATTAATTCCTTTTAGTTCCCCTACAGTGTCTGGCACACAGCTGATACCTGATCAATGAAGAAATCAATGAGTACACATGAAAAATGAAGGGTATGAGTGGCACTCCGGGAATCTCTTGCTGTTTCCAGGTGGAAGGCTCCCCATGTCCCTCCCTTTCCATGCAGGTGACAATCCGTTCTACCGGAGCCTAAGTCCAGCCTGGCTTTATTTTACACACACACATCACACACCAGACCATGGCTTTGTTTCAATTCTTCACCCCCATCCTGACCTCGAATTCCTTGTCCTTGTAGCCTTTCCCTATGCGTTAAAACTTCTTCAGAAAGGATCTCAAGCTCAAGCTGTTCAATGTAGCTTCTGGTTGGCATCTAATGGGTTACCAAAGTGCAGGAAAACTTTTCAGTGGGTTTGCCTTGCCTGTCTCCATTTCCTTTATTAAGCCAGCCAAGAACCTTGGTTTCTCTAACTCAGCCGGGGCTGGAAATTTCTGTGACTTTCCTCCACCCCTGCTCTCCAGGTGTGTTTGGAGCCAATACATTGTCCAGCACGGTTGTGAGCGGATCCCAGAGAGAAAGCAGTCACCCTGCTGCTATCAGTTGGTGATTTCTGTGTGAGTCTGAAAGGCTATGCCATTCATTATTAGGATGAGAGGAGAGAGGAATCGTTCTTAAGCAAGACATCAGCCTGGCACAGTTTCTAACACATAGCAAATCTTGAATAAATCTTTGTTGAGTGAGGGCAGGACTGTGGAAACAGCCTCCATAGCTCCTCTCCAGGTGGGATGTTTCAGTGTGACTTTATTAGATTGTTTGCCTCTAACTTCATAAACATAAGATATACTTGTGTTCCAGTTTAAATATAAAGGCATTTCCAAAGTCAAATAGAGATGAGTGTAGATCACCACTTTTGAGTAGTTTATCTCCTTGTTGCTCAAAGGAGAGGGGGTCCCTGGACCAGTGACATCAATACCCCCCAGAGCCTGGTAGAAATGCAGAAAATTCCACCCCCACTCCAGACCTACTGAATCCAAATCAGCATTTTAACAGGGTCTCGAGGTCATTCGCAGGGACCACTCTCATCCAGGGGGAATATAGTTGAGAAAAGACTATATATTGAATGCTATTCATATTTTTTGTTTTTGTTTTTGTTTTGTAGAGATAGGGTCTCGTTATGTTGCCCAGGCTGGTCTTGTATTCCTGGGCTCCAGCTAACCTCCTGTTTCAGCCTCCCAAAGTGCTGGGATTACAGGCGTGAGCCAGTGCGCCTGGTCTGAATGCTGTTCAGTGGAGTACATTTAGTGTTCCAATTCTGGACATTGTGAGAGAGGATGGATAGATTCACATAAAGAGATAGGCTAAAAAATTATACTAATTAGAGGTTAAGGACAAAAAGACCCATTTAGTAAAATTCTATAGAGTTAAGATTTTTAAAAATGAAAATATTTGAAAAAGATCTCAAATACAAGATTCTTTATTCCATTATGTTAGATTCCTAGGGCTGCCATAACAAATGACCACAAACCAAGAGCCTCACAGTGATAGAAATTGATTGTCTCACAGTTCTGGGGGCTGGAAGACTGAAATCAAGGGGTTGGCAGGGTTGGCTCCTTCTGCAGGCTCTGAGGGAGGGTCTGTTCCATGCCTCTCCTCTGGCTTCCGGGTTTGCTGGCAATCCTTGGAGTTCCTTGACTGATAGACGCATCTCTTTAACTTATGTCTCCAACATCACATGATATTCCCCCTGTGTGTCTCTGTCTTTTGTCATCTTCTTATGAGACACCAGTAACAGTGGATTGAGGGCCTCCCCTGCTCCAGTGTGACCTTATTTAAGAAATTCCATCTGTAATGATGTGATTTCCAAATAAGGTCACATTCTGAGGTTCTGGGAAGGACGTGACTTTGGGGATGGGGTGGGCAAGGATGCTACTCAACCCCCTATATCTATCCAACATGAAAAGGATAGCGAGTTTCTGCAATGGTGATCCTGTTGGAGAGATGGCCTACAGCTCCAGATTCAACCCTCAAGGCAGCGGGTGGCACATGTCGCATGTAAGGTGGGTCACTAGCAGGGAAACCTGCACTTCCCATTGCTTGGGTAGAGGAGAGCTTGATGTTATTGAATTCATGTCCTTTGAATGAATCTGGGATAATCAATCTAAGAACACAAAGGATGTTGCCCTATTTTTCTTCTTGGGCAAGGGCAATGGCCTTGGTGATGGCTGTCAGTTTGTGAGAACGGGTCAAAGCAGCAGCCCAACATCCTGGCTGAGACAGAGGCCAAATTGAGAAAGGAGGAAGATTTGTAATTTCTGTAAATGCTAGGTAGCAAAGAAAAGTCTGCACCTGAGAAAGACAGGGAAAGGGAAGTTCAACACTGTCTGACAGGCCAAGTTGAGGGTCGAAAATTAGAGAAAGAGATGTTCAGAAATGTGGCGTGGAGACAAGGTAGTGCTGAGCATGGAGCTGGGCCCCATTCATTTTGTTCTTTCAACATTTATAGAAAAGCCTCCCCTGGACAGGCGTTCTGGGCATAAAGCAGTGTCCTGAGAGAGATCATAATCTGTGCAGAGAAGATGGGGCGCATACACCCCTAACTCTGAGAGGGGTGTCTAGTTCTCAAGAAGATGCAGGGAGGAGGTTGGAGAGATGTCCTCTCATGGTGCGGAGAGAGCCCACTGGAGCTGGGGCTCGAAGGTAGCTAAGGGCTGAGAAAGGGTCTCTGAGATGGTGCAGAGATGCCTTTGCTCTCTGGCCTCACCAAGCCCAGGCACAGCCATCTTAGCCTCTGCTGCCTGACTCCAGCTTTCTGCGAGGGTCTAAAGAAAGAGGTTAAGTGGAGGTGGAGAAGGAGGCAGATTCCTGAAAGAAGTCTACCCAGGGGCTGCCCAGAAGTCACGCTCCTTTGACCCAGCTCAGCTTTTTCCATTCCAGAGGTGGAGACTATTAGACAGGGGCTCTCTTTTTACCTGGCATTAACACCTGCCGGCAAGGGAGTGCTTCAGGACGAAGTGGTGATCTTTCTGGGAGGTCACAGTGTGAATTAGTTATTTTTCTCTGCAGAGACCAGATGTTGTCTGAATTTGAAAAGCCTCGAGGCAGTCCTGATGCAAATGACCGGGACTTGTTTCCAATGTGCTCAGACAGGGAAGCTGCCCCTGCCCACTCGTGACACTCCCCATTTGAGGAGCTCAGGAGTTGGTGTGAAGCAACCGGGGTCCCCCCCCAGTGGCAGGTGGGATTAAACCATCCATCCTGACGGAGCAGGCCCTGCGTCTCACCAGGGAGAGAGCGCTCAGGCATACAGGAAACACTGACAAGCTGACATTTCAGCCTTTCAGGGAGCTCCTGCAGAGGAAGATAGAGATGTAAAAATGATACCATTAGCAGTAGACGATTTCCCACTCTGCCAGATTCAACTCCTTTCTTTGGTTGACCTTTTCTTCAACGAGAAAGCTTGGCTTTTAGAAACCAAGTCATTTTTCCCAAGGCCATGGACTGTGGGCTCCCAGGGGCAGAGCAGTCCCCCAGCCAGGAGGAGGAGGGGCAGCTGGATTTATAACAATCACGGCAGGGTGGAGCTGCAGGCTGCCGCTTTAGCTTCCGAGAGGAAGGAAACCTTTCACGCCCTTAAGAGCTTAAAAAACCCAGCTTGGATTGCACAGGGAAAAAACTCTCTCCATTCAGTCCAGGTGTGTCGACCTCTATAGTTTCTACCAGCCAATGAAGGAGGCCTGATTTCTTGAATCATAACAGCTACAGAATCCGCAACATGCCAGCATTACAGACTTCTTTTTGCCAGTTTGCCTTTGGCCCTATTAAGCAACAACGGCCAGCACTCTCTCCCACCGGGCAGGGCTGGTTTCATGCGTGTGCAATTTGTGCACAGGACCTCACACTCAGAAGGGCCCTGTGTTTGGTTTAATGCTCTGTGCTTGTTGTCTTGAAATTCTTACTACTTTTTGAACAAAGAGCCTGTTTTCGTTTTGTACTGGGCCCTACATGTCACTGGTCCTGAATGCCAGGCACCCTCTGCCCCTACCCTTTACCTGGAAAATCCCTCAGCTTTGACTCTCAGCTTCAAAGTCTCTTCCACAGGAAGCCCGCATCAGTTGCATCAGTTGTAATGTTGATAATTATAACAACACGATCAACATCAGCTGAATCTTTACTGTGTTATGCCCTGAGCTACATGGTTTCTATGGATTTTCTCATTTCATCCCCTCAACAACCCTATGGGCATTATTATTATTATTATTATATTATTTTTTGAGACGAAGTCTCGCTCTGTCGCCAGACTGGAGTGCAGTGGCGCGATCTCGTCTCACTGCAACCTCTGCCTCCTGGATTCAAATGATTCTCCTGTCTCAGCCTCCTGAGTAGCTGGGACTACAGGCGCATGCCACCACACCCAGCTAATTTTTGTATTTTTAGAAGAGTTGGGGTTTTACCATGTTGGCCAGGATGGTTGCGATCTCTTGACCTCGTGATCCACCTGCCTCAGTGGGCATTATTATTATTCACACTTTGGAGATCAGGAAACTGACAGAAACTTAGCCCACCAATTATTGTCCAGGTTTACCAGCCGGCAATGCTTCCCCTGCATCGTATTCATCATATTTCACTGTAATGACTTGATATCTGTCTTCTTCACTGGACAACATGAGTCAATGTCTTGTGTGTTCTCTGTTGAATCCGTAGCCTCAAGCACAGTGCTTGGCTAGGTGCGCTCTAGAGAAGGGAGGGAGGAAAGTTGCTGTCCCTTCCTCCCATGTGACTATATTTTTAAAGAACACAGCACTGATACAGGTCAACACAAAAATAGACAAATGAAAACGCATTCTGAACAACCACTAAAATAAAAGCATCCCACTCTTTTTTCAATCATCCTCTATTTGTTGAGCTTCTGCCATTTACTAAGCACTGGACTAGGTGTTGGGGTACAGTGGTGAGCAAAGAGTGACCTCTGCTATCACAGAATTTACAGTGAGTGGAGAGACAGAAATTAACCATCTCATCCACTCACAGATGTCAGACTGTGTGTGTGACCGTGCCACAAAGAGGAGGTGCACAGTCCAGGAGAGTCTATGACAGGGGGATGTGACTTGGTTGGAAAGGTCAAATGACCTGAGAATTTAAAGTGAGCAAGGGCCGGGCATGGTGGCTCATGTTTGTAATCCCAGCACTTTGGGAGGCCGAGGCGGGCGGATCACCTGAGGTCAGGAGTTTGAGACCAGCCTGGCCAACATGGTGAAGCCCTGTCTCTACTTAAAAAAAAAAAAAAAAATACAAAAAATTAGCCGGGTGTGGTGGTGGATGCCTGTAATCCCAGCTACTTGGGAGGCTGAGGCAGGAGAATCACTTGAACCCAGCAAGCGGAGGTTGCAATGAGCTGAGATTGAGCCATTGCACTCCAGCCTGGGCAACAAGAATGAGACTCTGTCTCAATAAATAAATAAATAAATAAATAAATAAATAAATAAAGTGAGTAGGACTTATCTAGAAAAAGGAGGAAGGAGCATCCCATGCAGGGGGAATACTGCAGGCAGAAACTTTTGGGAGGAGGGAGCTTGGACACACTTCTAATGGCTGAAGAGGTCAATGGGTTGGGAGATGCAGCCAGACAGTGCAGGATCACAGGCAGTTTCAGGAATTTTGTCTTCGTTTTAACAGCAATGGGATTTTAAGCAGGAGATATGACTTATGTTTTGTAGAGGTTACTCTGCTGGCAGTGTGGAGAATGCATTGATGGGGAGGGGCTGAGTGAATGTAACGTGGACCTCATAGGTTTACATATGTGCTACTTCAAAGTGTTTATCCCCATGGGATTCATGTTGAAGGCAAATTCCTTTGACAAAGGAGCTCATCTGCGGTGACAAGGAGGACCCTTGGACATCTCAAGGAGATGCCACTTATTGGGGAGGGTATGTGGCTGGCACTATGCTCACCTGGCCTCCTCCACACTCTGTGAGGAGCTGTGACTGGATTCAGTGTGTACATGGGATTTGTGGATTTTCTGGTGGCTGGCAGGAAGACCTGCAGGGTCACTTTCCTAGCTACTAAACAAGCTGCAATAGCCTACTACCCTTTCACATTCTGCCCAGAACCCAGGAAGCCTGCACCTTCAACCAATTTTTTGATGGATCTTGTTCATCTGCAGATAGCTGGGGAGACTTAGGGGCTGGGCAGCTGTCCATTCAAGGAGCACACTAACCTACCATAATTGGGACATGAAAACATGGCCATTTATAATTTCAGTATTTAAATGTCCCAACCAAGAGGAACAACCCCTGAGACTACTCCTGGCCAAGGAGTCAGCATGGAGCCTTTTAGGGCCTACTGGAGACAAAGGTTCTGCCAGAGACAAAAATTCTTCTTCTCCTGGGGACAAAGCGGGCTGCCAGGGGAGTGAGCTCTGCTGTAGGAGAAAGACTCAGAGGGCTTCATTTTAATCTTGTCTCTTACATCAACTTGCGTTGTTTTCTTGGGGTAGTCTCATGACCTCTTAACCTGAATTTCTTCAACTGTAAATTGAAGGGTCTAAACAAAATAATTTCTTTCAGTTCCAAAGTTCTGAAATTCTTTATTGAGAACTTCTCGGTGTGATGGAGTGGCTTTCGATCACTAAGAGATCTGTGTTTTATCAAAATAGCCCAGCACTGGTCATTGTGGCTATGAGGAACAGGGCAATAAAATGCTGGTACATTCCAACCGTGAGCACCTGGGACCCCTGGATACTCCAAGACCTTTGATCATCACTGTATGTGCCAGCAGATCTTTGCCTTTACTTATTTCCACAGTCTTTGTTTTTTACCTTCACTTATAGTTGTGTCTATCCTGCAGCCATTCTTATCTAAAACAGAAATTCATATATGTTCCATGCACCATTAGTTTTCCCTTTCAAGTTTTTCTTTTTAAACTGATGAAAGTGTCCTGTTTTTAAAAGCTATGTTTCCTTCCACCCAAACTCACAGGTACAAGGGATTTAAAGGCAACTGTTCCATGACCTTCATTGATCAGTTTAAAGCACTACACCAGTGTAACAAGTATTGCAAAATGCTGGGACTGAAATCCCTTCAAAACAACAACCAGAAACAGAAGCAGCCGAGCATTGGGAAAAGCAAAGTTCAAACAAACTCTATGACAATAAAGAAGGCAGGGCCTGAGACCCCAGGCGAAAAGAAAACCTAACGTCCCTGGGTAACCTAATGGCCACTGGCTAGCAGCACACAATCTCGCCAGGGAAAATCTGAGGCCACACAGGAGAGAATATACAGCCTGCAGAGAGTGCGTGGCAATCCTTACTCCCAGCCGACTGTGCGCCAAGATGCTTCTAAACCCATCACCTGCTGTCTTCACTCAAATGATTTCAGAACAGGATTTGCGACCAGGTTTATGGGGAGATTGAATCAACGATTGGTCTCAAAGACAGTCCATTCTTTATATACATGTTTAGCATTTTTACCAACCTCACATCATGTGTATATTTGTGTATTTGCACATGGTTGTGCTGTCGAGGACCTGGTGCTGAGAAGAGTCTGTTCACAGCCAAAATTCTTCCCACTGTCATTCCTAACCTGGGATTTCTAGACACATCCTGCTGTGATGTAAACAGAAATCACGAATTCGCTCACTGGATCAAGTTGTTCCACTGGTGTCTAATACGCTATTGTTGCCGGAGGTGGGTTCTGTGACGTGAAGCCATTTCCCATCATTCAACAGCCAGTTACAATTTTCTGTTTAATTAAATTCATATTTAAACAAAAAGTGTAAGATGTGTATATCATTATAGACACTTGCTCTTTAGAGTGTGTGCCGTATTTTACATTGTTTCAGGATTTGGTAATTTCCTAATAGGTTTCCTAGAGCACAAAATATTTGCATCTGTGGTTTCCCCTCATTCTTACATTACAACTTAGGTTCCATTGCTTTCTACTTTGTTCCTTAAACCCGAGCTGCCTAAACCCAGGGCTGACCCATGGTGGATCGCGCCAGAAGATGTAGGCCAGAAGATGCATGCTAATCCTGGCGGGGGTGCACCAATTCACAGGGATCCTGGCATCTCTAACCACTCCCAGCCCTCATTCCACTTGAGTCTCCTGACACTCAGAGCCTCCTTCCCTACCAGTTTGGGTCATGCCCAGCCGTAAAGCAGGATGGCTGCCTCAGTGAAATGTGAAATTGGGCAAGAGCAAACTATACAATAGCAACTCAGGGACCACTTTATATACCCCAAAATGCTTAAGAATATCCGCTGCCCCAACTATTTGCAACAACAATATTCTTGTTTCATTAATGGGAATGTTAATGGTAATGTTGTTTCATTAATAGACTATTTTTCAGAATTGTTTTAAATTTACAAAAAATGAGCAGAAAGTGTGGAGATTTCCTATGTGTCTCCTCACCCCACTCTACGATTTTCCCGTTACAAACATTTTGCATTATTGTAGTATGTTTGTTACAATTGATAAGATAATATCGATACCTTTTTTTTTTTTTTTTTGAGATGGAGTCTCGCTCTGTTGCCCAGGCTGGAGTGCAGTGGCGCGATCTCGGCTCACTGCAACCTCTGCCTCCCAGGTTCAAGCGATTCTCCTGCCTCAGCCTCCCAAGTAGCTGGGATTACAGGCACATGCAACCACACCTGGCTAATTTTTGTATTTTTAGTAGAGACGGGGTTTCACCATGTTGGCCAGGATAGTCTCGATCTCCTGACCTCAGGTGATCCACCTGCCTCGGCCTCCCAAAGTCCTGGGATAACAGATGTGAGCAACCGCGATATGTTGTTATTAATTAAAGTTTATAGTTTATATTAGGGCTCACTCCTGGTGTTGTACATGCTGTGGGTTTGGGCAAATGTATCATGACAGGTATCTACCATTATAGTAACAAACAGAATACCTTCACTGCTCTAAAATTCCCCAGTACTTCACCGATTCATCTCTCCCTTCCCCAACCCCCCAACCCCTGGCAATCACTGATGTTTTCATTATCTTCATAGTTTTGCTTTTTCCTGAATGTCATATAGCTGGAATCCTATGTGGCCTTTTCCATAGTTTGCTGTTTCTTAAGACAGATTTCATCTGCTGGACAGCTGGGAGAATTATAGCGCCACTTCTGAGCAGGAGGATGGATGCTTCGCAAACCTGAATGTGCACAGGAATCCCTGGATCTTGGGAATATGCAGGTTCTGATTGGGTAGGTTTGTGGCGGGGCCTGAATTCTGTGTTTCTATCACACTTTCTGGGGATCTCCTGTGGCTGCCGGGGATCACACTCAAAGAGGCAGTCTAGACTATGGGCAGGAGGGCCCTGAAATGCTGAGAGGAGTACCTTGGCCTCCTGGAGTTCAGATAGTCTGGCCAAGGAAAGGCCCAGCTCCTTCTGGGTTCTGATGTGTGAGGAAGCAGCTTGACAGCAGGACGGAGGTGCCACATGAGGCATCCACCACAAGCAATGCTGCCAACACAGAGATTTCTGTATGCAGCCCCCTTACGGAGGGGTGGTTGGCTCTCAGTGGAAGACTCCTGGCTTCTTCTACTTTAACATATACTATTCTCAGCCAGCCGCAGTGGCTCACGTCTGTAATCCCAGCACTCTGGAAGGCCAAGGTGGGTGGATCACTTGAGGTCAGGGGTTCGAGACCAGCCCAGCCAACATGGTGAAACCCTGTGTCTACTAAAAATACAAAAATTAGCTGGGTGTGGTGGGAGGCGCCCATAATCAGTTACTGAGGCTGAAGCAGGAGAATCACTTGAACCTGGGAGGCAGAGGTTGCAGTGAGCTGAGATTGCACCACTGCACTACAGCCTGGGCAACAGAATGAGACCCTGTCTCAAAAAAAAAAAAATATATATATATATTTTTGTACTTTTTTGTATTTTTATGCTTAGAGAATAGTGCGTATGTGTGTATATATATATATATATATACATATATATATATATATATATACACATACATGAAAAATCCCACTTGTGTTTCCTTTCTTATCAAAATCTGGTACCTGAGAATAGTATATAGTGTATATACAGTATATATAGTGTATATATAGTATATAAGTATATATAAGTATGTATTATATATAAGTATATATACGATATATCTGGTACCTGATATATCTTATATATATATCTTATATATAGTATATATACTTACATATAGTATATAGTGTATTTATACTATATACTATCGTGTATATATGCAGTATTATATTATATAAGTATATATATTATATATACTTATATATATACTTACATATATATGTAGTGTGTACCTATATTATATATACTTACATATATAGTATATATATTATATATACTTATAGTGTATATACTTAGTGTATATATATACACAATAGTATGTGTGTGTGTGTGTGTGTATGTATATATATATATATATATATATACACATGCTATATACTACTCTCAGGCACCAGATTTTGATAAGAAAGGAACCACAAATGGGATTTTTCTTTTGTAAAGGGATTTGAAGGAGAAAATACTTCATTTAGTCACCTGTCATCTTTTTCAGAAAATCTGCCCTTTCTAGCCTTTCTGCTGAAGTGGTTCCCATGGCTTACAGATTATAAAATGCTTATTTTTCTACAAGGCAGCCTATAGCCTGCTTTGCCCACAGAGATCTTACAGATGTGTTTAGCAGTGAAGTTCTAGAAAGTTCCACAATAGCAAAAGGTACAGTGCACATTTTGATTGGATTTATCTATGTGTCTAATCATCTAGCTGTATCTCAGTGTGGGTGTGACCAAGGCCTTCTTGACAGACTAGGGTACTGTCTTGGGTAATGATTTGTAATTATCAAAATAATGTCAACACAAGTCTGAAAAATTAAAAACAAATTACAGAAAAGTATGAAATGGAAAGTCAAAACCATCCTGTGAAAAGGATGAAAAAGCCACCCCTCTTCCCCTCCAGCTGGCCTTGAATCTTCATTTGGAGAGAGAGTGGAGGAAAAGGATTTCCTACTCCCAGATTTCATGTTTTGCGGTCAGCCCAGGGGGTGCCTCTCTTGGATGGAGCCATCCTAGCCTCCTTTCACAGATGCTGTTTTAGAAGTCCCTTTTTTGTTTATTGTAATCTGATTTCATCTTTAAAAACATTTGGGTCGGGCACGGTGGCTCACTCCTGTAATCCCAGCACTTTGGGAGGGCAAGGCAGGCCAATCACCTGAGGTCAGGAGTTCAAGACCAGCCTGGCCAACATGGCGAAACTGTGTCTCTACTAAAAATGCAAAAATTAGCCAGGCGTGGTGGCAGGCACCTGTAATCCCAGCTACTTGGGAGGCTGAGGCAGCAAAATTGCTTGAATGCGGGAGGTGGAAGTTGCAGTAAGCCGAGATTGCACCACTGCACTCCAGCCTGGGCAACAGAGTGAGACTCCGTCTCAGAAGCAAAAACAAAAACAAACAAAAAAATTCCCCACACATTTGGAGGACAGGGACAGAAGGAGCTCTCACAGTTGGATCTGTCCCAGCCAGAGAGCATAGGGATGGCCTTGTGTATGGCCACGGCCATCTGTCCAGCCATCCCTCTCCTGTTCTGAGATAAAGTGCTGTTTTCCTTGCCCAGACAAATAACAGGGTAAGCGTGGAGTGGGTTCTCTTACACCAAAGGTGTTGTCCTAGGGGTTCAGAAATGCCCACGCTCATTGACGTTGTTTTAGTTCAATTTGGAACACATCCAGTCCTCTTGATTTTCCCATTTGTCTTCATAAATGTGCAGTGTTAGGAAGACTAAATACAATGAATGCTCAACCCAGGGACTGAGCCAGGAAGCGCCGTGGATCCAGCTGGGGATTGTGTCCCTTCCTGGTGCCTGCAGGGTGGTCATTTACATATATGACTTAGTCTCCAGAAGGGCTCAACCATGGAGCTCCCTGACGGGTGGATCAGAAAAACGAGTGAAAGCTTCACTACAAGGGGCCTGTGTTTTCAACAGCACGTTTCTCATGAATGAGGATGGCAGGGAAAGGATGACTTCTTGCCAGTGGGTATCCTGTCTGGAACGTCCTGGTTTTGGATGCGTGGCTGGCTAGCTGGTATTCATATCTCGTGTTCTTTTCTTGTACTGCCTCTCAGCCATGCATCTGACAAGCTTCATTAAGAGCAGGGGGTTTCAATAGAGTCTAATGAAAGAGAATGCCCAAAGAAGCAACAATTATTTTCTAATTATAAAGTGCTCTCTCTTCTATTATAAACAGACATACGGTTTTGTGCGTGTATCAGGCATGTGCTCAACTGGGTGCAGCTGGGAGGGGCCTGCCAACAACCCGGTCTTGGCTTGTTTTCCTGGTGTATGTTCTGCTCCTTCTGACCACAGATGCCAAAGTGAACAGGATGGCATTTCTCCCCCATTTAGATCTGCAGATGTGCTTGAGCTTAACTACTTAAAAAAAAAAAAAATCAAAGAGACACAAAAACCTCTCATGCTTCCCAGCACAGGATATATCTTCCAACTCTTTGCTGCGGCAGATCTGAAACCCTCTGAGAGCCTGCTATTGCTATTTTGTAAAAGCTGCGAGGCGAGATGGAAGCCAGTTTCATCTGTGAGATCACTGGGCACAGCCTTCAAACGAACAAATATTTACAAGCACTAATTGTGCCAATACATCAGTCATTTTAAAAATTCTGTTTTTCATGAGACCCACACAGTCCCAGATAGAAATCATCTCAGAGACTTTTTTTCAAAAGTCACTTGGTTTTGATTACATACGATCAAGAAAAGCCAGTCTATCAGCTCCCGTTGCAGGGCCCAGAAGCATCAGAGACCATTTGGCTGAGAGAACTCACCTCCACTGCCCGCTTTGCCCCGGCCTTTCCTCTTTCTCCCTCTGCAGCTGTGTGGAATGGCAAGCTCATGGCTTGCTACTTTCCAGTGATCAGTTCCCCTCAGGACTTTCTTTGGTGTCTGTATTGAATAATCCCAGGGCTGCTGAAATGAAGTACCACACCGGGAGTGTGGCTTGAACATCAGGATGAATTGCCTTCCAGTTCTGGAGGCCAGAAGTCCCTATAGATGAAGGTGCCAGCAGGGCCGTGCTGCCACTGAAGGTGCCGGGGAGGCATCTGTTTGGGGCCTCTGTCCTGTCTCTCCGAGCTTCTGGGAGTTCCTGGGCCTGCAGCCGCATAACTCTAGTCTTCACATAGCGCTCTCCCTGTGTGCATGTCTGTGTTCAAATTTCCCCTCCTTATTTTATTTTGATACAGGGTCTTGCTCTGTTGCCCAGGCTGGAGTGTAGCACTGTGATCATGACTCACTGCAGCCCTGACCTCCCAGGCTCAACCAATCCTCCCACCTCAGCTTCCCAAGTTGCTAGGACTACAGGCACTCACCACCATGCCTGGCTAATCTTTTTCTTCCTTTCTTCCTTCCTTCTCTCTTTCCTTCTTTCCTTTCCTTTCTCTTTCTTCCTTTCCTTTCTTTTCCTTTCCGTTTCCCTTTCTTTCTTTCTTCCTTCTTCCTTTCTTTTCCTTTCCCTCTTTCTTCCTTCTTTTTTTGGTAGAGATGGGATTTCCCTATGTTCCCCAGGCTGGTCTCAAACTCCTGGCCTCAAAAGATCCTCCCACCTCAGCCTCCCAAAGTGCTGGGATTACAGGAATAAGCCACTGTGCCCAGATCAAATTTCCCCCTTTTATAAGAACAGCAGTCATATTGGATCAAGACCCACCCTGCAGACCTCACTTTCTCTTGGTAACTAACCTCTCTTCAATTAATGCTACATTCTGAGGTGTAGGCTTCAACAGAGGAGTCTTAGGGGGAGATGATTCAGCCCATAACAGGGTCCTCATCTTTCACTGCCACATCCACTTCCAGGCGTTTGTTCAGGCTCAAAGTCCAGGTCAGTGGAATAGAGATGGTGTCTGTACTGCCCCTCTGGTGCCACCTTTTCCCCTGGCATCATGGTGGGCACCTGGCTCACAGAAATATTCCCCAGCTTTCTCAGAGCCCACCCACACCTCCAGCTCTCACCATTCCCAAAGAAAGAGAATCATCTGCATGCTTGGGCTTCCTTTCCCATAGTTTTAAAGAAATCTCTCCCTTTCTCAAAAGCTGGAAAGATACATATCATCATCTGTAGCACAGCTGTCCCCAAATCCCAGGACCCAGGAGGTGGCCACGCTGCCTTTTCCCTGTCCCAGCCCTTCCACGGTGTGACCTCAGCATCCTAAGTGGAAAAGCTGTCCTCAGTGCTCTCTGACTCAGGGCCAATTTCAAACTGTAGCACTTGGACCAGCTTATTGAAATGGAAAACAAATGATACCACTGCCTTGAGCTCTCATCTTCCCTCCCTGCTAAATTCCCACACTTAGTTCGTACCATTTTCTGTACCATCCTCTGATATACTATGTGGTTTATTTTCTTTAGTGTTTGTCTCCCACATTCAAATGTAAGCTCTATGAGGACAGCGATGTTTCTCTCTTTTGTTTACTGATGCATCCCTAACACCTAGAAGTGTCTGGCACATAGTATGTGCTCAAAAAATATTTGAATCAATTGCTGTGTCATCTCTGTCCTCCCCCATCCAATTCACATGTGTGGTCCATGTTTAGCTGCAGATACTCATCTCAGACTTGTGACTGGGATTGTAGCTGTTTTTCATTTCTCTGTGCATTGCATGTACTTCCACAAAGTTCATTCATTTTGTTCATATTGGTGAATTTGAGGATGAGGATTAGTGAAAACCCATTGCTTATTTCATCTAACATAGAAGCCCTACACCAACCCACCTGGCCTCCCCTCTTCTGACTGTGGCACCCTGAAGTCACCCTCCCGTCTCTTGTCCTCAAGCTACTCTCCTAGCTCAGAGCCGATTCCCTTTCCTTGGGAAGTACTTGAGGTACAATACTTATCTCCACTTCTCCTCATCTCTTTCAAGAATCTTTTCTAGTCTTCACTCTCCCCGACCCTTTTTTGGTGGCTCTATAAGTAACTGACTGTGATGGTCAGTTTTAAGTGTTAACTTGACTGGGTCATGGGGTGCCCGGATATTTGATTAAACATTATTCTGGGTGTGTCTATGGGGGTGTTCCTGGAGGAGACTGACATTTGAATTGGGGGACTCAGTAAAGCAGGTGGCCCTCCCCACTGTGAGAAGGCCTCATCCTATCCATTGAGGGCCTGAATAGAAAAAAAAAAAAAGGTGGAGGAAGGGAGAATTCACTTTCTCTGACTGCTCGAGACAGACATTGATCTTCTCTTGTCCTCGGACAGGGACTTAACACCATTGGCTCTCTGATTCTCAGGCCTTTGGGCTCAGACTGGAACTACACCACTGGCTTTCCTGGGTCTCCAGCTTGCAGACAGCAGATTGTGAGACTTCCCAGCCTCCATAAGCCCACTAGCCAATTTCTTACAATAAAGCTTTTTATATATTAAATATTATATATTATATATGTATGTCCTCCTTGCATAATCCCAGGAGCTGCTCTTCATGTACGAAAATGGGAATGCTGCCCCCTGGAGTTGTGCAGCACGCCAGCTATGAATGTTAGAACTGTCACACCTGAGCATGTCTATATATTATATATAAAAAGATTTATAACGAGACCTGTTATATGAATATCCTCTTGGCTCTGTTTCTCTGGAGAACTCTAATACACTGGCAAAAACCCAGCCTTGCTTCCTTCTCCATATTTGCCCAGCTGATTCTAAAATTACTAAGAAGCCTAGGGCAGAAAGGGGTAAGATTAATCTGGGTACAGTCACCTCCTTGCACAATCCTAGGGGCTGCTCTTTATATAGGAGAATGAGAACGTTGCCTCCTGGAGCTGTGCAGCATGCCAGCTGTGAACTTCCCCCAGCTCTGCTGCTTCCAGTCTTCCTTATCACAGGCAGCTCCTTCCCTCCAGCCGGCCAATCCCAAGCACTGGCAGCTTCTGTTTTCCTCATGCATCACATCTACTCCATCATTAAGTCCTGTTCCCTTCGCTTCAACTTATATCCAGCACCACCTGTGTCCCCGCTTCGCTGATCCAGGCACCATCACATCCATCTGGCTTTCTGCAGTGGCCTCTCGACTTGTGTCCAGAATCCTGTCCTTGCCCCTCCTTCAGGCCATCCACCACTGAACAGCCAGGGTGATCCTGTTGAAACCAGAGTCAGAAGATGCTGCTCGTCTTCTTAGAACTTCTGATAGCCTCTCATCTCCCTCTGCATGAAGCCCAAATGCATCCCAAAGGCCAATGAGACACTATACTATCCCAAATGCCTCTCGTCTCATCTTCCCACTTCTGTTCTCAGTTCCAACAACATTGATCATCCTGCTGTTCTTGGAACACTCCTGCCTCAGGGCCTTTGCACTTGCTATTCCCTCTGTCTGGACCATTCCTCTCCAGATATCCACCACCTTCTAAGGCCTTTGCTCAAAAGTCACCTTCTCAGAAAGTTCTTCCCTGAAACCATAGGGAAAGTGACAAGCTCCCTCCCCAGGCTCTTTATCCTTCTTCCACCTTTATTTTCCTTTATTTTTTTTTTTTTTGAGATGGAGTCTCACTCTGTCACCAGGCTGGAGTGCAGTGGTGAGATCTCAGCTCACTGCAACCTCCACATCCCAGGTTCAAGCGATTCTCCTGCCTCAGCCTCCCGAGTAGCTGGGACCACAGGCATGCACCACCATGCCCAGCTAATTTTTGTATTTTTAGTAGAGATGGGGTTTCACCGTGTTGGCCAGGATGGTTTCAATCTCTTGACCTCGTGATCCACCCACCTTGGCCTCCCAAAGTATTGGGATTACAAGCATGAGCCACCGTGCCTGGCCCCACCTTTATTTCTTTAGCCTTTATTATCATGTGACATCATATACATTTTACTCTTTAATTGTCTATCTTCCCCACACCAGAAAGTAAGTTTCCTGTGGGCAGGTTATGTTTTTTTCTGGTTTATTTACTGCTGCAGCCCAGTACCTAGAGATGCTTGGCACATTGCTCACTCTAATGAACATTTGTTCACTGGATGGATACCTCTGACCCATCCATGCTGGTGTTCTCTGATGGAGAGGTAGAGGTTCTTGCTTATGGCAATTTGGTTTGGTTAAAAATCTCTGGCTTCTTTAGATCCCTTAGCATGAGATAACGGACTTGAAGAGCCTTCTAAAGCAGGACGGCAGCATTGCGAGACTAAGGTACCTAGTCTGAATAAAACCGCTGGGCTCCAATCTTGGTTCTGACAATTACCAGCTACAAGAGTTTGGAGAGTTAATCTCTCTACTTCATCCCCACGCTGTTTTTAGGTAAATGCAGCTTGATCAATAGCTCTTCCAGATTTCTGCTCCTTTTCCATCTTTCAGAAAAAGGTGAATTTTGAACAGGGCATAAAGGGAGGTGAGAGATCAGCAAAGAAAGAAAGGTACTCCCTGTGGGGAGACTCTCAAGAACCATGGTTCAGAAGCAAGACTAAGATGATGTTGGGAAACAACTAGCAAATATTCCTGAAACGGGAGAGATATTACATTGAGCCATGGAGGAGGAGCAGCAGGCTGGGGACATGCATAAGGCAGGGGCTTTGCTGATTGGTCAGGGGTCCAGGCTTATTTCTGTGGGCTTCATGGGGCACTGGGATTCAGCCATGGGCATGGGCTGAACATCTGGAACCTGAAGAGCATAGTGCTTGCTCAGACAGGAGGCAGGATGGAGGAGCAGAGAGCAGGGTTCCTGACCATGTGAGGCATCTCCGGACCAACAAGCAGGAGAGGGCACTGGGACACCAGCAAGGCACAGGTCTAGAGGGGCTCAGGAGCAAATCCTGGGAAGGCATGAATGACCCAGTGCAATGGACTAAATGTCTATGTCCCCCATAAAGTACATATTTGAAATCCTCACCCCCAAGGTGATGGTATTAGGAGATGGGGACTCTGGGAGGTGATTAGGTCAGGAGAGTGGAGTCTTCATGAACAGGATTAGTGCCCTTATAAAAAAGGCCCCAGAGAAACTCCTCATCTCTCCCACTATATGAGATAACATTGAGAAGACACCATCTATGGACCGGGAAGCCAGCTCTGTCCAGACACCAGACCCGCCAGCACCTTGATCTTGGGCTTCCCAGCCTCCAGAATGGTAACAAATTTTTGGGTAATTTAAATTACCCAGTCTGTGGTATTTTGTTATAGTGGCCCGAATGGACTGAGATACCCAGAGACAGAAGGGAGAAAGAAAGCAGAAAGCAAACTAGGCTGATCCATTCCAGCATCTGGAAACTTCCTTCTTGACACAGCCTCCTCAGGGCTCTACGGGGTAGCAGCCGGCTGAAGGGGGACGGCAGAGAACAGCTCGTGCTAGGAAAATCCAGGCATCTCTGTCAGGCAGATGCATTTCAACTGTAGGAGCCACTGTTTGCAGGTAGCCTCAGACATTTCTAACAATCAACAGAAATTTTCACTCTAAAAAGTTGGTTCCCTTGGCACTGTTATGGCTTCCCAGGAGAGTTTTGGCTTATCACTTATGTCTGTATTTGCACATCTTGCTAATAGTGCCTCATGATATGGTCTTGAAGATCAATGTAGTCTTTACTATTGTTTCTAAGTCTGTGTTACAGGAAATCAATAATTCAAACAAATCCCTTGCCACACCAGACCAAGAGTTTAAATTAGATGTGGTTCTGTGTCCACGAATTACCTTCCTCCTCTCTCCCTCCCAGTGGTGGACTTCAGACGAGGAAGAAAAACTGCCTCGCACGGGAGAACTTAATGAGATGAATCTACTTGCCCCTACCTTCTTCTCTGCCCTAGCGATTTCACCTCCTTGAGCCCCCAATGCCCTGTATGTTCATTTTATGTAGCAGGTGGCATCCTGAAAACCCGGATCAAGCAAAATTCTCTTCCACCAAGCCCTATTTTAAATATCCTGGAGGAAGAGGAGGCTCCTCCTTAGAAAGATCCTCCTGCTCAGTTTGAATCGTGAGGTAAGGCTCACCGTCAGGTCTGGGGATACTGGGCATTATCTTTGGTCCTTAGGCCAGTATTACCTAAAGAATAAGAAGTTTTAGGCCAGGCATGGTGGCTCACATCTGTAATCCCAGCACTTTGGGAGGCCAAGACAGGTAGATCACTTGAGCCCAGGAGTTCAAGATCAGCCTGGACAACACGATAAGACCCCCGTCTCTACAAAACAGAAAAAATAGCCAGGCATGGTGGCATGTGTTTGTAGTCCCAGTTACTCAGGAGGCTGAGGTGGGAGGATGGCTTGAGCTCAAGAGTTCGAAGCTACAGGGAGCTGAGATCACACCACTGCACTCCAGCCTGGGCAACAGAGTGAGACCCAGTCTCAAAAAGAAAAAAAAAAAAGTGTAAAAGGCAAATATGGCATTTTTCTTTGAATTTCATTCAATTACTGGAATAAGCCTCTCAGTTTGTACCTTTTATTTGGCATTTTTCCAGAAACTTTTTTCTTGGTTCTCTCCTTATCTTTTATATCTCCATTCAAATATCACTTTCTCAAACAGCCCTTCCCTCCTCAACCCACCAAATCAATCTTTCTAAATCTTAGCTGGGCATTGGACTATCAGGGAGTGTCAGAAAATAATGATGCCAGGGTCGGGCATTGTGGCTAGCACTTTGGGAGGTCGAGGAAGGCAGATCATTTGAGGCCAGGAGTTCGAGACCAGCCTGGGCAGCATAGCAAGATCCCATCTCTACAAAAAATCAAAACATTAGCCAGGCATGGTAGTGTGTGCCTGTAGTCCCAGTTACTCAGGAAGCTGAGGCAGGAGAATCACTTGAGCACAGGAGTTCGAGGCTTCAGTGAGCTATGCACTCCAGCATGTGTGATGGAGCAAGACTCTGTTTCAAAAACTAAACAAAAACAGAAAAGAAAATGATGCTAGGTCTCACCCCAGAGCTTCTGATTGAATTGGTCTGGGATGTAACCAGGACATAGAGATTTTGGACTGATTTTTAATCATATTTGGTGCTAGGATTTGGTACAACTGTTTACAGGGGACTGGCCCATGTGGACCCCCCTTGCTTTTATATTCAAGTTACACGTAGCTATGGCCAAAGCTTACAGAAGTATTGTCTCCATCTTCACCAATGTTTCCCTGAGATTTGGTGGCATAAGCGACCAGTACAACACACATGGGGATACCTCCGTTTAAGTGCTTATCCTTGACCAAGTCACCAAGGAAGAACTCCAGGTCAAGAATTCTGGAAAAGGAATATCTAAGGCAGTTATTTAGTTTTTCATTATTTATTTATTTATTTTGAGACAGGGTATCTTTCTGTTCCCAGGCTGGAGTGCAGTGGTGCGATCTCGGCTCACTGCAACCTCTGCCTCCCGGGTTCAAGCGATTCTTGTGCCTCAGTCTCCTGAGTAGCTGGGATTACAGGCATGCGCCACCACACATGGAAAATTTGTATTTTTAATAGAGACAGGGTTTCCCCATGTTGGCCAAGCTGGTCTTAAACTCCGGACCTCAGGTGATCTGCCCGTCTCAGCCTCCCAAAGTGCTGGAATTACAGACGTGAGACACCGTGCCCAGCCTAAAGCAGTTATTTAAATGCAAAGCATTCCAGGGAAGAAGCCTACATTCAAACTCATTTTCCTGCAATGTCCAGTTCTGCCAAAATGCAAGTGATACAAAGAAATGGAAACATCACCTTTTAAATGTGAGGAAGTACATTCCTTGCAGGTCCAGGCCTGCTCACGGGTACAATAAACTGCTGCCTATGTGATTTGAGGTCAGGGAACCAAAATGCTCACCTGTCACAAAACACTCTTTATCCTTTGGTCACAAACCCAGAAAGTCAAACTTCTGGGTGGAAATGTTGCATCTCAAGAAATATGCCTCTTGGGATGCAGACTTGCTAGGGAGGATCACTCCTGCATCTCTTCCCATAGATTACCAGACAGCATGGCCCTAAGAGTGGTGGAGGTGGAGATGTTGATGTTGATAATGTACCGCTGGCCTCCTCCATTTGTAAGGAGCTGTTAATTCTTCCAAATGTGGATTAAGGCCGGGTGAGGTGGCTCAGACCTGTAATCCCAGAACTTTGGGAGGCTGAGGCAGGCGGATCACCTGAGGTAAGGAGTTCGAGACCAGCCTGGCTAACATGGTGAAAGCCAGTCTTTACTAAAAATACAAAAAATAGCCTGGCATGGTGGCACGTGCCTGTAATCCCAGCTACTCCAGAGACTGAAGAATAAGGATCACTTGAACCCAGGAGGCGGAGGTTGCAGTGAGCCAAGATCGTGCCACTGCACTTCAGCCTGGGCAACAGAGCAAGACTCTGTCTTAAAAAAAAATATATGTGGATTAAGCAGTTAAAAGCTTGACAATAATTCAGGAGAGTAATTCAGACATCTTAATCCTGCTTTTCCAAATGAGGGAACTCCATGCAGAGATGTTCAGTGAGTTTACCAGGAGTTGTTCATGACTCAGTGGCCAAGCCAGCACCCGAAATCACATCTTCTGACTCTCGGGTGTCTTATCCATCACTCTATCTTCCAGGAAGGATATTTTTGGTGATGCACCCCAAAGATAAGCCCCAGCAACCTCTGGGAAAAATATCAAAGCACAGGAGGAGATACCCAAAAGAGACTCCCCCATCCACTTTTGCTGACCTCTCCTTTCTCCTAGGGTCCTACTGTGTCCCTACCCTCAAAGCTGGCCACCGACCTCGCAGGCCTCAGAGCTCCAGCCCATTTTTTTTCTCTGCACTGGGGATGAGACAGCAAGACTTCACATGTCAGGTCACCCCATCACTTAACATGGAATTTTCCATGGTGCTTATGTTTCATCAAGTAACTTTAATTGGTTCTAATTTTATCCTTTCATCCTTATTGCAGAGCAGCTCAATTGAATTGTCACATTCATGCTCAGACAACTAAAAAGTGAATCTCAGAGCTTTTATATAACATATATGCATATATTTATATCATCTATAGGTTCACATACAATGAGCAGGCCTCGGTGCATAGCATGAGGAGGTGATTCAAAGGTCGTTACTTTCTCCCCATGTTGTGAGTTGTCATTTCCCTCACCTTGTACAGAGCTGGCTTCTTGCCCAGACAGGTTGGCACTTGTATTAGTCTGTTTTCATGCTACTGGTAAAGACATACCTGACACTGGGTCAGTTATAAAGAAAAGGAGGTTTAATGGATTCACAGTTGCACGTGACTGGGGAGGCCTCACACTCATGGCAGAAGGTGAGGGAAGAACAAAGGCACATCTTACATGGTGGCTGGCAAAGAGAGTGAAAACCGAGTGAAAGGGGTTTCCCCTTATAAAACCATCAGATTGCATGAGACTTATTCACAACCATGAGAACAGTAGGGGAAAACCACCCCCATGATTCAATTATCTCCCACTGGGTCCCACCTACAACATGTAGCAATTATGGGAGCTATAATTCAAGATGAGATTTGGGTGGGGACACAGCCAAACCTTATCAGCACTCTTCAGATTTAGCCTGTGTTGGGGTCTGGGTGTGGGAGGGTTTCCACCACCATCCAGGGCCTCTCATACCCTGAATGCAGCTCTGAGAAAGAGGATTATTGCCTCGGCTACTGGAAGGGGAGGGCCACATGTGGCACTGGAAGAGGCCCAGGCTCAGCATGGTGGTGGGGGGGGCGGGTGGCGTCTGGACATCGTCTCCTGGACACTCCATGGGCCTGAGCAGTGAAGCTGCCATGGAAGTATCACCCCTCAGTGCCCAGGTAAACAGCTAATGCAGCTTTTATTAGATTGGTGCAAAAGTAATCGCGGTTTTTGCCATTACTTTTCATTGCAAAAGCTGTGATTACAATAAAATTCTAACAAACACTCCACAGCAACCACCCAAGCCTCCAGGGTGTGCCAGCATCCCCCCGCCAAGGGTTCCAATGTCCTACCCTTTCCCCATGCTCTGTGCTACGCCTGGCCCTGTGACCCTCCTGTGTCTCCCCTCTGGGCAGAAGAGAAGCTTCTGTGCTCTGCTTCATCCTTGATTCCAAGAAGCCTGTTTTGGGAAAAATAATTTAAAACCTTCTGCTCTTTGTTTTGTGCTGTCTTTTCCACGCCTACTATCCGTTGCTCCTCAAGGCTACATCACATCTCTGCTCTCCAGTCCCAGAGCAGTTTATATGAGGAAGAGAGAAAAAAGAAAATCACAAATAACACAATTCCAAGCCATCATCGTCTTGCCTCAAGCACCAGTTCAGCCCTTCACAGCCCTGCTCTTGCAATTGCATCTGCCGGGAATGCCCTGCCTTCGCTTTGCCCCAGGTCACATCTCTCTTTCTCCAGCCCCCTTCTCGGGTCCCCTTCTCCGTGCTCCCTTGCCCATGCCCTGGGCATGCTTTATGATGCCTCCATGCCGTTCATGGGGTCTCCACAAGACATCTGGGGTTGTCCTGGATTAGGTTCCCTCAGAAGCAGAGCTGTTGACAAGGGTTTGCATGCCAGCTGTTTGGGAGGTGATCCTAGGAAGCACAGTAGGTGGGGAAGAGAGCAGGCAGCCAGCAGCGCCTAGAGGGGCTGTTACCATGGTGGGCCCCTGGGACCTGTGCATGCCAGCAAAGAGCATGCATCTCACGGTTTTTCCCCAGGAGTGAGGCTCTATGCGCTGACTCCTGTCCATCACCAGAGGAGGATCTGGCACTTTTGCCACCTGTGCGTAGGCAAAGAGGCTTCTGGAAGCTAAAGCAAGCCTTCAGCAAAGAGATGCCAGTCCTGGTGGGGCAGTCAGGCTGCCTTAGCTCTGCAGGGGGAAAGCCCACACAGATATGGGCGAGCATCTGAGCTATGAGTTGCCTTTCAGTGCCAGGATTATTGCTTGTTTATTCATATATACATTTCTGTTGCCCCATTGAGGCCCTGATATGCTGTGGGTACCTATAAGATGAAAAGAACGAAGACAGGACAAACACCACCAAAATAGCTGCCTGGAACCATTAGCCAAAATGAGAGACGTGCGGAAAGCCTGCTAGATGATGCGTTGTTTTCCTCTCTCCAGAAGCCTATCTTTAGAGTTTCTCCATGTCTGGGTATCCCATCAGTGGAAACATGGCTGAAAACATTTAATTCTATTTTTTTAACGTATAAAAATCAACAACAGGCCAGGCATGGTGACTCATGCCTGTAATCCCAGCACTTTGGGAGGCTGAGGCAGGTGGATCACTTGAGGTCAGGAGTTCAAGACCAGCCTGGCCAACATGGGGAAACCCCATCTCTATCAAAAATATTAAAAAAAAAAAAATCAGCCAGGCATGGTGGCGTGCACCCGTATTCCCAGCTTCTCAGGAGGCTGAGGCAGGAGAATCACTTGAATCCGGGAGGCAGAGGTTGCAGTGAGCTGAGATGGCACCACTGCACTCCAGCCTGGGTGACAGAGCGAGACTTCAATTAAAAAAAAAAAAATCAATAACGGCTAACAAATCACATTAGCTGACTCAATCAGAGAAGAGACCAGAGAGAGTCAGGGAAGGGCAAATAGTCCTGCACCATATGAATCCAGCTGGTCTTGCCTGATACATAGGAAATGAACATCCCTCACTACTGCCTCCCTTAAATAAGGGTATTATGTTCACATGAAAACATTGATAGTATGTGTCTCTCTATTCCCTGTTACCTGAGAATTCCAGTGGACTTGCTCACCATGACGGGCCACAAAAGCACAGACAGGGAATACAGCAGATTGCCTAAGGGCTCTTCAGAACCAAGGATCACCTGAGAGGTGATAACTGAAGCCACAGCTTGGAGGTTCTTTCACCTAGATCCAGCCATGCCTGAATTCTACATACTCCTCATACTATTCAATTAGGTTAGACAATAAATTCCTTTTTGCTAAATCTAGTTGAAGTTGGGTTTCTATTCCATATGACCCAAAGAGTCCTGATTAACCCTCCACTCACTGTTTGCAGAAAAAAATTCCTCCTTGTCACAGCAGATCTCGTTCTCTCCAGATTCTACCCCCCAATTCACTGATTCACAGTGAAACCTTGAAACAAGTGCCCACCTCATTATAACTTCAAACACCTCAGAATCCTGGTGACTTCTCTGATTAGTCTCTTTCTGTCTCTGCCACCCCTACTTATCTTGACCACCCTCCCTACCCAACCCCACTACCCAGTCAAAGAAGGAAAGTGTAGACACAGCAGTTTTTATTAATTAAATGCCCCACAGCTTTCTGGGAAAGTTCTCTCCTAGTTTTGAGTCTAATATGGTTCTGTAGCACAAACCCCCCTAAATCATTCATCCATGAACATCCAAGGAAGATTTTTGTGACACTATGATGGTTGATTTTATGTGTCAACTTGATGGGGCCACAGGATGCCCATGTATCTGCTTAAACATTATTTCTGGTATGTCTGTGAAGCTGTTCATGGAAGAGGTTAGCATTTGAGTTGGTGAACTGAGGAAAGCAGTTGGCCCTCCCCAGTGTGGGTGGGCCTCGTCCAATCCACTGAGGGCCTGAATAGAACAAAAAGGTAGAAGAAGGTAACATTCCCTTTCTGTCTGACTGGGTGAGCTGGGACATCAAGCTTCAGCACCCTCGATTCTGAGGCCTTTAGACCAGATTAGAATTGACCCCATTGGCTCTTCACCTCTCAGGCCTTCCAACCTGCTTTCCTGGGTCTCCAGCTTGCAGACAGAAGATTGTAGGACTTCTCAGCCTCCACAATCATGTAAACAATGCCTTATAATACATCTATTTATAGAAATATCTTATTGGTTCTGTTTCTCTGGAGAACTCTGACTAATACGGAAATGGACTGATGGCTACTTACCCAATCTTCATTCTCTCTATTCAATATCCATTTCCCACTTCTTCCTTAATAACGGAACCCATATTCCTCTCAATGGCAAGATGCTCAGTTATAATACTGCATTTCCCAGACTCCCTTGCAGCTGAGGGTAGTCATGTGTCACAGTCCTGACCAATGAGATCTCAGCATAACTCTCTGGTTGGGGCTTCCAGGAGCATTCCTTACAGAAGATTAAACAAGAGAGCAGCTATTCTCTTTTTCCCTCATTCTTTAAGTTTTTCCTTCCTGGGACATGAATGTGACAGCTCTAGTAGTTACACTGTGACTCTGAGGGCCACCCTTCTAGAATGGCCATCTAGAAGGAGCCTGGATTGCTGAAGACTTTGTGAGGCTGCTGTTCCAGTTCTAGGCTCTCTCTCGGCCTTCAGATTTTTTATTATAGGATATAAAAAAAGAAGCTCTATTTTGTCTAAATGACTTGTTACTTGATATGGACTTCTATGTACACCATTTAAAATAAAGTTCTCTAAAAGTAGATCTACCATTCGATCCAGCAAGCCCAGTACTGGGTATCTACCCAAAGGAAAAGAAGTCACTATATCAAAAAGACACCTGCGCACGTATGTTGACTGCCGTACAATTCACAATTGCAAAGATATGGAAGCAACCTAAGTGCCCATCAACCAAAGATAAAGAAAATGTGGTATATATACACCAAGGAATACTACTCAGCCATAAAGAATGAAACACAATGACTTTTGCAGCAACCTGGATGGAGCTGGAGGCCATTATTCTAAGTGAAGTAACTCAGGAGTGGAAAACCAAATACCATATGTTCTCACTAATAAGTGGGAGCTAAGCTATGGGTAAGCAAAGGCATACAGAGTGATTTAACAGACTTTGGAGACTCAGAAGGAAGGTGGGAGGGTGAGGGAGAAAAAACTACATATTGGGTACAACGTACACTACTTAGGTGATGGTTGTGCTAAAATCTCAGACTTCACTACTATACAATTCATTCATATAACCAAAAACCAATTGTACCCCAAAAGCTATTGAAATATATTTCAAAAAATAAAGTTATCTAAGCCATTCAAAGCAAAGCGTATTGCTGATGCTTTTTTTTTGGAGACAAGGTCTCTTCTGTCGCCCAGACTAGAATGCAGTAGTGTGATCATGGCTCAGTCCAACCTCAATCTCCCTGGGCTCAAGCAATCCTCCCATCTCAGCCTCTCGAGTAGCTGGGACTACAAGTGCATAGTAGCCACCACATCAGGCTAATTCTTTGTTTATTGAGACAGTCTTGCTCTGTTGCCCAGGCTGGAATGCAATGGCACGATTTTGGCTCACTGCAACTTCCACCTCCTGAGTTCAAGCGATTCTCCTGCCTCAGCCTCCCAGGTAGCTGGGATTACAGGCATGCTGGGATTACAGGCATGCACCACCATCTCTGGCTAGTTTTTGTATTTTTAGTAGAGATGGGGTTTCACCATGTTGGCCAGGCTGGTCTCGAACTTCTAACCTCAAGTGATCTACCTGCCTCGACCTCCCAAAGTGCTGGGATTACAGGTGTAAGCCACTGTGCCCAACCCAATGTCTTCTTTTACTGCAGTGGTGCTCAGTGTTGGCTGCACATTAGAATCACCTGGTGTGCTGTAAACATGTCAGTGCCTGGGTCCCCCTTGGAGAATCTTATGTAATTGATCTGGGGCATGGCCCAGGCCTTGGGATTTTTAAAAGCTCTCAGGGTGCTTTTAATGTGCAGCCAAGGCTGAGAACACACTGCTCCTCTCTTTTCCAAGGTAGAGTAATTGGCTAATTGATTCCCTCATCACTCTCATTACACACTAACGAGAACTGCCGTGTCCCAGGCTTACCGCCCAGCAGCTCTAAACTTGAGCAGGCATCAGAATCACCTGGAGGGTTTGTTAACACACAGGTTGCGGGCCCCATCCCCACAGCTTCTGATTTAATGGGTCTGGGGTGGGCCAGGTAATCTGCATTTTTCACTCCCCCACCCAGATGCACTTGACTCCATTCTGTCCGGAGCTGGCAGGCAGCTCTTCCCAGAAAAACGTCTCTGCGATACAACAGTCAAAAAAGTGTCGCTGTGACACAGTAGCTAAAAAGAAATTATTTAGGCAGTTAATGAGAGTAAGGGAGTCCTTGGTAAGGCTTTCCTTTTCATAAAAACAGCCTGAAAACTCAAACTGCAAGCCTAGATAAGCAAGCTGGAAGCCTACACAGGTGACACCAGCAGCTATGCCAACAGAAAAGGGATACCTGGACGCCACGCATATTCAACACGGAAGTTTCCTCTTCCCTTTAGCACCATGTGTGCAGTCAGTATGGTGCTGGTCAGGTAAAGACCTCATTTACATAATAAAAGATTAGGGTGGGATGGCCAGCCTCTTGGTGCCCTATGTAAGTAGCACACCTGGTCCAACCAACCCACTATACCCTGTGTAAATCAGACACCGCCTCTTCAAGCTGATTTATAAAACCAATAGCATTGTGTCCAAAATTGGTGGGTTCTTGGTCTCACTGACCTCAAGAATGAAGCTGCAGATCCTCGCGGTGAGTGTTACAGTTCTTAAAGGTGGCATGTCCAGAGTTTCTTCCTTCTGGTGGGTTCCTGGTCTCGCTGGCTCAGGAGCAAAGCTGCAGACCTAGGCGGTGAGTGTTACAGCTCTTAAAGAGGCGCGTCTGGAGTTGTTCATTCCTCCCCCTGGGTTCATGGTCTCTCTGGCCTCAAAAGAGAAGCTACAAACCTTCGCAGTGAGTGTTACAGCTCATTAAAGCAGCCTGGACCCGAACAGTGAGCAGCATGATTTGCAGCAAAGAGCAAAAGAATAAAACCTCCACACTGTAGAAGGAGACCCAAACAGATTGCCACTTCCGGCTGGGGGGGGGGGGGGGGGGGGCATGCTTTTATTCCCTTATCTGGCCCCACCCACATCCTGCTGATTGGTCCATTTTACAGAGAGCTGATTGGTCTGTTTTACAGAGAGCCTATTGGTCCGTTTTGACAGGGTGCTGATTGGTGCGTTTACAATCCCTGAGCTAGACACAAAAGTTCTCCACTAGATTAGCTAGATACAGAGTGCTGATTGGTATATTTACAAACCCTGAGCTAGACACAAAAGTTCTCCACTAGATTAGCTAGATACAGAGTGCTGATTGGTATATTTACAAACCCTGAGCTAGACACAGGGTGCTGATTGGTGCATTTACAAACCTTGAGCTAGATACAGAGTGCTGATTGGTGTATTCACAATCCCTTAGCTAGACATAAAGATTCTCCAAGTCCCCACCAGATTAGCTAGATACAGAGTGCTCATTGCTGCATCCACAAACCTTGAGCTAGACACAGGGTGCTGATTGGTGTGTTTACAAACCTTGAGCTAGATACAGAGTGCTGATTGGTGTATTTACAATCTCTTAGCTAGACATAAAGGTTCTCCAAGTCCCCACTAGACTCAGGAGCCCAGGTGGCTTCACCCAGTGGATCCCGCACCGGTGCTGCACGTGGAGCTGCCTGCCAGTCCCGCCGTGCGCCCGCACTCCTCAGCCCTTTGGCCGTCGATGGGACCGGGTGCCCTGGAGCAGGGGGTGGCGCTTGTCGGGGAGGCTCGGACTGCACAGGAGCCCACGGCGGGGGCAGGGGCGGGCTCAAGCATGGCGAGCTGCAGGGCCTGAGCCCTTCCCCGTGGGGAGGCAGCTAAGGCCCGGCGAGAAATCGAGCGCAGCGCCGGTAGGCCGGCACTGCTGGGGGACCTGGTGCACCCTCCGCAGCTGCTGTCCCGGGTGCTAAGCCCCTCACTGCCCGGGGCCGCTCCGAGTGCCGGGCCGCCAAGCCCATGCCCACCTGGAACTCTAGCTGGCCCGCAAGCGCCGTGCGCTGCCCCGGTTCCCGCCCGTGCCTCTCCCTCCACACCTCCCCGCAAGCCGAGGGAGCCGGCTCCGGCCTCGGCCAGCCCAGAAAGGGGCTCCCACGGTGCAGCGGCGGGCTGAAGGGCCCCTCCAGCGCCGCCAGAGTGGGCGCCCAGGCAGAGGCGCCGAGAGCGAGCGAGGGCTGCAAGGGCTGTGAGCACGCTGTCACCTCTCAGCATCTTGCCCCAAACCCGGGAGATGCATTCAGAAACCCCCTCCCTCTGCACGGGGGAGCTTTTCTCTTTTGCCTGATAAACATTCCGCTCTTAAAGCCACTCCCTGTGTGTCTGTGTCTTCGATTTCCTTGGCATGAGACAACCAACCTCGGGTATTACCCCAGACAAACGATGCTGCTTCAGTTGCAGGGGGTTGGACCCAGCCCATTTCACTGCCAGTAATAAAACAGCCGCGTGGGGGCAGCCATTAGGGACCCTGCTCGCTGTAGGGGAGTGTGGTATTTTGCTTAAGATTTCAGAATGTGGCCTAAGGGAGGAAACTTCTAGAGGTGCACAGAGAACATCCTGGTGAAACCAGCTCAGGTATGAAGAACAGAGGCATCACAAGGTATCAGCCAGTGGAAGGCGCCCCAAGAGGGCCTGCCACACAGATAGAAAGCTTAGCGTGGTTTAGGCGAATGGACTGCTGATGCTTAAAATCAGAGCTCCTCAGCCTTCAGAGGGTGGAGGACCCTCTTGCAAATTGAGTGACGGCTCTGGACCCTCCCCCTAGAAAAGTGCACCTGTGCATGAAATGTCATTGTCCATTTCAGGGGTTTGAAGAATCATCCTGAGGATTTTTCAGGCAGAGAAATGGCAGCATTTCAGGCTGGTATCTGGCATGAGAAATGCACAGGGCAGCTGTTGAGACAATTAAGGACAAGGTGTTTGGCAGGAAACAAGGCCAGCTGGTGACAGAGACAGACAGCCACATAATTGTAACAGGATGGATATTGGCTAAAATGAAATATTGATTAACAATAATATGGTCCAATGACTGGGGACATAGCCTGGAGACATGCAGAAAATTCCTGCCGTTTCCAACCATTCATTGTATCCAACAAATATTGTGATTGACACTGTTCTGTGAGCTGGGGATACAGCAACATCCTTGTCCTCTTATGTCTGACCTACTAGTGTAGACACAGAAAATAGACTAAGAAGTGACGTCAGGAGGCAAAAAGTGCTGCAAAGCTGGGGAAGGCTTCTCTGAAAAGAAAACTTTGAATAGAAACATGACTGAAGTGGCATGCATATATCTGGGAAAACGGTCCAGGTAACGGGAACAGCAAGTACGAAGGTCCTGAGGCAGGAATGCACTCTGCATGTTTGAGGAACTGCAGGGATGAGGGTGGCATGGGGTGAGCAAGAGGAAGAGCAGGAGGTGAGGTCTGTCTCAGAGGATGAAGGGATCCTTGAATTTTATTCCCAGTGAGCTGGGAACCATTAAAAGATTTTGAGCAGGAGAGTGACATAATCTAATTTAGGTTTTAAAAATGGGCTCCAGTGGCTCATGCCTGTAATCCCAGGCCTTTGGAAGGCTGAGGCAGGAGGATTGCTTGAGGCCAGGAGTTCAAGACTAGCCTGGGCAACACAGTGAGACCCCATCTATAAAAAAAATCAAAACACTGACCAGGCATGGTGTTGAGCCTGTAATCCTAGCTACTCGGGAGGCTAGGATTTCATAAGAAGAAACTGAAAGGACACCAAAAGGAGGCAGGCAGAGGCCATGAGGCAGCAGGGGCCATGGACCCCAGGATTAGCAGAGGACACGAGTAGGCAGCAGTAGAGTGAGCAGAAATAGTCGGCAAGGATGGAGGCAGCTAGGGTAGCAGAAAGAACAGAGAGATGGAGCAAATGAATCACCATCGCGGTGGAGGCCAGCTTGATTGCTGCAGTCTTGGGGTGACCAGATGCCCTCATCTCTAACATGCTCCTGAATCCTGACTGCCTGTGCATTTTCCACAGGGTCCTGCCTTATGACTATTTGTGAGTTTCTATGTGATTACTCTCCCCCTGCCATGTGGCCCCTTCCAAAAAGCTTACCCCAGCTCAGTGCCTTGTACATAGCAGGTGTTTAAGAAATACTGTCATGAGAATGAATTATTTGAGATAATCTAAGAAAAAAATTGCCTCTTGCAAACAAAATTTCCTAATATACCATCCGCATTTGGGGGTGGCTTTTGGAGCTCCTTCTTTGGGGACACGTACAGCTCCTGTGTCCATGTTTCACCCAACCCAGCAATATTAGCCACTAATTGCTGAGCAGAGGCCGCATATGAGATATCCTGAACTTATGCAGAGACCAGAAAAATCTCAGGCACAGATTGTCAGTGCTCATGAGAGGGACTAGAAATTTAGAAAAATAGTAGCTGGCACATCCAAACGAGTGGGAGATCACCTCTGACTTCTTTGTATCCAGCTGCAATTGGAAGCCAAGCCAAAAAACAGAACAGGATGTGCCACAGGGAAGACAGGCAGCCCTGAGAAACGGGAAGGACTTTAATTAGCTCTTGACTGCGCTAAATGTGCCAAAAAGTGAAAAGGAAGAGACTTGTTCTCTGGGTAGAACAAGATTAGTTCTTATCTGGTGTATTTAATGGGTCAATAGACACTCAACGGAACAATCACTTCCACTCCTTTCCCTCTCACCTCAAGCCTTTAAAAATGTACTTTGGCCAGGCGTGGTGGCTCACAACTGTAATCTCAGCACTTTGGGAGGCTGAGATGGGCAGATCACTTAAGCCCAGGAGTTCAAGACAAGCCTAGACAACACGGTGAGACCCTGTCTCTACAAAAAAATTAAAAATTAGTCAGACTTGCGGTGCATGCCCGTAGTCCCAGCTACTCAGGAGGCTGAGGTAAGAGGATTGCTTGAGCCCAAATTAGGTCAAGGCCGCAGTGAGCCAAGATCGTACCAGTGCACTCCAGCCTGGGCGACAGAGCGAAACCTTGTCTCAGAAAATAAAGCACTTTATCAGAATTAAAGCTGGATTTTGCTATCAGGGGAAGCCCTTTATTCAATCTGTCTGGAATACTTGGGGAGCAGGCCTAAAACCCTTTTGAACCATTGATGTGATTGTGTGCGGGGGGCCTAGCCTAGTACCGAGGGCAGTCTCCCAAGGAAAGTATAGCCTCAGGCTGAAAGGTAAATAGGAGAATGCTCACTTCAGCCCCAGCTGCAGGTCAGCATTGGCTTTTCCCTGGTTGAAAGAAAGAAAAAGAAGAGACAGTCCCGGTCGAATGAAACATTAAAGGCATCTTACCCAGCTCCTTTGAGAAATTAAAATTCTTCACATATATGTGCGTTAACACACAGACACACACACCTGCCCCCAGTCACTTGCCAAATAGTACAATGTGCTTCTTTTATTTAAAAGGTGATCTTTTTCTTTGGTGTTTGGCTGCATTTCTGAGAGAGAAAAGTCCCTACCAAATAAATTCCAGATTCATAGCTCAGTTGCTGTCTGGAGGGAATTGCTGGGGAATGCTTTAGAAACTTGAATGTAACTCAACCTCTGTCAAAGTGAAAACTTTTACACTTTGCTAGCCGAGGTCACAACGTTCTCCTTCATTGGAGGGCTGCCAGGGTCACCACAAGTGCCAGAGTGCTCACCTCTTAGTATTATTCATGCCTTTCTCACAAACCATGGACGGTGTTTTCTTCCTTTGGGCCCCATGGTACACCCCATACCTGCTTCAAAGAACCTGCAGCTCAACCCAGCCATGACTCATTTGCCTGTGTGTGTCCTCACTGAGCTGGAAGCAACTAGGTTCTGGGGAGAGCATCACCTCTGTGAATTGTCAGTGACTAGCATGATGCCTGGCACTCAGTAGGAACGCACAATTGAATGTTGATTGAGTAGACGAATGCGTGCAGGAGTGAATGCGAGAGTCTGACTCATTTTTGCATCCTATGCACAGTGTTTAGATATCCTAAGTGCATGTTTGTGTCACATGTTTTTTCCAGAGCACATTGGGAAGCACTTGGCTCCCTAAATTAAGGGAGGAATTGTGATCAGGCCCTTTAGGATCCTCAGTAGCCATCTACATTTTTGTGAGCTTGCATGTGCTTTGTAATTCTCCCTTTTCTTCCTTTTAGAAACTTGGATATCAAAGAGAAGAAAGCAGATGCCCCCATTCTGCTACCTCTTCACAAGGCCTGGGGGCTTCCGCCACAGATTTACACTGAGCGGCTTTCCTGAGCCTGTCCCAAAGGAAGGGAAACTGAGGAGCAGTGAGGTGACCTTGGAGGAGGCTTTTTGTGAGGCAGCAATGAAGGAAACAGCATTAACCCAGCCTGCATTTTGAAGAACAACCAGCTAACATTTCTCCCAGATCCTTGGAGAAATTAAAATTCTCCACAACATTCCTGGAAAGTGTACCATCCACTCCCAGTCCCTCAACAGATGCTGAGCTGCTCATTATGCTGGCAAGTGGCAAAGTGAAAGCAGGAAGACGTTGGGAGACAATGCTATGACAGCGTTGTCTCCCAAAACAAAGAAACGCCTTTTATCCATAACTTGTTGGAAGTTGAATCACCAAAATAAACCAGAAGGAATGTTTTCCCAACAGTAACAAAAAGGATCATAACATCAAAGACTCAGTGTTTCTTCACCTGGAAAGAAAACAAGGGCATAAGTAAGGCCTCTTGGTACGCTGTCTCTGCCTCTGTGCCGGCATCTAGTACGCGGAGGCATACATGTCTTTGTTTAAGCCTCTGTGCAACTCCTACATTGAGAATAGCTCAGGGAAAGGACCTGACCTCATTCTTCTTTGGATCCCCAGATCCCAGTAGAACACCTGGCACATAGAAACATACAACCCATGTCTGCTCAGGGAATGGCTGATGAGGCAGGGGAGGGGACTGTGAATGTGGACCTGTCTAGTAAATTCTAGAAGACCTAGGCTTCGATTTCCTCATCAGAACAAAGAGTAGACTGCTTTCCAGTTCTAGCATTCCTTTGTCTTCTGATTCAATGAAGTATTGAATCAGAAAATATAGGTTTAAGAAGAGTTCATAAAAATATGTAGATAAGCCATCGATACATGCTAACTGCCATGTTATTTCACAAAACTTCCTCTGGGGCTGGATAGAACACTGGACAGGCTGCAAGTGGCAACTTTCACATTCAAAGTACACATTGTACTAAGATGAAAGGATTCATCAGGACTCCATGGTGTGATCCACAAAGCAAAGCTAGACTCAAGTGGCTTGTCTCCCGGGGAAGAAAACATGTCAAGGTGACTGTGTTCTCTGCTGCCTCCCCAGCACGAGTGTGATTTTTAACTGCACGTCCAAGTGAACCCTTTCATCTTGCAAACCATATTCAGAGTCAGTACCTGTCCCCAGGAATGCTTTATTGGAAATGACTGGCAGTAATCATCCTGGGGAGGGAAGGGGAGATAAAAGCTGGTCTGGGAAGATGCCATCATCAGAGATTTGGAGCAGCAGGATTGTAATTAGAGGTAGAAAGGGGAGAGGGAAGCTTTGCCTTCTATGTGTGTTCCTTAGAGATCTACAGAAATGACAGGTCTCCAATCCCGAATGCAAAACGAATCCAGGCAGCAATCATAATAAGCCATTAAATGAGCCAACCTAGCAGAAAAGACACAGAATGCTATTCACTTGGCTCCCTGTTTAATTCCACCTGAGAAAAATCTCAGGGTGAGTGGGAGTGAAAAGGAGCATGGAAGACCCAGTCCTCACATTGTCCCCGAGTCTGGGAACAGTTCAGAACCTCAAGACTCTGGGTCATTTGGTGCCACATCAGGTGGCTGGGTCATGTAGATGGCTGCTTGGTGTTGGGACAGTTTGTCTACCCTCTTCCTGACCCCAAAGCTACCACTTAGATGTTCCTTCTCTTTCATTTCATGATTACAGGGTTTTGCAATTTTCAGCTTTCTCTGCACAATGAACACTCACAAGGAGACATTCTTATATGGCTCATCCCTCTCTAATTTACAGGTTTTCCCTCAGAATCCACTGACAAAGCAGATGGGGAGATGAGGATATTGATCGCATACTGGCGTGATTAACCCAGGTTCTACACAGATTCGACTGTGAAGCATGAGATTTCACAAAATAACTAGGCCAAAGGAGGCTGCAGGTACAGGACAGAACTTTAGACTTAAGAGATCCATGTTGAGTTGTGGCTGGAGGACCAGACGATTCCAGAACCCTTTAGACTCTGTTTGTCAAACCGATCATCTTTGCCCCATGTTGTATGGATCAAATGAAATGGCATGTGATATGGTTTGGCTGAGTCCCCATCCAGATCTCGGCTTCAATTGTATCGCACAGAATTCCCACGTGCTGTGGGAGGGACCCAGGGAAAGGTAATTGAATCATGGGGGTCAGTCTTTCCCCTGCTATTCTCATGATAGTGAATAAGTCTCACGAGATCTGATGGGTTTATCAGGGGTTTCCACTTTGGCTTTTTCCTCATTTTCTATTGCTGATGCCACGTAAGAAGTGCCTTTCATCTCCCGCCATGATTCTGAGGTCTCCCTAGCCATGTGGAACTGTAAGTCCAATTAAACCTCTTTTTCTTCCCAGTCTCGGGTATGTCTTTGTCAGCAGCATGAAAACACAGACTAATACAGTGTGCATGAGCGTGATCTGTATAACAGTAGAGCCCTCTATTAATGCCTGTTCAATTAGAGCCTTTGCCAAAAAAATACACACAAAAAGGAATGTCAGTGTCTCAATTATTTCAGGGAGTCTGATTCTCTTCTTGACAGTAGATGGTGCCAGGAGGGAAGAAATGAGAGGTGGTAAGAGATGCAGGGCAGGCAGGGGTGCTCTTCTTCTTCTTTGGACAGAGGCATCTCATGACCTTGAAGCCTTTGTAGTGTATCATAAATGTGTGGGCTGCATTCAGGTGAGGCTTTCCAGCAAGGGACTCAGAATTATTTCGCAAAGTTTTGCTCATTTGGCTCCCGTTTGGAACAATTACAATGGTCCCAAAATATAATGCGAGCCAGTGAATGCCCATCTCTGGAAATAACATCAGACACATTTAATTTAAAAGTGTCTTCAATGCCTAGGACAGTGTCAGGCACACGGTAGTCTCTACACATATTTATTTCATAAGTGAATGGTTGAATGGTTGAATTTGTTTCTGATGGTTGATCTAACCCTGTCTATTTGATTAAACATGTCCTACTTCATTTAACCAAGCCTGGGGAGGGAAGCTTTAGTCTGGCACAAACGAAACCTACTCCTGACTTTAGACACCTCTCAGAGACAGAATGGGTTCCAAACCAGAGCACCTGGCTGGGCCAACTGTCCTAGAAACTGCATGGGTCCCAGATTTGCTATGGCAGCTCACACATGCTTCATAAACAATTTTCTGATGGTAATTCACTGATGCAAGAGGAAGAAAGGCCTAGTGTACGAATTCAGTAATCAGCCTAGTAATTGATTGAAATCAGTAGAAATCAAACATATTCTAGAATTTCTGAAACGTCAGTGAAACCATGTGTAAGTTTATTAGAAAGTTGGATTTTTTAACGACGAAAAGAGAAGGACCCACACACCTTAATTTTGTACCTATAAGCTTGCGGTCTGTCTGCATAACATAGATTTAGCCCAGTCTTAGCCTTCTGCGTCTAACACTTTCCTAACTATTCATTTTAAGTCTATAAGCATGGGTTAAATGATTACCTCGTGCCTGGCCTTGTGTTGGGGGCTCTGAGGAACTCTGCAATCTTTTTATTTTCATTTTTTGAGACAGGATCTTGCTCTGTCACACAGGCTGGAGTGCAGTGGTACCATCACAGCTCACTACAGCCTCAACCTCGTGGGCTCAATTGATCCTCCCACCTCAGCCTCTCAAGTAGCTGAGATTACAGGCACATGCCACCATGCCTGGCTAATTTTTGTAGTTTTTGTAGAGACACGGTTTCACCATGCTGCCCAGGCTGGACTTGAACTCCTGAGCTCAAGTGATCCGCCTGCCTTGGCCTCCCAAAGTGCTGGGATTTCAGGCGTGAGCCACCGTGCCTGGTCTGCAATCTTTTTATTGACTTGGGAAAACAAGAAAATTAATCACCAGCTAAGGTATGTAACAACAGCATGTGAGAGGCAGGGTTCAGCTAACCATATTGGTTATGAGTGCAAAAGAGCCAGACTTTATTCAGTAAGTACACAAGATTGAGAAGACTGATATCAGATGAACCTTCTTGCTCAAAGCAAACGATGCCAAGACATTTATCGAGGGAAGGATTGCCTAGCAGTAGCTATTTAGTGTGATAATGGCGTTTGATAGTTTAGACACAAACACCATTGTCACACTCCACAGCTCTGCTAAGGAAACTCTGTAGCCACGAAGGTGTTAACTTCACCTCCACATTCCACCATTGTCACTGATAATAGGGGAACCTTGTCAGCTCCACATATTGTGACCTAAGCAGAGAAAAGAAGCATCACGGGTACAAGCATCTTGAGCAATGGGAAGAGCTGAACACTCTCAATGAAAGGCTTCTGTGTTCTGGAACAGTAGAGTAGTAGAGGGGTCCACTGCCTGTGTTCCACTGCCACCCAGCAAACCCCTTCTGCAAAAACTTCCTGTGAAAATGGACAGGAACTCTGTTTGCAACAATTTTCTAAAATGGCTGAGAGAGAAAGAATCTCTAGAGGGAATAGATTTCTGGAAATAAATACTTATTGGAAGACTACATTATAAATGAGAATAATCTGGCCGAATGAATGGATACTCTCCAACTCTCACCTCTTCACCTACTTCCCAATCCATCATCAGTAAATGTGATCAATTCTGCAGTCTAGGAAAATTAAAATTATTTTATATGGGGATACAGCAGTTAGATGTGTTGTGATCTACTCTCCGTGGCATCTATTGGATATAAAGGCATCTGGTCTTGCTCAAATGTTCAATCTTCTTGACCACAGTCATTTTCCACCATGGCGGTGGGTGGGAGATGAGGGGAGAGAAGAAAGAGAGGAAGATGGAGAGAGAGGAAACGAGTCCATTTTTAGTTCATGATACTCATTTTCTAGCAAAAAGGGAGCTCCAAATAAATCCCTACAGGATTTACTTGGCTTTCCTGTTAAAGATGGTTTATAATTGTTATGTGAACTCCTGCCCACCATGGAGAATGAGAGGAAATAAAGCATTTTACCTACTCCTTCTTTTCCTGCAAATGCTGAAAAGGGAAAGGGTTGGGAGCCAGTTATTTTTTCCCCAGGATAACTGAGTTGTTAACATCTGACCAGAGTCTTGCTTTAGCCCTAAAACCGGCCCATCTTTAACAGCTGTAAATGAACCCTTCCGTATTTTTCAGAAAAAAAAAAAAAAAATTGCGCCTTATTCTCATGTAGATCCTGAAATCACCCTCTTCAAGCTGGACTTGCAGTGATTATCCCCCTGCGAAAGCTGAAAGTCGTTCTGCTCCCATGGGTTGGAGTGTTGAAGTTGCCTCTTTTTTTCTTTCCCTTTTTCACTTTGTGGATTCGTTATCTTCCCCTAAGTGACTGATTTCCTTTGGTTCCTGTCTGTGGCCCTGGCTTTCTTTCATGAAATGTGGTCATTTGCAAGGCAGCAGGCCGTGCCAGTGCTACACATACTCTCTTAGGTGGGACTCGCCTCCTGGGCAGTTTTCCATGACTCAGAGAGAATGACTACGAACCCTAGAACTGCTCTAGGTGGCCCCAGTCACTGCCACAAACCCCTAGCACTCTGGGTGTGGCCAGCAGTGGACACAGGCATGTGGTGGCCCATCTTGTCCTTCCCTTTCCCTACAGCTCCTCCTAACACAGTAGCCAGGCTTGTCCTGCTTAGTCTTTGCTGAGGGACCTAGAACAGAAATCGCCACCTCCTGGTCATACCAGGGCTATCGCTGACCATCCACAAGAGGCTCTAGAAGTCTCTTAGCTCTGCTGGGAAGAAACAGTGAGAGGTGAACAATTCACTGATTAAAAGGGTCCCCGGAGGATGCGCTTGGAGCGCTCTATCCTGGGCAAGGGCTTGGACCCATTTCACTTCTCAGGGCTCCATAGCAGTATCTGAGCATCCTCCACTTCTCCATGGGGGCTCTGTTGGCTTTTGGCTTTGAATAATCTGCAAAATACAGAAAAGGGAAGGAACAGATGGAAGATGAAAAGAGATGAGGAAGTTAATGCATTACAGGTAAATCTTACCAACTCCCCACCCCCCAAATCAACCTTTACAGGTAAATCTTACCAACTCCCCCCACCCCAAATCAACCTCAATTTCTATGGCCCAGAAATCTATCTCCAGGAAAATGTCAAAAATTTGTAGAAAGATTTACCTATAAGGTTGCTCATAGTGGCATTGTTTATAAGGGTAAACATTGGAAACAACCTAAATGTCCAGCTATAGGAGAAGAGTAATATATTTATGATAGACCATAATTATTTAAATTGATTCTGTAGAAAAGTCTGGTAGACTTGGAAATTCAAGATATGTTATTGAATTAAAAAACAGTTTATAAAACAATATACACAGTATGAGTCCCTTTCTGTGAAAAAATGCATACATGCCTGAGGCCAAAACATCAAATGTTAACCATGGTTATCTTTCAGTAGAGAAATTATGGTTTGTTTTCATTTTCTCCTTTTGTGTGCATTTGTTAATTTATGATTCATATGGCACTTTTTTATTGAGAAAAATGAGGATTTAAAAACTTTTAGGCAATTTTCTTTCTGGACTCTCAATACAAATTCCTTCTTGCAAAATACTCTTCTGAAATTGGGAAGGTTGGAACCCATCCTGCTCATATACAACTTGTCACAAGCATGAAAAGTTAGTGCTGTGCTGAGTGGCAGGCCTCAGGCTAATTTTTTAGCAAATTATTAGTGAAATACTTTATTATGCAGTACAATAATTTTATGGTATTATTGCATCAATCACTAAACACATATTGAGTGCCAATCATTTTCTGTCTTGTGAGCAATTTTTAAACATTGCTAAAATGGCCAACATCTTTTATTACTACTTTGTTTCTGCAGAGGTGGTTAAACTGTCAATTTACAAAGCAGTTTAAACAAACAAGCAGAAGGTTTTCTTTTTTTAAAAAAAAAAAGTCATCCAATAATATATCGCTAGTAAAATAAATTAAAAGTGGTTAGTGTCAGGATCCACTTTTGAATATTTTAAACATTCACAAAATAATTTCTCATTCTGCAGATTTTTAATGTTCTAGTATTTTCAAACTTAACAACTGAACTTAAATAGTACGAGCTAATAACAAATAGAAACATTATACACTGGTTGGGAAGTATTAACACGTTATTTCCTTTGAAAAAATAATGCTTAAGGCAAAGATGTTTGATATTAAGCAGGGTGACTTGTCCAAATGCCAGCACAATTTTCTACAGTGTGGAAAAGGCCTTGAGGGATTCTGTTTAGCTTCCCTGGGCCCCGATCCCATCCACATAAATCTCCCACCATCTCTCTTTATGCCTTACTTCCTGAGATCTCCCTGAGAAAGGTAGAGTGCTAGCCATTCCTGAATGGCAGTCTATTAATACTAAATTTCTCCTGGAGTCTCAGCTACTCAGGAGTCTTAGGCAGGAGGATCCCTTGAGCCCAGTTGTTTGAGATCCCATTTCTAAAGAAAACACACACACGAAATTTCTGTGTGCTGTCATCTTCCTGCACTCGTCTTCCCAACAGTGATGAAATCTCCAGGCATCTCTAGCTGCTGTGGCCAATTCAGAATGCAGCTTTCCCACTGGATCCGTGAGTATGAAAAACAGGCTAGATTTGGTTTGCTCCTCTTTTAATGCCCTGCATTTCTTTTCATAAGTGAGAAAAAAAGCTCATTAAGGAGGAAGCTTTTACAAAGCCAGACCCTCCAGCAAATTCACCACTCTGTACGCATTCTGTATGCACCACAGCTCCCAGCGTGACGTCTTAGATTCACAAGTACCAGGAATATCGCAACACTCACTTTCTCAGGTCAGATCTGGGCACGAGCAGCTTGTCTTTGCTTTAAGATGTTGTTCCCAGGGGCTGAGAGCATTCTAGGGCCAACCCCATAGGGGGTTTGGGTGCTTTGGGGACTGTGAAGTGTCACCTTGCTGCAAACCTAACCCATCAGTACCAAAAAAAAATTTCTTAAAAAGTGAAAGATAAGTGGAGATGCTTTTTACTCTGAATCCACGTTTACTGCCATTTAAAATAGATGTGTTAAATGCATCCATTTGATTATTTTAGGCTGTTAGTCTACATGACAAAGGAAGTTGGTATTATGCTTCTGAGTCTTGTCATTTTGAAAGTGCATGGAAATTTTAAAATAGAATGTTCTTGTCAACAGGGAGCAAAGCAGCATTTCTTTCCTCATTGAAATCCATCTAGAAGGGAAATCTGGAAAGTTCCCTATTCATGCACCTATTCATGCCTGTGTTTCTCACCAATCAGTGGTGAAGAAGGAATCACTGGGTACATTTTTAGCCAAGTTGGGGCCTCCACGGACTCTTTTTAAAGAGAATTGCTGAGGCTTGGGGATTCCTAAGGAACTGTCTCATTTCTGCACAGGTGTCCAGCTATTTTTAGTGCTATTGAGGGAACAATATGACCTGGACAGAGGCATGCCAAAGGAACGACTCTAATGCCGGCATTTTGTTTGAAGGTTTGGTGTTATTGCTGAATCAGGCCATCGTAAAAACAAGAACTGGCTTAATGTCCAGCCACTCCAAGGGCAGAAATAAAACCCCACACCGTCCCTGAGCCCTCAGCTCCTCCCCAGCCTCATCCTCTCTCCCTCTGCAGGGTGATCATTTCTTTTCCTCCTTAAGCCATTTTGTTATTTTTCTTTAAACGGAAACCATCTGTTACTCTCTCTAAAGAAAGTCTCCAGTTTTCCTCAAGCTTTCTGAGGAAACAGAATAATCATGGAAGACAAAGTTATGGTGTGTTCAACACCTCCTGTTGCTCAGGCGCTGGGTGGCATCTTTTTCAACACCGGAGTCAGCAGCCTCCCGTCATTTCTCGGTCAGCGGCCACCCCAAAGAACGGCCTGATCACTCAGGGGGGTCGGCAGGCGCCGGGGGAGAGCCGCACTTACCCCCAGTCAGCTCCGGTCCTCTCAGTCCAAGGCCCTTCCTGTGGCAGGCAGGATGGCGCCTTCCACAGCTTCTGTGGCTTTAGGCCTCTCCCCTCTCCCTTTATGGGATCCAGGGTTTAAAAGTAAACAATTCTTTCTCTTTCTGATAAGTCGCATTATTTATCGATTCAGTGGGGGAGGGAGGGCACGACCTTAGGCCACTAAGTCAGCACCACCTTTGGTCAAACACACTCAGCAAGATTGGAAAGTCCATTCCTCTGCTGAGTGGGGGTGTGCGGCCAGCAGGCAGCCATGGAGGCCACCGAGGCAGAGAAGACAGGTCACCTAGTGAATACATCTTCCCCTCAGAACCCCAACTTCCAACCAGTTTAACGTTCCTCACGGGAAGACTGCCATGTATGACCTGGTCACCTCCCCAGATTTCTAGAGACAGAAGAGTCACCGGTCACAGGAGCCTACTAAGTTCAATAGATCCTTGGCTCATGCTACGTAGAGCTCTTGACCAACATTTGGAAGCCAATCTCATTCTCCTCTTGAACTGGTCATTTCTGACGTAGTTAACCATGCATTCCTTTGTTCACGCCAACAATTATGTATGAAGCTCCTCCTTATCTGCTAAGCTCTGGTAATGCCACGGGGACCAAGACAAACAGAGCCCACAGTCAGGCAGTGAAGCAGGCAACAGGCGAGCCGCACGGACAGCAGAGGAGGCTGCTGCTCGGCCTAGCTGTATTCTGTTGTCGGCTATTATTATTGCTTTTTATTTTTTATTTACTTATTTTTTTGAAATGGAGTCTCGCTCAGTTGCCCGGGCTGGAGTGCAGTGGCGTGATCTTGGCTCACTGCAACCTCCGCCTCCCGGATTCAAGCGATTCTCCTGCCTCAGCCTCCTGGGTAGCTGGGACTACAGGTGCCCGCCACCACGCCCGGCTAATTTTTGTATTTTTAGTAGAGACGGGGTTTCACCATGTTGACTAGGCTGGTCCCAAACTCCTGACCTCAGGTGATCCTCCCGCCTTGGCCTCCCAAAGTGCTGGGATTACAGGCATGAGCCACCAGACCCATCCGCCGGCGATTATTTTTAATGTCTCTGATTATTTCTTTTCCTTCTCAGGTCATTTTGTTATTTTGTTTTTCTTTCTTTCTTTTCCTTGCTTCCTTCCATTCCTTCCTTCCTTCCTTCCCTCCCTCCCTCCTTTCTTTTCTTTTCTTTTCTTTCTTTCTTTCTTTCTTTCTTTCTTTCTTTCTTTCTTTCTTTCTTTCTTTCGTCTTTCTTTCTTTCTTTCTTTCTTTCTTTCTTTCGTCTTTCTTTCAACTTTCTCAATCTGTCTCTCTCTCTCTCTCTCATTCCTTCATTCCTTCCTTTCCTTTCTTTTCTTTTTTTTTTTTTTTTTTTTTTTTTTTGAGGCAGGGTCTCAATCTGTTACCCAGGCAGGAGTGCAGTGACATGATCACAGCTCACTGCAGCCTCGACCTTCTGGGCTCAAGGGATCCCCCTGCCTCAGTCTCCCCAGTAGCTGGGATACAGGTGCCCACACCTGACTAATTTTTGTACTTTTTTGTAGAGATGAGATTTCACACCACATTGCTATTTTGCCTTCTTATTCTTTAAAAGGAAACTCCTCGTTGCTCTCTCTAGTAAACACAAATGCAAGCTGAAGTGAGGTCTGGTCATTCCAGTTGATGATGATCTGAGGAGCTGGGTGGCCTTAATTTCACTAGCAGGTATTGTCATCCTGATAGTGTCATACTTCCTGTTAGTTGTCATATTTCTTTTCAGGTAAAAATGAAAAAATATACTAATGGCCTTTTTTTTTCTTGTCAAAGAGCTGAACTCAAGAAATGGGCCCAGTGAGTGGGCACCACTGTTTGTTCCTGGCATGCTCCCTAGGGTCCTGGGGGGACTAAGTTCCTTCAGGTTGCCTATGACTACCTGAGAGATCCTGCACACTTGGCCCTACAGAAGACAGGGCCCTCCCACAGGGCTGAGGGACTGGCCTTCAGTTCCTATGGGAAGAGCCCAAACAGTGCACCCCGAGGCGAGAAAAACATCCCGAGGGCTCTCTGGAAATCGCCAAAGCCCTGTGCTCCGCAGCGTCGGTGGATAAATATGGTGTCAATGGGATTTTTTTTTATGGTCACATTTCTGGCGCTGCAGTGTTGGCACTGCCTTTGCAAACTTGCTGTGCACTTTTAAAGTTGCTTCTCCTGATTTCAGCCATCCTAATTCTGAAAAGAAATTCTGAAAAGTGCACAGCGCTTTTTTTCAGCCTGGGCACTAGAATAAGACTCTGTCTGGGAAAGAAAGAAAAAAGTGACTTTTCATTTTTTAAGAAATAAAGGTGAGTGCCTTTTTAAAGAAGAAAAAACTGTTGTTTTTTCTCCTTTAAAGTGAAACAGATTCCTCAGGGCTCCCCGTTGTCCTGCCCTTTGAAAGAAAGACGTTCTTTCAAAGACGTTCTTTCAAAGGGCAGGATAAACCCCTCCCACCCCCAGGCCTCGTCCCACATTTTCCAGGTCACTTTCATCAGCATTTTTGCTGATATGGTTTTCCCTTCATTTAGAAAACCAGGATGAAGACACATGTTCAGCTTTCAGATGATTTTCTTTACATTCCTAGCCACGGTACTTGCAAGGATTCTGAATTTCAGAGACACGATGAATGTTTATCAAACTTCTGGCAAATCACACAACTCTACCTCAGCTGCCTATAAAAGTGATTTTTTGGCCAGGCACAGTGGCTCACACCTATAATCCCAGCACTTTGGTAGGCCGAGGTGGGCGGATTGATTGAGCTCAGGAGTTTGAGACCAGCCTGAGCAACATAGCAAGGTCCTGTCTCTACAAAAGCTACAAAAATTAGCTGGACATGGTGGCATGTACCTGTAGTCCCAGCTACTTGGGAGGCTGAGGCAGGAGGATTGCTTGAGCCTGGGAGGTGGGGGTTGCAGTAAGCCGAGATCGTGCCACTGCACTGCAGCCTGGGCACTAGAATAAGACTCTGTCCATGACTTTTTATTTTTTAAGAAATAAAGATGAGTGCCTTTTTAAAAAATAAGGTAGATGTGAATCTTGGAAGGTTGAAGTTTAATTTAGAATGTCTCAATCCCTAATGTGTATATTCAGATACAGGCTGCAAGACTGGGCTTCACCAACAGTGAAAATCAGGTAACTTTCCACTAGCTGCAGCTGGAAGCAGGCTCCAATCATTGTGGGTGATTCGCTCCATGGTTTTCTCATCTTCCTGCCATGAGCTGCAGGCTTTGTTAAATGGGGGGAAAAAAAGTAATCAGTTCCAATGAAGAATGCCAAACTTTTGCCATGAGGAATGCTGAAGTTTGGGGACTGGGGATCCTGGGTCTCATTCAAGACTCTTTGTCATTTGGATTTTTGCCTTTGGACAAAAATAACTTCATATTTCTGAGGCTTTAGTTTCCTCTCTGTGTAGTAAAGCTGAGAATACTTGCTTGTCATTTGCTCTCAAACCTTAAGTGAAACGGGAGATGAATTCATCTTTAATCATGACTAGTTCAAGAGACTGAGGCAAGAGGGTCCCTTGAGCTCAGGAGTTTGAGTCCAGCCTGGACAACATAGCGAGTCCACTGTCTCTAAAAATAAGAAATAAGTAAATAGGAAAAAACAAAGTTAGATATAGAGAAATGACAAAGGGCATGGACTGTACGGACTAACTGGTTATTTACCAGTAAAGAGAACAAAGGATCCTAATTTGCCATGTGCAGGGACCATGCCAAGCCCAGTGGGGCTGGAAGGAAGCTGGGTTGCTGCAGCCTCAGATTTGTTATTAAGAGAATCAAAATCACTTTCAACCCAATGTCACAAGCCAGGACCCAAGTGAAAACAGAGTGTTGACAGCGAGTCTTGGTTTCATCTCTGCATTTACACACGCATCACCTTCTCCCACAAAAGTTCCTCTTCTTATGGCTGGAGACAGGCTCAGAACACTGGTGGTGCATAGGTGCAGGGGCTTGATTGCAGTGATCATGGGAGAGAGTCATCATATGAATGAGCGGTGCCCACTCTCAGAAGGCAGTTGAAAATAAATTGTGCACATGGTGATATTTCTCCCCTAAACACTTCAGCACACATCCCCAAAGAATTTAGGAGTACTCTACTTAACCTGCGTACCATTATCAGAGCTAAGTTTACAGTAATTCTCTAATAGCACTATTTAGCTTATTTCCTTTTTCTTTCTTTTTTTGCCTTGAGACAGAGTCTCGCTCTGTCACCTAGGCTGGAGTGCAGTGGCGCGATCTTGGCTCATCGCAACCTCTTCCTCCAGGTTCAAGTGATTCTCCTGCCTCAACCTCCTGAGTATCTGGGAGTACAGGTGCACACCACCATGCCTGGCTAATTTTTGTATTTTTTTAGTAGAGACAGGGTTTCCCCATGTTGGCCAGGCTGGTCTCAAACTCCTGGCCTCAAGTGATCCACCTGCCTCGGCCTCCTAAAGTGCTGGGATTACAGGCGTGAACCACCATGCTCGGTCCATTGAACTTAGTTTCAAATTTCCCAATTATCCCCCAATTCTCTTTAATAGCAGTTTTTTTTTAAACCTAGGATTTAGTCAAAATTTGTGCTTGCATTTGTTTTTTTCTTTCCTCATTTTTTTAATTGACAAAATTTATCTAGATGCTCTCTGGCATTCTGTCAAATGTTATTCTTCTGTCATAGTTTTTCCAGAGATTGGCCACTGCCCTTGGATTTCTAATGAGCGAAGGCCTAGAATGCAGGCCCGTGGACCTTCCACCTCGCCTCCCTCTCTCCACGGCCTCCTGCTTCTAAGGATGAGCAAATAATCTCAGACTGAACCTTCTTTAAACACCAAGCAAGAATCTCCAACGAGTCCTCATTCCTCATTCTTTCATTCATAGAAGGACTATTTGTTGGGGGCCACCATGTCCGAGGTGTCTGATATCTATTCTAGATACCGGGTGTACAGCAGCAAAACTAACAAATAAGAAACACAACCAGACTAAAATGCCTTCCCTCCTAGAGCTCACATCCAGAAGGAGCGGACAATCAATCCACAAAATAAAGAAAAGCAGACAAGCAGATAGCGAGGTCTGGGGAAAGACTCCAGATAGTGTGATTAAGCAACGCCCCATGGAAGGAGGATTTGAGAAGAAAGGAGAGAAGGTTAAAGAGTAAACTGGCCAGGCGCGGTGGCTCATGCCTATAATCCCAGCACTTTGGGAGGCTGAGATGGGCAGATCATTTGTGGTCAGGATTTTGAGACCAGCCTGGCTAACATGGTGAAAACCCGTATGCAGATTATAGAGATGTTAAAACGTGGGGAAAATTATTTGTTTGAAAATGAAGGAATTTAATTTGAATGCCTCTTACTCTCTGCCCCCCTTTATATTTGACAAACAACTGGCTAGTTGTTAACAGCATCGACCTTGGAGCTAGACTGTCTAGGTTCAGACCCCAGCTCTCCCACTCACTAGCTGTAGGAACTTGAACAAGGTACTTAACCTATTTGTGCCTCCATTTATAAATTTATGTTAATAGTAGTACCTGCTTCCTAAGGTCACTATGAGGATTATATGAATTAATATACATAGACTTAGAATAGTGCCCAGCCTAGGGTAAACACTACTAAGTGTTATTATTATTGAATCCTGAAAACATCTTTGATTATTCTTATTTCAATTTTAAAATAAAGAAACAGGTCAAAGGCACAGCTGGTACCATGTGTCAAGCCAGGACTTGAAGGACACTTTTCTAAAGGCGACTCACTGCCCTCTGCAGCTCTCCCTGCCACATACATGCTAAGGAAGCCAGGCTCCAATGCCCAGGACCTCACTTTTCCAAGAGGAGTTCAAAACTCCGGGCTCCATTGCCAAACTTTGGAGTCGCTCCTCTTCCAACTTGTCCATGTTCTTTCCCCAGGTGTTCTATCATTGTGCTCTAAAATCACCATCTTATCACCTTGAGCATTTTTGCTCAAAGTGAGCATAAGAACACAGAAGAAGAGAGCAGGTCTCTGCCAGAGCTTGTGCAGGACCCCTGAGAACAGACCTCTGTGGCAGCAAAACTCTGGGCCTCCTGTCCTGAGAAGGAGAAGGGAGAGCTACCTTGTGAATACGGAGTCCTTCACGCACCAAGACCCAACGCCTAGGCCAAAGATTGAGCCACAGCCCACAGTTCCTCAGAAGAGAGGGGCCAATCTTAGTTCTTCTTCTAACTCTTCATGACTTTAAAGGAATTCTGGCCTGGGTAGGGTGGTTCACGCCTGTAATCCAGCACTTTGGGAGGCTGAGGCGGGCAGATCACTTGAGCCCAGGAGTTTAAGACCAGCCTAGGTAACATAGTGAGACCTCAACTCTATGAAATTAAAAGTAAAAGGAATTCTGGGCTGCGCATGGTGGTGAGTGCCTGTAGTCCCAGCTACTCTGGAGACTGAGGAAGGAAGATTGTTTGAGCCCAGGAGTCTGAGGCTGTACTGAGTTGTGATCATACCATTGCACTCCAGCCTGGGTGACAAGTGAGAGACCCTGTCTCTAAAATACAAGTTTTTTAAAATAAAGGAATTCTGACTGTACCCCTCTTCCCTGATCATCAGAGACCTCATTTGGAAAAAGCAAAGTCATTTTGTGAAAAGCCACTTGAAGAAAGGACTTAGTGGATACATTCATTCATTTGTTCATGCTCTATCCTAGGTAGCTCTCTACCAGGACTTGGGCTAGCATCACAAAATTCTCCCTCCCCACTCCCCAGCCTCCCCAGGAGCCTCATGAGGCTTTTCAGGGTAATCTCAAAAGCATCTGGGATGTTTAAGGGTTAAAGGAACCACATACTCTGGACAATCTCAAACACACCCCAAGTTGGTGGTCTCTGCTATAATTTTCTTGCAGGCTAAGGTCAGCTCTGTGAAATAATTCGCAAAGCAACATAGCTCTTTGCTTAGTGTTTTTGAAATGGGACCTGGCAGGAAATTCTGAGCCATTTGATCACAGTAATAATGTTCCCTCTGTCTTCCTGTAAGTCCAGTGTTAGGCTGGGAAGTTCAGGTGTAAGTCTTGGGTATTGTTTCTCTGATGCATTGGGGCTTGTGTGCCCATCATTCTGAATGTAATTCTCATAGTCCCCACTTTGATGGAGAGTTCTCTCAAGAAGCACTCCCCCATCTTCCGGTGCAGGTCACTTTCTTCCCCTTGTCTCCTTGTCCCCCACGCCATTATCTTCCCCCCCATTGTCTTACACACAGAGGCATTTACTGCACTCCCCTCCAACCTGGGTACCCCCCAGATCTGTCCAATAGCTCCTTCCAACAAAACTTTCTGTACGCTTGTCATTTCCTCTTCAATGTCCCCTACCTGCACACTTAGCCACTGATAAACTCAGCCAAGATTTATCCTGAATTAAAAGTGTTTAGTATAAAGAATCGTTTGAACATCAACTTAATTAACTTGCTTTCTGTCCTGGGAGCAACTGCTTTCTGTTTCACTTTTGTTTTAGACTCAGGCAGAGAATAGAATCGGCGTGCAGTTTGTCTTCCATCATGCAGCCACTGATTCCTCTGGAATTTACTGAGCCAGATGCCAAACTAGTTCTTTGATCAATGGTCTTAAGGTCACACCTGACTCCTGAGAGAGTAGCATGCTGTCCCCTTTGCCCCTCTTTTACTCTTGCCCCGCTTCAATTTCTGCATCACCTCCTAAGGTCCAAATGTCAAGCTGGGGGATTAGTGTGGTTAAGACACAATTCCAGTCTGGCAGTGTTCACACTGAGCACAAGACATAGATGCTGCTGACTGCTCACATCAGACAAGGGGCAAGGCCCAAAGGAGCTCAGCATGGGATTGAGGAGATAAGACTTCAGAATCATTCACTCATGGCGTGTTTGAGAAACACACACACAAACAAGACAGTGAATGCCAGAGATGGGACTTGGTGACAGAGCAGGGACTGAGACAGCACCTTAGCCATGCCTCTACTGAAGACAGTCCTAGAACCCGGTTCTGAGCTTAGGCCCTACCCAGGAGTTCACTAGCACAGGTCCCACTGTCCCTTGGTGGCCAGGCTAAGGAGAAGGGCTAATTCAGTCAGCCATGGAGAACCAGTGGAACCAAGGGGGTACTTAGGGGACACTATCTGCTAACTGTGGACATAGTAGATTGTGGGAGGCACAGAGGATCATGGGTGGCACAGGAGATTGTGGGAAGCAAAGGGGATCATGAGAGTCAGACCAGCAGAATGCCCTACTGTAGGCCAGGGAATAGTGAGAGGCACAGGGGATGTGGGAGGCACAGAAGATCATGGGGGACACAGGGGGTTATGGGAGACCCAGGGAGTTATGGAAGACAAAAGGTTACAGGATGGTAGGAGTCACACAGGAGACAAGGGGAGAACCATGCAGCAGCTCTTTGATGGTCTACGTGGTATATAGGTTGGAAGGGGACAGAGGAGGCCAGCCCTAGGAACAGGAATAAAACAAAAGTAGAAGGATTGGAAAGATAAGGATAGATGGTAGTCAGGGGTCTTTGTTCAGAGAAATGCACCGTGAGTAGTAGGTAAGAAAAGGAGGTTTCTAGCCATAGAACCTGGAGTTTGAATCCTGTTTCTGCCCCTTCCTTCATGGGTGAACTTGAGCCTAAGTTTCCTAATTTGTAAAGTTCAGGTAATAATACTTACCTTCCATGACTATGGTAAGTATTCAATGAGACATATACATGAAATACATATCCCTGGCACATAGTAAGAACTCAATAAATACTATTATTACTATTATTATCATCAGGCAGATATTACACAGGAAGAATTGAGAGAGATACTTAATTGGATTTTAAGTGAAGGGGCATGAAATGGTTTCTTATCACAGAGACCACAGGCTCATGCCTTAAAAATCTCTGCAGATGGAACTGTGGACTCCAGTTGCTAAAAATCCCCTTCCTCACTTTGCTGGGTCAGAGATTTTGGACCAGTCCAGAGGGCATCCAGATTCCCCTTGGGTCAGAGATTTGGGGCCAGCCCAGAGGGCACTGGGAAAATGCAGCTGGAGGAGAAAGAGAAGGCAGGGCTGCCTTGTGAATTCGGAGTCCTTCATGCACGGAGACCCAACACCCAGGCTGAAGGTTGAGTCAAAGCCCATAGAAAAGAGGGGCCAATCCTAGTTCTTCCTTTAATCCTTCATGACTTTAAAGGAATTCTGGGTTGGGGAGGGTGGTTCATGGCTGTAATCCCAGCACTTTGGGAAGCTGAGGATGGAGGATCACTTGAGCCAGGAGTTTAAGACCAGCCTGGGCAATACAGTGAAACCTTGTCTCCACAAAATTAAAAGTAAAAGGAATTCTGGGCTGGCATGTTGGTGAGTGCCTGTAGTCACAGCTACTCTGGAGACTGAGGCAGGAGGATTGCTTGAGCCCAGGAGTCTGAGGCTGTAGTGAGTTATGATCATGCAATTGCACTCCAGCCTGAATGACAGAGTGAGACCCCGTCTCTGAAATGTAAATTTTTTTAAAAAAGGAATTCTGACTGTATCCCTTTCCCTTCATCACCAGAGACCTCATTCAGAAAAAACAAAGTCATTTTGTGAAATGCCAAGACAAGGATTCTCTTCTGCTCAAGTCTCCCAAGTGACCAGGGCAAGTTCCAGATAACAGAAAAAATGCTAATTAAGTGGTGGCACCAATCTGCCCATTTGTGCCCTCTCGCTAACCACCATTCCTCCTCCTGTCACTCAGAGGTGCTTTGGCCATTGAGAGGGACAGTGGAGAGTCCCAGGCACCTATGGGGCCTTCTTGATCTCTCCATGCCCTTTGCTTTAGCAGGACTGGACTGGATCAGAAGTCAGTACAGCAGACATGGCAGTCTCAGTCCCCAGAGCCGGGTTACCTCTCCACCCTAGCTTTGTCCCCAGCCTACCGTCTCTCCCTAACTGACCCAGGAACAAATTTGTTGCTTTATTGGCCTATTATAGGAATTTTTTTTTTTTGCACATTTCTTAGTAACAAAACAGCACCCTTCATCCACTTGTGAGTGTCTTTCTTCTTGGGTTCTATAAATCACCTGGTTGCTGCTTTGCAAGAAAATAGAAAACCGATCATTTCTCCAAGACAAAAAGAAAATTTGTATCACCAAAATCAAATTTAGTTCCTTCCACTTTGCTTTCATGCCTTCCTGCTTATGAAATAACTTTCATTTTGATGCTGAATCATAGTGTAATTTTTTGAGGACTTTTCTTTTTTTATTTTTGAAATTTGATTTTAAGTTCCGGGGTACATGTGCAAGATGTTCAGGTTTATTATATAGGAAAATGTGTGGCATGGTGGTTTGCTGCACCCATCAAGCCATCACCTAAGTATTAAGTCCAGCATGCGTTAGCTATTTTTCCTGATGATCACCCTCCCACCCCCTCCCCACCACTGATAGGCCCCAGTGTATGTTGTTTCCCTCTATGTGTCCATGTGTTCTCATTGTTCGGCTCCCAAACACGTGCAGTGTTTGGTTTTCTGTTCCTGTGTTTGCTAAGGATGATGGCTTCCAGCTCCTTCCATGTCCCTGCAAAGGACATGAACTCATTCCTTTTTATGGCTGCATAGTATTCCATGGTGTACATGTACCACATTTTCTTTATCCAGTCTGTTATTGACGGGCATTTGGGTTGATTCCATGTCTTTGCTATTGTGAATAGTGCTGCAATAAATATACATGTGCGTGTATCTTTACAATTGAATGATTTATAATCCTTTGGATATATACCCAGTAATGGGATTGCTGGGTCAAATGGTATTGCTGGTTCTAGATCTTTGAGGAATCGCCACACTGTCTTCCACAATGGTTGAACTAATTTACATTCCCACCAACAATGTAAAAACATTCCTCTCTCTGTAGCCTCGCCAGTATCTGCTGTTTCTTGACTATTTCATAATGGCCATTCTGATTGGCTTGAAATGGTATCTTATTGTGGTTTTGATTCACATTCTCTGATTATCAGTGATGTTGAGCTTTTTTTCACATGTTTGTTGCATAAATGTCTTCTTTGAGAAGTGTCTGTTCATGTCCTTTGCCCACTTTTTAATGGGGTTGTTTTTAATCTTGTAAATTTAAATTCCTTGTAGACTGTGGATATTAGACCTTTGTCAGATGGATAGATTGCAAAATTTTTCTCCCATTCTGCAGTTTGTCTGTTTGCTCTGATGATAGTTTCTTTTGCTGTGCAGAAGCTCTTTACTTTAATTAGATCCCATTTGTCAATTTTGTCTTTTGTTGCAACTGCTTTTAACTTTTTGGCCATGAAATCTTTGCCCCTGACTGTGTCCTGAATGGCATAGCCTGGATTTTCTTCTAGGGTTTTTATAGTTTTGGGTTTTACATTTAAGTCTTTAATTCATCTTGAGTTAATTTTTTGTATAAAGTGTAAGGAAGGGGTCTAGATTCAATCTTCTGCATATGGCTAACCAGTTCTCCCAGCACCATTTATTAAATAGGGAATCCTTTCCACATTGCTTGTTTTTGTCAAGTTTGTCAAAGATCAGATGGATGTATACGTGTGGACTTATTTCTGAGTTCTCTATTCTGTTCCATTTTTCTATATGTCTGCTTTTGTACCAGTACCATGCTGTTTTGGTTACTGTAAATTTATTTTATAGTATCATTTGAAGTCGGGTAGTGTGATGCCTCCAGCTTTGTTCTTTTTGCTTAGGATTGTCTTGGCTACACAGGCTCTTTTTTTGGTTCCATATGAATTTTAAAATAGATTTTTCTAATTCTGTAAAGAATGTCAATGGTAGTTTAATGAGAATAGCATTGAATCTATAACGGCTTTGGGCAGTTTATTAGTTCATTTTCATGTGGTTTAATTGGACTTACAGTTCCACATACCTGGGGAGGCCTCGGAATTATGGCGGGAGGTGAAAGGCACTTCTAACATGCAGCAGCAAGAGAGAAGTGAGGAAGAAGCAAAAGCAGAAACTCCTGATAAACCCATCAGTTCTCGTGAGACTTATTCACTATCATGAATATAGCACGGGAAAGACTGGCCCCCATGATTCAATTACTTCCCCCTGGGTCCCTCCCACAACACATGGGAATTCTGGGGGATACAATTCAAGTTGAGATTTGGGTGGGGACACAGTCAAACCATATCAGGCAGTATGGCCATTTTCCTGATATTGATTCTTCTTATCCATGAGCATAAAATGTTTTTCAATTTGTTTGTCCTCTCCGATTTCCTTGTACTCCTACTTAAAAATCATGGAGAGAAGTCCCATGATGTTGGGAGTTTTAGAAATACTGAATTTCTTCAGGCTTACACAGCTGCAGTTCCCTTTAATAGTCACCTGTGCAGCTCACCCCCATTTTGCCCATCCCTCCCCTGCACCACACACACATAAAGTATAAGCTAGTTCATAAGCCATCAGAAAAATCCCAGCTACTCTTAGGAATAGGTCAGCTGATGGTGCTGCACACAGAAGGCCAAAGACTACCAAGGAAATCATTGTGTCTGAAAGCTTTCGAAAAAGCATTCAAATAGATTCTCATGTTTTAAGAGCAAGATTTTAATTAGAACTGGATGTCTGAATTGATGGGATGTCTTCTTCAATCCAGATTGTATAAAGATGTTAAAAAAAAAATCAGGCCGGGCGCGGTGGCTCACGCCTGTAATCCCAGCACTTTGGGAGGCCGAGGCGGGCGGATCACGAGGTCAGGAGATCGAGACCATCCCGGCTAAAACGGTGAAACCCCGTCTCTACTAAAAATACAAAAAATTAGCCGGGCGTAGTGGTGGGCGCCTGTAGTCCCAGCTACTTGGGAGGCTGAGGCAGGAGAATGGCGTGAACCCGGGAGGCGGAGCTTGCAGTGAGCCGAGATCCCGCCACTGCACTCCAGCCTGGGCGACAGAGCGAGACTCCGTCTCAAAAAAAAAAAAAAAAAAAATCAATAACCCAGGCAAAAACTTTGGAACCAGGGGGGAAAATCAGTTGAATTAACCTCAGGTATATTGGCTTTTTTTTTTTTTTGGCTGAATTTGTGAGTAGGGGGAAATTTCAGCTAGGACTGACAAAAGGCAGATCAACTGTCAGCATTTTGTTGAAGCTATGATGTCTCAATGGGGGTTAGGGGCTGTAGAAATTCAGCTTAATCTTCAAGACAGCCTGTGGCAATTGTGTAGAACTTTAAAATAGATTTTAAAATGAATATAATTTTGGGCCAGGGAATGCATTCTTAAGCATGCAAAGCCTAAAATCAAGAATTTCTGGGCTGAGCGCGGTGGCTCACGCCTGTAATCCCAGCACTTTGGGAGGCCGAGGCAGGCAAATCATGAGGTCAGGAGTTCGAGATCTGCATGGCCAACGTGGTGAAACCCTGTCTCTACTAATAAAATACAAAAAATTAGCTGGGTATGGTGGCAGGCACCTGTAATCCCAGCTACTCGGGAGGCTGAGGCAGGAGAATCACTTGAACCTGGGAGGTGGAGGTTGCAGTGAGTCGAGATCGAGCCACTACACTCCAGCCCCTGAGCAACAAAGTTAGACTCCGTCTAAAAAAAAAAAAAAACAAAACAAAACTCTGAACATTAGATGATTCAAATAAATAAAGTCAAAAGAAAAAAACAAAAAAATCCAAGGAAAAATTAGCAATAGAGAATGCAATCACATTGAGTAATTCAAGATGGAAATCTGGAAAGGATATGAATGTGAAGTTTACAGAAAAATAAACACATGAAAACATAGTTAACTTCACTCCTAATTATGTAAGTGTAGATGAGATATCGATTCTCAGTTAACACATAAGTGAAACTTAGAAGCTTGTTAATATTTGGTATTGGCCCTGCCGTGGGCAATCTGCCACTCTTCAACACTATCAACATTACCAGAAGTGGTAGTGGTCTACTTTTAAATGAACAATTTGACAATACCTATCAAAATTGGAAATGTGCATTCCTCTCGACCCAGCAATTCCGTTACTGAGAATTTATACATATATTCACAATAGTACACTAAACATGTACATAAGAATATTCATTACCACATTGTTTGTAAGAGAAAACTGAAACAAACTAAATATTTGTATGGTAGACTGGTTAAGTAAATAATACAGCCATCCAATGTAATACTGTGCCGATATTTACACAGAAAAAGAAAAAGACAAGATCAGGAATTGGGGTGAAGGATGATGATTAACCCCATAACTTCCCAGTCAAAAATATATCAGAATACATTGGATATAAATAAAAAATTAGGCTGGGCACGGTGGCTCACACCTGTAATCCCAACACTTTGGGAGGCCGAAGCAGGTGAATCACGAGGTCAGGAATTCGAGACTAGCCTGGCCAACATGGTGAAACCCCGTCTCTACTAAAAATACAAAAATTAGCTGGGCGTGGTGGCTCGTGCCTGTAATCCCAGCTACTCAGGAGGCTGCGGCAGGAGAATCACTTGAGTCTGAGAGGTGGAGGTTGCAGTGAGGTGAGATCACACCACTGCACTGAAGCCTGGGCAACAGAGCGAGACTCTGTCAAAAAAAAAAAAAAAAAGAAAGAAAGAAAGAAAAAGAAAGAAAAGAAAAGAAAATTGAATACATACTTATGTGCATATGTTTATTTGTACATGTACTTATTTGGTGGGAATAGCATACTTTTTCTTTTTTTTCCTTGAGGGATACAAATAGCGTAATTGCTGGTAGTTCCTTTGAGGAGTGGGCTAGTGGTTGGGAGGTGGGGAGGGTAGGCTTTTGCATTTGGGGTTTTATCTTACTGTTCTTTCATTGCTTGGGAGCATGACCAGAAGCAGGGCTCCACAGCCTCTGACCCTAGCAACAGATGCAGGAAGACTTTGTGTCTCCTCCCAAAGCTGAGGACAAGTGCAGTGAGACATCAAAGGACTAAAATTTCTGCCTAAAGCCCGGCTGGCTTCATGTTAAAGGTCGTGGTGAAGCTGTAAGCACCAACGAGTGATCTCCACTTGGAGGCAGAGGGCTTTGACACTCGACAGTCCAGAGGCCAGACTGAGTGGGAGTTAGGGGAGCTTTAACTTGATCCTGGTAGGGAGCCGGATCAGCTGGAAGTGCTGCAGTACAGGTGCCTGGGGTGCCAGGTGGATACAATGAGGGGGCCTGAGCTAGTACTGGAATCATGAAAAGATTCCTCCAAGAAGTGTGGTTAGGCCTGAGCTCTGGATGAGGGATAGGAATTGTCTAGGCAAAGGGACAGGGCTGGAGATATATCTGGTAGAGGGGACAGCATCTGTGAAGGCCTGAAATGGGGAACCGGAGGTGAGTCTGTGTGGTTGGAGCAGATGAGGAGTGGGAGAAGGCCCACGACGAGACCATGTGGTAGGGAAGGTGCTATGCTGTGGGACCTTGGGGACAAAGGTGGGGGTGGGGTTTCTGTCTTTATCCCAAGAGCTATTGAAGGGTGTTATTTGTATTCTGAAAGGATCAGTGAGAAGAGGAGGGTGGAGAAGGGTAAGAGTGGAAGCGAAGAGGCTTTAGCGAAGTCCACGTGAGCGATGACCATGGCGGGACAGGAGAGCTGGTAGAAAGGTTGGATGGGGGTTCATGGGTGCCTCTTGTGAGCTCTCCTTCAAAAGGGCCACATCAGCTGGCACAGCTTCCATTCTGAGCTGCCTTGCAATGTGGGTTTGTTGGTCGGGGGAGGGGGGTGAGGGCCCAAAGTGAAAAGAAATGAAAAAGATCCACAGGTCTGAGCACCAGTCGTGAGAACCCGATACACTGTAAGAATACAGCCTACAGCCCCTATTCCCACCAGGCTCCTGGGCATCCCTCCATTCCCAGGAATTGGGGTACACGAAGATGACTAATTTCCTGCATCAGCATTAGTTTTTAACACTGGCTAGCCACTAGAATAAAACCTATGTGTTCTGGGAAAACGAATTTACTTTCCAGATACTAATTACATTCTTACTCTCCTTTTCAGTGTCATTCTTGGTTTTCATTAGTCCTCAAATACAGGTCCATCACTAGGCAAAATTGTGAATTAGGAAAAGCTGAGGCCCTGACCCTTTTAAGGCTGTCTCCCACCTTAGAACCTCATTCCCTGCAGGCTGCACCATGGAGGAGGGACACCTCAGAGAGGCTGCAAGGGCCTGAAACTTCCACTTGTGTACCAAGCCTTTGAATATATGTGGGTACTGTTACCATTGATAAAATATAAATTTATTTCAATGTTATACTGAATTCAATATAACTTTTGGTCATTATGCATTTTCTTAATCAATTGATTTTAAAAGTACAAACTGCTATTATATGGGGAAGTCTGCGGAATTTTTTTGTTGTTGTTGTTGACAACGGTTCATTATGGTTAAGAACTACTAGTCTAGGACAAAGGTTGTTAATGTGTTAATCATTCAATAGTAATTGTGTGCCTACTGTGGTCAAGGTACCACTCTAAGTTCTGGAGATACTCATGAATGAAATTGATGTAATCCCTAACCCGCTGAGAGAGAGAAATACAAGTGAAGTATAAAGAGGTGTTAGTAACCAACCATGTGATAAATACTATGGGAGCACATAGTAAGGCACTTAAAGATCTAAGAAGGCTTCCTGTAGGAAATGGTGCCTGAGCCAAGACAAGGAAGTAGGTAGAAGCTAGCCTGTGAAAAGAGAGGGAGGCTGTGTCCTAGGAGGAGGAAACAAGATGCCAGAAGCCTGCAGTGAGAGTGTGGCATGGGAGACAGAGCAGCTGATAACACTGGAGTGTGGGGCTGGAGTGGGAAGTGTACAACACACAGCTGGGCTGGGACGCTGGGAGAGCTCGTACAAGTCCTGGCGGGCCACGCTGCAGATTGGACTCTGTCCTGGGAGCAAGGAGAAGCACGGAAGATGTTTAAGCAGGGGAGCACCACGACTACATTTGTGTTTTAGGAGGCTCTCCCTGACTGCCACAAGGCAGTAATTAGCAGATGTGGGGGTGGGGAGGGCGATGGGAAGGAAGGAGGGGCAGTGGGTGCGTATCAGGCCTTGGTTGTAGAGGATGAAGAGGGAGTGACAAAGATGGGCAGGCCATGGTTTCTGGATTTCATTGCTTCTGCTTGGTAGATACTGGAGAAAAGCTGGTTTAAAGTAGAAGATAAGTTTGGCTACAGAGGGTTTGAGTTTTAAGACCTAGAAACATCAGGCTCTCCCTTCTTTAGGCATTTTGAAAGAGGAGCCTCTGGATGGGTAAATATGAACACAAAGGACTTAATTTGTACTGGTGGAATTTTAGGAAATATTTTGGCAGAATGCAGAAAGCCATTTAAATAGCTTGATTAGAAGACAAATTATAACTCTTGCTAAAATAATAAAATATGATTCCAAGTAAAGATGTCAATACTCAATATCATCAGTGTGTTAACCATTAGCACCTGATACTGATCTATAAGCTGCAGTTGTGTGCAGGACTTTCTTTTCTTTTTGTTTTATTTTATTTTATTTTATTTTATTTTATTATTTATTTTTGAGACAGAGTCTCGCTGTGTCACCCAGCCTGGAGTGCAGTGGCGTGATTTCGGCTCACTACAACCTCCGCCTCCCAGGTTCCAGCAATTCTCCTGCCTCAGCCTCCTGAGTAGCCTCCTGGGATTACAGGTGTGCGGCACCATGCCCAGCTAATTTTTGTATTTTTCGTAGAGACAGAGTTTCTCCATGTTGGCCAGGCTGGTCTCGAACTCCTGACTTCAGGTGATCCACCCATCTTGGCCTCCCAAAGTGCTGGGATTACAGGCGTGAGCCACCAAGCCCAGCCTTTATTTATTTATTTATTTTTTTGAGACAAAGTCTCACGCTTTCTCCCACGCTGGAGTACAGTGGTGCAATACAGGCTCACTGCAACCTTTGCCTCCCGGGCTCAAGCGATTCTCCCGCCTCAGCCTCCAGAGTAGTTGAGTTTACAGGTATGCACCACCATGCCTGGCTAATTTTTTTTTTTTAGTAGAGACGGGATTTCGCTGTTGTCTAGGTTGTTCTTGAACTCTTGGCCTCAAGCAATCCGCCCGCCTCACTTTCCCAAATCGCTGGGATTACAGGGGTGAGCTACTGCACCCAGCCCATTGTTTTTGTTGTTGTTGTTTTTGTTTGTTTGTTAGAGACAGTCTCGCTCTGTCCCCTAGGCTGGAATGCAGTAGTGTAATCACAGCTCACTGTAATCTCTAACTCCTGGGCTCAAGTGATCCTCCATCCTCTGCCTCCTGAGTAGCTGAGACTGCAGATGCGTCCCTTGATGATACATTAAGTTTTAAGTTTTTTATAGAAATGGGATCTTGCTATGTTGCCCAGGCTGGTCTTGAACTCCTAGGCTCAAGCCATCCTCCCACCTTGGCCTTCCAAAGTGTTGGGATTACAGGTGTGAGCCACTACACCCGGTCTGGACTTTGTTTTCACATATTTAAAAATATATGTCTGATAAGTGCATCCTTATTACTATTAGAATGTCAAAATAATGTTTATTGGTCTGGAAAGATGCTAGTGTTTGCTGGCTATTAGCTAATTATTGGAATTCAGGCCTGACTGAACCATAGAGAAAGAGTCCAACAATAATATTACCAAGAATAATAGGACTACCATCAATAGTTGCTAATAACAGCAAGTATTACCAACAATAGTTGGTAATAATAGCAGGGATGAGATGGACTTGAGACCTGTTAAATTCAGAGAATATGCTGCTTCTGAGTGAGCTATCACTCATTCAGAGATAATGCAGATTCTCACTTTAAAACACCTTTTTCAAAGTATCAGCTATATTTAGCCCTGTCTAGGTGTTAGCAAAGATCTGGAGGAGAAAATGAACATATTTTAGGAGACAGTGAATAAAACTTGCATCGCTATCTGCTGGTAGGTTCAGTTGACACAACCGACTCAGCCTGCTTCCTGCTCACACGCATTATATAACGAGAACCGTTAGGGTTTAGTGTGTGCCTCATATGTGCAGGCATTGTGATAAGTGCTGAATGTACATTACCCATTAAATCCTCATAATACTATGAAAAAGGCTGAATTAAGATTCTCACTTTATCAGTGAGAAAGTAGAAACTTCCAGAAGAGAAGCTAAGTAATTTGCTCAAGGACTCCCACACCCTAGGGGAAAGGTCCTTAAGCCATGGTCTCCATGTGGGACCCAGCCACTCTTTGTATACATGGCCTAGCGTACCTCTCATCTCTCCAATCTCTTTTGAGGGAAACCATCTTAGTCCCTTTCTGGAAAGATAGGAGCCCTCCCCAGTGGCCTCATTCAGTTCCTCTAGCTCCAGGTGATTGGCTAATGTTTGTACTGAAGACTGGTTTGTGAGAACACTTAGTTTGGACAATGATGAGTAGCTGAACCAGTCAGGTCCTTTCTCTCCCAGGGGTTTGAATGTTGAAACATGCCAGGGATTGGGCAGTTGGCAGTGGGGGCAGAACCAGACAGAGAGAGTGGCTGAGCCATCATTATGGTGGAGGAGGAGACGACACCTCAGTGAGTGAACTCTGTGGCTGCTGGTGTCCATGGGACACCATGTCATGTCATGGCAGTGGCATTGGGTGTCTCGTACATTCCAGGCCTGGAGGTCACAGCTGGGTTTTCTTGACTCCAAGATAGAGAAACTCCACGCTGGGATTTCCAAGACCAAACCCACTTCCTACAAGTTCTGGGCCTTAGGTCCTCCTAATCCAAAAGAGAGTAATTTACAGCAAAGTTTTCACTGTTGTGGGGGAATTCTCTACACATTTCTAGAAAAGGAAGTCGAATCCCCCATAATCTTCTTTTTTTTTTTTTTTTTGGTGAGAAATTCCCTCAATGTGCTTTGAGCAGCTGTACTCAAAATATAGCATGGCACTCAAAACCTCTCTTTGTGGGGCTGCTGGCATACAGGACTTTTTATTTGCTTTGAAATGCTTTTTAATATTTCCTATTTTGAAAGTATTTTATTCTGATTTCTGGAAGCTTAGAAGAAAGTAGAAGCAATCACAATCACTTACACTGTTCTTACAATCACTACGGTGGTGTTTCCTTCTAGTCACTTCTTCATTTTATATGAAAAGAATATATATATATTTATGAGCATATATTGATGTGTATGTGTGTATATATAAGTTACTATGGAAAAATTCAATACTGATTTGTACTTTAATCAATGATGTGCTCCACTTTGCACCCTTGCTAAGTTGTTATTATTATTATTATTATTGTCATTATTTTGAGACAAGGTCCTTGCTCTGTCACCCAGGCTGGAGTGCAGTGGTGCAGTCATAGCTCACTACAGCCTCAACTTGCTGAGCTCAATGATCCTCCCCCCTCAGCCTCCCAAGTAGCTGGTACTACAGGTGCACACCACCATGCTGGGCTACTTTTATTTTTTAATGTGGTAAAGGCAGTGTTTCTCTAGGCTGGTCTTGAATTCCTGGGCTGAAGTGATCCTCCCACCTCAGCCTCCCAAAGTGCTGGGACTGTAGGCATGAGACACTGTGCCCAACCTATTATATCTTTTTAATATCTTTCTATTTGATAAACAAAAGTGGCATCTCGCTTTATCATTCATTTCTTTTATTACCACTAAAATTGTACCTTTAAAAATGTTTATTGGCAGCTGGATGCAGTGACTCATGCCTGTAATCCCAGCACTTTGAGAGGCCGAGGTGGGCAGATCACTTGAGGTCAGGAGTTTGTGACCAGCCTGGCCAACATGGCAAAACCATGTCTCTACTAAAAATACAAAAATTAGCTGGATGTAGTGGTACGTGCCTGTAATCCCAGCTATGCGGGAGGCTGAGGCATGAGAATCACTTGAACCTGGGAGGTGGAGGTTGCAGTGAGCCGAGATCATGCCACTGCACTCCAGCTTTCTTTTGTGAATTATCTTTCATGTTTTTGCCCATTTTTCTACTGAGAGTTTAGTATTTTTTTCTAACTACTGTCTAAAAGCTCTTTTTATATTAGGACATATTATGCTTGTTTATATTAAGGATATATTAATGATATATGTTTTTGTTGCAAATAATTTCCAAACTCATTGTCTTTTAATTTTAAGAGGTTAAATATGTGTGTATGTGTAATTATATCTATCAATTGCTTACTTTGTCACTTATTCTATTGCTCTATGCTTAAAAAAAATCTCTCCCCACCTTAAAGGTTTTTTACCTACATTTTCCGTTAACTTTCTTATGGTTTCATTTTCTTGGTCTTTAAAAACAAATGTGGCTTTTCTTCCATTCATTTGTGGTATTTAGGGTTATCTGTGCTTTTGGTTCTGTACCGAGAGTGCTGGGGAGATAGGGCCACCATATCTGCCTATCCCTTAGGAGAAACCAACAGATAACAAAGATAAGGGAAAGGGGGCTAGGTTTAGCCTCTGACACTCACACTGCTATCTAAGCCCCAAAGAAGACTAGCCTTGTCCTCAGAAAGCTAAAGAAGAGCCTGTCTTCTACTGACCAAAAGACCAAAAGACAGAGGTCAGAGGCCGTTACTGGAGGCCCCAGTTAATCAGATCACCCTTGCAGAAAAGAGTGAGAGGAGGGAGTGGGCAAAGATGGAGCCCTCCTTTCTCACACTTCACCATCTTGTTGGAGAAACCAAATCCCTGCCTGCAGGGAGAGAACTAATTATGGCTGTCCCCCCATGCACTGTATACCAGCCAATCCAGAGGCCACTAGTGCATGAAGATCAGCAAACTGGGGCAATTAATCGCCTTTGGGCATTTGGGTTCAGACACACATTTGGATTTTACCTCCCCAGAGAAAGATGCAGGGATATCCTGGCACCTACCCCAAAGCGATTGTGGATTGTCAGTTATTTTGTTGGTTTTGCTCTGGCAGGATCAAGAAGCAGGTGGAGCTGGTCTGAGTTTTTCATCTCCCTTAGGCAGCCAGACTTCTCCTCCAGGGCAACCTCCAGGGCCTTTAACTTCTCCCCAGGCACCACAAGCCTCCACGGGACATGGAGCAGGACCTAACCACCCTATACTGGGGACCTTCTTGCCTTTTGCTCATTTTCTTTCGTTTTTTTTGAGATGGAGTCTTGCTCTGTCACCCAGGTGGGAACGCAGTGGTGCGATCTCGGCTCACTGCAATTTCCGCCTCCCTGGTTCAAGCGATTCTCTTGCTTCAGCCTCCCAAGTAGCTGGCACTACAGGCGCGTGCCATCATGCCCAGCTAATTTTTTTTTATTTTTAGTAGAGACGGGGTTTCACCATGTTAGCCAGAATGGTCTCGATCTCCTGACATCGTGATCTGCCTGCCTTGGCCTCCCAAAGTGGCACAGGCATGAGCCACTGAGCCTGGCCTGCCTTTTGCCCATTTTCAAAATTTGCTAGCTTAACACCGTGTTGGCAACAGTGTGAGGAGCAGGCGTGTTCATATACTGACGATGGAAGTGTAGATGCATACAAATTGCAAGACGATTTGGTAATATCTATTAAAACTACAAATGTCTATGTCTTTTGACACACAATTCCTCCTTTAGGAATTTATTGTACAAGTGTGTGCAAAATTGCAGTATTGCTTATATAGCAAAAGATTGGAAACACACCAGATATCTACTTGAAAGATACCGGCCAAATAGCATAAGGTATACTCATAAACATTCTGGAGCCATTAAAAAATAATGTGAAATGAAAAAAAAAGAAAGAAAGAAAGAAAAAAGATCAAACAAACAAAAATAATGTGAAATGTGTGGGGTTTTTTTTGTTGTTGCACACCAATGAAACAATCTTAAGGATCTATTATACTTTTAAAAACACACAGAACATTCTCAAATTTCTATGAAATGAAAGAAGCAGGATACCCAGCAGCATGTATAACACAATTCCATTTCAGTAAAAAAAAAACAAGAAGGACAGCAAACTGTGCTTATTTGTCTGGAAGGACATCTGAGAACTGCTCATGGTAGTTGCCATGAGAAAGGAAATGGGCGACCTGGAGTTTGGAAGTGGTATGGACAACTCTCACTGTACTCCTTTGCATAGTTTCAATTTTGAACCATGTTAGTATAATACCAATCCAAAAAATTAAGTATACGAAAGCTTACTTGATTTGCTTTCTGATCCTTTTCCATTCTGTTCTCCTGCTGAGACTATGATAAGTTAGCTCATATTAAAGTGCTAATAGATTCGTGGGCCACACTCTCAGCCAGCATACTGGAATTTTATCAGGGGCCATTGGAGATGAGGCCTTGGCACAGAGGCCCTCCCTCAGACCCCCCTGGATGGACATCTGCCTCCCGGCTTATACATGGGGAACTGTCCTGGGCCATGCAGCTCTGTCCTCCACCAGGTTCTTTAAACTTTCAGACATAGCCCAGCTCCCTGGGCAGGTTCTAAAGCTTTGACCATGGAGTGATGAGGAAGAGATACTATTGTTATTTCATGGATCTGCCCAGCACCTGACTTGGGGCTGAAAGGATGAATGAACCTGTGAATGAAAGATGAAGTGCAATGCTTCCTCTGCAACTTCATGCATCCTATAATATTTCATAATATAATTATATATATTCATATATTGTAGCTTACTTACCTATATGGTGCAGAAAAATGGCAATGTTTGAAAATCCTCATATTTCTTTTTTTTTTTTTTTTGCCACTGAGATGGTATTTTAACTTCTTTCTCCATCTACAAATTTCATCTACGTTGTTCTCTGGGGCTTCAAAGATCAGCCATTGGCCAGGCGTGGTGGCTTACACCTGTAATCCTAGCACTTTAAGAGGCCAAGGCAGGTAGATCACTTAAGCCCAGGAGTTCCAGACCAGCCTGGGCACCATGGCAAGACCCCATCTCTACAAAAAAACACAAAAAAATTAGCTGAGCACCTGTAGTCCTAGCTACTCGGGAGGCTGAGGTGGGAGGATCACCTGAGACTGGGGAGGTTGAGGCTGCTGTGAACCATGATCATGCCACTGCACTCCAGCCTGGGTGACAAGTGAGATCCTGTCTCAAAAGAAAAAAAATCAGCCATCATTGCTAATATTGCCCACATGGAACTGCTTCTCCTTTAGGCTTGAGTAATAGCAAGGACAAGGCTTGGTGTTTTGTACAAGGAAAATTATGTCTCCTTTTTGATTCTGGAAGAAGAATGAGGAAGGAAAAATGAAGGAAGAGCTGACATTTCAGGCCAAAAGAAGGACATTCCCTGTAGAGGACAACTGGTAGCCATAGCTGATAGATACTAGAGAAGGCAATCCCAGAACCTGATAGTACTTTGCCCTTGGGCATGATGGGTGAAAGGGACGCTGGTTGAAGCCAGGAAGACCCCGGATCAGCCATAGAAAAGTGGGGTTTCTCCAAGAGGCTTCTCCCGCCTCGCTTTGCACACCTTCACATGGGTACTCTTGCATGTCATGGCTCAAGTGATTGTGGGGTGGATGGAACACTCCGCTACACACAGGTTTAATGCTTTGCAGCATTTCCTTTCACTAAATCCTCATGATAGCAAGGCAAAATACCTAAAAGTATTCCCATTTTACAGATGAGAAGAGTGACATCACTAACATGAAATGCTTTCAGGGGGCTTGCTTAGTTCCTGAGGAGCCAGATTGGGATTCAAGTCCACATCTTTTGATTCCAAGTTCAGTGCCAGTTCTATCCCGCACCCCAACTCCTGCATCAGCAGGCTTTGGAGATGGAGAAAGAAGTTAAAATACCATCTCAGTGGTAAAAAAAAAAAAAGAAATATGAGGATTCTCAAACATTGCCATTTTCCGCACCATATAGGTAAGTAAGCTACAATCTATGAATATATATTTGCATATTTATTATATATTTATATTTATATATTTATATATATAATATATATTATGAAATATGACAGTACCCACTTAAATGAGAATAATTGGCTTAAAAGTCTTAGCCCAGTGCCTGGCTCATAATAAATACTTAAGAAATGGCAGCTGTTTTTAATGTTGTTTTTATTGCTATTATCTTCCTCATCTTCCGCAGGCACAAGTGTCCCGCAAACAGAGGAGATAAGTGAGTTGCGTTTCTGGACTCTTGGCCAGGAGTCTCCAGCTTAGAACTAAGCTCTCCTGGAGGGATGCAGGGGGTCTTCTGTGGTGCCAGAAGAAAGTGTTAGAACCTCAGTATTTATTTAATCCTTTTTAGTATCTATATCTTATATGTGATGTTAATGTATACAATATATTCAAACATCTGTATAACTTATAAGTAAACATATACATATATTGGGAGTGATAGTCCATTCTTTTTGGATAGGCACAACACTCAATAATGTTTAGTGGTCACTAGTAAAGGAAATAAATAGATTTTATATGAGCAACAGCCAGAAAGAGAACAGATGCCAATACACTTAAACACACGAGAACAGAGACATCCAGAGCTCTTAAACAGAGATGGGGTGAGGAGCCAGGGCTCATGAAAAGAGCAGGGGCTGCTTTACATGTACAGGTGGGTTTATAACTACTTGATTCAGTGCCTCTAAGGCCAGTAGGGAGGCCAATCATGCTATTTACAAGTATGTATTGATTATCAGCTATGCTCCCAGCACTGTCCCGTGCTGCAAGGGGTACATCAGAAGTAGGAGATGCTTACCATGCAGTTCGGGAGACAAAGTTGAACCACAGCGAATAGATTCCACCTTGCTGATGACCTCTGATGTTCTCTGTAATTGGTGAGCCAGAGTGGATAAGCAGGTGAAGGAGGAGGTCCTCAATGGGAGATTGACGTGAGTGCATTCATTCATTGAGTAACTATTGATTGGGTGTCTCTTGTGTTCCAGTCATTCTGCTAAGTGCTGGATATACAAGAGTAAGCCAAATAGATAGGATCCCTGCAATGTCATGGACCAGAGGGGTCATTAACCAGGAAGAGGTTAACACTTTTAAGAATAAAGAAAGCCGAGGATTTATCTTTAGTTTTTGGCAACTGGATTTCTTTTAAACTTGGCAGCTCCCTAAGGGCATAACGGGGAGGAAAATCTCAAAGCTTTTATGATGGGTGAGGGTACCCAGAGCACTCAAGGCGTTGATGCTATATTCCCAATGAGGCTTATATAGAAGTGGGCATGCAGGAAAAATTTATTCATTTACTCATCCATACACCCATTTACCTATCCATCTCTCTGTCCATCCATCCATTCATCCATGCATCCATCTATCCATGCATCCACCCATCCGTGCATCCATCCATGCATCCACATATTCATGCATCCATCTATGCATCCATTCATCCATGCACCCATTCATCCATACATCTATACATCCACACATCCATGAATGCACCCATCCATGCATCCATTCATCCATGCACCCACCCATCCATGCATCCATTCATCCATGCATCCATCCATCTATGCATCCATTCATCCATGCACCCATTCATCCATACATCCATGCATCCACACATCCATGCATCCATTCATCCATGCATCCATCCATCCATGCATGCATCCATCCATGCATCCATACATCCATCCTTGCATCCATTCATTCATCCATCCGTGCATCCACTCATCCATGCATCCATCCATCCATCCATGCATCCATTCATTCGTCCATCCATGCATCCACCCATCCATGCATCTATCCATCCAAGCATCCATCCATCAATGCATCCAACCATCCATCCATGCCTCCATCCATCCATCCATCCAGCCATTCATCCATCCATTCCATTCCATCCATCCATGCATCCATTCATTCATCCATCCATGCGTCCACTCATCCATGCATCCATCCATCCATGCATCCATCCATCCATGCATCATCCATCCATGCATCATCCATCCATGCATCCATCCATCCATCCATCCATCCATCCATCCATCCATCCATTTATCCATTCCATCCATCCATGGATCCGTCCATCCATCCATTCAACCATGCATCCATTCCTCCATACATTCATCTATCCAACATTTTTGAGGCCCTTCTTTGCCGGGCCTTGTCCTGGGCTGTTGAAAAATGCAGATGAAGAATGTAAAGCCAGGTCTCAAGATGCTCATGGTTTATTCCCACATTTGTGTAATAGGTGGAACAAGCCGATGTGATTGGGAAGAAAAACTAGGAGCGTGTTCTACGTAATACACTGAGCTATTGAAGTGAGAGACTTCGTTATCTGATGAAACTTTCAGGGAACCTCCTTCTTTCCCATGCTGCAATGTAGGGTTTTACTATTTATCTTAGAAGTAAATTCCATATCTGAAGACTTCACTCTGTCAGAGCTACTTTGTTTTAAACTTAAATTCTCCCTTTTGCATTTCAGCTTGCAGCATTGGAAGTCAGAAACTTCAGAGAGGATGCTGAGCCAATGGTCACGGTACTTGTCACTAGGCAGAATTCTCTGGTGGGCCAAAGGGTGTGCTGGCCCCTTCAGGGCAGGGAGGTGGAGCTATGAACCCAGGACTCAATTCTTGCTCAACCAATCTCAAATTCTGTGACCCTATCAAAGTCACTGAACATCTCTGAACCTGTTTCCCCTTCTGTAGAGTGAAGGTGCAAACACGACTAAGAGCAACATTTGGTGAGAGGACGGATTGAGATGGTACACATGTCAGGGGCTTCTCATATGCACATGCAAAAGTACCATTATTATTATTATTATCTAGGGCACTAGACTTCTGGGAGCATATGCAGAAAAAAGAATCACGCTTGGAATGAAAAAAAGTGGAGGCTGGTCCCCTGTGCCATCTACACCAACCAAGGCAGCTTCTGACTGAAGTTTCCTCATCTGCAAAGTGGGGTTGATCATAGCATCTCCTTAAGTGGCGGTGATGTTGAAATGAGACAGTGTGTGAGCAAGTGCTTTGCATGAGGGTGGAAGAGTGAAGTCTGTGCCTTTGTTATAGAAACAATTATTCCCTCGCCTCACTACTTTTCCACTGGCTGTTCTTTTTCCTGTTTTTAGACTAATAAGTCCCTGGTGCCTTTTATGGTAAACTGCCTCTCATCCTCTTCGCAAGCAGATTGCGCCTGGCTAGTAAATTTAATAAAAGTAATATGTCTTTGTTTCCTTTGTGGGCACCAAAGCCCTTCTCCCTTTGCTTCACATATGCCACCTTTTCCCTCTATCACCCATTCCTTTCCTTTGCTTCATGAATGTAAAGGCAACTCTAATTGGTCCTTCTCTCTGCCTTCCCAGCTTGTTGTCTCAGCTGGTGCCTGCTCTGAACCTTCCATTGAAAGAAGCCTAAAATGAAAAGTGGGACCCCAGGCCCCATCCCCCAAAGCAACCACTGTTACCCATTTCCTGTGCCTTTTCAGAAATAGACTACGACCATGGACACATATGTGTAGATTGTAGCCTACATTTTCCTACAAATTGGGGCCATTACATATGGTGTTCCGAACCTGGCTTTTAAAATTTCACAATCTATTGTTGAGGTCATTTTGTGTCAGTACACATAGAGTTCCTTTATTCTTTATTTTTGGATGAGTAATAGGATGTGATGTGGGACTTTTCCACTTGTTCTGGAATTACAGCCAAGGGTCGATGATGTAAACAAAAGATGCTAGGTGTTCCTGCATTCTACAGAGAGCCCTGACCAGAGGCCGCCGTCGCCTCTGCAAATAACTTAAGAGGACTTGGAAACCTTCCTTATGCATCAACCACCCAGGCAGGTTTCTGTGGGGAGCACACTAGGCCTGGGAGGAGGTGGAAAATCAGCCTTGGGGACTTCTGTCTGCCTGGGGAGACGTGACTTCCTTTCCTCCCAAAAAGCTTCCTGTCATGTAGGTGGATGGGAAAGGGATCCTGGAGAGTCACTTGTGGAGCTTGCTAGAAGGGGAGACAACGGGCCTTCAGCCTGATGCTCGCTGAGCCGCGGAATCGAGGGTCCATATGAGGGCACGCCATGGAAGAAGGGCATTGAGACAGCCAAGAGGAAGCTTGTGTGACCATAGAGGCTGGGTACCCGCTGGCTGCCTGTGCTAGAGGGCAGAAGGGATCTGTGGGGTGTAGGACGCTATGGCTGGGAAGCCAGAGACAGCCCTGCCATCCCAGTTCTGGGGCCTCAGCACTACCAAGAGGACCTACTGGAGCTTTTCCAGAGTGCTCCAGGAGTGCCAAAAGTGGGCCTTGGGAGCTGGCATTCCCCAGGCTGGACCAAAAGGGGACAAAGCCCCTTCCTGTGGCAGGTCCCCAGTGACAGAGGGCCTGGGGTGGAGCTGAACACTGCTCCCATGAAAGCCACACCCACCACCTCAGAGACCACCAGGATCCCACAGAACCTTCTTCGCTAAAGCAGATACCAGGGAGCTCCTGCCTCCGACAGGCCCACCAGCAAGTGGAAGAACTCAGCCATCTGGCTACCTTCCTTGCCCCCAACATCAGGAGAGACCTCAGAGCTCAGCCCAGGCCACCCCTCGGCAGCTGCTGGGGAGGGGAGGCTTTTGAACATTAACAAGATTGGAATTTACAGAGAACTGGACACACTCCAACTACAGAACCTTCTTCGCTAAAGCAGATACCAGGGAGCTCCTGCCTCCGACAGGCCACCAGCAAGTGGAAGAACTCAGCCATCTGGCTACCTTCCTTGCCCCCAACATCAGGAGAGACCTCAGAGCTCGGCCCAGGCCACCGCTCGGCAGCTGCTGGGGAGGGGAGGCTTTTGAACATTAACAAGATTGAAATTTACAGAGAACTGGACACACTCCAACTACAGAAAGTTGCAGGATCTGCCCAAGTTGTCATTAAAGGACAGTCAGGAGAGATTAGACACAAGGCAGTTGAAAGGCAAATTAGGGGGCACAAAGGCAATTTAGGGGGCAGAAAAGAAACTTTATATTTACACTTCATGGATTGAGACTTCTCAATCAACTCCTTCCAGGTGCCACGGCAACCGGCTCTAAAAAGGGGCCATCATTGGTTTAAACTGTTCCTTGGATTGGTTCAGTCTCTTGCTAGTTCAAAAACAGTGCTGCCAGGCAGCTTCCCACGTAGACCTTGAGCTTGTCTCTTGTTTGAATCAATTTGGGGAAACATTATTCAGAGTTGAGCCTCATATTTTCATAGTTTGAATACATCCTCTGCCTCTTGAAGACTGCTGTTCTGCCCTCAAACTCAAACTCTTTTGAATTTGCGTGCCCAGTAGCCAGGCTGCCCTGCCTTGTTGGGGGTCTGGGCTCAGCTGTCTCAGCATGGTTCGTGAGGGTCAGGCCCACCCCACCCTGGGGGACAGGTGTTCTCTGCACTCTGTTCTCCAGATAGGGCCTCTCTTCCAGCACCTCGCTCTTGTCCTTTTGGTGGCTTCCTCCTCCTTCCCCATCCTTTGGGGGCAGAATCCTTCTGCCTGTTCCCTTTCAGGTCAAGTTCTGGATCCTTGGACCCATGTTGTTTAGGCGCTTGTATTACAGAGTGGGAGGATCAGCCCTTACCTGTGAAATGGACCTGGGTTGGAAACACTGTGGGTTTGACTCACAGAATGAGGGTCTCTAAATTCACAGATGGGTCCTGGGTGATACCATCTGTGAAACCTGATGCACCTGAATCACCTAGAGACAAACTCAATGACTCAGTTACTTTCCAGAGCTTGGAATAGAGCAGCTTCACTCATGGAGGGACAGGAGGGTGCCCTCCCTGGAGCAGGCTGAGGGCAGGCACAGCCACCAGGCCCTTTGCATTTTTGTCAAAGTAGTTGAATCCAATTGCTGCTGCTAATATTAGGTTGGTGCAGAAGTAATCGCGGTTTTTGACATTACTTTTAATGTCAAAAACCGCGATTACTTCTGCACCAACCTAATGCATGAATTGATAGCTTGGACTTAGTTCTGAGATCCTTTCTGCACATGTGGGCATCCCCCATGCTCGAGTTCATTTTGAAGCCACAAACACCCAGCAGCAGAGGCAGACAATTCCTAGTAATCTTTCAGAAAACTCAATTTCCAGCCATGTATGACAAAATGACTATTTAATGAAGGCAAATGTCATGCTTAAATATTTTTAGTTTTTCTTGTCGGTGAGTGAATCGTTTTGAATGACAGATTAAATTTCAAGGGGTGCAAGAATCTCAACAGAACACCATTCCTTTTCTAATTTTTTGTTCCATTGACTCTCGGAAACCCTCTCAGTGATTCAGGAAGCTGTCTAGGGCTTTCTGACAGCACATCATACGCTCAGCAGATCAGTGAAACCCCTATCAGTAGAGCTGCGACTGAACCCATTGTGAGTTCCGGTCCTCTTAAAGGAAAAGCTCTTCCCACTGAACGGGCTCCCATCTGCACCTGCTTTAGATTCTGTAACTTCCTCAACCCATTTGCTTCTTCTCCTTTAGAGGTGCTCATGGCAGAGGTCATTCTTTTTACTTCAGTGGCTTCAGTCGGCAAAGGCTTTTGCTAGGAGCTGCCTTCGTGGGTGACAGATGAGGGGACATGAGGATTGTGACAGGGCTCAGACACCTCTGCTCCCTTCCCTCCAAAGCCAGGAGAGAGCTCTGAAGGGAGGGGGGAAGGAGGGGTGAGGCACCCCCTCCGGGGCCTCTCCAAGGAAGGAATGGATCCTGCTGTCAGTTCCTCCCAGGTTCCAGCCTATCGCTTGGCTCTAGAGGAAACTCCAGAATGAATGAAGAAGAGGTTCAATGGATGACTAAGAATATGAACTGCGAAGTTCTGGAGACAAATGATAAGAGGTCAAATAGTGTGATGGGAAAAACTCAACCCACCATGGTACTGGAGGTTGAGTGAGTGGGCTTCGATTTATCCCCACTATTTGCTAACTGGGTAATCTGGGCAAGAAATCTCTCCTTTCAGAGTTTTAGTTTCCTCATCTATGAAGCAAGGGGTTTGGAGCAAATAATCTCTAATCTTCCCTCTCTATTGTTAAAATTCTCAGAGTAGATGGTTGCTATGCCCACCCCTCACCCTGGGCCCAATTCCAGTCCTTTCAGAATTGGCTTATGCTAGAAAGCAGTTGTCGTTGAGCAAGAAAGAACTCTGGGGCCATCAAAAAGAGGTTGCTTGGTGAGAGGAGTTTGCGCACACCAATGGTAGGCACCCAGGGTGAGTCGAGAAGACAGGATGTTCCAGAACATTCTCCCTTGCCTGTACTAATTCCATGGTAGGTGGGTGGGGCTGCACAAAAGCCTGGAACATTTTCCTTTTGATGTGAGCTGGAGGCAAGCTGATAGAAACACGGAAACCCAGGCCAGCCTAGAGACCTATAAGTCAAAGTTGACTTCTCCCCTGACCCAACCCCATCTAGCATTGCCCAACTCCCCAAACACTGCTGAATGGCTGTTTATGTGGAGATGAAGAAAAGCTCTCTGTTGACTTTGTTTCCAAACCCTGCCTTTTGGAATTGACACAAGAAGAGAGCACACTGCTCTCCAGGCCTGACCATCCGGTCAGCAGACTCCAATCCCCTGCCCCTGCGTTCTGGCTTTTCCTCCTCAAACAGAAGCTATTGAATCAGATATCAACAACATAGATAAAAAGGAGAGCAACATGGGCTTTGAACCCAAGGCTAACAGGCTTATCACAAACTCTTGTCAACCTCTCTCTGTCGCTTCCAACCCCAGGGGTGAAAGATCAAACTTTCACTCCTTCTCCTGAGGACTGCTCTGTACAGGGGTCCTGGTCCCTGTGGGTCGGGGCACATGGGGCTGGATCTGCACCTTCAGAGAACACAGCCGGGACCGCAGAGGAAGCAAGGCCCCAGGTTCACTGTGGCTGCAGGTGGAGGGAGGCTGTCACTTGGGATGGGTGCCCGAAGCAGTACAAAGGCAGCATTCAGGTTAAAAGCATAAAAACTGCAACCAGACTTCCTGGTCTATCTCTCACAGCTTTGCGATCTTGGATGAGTTTTTTAATCCTCTTGGTATCTTAATTTCTCCATCTACCCAGTAAGGCTGTTAGGAGGATTAAATGTGCTCGTATTTCTAAAACAATGTAGAACAATGCCTGACACTTAGGATGTGTCAAATAAATTGGTGGTTCTCAAACTTTAGCAGGGATAAATCTCCTGGAGAACTTGTTTAAATGCAATTTGCAGGACTTGGTTCCCTGGATGCTTACAGTGAGGGCCCAGAGTTGTGTGACGCTGGCACAGGTAGTCAGTACCACCTGGTCACTGTTGCACCTGGATACCTGCCACCCTCTGGGAGCAGCAGGATCCTGTGTCCCTCAGGATTGGCCCTAGTTGCCCGGTGGGTTGCTAGAATCCTTGCAGATTGTGGTCTTGTGTGTTGTGGCTCATCAGCCTGGAAAGTTCTTCTGCATCTTGTCCAGTTGATCTTTCAAGTTTCAGCTTGAGCAACGTCTCCTCTATGAACCCTTCTTTACCTGGACCTGAACCTCTGGGAAGGGACACAAGCCCTTGTCTGCTGTTCCAAGACTCATTTTTTGTAAATGTGAAGCAACCTGACTTGTGGCAAGAACCATATGTGATGGCAAAAACCTGACCTGAACTGACATGCAGCTATTGATAGTCTTTATTTACTCCACTTAGTGTGACTCTTCATATGTTTGCTGTAGAAATATTAATGGGTTTGCTGACAAGGTGCTGCCCCAGACTCTGCTGAGGATCTTACATAATGGATGGCATATAAAAGGTATCACTTTCCTAAAGTAAAAATAAACAAACCTGCATTACATAATACATCTAGACCGAAGACTTTTGAATCCCGCATCTGTGGCACATTTTACTCTGATTAGTTTCTTTCTTGACATTAAATGAAAATCCTAATAGCAAAGACCATGGATTTAGCACAATCCTTGGTGCAAACAATGACCAGTGATTGTTTCTTGATTGTTTCTTGAACGAATGAATTCTTTCTTGCAGAAGAAACTGCGTCTGTCTTCCCCATTCTGTGTCATATTCCCCAACCCCACCCCATAATCTTCGTGTAGGATTTGTGGAATTAATTTCACATGGCTGTTTTGTTTCTCCTCCTTAGAACCAAGCATGCAATTTGGGTAGGCTGTTCCCAATTGGGGTAAATAGGACCCCCTGGGAAGATGATGTTTTTAAACAGCTATTTGGGCAGGGTTTTGAAAAAGAGGAGATTTTCTAAGGCATTAGAATGTCTTTGATAAAAGAATTTTCTGAGATTGGGAGAATGAGTTGAAGACTTCATCTCTAAGATCCTCTTTTTCTTCTCCTTATGTATGATAAAGCTAGACTCATCCAATATCAAAAGGGGAAAATGCTCCATTAGGCCCAGCCTTTCTAGGCTGGAGGAAGGCAAGAACTCCAGGACAGGAAACTGGGAAACGTACCTTGGAAGCACCCAGCCCAACTGAGCTATTAGAAGAAGGGGGATGGGGAGACTCAGAAAATTATAAGAAGTTGAGTGCCTGATGTATGAGTTAATAGGCCCCAGGCCCTTAGGATGTATTGCAACAAGGAGAGGGAACAGCACATTCTAAGAGAAATGGGATGATTATTTGGATAACTTACATTCCTGATTTGATCCTAATTTCCTATGACCAGGTAGAGAGGTTGCAAACTCAAACACTTGCATAGGCCAGGCAGATAATGAGGGATGTGGGCCAGAAGTGATAATAGGGAGCGACGGGCAGTGTGGTTAACTGGGAGGTCCATGCCCCATCTAAAGAGGGAAGCCCCTATTCAGCTCCAGCTGACGGATGCCAGGCCTTCTAAGTTTTGTTGTTTTTACATTCATCTTCTGCCCTTCAAGGTCAGAAGACTTGATTTTGAGGTGAAATTTTCCTATTTAAAAAATCCCAGGAAAGACAAATAAAGATGAGTTGGGACCCATCAGCCATTTTGCAACCGTTCCCCCCCCACCCCCACCTTACATTTTCGGTGCTTTCCCCTCATGATCTTTGGGAACTCCACCTGTGAGTTCCTGAAATGTTCCCGCCATTCTGAGCTGTGAGGATCCCAAGTGGAGGTTGCTATTCTCATTTGCAGCTTCTCAGTCCCACACCAAGAAGCAGGGCAGGCTCACCTCCAGGGCTGCCTCCTTTCCCAAACACTAGGTCCCTTAATCGTATCCTCAGTGAAAACCTAAAGATCGCTAAGCAGCCACCAGGAGTCATTTGCCAGGCACCTCTGCACGGACAGCCAAGTGTGGCTCGGATACCTGGAGGCCTCCAGGGAAACTGGCATCTCTGGAGAACTAAATTTTTGCTGAGACCAGGAGGCTTGGAAATTGTGTCTGTAAGTATGAGAGGCAGAGCAAAAAAGGCAGCTCATTCATTTGCTACTTTTCAGGAAACCTTTCCAATGTCGGAGAGCCGACAGGCACCAAAACACTCAGGCCAAGGCAGCGTGACTGTCTCAGATCATTTCCTGCAGTTTCAGTGTCTTCACGACTGTCACGTTGCCTCCCCTTTTGCACTCTTGTCAGAGACTCTACCTGACTTTTGTTTTTAGAAACAAGGTCGTGCTCTGTCCCTCAGCTGGAGTGCAGTGGTGAGATCATGGCCCACTGCAGCCTCCAACTTCTGGGCTTGAGCAATCCTCCTGCCTCAGCCTCTGGAATAACTGGGACTACAAGCAAGTACCACCATGCCTGGCTAATCTGTTAGTTTTCAAAATTTTTTTGTAGAGATTTGAGGGGGTCTCACTATGTTGCCCAGGCTGGTCTTGAACTCCTGGGCTCAGGTGATACTCCCACCTTGGCCTCCCAAAGTGCTGGGATTACAGGTGTGAGCCTCTGTAATCACCTGTAGAGCACGACAATGACAGGCCCAAGGTCATGGGGCTCCCAGGGCTTCCTGGACTCCAGGTGGGTATGGCCGTTGCTCTTTGCATGTCACCAGCAGCAAGTGTTTCCCAACTCGGTCTCCTTCAGACTCCCAGCCCCAAATGACTGTCTTGTAGTCAACCCGGCCCCTCTGTCAGGGTTGTGAGGTGGGCAATCCTCGGCAGCCTGGCCAGTGTCTGACTGTTTATTCAGGAACACACACAGGCAGGAAACAGCAAAGATCCGCAAACAGAAATCTACAGACAATCCCAAACCTCCCTATAGCCAGAAACACCACCCCATCCCCATTCCCCAGCACCATCTAGTTTACTGTAAGGCAGTTTTATTGAGCATCCAAGGTACAGAGAGCATTGATTTAGCCCCACGCTTTCAGGTGCTTCGGGTGATGTATAGGATGGAGATAGCCATACTAATAACCACAATAAGAGACAGAAAGGGACAAAGTGCTGTAAACTCAGAGGAGGGTTGGAACTTCATTTGGTGAGGTGAATCAGGCAGGGCTTCATGGAGGAGGTGACATTTGAGATGGGCCCTGAAGGTTGGCTAGATTTGGATATATGGGAAGGTCACTCTGAGTAGAGAGAGTGGTGGGAGCACAGGCGAGAAGGTAGCAATGCAAGGGCTGCATGGGGATGGAACGGTTCCCTTGATGTGACTATAGGAGCGTAGAGAAAAGGTGAGTTATGAGCCTGACCTTGAATGCCCTTGCTCATAAGGAGTGTAGATTTTAGTTTCATTTTCATTGGTCAATACAGGCAAGCCTTTGAAGGGTTTCTGCAAGAGAATGTAGATATTGGAGTTGGGCTGCACCAGTGCAAACTGGACTGGGAACTGGGAAGGGAACAAGTGGGAGGTACAGTCAGGACATTATTGTCATAACTTGGGCAGCAGTTACAGAGGCAAGCAAGGTGGAGAGGGGGTGGAAATGAAGGTAAGAATCCAGATGCCTGAGCTGTGATGGGTGTCCCTGTCTCCAGTTCCTCTTCCCCTTCTTTTGGGGGCATTTGCCCCCAAATTCCAGCAAAATCTCTCCTATTAAGGCCACCAATGACATCCACATTGATAATTCCAGTTGTCGCTTCTCAGTCCTCATCTTGCTGACCTACCAGCAGGCCATACCACGCTTGGTCTGTCCTTCATAAATAAACTCTCTCCTCCCAGCCAAATTTCTCCAGGGTCACCACTGTCTCTTGGTTTTCCTGTCACCTCTCTGGCCACTCCTCCTTTCCTGGATCCATCTCATGCTCCTGTCCTTGGACCCCTCCTTTTCAGTGCCACAGCTTTAAAGACCATATACACGCTGATGATGCTTTAGCTCCAGCCTGGACCTCCTTGACATCCATGATCCTTCCACTTTCTACTTGACCCTTCACTTGGCTAACAGATGGCTCACCTTGGTATAGTCCCAAAGGGGCTCTATCTTGTTTCCTGTTCCTCCTTAAGACCTCTGGATTTGCTGTTTCTCTGCCCAAAGCCTCATGGCTTGCTCACTCACCTCCTGGTGCTCTTTACCCTGACTCACCCCATCCAAAATTGCACCCTCCCATACTACCTGGATCCTTCGTCTGCTTTATTTTTTCCCCTGGCTTCATCAACATTTAACACACCATATATTGTACTTACATATTCTAGTGGAGACAACTAAATGAGAAACATATTTCTAGTGGAGGCAACTAAATGAGAAACATATAAATATCTCATGATGGAAGTGATCTTTCTTTTGTTTTGTTTTAATTGCTGTATTCCTAACCCCTACGAGTGCTTGGTACATGGCAGGCACTCAATGCATATTTGTTGAATGAATGAGTGAATGCATGAATAGAAAACTGAACTTTGTCACTCTTTCAACCTAGGGAGCAAAACCATGTGAAAGGTCACTGAGGAAGTTCCAGTGTGGATGCCTGGAAGATACAAGAGAACAACTCCCAGAGATTTGGAAATACGGAGGAGGAGAGGTTTAAAAGTGTGAGTTCAGATTGGGACATTTAGAGTTTGGGTGACTTGAGGAATGTCCTACGATGAGTCCATTAGGCTTTTGGAGACGAGGGCCCTGAGAGAAGCTGGGGCTAGAGATACACTTGGGAATTGTCCACATGGAGGTACTAACTTAAGCCATGAGAGGAAGAGGAGGAGGAAAAGGAGAAAGAGACACAGAGAGAGAGAGAGAGAGAGAGCTCACCAAGAACAAATTATTGGGGAACACCTACCTTTAGGAGAGGAGAAAAAATAGTAGGAGTATTTGAAGAGTGAGAGAGTAACCAGAAGATTGAAATGTCATGGAAACCAAAGACACAGTATCAAGACAGAAGAAATCATCGATAACACTGAAGGCAGCACACTACGGGGGAGAAAGAAGACTGGGAATTGGTGGTTAGATGTGACCACCTGGAGATCTGCCATCCCCCTGCCCACGTCCCAAAGAGCAGGTAGATGCCCTTGCGCACCAGTCAGGAATGCAATGGGGAGTCATGGAAAATTTTCCAGCAGAAGATTGACAAGATCAGAGTTTGCTGGAAGCAGGCTCACATGAGTGTAAGATGGCTGGGAAGGGGAAAAATCAGGTGGACACCATTTAGTGGGATATTGCAGAAGTCCAGACTGAGGGAGGTCTAGAAGCTAATTAAGGGCTGGTGGCTTCAATGTTACAACATGTAGAGCAGGACAATGACAGGCCGAAGGTCATGGGGCTCCCAGGGCTTCCTGGACCTCAGGTGGGTATGGCCATTGCTCTTTGCATGTCACCAGCAACAAGTGTTTCCCAACTCGGTCTCTCTCAGCCTCCGTAGCTAATATTTGCCTCCTATTGATTCAGTATCTAGCCTGTTACTTTTTAACTGGAGCCTGGGGTTCAAAGGCCTGACTGTTGTTTAAACACTCATTACATTGCGGAGGGCATGTCCCCCTGACAATCTCAACTCATGAACAAGCAAGGATCTTCTAAGTAAATATAGAATGCAGAGAAGGCAAGAGGGGGCCAGGATGGGGGTTGAGGTCATGGTGAGAGGGGTTGTGAGGGAGGGTGATGACCCTAGTGGCAGAGTCTTAGAATTGCTAAGAGAGCTACATAACTAGAATTCAAAAGACAAATCCCAAACTCTAACTTTCTGCTATAAACAATATTAAATACAGTCATGTTCATGTGTTGCTTAACAACTGGGACACATTCTGAGAAATGCGTTGTTATGCGATTTCATCGTTGTGCAAACATCAGAGTGTACTCACACAAACCTGGATGGCATAGCCTGCTACACACCTAGGCTATATGGTCCAGCCTATTGCTCCGAGGCTACAAGCCTGTACAGCATGTGACTGTTCTGTTCAGGCAATTGTAACACAATGATAAGGGTTTGTGCATCTAAGCGTAGCTAAACATAGAAAGGGTGATGGGTTGCAAAGGCTATGATGTCACTAGGCAACATGAGTAGGCAACAGGAATTTTTCAGCTCCATTATCATCTCACGGGTCCACCATCGTCTATGGGAGTCCATTGCTGACTGAGATGTCTATGTGGTGCATGACTGTATGTTACAACTTAATATCTAAAATCCTTTAATAACAGAAACTCTTTAAAAAATTCAGCATCTCAGAGCTCCATCAAGGAGTTCCTGGGAGTAGAAAATCCAGTCCTCAGTCTCTGGTCCCTTCACCCTTCAATTCTGTTGGACAAAGGGAAGTTTGTGTTGTCCCTGGAAGGTCCCTGGAAAATATTAGATGCTTGTTTTGTGGTGTGGGAAAGGCTGGAGGGAGGCGGGGGGTTCTGTCCTGTGGCAGCCAGAAAGGCAGTGCAGTGTCTTTTAAGTGCTGAAACTGGGGCTGTCCCAGAGATCAGGCTGTCTTTTCCCACTGTGCTGGCATCCCGTATTCCACTGGCGTCAGTGGATTTTGTAAACTTAAGTATGCCCCCTACCCTCAAAAACCTCCCCAGCTGGGCGCGGTGGCTCACGCCTGTAATCCCAACACTTTGGGAGGCCGAGGCGGGTGGATCTTGAGGTCAGGAGATCAAGACCATCCTGGCTAACACGGTGAAACCCCCTCTCTACTAAAAATGCAGAAAATTAGCTGGGCATAGTGGCGGGCGCCTGTGGTCCCAGCTACTCGGGAGGCTGAGGCAGGAGAATGGCGTGAACCCGGGAGGTGGAGCTTGCAGTGAGCCGAGATCGCGCCACTGACCTCCAGCCTGGGCGACAGAGCCAGACCCTGTCTCAAAAAAACAAAAAACAAAAAACAAAAATAAAACAAAAAACAAACAAAAAAACAAAAAAAAACCCTCCCCAATTTGCTGGGACATAAATGCCATAATTTTGATCTTTATTCCTTTTGATATAAACCAAGCATCACCTTTGGTATTTGTTAAAATAAAAATTCTTCTGGAAGGGTCATGTGTTTAGCCTATCAGTCATTCACATCTTAGTACGAATGAGTTTATTGTTCTTCAGGATGTGTGGGCAGTAGGATGGCAGATCTCCAGGTGGTCACATCTAACGACCACTTCCCAGTCTTCTTTCTCCCCTTTAGTGTGCTGCCTTCAGTGTTATTGATGATTTCTTCTGTCTTGACACTCTGGTTTCTCAGACAGGAGGTTTTGATGGAGGGGCAGTGAATGGGCAGTAGAGTTGGTGGTTAAATGATGCCTTTGAGCCAGACAACCTGGGTTCAGAGTACCACTCTGCGAGTCTCCTAACCTCCTAGTCTGTTTCCTTGTATGTACATTGGTGCTAATAATATCTACCTCTTTAGGCTGGTGTGGAAATATTATAAGAGGGTAAACTGAAGACCCCAGAAGCTTGGCAGATGGCAGGAAGACCACTGTCCCCAGGGGAAATTCACTCTGTAAAAAGATGCTTAAGGCTGAAGATAAACTCTCCACGGCAGCTTGGCTTATTGTTCCCATTTCCTTCCCTTTTCTTTTGAGTGCCACTAGGTATTTCCCAGCCCCGTGGGAGGCTCTGGCAGGTGGCTTGGAGGCTGCTCACTCAGGTGCAGGTGAGCAGCTCAGAGAGGCAGGAAGGGCTGAGGGCCCTGCTGGAGTGCCACAAAGGGAGGCTGTGGTGAGGGCAGGGTGACCCCATGGCTGAGAGCCTCAGGGCTGACCGACCAGCTGGGGCTCAGGTGAGCATCACAGAGGCCAGCAAGATGTCCCTGGAGGATGGCCCTGGAGTACTTGCGACCCCATTCAGGGGACAAAGAGCATGACACCCTAGGCCCGAGGAGAGAGCCCGCCTCAGCCTGTCCCATGAGGATCCACCAGGGACCTCCGGAGGAAAGAGCCTCAACAAGGAGTTTAATCTAGAAATTGAATATTTATCCCCCAAAGACTATTTTAAACCAAAAGAGGCAAATTACACTGAAAGAGCTAATGATTGAGGCCCCTGGCACTGCATGGAAACAGGGCCCCAGTGCAAGAGGAGATTGGTGCCGGGCAGCGAAGGCCCCGTTTGTGCCCATCTAACAGGTGTGGGCAGTCCCGGGCCCGTGCCTGTGGACTGCAGGCTTGTCTCGGCCTTCAGGGCCAGCTCCCCCAGCTCCACATCTCGGGGTTCACTGTTCGAAGATTGAGGACTGGAGAGTATAGCAGGCCCCGGGGTACGAGGGCCCTAATTCCCACCTACTGCTTTTTTTGCTCCAGCTTTTTGGATCTTGCTCCAGCTCAAGGGCTTCTCCTCAATTTTGAGGAAGACAAGGCATAACCCAGAGGGCATGGTGGGCTCTTGTCCCTGTCCTGAAAGACAAAATTTCTTGCGGATGTTTGCCAAGATATACTCCCATGCCGGGATGATGTGTTACAGGAGGTAGATTACGCTCTTTATTATTTTTCTTTTTGAGATAGTCTCTTGTTCTGTCACCCAGGCTGGAGTGCAGTGATGCGATCTTGGCTCACTGCAACCTCGGCCTCCCGGGTTTAAGCGATTCTCCTGCCTCGGCCTCCCGAGTGGCTGAGATTACAGGCGCATGCCACCACGCCTGGCTAATTTTTGTATTTTTAGTAGAGACGGGGTTTCACCATGTTGGCCAGGCTGGTCTCGAACTCCTGACCTCTCAGGTGATCCACCCACCTCGGCCTCCCAAAGTGCTGGCATTACAGGTGTGAGCCACTGCGCCTGGCCTACTTACGCTCTTTAAATTATCTTGCTGTCAACTCCTCTTGGGGATCCTTGGCCCCTTCCCTACCTAGAGTGCCAGCCTGCTACTGCCTGGCCCCTTGGCACAGGGCCCATCCTGCTCAGGACAGGTAGGACTGTCTCCATCCTTGCACCTTTTTAAAGGAGAGACCAGCTTAATGTGCTTGCAGATTTCCTGGGAAAACCTGGGTTTTCTGCCCGAACTGGGAAGCGGAAGGATGGAACTCTGCTGGCCGTGTCTCTGCTGGGGTTACCTCCAGGCCAAGGTGGTCTGTCCATTCCCCGCTGCCCCCAACTGCCCAGGCTGGGCCGTTCATGCAGCCTCCTGGCCTCCCTTCCTGAGCTCAATGTTGAGTAGCCCCTCTGCTGCAGACAAGCCCCTCGGTGGAGGTGGTGGGGTGAATGAGGTCCTGCCCGCTTCCGCGGCCCACGGGGGCAGTCGGAAGCCAACCACCTTCGCCCATCAGCCCTCAGGTTTCTAGCTGGGAGAAGCGCCCACAGGGGCAGCTGTTCTGGGTCTGTACAGGGGAGGCAAGGCTGCCCCAGCAGAGTCCAAGGCCACAAATGACAACAAAACCTGGCCCTCCAGGCCCACAGTACTGGTCATATCTGGATTGATCAAGGGCAAGAACCCCGGGACTCACATGAAAAAGGAGAGCGTTTAGACAAAGCAAGGCCGGCCCTGCAGGGCCACATATTCTGCGATCACGTGATTCGAGCCGCTGACACCTGGGCACTCTGCAGCGCAGAACCTTCTGCCTTTAGCCTTGGTACTCAGTCTGGATAAGGCCAAACAGGATTGAGAACTCGACTCCCTGATTCTAGCAACAGTATTTAAAACTCCCTAGGAAGGGTATTGCTTAGACACCACCCAAATCTGCCTTTAATCACAGGAATGTGGCTCTCACCCATCCTCTGGGCCCTATTCAGTTTCAGTCTGCTCAGTTTGGGGTTGTGCTTGCTCTAGTACTGTACTTCCAAACTAATTCGTCTGCAAGTAAGCCCTTTCCTTGGAGAGGAAAAAAGGCTTACTCCAAGAACTGATGTGGGGAGTGGGCAAAAGCATGTGGAGGAAACACGGTCTCCCCTCACAATTCCGATGGGGAACTGTGCAGCAAGGCTGCAGAGCTGTGAGGGAGGGGGCCTGGAGCCCTGGTAAAAGGGCATATCTGAAAAGGTAGTTTCTGGGGGCACCTGGCCAAGAAAAGGATGAAGTTGTTGCAGTCGTCATTTCAAACACCAAGGCAGTAAGACCAGCAGAGGACCTGGAAGAGCCACAACCCCTTGTGGAACTTTGTGCTTTGAGTGGGCCTGGGAGAACGTGACACAGGGACAGTCTCTGACCTTCACCCGGAAGCACGGAGGGCTCAGGACGCCTTGTCCCCAGGAGGCCCCTGTGAAGTGAGGGCCACTCTGCCTGGAGGTGACGGGAGGGCTCTGCGCTGTCAACACTGCAGGTACCCGAGACTTGCAGCCCAGCTGGGAACTTTGCAGAGGAAAGGGGAGGAGGCACATGAGCAGCACGGGGCACTGTGAAGTGGGCTGGGCAGGAAGGAACACAGCAACAGGCTAATTGGGGAGACTGACCTTTTTCCCAGTCTGGCCTAAGGTCAGCCCTAAAAGGTTCCCAACAGGGACTCTCCCTTCTTGCCCTCTTGAGTCCCCACTGGGTCACATCTGGGCACTGCGGCCTACTTACCAAGGACTGTGTCTTGGGTCTTAAGTAAACTCATGCTCAAATTTTTTCCAGCCCAGTTCAAGTCCTATAAATGATTCCTCAGAGATTCTACAGCCTGAGCTCTCTGGAAGCTGTTTTGAGAAGTGTTCTCTCCCAGAAAGAGGCTTCTGCGTTCTTACCTCAGGAACCCCTTTGAACATGGCTCTGAGAGCCAACCCCGAGAAAGCTAGTGTCAGAATTCAGGATACCCATGCTCACCGCAAACACTTTTACCAGGGGCTTCACCATCTCACAAGTGCCTAATGAGTCTTGGACTTCAGAGCAGGTTAAAAGCGTATTAATCTAGCAACTGTGTCATTGATGTAATTCGTTCCACCATGTGTGGTTTTAAGAAAGAACATATAAATATTCACAGTGACTCTGTCCAATTGTGCCTCTCATGTGTACTCATAACCCTGGAGGAGGCGGCAGGAATTCCAAGTGCTGCGGACAGCTTTCTGGCAAGATGCCATCTACTGTTAATGGAAAAAGACAAGCCGCAAGAAACCAAAGACTAAATGATGTCCTGCTTCCCCGCTAGCTATCTCCTCTGCCCCGAGGGGATGGGTTAAGCACATCAAGAGGAAGCTCAGTACTAAAGAAAAAGGGAAAATTCTCCAGGAGTCTGAGATGATCTGAGCGGAATGAAATGGCATGAGGAAAAATGCCACCGGCTTTGCACAGGGCAGTGACACACGGTCGGGATTCTGACAGCACCTTTCTGAGAAGCAACTTGGGGATTCATTATTGAGTCTTATTAACTCTCACACAAGTTGAGGGCTAGGTATACAAGGATGCCTTTTGAGGAACAGACTAACATGGATTATACAAATGTTACGTAAAATCAGTAATTCTCAAGTTTAATAAAAGAACAAAACAGCAGACGGATAAGAATAAATGTGCATCCTTTTAGTAGGCTTAAGCCATGTGTTTTGGGCAGACTTTTTTTTTTTTTTTGAAACGGAATCTCGCTCTGTCACCCAGGCTGGAGTGCATGCAATGGCACAATCTCAGCTCACTGAAACCTCTGCCTCCCGGGTTCAAGCGATTCTCCTGCCTCAGCCTCCTGAGTAGCTGGCATTACAGGCATGCGCCACCACGTCTGGCTAATATATATATATATTTTTTGTATTTTTAGTAGAGATGGGGTTTCACCATGTTGGTCAGGCTGGTCTTGAATGCCTAACCTCAGTGATCTGCCCACCTCAGCCTCCCAAAGTGCTGGGATTACAGGCGTGAGCCACTGTGCCCTGCCAGACTTTAATGTTTTTAAAAGTGCGGCGCTTTTAGGGAGATGAAGGAAATGAACATACTATAAATCTGCAGGCATTTAAACCCCTCTGACAACAATTAAGATGGTGCATTCACAAAGAAGCTTTAAATCAAACAACCCATAACACTTGATGTAGAAAATGTTCCAGCTTCCATAATTCTTTATTAAATATTTGACAAGTTGCATCGCTTCTTTACAATGACTTCATTTTGTCACATTAGTCTTTTGCTGTCAGGAAAACAATCTACAGTTTCTCTTTAGATCTCTCAAGAAAAAAGAAAAGCGAAAGGATTGTTCTTCAAGAAAACTTCCTGTGTGTATCAAATTCAACCATATTTTAAAGCTATTCTGACTGTGAAAATGAGCATTATTCATAAGTTGCCTTAAAAAAATTCAAGGTAGTTTGGTTTTTACCACTGTATCAAATAGTACTTGGCTTCCTATTAGGAGGTGGGTTTATAATAAAAAGTTATGAAACATTGATAATTTATTTGGAATGCTTGAAACTCTTTTCACCTTAAAAGTCACTGTTTTTTTCATGTTTCATTTGATGATAGATCCTGAATTAGGAAATGACAGCAAATTAACATCATCTTCCTAGGGTTTTCTTAGGCTCCAAGGGTTGAAATTCACAGGACACAGCTTGGAGAAAACTGCAGAAGGGACTAAACTCTCACCTCCTTTCGAAACCAGATTACTCAATAAAGGTGTAAAAATGCTATACAAATATATACAAATATATTTGGACAGCATATGTACGTATATATGTATATATATTACATACAGAGTAGTAAAGGAAGAACAAAGTCACGCAAAGTTAACATGAAGGAAACCGTGACAATCTAGGTGAAATCAGTCTGAGTAAAAGGGGAAAACTGGCTTACACGGGAACACATATCTGCAGACACAGAGTTATGGTCACGAGGAAGGCTTCTGATGATGCACTGGTACGGGGTTGAGAATGCAGTGCACGCGAGGTTAGGCGCCAACAGCAATGCTACTCCTTACACACAGAAAACCAACGAACGGAAAGACGTGCCTTTGAAACATGCGTTGCTTTCAGTGGAACATCTTTAACAAACAACAGATGTTTAATGAGGTTTGCTTGGAAAATTTCATGCCAACAGGAAGCTAACCCTTTTCTAGAAAACGTTCTCCAAGCTCCCGTCCTAATGCTGTGGCACTTTCTCTGACATACTGAGAACACTCTGGGGTGGGGGTGTGTGTATGCAAATGTATAGACACTGTTCATTAAGGCTTATATAAATTAAAAAAGTGGTCCAAAGAATATCACATTTTTCCCCAGTTTTAAAATCTAAAGTACAAAGTGGAGTTTATAAGGATTTGTTTTTTAAAAACACATCTCAGTCCTGAAATTGGCAGTTCTGACACGACTTATCAGGATGTACCCCAATGCCTGAATGACAGAGGTAGTGATCTTCGGGGTCAGGGGAGGTCAGGAAGGGAGCAGGCGGGCAGTTACCCTGCACAGCGGCACCCTCTACTGGCGAGGCAGCAAATGATACCAGACAGCACCTCCCACCTCTCCCTCTTAAGTACAGGGGTGCAGGGCCAGGGTAAGGAGGAGACAGAAGAAGGAGAACTAGCACAGTGTCACGTAGGGGCTGCAGAACTGATTAACCCAGGCTCTCTTTATACGTTTTTAAATTTCAGAGGTGAGTACAAGACTCTCAGAAATACAGGAGTCGACTGTTAATGGGTAACTGTTAGAATAATTAAAAAGTTGCTGTGTATGAACCTGGCTTTCGGGAGGACCAGTGTGGATCTGGCAAGATAGCAGCGGTGCACACTCTCTATGCAACAATGGGAGATGTAGAAAATGGTTCAAATGTTTTGCATGCTGTTTCTCAGAATCTGTCACTGTGAGGCCGGGTGCGGTGGCTCATGCTTGTAATCCCAGCACTTTGGAAGGCTGAGGCGGGAGGATCACCTGAGGTCAGGAGTTCAAGACCAGCCTGGCCAGCATGGTGAAACCATCTCTACTAAAAATACAAAAATTAGCCAGGCGTGGTGGTGGGTGCCTGTAATCCCAACTATTCGGGGAGGCTGAGGCAGAAGAATCGCTTGAAGCCAGGAGGCAGAGGTTGTGGTGAGCTGAGATTGAGCCACTGCACTCCAGCCTGAGCTACAGAGCAAGACTCTGTCTCAGAAATAACAATAATAATCTGTCCCTTTGTCCTTACATGGGAGAAATAATACATGCCAAGTCGCTCTGTATCCCTCATTGTCTGAATTTAGGGAATATCTGATGTCACCTTCTGAAGGGTCCTGGAAACAAAAACCAAGTGTCTTACCTTTGTTCTTGAGATTTGTTAGAGGACTGGCTGCAGAGAAGCATAAACATTTCAGGCAAAAAGGAAAAGAGCACTGAAGCTGGGAATACACCGCAACACAGACAATGAATGCCTCACTGCTGCCGGCTCCAGGGCCAGCAGTGGAGAGGCACAGGCTGTTGGACCTTCATCCCACCAGGTGCTCTTTCCACATCCTTCCTCGGGCCAACAAGGGGCAGGAATGGAAATACCCGGGACCCACAGGCAGCTGTGATAACTGATGTTAAGAGAACCGCAACAGGCAGTGTGTGAGCTCCGGCACGTACTTCTCAGCCTCATGTAAGTGGCCCATAATAACTACAGCTTCAGCAGACAACTAAAGAGACTGCATTAAGGTGATTTCTCTGGCTATAAAGAGAGCCCGGCCTGCAGAGCAGTGTGACTGCTGGGACCTCTGGGATAGGCAACACTGCCCTCTCTCCCCCAGGGCTACTCCCCGGGCAGGTCGGGGCCCAAGGAATGACCCAGCAACTGCTCCTTACCCAGCACACTCTCTTTACTGCCACCTGCAATTATGCTGTGAAGATGACTGGGTGTGGTCATCACGATTCAGAGAAATCAAGATCTATGACCATTTTAGGCAAAGAGAGAAACTTGGAGAATTGCTGAGGACTACTGAACCTTGTTTTGCTTTTTTAAAAAATACTAAATCCTCACTTCAGCATATTTAGTTGTCATTAAAATTAAGCTGATATTATTAAGGGGTTGATGAACTGAGGTGTCACTCACAATTACTGCCTTCCAAGTATTCATGGGGTAGATTTCAGTAATTCTTGTTTGCTTCTGGCTTAGAAATTGTCAGAATGATTTTTCTTTTATACTTTCCAATACTTGACTTAATATGCATTTAGTGACATTCTGTTTTTTTCAATATACGGTTTACAAGATGACAGAAGAATCCCAGTTCTTAGGTTAGAATTGGATTTCTCCCTCTACAATTACACAATTACTCTCAAAAACCAAGAAAGCATACTGCTCGACTCAGGCTCTGGCATGATTCTTAAAAAGAAAACTGCCTCTAGACTATGGGGGCTTACAAAAAGGGGATTTTTGCCACTGAGACATTTGTCATGTTAACTGTAGCGGAAAACATCTCACCAATAGTCAAAACTCATGAGCGGGAATTTTTTTTTTTTTTTTTTTTTTTTTTTTTTTTTTTTTAGTTACATAGCATCTAAGTTTTCTGATCACTACCAGGTAATTTTCAACCAATAAGAAAAAGGAACCAACACTCAGCTCTGTAGAAATCTACCTTCTTTTAGAAACCTCAGGCCTCTGCACCCCTTTAGACAACTCATTTACAACCACAACCTTCCATGGCTTCTCACATGCCAGCCAGGGCAGGGTAAAAACGGCAATTTCTTACACCGAAAGGTCCTTTTTATGTAACAAACAGACCTCCCCAAACCACAACTTTTTTGTCCTATTGATGACTCGCATGAGATCAAATCTCTAGTGTCCCCTGACTGCCCCGACAGGGTCTAGGACAACACAGGTTAAAAAGGACAGCAGGGTCGTTCAACTCCCACACTGCCTCAGGTGTTTTCTCAAAGCACGACAATTCTGCAATGGAGACTTACACGTGGAAAAGAATCAAACTGTGCAGGTACCCTCAGTCCTCTGCCACTACCAGCTCAATAGCTTGAGCTCAGAGGATCAAGTCAAGTCTCTGTCTCACTTTTAATCTAGCACACAAGAGGCACAACTCAGGCAGTACACGGTATTGAAGCATGCAACAGGTCATTGGTAACAAAACTCAGTTAGATTAAGAGTACATTAAATAAATCTTTGTAGTTGAGTAGAAATCACAAAACAGTTGGTGAGGACAGGTCTGTAGGCTCAGCTTTACATCCAGGTTTTTATACACCAGCAGCCAGATTCACAATTGATAGATATTGCACCGGAAAGATGTGTGCAGGGAAAAGAAATCATCATCACATTTAATGTTCATGATAAAAAAATAAAAACAAAACCAGATATGACCTCCATGTAGTACATAAAGTGCCTTCAGAATTGGTGCATTTACAACAAAAACTGGTTATTTAGCTACCATTAGCAAACGCATACAAACAGGAGACTAAACAGATCTGGTTTCCACAGTTTTGAATCAAGCAGTGCCAAGTTTCATTCAAAATGTCTCTACTACAAACAGCAAAGAGGAAATAGAATAAAAGATGACTGTACAGCGCCAGGAAGGGTTAAGTAATTTCTCGGATGAGAAATGGGAGTCCAACCCTGTCTCAAATGTGTTAGAACACATGTAATTACTTCTAAGGAATAATGGTGTGATTCCTTTCAAGTCAACACAAAATTTGTCATGCTATGTTACAATTCTCTCAGCCTGTAGCTATTAGCTAAATTTGTACAAAAAAACCCCAAAACAAAAACGTAATATCCAGTTTTTCATTCTGAGTATGGAAAAAATTATCATTATGTCTAATATTATATTGGAAATTCTCTCAAAGTACTTGTCTGTAGGTTTTTGGACAAAAATTTGCCTTCCAATTCTAATAAAGTAGAGGGTGGAGGTGTCAGAGTACTTCAAAAATAAAAATGTCATTGACATTAAGCCTGGTATGAAAGTGAAATACAAAAAAAAAAAAAATGCTCACTTTTCCAAGTACATGAGACATCTTTAATCATAACGAAATAAAATCTGAAAATCGGTCTAAATCATTTTAAAAAGTAAACATGAGTCGTAATACTATACCTGTTGAGTGATTAATTCCATTCATTGTCATTAGAAAGGATGTAAAATATTTATTAAGGGCTTTGCCTGCAGAGGCACAACATAAATAGCATTAAGTCCTCCTGAAATGTAATTAGTGTACACATCAACCAGTTGATAATTTGTGGTGGGAAAGGCAGGAACTCAAGCTGGGACCAGGTTCCCGCATCCGAACTTGGACGAGTGCGTGGTGAAGGCTCGGCTCCAGGGACCATGCCTGCAGCTGCTCTCTGCCATCGCCTCTGCAAAAGTCTGTTAGGCAAATGCAAAAGTGCAAGCAGAACTTGCTTGAAGAACAACCACCCCCGAGGCACAGGGTGCTTAATCCACCCCTTCAAATCCTTGAGCATTTTCCACGGCCATGAGAAGTTTCTCTCGTAAATCTTCAAAGGTTTCATATGGAGGTAAGTCAAGGCGATTAAAGCTGCAAAAGGAACAAAAAGTGTAGGTGAAAAGCCACAACAGCACTTCCTCGATCTGGTTAATAGGGCATGAGGTTTGAGTAAGAGAATAAAAAAGCCTTAACCAACAATTTTGATTACCTGGAGAAAAAAACCCCAAAAACCTCTAGCTATGAAACATCCACACTAAATAAGCTCTTGTAATTTACAGAGAAAGAACATTTTCAAATGGTCCATGAAACCTTTGCTATAGTCAGATGCAGATCTCGGAGGAATCCTGGTGGGAAGGGAGTAACCGGCAAGATTTCCAAACCCTTGGAACACAGAGCTGATGCTTTTGGAGTTACCCACGAATTAAGACTGTGTCTATCTCTAATACTATTACTTATTCCACACTAGGCCTCAAGCCAAGTGCTTTTCTCCCTATTAACTCACTTCATTTTCATCACAACCCTATGAAGCAGGTCATGTTATCTCCATTCTGCACAGGAGCTCCTGGAGCAGAGACATAGGGCAAGGTTCCTGAGGTCACAGTCTTTGTCAAACGGCAGACCCACAAACAGAACCCAGGCTGTCCGGGGCTCGGGAACACCAGTGCTAAGCTACCTCCTCTGATCAAAGTCAGGCAAAATTGACATTTGCTATGTAAAGTTGCATTTAGAAAAAGTCCCTACATATCTGGAGGCTTCAGGTGGGGGCGGGGGCTGCAAATCGCCCTGGCAATAGTGAGGGTTTTCAGACAAATGGATGGCCTCTGTGCTTCTGTGACATGGGGAAACTGCACATATGAGTGCCAAGTGGATCGGATCAGTGGGCCCGGCATACAGCAAGGGCTCAATTACTCAAGAGATGGTATCAGTGTTAACACCTTTCAACATTTACTGTATGTCTACATGGGGCTCAAGACCAGAGCCTTTAGCCACAGAACCTGCACCTCTGTGTGTGTGTGTATGTGTTGGGGGGTGATTGCTGATGTGTATCTGTCATGAAAATGGCATGCACACTTGCCACAGCTCATTATGACGTAAGAGCTCATGTTCATGGAGTGCTCACCATGCCCCATCAGCCTTGTCTCAATGTTATGAACCCTGGCAATCACTTTGTAAGGCAGCTAATGCTTCACCCCTATTTCACAGAGGAGGAGCTTGAGACACAGCAAGGTTAGGTAACTTGCCCAAGGTCACACGGGGCCAGGTACAGCCCTGGGGTGCTCCAAAGCCCAGCTCTTGAAGTGCACTTGTGCTGCCTCTGCCGCGAGTGCTCAAACTGTGTTTAAAACCGCCCCCTCCAGGTATTGATGTGTGATTCCAAGAATGAGCAAAGTAACTTCTTGGGTTTTAAAAGCTAACCATTCACGTGCTCGCTTTGGCAGCACTTGCACATATACTAAAAGCTAACCGTTGTCACAGCAACAGAAAAGAAACACATACCGTAGAGGGCCGTTTAACAACCACTAAATATTGAATAAGTCCCACTGAGTTCCACTTGGATTCTCTAACAGCCACTAAACACTAAAAGACAGAGAATAACACTGTGCTTCTCAAACTGGGGTTCTCAGGAACCCAGGAATCCTAAAAGAGCAAGTACTAATACAGGCTTTTAACTTTCTATTATCATATTAATAAAGACAGGACTTCACATCTACAGATGGCATTTAAAAGAGCCTTTCACCGAAAGTGGCTTCAGGCTTTTCAGCTGGGGTTTCACAGTCCCGGGCCTGCAATCCCTATGGGGGTCTCAGGCCCATTCTTGAGAATCTGTGACCATTTTTTCCCTTTAAAAAAGGTGCACAGATTATTCAGGTTTGAGAAACACTGGCATGATGAAGAGAGAGGCAAAGACGGGATGTCAAGATCTGAGGTTCTGAATCATGCTGCTTAATGCTTCACCGCTTTGCATCCCAGTGTTATCTGTAAAAAAGTGGGTCATAACATCACCCACCTCTTAGGGCCACTGTGATGATGGTATGAGTCAATCGCATCAAGTGCTGAGCACCATCCCCGGAATGAACAGAGTGCTTGGTGAGTGTGAGTTCCTATCATTTCAGAGGTCAGGACACACGGACCTGGCTTTGCTCTGCACTAATGAGCTGGGTGACTTTAAGGAGCTCATTGTCCTCACAGGGCTTCAGCGTCCTCACGTGGAAGATGCATGGGCTGAACGAGATGATTTTTGTTTGCTTTAGAGTCTACCTAAAAGGGCAGGTGGGCCTGTGATTCTTAATGAAGAGTAATTTTAAATGTCTGAGTAGTGACCTTTTATAGAACAATGAAATGAAGTCCTTTGAATGTCAGACACTCAATAATCACCATTGGAAAGCTTAATGAAAGGTACCCTCATCACAGAGAACCAGATCCTTCAGCTTCTGCTCTTCTAGGAAATCAGATTTTTATTCTGAACTTTAATTGTGTATCATAAAACGTGGAAGAAATTAAACCTATGTATGGCAAAATTTTATGGCAGAACTGTTGCCACGAAACAGCCAGTGAAGTTTCTGTTTCCTATGTCAAAATACAGTCAGGGTCAGGTAGGGAGGAAAGCCATTTAGAAGAAACAGCAGAACAGTCCCACTCATGCTAGCCAGTGTTGCTTGCAACTGCCAGTCCTCTCCATCCGGGTCAAGTTAGTCTGGGGAGAACATCATTAGGAAAACTACACAGTTGCTTTATTTCCGTGACACATAAAGAGGAAAATAAGTTCTGGTAAGAGCCAGCTGGGTTGTTCCCTTCCTGTAGGTGGATCTTTGCCCTTCCTAGGGAAGAGCTGTGAATTTTCAACCCTGCCAGCCTATAAAAATCATCTGGGGAGCTTTGAAAATCCCACTGCCTGGGTCACACACCAGACCAATGAAGTCCAAATTCCAGGCATCAGTGATTTCTTTAAGGCTCTCTAGATGGTTCCAACATGCAGCTGAGGTTGAGAACCACTGAGTTCAGAGGTCTTATCTGGGAAGTTCTACTTGTGGCAGAATCATGTGGGCTCCGAAATAAAAAAGACAGTTCAATAGTAAGATATGTGTCCCTGAAGTCACAGAGAAACATGGGCTGAATGAACATGAAATTGGTTCACTAATTTGGTTTCCTTGGAAAAGTCTAAAAAGAAAGTGGGTATATCAACAGAGGCAGTGTATCTGGTGTAGTGGTAAAGGGTGCAGGCTCTAATTCTGGTAGCTCTGAGTTCAAATCCTGTGATCTGGGAATCTGTGACTCTGGTGAGCCCTGGGCCAGCCTTCTGACAGCCCAAGGGAATAACATATCTCATAAGGCTGCCATAAAGATTAAGCAGTGCCTGACCACAGATGATGACTGTGCCCAATAATTTCGCTTTTCCTAATCTTCATCCTGGTTAGTATTATGAGCTTGAGTTTCGCATCACCACCCACAGTCCTGGGGCTTGGCTCAACGCTGGTGCCTTCATATGGAGGCCAGTAGAACCCAGAAAACCACATATGACTTGGACACCATTTGGATAAAAGCTCTGAACTACTCAAACATTCTTCCCTTAGAATAAAGCCAGAGAACCACGGACAATGACTGCTCTGAATATTCATGAATTTTAGGCTGGAGTCAGCTTGCTTTCAAGGCTCTGACAGGCAATGACCACATTGTTTCCATCTGGAGAGTCACGTGAATGGTACGAATAGAAAAAAAAAACACCTTTCTGGTGAGGCAAGGGAATCCGACAGAAGTGAAAAACCTTTCACAGCCAATTTTTCGCAAACACATGTTCATGAGAATTCTCTCCTGGCCAGCACTTCTAGTGTAAGGGAGGGCGTTTCCTGCAGGGAGTGTTTGGTTGCTTATGTTAGCTCACTATGGCCAGAGCAGGCTTTGCAGCCCCCGCTGCATGAGAAACACAGGGCTACGCTGCTCACCGTTTTCCAGAAGGCCCACTTCTGCTGCTTCCTCAGGAGCAAGAAATAAAGGCCTTTGCAGAAAAACCAACACGAGGGACATGGGAGTTTGAGTTAGCAAGAGCTCCCTGAACCCGGCTTCAAGAAACTGATCCCATCCAGTCTGCATTTGTGCTGGGTTTCATGCAACTGTTCAGAAAACAACTGGGACCCTTCTGCGTCACTGTGCCTCCTGAGAGGGCCTTCTGAGGGCAGCCACGCTCCACGCTTGGGCATCCCTGGCCACGTGTCAGCCCTCTTACCCTCCTCCGACCACAGTCATGTTACTGCTCAATTCCAGGGAATTACAGGTTATTCATGGGCATAGAAGGCCTTTGAAAAAGGATGTTTCTACAGGGTATTTTGTCCTAACTTCTCAACCAATTTAAGGTTGGAGTAAAAACCCAACGTGTTTATTATACAGGTTGAGAGCTGCCTTATCTATGTATGCTGAACAGTGAAAGCTCCACTACCTAGAATAATGAGGGAAGGACTGGGCTCAGAGGAGAAATTCCCCACAGCAGGGAGGCCTGAGCCCTTTATGTGCCAAACATACTGAGTGCATTATGTCTTATTAGCACTACTGTACAATTTCTATTTTCATCCACATCACTGTCCTTTAATTCTCTAAGCTACTTACAGACAGGAAACAGAGCATTCAATAGCCTTGAGCCCAGCACCATACCCAGCTAAGCAGTTCAGATATTGCATTGACATGCATGTGTTTTTGTCACTCACCATGTGTGAGCTCTGGGCAGTTTCTCAGGACTGCCCCATTGCTCTATTGTAAACAGCTGAGGACCATTGGAACCTAGACAAGAAAAGAAAAAGAAATGTTAAGATTGCTTGGGGCAGAAGAATGAAGCTATGGTGTGGTCTGCAGTCCAGCTACTGTCAGGGCAGGGTTTGCCCCCAGGGGTGAGGCCCAAGACACTCTCTTCTGCTGCAACATTGATATTTAATGTTGAGGGAAGCCAGAGGTCTGCACAACCTCACAGAAAGACTCTGCTTAGTCTCCAGAATGGAACTGCACCAAGATTAACAAACACAACAGTTACGTGGAAAGGCAGGCAGCTACAGCCTCTCAGCTGGGCCCTGGAAATTTAAACTTCAAACTAGTTTTGTGGGTGGGAGGGTGAATGAAATGTGACTTTCAGTATGCAAAGTACAGAGTGATTTTTAAATCTATGGTAAACACTGAAAAATTCTGCCTACTGGAGGTGACTTTATACCTCAGTTTACGACCATATAAATGACCCTACAAAACCTAGTTTTTAACGATTTACTAAAAAACTAAACTAGGAAAAAAAAAAAAGAGCAGCCTTATGGACCTCTTCACAAACTGCCCCCCAATCCCTCGAAGTAGAAGCACCATGTTATCTATATAAAGTATAGATAACAGTACTTTCATTGAACTTTCATGGAACCTATGCATGGCACACTGTCCTGAAACTTAGCCTTCTGCAGAGGCCTGGCGGCAGGGTTCTTGGGCCAGAGTTCATGCCTGGCTGGAAATTCCCAGGAGGACAACTGAATCCAATGGTATCCTGCTCACCATAAAGTTCGGCAAATCCATTCATAGGTACTCGCGATGTCCCTGTGACAAACTGCAGTAACCGGATACGCTTTTCGGCGTCCATGAGTAGCACAGCCTATGAACAGAGGCAGAAGGTCATTATACCCCCCACGTGACCCATGGCACATGCTGCTGTCATGCAGGCAGGCAGAACTTAATCTTATTTATATTGCAATGTAAGACCTAGACAGTTGACTCTGAAAACTGAGTAGGTTTTTTATGGCCACAATACTAGCTGGCCTCTCTAATCTAAGAGACTGAGTGATCACAATGTCCGTCTCTTTCTTCTTCTGCCAATAGGCCAAAATAAATGATATAAAAAGCAAACTCTCTGATGGCACCAAGCTCATGTTTCTGTGTTCGAGGCTTACCAGTTCCCCCTAAGCCAATTATAAATATACAGTATTTAAGATTTGTCATCACAAGGGGAAGCCAGGTTATGAGATGGGATTTCAGATTGTAGACACGTTCCCTAGAAGACATCATTTTATAAAATGAAACAAAACAAAACAAAACAAAAACAAAACAACAAAGGCAAAGATGGGGTTCTAAAATAATCTGTGTATCTTACATATCTGCATTATTATGGGAATCCAGGTGGCTTTACTGGTAATGCCACTTGGACTGCTGTAGGCAAACATCTAAAACAAGCCAAGTGAGACCTGGACTAGGCTTTGAAGATTTTGCTTTTTTATCTCTGTATTCCTGCTGGCATTTGAAATAGTAATAAAAGGCATTTAGAAATGTGAAAAAGGCCGGGCATGGTGGCTCATGCCTGTAATCCCAGCACTTTGAGGGGCCGAGGTAGGAGGATTGCTTAAGCCCAAGAATTTGAATCCAGCCTGGGCAACACAGTGAGACCCCATCTTTAAAATAAATAAATAAATAAATAAAAATAAATTTGAAAAAGTTAAATGATTCCTTTTTGGGGTGAAGTAAATAATCAGCCTTTTTGGGGGATAACTGTTTTTTTTTTTTTAAGTTTGTTTACTATATCTCCTTTGGACTAACCCATTCCTATTTTACTTCCCTCCTAAGCTGAACAGGATACAAACAGTGGCCCTAAGATAATAAATCAAATGTTGTGTTATCTTTGGTTGAAAGATACACAGATCAAAATATTTGTTGGAATATATTTTAAAAATTGAGAAAACGACTTCTTAACAGAAAGTGGCATCTTGCAAAGCCATCCCTGAAGCCTGTTTCTGCCCTGAGAAGCCCCCCATTTCTATTTACGCATTGGAGGACCAGTCCCTCAAATAAAAGTCACTTTCACGAGGTGGTCAAGGAAGGCCAGTGTGCTTTTGTAGGGACCAACTTCATTCAAGTCTAGCTGTCTGCTACAGTTACAGAGGAGCCACCACGGGGCTGCTGGCTCAGTTTGCCTCTTCCCTCCCCCAGCAGTCCAAGCTCTAACAGACCCCAAAGCCAGCATCAGTCCTGAAGTCAGACCACAATGGAGGGCGCCACACAGCCCTCAATCCTGCCTCAGGTGGAGGACACCGGCTGGGGCTGGGCCCCGGAGTTACCTTCCAGAACCACTGAATGACGGGGTGGTTTGGGCAGTAGCCGTTCTTGTAAATAGAATGCTGTCTCCAGTCATTCACATCCACATCACCGAGGCCGCACATGAGCAACTAGGAAGAAAATTTACCAGATGTAAAAGCAGGATGTGAAAGGTGCGAGATCACACACTGAGAAATGACCACCCTCAGTGCCAGCATGTGGTCACTGTGCCGCGAAGGTAAGCTAGCAAATCATAACAACAGAGGAAGGCAGACACCTGTTCCAGGCTCCACCTGCCATAGCAGATCACAGAGGCAGCAGTCACGAGGGCAGCTCAATTCGAACCTTGCGCAAGCCACGGCATGTCGTATCGGATATAAAAATGCCACAGTCGTCCTCCCTACCCCTCTAGTCTTACGCATGGGACCTGTGGATTCTCTCACGCTCCAGCAGCATCTGTGCATTACCCTGGCTGCTTCTCCTCCTGAGAGGTTATTCCTCTGAATATCTAAAAGCATCTCCCTACCCACAAAAGAATTAGTGCTTATGACTCTCCTCCAGGTTGATCAATTCCAGTGATGACAAATCACCTCATCTGCCCAGAGGCCTAAGAATGGCAGACATACGCTAAGGCACAACTGGGTCTTCGACTTAGCATTTAGTCTAAGGTTTGCCGTTCCTATTATGCAACTCTCCATCAGGGGAGGTTTCCTGTGGACAAATGGAAGATATTTATGCAAAGGTACCAGAATGAAATGGAAACAGAACTAAGCCAGAAGCCTGGAAATAAAGTTCCTAGGCCTGACCGTGCCAAAACCTTGCTGGGTAAACCCAGCTGCTCTCTGCCTCAGTTTCCCACCTATCAGAGGAAAGGCTTGAGGTATATGATTTCTATAGACATCATCGATCTTGAACTTTCTGTTTTGAGATAAAAGTATAGAAGGCCAGTGTATGGGAAACACTCACTGGCTATGGACGGGGCAAATGGCCGAGTCCCACCAACGGCTTCTCAACAGACAGTCTTTCCCCTGTTTCTCTCGACACAACAAAGGGCGAGATATTCCTTTGTTTTTAAAATGGCTGTTACTCAACTATGTCAACACCAAGAAGCTGAACTAGACAATCACTAAACTACCTTTTGCTACAACCCTGTTGCCTTCTGACATTTTTCCTCACTCAACATAAACCACTTCAAGTTCAATGAGACGTCGTTCTACAGGCCCAAGTAGATGCTTACGGCCACCTTGTGGCCAAGACCCCCATTTGGCTGCCACGGTGGGGGTGGATGGGGATGCAGCAGAGGATACTTGGCCAGTCTGGTAGTGTAAGCAGGTTTCTGCTGTCCAGAGGGCTACTGCAAACCTTGTTTCTACTTGTTGTGGCAATTTGCCTCGCCTGGTGCATAGGGCCATGATCCCAGCTCTGCTCAGTGGCCTCTACTTACTAGGCATGTTCCAGAACTGCCCTCTGATGGACAAGGCAACTACAGCTGATTATTTTTGCTGTTCCTTACTCCTACATTGGCAAACAAGCCCCATAAGAGACATGTAATAGAACCACATTGGCAAATAAGCCCTATAAGAGACATGTAATATAATTCATCTAAAGTTACTCTCTAGGACATTATGGATCCAAGAATATTAAAATATTACTTGTAAAGTAATGAGAGATACTTTAAAAAATCCACTTTACATAAAATAATGTTTATAATACAAACCTCCAGCTCATTTTCATCAAAAATTTTAATCAAATCAATAGGAAGTAGTTCTGTGAATCCCTGAAAGAAAAAAAAAAAACATCTTAAACACCTATTGCCTTCAAAAAAAAAAAATTTCACAGGAAAAACAAACTTTTCTGGTTAGCCAGAAAAAAATATAATCTCTCCTGATGATTCCTATGTCAGTGACAGTATCAAGTAACTATAGTTCCAGTAAAAACAGCACAGTCACAATATAACAGTTTCGAAAAAGCATAGAATCTAGAAGATTCAAGTAGTGGAGTAATTTCTGAAACCTGATGAAAATATGGGATACTGTAGGCAGGGTGGATTCCAAAAGCCATTTATAACACTGCTGTGAGTCAGTGCGTCCTAAGATGCACAGGCTACAGATGTGTAAGAGACACGCTTAAAAATAACGTGCTGGAGGCAGGGAGAAGAAACACAGAGGGAGGCAGGTGATGGGTGCAGACACTGTGCGTACAGAAAACCATGCTCCAGTTCCCAGGTACCACTAACTGTGGCGTGATCTAGGATGAGCTCAGCTCTGCTGGGCCCTGCGCGCTGCGAACGCCGCGTTTCTGAAGGTGTGGACCGCCTGCGGTGGGGCCCAGGAATCTGCTTCCTGGGATTTCTTATCTAAATAAAGAGTGAAACCTGCCATTCTGTCCTCCCATTTTAAGTCCCTAAGGCCCCGAGCTGTTTCTGAGTGTGCTGCCCGGGCTTTCACGCATCCTGTGTAGGTACCTGAGTGAAGGGAAAGCATCACCCCACGAGAGCTCTGCCTCAGTGCAGAGAAAATCAGTCACGTGGACACGAGGCTGTTTCCTGTGTGATCTTTGAGGTAACTAATACTATATCATATTTAAGAAAGAATTTTGCTTTTGGTCCAAGTGGAATACTGTTTAAAATGATGAATCCCTCACCCACTGCTAGGGGCCTGGGAGCATCCCTGATATTAAAAGTTCGATCTGGGCAGTGCCCACTTTGCTCTGTAACAGGGTAAAAGCTGTCATGAGGTGGCTGGGTATAAAATAAATAAAAACTCAGCTTAAGAAAATGTGTTTTCCATGTATCTGTATAGAAGAGAACCTGCAATGAATTATGCCACAAAGAAAAAGGGCAGGGGATTAAAAAAAAATGTCCATGGCTGGGCGCGGCGGCTCATGCCTGTAATCCCAGCACTTTGGGAGGCCGGGGCGGGTGGATCATGAGGTCAGGAGATCAAGACCATCCTGGCCAACATGGTGAAACCCCGTCTCTACTAAAAATACAAAAATTAGCTGGGTGTGGTGGCGCGTGCCTGTAGTCCCAGCTACTTGGGAGGCTGAGGCAGGAGAATTGCTTGAACCCGGGAGGCAGAGGCTGCAGTGAGCCGAGATCGCACCACTGTACTCCAGCCTGGGTGACAGTGAGAATCTCTCTCAAAATCAATCAATCAATCAATCAATCAATCAATCAAGCCCAGGCAGCAGTGATCCAGGGAGGGAGGGGTGGCCAGGCACTTTGGGGACTGCGCTTCATCATTCAGCTCTGAGCCCTCGGGCTTCTTGGAACCTGTCACTGCAGCAAAAGGCAGCCTTCTCTTGGGTACCGCCTGAAACTCCAAGACAATGGTTCTAGATCAAGTCTGTAAAACGTCCTCTTTAAAAACAGGACAAATGTAAAAATAAGAGAAGTCAAGCAGGAGAACCCGTGAAAAGGAAAAGGAGGTGGCGGCACGGTGGCTGAACACTCTTGTGCTGGAGACTGGCCAGCGGTGTGAGCTGTGCGATCCCGGTCTTCCTGCAGGGTCCCCAGCCTCGCCTCTGTCTCTGATCAGCTCCACCACACTAGCTAAAGGAGAAGCGCGATCCCCCATCGACCCGGGACCAGAGGCACATGGCAGAGAACCCTGGCCAGCATGGCTTACCTCCAAGAAGGCGTTCATCTGCTTCTGGACCCTGTTCACAAATCTCCACTGGATGACTAAGCTGCAGGAGAAAAGAGGACAATATTGAACCACCTCCATCATCACTAGTGCTCACTGCTTTCTCCGCAACAGGGAGTGCTTCTCCTCCATCCACGACAGCAGAGCAGAGGGGAGGGTCTCCTCTGTGCCCCCACTGTTTAGTTTATTCATGGCTTCTTTCAAGACTCCCTGGAACACCCGTGAAAAACCTAAAATCTCACTGGAGATTTCAAAAGAGTAATTAACTTCCCCCACATCAAGGTTTGGCTGACCTAAACTGCTTTAAATGCTTAACTGCTTTAAAATGCTTTAAATGCTTTAACTGCTTTAAAATGTGACAACATGGAGAAAAGGGAAAAGTTCATGGGGTATGAACACACAGGTATACATGTATAAGATGCACACACCCGTATACACACCCACATATATGTATACATATTTGTAAAGTGTACTCAGGACAATGCATTTAGTTATCTAATATTTCATTCTAGTATCCAATGTGCTAATATTCAACAATAACATATAAGCTTTATCAGCAAAATGATTTGCACTCATAATTTAATGCCAAAATTTAGAGGATGAATGGTAAGACCTCCTTATGCAACTGAAGTTCACCAAAACCAAGTTCCCTGCGACAGTGTTTAATGCACAGCAAAACTGATCGCAAGGCAAATGTACTCTGGATGTCATCTCAGGCATTCCATCATTCTGAAGGGTTCTCACCTTCGGGGTGGTACACTGTAACCATGGTAATGGCCCTGAGGACCAGCCTGCAGCACAACCACTGTGCGGCCTCTCAGGTGGCACCTCCTGGGCTACAATGAACAGCTCAACAGCATTCTTCTGGCACCAGGGGAGCAGAGGTATCAGGGAGCAGTTGGTGATTTCAATTATACTTTTAAAAGTAAAGCTAGCTGGAACCCTGCCTGGCCCTGACTCCCACCACGTTTGAACCCTAAAAGAATTAACTGCAAAGAATGATGCAAGACACATACCACGCATGTCAGAGTCCTCAGACTTGAGACCTGGGTCACCCTGAGCTAGAATATTTTTTAAACCCCACTCACAGTCTGTACTTTCTGAAGGAAGACAATGGTGTCTGCCAGGATGTCATCAGCTAAGATTGTTCATATTCAGAACGAGAGTGCCAATTAATGTGGCCAGGTAAGAACCGAGGTACCTTATTTCTAGTCTATGTATTCAGCATAACAAGCTTTCAACTTGAGAGTGAAAAGAGTCCGCCATGTAATAGTTCCACTCCTTGCCAGGATCTCTGAGTAGAGACTCTAACACGCTCCGTTTCTTCCTAATTAGGAAGGACAGTAGGTTTTTCTTTGCAGATCACACTGAAAGGTGCTAAGACCCACAGTCAATGCAAGAGCTGTCTGATTTCAAGACCTCTGACCAATTCCAAATGAGAAGAAAGGAGGGAGCCTAGCCTGTTGAAACGAAGCACTGAATGCAAACGAGGAACTCAGGGCCACTGTGGCGACCCACAAGAGAGCAGAAACCAGGTGCCAGGAACCACACACTGCAGTGCTCACCTCACCCCTGCACCAGGGGATCTCCTTGGAAGATCCCAGAGTTATGCATTTGAAGCACACATATACACTAAAAAAGAAAACGTAACGTGCCCAACAGAGAAAAACTTCTGCCTGGTACAAATGTCTTAGAATCACTTAACAGCTAGACTTCCAAAAAGACTCAACATTTTGTTCCACTGAGGCTGAAGTTGAGTTAAGAATATTACAAATACCAGAAAGAATTCCTTAGGGTTGCACATGCTGAATTCTTCCTATCCATTTTAACTATTTCTATACATTTCTATTATGGAAAAGAAGTTGGGAGAGAGACAAAATATTTTTTCTTTGTTGGTTCCTAATTTTGCCCTGCTGGTCACTGACACCGTGGTTCTCCGTTGCAATTCTAAATCTTAGTTGATATCCACATATTCCAAAAGAGTATTTGCCGTATTACTCAATAATATAGACCTTTTCTCCCTCCTCTGCTCCTTTATAGGGCAGCTCAATGGAGTCATGATACAAGACAGACTTTCCATCCCATATTCAACTTCCCATTAGCCCAAGCCAGAAAAGAACTTACCTTGTTGAAAACTGACCAATAAACTCATGCCCATAATAAATGCATGAGCTGTTTCAGCAAGGGACAGTGACCAAACATGCATTTCAATTATTCAAAGAAAAGGCAGTAAATATGTGTATACATACTCGATATATTCCCTTTTGTTTTCATTTGTGACCATTATTTCTGACCCATTGGGCTTCAAATCCACTTGATATGTCTGTAATTACAAAGACAAAACAACAATTACTATCACGAAGTTATCTTGCATATTATTATTGAGTGACAATGTCTTACTATAAAGGGAAGACAACATGTATTCAGAAATATTTCCCGGCAAATGGGCTCTGTGCACAAGAGAATGTCCAATGAGGCTTTTTTGCTAGGATGTTACACAGTTAAAGATGCTATCATTAAAGGCAAATTGTTTTATGGTTATTTATGACTTTTAATTATTCTTCATATATTAGCAATAATGAAGAGCAACATTTTTTCCTCTGCTATTCATTTATCAGGAAACTAATTATGTTTAACAGAGAAAAGAACAGGGTACACCCATCAAGACTCCAGAAATCCAAATTCTAATGCATTCTGTTTCTGAAAATTATATTTTCTAGTCATAAAAAAAGGATGCATGGTATTTCTTTCAAAAATGCAAACAGAAACTTAAAGACAAGAAAGAAGCTTAAGGATCCAGGCTGAAGAGACAGATTTATCTGGTTTTTGAAGGCATTTATTTGCATTGGACGCCTTCTCCTCACTCATCTGCCCTGAAGCTTCCTCCCTTAGCACCACCCATGATCATGAAAAAAGCAGCTGCAATCAGGGCAGCCCTTTCTCCTATGCCCTGACCCAGACCTAGCTTACCATAAGGCCACATAGCACAGTAACCAGCGTGAGGGAAGGGAGAGAGGCCTACTATTTTAAAATAAAATGTTTTTTTCTCATTGTAGAAATTTTGGGGAAAAAAGGTGGAAAAATATAGCACCTACACCTCTCCTACTGAAAGAAAGCCATGCCACTATTTTGGTGGGGTTCCCTCTAAATCTTTTTTCCTCTGCCTGCTGGTTGCATTATAGAGTAAACCAAGCCAGGGGAGAGGGTTTTCCAAAGTAAGTGTTAGGGTGGTACCCAGGAGGGATGGAGGTTCCATGTTGTGATGAACTCTATGCCCTGGCAGAGGCCACCTCCAGGGGTTCCTTGGTCCTGCCACCTGCACCCAGGAGATCCTGAGCCCCTCTGACCCGAGCACTCACACCTGGGTCTCTCATGCGGCTTCTCCACGCACTGGCTCTTGTTCCCATTCACACTGAGATGGCTTTTCAACGTAAAACACATTCATCATCCATCCGGTCCCTCGACATTCTCTTTTTCTCTTTATTCAGGAAGGAATCTCATTTTTCCACTATGCTTTCCATTTCTGCAAAGTCAACTGAACTCTTCACTGTGCCCAATGTGAATTTTAATCCCTTTGCTGCGTTTCCGGTTTTGCTGACATCCTTCATTTCTCCATTTCCCTTTCTAGCTGCCATCTTCCCAGTGCATCCCATTTTCTCCCAGGGGTCATCTGCTCCTGCCCCGTACAGGCCGTGTTGGGGATGGAGGATGCCAAACAGCTTCCACTTGGGGGTGGGGTGGGGATGTTTCTACAGTGAAACTCTGCCAGTTCGTGGCTGGTTCTCAGAGGTGCGTGGACAGTGCTCATCCATACCTTTTGTTCTATGTGTTAATAAACCCAGGTTGGCTTTTCTTCTTTTCCCCATTTATTCCTCCCCAGACTGCCTTGTTGTTCCTTCGGTAAGAGTTTTCTTATCAGATCCACGTCAATGACAAGTTAATAAATCCCAGCCCAGGCATTGGTATCGAGAAGGCTTTCGGTACAGCTCGGCTACACTCAAGCCGAATCTTTCCTCCCACCCTTTCCCCTCGCACAGGGAAGGGGAAGGAGGTCAAGTAGATAAGCATCCACAATCCCTGTAATACACTCCTTCCAGCATTCATCCAGCCCTCTCTCTTTGATCACAGAGCCTTCTTTGGTGTTGCCTGAAAGTTGTAATTTCCAGAGAGCTACTGAATGAGCGGGTCGGCCACAGACAAAGTGGGGAGGGGAGGGCTAAGGAGGAAAACACTCTGCTTCCTCCAAAAGCAGCGCCCAGGGATGAGAGAGAAAATAAGCCAGTGTTGCTGAGTGCAGAGAACTGGTTCTCCCCTTCACTGTGGGTGGGAGTCTAATTGGTTCAATCTTTTTCTGAAGATATTATAATTTGGCAATAGGCATCACAATTTTAAAATTATATATCCCTTCTCACAGTAATTTCTCTTTTGGAGTTTATAGCAATGGAAAAAAATTAGTCAAGTACACAAAATGTATATTCCAGATTATACATTTGTATGCTATATATATTATGTATATATGTGAGTATTCCAGGGTTATACAGAATTATATGTTTATATAGAAAATACTAAAATAGCCTAAACGTCTACCAACAGGGCATGGTTAAAAATATATGGCACGTCTACAAAGTAAAATTCAGCACAGTCATTAGAATGTTATAGACTGATATTCAGTGACATGAAAAGGTATGTGTGATATATTAATTTGAAAACTGTTTTCTGTTTCTGTGTTAGTTTGCTGAAAATGATGGTTTCCAGCTTCACTCATAAGTGGGAGTTAAACGATGAGAACTCATGGACACAGGGAGGGGAACATCACACACCGGGGCCTGTCATGGGGTGGAGGGCTAGGGGAGGGATAGCATTAAGAAAAATACCTAATGTAGATGATGGGTTGATGGGTGCAGCAAACCACGATGGCATGTGTATACCTATGTAACAAACCTGCACATTCTGCACATGTATCCCAGAACTTAAAGTATAATAAAAAAAATTTGGGAGGCCGAGGTGGGCAGATCACGAGGTCAGGAGTTCGAGACCAGCCTGGCCAACATGGTAAAACCCATCTCTACTAAAAATACAAAAATTAGCTGGGAGTGGTGGCTCACGCCTGTAATCCCAGCTACTCAGGAGGCTTGGGCAGGAGAATCGCTTGAACCCAGGGGGCTGAGGTTGCACTGAGCCGAGATCATGCCATTGCACTCCAGCCTGGGCAACAGAGCGAGACTCCATCTCAAAATAAATAAATAAATAAATAAATAAATAAATAAATAAAATAAAAAAGAAAACAGTATGCAGAGTACAATTCCACTTCTGTAAAAAAAAAAATCTGTTTTGTGCTTACAGAGAATAATTCTGGAAAATGTAAATAAAAATTTTAATCCTGAGTTTTCTTGAGATACTGGGAATAAGTGACATTTATTTATTTTACATATTTTTATTATACTGGCTTTATTTTTATTATGGAGGTTAATATTTTATAATTAGATAAATAAATAATTTTTGAAAGAAAAGAAAAAATGGGCCCACACTAACCCATGCTAAATGAGGTCACAGCAGTAAATCATCCTGTGGGCAGCCGTCAAGTCTCATGGTTGATTCTGACCCTGGGTTTCTCTGTGGGGGAGTGAGGAGAGGGCCCAAGGATGGGCACAGGATGAGGGGTTTGTAATTCTGCTCCCTAAGCTACTAGGTTAGGGGTCACGCCCCCAGATCTCGGTGTCTCGGCTCGAGCCCTCCGTGGTACAGAAATGCATCCCTCTAGGATTCGTTACAGGTGACACTTTCATGAGTTACGGCGACACTTTCATGAGAAGCAATGACCACTCTTCAAATTCCACTTTTGAGACCGGCTGTCGGGGGCTGATCGTGACACCGTCTCCTGCAGTGCAGGCATATTGTCCAGCCCACCACACTGGCTTACTGCCACTGGCCGATGCCCCAGAGTCCTTGCTGGTTGGGCACGAGGCTCCATGGGGGTTGGAGAGGCGGCTATCTGACTCTAATGCTCGCCTCCAGGCACACAGATTCCCTGCGGGCCTTCATTCCTGTCTCACCATCACTCTAACTACAGCCTGTGTTCTCCTTTCGCCCAAATTTGTCCCTTCTTAACATCAGCTGTTGCCACCACAGGAGGGGAGGGACTGTATGTCCTCAGCACTGAACACCGGGTGGTACCGTGACAGTGTCAACCCTAAGTGGGAGAAATCGGGGCAGCGTCACACAGGGGCTGCTCTCTGCCCTGCGCATCTCCTATAGGTGCTGCGGCAGCGCCCTGGCCCCCGTCATGAGGGTGGACAGCATCCCGGAGGCAGAAATCCAGCAAAGTGACCAAGGAGAAACAGCGAACTGCAGATGGAGCTGGTGCTGGCACCCAGGGGCCCTGCTCCCTGGTGAGCAGTCTGCAGAGCCTGCTCTGTGGGGTGGATTCTTGCCACCTTCAGCCACGAAACGCACACCCCGCCCTCCCAGGGCTTTCTGGGCCATCGCCCTCCTGTGCCTGGGCTCCTGGAGGACCCCACACAAGGAACACAATGCCCAGCCACAGCAGGCGCTCAGCAAGAGCTCGTGGGAGAACACTGCAGTAGAAAAATTCCTCTTTAAGTCTACTGGCCCCAGCATAAACTTGGCTCTCTTCCTCACAGAGATCAGAGGAACTTCTGGGGGACTCCCTGCCTTGGCCAGTTAACAACCCGATTCCCACACATCTCCCTGACCCTCCATAAATGCTTTGCGCTGCCTGGGAAGCTGCTGAGAAACAGCTTGGCTCATATGGAATATGCTGGACTTGGGTGGAGCAAGGCTTATCTGCTTGTCAGACTCCATTCTTGGAAACGGAGCACTGCTGGGCAAACGCCCACTGATGGGTGCTCACAAATCCTGCAGGGCACGGCCTCGGGGGCAGTCAGCACCCTGCACCCCCATCACTCCACCAACCAGGCCTTCCTCATCCTCCCCAGCCTCTCCAGCAGCGCAACTACCGACAGCAGGGAGGCAGCAAGTCCATGCCAGCCTTCCCACTTCCCGTCTCCCCAGGTGCCACCCCTCTGTGTCCCTGACTGGCCTGAAGGGGCCGGGGCCTCAGCGCTCCTGGGAGCCACCTCCAGCTCCGGGCTCTTCGTCTGGCTCCTGGCTTCCGCCAGGACATGCTCTGCCCTCTCCCTCATTGACCATTTCTGCCTTTTCACTCACTGCCTTCCCCCAAGTGTTTCTCTACCTTTTAATTCATTATCACCCCCTAAAGAGCCTTTTTAGATTCTTTCTGCCAGTGGCCCACCTCTCTCCATGAAATCTTAACAGAGAGATCCACAGTACACCTGTGGAATGTGCTGTGGCTTCTGGGAGGGCCACTAACCACTTCAATGTCTGAGATGATGTCCTCCTTGTTCCCTTTGGGTAATCATTCCTATGGAGACTGGCTCGACCCGATCCTAAAGAACCTTCCTATATGGCTGCTGCCCATGGTCTCCCTCCAACTACTGCACAGCCTCTTGAAACTTCTGGCAGCTCTTCAAAACAATCAAATCAGGCCAAGCACGGTGGCTCACACCTGTAAGCCCAGCACTTCGGGAGGCTGAGGTGGGCAGATCACTTGAGGCCAGGAGTTCGAGACCAGCCTGGGCAATATGATGAAGTCCTGTCTCCACTAAAAATACAAAAATTAGCTGGGCATGGTGGCTTGCACCTGTAGTCTCAGCTACTCAGCAGGCTGAGGCATTGAGAATTGCTTGAAAGTAGGAGGCAGAGGTTGCAGTGAGCCGATATTCTGCCACTGCACTCCAGCCTGGGTGACAGAGCGAGACTCTGTCTCAAAAAACAAACAAACAAACAAACCCATAACCAAATTAGACGTTGCTCTGCTGAACTTGCAATAAAGAATTTTCACTTGTTACAGCCCTAAAAGGGCCCCTCCTCCCGGTGGGGGCAGGTATGTGTGCACAGCAGTGAATGGGGGTACGGCTTATTCTTCCTGCTTGGCACAGGATCATAGTTCAAACACTGACATTTCTTCAGTGGAAACTTTCATATTAGGCCCTAGAAACCAGCAGCCCCAGATTCTTACCAATCAGAAAGAAAACAAATTGCAAAATAATGGCAACAGCTGCAGCTTCATTACATGAAGGAACAGCTACCAAACTTCATGGTCTGATATTTCTAACTGTGAAATTAAAAAAAAAGAAGGTTGAAACACCGTGGAAGGCTGACTGCATGTCTGTTTCACCCCATGACAACTGCACTTGCTTTGCCCCACTGTGGAAGTGACTTGACTGTTTGGCATTGGGGAGGAATGGGCTTTCTTCTGGGTCAGAGTCAACAGTTTTGCAGAGGGCCAAAGAGGTGAGAGGCTTGTCCGGGCATCATGCTAACACCTAGATTTCCACATCAACAACTACAAGTACCCACCATGCACCAGGCAAAGTGCTTGTGGGAAGTACACGACAGTGAGTGAGCACAGGGCAGGCATGCGGCTGCCATCATCGGGAGGAAGCTGAGCAGGAGAGACAGGCACTAAACACAAACATACTCAGACAAATGCAAAGTCGTCTGTGGTACATGCCACAGGGCAGGCATGGAAGATGCATAGGGTCTGGGTCAAGGGCTGGCTTCCCTGATGAAGGGACACCTGAACTGAGACTGGGAGGGAGTATGCTCCCAACAGATGGAAGAGAAAGCAGAGGGCCTGAGGCAGGAAGGGGCTTGTGTTGGACAAGCCCAGTGGGGCCTGTGATTCACAGTGAGTCTGGAGGAGGAGCAGGGAGAGCCAGGCCACGCAGGACCTTGTGGGACAAAGTAAGGTTGGGGTCTTTATCTCAAGGGCAGGGGAGACCCCTGAAGGTTTCTGGCAGAGGAATGACATGCTCATTTTTATATTCCAAAAAGACCACTCTGCCATTATAAGAAGCCATATTGGATGTAGAGACGGGTCGGGGGTCTAGTGGGGAAGATGGGAGCTTGGACTTGGGTGTGAGTGAGAGAAGAGATCGGCAGAATGCACAGAAATGAGAAAGGTTTGGGAGGTGTGTGAACAACTCGCTGATGGACTGGATATGGGAGATGAGATCCATATGCAGCTATTTAACTTGCTCTAAATTCCTTCCCAGAGTGCAAAATAAATACGTGAGTTCCCTGTTAATCAGGATAGCTCTCTCAAAAAGGCAAGGCAGTAATTCAACAAACTGGGCACCTAATTCTTATCTTACTCATCTCATGGGTCTGTTTTGATTAATGCATTACTCTACTTGATCCTACCCAAAAGTCAGAAGAATTCACAACATTAAACGAGGAGGTCTGAGAACTGTTTTTAATGAAAATCTGGCCTGAACGATCATCAGAAGATTTATTAGAGGCCTGCTTAAAAACTCCAACACCCTGTGTTTGACTTTCATTTATGAGGTGGAAACAATTACATTTAAATGTAATTAGGAAGGTTTCCCAGATCATTTGCTTCTGATTGTGGCTTAATAGTTTTCTGAATTGGGTTAATTTGGTCATATGGTTTTCTATGAATGAATCTACGAAAAGACTTTTTTAATGCATGTGACACACAAGACTGACTTTCAGTCTTCCTTGGTTCTTTACTTCCACTCCTTCCTTCATATGTTAAAAATGAAAGGAAGATACTTCCAGGGTGACTAACCATGTCTAATCGTTTGAAAATTGGCAGTTTAAGACCCTTCAATAGGTCCGGCTTTTTAAAAAAAGCCACCAAGACTTGACTGATTTTGTTTTCTCACACTTAGGATTTCTATTACTTACCACCTTATTCATATTTTTAATAAGCCAGGTTAGCACTCCTCATTCGTTTGCTCAATGAGCACTGGCAGGCATCAACTACATGCTGAGCCCTGGAGAGACCCAGAAGACCTCAGGGGGCATACAGCACACAGCACGTCAGTCAATACCTCGAGGATGGCAGGGAAAGAGGTGATGGGAGAGAGAATGAGAATGCATCGGTACAGAGTGGGCAGTGTCGAGCCAGCAATGTGGCACTGAAGCATCTCTGGGGAAACCCTTGAAGGCACACTGTTTGTTGACAGGTTGACAGGAAGGAGGTGTCAGAGGGTAATGCCAGAGGGGGGTAGGTCTGGATTATGAGGGGTCATATGCCATGCTAACAGTTTTCATTTATGCTGAAGGTCACAAGATGGCCAAGTAGAAGAAGGACATTTTCAGGGCTGCATTTCAGAAATAGTCCATAAGGGGCTCACAGCTAGGCGGGCACTGGAGAACAGGGCACTGGAGAACAGGGTAGGCACTAGAGAACAGGGCACTGGAGAACAGCAAAGCAGGAAAGGGGGCGGCCGACAGGAGGCTGTGAGAACAGCAGTCAAGAAGTGATCGGAGCAGGGCTAGGGGAGTGCACAGACAGGGACGTGCCAAGGACGGGGAGTCACGGGGCACAGCAAGCCTGGGCACGGGGAGATGGCATGAGGAGGGGAGATGGCATGAGGAGAGAGGGAGATTCTGAGGGGATGCCCAAGTGTCAGGTGGGAGGGGACAGTGGTGGCACTGATGAGACCATAACCGATGTGGGGGCTGGGGAGGAAAAAGTGGCTTTAGCACTGGGACCCGTGAGCCTCTCAGGAGAAGCAGTTGAGGAGGCCGTTAGACCTGGGAATTCTGGAGGCTGGAAGGCAGACGCCGGCCTGAGATAAGAGGCTGGTGGTGAGCGGAGATGGGTGCAGCCGGAGCCACAGGTAGGATGAGGAAATCCAGATAGCAAGGGTGAGACAAAAAAGCAGCGGGTGCAGGACAGCTGGCAGGGTGACACCTGCATCCACAGGGCCAGCAGAGGAGCATGCACTTCCAGGGGACTGGAGACCAGTGGGGAGGGGTGAGAGCCCGGAGTGAAAGGCACTGTGCCTTGCAGGTGTCTCTGGGGGGAGTGAGCTATTTGTGTCAAAGGCAGCAGAGGAAGGAGGTAGACAGGGCTGGAGACACCAGTACTCTCGGTCCTGGGGAGGCTGCTGGAGACCAGAGGGGCAGCAGCTGAAAAGACCCCTCCCTGCCCCATCACAAGGTCCCCGTGCAGGAGAACAGTGTCCGCCTGTCTGTAAGGATTCTCAGGCATAAAGCACAACACAGTGGGGTGGGGAGGAGGCCGGGAAAGGGGGGCAGTGGGGAGGGGGCACAAAAGGAGATTTTTAAAGGACTTGATCATTTACATTAAGCCACAAGGTCTCTTGCCTCTGGTGCCTGAAGTCCTTCTCTGAGCCTTGCCTAGCCACTGAAGGGCCCTATGGACTCCCCAGGTTCCACCCACACCAGGACTCACACTAGAGACTGAACTCTCCTGGCTCAAACACAGGACATGGGAATAACAAGTGATTCTGATATTAATGTGATTATTTTCTTATCCAACAATTTTTACCCTCAGTTGTCATTAAATCCTCTAGTGGCATCAGCTTCTTTTCTCAAAGATTCTCTAGCAATCTTTGACATCTAGCAATAAAGAACACGTCTATTTCATTTTTCAGAGGGCAACCATTACAATGAGTTCTATGGTCTAATTAATTTCATAGCCGTGGAGATTTAGTCTGAAGGATGGGAAATACCTCTGGGCTTTTGCGGAAGGACAGGTACCAGGGTCAGAGAATACATTGAGAACACCTCCCAAGCTGCATCATTATTACTGAGTGGCAGATGAAGCAAAGGCTTCAGAATTGAGACAAATACATCGCATAGATCCTTAGCATGATGAGAATTATTCCAAGCAGGCAACTTTACCTTTGAAATCCACTTTCAGTGGCCCATCCAAATCCCTGCTGACCAGTCTGAAACTGACTTTGAGGATTAGTCCAGCCTGAATAACAGCGTGGGGGCAAAGCAGAGGGAATGGTAGAAAAACCGGAGCCTGCCATGCTGAGCCTCACAAGACAAATGTCGCCATGACAACAGAACCATAAAACAGAGAGAAAAACCAATGGCCCTTCCAACATCACCCACTCCTGGTCATGTATTTACATCGCTAAGTCAACAATCTCACTATTTTTTCAAGTACCTAAATTCTAAAACCGAGGCACAAATGAAACATTCACATTTGCTTTGGATTAGAAGAGGTGCTGGTTCATGCCCCAAGGCCTCTTGGAATTTCTGTAACTTTGCTGGAAGAGAGAAATGGTTGTAATTGGAGTGTGGCGTCTTGGCATGACAAAAAGGTGCTGCTACAATGAGATGAAAATTAACACCTGCAGCTCCTGCTGGTTGTTTCTGATGGTCCAGCAAAGTTGTGTTACAGCCCGTCAAGAAGAAAAATGCCCCTTGAAAGCTAAAGAAGAGTTCCCAGGGTTACCCACATGTACCTGTCCAAAGTTTTCTTCGTCTATGCAGAACATGAGGTCCAGCTCAGTAGGGTCATTCTCCAGGATCCATTTCAAAGAGTTGTAATATTCACTATCCTACAGAATGACACAGGAGTGAAAATTCAGCATTTTTTCCCCAAAATACAAACTCATTTGACTTCTTTAATTACATTCTAATGTAATTCTGTGCAGAATGCTCAAGAAATATGTTACTAATGCAATGTTTCCTGCTCCACCTAAACCAAACCTTCCTCTTTAAACTATAAACAAACAAACTGCTTTAGTTGTAATGAGCTTGCAGTTAAATCCTGTCCTTAGTGATGCACAGTGGAAGGCACCTACTCTGGATGGTGGATGGAGCTGCCATACTGGTCTACAAAATTTAACATACAGACATAAGTATACTTTCTTTTCTCTCTCTCTTTTTTTTTTTTTTTTTGTTTTTGAGATGGAGTTTCGCTCTTGTCACCCAGGCTGGAGTGCAATGGCATGACCTTGGCTCACTGCAATCTTTGCCTCCCGGGTTCTAGTGACTCTCCCGCCTCAGCCTCCTGAGTAGCTAGGATTACGGGCGTGTGACATCACACCTGGCTGACTTTTGTATTTTTAGTAGAGACGGGGTTTCGCCATGTTGGCCAGGCTGGTCAATATACTTTCTATCTTTTTAGAGTGAAAATATCATCGCTGTAATTCCAGCACTTTGGGAGGCCAAGGTGGGAGGATCACTTGAGCCCAGGAGTTAGAGACCAGCCTGGGCAACATAGTGAGACCCTGTCTCTATAAAAAATAAATAAAGTTTAAAAAAAGAGTGAAAGTATCTGAGGAAAACAGGAAGGATAAAGAATGTTCTAGACTGGGCTTGCTGGCTCATGCCTATAATCCTGTAATCCTCGGCTTTGGGAGGCTGAGGCAGGAGGAGGGCTTGAGGCTGTTCAAGACCAGCCTAAGCAGCATAGCAAGACGCCATGACTACAAAAAAAAAAAAAGAAATTAGCTAGGCATGGTGGTGTGTGCCTGTGGTCCTAGCTACTTGGGAGGCTGAGACAGGAGGATCACTTGTGCCAGGGGATAGAGGCTGCAGTGAACTATGGTTGTGCCACTGTACTCCAGCCTGGCAAACAGAATAAGATTCTATCGCCAAAAAAATAAATAAGTAAAATAATGTTCCAACTAAGTAAATACCAATAGTTTTAAGTTATCCCCTTTCTTGTGCTTTGATCACTCTCCAGGTTAATGTCAGCAAAAAGGGTGGCTGCTCTGGTTTCAGAATCCAGAGGATCAGTCACAGGCCTAAGCGCCTGTCCCTGGTCCCTCCACGGTCTCTCCTGCTGGGGACACGACGGGCTGTGAAGAGGGTAAAAATAATACACGCACTGTACTTTAGGCACTAACTGTCAGCATGTGGTATAAAGTTAGACGTTAAGAGAAATTCCTGTGCTCCTAGCTGCTTCATCATACAGTGATGAAAGCAGAAAGCACAAACACAGGGTCAAAGTGGAGACCGGAATCACAGGTGTGCATCCCAACCCACCATGACTGGCAAACCAGCAGTGGGTTCAAGGGCACTGCTGGCCTCTTCCTCTCCTTTCATACAATGAGGAGCAACAGAAACACTGAGTCAGCGCTGGTCAGGGCCGAGGACACAGCTCATCTACCCAACCGTGCCCAAAATACAGTTGGTATCACAGGCAGGTGACATCATGCAGGGGCTTTTTAACTCAAGTGAGCAAACACGAATGAGCTGCAAATACCCCAAATGGACAAACGCGCTTCCCAGTGGCCCTGTGTGTGTGCTGGCGTGTGGGCAAACACCCATACACTCTGGAGGTAGATGTGGGGTATAGGTACATTAAAAGAAAAACAGAAGCAGAAGTATATTATAAAAAGAACATCAATTTTTGTTTTATAGCAAATCCGTGCTGGGTGCGGTGGCTCACACCTGTAATCCCAGCACTTTGGGAGGATGAGGCAAGAGGATCATGAGGTCAGGAGATCGAGACCATCCTGGCCAACATAGCGAAACCTCGTTTCTACTAAAATACAAAAAAAAAAAAAAAAAAAAAAAATTAGCCAGGCATGGTGGCGTGTGCCTGTAATCCCAGCTATCTGAGAGGCTGAGGCAGGGGAATTGCTAGAATCCGCAAGGCGGAAGTGAGCCAAGATCGCGCCACTGCACTCTAGCCTGGGTGAAAGAGCAAGACATCATCTCAAAAAATAAAAAAAATAAAAAAAAAATAAAATCCTTCCAACTCTAAAATGGTCTGTCTAGGTAAAATTAATGTTAAATGCAACATGAAAACCCAAATCACTACTTGGAGAACGTCTCAAGTGTTCACTTGCCTGAGCTGTGGCGTCACTCATCCATGTCTAGGACGTCTGCCTGATACTCTTCCTATTGTTTTGACCTTTGCCTCTGCCATTTTTATGATGTCAGGAAACAGAGGGAGAGCGGATGAAGCTCTAAACATTCAGCAGCAGCAGTTTTTATAGAAAACACAGGCTACCATAGATCTTCAGCTGTCTCTTGGATTTAGTAAGTTCACACAAGTCCTATGCCGGGTAAGCAGAGGCAACTGGGATTTGGATGTATCCACCCTAGGTACCATGGTTCCAGGAAATGTGAACAATGATTTATTACAAGAATTAGATCAATGAACTTTTCAAGCAATTAAATGTCTCCTGTTGTTCACATGGAATGCAACACCCATAAAAGTGGCTGAGACTACAAATATGGCTCTCCAATACCTTCTCATAAGACACGAGTGCCCGGTGATGGCCAGTGTGTGACGTGCATTTACTTACCACAGATTCCATGTCATTCAGGGTTATCTGCTTTCCCAACATCATCTTGTAAAATGGTCTAATGAAGAAACCTAAAACACGGTAAACACTGGGTTTAGTTTCAGGTCTTTGACACTGCTATGTATCAGAGCATGAAAGAAAAGATTAACCTGCTTTCAATGTAAATGAGAAACCATGAAGGAGTAACCAAGGGCCTTCTACAGTATTGCACAAGCGAGGAGGCGAGATCAGGGGGAGAGTGGCATGAGGAGGGCAGCTGTGCTAAGAGAGATGGCGCAGCAGAGTGGGGCCAGAAAGGCCTCTGGGAGGTGACAGATGAGCTTCAAGGTCAAGCAGAGTCCGCAGTGCAAATCAGGCGTAGGAATTGGGGGAGAAAAGGGCACACTAAGCAGAGGAACAAGGCTGGGGACTTGCCAGCCGTTTGCCAGGGCGGGTAGACAGGCCAGAGAAGGGGCCGGCAGTGCAGAGCCCACATGGGGTGCTGGAGAGTTGGGGTGCTCTCTGAGGGCAGTGGGGAGTCAGTGAAAGGCCAGGTGAAATTCCATCTGTCTTCTGTTATCATTGCTTGGGCAGCGATGGGGAGAAAGCACAGGAAGGGGACAGGCTGGAAATGGGGAAGGCCCCGGAGAGGGCCTGTGCAACCCCCCGCGGAGGGACGGCAGAGGCCTCAGGGAGGCAACAGCAGCGAGGTCGGCCTCCCACCATTCAGGCGTCCTGCAGGTGCCTCCATTTCACCTGATCCAAAGGCATCACGCACCTCCTCACAGGGGGTCCTGACCCCACCAGACCTGGCACCCCAGGCTCCTGCTTCTGCTCCTTCATCCCCCCACCAGGCACCCACCCTCTGCAGTACAGGCCAATTCTCCCCGGCTCAGCGTGGCCCTATGCAGGCTCCAATAGACTCCAGTGTCTGGGGAAGTAAAAGCATGAAGCCGACCAGGGGGAGCAGCGGACAGATGTGCAGAATGAGCCCTGCCGACAGGGACATTCCCATCGGACAGATGTGCAGAATGAGCCCTGCCGACAGGGACATTCCCATCTGTGGGAAATTTGAAGACACTGCTGACTAGGCCCATCTATGTGCACTTGGACTCTTAAATGTGCAATTCCAGGTTTATATCGTGATCACTCTTGTCGGGGTCACTTTAGCCAGCTCCTTGAGACCCTGAGTGGTTCCTGCTTCCGCCCATCTTCTTCCACAAGGCCTTGACTCTGGGCTGGTCCTCACTCATCTGAAATGACCCCAGCCTTTGAACGCTCAAATGCTACCCCACCTCCGAGGTGCAGCTCATCCTGGGAAAGATTCCCTGAGCCTCCAGCCAAGTCACTTTCTCCTCTGAGGACTCAATGCACTCCCTTCTGCTCAGACACTATCACTGTGATTCTTCTGGTTTTGTTCTCATCTCTTTTCCCCCCGCTAAAATATAAGCTGACTAAGGTCAGGATCATATCTTATGCTTCTCTATTACCCCCTGTTAGAGAGGGTATTAAAGACACTGTAGCAACTAACAGCATCTTCTCACTTGCATACGGTGACTAAACTGACCTTCTGAGAAAGTTGGAGTGAATTGGAGCAGGCTGAAACAATCTATGGCATGACTCCAAAGCTGGAAATTAAAATATATTCACACTATACATACATGGAAAGAGTGTGTGGTTTAGTTTCCTTCTAGAGGAAAAAAAGTGTTTACTGTCGCCCTGCTACCAAATAAAGCAACAAAATCAGAGCATCAATATCAGCTACCAATTAACAGTAAAAACATATTCATGGGAAAAGTACAGAGGGTATACAAATTATTTATTAGAATAGCTAAGGCTCTATAAATGCAATGAACACAGTTCCCTTGGAAATATCTTTCTTATAAGTTACTGCAATGTCAATCTCAAATCCTACTCTCCCTCTTCCCATCCTCAACCACTCTACCTCCAGGCTCTTAAAAAGTATTTCTGATGCTTTTTTCTCACTGATGATTTCTGTAGTGTTTTCTTAAGGACACTATTTTGAATTGGCCAAATCTTTTAGAAGTCTCTAAGCCTATAGATACCGCCAGGTAGAGGGTTTGACTTCTAACTTTCAAGGTACCTTGAAATTCTTCCATGATCTATATGCTTTAAATAAGAATGAAATTATTTTGTGTTATTTGTTTCAGGGTTAATGTCTTAGCTAAGCAGTAACATTATTTTGAAATTATTTAGTCCCTTCAAATTAAAAAATAATTTGGGGACAAACGCAATAATCACAGGATATTAGATAGATGAGATCATTTTAATTAACTTTTCAATTAGTTTTTCCATCTGTTATCAAATCTTGCTTTCACTAAAGTTATTCCAGAAAACATACAAATGTATAAATACATAATGTTCTGTGTTTTACACTGAAGTTAAAAAAAAACTTTTGTTTTTAACTGTGTGTAGACACTATGTCTTCAGTGCCCAAAATAAGCTACCAGAGAAAAGGACATCCATTATGGGCAAAACATAAAAATACTTTATGAGTAAACCAGTGAAGCTTTTGCTTAAAAACCCATGATGCGAAAGATAAGACACCTACTAGCAAACCGCAAGCAGCACTGACCTATTTTTATTACTTCAAGACTTACCATCTAAGAGCTTCCCATGAAATACGGCCAGACCAGCAACTCTTCCAATAAAAGTGAAGTAGGACAAATGATCCTCATTACAGAGGCCTGAATTAGGGTTGATCTGAAGGGTGTAGTTGTCCCTTTTGAGGAGAAAGAGAAGAAAAGCCCAATCACACTTTCAAATGCAAGATTTTGCATATTTGTTTGCCACCTGTCACTCAACTTTTACAGTGTCCCTGCGAGCATTCTGTACCTAGTGGGAAAATGTGTGGGCTAGAGGACCTGACTTACCACATGCTCAACCGTGACCCACCATGGAGGCTGACGCATGTGCCCTCTAAAGTCAATTAAACCATAAGAGACGCTGATGTTTGACTGTTTTTGACCTACGAAGTGTCTATTTCATATGGTTCAGCCAAATATCTTGGGGAGATGAGAAACGCCACATAATAAAGGGGCTGTGCAGGGATTCCCAAAGATGTGAGTACTTTAGGTCGTCTCTGTGATGAAGGAAGTTTAATTCCTTCCAGAGGCTTTTGGCTTGGCCATAAGATGTTTGCTATGGGCCCAACCCTTGGTCTGTCTTCTGACCACTACTCTGCTCTGAAAAGGCCTCGAGGGGATTAGGAACAGGATATGGCTCTCTCAATGATGCAAACCTGCAAATTTTTAGATTTGTCCAAATGATCTTGCTTGGTTCACAATCATGTGGATCAGTAGTTTTCAAACTGGGATCACAGACTGATTCCTCCGGGGTGGGGGTATCTTTGAAAATGTGGAGAAGAGGTAAAGATCTTGTCTCTCTCCACCCTGCCCTCCACCTTCAATAGTTGGATACATTGTACATAGTGGGCTTTCTCATGGGACTCAGTAACAACAAATCAATTGGGCAATTCTTGGCTAGAGCAACCAGGAAGAATGTACTGAGGCGGCCTTCCAAATGAGCCCCCAGGAGACTGGTACCAGGTGGGAGATGTGGGGGAACCCACGTCCCCTTAGAGCCCAGGGCTGGAGTGATGACAAATGCCCTTCAGCAAGGTCAATGACTATTCTACTGGGGGCTTGGGTACTGCCCAACCCTTGGAGGATTCAGAGTCTGAAGGAGGAATGGCTGGCCTGGAAGTAGCTGATGTTTAATTGCTCAGAAAGCAATTTAGTCTGCCTCAGTTTCCAAGCCTGGCAATGATGAAATCCTAATGCAAGGGGAAACCTGGTTCTTTCCTTACAGGAGCAGGGCATGGTCCTAGGTCCTCAAAGTCCTTACAATTTGCCTTTACACAGGAGACCTCAGAAACGACTCTTGTTCAAAAAACACCTCCTTTGTTTTTGAATTCTAACACTGACAAGTCCTCCTCTTGAACACTGCAAATGAAAATCGCCTCCTGTTCCTTATCATAATTATCCACGTTTTCAATTTCAACTCCATGAACCCAATAGACAAGAAAAAAAATCAATGTTAGATGTTCGCAGAGTACACTATTTCACCACGTAGAGTCAGAACCTGTTCTAGACTTGCAAGGGGCTGTGGGGTGAGGAGAGAACAAACTCAGCAGAGTTAATGCATCTCGAACTCATGAGCTGCTTATCCTTTCATTCTGTTTAAATTCATACAACTGTCTCAGTGGGGGACACACACTGGGTGTGGCCATATACTTACGTGGCAGAGTACTCAAAGAGGCCGTAGTAGGGGTTGAACATCTCTTTGGACAGTAAGAAGAACCATTCTCTGGCCACACCCCCATAGTCAAGACCTTTCTCTGATTCAAACTCAATCCACAGTCTAGCTTTTAGGACATCTGGTCTTTTCACGGACATAATTCTCCGATAGGACTCTTCAAATATGTTATTTCTGTGAAGTTTCATTTCAAACCTATTGGGGATATCAGCCTACACAAAAGACAAAAGAAAACACATAATCATACAGTAAATACACACTTTGTTTTCTAATAAAAACAACAGCAAATGGTAGAAAAGTTGGCAGTCCTCAAAGAAACAGGCAGTGACAAATGGTTCCAACTGAGATTCTCTCCTTTAGGGGTTTTCCCTTGCAGACAGAAAGCCTTGCTGTGTCACGATGGGACACACGGCATCCACTAGCGATGCTCAGGAAAGTTAGAACTCTGCTGCGAAGGAGAACATCCTCCTTGCCCCCTTTAATAAACAACTGTGGGCACTTCTCCAGCATAGGGCAACCGAAAGGCAGTCGACTGTATCTGTTGCTTCACTCAAGAGACTTTAGCCCAGGTAGTCAAAACCTGTAATAATCCCCACCTGGCCAGGTTGGGCCTATCCATGCTCAACTGTGGCAGGGCCGCCAGGTGGTAGATATAATCCACGCTGCCTCAAGTCCATTTTGTTGCCATGGGGAGTGGGATCCTGATTATGCCAAGTGTGGGGAAAGCAGCCCAAAGCATGGTTCGCTGACATGAAAATAACAAAACACTTGACCAAGGTTGTGGCAACTGCCTCCTGCAAAGAGGCGGTCCAGGCTTGGTCTGGCTGTAAGAATGAATGTGCAGAGATGGTTTCCGGGTAGCAGACACTGCTATGTGAGAGCCATAGAGTGAGACTGGGTGATGACCACAGTCATCATCATTACCAGGGGACATGACTCACAAAGAAAACTGTGGAATTTTCAGTGATCATTTGAGTTTTGAAGGCAAAGAATCATTTCAATAGCAGTTACCCGCAAGCTCTTGAATCAGGACTTTGGAACAGAGACCAAAACCCCTAAATGAGAGCAGACATTGTGCCCCATCCAGAGATGTTCCCGGGCAGGAGGAACCAGCTGAGGGGAGGAGGCAGGGAGAGATGGCAATGGAGCCCAGGCCACCAGAGGGGGTCTGAGCTGCAGCCGCTTCTCTCCCCTCCCTAGAGGTGTAACCATAGTGATGGAGAAAATTGAAGAGAAAACTGCTAAGGAGGAATCGGAAAGTAAAACAGAGGATGCAATGTTGAACAATTTGGGGATGGTGTGTCATTAGAAAATGCAATGTTATAATTTAAAATGTTGCCCATAAAAATTTTTAGAGTTTCTAGGTTTTAAACTGCCAGGGATAATTATAAGTAGAAAATTACATTTGGACGTAATACTGCCAATTATTATAATTAAATATAACACTATATTATAAATACTGTAGTTGAAACTAAGCTTTTGCATTTACAAGGAAGGACTTGAACATTTTTCTTACCGGGATCCAGGTTAATTAAATATGATAACTGCGCATAATTGAATAGGCTTCCACAGATTTTGTGACTAGGGTTCTGAATTATTTTATATCCCATAAAAATCATTCCTGTCTTTTTATGTATTACATAGGAAATTACCCTTCAGGTGATTTGATATGTAACACTGAGTTAATTTTCACTTACCATTTCTGTTAAAAAGAAAATTCAGATTTTAGAACCAGGAGGATCAAAGTGCAGAGAGAAAAGGAAGGTAATATTTTTAGCATTCATATAAAAGTAACAACCAAGTTGTTCTCACTGAAGTGACTGTGGTAACTTACAAATGACTAACACAAAGCATTTTTGGAAGGCATGATTACTCACAGGTTTCTTTAATTTCTTCCTGAAGTAGTCATATTTCTGCTTAAATTCTCTGGAGTAAGGGACAGCCTGGAAGATAAATTTATAAATATAGATAATGCAAACAATACACCTGAAATTTTATGTATACTGAGGCAACATTCAAGAGAATTTCATGAGTCATAAACCGTAAATTCTCACTTCTCAGATTATCCATGGAAAAATTAGATAATGTCTACACAGCACAGGGGAAAGTCCTAGAACTGATGAGGGCTAATCAGCTTTGAATGCAGCTTTCACCCCTGAAAACAGCTATACTGCTATTTGAGAAACCATTTGGGGTACGCTACACAAACTAAACATGCTTTCCAAGTGACTTTTGTCAGAATATGAGTCAGGGTGTTTCTGTTTTTCTTTTTTGCTGTGGTTTAGGTAAGAGTTATTGGCTAAATACTTCTAACATACAACCCAGAATGACCTACGTTGGCATTTTGAAAAGTCTAATTACGGTTTAACGAATTTTTGTGGGGAAATACAACGAGCAGAAAGGGAAGTGAACTGACACTCCTATCAAGGAATATAAAATCAGGCAGATGGCATTCTCAAAAAATCCTCAATTTAGAAGTCAGAAGGTTTGTCCCTTAATATTTAGTGGTCTTGGGCAAGGATTTCTTTAAATCTCAAATGCTTTATCTATGAAATAGAGTGATAGTACCCCAGTTGAGGGCTCAGGAATTGAGTTAACTATAGTCATTCAAAAGTTGTGATATCTCTTCAGGCAAAGGAGTAACATGTTAATGTAGTCATTTAAATAATCTTTATTTGCTACCTTGTAAAGTAGCTTACAATATCTTAGAGTCAGGGCCGTGAGTTTTGGCTACTGAAAAAGCTTACGATATTTTTATGAGCAAAAAGGATTGGGTTTTGCATATACACAGACATTAACTATGACAGCCTCGAAAACAACTCATTGCTTTTTAGCCACTAGTATGAATTTCAGCAGAGAATACTTCTGCTGTTATCATTTCGGCCTAAGTTAATAAAATATACTGATCCTTAGTCTAGTATCTCCAGACTCCAAACCTTACACTTTCACCATACTTATCTTGACCAGAAACAGAAGAAATGAAGAACATGAACTTCCCTCTTTTATAGTTTTAAGACATGTTTATATAAAAAACCCGAAACAAAACAAACAACCACTCTTCCAGAAAATGAGCACGTCAGTGTTTTGCTCTGTAATTCCAGAGCAAAAAATACATCATCTTTATATAGCTTAGGAGCAATCTATAGACAATTTACACTGCCTATGGTCTTTTCTTAGTTTTTAAGCCAGTCTTCTTTGATTTTCCACTGAACAACAGATTTGACCTCACATCCTATTTATTTTAGGCAGTGTTTAGTCTGATGAAACCACATAGCAATTCTGAGTCTAGGCAAGGTATAAATTTGTTAATACCTGGACAACCACCAAAATAAGAAAAAGAATACAATGTTCTGACATAAGCCAATAAAGAGATCATGTTTTCTGCTCTACCAACAGTACATCCCGTCACAAACTAAGATTTCCTCTCTAGTTTATTTCTCACTTTCTGGTGTTCATTCTCGTCCATTCAACCGATACTTCTTGAGCACCTACTCTGTGCAAGGCATTTTAGGTGCCAGAAAAATAACAGTACATAAACCAAAGGTAGCTTTCCCAGTTCCCTCCTGGAGCTCACAAGCTGTTGAGAGCAACAGGCAATAGGAAATCAATGAATAAACCGTGGTAGTGCCATGAGGAAAAAAATGACCCCATAGGAACTAAAAAAGTGACTTCCTTCCACTCTCTCCTGCCAGCGTTAGAAGGCCTGCACTCTCGGGTAGACTCTCATCAGCTGGCTCTGCATCACATCCTCTCTACTAAGGAGTTTCTTCACTGTTAAGTGGAAGAATTTGACTGGATGAACAAACGTGACTCAGCTCTTCTATTTCTGAAAGTCTGTGATTCCCAGCAACTATTTTTTGTTTGTTCCTGTATTCGTGAGGGTTCTCCAAACATCACTGTTACATCACAGTTCCCCCTACTCCTGAAAATGTTGGAAAAAAAGCTTAAACAGTCATCACTGTGTATGCAAGTTCGACTGTCTTAAATGACAAATTCCCCAAGGAGCAGATTTCAACATGTGGCCCCCAGCCTATGATGCCCGTTCCCTTGCCTGCTCTGTCTCCTGGCAGGGGCTGAGGAGGTGTGGGCGGAAATGTTGAGATATTTCAAGCCTTTCTCCTTCTGGGGAATGATGCGTGAAAGCTGAAAAATCACTGTCTTCCTCTTGCATTCATTATCTTTTCTCTCCAGAGGTAGTTCTCATGATAGAATAAGAAGAGCAAGTTTTTACATTCTCTTCCTGAAAACTTTCCAACAACGTACCAGGACAAACATCCTTCCAGTGCAGCTTCTGAAGAGATTACACGTACATTTTTTTTTTTTTAATTATTGGACCAAATCATTTGTTCTCACTTGAAAATCTCGAATGTCATTTTCTGGCTTACAAGTTAGCTTGTAAAATAGGTCTACGTGAAAAATGAACATATCTGTTGATTAAAGCCCTTTTGCTCTGCATTAAATCTGTGTTCCTGTTTTGGGTACAGAATGAAAATCTGCCTTATTGTGTAGGTCGGTTCTAAATGTTTTCACATCATCACTGGCCGGGAGACATTGGAGCTCCTTGCACAGAAGGGCTCATGCCCGGCACGGGGACATCAGTGACACCAGCGCATCTGGGGCTCCGGTCCTGATTCTGACCCTTGCAAGGACTGTCAGCAACAGAATAAGCTTTCTGAGCTTCTGACAAATTGGAAATAACAACATTTGCCCTGCCTTTCTGAGGGGACGACTGTGAGTTTCAAGTCGGCTGATTATAAAGTTCTTGGAAAAATGAAAGTGTTACACAACATGAGATAGTGTTCATGACAGCAGCATGTGTGAACATCACTTACTAAATGCTATTACTAGTGATATCTGCTATACACAGAGCATGCTAACTTACAGGAATGCTGAACACTGAGCTGCCACAGAAAGGGTCCCCTCTCCCTAAAAATATGTAGAAACGCTAGGCCTACTTAGAACTGATATTTTTAAAACTTGGGAAGAGAAACTCTAGGTACTAGGTAAGCAGAAAGACTCACAATTAGAGAAATCAGTGGGCACTGGACCTAGACATAGGGGCTTGGGTTTTAATCTCCCATGGGGACACAGAACTTGGCCTTTGGTCTACATGATGGAGAAAGAACAGTCATTGTTTAAAACCTAACATCTGGAAAGGGGACAAGAAAACTCTACCCACCGGACCAGGGAAGTTGCAAGGAAGCTTACCTTCTGTCCAGGACCATAAATGGGAGAAAAACAAAAAGAAACAGACCTGTAATAAATCCATACTCCAAGCCTGTGCCAAAGTGGGTATGAGGTCCACAGTTATACTGACTGGGGGTGCATGAACCCAAGCTAAGAAGTTAACAGTAAATACAGGTCAGGACTTACAAAAGCCTCATAGGAAAAAAAAATGAGCTTGCTCATGCTCTCTCTCTCCCTCTTGCATGCATGTACACACACACACACACACACACACACACACAAATTATAAACTGAACTAGGCAATAATCTACACTCTTAAGGAGAGTCTACAGACGTAGTGGGAGATTTAATGATCCTAGGACCAGAGATAATAGAATAATCTCAAAGAGGCTAAGAAATAAATATCTTAAAAATAATAAGCAGATGAAAGCATCAAAAATAAATAAAGAGATAAAGAGAACAGGACAAAATAACTATGAAGACAAAAGCAAATTTTAAACGACCAAATAAAACTTTGAGCAATTAAATTTAGTCACTGAAATAATAAACACAATGAACTGATAAAGAGATTACAAAAAAAGCTTAAAGAATTAACTGGAAGAGCTAAGTAATAACTCACAATACAGCAGTGAGAGACAGAAAACACAAAAGTTAAGAGATAAAGCAGACAATGTGAAAGAGAAGTAAATGTCCAATAGGAGTTACAGAAACAGATACTTAGAGAGAATCGGAAAAATGCAGTATGTTAAGAAATAATAGCTGAGAATTTTCCAGAACAGAGGAAAGACACAATCCCCATACTGAAGAAGCCTGAGTCCAAAGCAAGATAAATGAAGAGAACTCCACACATAGGTACATGATGATAGCGAAATTGTAAAACATCTAAGACACAAATAAAAATTCAAAATCACTAGAGAACAGAGCCATTTACCTACACAGAAACGACAATGAGATTGACAGCAAACCTGTTATCATCATTTATGGAGGCCAGAAGACATGCAGGAGAATCTCCAAAGCACTGAGGGAAAATAATTTAACCAAGATTTCTATCATCAGCTGAACTTCAGAGAGGTCAAATGAGACCTTTTGAGTCAAAGACTAAGAGATATTACCACTCTCAGACTGTCACTGGCAGTGCTGCTGGGCAGAAGTGCTCAAACCTGAGGGGGCACTGGAATCCCTGGGAGAGCAGTTAAAACAAAGACTGGTGTCCCACCCCCAGAGGTGCTGATTCAGTAGGTCTGGGGTAGGACCTGAAAACTTGCATTTCCAACAAGCTCTCAGGCGATACTGATACTCTGGTCAGCAGACCACACAGTAAGAACCATAAACTGGACTAGGCTTCACTAAGATCAAAACTCACCCCAGAAAAAAAATGGATGGAAGAACCAATGGTGGGCAAACCAATGGTGGGCAAAGAAATTTGTCTACATTTGGTAAAATTAAATCAGTATGGACAGTAGGGAGAAAAAAGATAAAACATATTAATGACTATTTGACTATTAGGAAAGTTTAAAGCAAGGTAGTTTTAAAATTCCACCCAACAATGACGTGGCAAATGGGAGTGGGAAGAATGGCATTCAAGTTCCCTGAGGTCCTGATGTTAAGGAGAGTAGACAGTGATTCATTTTAACCCTAAGTCAAGTATGTGGGTTACACAGTTTAATGTGAGAGCTATAAGAATACAAATAGAAAGTACAGCCTGCAAGCACATAGAGAAAATAAAATAGAGAGTACTCTATCAATTGAACAAAAGGCAAGAAAGAAGATAAAATATCGCGAGAGAGAAAAGATATGCTAAACAGCAAATACGAACAGAGAAAGAGAATGTAGTTATATACACCTCAGACAACATCGACAGGGCAACAGTCACCACAGAGACTGACAGAACTATCTTGATTAGATCCAATAGCAAAATAGCAATGAGAATGTAGATAATTTGAACACCACAGGCTTGACCTAATGGACACAAAAAGAACTCTATATTCAACCAAAGACACAATACACATTCTTTTTAAAAAGAAAAAGAACATTTACAAAAAGTGATCAAGCTTCCAATGAAGTTTTAAATAAACATCCAATAATAAATATTCTCTAGACAATATTATCTGACCATAATGCAATAAAATTAGAAATCAATAAAAAAAAATGAATAGGCACAACCCTCCCATACTCTTAGAAACTAAAAAGCATATTTTAAATAATGTATAAGTCAAGAAGAAAAATCAAATGAAAATTGCCAAATATTTAGAACTGAATGACAACAAAGGCCAAATGTCTACACTAAGTTGATAACTACCTAAATACAGATTCTCCTCTATTGAAAGCAATATAATGAATAATAATAATAAAAATGAAGGAATAAACAAGGGTCTTTTATTAACAGAAAGCAGAGAGCTCTTTCTTGGGGGCAAATCTACTTGGCTTTATGATGCTGAGCAATTTTCAGTAAGATTTAATAAGGACTAGCAGTGTTTGAGTGACGGCCGGTAATTGATAAGTGATAAAAATATTTTGAAAAGGCTTCAAAGTTATGTCAAAAGTCTTCTGTCACTTAAAAAGAATAGTTTCTTGAATTTACCTTGTTCTAATGATGTAGAAGAGAAAATAATATTCCAATAAACAACTGTGACTGCGAATATATATATATCAAAAGGAAGCATCAGAGTAAGGCAGTGTTTAAGCCGCATAGAGAAAAAAGTTGACTGTTTTTACCCAGGTACTACTGGGCACTTTGCCTAGGAAATAGTACCCAAATGACTAAACAAATCCAACAAGTAACTAACAGGAGTCAGTTACCGGGGCACATTTGCAATGTAGTATCTTTTAAGTTTTCAAATGGATGTATCTTACTAATTCAAAACATAATTTGAATGGAATCAGATTAAAGCCATGAAATTGGAATTTTAAATCTACCTACTGGCCTCTTAGCTCAGCATGTGATATAACAAACTTCAGTTCCTTTTGCTCCTCTGGTCTAAGAATCCCAAATTTGCAATCTTCTGCTGATCGCAGTACAACTCCTGTAATTCCAAATTACCTCCCTGCACTCGTATAGCCACTGACAAAAGCTGGTGGTGTGCTCTCTGCTGATGAGTGTGGTCCCATTCTACAGACTTGTTAACAAGTGTGAGATACCAAATGTCTCCTGATGCTTCAGGGAGTGGGGTTCTCACACTGCCTTATGAACACAGTGTGCTACGGTGTTTTAAGAGGTCATCACGCCTGCATCAGAATTGATTCTTTTTCCACCCGGCATATATGAGGGGACCATGAGAACACTGTGGGTCGGCAGAGTTCCAAACTCTTAACTCTGCCAGCTCCTGAACTTAGCTATAATCTCACCCAAACTTCTACAGATTTTTGAAAGTTGTAAAAGATTTAAACTTTTGGCATACATTTACTACTCCTGGCCTAAAGAAATGATAACACTTTATGAAGATAGGGCTTGGTTTTGCTTCATATAAAAAGGAAGGGAGGGAATTTTGACTATACTTATAGTCCACCCTTTTATAAAGGAGAAGAAAAATGTTTAATTCTGCTGTCGTTATCAAGCTGTTTTCCTTTATAATGAAATCCATCTGAAAAGGCACATGCAGCTGTACCTCACCTGGAAACTTCAGTAAGGAGATGGCAGCAAAGTGCTCTGTTTCTAGTCAACTACTCAATCACCGTTGTCCCTTGACATCACCGTTATCAGTAATACACAAGAAACACGTAAACACGTAACCAAAATCTTATACTGAAGAGGCAGAATTTGAAAATACTGACCGGACCAGTAATAGCTGGGTTCTGCAGTCTTGGGTCTTCCCACTGAGTAATTTTGCTATCTGAAAATGTTAAAAAAAAAAAAAAAAAATCAGAACATTAGTTCAAATCTATTCTATGTAAAGAAAGTTTTGGAAGGAAGTATTTCTGGATTCTTCAAAAGCTGTCCAGTCCCCCACCCTGTGTTCTAAAGACAAATTAGTATTTCAGAGTTAGCAGGTAACTACAGTCTATATGGCAACCCCCCTCACATACTGTTTAGTTAAAAACACTCAATCAAAAATGCACAACTAAAGATAAACCATCTATTCATACTGTTTTGGGCAAATAACTTGCTAAAATGGGAATTATAAACCCCTGTTCTTTTAAGGATTTATAACTTGATCTTGATTTTCATTTAGTTGAAAAAAAGCATTTAAAAAGTCTTAGTTTCCCAAAAGGCTAACAAACACACACACGATTTTTTTTCTCATTTCAAATACTTTTCTCTTTACTTATGGTGTTGAAAAACTGCTTTCAATTAAGAATCCTGCATTGAACAAATGAATAATCTATTACATGCGTCACTCATATGCACACAAAAATCAAAGCAGCTTAGGCAGTCCAAAAAAGAGAATTAGATACAGCAGAGGAAGATTACAGAGCATGGTTTCTGTTTGGTCACACTGGCAAAAGGTGGTTTGCTTTCTTCCAAGTGAGTTAATGTGCACAAGACTGTTCAATGCTATCTATACCATTACTTGTGTAGGTGATAATACACAACAGCTGCCTTAGATCACTTGGTGTTTGTAACTGTGCATAATTAAAAAGACCTTACGGATTCCTGTGTGTGTACTAGGGTGGAGTGGAGGGAGAGAGAGTGCAATGGACTCACATGAAAGGTACGGGGGGTGGGGCACACTAGGGAGAGTAGGTTCTCCAGAGTTTTTGGATATCTAGGTTAGTAAAAAACAAAAAAAAAAAAAAAGAAGAAGAAAATTATTTGAAAAGTAAAGGGTGGCCAGGAGCAGTGGCTCATGCCTGTAATCCCAATACTTTGGGGGGCTGAGGCAGGAGGATCACTTGAAGCCAGGAGTTCGGGCCCAACCTGGGAAACATAGTGAGGACCCATCTCTACAAAAGGTTAAAAAAAAAAATTAGCCAGGTGTGGTGGTGTACGCCTGTAGTCCTAGCTACTTGGGAGGCTGAGGTGGGAAGATCGCTTGAGCCCAGGGGAAGGCTGCAGTGAGCTATGACTGTGCCACTATGCTCCAGCCCGATCTGCACCTGTCTTGGGGACCGGGGCGGGGGAGTGCAGGGGAAGAATATTGATTCTGTTTATTTTCTGTATACACTGTAAGTGAGCTGATAAGAATAATTAGTGAATTCTGTTTTAATGACCATATTAGGAATTTTAAAAAGTCTTATTATTATTTTAATAGAAGCAGAGGAAAAGCTAAAAAAAAAAAAAAAAGCTACCAAAGCAAGTGATGATTCTAGAATCTTTTGTTTTCATGCTGGCAGAAAATTTACATGAAAAATCTCAACTGTTTGAGAGAATCTTGATGGAAGCAAAAGGCATTTTTGGGTCCCTTACCTTTCACAGAAGACTTTGGAAAGTAAAAGTTGCTATTGTGATGGAAAACAAGAGAAAAGAAAACCAAATAAAGGAAACGGAGTACAGCTGAGTAAAAATTGCGCCTTAAAACACCAACTTGGATTATAACCGTATCAATGGATATTGTCATCAAAGCAGAAAATAAATGAATAACTCCTGACTCATTGGGATTCGCAAGTCCTCAGACCAGACCTGAACTTCAAGCTCCATCCTGGACATCTGCATCTGGGTTTCCCGTAAGTACTTCAGCTTAACTCTACCAAAACCAAACCTCTGATCACCCAACACCAAAATTGGTAACGTGACCTTACATTCCAATGTGCAGTATCACAATCCACTCACTGTCCCAATCAGGAACCTGGCCGTGTCACTCACTCTGGTGGTCCCGGACCAACCCTCTCTATTCCTGATAAGCTTCTTGCTAGAGGGCTCATTTTTTTTCCCTGAACTGTTCTCTGGGCGTCACTGGGAATTGTCTCACCCCCCAACCCCAGTTCAAGACATCTTCTACAGCTCTGCCAAAAGGATCTCTCTAAATAACGATTTCGACCCCATCCCTCCCCTCTGGGAAATCCCCTGGGAGCTCCCCACTGCCTGTGGCTTGAGCCCGAGTCCCCACACCGGGCAGATACCCTTTGGCTTGGCCTGTGCGCCCCTGCGGCACACTAGCTGTTTGGAGCAATGCTGCGTTTCTCGGAACGTGGCAGCATCTGCACATATTCACACACCTCCACGCATCCTAGGATCACTCTTCCTGGGGCTTTGACTGCCTCAATCCTACTCAGTGTTTGTCATCCATCTAAAAAGTGACCCATTCTCTCAGGGCCCCATCCCTGTGCCCAACCACCTCCCAAGCAGATGCAGTCCTTGCCTCTTCTGTTTCTGTGTAACAACTGATTCACTCCTCTAACACCTGAAATATCCCCTGCTACTTCCCACTGGACCTAACCTCCCCAAGGACAGGGACTGTGTGTTATTCATCTTTGCAATCCCCTCTCTACCACTTAAGACCAGTCCCAGCAGGTAACAGGAACTTAGTGCATTATTTTTTTAATGACTGAATGAAGCTGATGGTGAAAACAAAGTCCCTTTAAAAAGAGCCTAAGCTTTTGGAACAACACAAGTTTCTACATGGTTATGATAAAGAATTCTTCAGTGAAGTATGGTCAATGTATGAAAGTATGGGGTAGCCAGTTATCCTTTTTTTTTTTTTTTAAAGAACTTTGGCTTTTAAACTTGCTTTTCCTCTTTGAGATATATTTCCAATAAAAGGACAAGAAGGAAGTGGAAGGATGAGAAACTCAGTTTAGTCACGATGAACAGGTCTAGTAAGACTGTTGACAGGAAAGACTAAAATAGGACTTTACAAAATCACTGGAATTCAATTTTCTCTTCTAATGTTGTAGATAGGATACCTGTGGCCAATTACTCAGCTGCTGGGCCTGTCTGGTCTTTAAGAAGAATGACATCATTCCTACAAGATGTAGAGATTCAGTTTAAGACCTTCCTTTAACCTCCCACCTGAGGCCCAAGAGCCAGGAGCCATTCCATAGACAGCAAACAAAGGAATCGAGGAGTCTAAAGAGGTTAGTCTCGATCATTCGTTGCTCTTGAAATTAAATCTTTATGATGGCTGAGTATTGTTCATCTTGAAAATGTCTAACTTCTCAGGAAAAACTTACAAAGCAGAAATAATTAATTATTGAAAAGACAAGTGCATCTCATCATCTCATCTGTAATTCCAGGTGGACCCACGTGCCAGGTATGCTGGAAGACAAGATGACTCTAAGCAATTTACAAGATGACGGCACTCACGGCATTGTGGCATACGTGGGCATAACCTGGTTCCTGTCCTGTAGGCATTATGACAGCAAAATCAGATGCTGAGTTTTGCTATAAGATTGTTTAGAAAAAGAGGCTTTCTTCTGACAGAAAGGACATTCCTAAATGTTATCTTCCAGGTAATTCAACCCATTTGGAATGTATGTGTCAGCCTGATAAAGCCTCTTCAAAAGATAGGTATTCTGCAGTTTTCACAGACTGAATTTTGTGGAAAGGCAAATGACTTGAACTGTTTCACTGACGTGTACTGCTCTACAGCTTTCCATTGAGTAAACCTTGATGAATTATGGAGCGATGGTAGAAACGTAGCATGAACAGCTAAGGAGGCACTCGTAAACAAATCCTTTTCTTAAATGGTTTTTGGTCACTTAATTTATGCTATATCTCTTTAACAGAATCTTTCAATATGGTTGTGCAAGGGCAAAATAAATTTTAATCTCCAAGTCAATGGCCACAAATATATTGGCACAGCTTAGTTGCATCAAGCTCTGTACAGAGTATAATGGAGCCTCGGGGGTGCTGCTCTAGTCAAGTGAAATGAGGAAATGTTTGGGCAGAGTGCTGGAGTAACTGCAGAACTGATCAGGAGTAAGGAAAAGCCCAGGCATCTAGCAGGTAGTTACCTTCTTCCACCTTCCAGTAAGCCGGAGTTGCGCTAGCCTCAGGCCGGTGGGGGTGGAAAGCCGGAGTGGGGGCACCTACTGCTCCTCAAGTGAGTTCACTTCACTTTCTGATCAAGCACAACAACTTCCTAAGAGCTTCACCACTGATCCTCCATGAACCTGATTTCAAGTCACCAAGTATCAAGCATCTGCTATGTATCATACTAGGTCTATGACACCACAAGTGAAATAGTCAGTGATTTTCACTATTTTAACGCATGCTACGACAGCCCTTTGTAATTGTGTTTTTCTGTTTTTGGCTCCTTGCGGTATACGAAACACATTCACAACATTCTTTTTAGGGGGACCTAAGCATCACATCTCCAGCCAGAAAACTGTCACAATATTGTGTGCAATGCTCTCCATGCGTCACAGACCAGGATGTGTTACCAGTAAAGACCTGTTTTAGTAAAATGATCAGTATTATTCACACCTGTCTTAAAACTGTGATTGTGATGTATAAAAAATACTATAAAGGAAACTTTTTTCTTTTTTTTTGAGACAGCCTCCCTCTGTTGCCCAGGCTGGAGTGCAGTGGTATGATCTTGTCTCACCGCAACCTCCACCTCCCAGGTTCAAGAGATTCTCCTGCCTCAGCCATCCGGGTAGCTGGGATTGCAGGTGCACGCCACCACACCCAGCTAGTTTTTACTTGTATTTTTAGTAGAGACGGGGTTTCATCACGTTGGCCAGGCTAATCTCGAACTCCTGACCTCAACTGATCCTCCCACCTCGGCCTCCCAAAGTGCTGGGATTACAGGTGTGAGCCACTGCACCAAGCCGGAAACTATTATTTTGTTTTTCATGGGAAAAAGAGGTGTGGCCTCTCTCTCATTTTAGTAAATTCTCTTAAAACAATAAATAAATAGTATATTAAGGAAAAAAGTAGGGCATACACATACATGAAAGCAGGAAAAATACTTTATGCTTACTATGAAATTCTGGACAGTTGACAAATCTGCCCATTTTTTGATAAAAGACAAAAACTAAGTCTCTGCACCTTGAAATATCTGGTTTAAACAAAGGGTAGCTCACTCTTCTAAATACACCTAGGACTTCTACTTTCAGTTGAATTGTAAACTGCTGGTACTTTTGCTTAATTCCATTTATAATAAGCCCTCAACCCCCAGGGCCTGAAAGTGAAATTCTGTTCACAATGTCTCTGCCTCCTAGTAACATCTGAAAAACGTACTATGCCTATGAGATAGTGACCAGTCCTATACGTGTGAGGATTACTTGTGGCCAGACTTCTCAGCAGGTGGCTCATCAACGTGCTTTTGTTTAGTTATGAAATTGTGAAGCCAGGGAAACCCTAACTTTCTGTTCATGAACCAAATGAAAGCAAAGACCAAGATACTACCAAATTGCACTCATGGTTGAAACTTTACATCTATTTGAAGGCTTCTTTTTAATATACTTTTTCAGAAAATTTAAGGGACATAGAAATATGATTCCATGAAGAACATGGCACCTCCAAAAAGAATGAGAAAAAAAAAATCCCACTGGCTAAAAAGCAAACTTTTATTAGTTGAACTTTTAGTTGGAATGAGAAACCACACATTTTTTCATAGGTGCTGGAGCAAATGTCTATAGCAAATATACTACAATTTCCAGAAAATACATATATATTAGTGTTGTGGGTGCAAGGAAACATGCCGTGAATAGAAAATAAGGTCAGAGCGGGCATCCTGCCATAGGACCCTTGAAGGCAGTGTCTAAAAAACTTACATGCTGCTTCAAGCACTGTTCACAGATTTTTGACTAAATCATCATTTCTAATCTTATTTTCTATTACCAGAGTGTATTTATTAAATGTGCAAAAGTCAAGGGATCAACAATCAAAATGTGGTTTAAAAATTCAACAACAAAAAAAAACACGTTAATAGGTCACAAGATCAGATTGGGTGAAAGTTTGATGGGCTACTTTAAGCAAACTTGGGGTGAATGCACAGTACCGTATGAAGGCACTGATTCTCTGGTATCATTTTCTCCACATAACACCTGGCTGCCTAGATAAAGAGTAAAATGACAAAGCTTTCACTATGATGTTTGAATTACTCCTTCCCTCTAACCCACAACACCTGTGTGTCCATAACAGCGCCTACTTACTATGATCAATATAAAACGTTCGGCCATCCAAGTGAATTCTTTCTTCCCAGCCAGGCTAGTATCCGGGGAAGGAAGGGAGAGAGAAAATATAAACATTAGCTAGGAGTTCTGAAATCAAAGGCAACATTTAAAAACTATAGAACACCTCTGTACTCTTTTCTGCTAGGGTACATTTATGCATTGAGCGTGAACTAAATATGAACATTTCAAGTTAACTCTTGACCATGTCTAGCAACACGCTTTATCACATGCTCAGGTCTCAGATGCGCTGACTGTATGAAGAACCGGAAATGGGCTGCTAGCTCAAAAGCTTCAAAGGGAAACCGCAGCATTCCATGGAACAGTGGAGTTTGAAGTTGAGTACCATTTAATTAAATAAATACTGAGTACTAAAGGAAAGGAAGAGGGGGTTAATATAAAAATGTTAGACATGGTTAACTGTATTTGTGTTGTCCAGGCAGTTGATGATCTAATATTGGTATTATCCACCATGAACTTTTGCTAGTCAAGCTCAGGAACTAAACAGATTTGGAGAATTTTTTCAAGATAAAGCTGGTATGCCCTCATTATCTGAACTATCCATATTTGCTATCTGAACCTCAGGAATCCAACAGATTCAGAAAAAAATGCTTTCTTTTGTTTTCTAAACTAACTCTCTGGTTCTTTCTATTTGAACCCAGGAACCAAACAGATTTGGTGTGGGATACCTGTATAACCTAATGAATAATGATTGAACCTTAACCTTCGCAGCCTCCAATGTTGCCCTAATATACCAGGCAACAAAAAGGTTCTTACACTTGGAAAACAACAACAAAAATTCCCATTTAAAAATAGCCTTGGAGTCCAACCACTGCCCTGTCACCCCCTACGGCTTTTTCAAACTGAGAGTGAGTTGTTGAGGAGGATGTATGTGAAGGTTTCATTCAAAATCCAATTTTAAGTATATAGCTCAACTCCTACTGAGCCGTCACCAACAAGGGAGAAAAAAACTTTAAAAATCTGCAGGTTAAATGACTTATAGAAACTTTCTATGATTAATTAGGCCTTCTTCTCCCATACTATTTTCATTATTTTTGTTCTGATGACTTAATCAGCAATATGACTGAAACTCAGTGGTTGCTAAGTTACAAAATGAATGAGTGCCACTTAAATTGTCACCTGCAGAGAACGTCTCTTGAACATCCTGTGTACAAGGTCTATCTTCTGCTAGAAGCTAGCAATTCAGAAACCTCTTTCATAAGTACTGGATATCACATGAACTATAATGTATGACTACAATTCAGCTAAACACCCAATTCTGTTAAGAAACACAAACCAATGAGATCCACAAAGCCTGGAGATAGAGAAGGTCCACAGGGCCTCTCCATCAACATTGAGCGGATAAAGGAACACACATATTCAGACCATTCCATGTGTCTCCAGTGTACTCACAGGAAGGGGGCCAAGGTCATTGGGGTTTAAAGATGTCTTTGACCGCATATGTACTGGAAATTTCAAACGTGGATCTTCCTGCAAGAAAAATGTAAAAGACAGTAGATGCTAAGTGGAAGTATCTGTGTGCAGTTACTGGGTGCTTTTCTTCTTGAGCTGTTTGTTTCAAGGCAACCAGGCTGTCCATGCCTGGAGCGTGAGATGGGTCCCATCTCTGTTTTGTACAGGAAGCCTGGCTGACTGTCTCTCGAGACAGACTGTACTCTTCCTTCTTGTGCTTGGTGGAGAGAGGAGAGTAAGAATATTTACATGAAAGGTTAACCATTTCCCTGAGACCTTGAGAAGGGGAAGGGGAAGAGAGTCCCAGCAGTGATGTTACTAGGGAAACCAGAATGGAGGGTGCCAGTGAATGTGGCACAAAGAGGGAGTGGGGACAACGGTTTCGAAATCTCTCCATGGGTCCCGAGCTCCCGGTGAGGGGAGCCAGCCTAACACGTTAGGGAATAGGCCTCCCTGCCACACCCTCCTCCAGCACTTGTGCTCCCCTCCACTCCTTCTGAACTCAGCAGAGAATGTCAATCTGGTCTGTGAAGTCACGTGGCTACTCCAGGGAGAGTCGCTTTCATCAGGCAAACTCACAAAGTTATGATACAACTTTACTGAGATTCTTGACCAAGTTCTGCAGATTAAGTTCTCATTTATGTCTTAATATTTAAACGTTTACAAAATTTTTTTCTTAAAGCATAAGCTTCATAAGATACCACAGAGAATCAACAAAAGAGAAATATGTACTCTGACAACCTGGGTCAGGCTGCATGATTTATGAGGCATGGTCAGATGTAAAATCCTGCAACAGACCCTTGGTAGGAGGTTGGGCACATGGTCTGTTTCTTTAGATGAGGAAATGGAGTTTCAGAGAGAACAGGAAGTTGCCCAAAGATTATGACCCAGAGTCCAGGAGCTGACTCTCACTTATGTAGACCCAGTTAAAATGCAGTGTAGGCCGGGCACGATGGCTCATGCCTGTAATCCCAGCACTTTGGGAGGCTGAGGAGGTCAGGAGTTTGAGACCAGCCTGGCCAACATGGTGAAACTCCGTTCCTACTAAAAATACAAAAATTTCCCGGGTGTGGTGTGTGCCTGTAGTCCCAGCTACTCGGGAGGCTGAGTTAGGAGAATTGCTTGAACCCGGAAAGTAGAGGTTGCAGTGAGCCGAGATTGTGCCACTGAACTCCAGGCTGGGCAACAGAGTGAGACTCCGTCTCAAAAAAAAAAAAAAAAAAAAAAAGAAAAAAAAGAAAAAGAAATGCAGTGTAAGGCCAGATGCAGTGGCTCACACTTGTAATCTCAGCACTTTGGGAGGCCAAGGCGGGAGGACTGCTTGAGCCCAGGAGTTCGAGACCATCCTGGGCAACAAAGCAAAACCATATCTCTGCAAAAAACACAAAAAGTTAGCTGAGTGTGGTGGTGCATGCCTGCCTTAGCTACCTGAAAGGCTGAGGTGGGAGGATCACCTGAGCCTAGGAGGTCAAGGCTGCAGTGAGCCGTAAACTGTGATTGTGCCATTGTACTCCAGCCTGGGTGATGCAGTGAGTCTTGCCTCCAAAAACATAAAAAGGAGAATCCATATCTTTATACTCAAAAAAAAAACCACTATCAACCAAATAAGCTTAAGATTAAAAAAAGTAAACTGTGAAGACATTTGATATCAGCTTCATTCAATTTTATAATAGGGCCTTTGCTGCTGCCAAATTACTAGATTTTTCTGCTTCCCAAGTCAACCGTGTAAGTCATAGTATCACTGAATCATAATCATAGATCTTGGGAACTGGCAAGAATCAAAAAAGACCACGAACAACAAAAATCAACCCTTGCTTCTTGCTAGCTAGGTGAACTTTTAAATGAAGAAAGAAATCCTGTTAGCAGTTTGTGATGCATATTGACCCTGAACCCAATATATTTTTTTAAAAGGCTAAGCAGAGGCACAAAATAATCCAGTATTCTGCAGTACACTGACATACACAGAACATAAAGAAATATGCTAAGCTGATTTAGGATTGAGAAGGTCCAAGAAGCTGATAATCTGGTAAACATTCATGACTGGTTAACTACAGACAGAGGAAAAACTGAAAGCACTGAATTTCTCAAAAGCTACCCACTCAATGCTAACTCTGATCCGGACCAGGTAACGCCACAACCAGCGGGGGACCCTTGGGCTTCCACCTAGCCTATGACCATGCCAGATTTAGAGAAAGCTGAGGACTGCTATTACATGAAAGAGGGCAGGGCTTCTGAATGCTACACACAAGGCCAGCCTGACCTTGGAATCACATGTAGGCTACCGTGAAAGACAATCAGCCCTATTGGTAAAAGGCTGGTGATTTAAAGGGGGGGGGGGGGCGGGGGGGGCCGTAGCGTGAAAAGAAGCTGAAATTAGAGAAAAGTGTCAGGGAGGCAGTGAGGGGCAGAGCATGAAGTATAAAGTCAACCGAATTTCAAAGATCTGCTAAAGTGGCCTTGCATGGAAACCTAGACTTCATAGACTGTGAGGGCCAGAGGCCTTGAGGCTTATAATATTATTTTATCAAAAATAATAAAAATAATGGCAGCAGCTGCCATGAATCAGCTCTGAGGGCTAAGGCTAGTGGTCACCCTCAAGCCCTGACTCCCACCGAGCCACTCAAGGAGGCAGGCATCTCTCCTTAGTTGCCAGGGCACATGAAGTGGCGGTCAAGGCTCTCTATTAGTTATGGACAACTTCAGAGCTGATGAGAAAGTGGAATACTAACGAGGGCTCTGATGCAATGAAAATAAATGATCCAACGCATAAAGTGTGCCTGGTTGTTTCTTCCTTTCTTCAGTTTCATAACGGGAACTCTTTCATGTGTAATATAAAATTGCTTCCCTCCATCAAGTTCAAAGTGTTTTTAAACAGGATGCAAAGAGCAGTATCTTTTTAAAAAGGGCTTTCCTAATTCAAAATATATAAAACACAGGGATTAAAAAAAAGTGCCTTTTTTCTTTATCTTTTCCATCCTGGAAGAGACCAGCAACCACACCTAGAGTAATAAGTTTCATTAGTTTGAACTTGGATGGAAAACAAACCTGCAACTTAACTAGGGTGTAATCTTTCTTGCTACAAAAGCAAGCCCATGCTTCATCCTGTGAAAGGCACAAATATACTAATATGCGTTGAACATCCCTCACCCATAATGCTTGGGGACCAGAGGGGCTTTGAATTTCAAAATATTTGCAGTTATACTTACCACTTCAGCATCCCTAATCTGAGAATCTGAAATGCTCCAATAAGCATTTATTGCTTGAGTGTCATGTCAGTGCTTACAAGGTTTCAGACTTTGGATCATTTTGGATTTTGAATCTTTAAACTAGGGATACTCAACCCGTATACACGTGCTCTGAGCTGCTGAGGATGGAACATCCCTCCTTGGTACATCCCTCCCAAGCCCCTGGTCTCCAGCATGCATTCCCTGAAAGGCCTGACCCAGGCGGGGAACAAAGCCAATCTTTCTTTCTTTCTTTGAATGAAGCTAAACTTGGCCTGGCAGGGTGTCTCATGCCCATAATCCCAGCACTTTGGGAGGCCGAAGCGGCAGGATCACTTGAGGTCAGGAGTTCGAGACCAGCCTAGCCAACATGGTGAAACCCTGTCTGTGCTAAAAAAAACAAAAAACAAAAAACAACAAAAATTAGCTGGTGTGGTGGCATGTGCCTGTAATCCCAGCTACTCAGGAGGCTGAGGCAAGAGAATCGCATGAACCCGGGAGACAGAGGTTGCACTGAGCTGAGATTGTGCCATTACACTCCAGCCTGGGCAAGAGTGAGACTCCGTCTCAAAAACAAAAAAAATAATAATTAAAAAAAAGAGAATGAGGCCAAACTTTATCCAAATACTGATGGCATACTGCCTTCAGTATCTGTGTGTGTGTAAAAGGTCATCTTTCATGACATATTTCAATAAATTTTTTAATTTCTCAATGTATAGAGGGGAAATGTCCTGATACTTTTCAGGCTTCTGGTTGGTGTAAGAATCAACAGTGCCCAGGCCGATGGGGGAAGGAGTGTTATTTTCATCATTTTCAACCTGTCCTACCAGTTTTTTTCCTTTTTCTATTCTAATGCTCAAATCTAAGAATAGCTATGCTGTTCTCTCATTTGTTCTCTTCTTCTTTCAAAAATAAAAAACAAAGCAAACCCTAAAACCAACTCAAAACAGATTTTTAAGTTGCAAATTATCTTCATGCTTCCCTCCGGCTCTTCATCTTTTGTCAAAATGAACAGGCAATTTAGAGTGTGTCTTCCGCAGGGAAAATCCTGCCTAGGCCTTTGTTTAGAAGCGATAGCGCAGCTGTGTCAGCACATCTGAATTCGCTTAAGAAGGGGAGTAGCTTGTGGAATTTCCAGTTGTTACCTTGAGGATTTCCCACACTAGCAGCAGCAACAAAACGTTGTTCTAACAGATTATGATTTTAAATCAGTAAATTAGTCAATAACAAGTATCTGGGTAAACAGGCGCAACTGGAAAGTAAAAATGGGTTTCATTCAGCAATGTTGCAAGCAATAAATAAAGCGAGTGCTGTTTAATTTAAAATACAATCTGCCCAGCTGCAATTACACTGTTGTTGTGGCTTGAAAGGCTGTGAAAAGGTTAGGGGATTTGATTACCAAGCTAGTTAAAATTACTAAAATCATAGCTTATGTTGGCAAGCCACAGTGGCTCCTTACACTAATCCATCTACTTTTATATTCGTTAGCCCTTATTTCTGGAGCCTGTTTCTGGCTAAGGACTTGAAATTACAGCAGTGCTATAGTAAATGAGAACACTGGCAGGACAGCCAGGGGTTCCATGGTAATAAGTAAAAAGACATAAAAAAAAAGAACTCCATTACTATATTTTCCAACGAGCTGCCCGTCTCTTACTCTTGGCTTGCTTGCAAATCTGTAACATTATCTTCAGACTAGTAGGGGAGTCAAACCTACATGTTATTATATGCCTTAGAAGCAGTTATCAGTTTACCAAATGAATGTTACCAGATCTAAATGAGAAATTCTCTTGGCAGGCCATTCCCTTACTTCAAAATAGAAAGAGCTCTTAGAGTGGTTCTCACTTAGGGCTGTTTTGAAATGTGTAGGGCATTTCTGGTCATCACTATGTTGGGGTGGGGGTAATGGTGACCATTAGCACCTGGTAGCAGAAGCCAAGTTTGTTAAATAGTCTGCAACTGAAGGCACAAATGTCCCTGCCCCAAATGCCAAGAATGCCCTTGAAGACACAATGTCCCACGGTTCAAAGGATTCTAGGAGCACGCCCTCTAGACCTGCTGGACTGAACTGATACCACACAATGGGCAAGGCATAAAATGACAGCCCAAATCCCCTTGAGCAGGGCTTGTTCTTGAATATAAGGCTGCTGGTCTATCAAATGGACACACTTAATGTCCATCACTAGAAATGGGAATTAATGGTGTATGTTTATTGTTGGTCCAAGACCGAAGAGCTAGGGCCAATAACAATCACCAAAACTCAACCAGCATTCCCATAACATCAGTTTTGAGCAAGTAGCACAGATAATAGTAGGACCAAGTTAAACTCTGAGTTAACTCTAGCTAGACAATTCGATGGGGACATAACCGGAAGAAAAACCATCTGCAGCATCAAAAATAGCCAGAAATACGGGAACCGGTTTCAGTGTAATTACAGGTATAGAGATTATATAGCAGGAAAATACCAACTGACTTTTAAAAGAATCATATACTACACTGAAAAAGCCACCGATTCGGCTAAAGAAATAAAGAACTGACACAGAAATACAAAGATATGCATATTTGCCTTTGATTAATCTCATTTTGCTCAAGATAATACAATGTACAGATTCTTTCTTGGGTACAATTCAGGAGTACATGAAAGAGTTGCATGGTAAGAAAAATCAATTTTGACAAAATGATCACAAAAAGGAGCTATCAGATCTACAACCAAAGTCACTCAGTACATCCCCTACCCCATGATCAAGGGCATGAAAATGTACCTCAGATGTGTGAATACTGATCTGATGTGAACGGTAAAAACTAAAGCGACAAATCAAAAGAAGGTGGGTAATGCCAATGAAAGTGCAAGAAGAAACTGACAAAAGAAAAAATTATTTGAAAATGATTATAACTCCTAGTGAGATTACTTTGTGAGACGGGATCAATTAACAAAATCTTAACAGCACAGAGCAATACCTTTCCATCCAGCACGGTGAACTGTCTAAACTAGAGCTTCCCAGGAGAAAAGGCAGTCCCAGCACCAATACCAAAGACAGCTACCAGCCTGTGCCCACCCACTCCCACCCGCCCATTTATGCAGGGGCCAGATGCAGGCTGAGGAGACCCTCTGGAGACACCCTTTACAGTCAATCCAATTCCTCTGCAAGAACTACAAACACTAAGGAAATCAAGGAATTAATGCCAGACTTCATGATGAAAATGGAGCCAAATAAAAGCAGCAGCCTTACCCAGGTTGTAGTCTTTGTGTTATGATCAATGAAGAAGGGCCGGCCGTTTGGCGCTATCCTCATTTCCCAGCCGGGTGGCAAGAAGCTCTGTGTGACTTTGTGTTGTGGTTTGGGGGAGTTGTAAGGTGATGGCTGTGGGGACTGTGGGTTGGAAAGGGTGTCTTTCACAGCCCGACGTACGGGTGAGTCCTTGGCACCCTAAAGAATAACAATGAGGATTAGAACTCTTTAGCATGTGCGATTCCAATGTGCCAAAATGTACCTGGGTATTGCAGAAGGCTTCTCTTTGGAGATGGACAAGAGGGAAGATCCCCAAAACCTGTTTTCTGTCATTCATTTACTTTTAAATCAATCTAACTTTACATTTTCTCTGTTGGATAAACACACAACAATATTAAGTACTTATAACCACCATCCTTTGGTAGCTACTCAGTATGTACCAAAAATACTGTTCTGTACTAAGCATTATGGATGGAGATTTTACAGAGTGGAGAAAAATGTGCCCTTGCTCTTAATGAGCTCACAGTCTAATGAAGAACAGATTGGCAAGTTTTAGAGCACAAAAAGGAAAAAAGCTACATCAATAAATACAACGATCTGGAATCTCACAGTTGTTACCCATGACATTCATATCAGAGTGTGGAAGAGACAGCATCCATTCCCACTTATCAGCATCTGGACCCAGGGCGTGGAGAAGCCCACAGCTGTCTCTAAGACACAGTCAAGCTTAGGACCTCAAACATTTGCTCTTTGGCTTCTCTAACTCTGACATTTGTGATGTTAAAGGATGGCACCAAAACAACACAAACACGACAGAGAGCACAAGCAGATGCCCAGCCATGATGCAGAGATGCAAATATGCATCAGAAACATGTATGCCCATAGAATGAAAGACCCTACAGTCGAAAGAAAAACAAATGATCAAAGCAATAGCTATGTTTAAAAACTCAATATCAGCACTTGGTATTTGAAAGAGGGATTACGCAATTCTAATGAGGTAACAGGCAAAAAGAAGCGAAACACAACAAGAACGGTGGAAGTCCTGAAAAGAGAGTGCCCACGTCCAGCACAAGTCACCACGGCCTTAGCCAAATGAGAATGAGAATCAGGTGAGAGAGTCCAGGAATGTTAACTGGGCGAGACAGAGAAGCAGGTAGAAAGGCTGCACAAGAACACCCTTCACTACCAACACAACGACTGATCAGAGAGAGGAGGTGGCTGCGAAACTGAAGGCAGAGTTAAGAGAGAAGAAAGAATGGGAGTCACAGGACAGAGTGAGTCCAGTTAGATGAGGTAGCCGTCTCACCTCCAGCGGGGCAGATAAAGTTACTGTTGGCGAGCTGAGGCTACGAGGCCGGCGGATCTGAGGCTCGATTAGATGGTTGTTACTGTTTGTGGCTGATCCGGACGCACCATCTTCTGCAAGCTATTTTGGAGGCAAAAACAAGTTAGCTTCATAGGAGGATCTCCCGGTGTGTGTGATTAGGAGCGCGAACCCAAACAACAACGCAAACAGCAATAATAAGAGGTCTGGCCTATTTAAAGCGTGGAGGAAATAATTAAACATAATGATGGGGGAAAGGATGGGGAAACACATTCAAGGGAAATAAAAATGAATCACTAGCCCAGCATAAAAACTAGCCTCGGATTAAAGTGGGGGCTGGGCAGGGAAGAAGCTACACACTGCAATAGGCTCTTACTTTGAAAATATCTTTCACGTCACATTTTTAAAATATATTCAGTGATAAACTGATTTGAAAAGCAAATTCTTCCTTAGGCTATTATTGTATTTAAAGTAATGCATTTTCTTTGTGAGAAAGCTTTTACAAATACGGGTCTTTCAGAACAATACATAAACACCAGGAAAGGAGTTCGGTCATGTACATTTCGGCTTCTATGGCCTGCGGTTTTAAGTTGGATGGCAATCTTCGTACCTGCATGATAGGTCGAGTCCAAGTTGTGGTTCGATTGTTATGATTGACATAGTATGTGCGCCCCTTAGCATCTTTTCTTTCTTCCCAGCCTGAAGGCAGACCCGGCGTGGTATGTACATAGGCCACTGATGGCTGTTTGTGCAAGAAATCATTATTATTTAATACCTTGCATTTGTTTTCTGATCAGTTTAATAAAGTAAGGTACACCCAGATAATTATTTTCTCTAGACAAAGTTAATTAGATCTATTTATATAGAAAACACTTACAAGTGTCTGGAAAACAGCAATAGATTTCCAACAGCTTCAAATCTACTGTGAAATGAACCCCATACAGTTGCAGAGTCCAAATTCTTACAGAACTTGGTTCTAAGACCCCGTAGTCTCAAACGTAAAGGGTTGCTGCCAAGGTGATCACAGGGAAAGGGAAAAACATTATCATCTGTTCTAGCTACTAAATTCCACTGCCAAACCAGGTAGAGCTTAAAGGTATTTCAAACTGTCCAGTGTCACTGTGTATGAGAGGGATGCTCTGAGTTTCTCCTCGATGTAGCTCCCATGGGGTGCTCTTCTAGCTTAGGCCTACATTCCTCCATCAGCTTAGGACCCTAACACTGTAGCTTCTGGGGCAAAATTTTAAAATCCCAACACAGAGCCCCTTCTCTAGGATACTGATGGTCACACAGTAGCATATAATCTGGAGGACCACCCAGGACATCTGTGTGCCCCAGCTCAGGAAGTCTCCCAGCACCCAGCCTCACACCCCAGGCTATGTGCACCCAAGTCTGCTGATAGGAGTGTGTTTCTTTGAAGGTGAACACAGCTTGGCAGTTTTTGGGTTTAGAGACCTGCCCCGCATAGAGTGACTGTATTTAGACAGTCCACATTTGATCACAAGAAGATCCCTGAGAAGCAGTCTAAGAAATGCAGTGTGGATGGAGAAACACTGAAAAACAAGGATGTGTTGATGATGTATGGAGGCACTGGGACAGATGCTGGAGATCAGGGCTGTCCCAGGAGGGCTTGAATGCATAGGCGATGCATGTAATATCTGTGCCTGTGAAAGAGCTCTAAGTGGGGAAAAGCTCAGAAACCAGAAGCCGACCACAGCTATACCACGGCTCCTAGGGGAATCTAAAGGTATAGGAGGAGCCCATGCCTTAGGAATAACCTCTCACGTGAGGTTACAAAAGGAAGCTGCTTCTTTTACTTCCAGATATTTTAGCAGTTGTCGTTTTCTTGCTATTAGGCTGAGGATACAAATTTCCTCTGAACCTAACTTCTTCCTGTGCTTATGCCACCTTTTCCCTGCACTACCAGCAATGTGTCTTGGTGAAGGTGGTCACCTGGAGTTCCCTGGTGGACTCCAGGATCTCAAATTAGAGAAAGCACCAACAAGGATGCTGCCGGGTAATTTGAAAACCCCATCCACAGAGAAGCAGTATGTTAACCTCCCAGGCTTAAAAGCACAATTCAGAGAAAGATCACCTGGGTAAGATCATGAAGCAGCTGATTTTAGATTATGTGTAAGAAAACTTTCTGCTGATATTAAGGAAAACCATTTCCTTAATATTTCCCGAGATAAAGTCCTAAAGCTCCCTAAAGATAGTTTATAAAGACACAAAGACTCGGATCATGGAGCATTCTGGATCCAGGTGTGGAGACTCAGCAGGAGCAGAAGAAACATCAACACTGACTTAATCCTTTCATGAATATTAAACATCGATGAATTAGCATGCAGCCTGAGTGAAGCTCCTTCCTCCCCTCCTCCTCTAGCAGCGATGCCAACACAAAGAGCTACGTGGATCCGGGCACTTCAATGGACTCCCCTGCTGAGCTAAGTTGTAACCTAAGTTCCTGGTCAATTAGTATCTCTGGCAAAGTATGTGCTATCAAGTTTTGACCTACTATTGTTTATACAATCAATGAAATACTAAATGGAATGTGTTACATTCTCAGCTCCCTCCGCCCAGAGCCCTCCCCTTCAGCCGTTCTGGTGATCCACTTCCCCCTCTCCCAGGCCCCTTCCCTCCCATAACTCCCCACTCCCCCTGGCCCCGCCCCTGGAAAACTCAGCTCCGGAAACCTTAGCTCTGGAAACCTTAAGGATATTTTTGCAGTTACTCAATCTCTGGAAAGGACACTTGGGAGGCAACTGATCAACTGAAAGCACATGGATGTGTCATAGATCATGTCAGAACTGAATCCTAAAGCTGTATGAATTCTAGCAACCAGGTTACTTTGTTTTTTCCTTTTTGAGACAGAGTATTGCTCTGTCGCCCAGGCTGGAGTACAGTGGCACAATCTTGGCTCACTGCAACCTCCGCCTCCCATGTTCAAGTGATTCTCCTGCCTTAGCCTCCTGAGTAGCTGGGATTATACGCAAGCGCCACCATGCCCAGCTAATTTTTGTATTTTTAGTAGAGGCAGGGTTTCACCACGTTGGTCAGGCTGGTCTCGAACTGCTGACTTCAATTGATCCACCCGCTTCAGCCTCCCAAAGTGCTGGGATTACCAGTGTGAGCCACTGCACCTGGCCATACAGGTTACTTTCATACAGCCACAGTGAATAGCACTAATCAGTTTGTGGAAAATTAGGAGTGTAGTACAGAACGCTGAATTTGATTAAAATGCTCATTCTCTCTTCTATTGAGAACTGAACTGGCAACCTGTAATTTAGTTACATTTATGTGAGAGGGCAATTTGGAAATGTTTCTTTACAGTGTTCTCTCCAAATGACCACATAGAACAACTTGTGCTGATGATTCCATTTGTAACTCACACTGCCTCCCACCCTGCACGGCTAGTTGAGGGGGCAGGACTCAGCTTCTACAGACAGGCCATGGAAGGGCCCGCCAGGAAGCCAAAACCAGCCTTCTGCTGTTCTGTGCTTGTGAGCATGTTCCACCCTAGCTTAACAAAAAAGTAATCAAACCAGTTAGAAATGGCGACTTAGTTTAACATTTCACAGCTTTTCATCATAGACTGAATACACTACTGCTTTGTGATGCCCAAAAGCCATTAGCTAGAACTTCCTAGTGGCTCTGTTTCTTTCATTAAAATAAAGAACACGATTGTAAACTGCAGAAGTTTCAATATGCTTTTAAAAATAACCACTTTGACACTGACCATCACAGATTTGCCAAGACTTGCACCAACCCAGTAATGGTGGCTCGTGTATTTTTAGAATATATACAACAAAGACTGAAAGGACTGTGCTATCCCTCTCCTTTTATCTCATGGGGAGGGCCCTGGCTTAGTCTGCCAGAAAGTGACACCACTGTGCGTTTATTTGCCATAAATCAAAGGGCTGTGGTTTCTTGGCTGAGAATCAGGGCCTGTTTATTAGACTACAGGAATGAAAGCACTATCATAGAAAGAAAGCTATATCAGGACGGTTACTTCAGCACAGCGTATGGAGTTGAAAGGGCAGGGTAGGGGGAGCAGAAAGTCCTTGAATGTCGGGAAATTAACACTGTAGTGCCTTTACGTCAGTGAATATTATGTAATTATTAACATGTCCCAGAAGAATGAACATAAGTTAAAAAAAAACCAAGTTGCTAAGTAATGTATACATGACATCCCATTTAAAAAAAATAAAATAAAGTGGCACAATGTGTACCTATGTGTACACAGCCGTATGTCTGTGAGAGCACAGGGGCAGTGAGATGATATAATACCATGATGGCTCCAGCCCAGGACAATACACTTCAGTGTGAGTGATGTGCAGAGGAACAGAGGGGATGCCAAAGAGGGAAACACGGGGTGAAGAGACAGAATTGCAAGACAGGAAGTCAAGGGCATTCACGACAAAGGATGTGGAAGAGAAACATGCAGGATACAGCAGAAGAGAAATGGATGTGATCCTTTCAAACCTAAGTAGGTAGGGAGATCTATCTACATCTACCAAAGTAGATGAAACACTTAGGAATGAATATTGCCAAGCCTGTGGAAAGAAAACACCCAACCCATGCTGAAACTCAGTGACGGGGAGGGGAGAGTGCAGGCAAGAAGGCAAGAAAATGGCAGTCTAACGTGCCACCCGGGATCTCATTCAGAGGGGTCACCTTGTCCTGCCAGGTGACCCTTGCCATGGAGCCTGGTACTGCAATGATTCCATTCCTACTTCATTTACTACATCAGCTACCACAACACTCCAAAGCTACACGCAGGTTGCAAGGCCAACAAAATACAAAAATAGGTGATATACAGATGATGTTCATCAGCACTGAATTCAACTAAAATTATCTCACAAAACGATCTTGTCCCCCTCAAAGCTCCACTACTCCCACAGAAATTACAAGTGCACGGTGGGTAATAGTTCATGTAGAATTTCTTGAATTCTACTGGAGGCTGCCTCACTCAACACATGACTCATGTAAACCACTGTAGCTCAATATCTTAACCTGAGCTGAGTGTTCTGGGGCTGACTGTTGCCAGTTTGATTTTCCTCTGTACAATGCTGAGCATTAAATTGAAGTCATCAACATCTTTAGAAAATCAGCAATTGTATACGTAAAGTTATCCACAAGTAATGAGCAGTTATAGCAAAATACAACACAGGTGAAACAATAAGGAAATTCTTTTTTTTTTTTTGAGATGGAGTCTCGCTCTGTCGCCCAGGGTGGAGAGCAGTGGTGCGATCTCAGCTCACCACAACCTCTGCCTCCCGGGTTCACGCCATTCTCCTGCCTCAGCCTCCCGAGTAGCTGGGACTACAGGTGCTCACCACCACGCCCGGCTAATTTTTTGTACTTTTAGTAGAGACGGGGTTTCACTGTGTTAGCCAGGATGGTCTCGATCTCCTGACCTCATGATCCACCTGCCTCAGCCTCCCAAGGTGCTGGGATTACAGGCGTGAGCCACCGTGCCCGGCCAGGAAATTCTTTAAACAGCTATTGCAGTGCGAAGCATAAACTATAAGCTAGCCTAACTTTAGGGATCAAGTAGAAAACAGGCAATTAAAATACAAATCTAAGTCACCCACAGACAGGAATACCATACATTCTTTAAAATAATGAATAAGAATGGTTGGCTTAGAGAAACATAAATTTTTCTAGATCACTTATATATCCTAATTATGTTCCCTTGGAATTACGGAAACTTGTTCATTGTGTGAGGAGAGCCCCTGGTGGCAGAGAAAGGGTCATGGTGCATTCTGGGGACAAGAAAAGTCTAACCCCCTGTGAAAAATGTGGTAGGGGAGATACAGAAAAGAGAAGGGCCCTGGGCACATCCAGGAATCACACACACAGTCTCATGCAATTCCTGTGGCTTCTTTGATGATCTTCCAACCAAATTACTTTAACCAAGCATTCTAATGAAATGGAAAAACTTATCAGGAGTACAAACACTAAAAGTCAAAAATATCTTCTAAATGGTCAAGTTAAATGCACTTAACCAAAGCCTGATAGTATTCCTAATAAAATTATGTGGGACTAAAAAAATCATTCTATTTTACCCAGTACCTTTAAACAATCCCCAAATGAGAAGCTTAAAATAAGAAACGTGTGCAGCTCTGTAGCACAAAGGAGCTAATCTTATTTTTAAAAACAGCGTATATTCACCACTACACGAAATATTAAAACTGCCTCACGGCCTCTTGCTATTGATGTCTGATAAAGTGGATCATTACCGTTGGTTCCTCACCACCCGTGACAGTTGATGAACGCGCTCTCCCAGCTGGGGCACTGGGCTGTGAATGATAATTTACATCAGTGAAATGCACTTAGGGGATGACCCCCTGCTGTCTGAATCAGGGCCCACTGCTGTGGCAGCGCTGTAAGGCAGGTGACGTGAGATCAGAATCCCTGAAACCCACCCTATCCAGACAAAGCCAGCAGTCGCTGATGACCAGTAGCACAAAGGAAGCGTGACCCCTATGCCCCCCAAGGTGGCTCATCCTTGACCTGGGTAAACAATGACAACCTCAAAAGAGTGAGCTGCCTTAGAGAAAAATGGAAAGCTGGTCTGGTTTTGCCTGCCATTGTCAAATAATTAGCAGATTCTGAAATCTCCCCACACTCAAAACTCAAGAGGCCACTGGTGATCAGTGAGTTTACAGCATCAGAAAGTACAAAGAAAGAGGGAGGAATCACCAGTTTCCAGGAAAGTGAGTTCTTTGGGAAATAAAATTGACATTGATTTTGAAAAGGAGAGAAAGTGCCATTCGTTCAAGGAAAATCACAGATCATGAGGTTGAGAAGGATCCTACCAGTCCATCTCAGTTGATTATTTTGTTTTTGGGAGCCCTGTACTGAAACCATCCCAGAAAAGACGCTCTTATCAAGCTTATTATTAAGTCTCTCCAGTGTAAGTCACAAATGACTCTATTATTTTGACTGCTTCCTTGACTAGTATACTCATTAATTTTTTCTCAAACATAAAAAATTAAAACCTAGGCCAAAATATCCTTTGAAGTCAAGAAAAAACATACATGAGAGGGAAGACACTGTGATTTCAAAAACCTTAAATGCACTTTTCCCCCTTCAAATTCATACGTAATACATTATTAGTCTTAAAAATGATCAAGGTTTTGTAGCAACAGACAAAAACTGTCAAGGTAAAATATCAAATTGAACACATTAAAACCACATATTTTCACCTCCAAAAGAAGAAACAAATTTATGTAAAATTTCTTATTTTTAATGTGTACATCAAACATCTCTCAGGGCAGTTCTAGTCTGCCTTCCAACTTGAATATTTCTTTTTACATACATCAGATGTTACAAAATCCCCTACACCTCTACATTTGCTGATAGCTATTAAAATGATGAGAGAGTTGGAAAGAATTATAGCCAATTCCTGGTGAGCAGAGCTGCCTTTAAAGAGAAGGTACAGAGGCTCTGTAGAGTTCAGACTTCAGGTCATTAGGAAGGGAAAGGAACATGTGGACGGTCGCCCAGAAGAGTTCTTCCTGGTTAAAGGGACTCAATGTGTTTTCAAAGTACAGATCACTGGAGCATAACTATAGTAACTCAATAAGGTAAAAGGAATTACTAACTAATGTACCAAGAGGTTTAAGTGAGCAAATCAAAATTGGTATAAATTTGGGTGAAAAACTAAAGCAATGGAGGTTCCAGCATTTTAGAGATGGGTGGCAGTAACAATTCTCTGTATTGGAAATCCACTTTCCTAGGGCAATTGGCCAGGAAATTTAAAAACATCTCATTTATATTGTAAATAAATTTACACAGGAAAAACTCTTTTTGCAGCAGCCCAGATGATTGTAAATGAAAGCCCAAAAAGTCAACTGATGACTGGAAATTAGCATGGGTTACCGGTGGTAGATGGCCCTGTTCTGCAACTGCGTCGGTGACACTGCATGACCTCAACCTTGAGGAGGGTTCTCTTTGCTGGAAGGAGAGGAAAAGACAGGAAGCATCAAGAAATATATTCTTAAAAGCAACTTTCATTGGTTTAACAAACATATCACTCAACCATATTCACCGCTCTTCGATATTAGAAGGTAATTAAATGAAACATCTTTTCAGAGCAAGGACAGTCATCCTTGAAAAAGTTATCTTTCACTTTAATTTTCAGTTAAGCAGACTGGAATTTTGATTGGTCCTTAGAATTAGTGGCAAAAGTAAGAGGAGACCAAAACTTTCAGAAAGGAGACTCAACAGGACTCTGCAACACTCTAATGCTGCTTTACAAACAGAAAGAAGCTAGCAGTCTTGTAGTTTGCTCTAAGATGCACCCTCAGGGTAAATTTTAATGTGATGTGAATAGACGGAAGAAATAGTGATATGTGGCTACCCAACATTTATTGATTACTACAATTGAAAAAGAGTCAGTTGCATCCTATATTCAGAGGAGCTCAGACATCATCTTGGCCTACTTCTGAAAGATCTGGTATTTATAATTTTAGCTGCTTTTTTTTTTTTTTTTTAAATATAGAGTCTTGTTCTATTGCTCAGGCTGGAGTGCAGTGGCATGATCTCAGTTCACTGCAACCTCTGCCTCCCAGGTTCCAGTGATTCTCCTGTCTCAGCCTCCTGAGTAGCTGGGACTACAAGCCCCCCCCACCACACTTGGCTAATTTTTTGTATTTTTAGTAGAGATGGGGTTTCACCATATTGGTCAGGCTGGTCTCGACCTCCTGACCTCAGATGATTCACCCACCTCGGCCTCCCAAAGTACTGGGATTACAGGTGTGAGCCTCCATGCTCAGCCAATTTTAGCTTCTAAGTGGACTTCAAGTAGTAAAGACAGGAATGATTAAAAATAGTGAGATCAAGCTAAAAAAAAAGATCTACTGTGTAGTGTCTTAATATTCCTCTAACTTGTTTGTATTAGTCTATGTGGTTAAATGAAGCCTAATTGATATGAATGAAGATTAGCAGCAGGTCACACACAGAAGCCAGAGTCTCCTTATCGGCAAGTTCATCCATAGTATCAGTTTCTAGTATTTACTCATTTTTAATATTTTGTGATAAGTAAATGGTACAAGAAGACTCTGTGGTAGGGATGGGGGACAATTCACATCTTCCCACATTGGTTACTGTGAAAGAATCAGTCTTTAATAAAAGTGTCACTCTGTTGCTCAGGCTGGAGTGCAGTGGCGCAATCGTGGCTCACTGCAACCTCTGCCTCCTGGGTTCAAGAAATTTTTGGGCCTTGGCCTCCTGAGTAACTGGAACTACAGGTGCACCCCACCACACCCGGCTAAGTTTTGCATTTTTAGTAGAGACGGGGTTTCACCATGTTGGCCAGGCTGGTCTTGAACTCCTGACCTCAGGTGATCCGCCTGCTTCAGCCTCTCAAAGTGCTGGGATTATAAGCATTAGCCACCGTGCCCAGCCAAAGCTCATGTTCTTCCCCTTGAATACAGGGTAATCCCAATGAGCAAATATCCGATTTGACTCTCATTTAACAGTGAACACGATGTGAAATAATACAACATTGTATTTGGGTCTTAATGATATTTCACAGATCTAGAATAATTAAATTCAGGAGCTCCTCATTTAAATAATTAGAATTGCTAACTTATGATTATTGCTGAAAAAAATTACAGTGTTTACTTGGTTTACTAAAGGTGTGTTACTGCCATGGATTCTGTGGTACCTCCTTGCTTTTATAGGTTTTAAATACAAGGCTTCATTGTTTATGTTGTTTCTATAACAACAGTTTTATCAGTTCAAATATCCCATATATATGCAATTTCTTTTATCCTGTCCATTTAGTACTACATTTTCATCTTGGCGACACATCTCTTTTTGAAAAAGTCACAGAATTTCAAAGTGAAATCACATTAACTGAATGATAAATGCAACTCATGTAATAGAGGCGTATACTGTCTTTTAAAATAAAAACACCATAACCAAAAAGTAACAATTTTGTGAGTACTTACTTGCTTTTACATTGTATGCAGTGCTATCATTTATGTTTGTTATGGTCATAGTAATGACTATTTTTTTTTAGGATGCCATTTTCAGTGGAGTGACTATCATCATTTACTATTGTACATTTTTAAGTTCAGTTTCTTGAGAAACACTGAGACTTCATTTGCTCTTAATTCTATGCACAAGCAGGGATTTTCTATGGGTTATTTCTGCACAGTTTTGTATTGTCAAACATGGAAGTCTTTGTGACTGATTCCATTGGGCTCAGGCATTGGGCCCATCTGAAGCTTCTAGAAAGTATGTTTCTGATGGTTGAGAGCCCAAGTTAAAATGCTACCTTGATGACAGTGTCACAATTTCACAACATTTCTCAAGGGTTCATACTCTGGGACTTAGGAGACGTCTTCTATCTCCCACTCAAACCTTGTCTTGGATGAGCCACTTAAGCATTGTGCCCTTATCAGCGAAATGAGAATGATAAATCCTGCAGAATATGACTTAAGAGGACTGATTAGGCCTGATGGCTTTTAATTGTTACTGTGAAATACTACCTTTGTGATAAAGGTACTATTTTCATGAGCCTTTTGGCTGGGAAAGGAATTCTACAAGGTTAAAGCTAATAATTACAGACATCATGGAGTTTTACTTCTTTGAGTTCTTTATAAACCAAGAAAGTGTTAGTGGTATAAGGGTGAGCAAAGCTGCCTTCCAAATCAAGAAAGATTCTCACCTGCTTGGGCTAATTTTAGTACAGTCCTGCTTCTCCTAGGGAAGGAGGAACTTTGGAAAATGTCAGAGTTAGCTGGGAGCTGGAAGACCCTTGGTCACTATTTACGTAAGAGATTCTCCTTAAGCAACAAAAAACAATAAAACATTGCTCAGCTTTTCTTTCAAACAAGGCCACTACTTACAATCAAAGAGCTGAACTGTTCCCCATTGGAGTCTGGAGTGATCTGAAGCCTTCTGCTTAGTTCCTCTGACAGCTCCTGAGGGCTGGTCCGAGATCCTGGGGAGGCCGGTGGTGGGGGCAGAGCCAGACCGAGAGAGTCTCCAGCGATATTCACTTCCTCTGAAATGGTCTCCCAAGGCTTTCAGAGAAGGAGACACTGGGGTAAACACTAGAAAGAAGTAGGGATCCACCCAGCTCCCCAATGAAACCATGTAACAACAATAGCCCCGGTGATAACTATAATTAACACCTACTAAGTGCCTCTCATGAGGCACACAACCTTCACAATAATCACGAGGAAGATAACTCCCCCAATTAACAGATGAGGAAACTGAGGCACAGAAAATAACCTGCCCAAGGTAACATCTAGCAAGTGGTAGGGCCATGATGTGAATCAAAGAGGCCTGGTTCCAGACAGAGGCTGTGCTCTTAACCACTTTATAACAATGCCTCTCTGAACAGTGACTGATTTCCAGCACTTGTTACTATATGTGTGGGCAAAAAAACAAACACACACACACACTTCTCTGGAGTTTATAAACAATTGTCATGGATTTTCTTTTACTTTTAACCACTGAGGATTCACCGTGGGAGCAGCATAGAAGCTATACGCTGTAATTAAACAATGGTATAAAATAACTTAGAGTGAATGTGTTATGGAATCATTACTTTTGCTTTTCCAAGTTGAATCGCCGCATTCTAAATGATCTTCCTAACACAATGTCTAAGAAGAATGGATTTTTAGTACATAAACAGAGCTGGTAAGATAGCATGGAAGATTATGGCTAATTTGTTGTTTAATTCATAACGTTTTAAGTAACATACCATAACTATTTAAAGGGAAAATTACACATTTCTGTTCACCTAAATTTATATTTTCATGGTAATAAATCTCTTCCAAGTGTCAAAGCGACTCAATAAAAATATGCATATGATACCCAAACAAGTTACAGGGCTCATTCAACAGCTCAACTATGATAAAAACAAGCTGTCATTTAATGAGACATGGTTAGACCCCTGTGAAAAATAAATTACAAACTAAAAATATCTTAAGATTTTCATACTGAAAAATAATGTGGGCTGGACACAGTGGCTCACGCCTGTAATCTAAGCACTTTGGGAGGCCAAGGCAGGTGGATCATGAGGTCAAGAGTTCAAGACCAGCCTGGCCAACATGGTGAAACCCGTCTCTACTAGGAAAAAAAAAAAAAAAAAAAATTAGCCATTGTGATGGCATGCACCTATAACCCCAGCACTTTAGGAGGCTGAGGCAGCAGGCGGATCTCGAGGTCAGGAGATTGAGACCATCCTAGCCAACATGGTGAAACCCCATTTCTACTAAAAATACAAAAACTGGCCGGGTGTGGTGATGCGTGCCTGTAATCCCAGCTACTCAGGAGGCTGAGGCAGGAGAATTGCTCGAACCCAGGAGGCGGAGGTTGCAGTGAGCCAAGACTGCACCACTGCACTCTAGCCTGGGCGACAGAGCAAGACACTGTCTTCAAAAAAAATAAAAATAAAAATAATGTTATTCCCATTTCTATAATATAGAGCCACCTATACTTGTCAAATACGGCTTTTATAGGCACTTTCAAATTAATATTCAGATGGTAATTAATTCCCTGCGTCACTGTAATCTTTACATTCTCAACAATGTTTACTGACAGAAGAAATTATGATATAAAATCAAGCTGGAGAACATGGGAAGAAGGAGCTGCCGGGCTTTGCACCATTCTGGGGACATCGTACCTCGGGGACATCCCCGCCCTCCGAGGGCTCGGGCTCCAAGTCTTCGCTGATGTGCCTGCGGGAGCGGAAGCGCCGGTGTGCTGCCTCCTGGTTGATCTGTCTGATGTTATTGTCCGACTCCGAGGACACGTCCCTGAGCATGCAGGAAAGGGGGAAAGAGAAGAAGAGAAGTGGTTGAGATCGGGCCCTTCATGACAGTTCAATGCTCACGGAGGGCCAGATGGCCACTAAAGTGTCAGCGTCAAACACTGACAACTAGCTGGTCATCCAATGTGAGAATTCTCCCACCATATTACGGCTAAAGTATAGGTTAAGGTTCATTTCAATCAAATAAATGCAGTTTTAAAATGCATTAGTCACACCATTTTGAGCATCTTTCAGGCATACATTTCAAAATATACCTCAGTGTTTAATAAAAAACAGAAATCAAAGTCCTCTGCCCATTTGCCACAGTGACAAGTCAGACCTCTGGAAGCAGAGGTGACAGGCAAGTTCACACAGCAGCTGGGCAGTCCCAATCCTTCTAGAAGTCCAGCAATGACAAGGCAGCTACTTCTGGTCACCAGCAATTTGACCAAAGACTACAAAAGGGACAAATTCAAAGCTGTCATCTGGAGGAAAGTACACCTGATCCAACATGAATTTTTTTCAGCTGCTTTCTAGCTCATTTTAACAGAATCTCAAAATCGTGACACTGCATTTACCTCCTTTACCCTACTTTAAAAATCCTAATAACATCAGGAGATAACCTCTCAAGTCAGCCGGGGTCTGAAGAACACCAAAACATCATACCCTATTTTTTGTCATGTGATGTTCTCAATTCAGGATCTAAAAGTTTTGATTCAATTTGGAAGACTTTTTTGGGCTGGGCATGGTGGCTCATGCCTGTAATCCCAGCACTTTGGGAGGCCAAGGCGGGCGGATCACTTGAGGTCAGGAGCTCAAGACGTACCTGGCCAACATGGCAAAACCCCGCCTCTACTAAAAACACAAAAATTAGCCGAGTGTGGTGATGCGTGCCTGTAGTCCCAGCTACTCAGGAGGCTGAGGCAGGAGAATCACTTGAGCCCAGGAGGCAGAGGTTGCAGTGAGCTGAGAGATCATGTCACTGTACTCTAGCCAGGGCAGCAGAGTGAGACTCCATCTCAAAACAAAACAAAACAAAAAAAAAAAGAAAAAAGAAAACTTTTTTTTTTGCAGTAAATTATAGGCAATCATACTTTGGGGGAAATACTAGTCAGAGGCTTTTAGTGTACAAGTTTAAATGCCAAAAATTTTTTCAGGGAAAACTCTCACAGATACTTTCAATAAGATAACATATCCCATTAACAAAAATTATGTCACAAGTCAGTATCTCAAAAGTTGAAATCGTCATTTCAGACTAACTGAAATATAGTACTTATCAAGAACACTCATTATAGACTCTTTCTAAAACACAAATTTTAAAGTTTTCTCACACATTCTGAAATGAACTTATACTGTATCCCAATAAAGGGCCTGCTAGCAGAGGTTGTGGTGGAAACTCTTTTTCCTTAACTAACTTTCCTCTTGCCTTCTAGAAGTTATGCCCATTGGAAGGAGGCGCTCCTCAGGTTCTGCCAAGTTCTGCTGTGTCCTTCCTGGCTCAGCCTCTCCCTTTGGCATTGCTGCCTCCTTGATGGGGCAGTTATGCCTCTGCCTTCTCCCAAAACTACATGTGAGCCCGAACTTGGATTAAGAACTGCATTTTTCAGCCGGGCGTGGTGGGTCATACCTGTAATCCTAGCACTTTGGGAGGCTGAGGTGGGCGGATCACCTGAGGTCAGGAGTTTGAAACCAGCTTGACCAAGCCAGTGAAACCCCATCTTCACAAAAATACAAACATTAGCTGGGCATGGCGGCGGGCGCCTGTAATCCCAGCTACTCAGGAGGCCAAGGCAGGAGAATCGCTTGAACCTGGGAGGCGGAGGTTGCAGTGAGCCGAGATGGTGCCACTGTGGGTGACAGAGTGAGACTCTGTCTCAAACAACAACAGAAAAAGAACTGCATTTTTCCCTTGTTGCTCTAGACTAGTGAAGAGCCAGCAAGTTATACCTTTTGTTTTAGTTTCTGGGACACTGCCACCAAAGATGGTTTCTCTTTTAAATCACTTTATTGAGGTCTAATCAACACATTAAAAAGCTGTTCATGTTTAACGTACACCTCTTGATGAGTGTGGGGACATGTCTACACCTGTGGAGCCATCAAAAAAATAGTATATATTTTAAAATGTATGAAGTGTTTTCTCAAGAATTCCCTCGTTAGTTTCACAACTCTGTGAGGCAGAGAAAGTAGCAATTATCCCTATTTGTCCCCAAAATACAAACTCTAATCTGCATGATCCTTATTTATGAAGTTGAATATTTTTCCATATACATATTAGCTATCAGGATTTTTTCCTTTGTGAGTTGCTCCTGGCCACTTTTCTGCAGAGGTCGCATGAGGATCTACCTTTTCAGTACTCCTTTCTCATGCTGTTGAGCAAAGGTAGGTAATGGTGCTTTGCTTAGGATATTGCTACCAAGATTCTTCTAGTCACTACATGTAACCAAGCCCAAGGTGGGTCCAAATTCATTTTTACTACAAATAGCTACAATGGATTACAATAATTCTAATAGCTATGGGCATTAATCAAAAGGAAATAGTAAGCAATAATATAAAAAACAAAAAGAATCAACCAAGCTATTTCCATGGGAAAAAACTTTAACAAAAGATAGTTCAGCATTACCCAGCTGATCTGATATTTTTGCTGTCCTGAGACCATTTTGCTGTCCTGAGCTAATGCCCGTGCTGGGTAGTCTAAAGCTGATCACGAACAGCTGACATTCACGAGAACCCACCTGGGGGCTCAGAGAAGACAGGCTATTCGTTGTTCCAGATTCTGCAAGCTTTATCTCTAAATTAAACAAAACCTAGACCAGAAAACTTGGCCACCCTCCCCACCCACAGTCATATGTGGAGTATCTTTACAATTTCTAAAGATAAAAGGTTTTTAAGAACATGATACCTCATACTGCTTGTTGTCTAAAATGTATCATTAGCCACTTTCTTTCAGAGTTCGAGTAGACAAGAAAATTATACTACCCAGTAGACTTGCTTTTATTACATACTGAAAGTTGTATAGTTCATTGATAATTTCCTCCTTGTCTTGGCTGCTAGGCAGCTCATAATTTCTAGGATAAAATTCCTTTTCCTTAAGACTTTCTTTTTGCCCTTCGATGTATTATCAATAGACTTAGATCTTGCTGTATAAAATGATTTAAAAACAAGCTGCTACAAAACCATTTTTAAAGTCCATGAGTTTTAACCAGTGTTTATTTGCTATCAATCAAACCACAAATTGCTGAGGGAACAAAACAGGAATTGGTTTACTGCATCCCTGAGGCTGGTGAGGGATTAAAATACACAGTAATTACTAATTCTGATTTTGCAACTCTCCCATGTGTTTCTGATTATATTAAGGGGCTCAAATTTCCTTAAAGAAAAAAAAATTTTTGAGGTTTCCAAATCAATGCATTGAAGAGAGTAAACATCCAAAAACTTAGAGAAAACAGAAAATTGCAAAGCCAATTTGCTTGCCGGTTCTGTTCTGGGTCAGTTGGGAGAGAAAGGTGAAGAAGAAAACAATATAATCAACAAATGTAAAATAAGTCTAAGAAAAACAACCTCTGCTTTGTATTTCAGGAATCGACATAAAAGAAGACATAGAAAATAAATCAGCTCATATTGAAAACAGCAGCATGTGACTCAAAGGCAATCGCTTACAATATACAAGTTCTGACTGCTCTTGCATGCTTTACGTAAATGGAGAGGAATCTCGTACCACACCACCATCTGCTCTTATAGACATATGATTTATTTCCCAGCCTTGTCCCAAAGGGCCGCCATATTTGTCCCTAGCTGTGCAGTGCACGTGCACGTGTTCCTGACCATCACACGGTACTCACATCAGGCTTGGTCTGTGCCACTGAGTGGTCCGGTTGTTGTGGTTGACATAGTAAGTTCGGCCTAAATTGTCCACTTTTTCTTCCCACCCGGGAGGCAGAGGAGGAGGAGGAAGTTCCTCTTGGTGCTGAGAAGCCGAGTCATTTGAGTCAACAACTTCCCATCCATGCTGCGGAATAAAGTTAAAGGGACGATTATGAGGTTGGTTCTTCGGCTGTGAGTAAGAGGTCATCACAGCATGCCCTGCATGCCCTTCTCCTTGCTCTGGGGCTCTCTGGCTCTAGCCATGGCTTCGGGGCCACATTTGAGTAAATTCCCAAATGAAGGCCAAAAAAATATATATATATCAATTCTAGAAAGGCCTCAAAAATCTTCTGAGTAATGGCCAATTAATTGTGCTGCCCTCTAAGATGACTACATTGCAGGACAACACAATTTGGATCTGCACAGTCGGTGACACTACTTAAGTCACATCATACTCTTTCCATACGTCATGTTTGTTATTTTGACTGGAGGGCCTCCAAGGCTGTACAAAGCCCTGCCAATGATGTGCGTCACAGTACAGCTGCCATCTTTTCAACACCTCTATGAGGTAAAGGGAGCAGGGAAGATGAGCTGCGCTGCACCTGTGTTCTAACAGAACTCATGGCACAGGGGACCAGAGGCCCAGAGTCCTGTTGCTCCCCAGGGAGGTGGGCTTTGAGAGAGAAGCCTCCTCTTTGCATCCCAAACAACCGCAGGAGCCAGGAGTCTGGAAGCTGCTGCCTTCTACTCAGGCCCTCTACACTGGCTGTGTCCACACCAACGGGTTTCATGGTACCAAAATTCGAGTTCCATTTTTACAGCACGTATTTTAGGCATTACGTATTCCCTTCCTAACATCCTCTGCTAAAATCACTGGAAAATTAAGTAATTCACTGGTTACTGCGGTTGGAAGGCAAGAAGAGTGTAAAAAATTCCTTGGATTTGAGATGAAAATCTGTTGACATGCTTATGAAATGTTAACATTCATAAATTTCTATCACCCACATTATTCCTCTTCATGTATATAGAGAGATGAAGGCTTGTAAATGAAATAATGCCTGGAAATATGATCTCTCAGGCGGAGGAGTGTTCGGGTAACTTCTCCACACACATTATTCACATATCACATATATGCAACAGCTGCAAACAGATGTGAGAATAAGCCCTAGAGAGGTCTCGTTTAATGGACACTTTGAGAATATGAGAATTTGCCTAACAAAACAGCACTGGCCGAGGTGTGTGCTGAAAAGGTACGATAGGACCCACAGCATCAGTCTGTGACAAGGTAAATACAGGCGGCTCTGTCAGGAAGGAAAAAAGGGACATTCCTCTGGTCAGCTCGTTGCAGAATGGCATTTCTAGAGGAGGGTTTTTCTACTGCAGGCTGTCACCTGTGGCCAAATGAGTAAGAAACTTGAAAAAAAAGTGATTTTCTAAATTCCTCCACCCACTTTGAAGCGACCTCAATGGCTAAAAAGAATTTACAAAGAGTTGCAAGTCCATAGCAATAATAGGATTCAATGTGTGAGGAGACTTTCACAGAGCTGTGGGGCTAAAATTGGGGAATAGGCATGGCATTGTCTAAAGAGAAATCTCTCCGAGGATTGGTGTTGTAACATAAAAAGTTCATCTTTAACCAAAACAAATAACTGCACTGGTAGACTATCAATGACCAATTTGCGGACATATGTACTTTTTTTTATATTTAAGCTTTCTAAACTTTTATTTCCTTCAATTATAAAGTTTGAAAGCAAAACATGAATATGATCTCAAGGCAAGGAGAGAGGCCTGACGCCCTCCACGTACCTCCATGTCATCCCTCTGGTCACTGTTTTCTTCATCTTGACCTCCATTTTTTGGCATATAGGCCATTTTCAATCGCAAAAATCCCTTAACTCGAGACTTATGACTGCACACATAATGGAAGAAAATTGGTTAGAAGGGTTGTGACTTCAAAGGACACTTAAAATCGTCTTCAGCAAAAGCCAACCACCACAGCACGCAGGGCAGGCATCCCCACCCACCCATACCCACAGCACACAGGGCAGGCATCCCCACCCACCCATACCCACAGCACACAGGGCAGGCATCCCCACCCACCCATACCCACAGCACACAGGGCAGGCATCCCCACCTATACCCACAGCACGCAGGGCAGGCATCCCCACCCACCCACACCCACGGCACGCAGGGCAGGCATCCCCACCCACCCATACCCACAGCATGCAGGGCAGGCATCCCCACCCACCCACACCCACGGCACGCAGGGCAGGCATCCCCACCCACCCATATCCACAGCACGCAAGGCAGGCATCCCCACCTATACCCACAGCATGCAAGGCAGGCCTCCCCACCCACCCATATCCACAGCACGCAAGGCAGGCATCCCCACCTACACCCACAGCATGCAAGGCAGGCATCCCCACCCACCCATATCCACAGCACGCAAGGCAGGCATCCCCACCTATACCCACAGCACGCAGGGCAGGCATCCCCACAGCATGCAGGGCAGGCATCCCCACCCACCCACACCACAGCAAGCAAGGCAGACATCCCCACCCACCCATATCCACAGCACGCAGGGCAGGCATCCCCACCTATACCTACAGCATGCAGGGCAGGCATCCCCACCCACCCATACCCACAAGCCTCACCTTCTTGGTCTGAGGAGAAAGTCCTTAAATGTATAGGGTCGCTCCATGGTTGGATCTTCTGTCTGTGGGGAAAAAACAGTAAATTAAATTTTAATATTCCTAATAATTTCATGTTTTAGATACAGGCAACTGGATTACAGAGAATATATTTTGAATTTTAGAATGTGGCACCGCTGAATGTGTTTCTTCACTTGGTACCTGACAGTCCACGGAACTGATCTACTAGAGATCCACTAGATGTCACTATCCACACCGGGTTTTAGGAGCCAGCCCCAGCCACAGACAAATGACAAAATTACAGCTGTCATTGCCAAGTAAAATTTCTAACTGCAGGGTGTGGCCTCAGTCTCACAGAGCTGATTCACTTCGGAGAACCAGCGGTCACCAGTGCCTTGCTATATGCCTGTGACTCGAGACACATATGGGTGGAGTAAACAGAAGAATATACAAGATTTAATCTTTGAGGGAAACTTTGTTTTTTGTATTAAAATCTCACAACATCAGCCTAAGAGAATTGAAAGACTATCTCCTGCACAGAGATCACCCCAGGAAGCAGCACCGATCAACCTTCTGCTGAGGTTCAGTTCATGAAGCTATGAGTACAAGTGGAGTATTTGTTCATTTTTAAAGAAATCAGTGTTCATTTGATTGTGTGAAGTTCATTGTGAAGTTCCTACCAAAGCAGGAAATTGGATAAATAAGTGTGACTATTTCATTAATCTTTAAATACTATATATTCAGTAAAACCTCAAATACCTAGACCCTTCAATTAAACACAATTTCAAATACTTTTATAGCAAGAGATAAACCAGTCCAGTGATTTACTGTATCAGGTTTGTGTGCGCGTGCATGCACACACATGTATGTACGTATGCACTGCTATTTGAAATGTTATCTGTTTATGTCATTCTCTGCTTTAAACTCTCAATGGGTTCCTACTCCTCTCATAATAAACTGAAAATTCTTTCCTATGACTTAGAAGACCAACTATAATCTGGCCTTGAATCAACTTTAACCTCATTGGGAACCAGTCTCTCTCTTCCTTCCTTGTACTCCCAACCATCCTGTCCTCATCTGCCATGGATGCAGATTATATGTACTGCAGTAGGGCCCATGCACAGGCAGGTCCCTCTGCTGGACAGCTGACTCTGGATGGCATGGCTGTTTCCACTTTGCCATCCAAGTGTGAGATCCCAGGTCTCATCCTTTAGAGTTCCCACCATCAGCCACCCTTATCACCCCCCATCCTATCGTCCTGCTGTATCTTCCTCATATCACTTTCTGAAAGTACCTGTTCATTTGTTGACATACTAGTTTATTATCCATCACTTCCAGAATGTAAGCCCATGAGAACAGAGACTTGAATTTGCTCACCATTGGATCACCGGTGCCAAGAACATTGCCTGGCACCAAGTAGGTACTCACGTAAGCACTCAATTCATCTGATCTGTAGTAAACTATGGAGGCTCTCAAAATTCACTATCATTGAATGAAGTAAATTATATTTTCTAGACTGTTCTTATGAGGCAGTAATAAACATACATTTTGAAAATATTTTCTACCAAAAGGTTTGTAAATATATATAAGGAAATAAATGGATAATTTATTAAGAAAACTATTGCTGGTTTTCCTTCCTTTTTTCATTTATTAAACCAACATTTATTTATTTAATTTAGAGACAGGGTCTTCTGCTGTCCAGGCTGGAGTATAGGGGCACAATCATAGCTCACTGCAGCCTCAACTTCCTGGGCTCAAGTGATCCTCCCACCTCAGCCTCCCAAGTAGCTGGGACCACAGGTGTGTGCCACTATGCCTGGCTAATATTTTTATTTTTTATAGACATGGGGGTCTTCCTATGTTGCCCAGGCTGGTCTCAAACTCCTGAGCTCAAGACGTCCTCCTGCCTTGGCCTCCCAAAGTGCTGGGATTACAGGTATAAGCCACCATGCCCTGCCAACCAACAAATAATTTGAGAGCAATATTATGTCAACGACATGTGGATACAACATGGTATAGCAGTCCTTATGGTTACAATTACAAGGGAAGAGCCATCATGTCAACAATCCACTAGAAGCTAAGGCAGAACAAATTCACTGACACAGAGAGGTTACATTCTGTGAGACTTGGGGTACAGGGAACAGACGGACTCTGACTTGGAAATCAAAATGGTTTTGGATGTGGAGTTCAATACAATACAGGGTGATGGGAAGGCTTTGAGAGGTAGAGAACAGGGAGAAAGGACAGTTTAAACATAGGAAATCAAACAGTATGACAAAGCCTACAGGATCACCAGTGGGCATGAGCAATCTAGGAGCAGCAGAGAACATGCAAGAGAGTGAAGAGGGAAAACCACGGAGCTTAGAGGGACTCTGAACCTGAGTCTGTCCATACCCTATGCAGCTTAAATGACTGATATCACACAGGTCAAAAGGCAGATCTCCTAGGTTTGCATCCTGGCTTTGTTACTTACAGAGCCAAGTGGCTAAGGGCAAGTTCCTTATCTCTCTTGGCCTCAGTGTCCTCATCTATAAAATGGGGCAGTAACCATAACTTACAGGGCTGTTGTGAGGATCAAACCAATCAACTGAGTTGGTTTCTATAAAGTTCTCAAGGGCACCTGGCACACTCAACAAACACTAGCCATGTTCATTGGCCAATTCTACACGTTCATATCATTTGTCAGTACTGCCAACTCAATGCCAAGCAGTAACAGGTAGGGCATTAAAATCAAAGTTCACGTTCATTGAAATTCTCTAGCCTGAATTAGAAGATGATCTTATAGATAACTACAAGATTCTTCTTGGCATTCATCCAGGTTCCAATCTGATCCTGTTCCCTGGAGCAGAGCTGAGTGGAGCCTCCCAGGATGGCTTTGAGGGTGCTCCTGGTGGAAAGCCATCTTAAACACACTGCTGCAAACAGTGCTATTAGCCACAATAGCCACAATGCTGCCCCCGTTCCAGGGTAAAAGCATTCAGAAGAAAATCTGGATACTCAGTACTTTCATCTTGAAAGAGAGTAGTTGCTTTCAGCCTAGGTGCATTCACTATGGAATAGAGTGAGATAAAGGATTCTGCAGGCAAATGGAAGGAGAGGGCCCTGCTGGGTCCCTAGACTCGAAACTTGTATGCAACCACTGCAAGCACCTAAGCCTTGGGCGAATCCACCCCATGCCCACACCCTTGACCACATCACAGGCTCACAATGATGCTGGAGAGCCAGGGTCAGATCCAGCACCACCAATGACCTGCTTATTGCTGGGCAAGTCCCCTCCCTCTCTGGGCCCAGGCTTTTTCACCTGGAAAATACTGGGAGTGAATCAGTGTCTCTGAAGTCCCTCCAAACTCCATGATTTTGAATTCTGCACTCATGAGAGGGAACCATCAGCCTGCTACCTGCTACCAGCCATCAGCCATAAACACAAAAGGGGTAAAAGGATGTTGGTCAGCTGAGCTACCTCCAAGTACAGGCAGGGCATCAAATAATACCACCACCCTGAAAATGCCTCATCTAGGAAAATTTAAATTCCAGAGTCAGCCATGGTTGTCTTAAGTGGCACATGACTGGGATTTAGGAAAACTTAATGTTTTAAAATAGCTCTCTCTGCCCCACTGCCTTTCCCAGGGACGAAGAGATTTTGTGGCTGGGCAAAGGTGGGTTACTGAGGGCTCCAGGGGAAGGGGAGACAGAGCTGACAAGTCAAGAGGAAGGTGCAACAGGCAGACACCTGCCAGAAATCTCACTCTGTTAATACAGATCTCAGAGTTCTCTTTATCGCTAAATAATTAATAGATTCAAGTTATCAAATATCATATGAATTTTTAGACAACGATGCACTGAATTTAACAGACAAATGTGAAAACGGCAGTTGAAAAGTCAATGATGGTACAGTTACAGCTAAGTTTGCTCTTGGTCTCTGAATGTAAAAGCAAAAGGAGAGCTTGCTCTGTCTCCAAGGCTGGAGCGCAGTGGTACAACCACGGCTCAGCGTAGTAATGACCTCCCATGCTCAAGCGATCCTCCCACCTCAGCCTTCTAAACAGTTGAGGCAACAGGCATGTGCCACCATGCTGGGTTAATCTTTAAGTTTCTCTATAGAGACAGGGTCTTGCCATGTTGCCAAGGCTGGTCTTTAACTCCTGGACTCAAGCGATCCTCCTGCCTCGGCCTCCAAAAGTGCTGGGGTTACAGGCATGAGCCACTGTGCCTGGTCTATTTCCTTTTATCTAAAGCTTGGTGGTTTTGACAAATTTTGAATCTACAGACTGTTAATAATCCACCTTGACAATGGTCATATACTAATCAAGAACACAGCATCCATAATTCGATCCACAAAATACACGCATATGCTCCCGCCCTCTCCACACTCATACCTGTGTGCTATCACACAAACAGAATGCCACTGTAATTTCCCCATGAGCATCCTATACACACGACCAAACATACACACGAAAGCACCTGAAATCCTGGATTCAAAAGCCACGTGCATTCAGAACACGCAACTTGGGTTCTACTGCCACATGAATAAAGAATATACCTTCACGCCTCTCCTTTTGTTTTCTTTGTGGTCCATCTCTCTGACTATAGTTGGCTGTGAACAGCTAGTCAGTTTGAAGTATGGAGGTGAAGCACGCCACTGCAAGTTACCCTCTGGGCACACGAGTAACTAGGGGCACTCGGTCCTCTCTGGGCGTTCACGGCTCTACCCTCTGCAATCGGCTGGCTTCTATTCCTGCCCTGTGCCTCTGCACCGCTTCCTTCTTTGAAGGCTCACTGACCCTGCCTCCACTCAGAATCCAAAGCTAAACTATTCTTTATACTGACTTGGCCTCGGAGGAGGAACCTTTTTCTATTTTCTGGGAGCCCTACTCAACCTTTCAAGACCAGGTGCTGCTCACTCACTCAAAAAAGAGCTTGTCAGAGCAAGGTTTTTAAACATGTCACTTTTGCCTCTTACCAAATATTAGAATATTTGCCTCTCAGAAAATAATTTCCCCTGGCCAAGATGTGGTTTTTACATTAGGGAAAGGGTGGCTGGAGACGTCCATAAAAGAGCTGGCCCATCAACCAACACTGTCTAAAAGTGTGAGAGGATCGCAGCTTCAGTCTGAAGAACATACACAGAAGACCTCCCAACGTAGAAGGATGCGAGGTCTTTGCTCACAAAAGGTGAAATAGTCACATCCTCCCAACGTGACCTGAGAAGAGCAGTCAGGTTTCTGATGGCTCATGGAGTAGTTCTCACGCAGAAGCCCTGGGCAGGCCCCTCCCGTGGCACCCTGGAGCTTCAGAGTTTTAAAAAGAAACAAACAAGATATTTTAAGAATATCACTTTCACTTCCAGTCCTTTGGAACCTTGCGACTTTCTTCCTTAACAGCTCCCCTGAGTGAGTAAGAGTAAATTACTTGCTATCACCTTCCTTCACAACACATCTTCAAAGCTTACTTGGTATTTAACATATGGAAACAGCCATAATTTCCACACAGCAGGAAGCTTATGCTAGCTTTAAATAGCTTTAAATAAAGTAAATAAAGTAAAGTCACTTTACTTTATAGACTATTTATGCTATTTGCTCACACAAAGCATTTAAAAAAATAACACAATGCCCTTGTAAGGCAGAAACATTCGCCTTTCCTCTCTCAGCTGCTACTTCTATCACGTCGTTGTGCTGCCCAGGGAAGAAGGCCAGGAGGAAGGCTGGGACAAGCCGGAAAACTGAAGCTGGAATAGGAGATGGGGATCCACCTTTCTCAAGGCCTCCAGGTCCTACCTACACATTCTGTCTGCCCTGCCTCCTGTTTCGGGTGTCAGCCCTAATGCCCGTCACTAGTCAACAGCCTCGACTGCTCCGCTACTTTGAGCAGAGAGAAATGGCAGCACCACACATGCTAACTCAGTGCGTGTTCCAGCGAGGGTGGGTGTTCCCAGCTGACAAGTTCACTCAGAATGAACAGGCTCTTCTTTTGTCACCATGCTGACTGAGAAAGCCAGACACCAAAATCTGGGAAATGCTATTATAGTTTGTGTACAGGAATCCAAGAGAAATGGCATGTGCGGTTCCAGACAAAGAGTGCAAACATCTGATGGGACCCGGAGGATGCATTAGGAAGCAGAGACAGTAAGTGACAAGAAGGGAGGCCTGAGTGAAGGAGGTGTCTGTTTTGTAAGATGTGATACACAAAGGTGGAGCAGCTGAAGTGCAGAAAAGAGAGGGAGCTGGTGGATGGGAACGCAAGCGCACGACTCAGGCACCCTTGACTACTCTTACAGCCAGCTTCTCCTCCATCCCCTTGAAAGGACCACTTTCCAGAAAGGACTAAGGCCACAGCACACGTGCTTCATTTCAGCCTTCTTCACCGTGGTGAAGAAATGCCACTCTGAAAATACACTGACTACAAACAATTAGAAACCCCCGCCCCCAGCACGAAGCATCAAACATGAGACTGTCCTTACCGGAAGGTGACTAAGGGGCACGTCCACCTGGCCCAGGAAGTCGTCTCGTGTCTGTTAGGAAGAGAACAAAGAGTTAGTGTTTCCATTTCTTCACTGAGCGTCAGCATTTCCTAAAAATGTTTTATCATGAATAGAGACAAAGGTCCAGGGCCTGGCACTGGAATGTGGAGGGCGGAAGGCCCCGAGGAGACACGAGTAACCACACCCCGGGAGACCAGGAGCCCGTGCGCCTGGACTGAGCTGGCTGAGATTCTGTCTGGTGTCTGCTACCAAGCACAATGCTATGGAAGCCTCTGTAGAAGCTGGGAGAACATGATCAGTCAGGGAAGAGACAGGCAGGGTTTGAGGGCACAGCTGGGCCCAGCTGAAAGAGAAGATGGCAAACAAATGCTGGGAACATTTTAATAAGTGTTTACTGATCCAATGCTAAAAACTAAAGAGCTTCTTGAGAGCTGAGAGCCAATGGAAAAAGTATATGGCCTAGTTACCAATGCATCTTACAAACTGCATCTCACAAAAAAATACACACTTTTTAAATCCAGTAAGTACATTGTTTTTTTTTTAATCTAGTAAGTGCACTGCTTCAGAGTCCACGTATATGGATCAGGTCCTGCTAATTTTTGGACACACCATGCCTCTCCCTCTCCACATCTACCATACTGCACGTATCTCTCCCGACTTCAAAGAGGCCCAGGTGAAAATCATTTGGAGCCACGCACCAGTCCCCTCTCAGGCTCTGGGAGTCATCTGGGAAGTCATGATTCAGCTCCAGAGGTCACTGGCCTGGACCACAGTCACACTATATCCCTCAGTTACGGTGCTTGTGGCATGGCCTCTGATGTTTAGATGACCCGAGAAGCAAACTGGAACACAATGACTATTTGCCGCTCTCATATAAAAAGATGCAGCTGGTTCCACCACATTCAAAATGCGTAAAAGCTGGGCAGTTCTTTAGATATGATGAGACCAGCCCCATAGCCAGCTTGAGCCACCTAAGAAGGAATCCAGCCTACCTGGTGCTGAATCCTGGCCTCTTATTTCTACTCTGCTAGTTTACAGAGGAAGTTTCTAATTCACATATGCTATTTTTCAAGTGTACTTGAAAAACATTCTCTTCTTCCATTTAAAAGGAAGCAGCAGGTAAATATGAATGAGATTTATTGAAATGACTTGCTCCAAGCGTAGGAATTCCTTTTAGATAATTGAAAAAATTTGATGAACTGGAAAGCCATCTGTCTCCTCTAAACAATCCATTCTGGATAATAAAAAAATCAAAGTTACCACGGTTTGGGTATGCATGAAGAATGAGACTAGCCCCAATCCTTTTGATGAGATTTTCATTTCTTTTACTTTCTTAGCTGTATCTACTACAACTCAACGTGGAGACGCCTCATCTAGCATAGAGCGGTAAGAGGAGGTGCCCACAGATTCTGTATGTCTTACCAAGAGCAGCAGTCAGCAGAAGGCCTTGAGAATAATGACAGCCTTGCTATCCAGCTCACAGACCTAATCACGCTGCCCCAGTGACTCACACCAATGACAGTTACACAAGGAATTAGGCAGTGTGCCTGTTAGTTCTCTATTTGGCTGATTTCACTATTTTTTTTTTTTTTTGAGACAGAGTCTCTTGCTCTGTCGCCCAGGCTGGAGTACAGTGGTGCAATCTCAGCTCACTGCAACCTCCGCCTCCTGGGTTAAAGCGATTCTCCTGCCTCAGCCTACTGAGTAATTGGGACTACAGGCACACACCACCACGCCCAGCTAATTTTTGTATTTTTAGCAGAGATGGGGTTTCACCACGTTGGCCAGGCTGGTCTCGAACATCTGACCTCCAACGATCTGCCCTCCTCGACCTCCCAAAGTGCTAGGATTACAGGTGTGAGTCACCATGCCTGGCCTGATTTTGCTATAATTTTAAAGCTAATATAAATATCAGTTAACTGTACTATAAAAAAAAGAAATTCACTGAATATTGACCATAAATTGTCTGCTTAATGTGAGCAGAGTAGTGTGGCCACTTGCCACCTCTCCTCCTCCTGCTATGGCTGCTAATGTGGGAAGGAAAAGACAATCAGCAGAAGGACAAGACAATCTTATTCAAAGCTGTTTCACAGCCTGATAGCTTTGAAAGGCTGCCCATGAATCATTAACCTAAGTGCACTTCAACAAAACTTCACAAAATATCTATATGCCCGTGTTGTTTTGCCAGGGAGACATCTGAGTTCTAAACTGATAAAACAGGTTAAAGCTTTGCCCAGACACCAAAAGACAGGCACCCAGTACTAATGGCTGGCAGCCAGTCTTTACACAGTGCTCACTCTCTGTGGGCTCTGTGCCAAGGCTGCGTCTAGTTCTCGCAACAACCTTCAGAGGCAGGTACAATGATTGTGCCCATTTTACAGATAGGAAGCCAGAGAGGTATGTGGCCAAGCTGCCCATCAGCCTGTGCCCTTAACTGACACTGTGTGCCATATGTCAGCAACTGGCAGGAAAGCAAGGCGGTACCAGCTCTGGGCTTCTGACTGGATGCTGGCTTTAAACGGTGTAGATGAGAAGGGAGGGATTCTGATGATGGCACAGTCTGATGAGACTTCAGAGGGTTCTGGTAAAATGCTTATTTGCTATGTTATCTTTACACTACCTCCTACTCCAACCGTTCCTTTCCTCAAATGGAATACAGTTTACCGAATTCCCTGAGGTACTGCAAAAGCCAGGAAACTACACTTATACCTTTTATCACGTTTTCTCATGATGTTAAAAAAATGTTTTAAAACAGTAAAAGATGAGACAATTTGCCATTAAAGGAAACGGAAGGCTCTTATTAGTTTACATGAATAGAGATGGAAATTATTTTTGAAATAAAATAGGGATCAAGCACAAAAATGCACATGGTCAAAATGAATTGGCTTAAACTAGTGTTTCACCAGTCAATGGAAGATGTAGTTGGTGAGAGATCTAGGTTTCAAAGCATCCCATTGCTGCTAAAACTACAGAAAGTTCAGGCCATGTGAAATATTTAGGTTAGGGACACTACACCGATTAAAAACAAAAATGGCCAGGTACGGTGGCTCACGCCTGTAATCTAAGCACTTTGGAAGGCTGAGGCGGGCAGATCACTTGAGGTCAGGAGTTCGAGATCACCCCGGCCAATATGGCGAAATCCCATCTCTACTAAAAACACAAAATTAGCTGGGCTTGGTGGCTCATGCCTGTAGTCCCAGCTACTTGGGAGGTTGAGGCAGGAGAATCGCTTGAACCCGGGAGGCGGAGGTTGCAGTGAGTTGAGATCATGTCACTTGCACTCCAGTCTGGGAGACAGGGCAAGACTCCATCTCAAAAACAAACAAACAAACAAACAAAAAATGTCTTCAACCCTGCAGAGGAGATCTAACAGGGGATCAGAGAACCTCCTGGTGCCTTTATGCCACAGGGAGGAGCAGGCATGTTGAAGGAACACCTCTGTTTGATGGTAAGAGGAACTGGGAGGTGTGCTAGTGTGTGGGATCCTGCCTGTGGGCCCCGGAGGGACAACGTTTGAGGCCATCACAGCACCCTTAGGTCATCACCACCACAGTGCAACACCTCATACCAACATTATAAAAGCATTAATCAAATCAATTTTTAATGATTTCCAATACAAAATTATTTCCATCAAGCATCAAGTTAACTACAATAGCCTACAAAACCAAATTAACTTCAACTCATTCGGTGAACATTGGTATTTCTTGTGGTTATTTTTAAGTGGTAAAATGCTGTCAATTTCCATGCCATTACCTGCCATCCAATTCTCAAGGTTGAAAATGTGCCTTTCAGTAACAAAATAATAGATGTTCCCTTCTAATGAGCCATCAAATATTTTTCCTGTGAAATGACAATGTAGAATGGAGCCCCTGAAACGTGTCCTATCAGGTGAAACAAAAATTCATATTCCGATATTGGAAAAGTTAAATAAATACACAAATAAAACACTGTGTCCTTTAGAGCTTGTGCGGTAAATACTGATGAACTACATTCAGGACTGCCACCCTCCCATTTAAAAATCACTACTAAGTAAGAAGGAGGGGACAAGTGGGCGCCCTGTTCATGCAGAGGGGTATGCTGCCACCAAGGGTGGATGCCACTGGGACCTGAAGCCCGGGGGCTATTATAATCGCTCCAGTGAAAGAGATTATAGCCTATGGGCATTTCCCCAGATGGGAGTGCACACTAGGTCAAATCTGTCAGCACTGACGTGGACGCCAGGCTTAGATGTCCTCACAAAATACTCAAGACTCAATTTCTCAAAGAACACATCCATTCAAACAACAACAACAACAACAACAACAAAAACCACAGGGACTCTTATCTTTAGGGTAGAACTGTACTTGAAGGATGTGATTCGAATCTTACTATACACCAATGACCACCCCACCCTATTCCTTTCAAGACAGAGGCGGTGGTAGCAGAGCTGGGTGCACAGTGAACTTCACACGGAAGCTCAAAGGGAGAGCACCTGACTGTGCAGAAGAAAAGTATTAAAGGAAGTAAGGGCTACCCACAGGTCACGCTGGGGTCCTAAAGACCCCCAGCTGGGAGCCCAGGGGGTTGAGGGTGCAAGGAGCTATGATCGTGCCACCAAACTCCAGCCGGGGTAACAGAGCAAAAGCACTGGTGATTCTTGGTAAAATGACCCATGTGTATTTCTGGAGCTATGTATCAAGGTAATATTTTTTAAGTTGTGAGTTACAGTCCCACAAATGGTACACAGGAAGTATTTTTTAAAGTTAAGCATAATATAGAACAGAAAATATCAGTGCCTCACATAAAACACAGGTATGTGCTATTTTGAGGAACTCATCTCAGTTACATGCATACATAAATGTGTGTACTAAGTTGTGATCTAAGGTTAATTTCTTTTTGTGTGCCATCAAAAGAATTAGAAAGCCACTCAACTACAGAAAAGGAAAACCATCCACTATTACCAACTGTCTGGGGTTCCATCCTCAAAATCATTAAGTAGTGATTTCCAAAAAAAAAAAGGTTTAGAGTTTCTTAAGACAAATGGAAGGGAATTGTAGAGAATTTAGAACATAAGTCAGACAATAATAGAATGTAAGCAAAGACAGCATATGATCAGATCTTTGTATGTTACAGATCGAGGTAAACATCACAGCTGCCTCTAACACTAAGCCAGAAAAACAACCTGGGCTTTCCCAGAGGACTAGCGAGTGCAGCTACCCCATCAGCTGTGCCACTGGCCGGCCCCAGTGCTGACAGAGGCCCTCAGTAATGCATGACGCCAGCTTTGGCATTACAGAGAAAAGGAAGGCAGAATGTTCCTTTTCCTCCTTCCACTTGTCAGGCACCTCAGCTTCCATCATGCAATCAGAGCAGGGCTGTGGTTCAGGAAGAGGTAAAGTGTGAGTGCGGTTCCACCCACGCTGGGCGTTGCATAACCCAAGGAAGGTTTCTGCACCTGGGTGGTGCCTCTGCCTTTCAAGGTGAATTGCTTCAAAATATGTCACTGAAATTACCTTAATCAAATAAGAGCCAAGTGGCACTCAAATAAAGAAAAAAGTGTGATGACATATTCTCTGAATGCACATACTCCTACCAAAATTCACTTCATATGCACCAGAACACAAAACCCAAACAAAATTCAAGTACTTTTTGGTAAACACACACAGGGCTTTTACATGGCCAGCTCCTCTGCCATTTAATTTTTAAGAAGTAAGGGACAAAATCTGCCATTCAGTTATACACAGTAAGGTGTGTCCTAGAGACACTGGTCCTTATTTATAACAACAAACAGGACCTCCATGTCAACAGAGTGTCAGAGCAAATTTGCAGGACTTTTACAGGCCCCAGGAAAACCATGCTGGAAGGCAGCAGAACTCAACCCTGCTGGCTGTACCTACAACCAGGAAGACCATCTATTTTGAGGAACACTTATTACTGAAGTTTAAAAAGTTAAACTGAAGTCAGAGAGAGAGAAAGAGAGCGAGCAAGAGTGAGAGTGAGAGCGAGAGCGAGAGCAAGCGCAAGCAAAGAACAACTGTGCTTGCAAGGATTGCAGCAGCCCTGCAATAGCAGCCTGGCTTTAACTCCAAAGCATAACTAGACCAGTATAATCGGGGTGGTGAGAAGACACTCCTTTGTGGGCTCAGAGGGAGTCCTGGTGGCTCCAGGTACTTGGCTGTGACATCAGGGGATGAGGTGTACCTGATGTCCCCACCTCCCTCTGGTTGGGTGGAAGTGGTTCAAGAACACTCAGTTCTCTGCCCCACACCAAATATAAGCATATCCCAGGTGCGGGGTCAACTAAGGGCCACAAGAATCACCATTTTTTTTTTTTTTGCAGGAGGAGCACTTGATAATCTGAACTTAAGACCCAGGAAACTGGGGGTGCGAACACTGGGATAGGACTCTGCCAACTAGATGCCCAGGTGAGCAGCACTGTTGTGCTTAGGAGCTTTTCCTCATCAGCTCCTTCAGGCAGGGCTCAGCCACAGGCAGGAGGCATCTCTCCCCGCACATCCTCACCTGGACTGTCCATGGTTCAAGTGCTCAGCAGCCACAGGGTCTGGGGGCTTTGGAGCTCTGGACAGGATAGGACAACAGAGTTCTGCCACGTAGCAGGGGCATGAGCAGAATACTGCAGGGACACCTTGAGGGAGTGACAGATTCTGCTGAGGGAAGGCCAGGGATGACTGTGCAGGACGTAACTTCAAGCAGGGTCCTGAGGGAGGAGTTTGCAGGGAGGACAGAGCAGGGATGACAGGAGTGGCCAGCACGGGAGCATCCGGCTGAGGGCTCGCTGACTAAAAGGTCCATGCCACTGATGAGGCGTGGCCCCGTGGGGCAGTGGGGGGGAGGGAAACTGAGGCCAGGCCTCAGGGTCCCATATGGCTTGCTCTCTCAAGACGACAGTCTCCCAGGGCAAGTGAAGACACATGAGGACATTAAACAGGGAATAACTGGCAAGGACTGTGTCCCAAAAAGGTGCCTGAGCAGGAGAGCTGACTGGAGAGAGAGCGCCGAGGACAGCGCTGAGGACAGCGTGAAGTCACCCAGTTGAGCACCACGAGGGTGCAGCCCACTCAGGACACGGAAGGTGCGGTGTCCCAGCAGAAGGGTTCCGCTCAGGGACGCTTCTTGTCAGCAGGTGTTTGTACACTGGGTGATGAGGGCATCAGGTAATGCCCACTAAGGCCTCAGTGCAGTGCCCATCAGGAGGGATGGGAGCTGCAGACCAACGTTACTGACTTGACGCAGACACAAAGCAAAAGTGGAGGACGGTGGAGGAAGAAGCAGCCCAAGGGAGGCGCGGCCAGACCACTGCCTGAGACTCGTGCTGAGTGCAGGACCAGCTGTCCCACCATCCAGGCACTGAAGCTGCCTGCAGCACAGGTGGCAACAGTCCATGCTGCCTGTCACCCTGATGGTCACCGCCTTTATTCTCCTCTCTGTGAAGAGATGTCTTCCCCTTTCACCCAGATGTGCTTGGTTACAGATCTAGGGGAAACGACTGCCTCTTCAATGTTGTACCTTTTCAGAGGAGGGAAGAAGCCAGAGCTTGTCATGCTTACAGGTTCTGGGGCACAGCCTGGCATCACAGTTACTGTTACATCTGCTGCAAAGCTGTCCAGCTGCACAAATGCCACTGACAGCTTCTTAGAAGGCTATTCTATTTTTGCAAAAAATGCAGATGTAGAAACCCCCCAGGTATTACTGGGGTCCTGTTATTAATTGTTCCTTCACTGTCTTTCTTGTGAAAGAAATGCTAAATGTATCTGCTGAATAAACTAAAACATTTTAATGAATATAACATGCTAAAAATAAGGCAAACATGTACATATATTCTATTTCTTACAAAGCAAACTGATATGAGATTGAACTTAATTTAAAAGTTAATTTTAAAGTTAATTTAGAAGGAAAATGTGTCACTGGGTTCTCTTAATATAATATTGTTTAATTTTGTGCTTCTGGTTTTATGGTGCAATTTGTCTTAATTTCTTAAGATTTCAGGATAATTTTACCAGGATAAGTGTCTCTTTTCTACTTTTTTAAAATCAAATCTTCTGCAAGCAATTTTAATACCAGACTAAATGTATCAAGGAAAAAATAGCAATGATACTTCTAGATCCTATATTTTTTTCTCTGAACTTAGCTACCAAAGAACAGATCTTAATCTGAAATATTGAATGACAGACACTCTTGGTAACCATGCAGTGTCAAGAAATGATTTGGATTTGGGTAAAAGTAAGCCTAAGTACACCAGGGGTTCAATGCCAGTTTTTACTTTGATTTCATTTTCATATTTATTGCTAAAAGCTCTTCCTCACATATCTCCGGGCATCTGAACCTCACAGTCCATCCCACTGCCTGGCTGTCTCATAGTTGGGATATGTAGAATGTCACAAGCCAGCAACAACAAATTACACGGGAATGGAAGTGCCGTGTGGTTTTATTCTTGAATTGCAATTACTGAAGACTCTGAACTAGAGTCATACAGGTTTACACAAGGACACTAGCTAACTTTTCATAAACTCTCCATTAAACAGCCTCAATGTAGGCATTGGCATTCTAGTTAGATCTGCTGCAGGACTTTTCCTTAGTTCAGCTTAAGAGGGGTCCTTGTCACATGACTACGAAAAATTAGGCTCACAATTTAAAGGGTGAGAAAAATGGGATTTATTGGACAAAAAGGAAAAAAAGGAAAGCAGGAACTCTCCACCAAGCTGGAGTCCTGCTAGTGTGCTTCCTGCCTCGCAGACTGAATCCTAGGTACCATCCAAGAAGACGAGGGGCCAGGCTCCTCCCTGCTGCAAATGGCTCCAACTTCCCAAGGCTCCACCCCAGTGCGCACTCCTCCCAGTGTGCGGGTCGGTCAGAGGCTCTCCCGGGGAGCCATTTCCACCTGGCTGTCTCAGATCCTTTCCTCCTTTAGCCATATTTTGGCTGAAATCACATCTCTGCCCAGTGGACTCCACCAAAGTTGGCTGGGGGAAAAGCTCCAGCTTTACTCTGGGGAGAAACTCAGGATTGCAAGGAATAACAAGCCAACCTGTAGCTCATCTATCATGTGCCAAACACTGCTATAAGGAGGTTAAGAAACTTGCCTGGGCATGGTGGCTCACGCCTGTAATCCCAGCACTTTGGGAAGCTGAGGTGGGTGAATCACCTGAGGTCAGGAGTTCGAGAACAGCCTGGCCAACATGGTGAAACCCGGTCTGTACTAAAGTACTAAAAATACAAAAATTAGCCGGGCGTGGTGGCGGTTGCCTGTAATCTCAGCTACTTGGGAGGCTGAGGCAGGAGAATTGCTTGAACCCAAAAGGCAGAGGTTACAGTGAGCTGAGATTGCACCATTGCACTCCAGCCTGGGTGACAAGAGCAAAATTCCATTTCAAAAAAAAAAAAGAAGAAAGAAACTTGCCCAAAGTCATAGAGCTAGTAGGTAGTGGCCCAAACATGAACCCAGGCAGTCTTCCATCATGATGCAGAACCTGTACTTCATGTACCAGAGTTGTAAGGAAAACATGAACAGGCTCCCCGAATCCCTCCTCAAAAATCCTAGTATGCTATGCTGCCATCCCCAACTCCATATCCCCTCATGGATTATGCTTGCCAAATCTTGCCATGTGCCCTTCCTTCCTCATCTATATTTTAATATAAAAATGAAATGAGTAACGTATGAGCTTGAAAGAGAAAACAAATGGAATTGAATAGTTTTTATTCTTTTACTTCACCCCCCTCATCTCCCCCACCCCTGATATCTTTTAAAGCAGAGCTCTTCAAACTGGAGCATGCACAGCTCTGGGGATATACAAAGACATTCCAGGGGACTTGGACATGGACAATTCTAGAGAAATCATTTTCTAGATCCTTCCATATGTCCTCTTCCTTGAAACCGATCTGGCATGAGAACAGTGCTTGCCTTCTGTGGCTCTCCTTTCCTGCTTACCCTTTCTAAATCACAACCCTCCATCCCTGCCTTTCCAAAGAAAGACATACTCCTCACCCTTCTTGAATCATACACCATGGTCCACTTTGCTGGGTATAAAAGCCACTGGAGGACAAAATAATGAAGGAACAGAATCTATCATAAAGTCAAACTATTAACTAGGTTGTTATAAAAACATTTCCCTGAAAACTTCTAAGTAGTTAAAGCTAAGTCTCCCGGCTCCCTCCCCTCCCCACCCGACACAACAATTTTAGATGACAGCAATGGAAAAGAAAAATTCCTTCTTTCCACACACCAGCTTGATGAGAAAAGTGTGGAGAGGAAAACTTCAAAACTTTGTAAAACAAATTAAACCAAAGATTATATGTATTTTGAACGTATACCATATAAAACAAGGATGTCCAAGGATGAGGAGAAACTTCCATTAACTAGATTTCGGAGTCTAGCAGGTGCTCGTTTAGGCAGAGAGTATGGGCCTCCTTCTCCCTACAATCCACTGAAGACACACTGAGAAACAGGGCCCAACTCACTCTTTTTCTAGTCTCTTTATGACAGAGTAACACCAGCAGGTACTGGAGCAGAATGCGCAGCACTGAGGTGTGCCATTAACCAGAGGTGCCCAGGCTGCTTAGACACTGGAATCCCTGCAAAGTTCTCAAATCACTGTACCCAGGCCTCACCTCAGAAAATTAAATTTCTGGTGGAGGGGCTCAGTTGTAGGTGTGATTTAAAAGCCCTCTATCTTATTCTAATTTTTGGCCAGGGCTGACAACCACTGGGTGAAGCTACCCGTTTTCCTTGTTCACAAAAGAGAAACTATAATTACTTATTAAACTAGTGGAGTGACACTGATCAGCAAACTGATACTAAATTGCAATCTCAGAGTATATGATAGGTTCCCCTCCTTCTCCAGCTCTCCTCACTTGTGCCTCTGCTGTTCTCCTAAATGAGAAATCGCTGGGCCCATTTACATATGGAGGTAAAAATAACTGCCTGGGCCCGGAATGCAGATGGGATGCAGAAGATGGTGCATTTCTGGCTGCCCCTGTTTGGAACCCTAGCCCTCTGGCCTGATAGGGCTGGGATATTAATAGGAGTAAGATTCACAGGTGCACAAAGCACAGGGATTTCACTGGTCATAGCCAAGGGATATCTGGCTGCCACTCTAACACTGGGGCTAAAAAGACAAATCCCATTTCAAAATAGAACCAGAGAATGTGATCTTTAGGAGGGACCTCAAAAGTCATTTAGTGCAACATACATCTTAGGCTTGTATCCTCATCCATCCCCTCTTTCAAGTGGTTGCTCACCCTGCTTAGCTTTGAACATCATCAGTGATGGGGAGCTAACTACATAATGGGTTTGTGGAAAGCGGATGGGTTTTGGACATATAGATGGCTAGTTTAAAATCCCATGTCTATCTAGAAGTAGCTGAACAACCAAAGGAAGGTTTCTCAATCACCAAAGGCCAATCTCATCCAAAGTGAGGATAAAAACCACTTTATCTTGCACAGTCATTGATATTACATGGGAAAATTAGATTCAACAAATGTTCTTTCTTTCTTTTTTAATTGAGACAGAGTCTTGTTATGTTGCCCAGGCTGAAGTGCAGTGTCACAAACATAGCTCACTGTAGCCTCAAACTCCTGGGTCCAAGCAATCCTCCCACTTCAGCCTCCTGAGTAGCTAAGACTACAGGCATGTACTACCACATCAGGCTAATTTTTTTTTTTTTTTTTTGTAGAGACAGGGTCTTGTCCAGGTGGTCTCAAAGTCCTGGGCTTAAGTGATCCTCCCACCTCGGCTTCCCAAAGTGCTGAGATTACAGGTATGAGCCACTGCCCCTGGCCAATAAATGTTACTTCTGACTAGGGTATCTCAAAGTCAGCATCATTAACATTTGGAGCTAGATAATTCTTTCCGTGAGGGCTGTCCTATGCTTCGTAAGGTATTTGGAAGCATCTCTGGCTTCTGCTCACTAGATATAGCAGCAACTCTCACCCCTCAGTTTTGTGCAATCCAAAACTGTCAAACGTCCCTGGGAGGCAGGTGTGGGGTCAGGGGGAAGAAGTGCTCCCAGTTGAGGACTACTGTCCAATCCTACTCCCTCCCCTCCACTCTGGAAGGTGTCCATTCCATCTTTGGGCAACTCTATAAGAATGTTCTAGTAATCTGGTGTTCATTTTTCTTTAACTCCTATCTCCTTGAAACATCAAAAGAAAAGTAATGTAAGTTTCTGTAACCAGAAAGTGGCAGGACTAGGATTTCAACCAGAATCTCTTCCATGCTAACACTCAAGAGTGAAACAGTTATTTGTTTCCACTATTTCTTAGTGGCTAATCTCTACCACGGGTCAGGATGGCTTAATTTGAAGAAAGTTACATCCTTATCCTCTAGCTGCTTTTCCTTTTGCCCCCAGAGTACTTAGAAAAAGATCAGCAAGCAAAGCTCCATGTACCAGAGTATTTCCTTATTAACGGGTAAAACAGAGAGTGTGACATAGTTCACTATGTGGCTGCCAGGGAAATCCCCAAGAAGCTGAGACCAAAGGCGGAGCTCCTTGCAAGACTGAGTTGTGTTTAAGATCAAGAGCAAAAGTTACACAGTTTCCAGAATAAGGAGCCAGGCTACATAGGGCTATTAATGGGAACACACAGTGGGGCTAGCATCAAAGCCAGGAAAGCCCAGGAACATGAGAGAGGAAATGTGAGGGTGCTTTAGAGAAAAGCCCAGAGGAGCAAAATGCCCCAAATATTCACTTCAATGTCGTGTCAAAAGCCTTCAACAATCAAACTACCAAAAACAATAAGAATGAGCATCCTAGGCACCAACCTTTGACTCTTTATGTCTCAAAACACAAGATCAACCTGGGAGAGAAAAGTTCCATTCATTACTCATGACTTTTTCCAAGAATCACTGTGTACATGGGCTACAATTCAAGTGCCCATGCTTGCAAGAAGTGGTTGTGCACCTCTGCCATTTGGAAAACCCACCAGGATGAGTCAAGTAAGGCCCCAGGAGCAGGGCTGCCCAGTGCTGACGGCAGGTGTCTACTTCACTTTTGCATTCTGATGCCTCTCTTGCCTCACCCTAGTCTCAGTCCTGAAATCCACTTCTGTTGCACTGCATGCCCTCTACTGACGACTACAAGGTAGAAGAGATGAGGAAAGCACTATCTCCAAGAAGTACATCACCTCGAAGCATGTGTTCAAAGTCACAGGTGGAGATCTGAAGTACGCCGTGGGAGGGGTCCTCCCAGGCCTGGGGCATGGAGCCTTGGGTACTGTTGCTTGCTGGGAAAGAGCTAGCTAAATGGGCACCAATCCTTCCCTGGACAAGGGTCCTCATCTGGAAAATGGGGCTAAGACCATCTGCGTGTTCTATTTCATAAACTGGTACATATCTCAGATGTCAGGGTATATGAAAGGCTGCTGCAAGTTACTATTGAATGTTATTAAGCTACTGTCAATATTTTAAATTGACTGTTGAGAAATAGGAGTAGTAGTGGGTCCCTGCCAAGGCTGGCCAACTGGAAAGCATACAGTTATTTTCAGAAAGCCAGTGGTTCAATTCATCTGGTCTCCAATGAAGGAACTGTTGTGTTGCAGAGTTCAGTGTGTGCAATTTGAGAAACCCTGTTCTATTCTGTGAGGACAAAGTATATGAACGAGCTTTAAAAAAAGTGGGATGGAATGTTAGAAAGTATCCCTTAAAAAATAATTTCATAAAGCAATGAAAGGTAGCATAAGGAGCAAGATGCAAGACTAAATAAGGCTAAAAAACGTGCTCTAACCTCAAAACGGGGACACTCTCTTGGGATTTTAGAAATGACTTCTTTTTTTCCCCTTTAAAACATTATCTAGTGGGAAGCTATTCACCAATGTGTATACATGATACACTGAAGAGGCCATTTACGTATATGCTGGTTGTATGAAACATGAAGCCTATAATCCCAAAGAAAATTGTGTCATCAACAGTAATCCTCAGGCTAGACGACAAAAGATTCCGAAATCTACAAAGTAACTGGGATACCAAGCAGCACTAACCCAGGAGCTTCAGTTACATTCTCTCACTATGCTGAAGTTCTTAGTGAATCCCCCTATCACCGGGGCAGGGGCAACAAGGGGATGTGATGCGTTCCATCACACTTCCAAGTGCACACTGGTGGGCACCTCCATAGGGCGCCTGTAGGGAATCAAAGGGCATGGCACCAGTGGTAACTCACCTCTGATGACAGAGCTGGGCTTGGGGCCTGGGCACAGTTTCTTGGTCATCCTAAACATTAATGGGTATTCTGCATTCAACTCCATGATATTTCAATGGCTAGAACTAAGGCTGCAGAAATACGCACCATGTTTCTACCGTACGATTCACAGACAACAGCTTGAAAAAACACAGGCTGCTCCAACAATCACAGGGACCCTGGCAGAACTGTTCAGCTGCACTCCCTCTGACCCTGAGTAAGCTCCCTAGCCTCTCTGAGCGTCTCTCAAGTGGAGATAATAGTTTATAATCCAATGCATTATTAGAGGAATCATGAAGATATGCACAAAACTAGCATAAGGTCTGAAAGACAGCAGATGTCTGAGAGGTAAATTAGACTGTTATTCTACAGGGTACCTCCCTGGAAAGAAAACCAGAGAGAGTGACACATTGCAGGGGGCACTTAGGAGCTGGCCTACATAGTCACAGCTATAAACTATATAGATGATTCCCACATAACTTTCAACCTTCCCATTGATCAAAGCGCCCAATTTCATTAAAATTCAACTTCTAATGACTATATTCATGGGCTGAATTTTACTAGAACACGAGGAGGAGAAGGGGTCAGTGAATAGCAATGGCCCAGGAGTTCAGATACTCTGGGCTAAACTGATATATTCAGACACGTAAATGAGCTCTATAAGTTGTCATTCTTTTATTGATTTAATCATTTGAGCTCTTCCATAGTTTAAAGGAAAGAGTACTGAGAGAGTTAAAGGAACCTGGTGACTAACACACTATGGAACCCAAGGGAAATCACCTAAACTTTCTGTGCTGTATTTCTGTGCTGTATAAAACGTGGGGCTAAGACTCGGCGATTCAAAGATTCTTTATACATGTACAATTCTCAGAGCTTATGAGATACACCCTGCTGTAATAATACCAGTTTCCTTTGCCCTTAGTGTCTATTTTGGACAAAGTTTAACTGAAAAAAATTCTCTAATAATCTGTAAATCAAGCAATATGCACATACTTCCAATTTAGAATCTGAGGAGCAAATCTAGTAAAGCAGACAGAGCTGCACACAGGGGCAAACCTTGTCCACTGGGCCACAGACTCATTCATCCTGGAACCCCTTGCACCTAACAGAGCCCAGCATATACTGGAATTCGGTAATACTGCACTGAACTGAGCTGGGACTCTCTGACTGCCATGTGCAAAAAACTCCAGGCATGGCCTATACAGAGTTTCTCTGCTCTCATTCCTGAGTAATTCTGAGAACTGAGCACTGAGAAAGACAGCAAAAAGAGCATGGCTCCGTATTCTGTCTTTCGCTCTATTCCTGGCCCTGAACCTTTTTGGATGGTGACTTGGTGTAGTTATTTAACTTCTGTGAGCCCAGCTACTACTGCATTTGCAAAGTGGGGATAACACTGAGAGGTGTTTGGGAGGATGAGCCTGGGAGAAGACTTGTGCACTAGATGGAAGGTACTATTAAACCCAGATACATCCTCAAGAGTGCAAAGTGCTGCAAAACTTCCATTTAAGCTTGGGGTGGTAACCCTCCTATTTGCATCACACAATTAATTTTAAGCTATAAATCAACAACTATTAGCATATACAAGGCACTCACCACTCTGTGCCCAGCACTATTCTAAGAGCTTTGCACAAGTTAGTTCACTTAATCCTCACAACAACCTTAGAAGATAGATGCTATCTCTCCCTGTGTTACAAAAGAGCATAGTAAAACACAGAAAGGCCTAGTAACTCGTCCAGGGTACACTGTGAGTAAGCAGTGGAGCCAAGATCTAAATCCTTACCCATGACAATATGTACAGTCTCTTAAGTCATGGATGTGGCTGATTTTACTTTTCAAAGTAAAACCTCCAATTCTTATGGTTTTTTTCTTTTTGCTGGATAAAAATCTTGCCCAGACATTGGCACATTCTTGATCGTTCCTTGGGGAGCTAGTCATTGTAACATCTGGCAGATCATAAATGGACCATTTAAGCATTTGGAAGATAAATCATAAATTTGAGCCTTACTTTGGATACCATCTTGAGAAAAACTGAGAACAGCTGACCATGAAACTCTTAAAACCTTATTTTTAAAAAAAGACACCGGAAAGCCTTTTTGAAACTCTCCATTACCCCCACCCCAATTCATCTCCCAAAGGGACCAGGACTGGGGAGGAGACTGCCTATCTATTTATGAAATTTAACTTAATTATATCTGTTACAGGACCTATCTGTAAAAGCTGTCAATGTGTGGGTAAATTGATTCTACCCATCCATAGAAGATAACTTAGGGCATTTCAAACCCACAGTAAATGGCAACTAGCTCCAGATAGAAACTAAAATACATTTAGTATACACAAAGGTACTAAAAAATGTTTTGATTCATTAGTACATACTGTATTTTTCTTTTCAGGCGTCAATCTGTCAAAGAAATACGTTGTTGTCTAGCAGCCAAGAAATATATCAATGTTATTCATATGCTCTGCTGCAATTCAAGAAGTCAAGGGGACAAAAATACATTTGTTTCAGCCAAGCTCAGTCTTTGCATCTTTCTCCCTTCACCCTGCTAAGGGAACTGTAGACAGGAGGTGACACTTGGATAAAGGCACTGATGTGGCACCTTCTCAAATCGCTTATCATGCGGGATGCACACAGTGTGCAAACAATTAGCAGCTTTGTGTAGGAGGAATCCTCCTTTATTCTCTTGAAATTCAAGTGAGAATTTCTAATAAAACAGAATCATACACTTCAGAATGATTACTGTGCATACAAGACCAAATTGTGCTGAGCCACAAGCCTTCTTCAGCCTTATCGCATGTGTATGTAAACGTGCATATTCTAGTTGAGGAGTGAAAGTCACTGCAAACATTCGAGGGATGTGACTAAAGATAATATTTAGAAGGCAACTGTCATCAATTCAATGTGATGGCTAAGTAATCCTCAGTCATGTCATGAATCAGTATCAGCTACAGCCAGCAACTTAATCACTTATTTATTTAATTTTGCTTTTTGCTGGAAGAAATAATATGCTATGCTGCAATTCAAGAGGACAAAAATACAGTGAGACATTGTCATATAAAATGTAATTTAGGAGACTGTTCTATATCCAAGGTGACATGATATCCCCAGAAATGTTTGTCATCATGTGCTCAATGGAATGAACCAGAGGGAACAGTGATTACTTAGAAGTGCTGCACTAAAGGGAGCCCATCAACTCACCCAGCCCTCAAACATGTTTGTTTATTTTAAAGGAAAAAAGGGGAGAGAGAAGGAAAAGACAAACTTTAAAGCAATGTTCTAAACGTTGCACATGCATTATTTCATTTAATCATCTTAATAATCCTAAGGCAGAAACCATTATTAGTCATACTTTGAAAATCAGAAAAGTGTGGTTTCAAAAAGTTAAGTAATTTGCCCAAGTCATACGGTGAATCAAGCCCTAATTGTGCAGTGGAAAATTCAGGATTGTCTTCTATATTGTTGCTGCATATTTTACTAAGATAACCAGGGTTCCAGGGATAAGCTGAACATCAGGTATTCCCAGAATACTATCTGTATCATGCATTACAACCCAAAGAAATTCAGGTTCCCTTAAAACATATACAGAAAAAAATTATTTTTTCTTTTATAGGGATATTTCTATAATTTACACTAAGATATGACATGCATGTAGACAGAGTGAACTAGCATAAATTTAAATTACCCAAAACGGTAGGGCATATTATCATAGATTCATCTACTGTAAATGTAAGTCTCCTTGATTTTATTCTCATGTAGTATCACTGATTTAGATGACGGTAATCATACTTGTTAACCCAGAGACATTATTTTTTAATTGTTTCCCTTCAAGAATTTAAACTGCTATTTTACTGGAGAAAAAGCCACTGAAGAATAGAAAAAAGGGATCATCGAAGCACAACAGGGAAGAATAAACACAGAAAGGTGCACTTGTAATAGGGGGCTCCCGGGAAAAGACTCGGAGACAGCGACAAATTATGGAATAGGAAACAGTCAAATATGGATATGATCACCGAAATCTCTCTCTGGTCAAATGTTCCAGCACACAGAGATATTTACCAAGAGAACAGGCACAGCAGGGGCTTAAAAGGACACTTGTGACTGCGTTTAGGGCCCACTCAGCTCATCCAGGACAACCCCCCATACCGGGACCCTTCATTTAATCACATCTGCAGGGGCATTTTCATGTAAGGCAACATTGACAAGTTCCAGGGGTCAGGACCTAATAAATCTGTGGGCCAGTTTTCAGCCTACAAAGTCTCCTATTTGGGAGATAAGGGCTTGGATGCTCACTGCTGGGTACCACTATCTGGCTCTCAGGATCAAACACGACCTTTTTCTTATGACTAATTTTACACACACGTCTTCTCTTCCAACAAAACCACAAGCAACCTCAGGGCAAGCAGAGTTTTATGTATCTCTGTATCTCCCACAGTGCTAAGCAACAGCATCAACACGTAGTATGTTCTCAATAATCACTCAACTCAGCTGCAGGGTAAGATGATCCCTGTAGGACAGAATCTGAATTTTTTGACACTCTCGTCCATAAGCTGCCCCATCCTTGTTGTAACTAGGGGACAGTAGGCTGAATACTGGCCCACAAAATTTATTAGGTCCTGACCCCTGAAACTTTTCAATGTTACCTTACATGAAAATGCCTTTGCAGATGTGATTAAATGAAAGGTCCTCAGATGGGGGATTGTTCTGGGCCCTAAATGCAGTCACAAGTGTCCTTGTTTATTTTTATTTATTTATTTATTTTGAGACAGACTCTCACTCTATTGCATAGGGTGGAGTGCAGTGGCGTGATCTCGGCTCACTGCAACCTCCACCTCCTGGGTTCAAGCAATTCTCGTGCCTCAGCCTCCCAAGTAGCTGGGATTACAGGGGAGTGCCAAGACACTCGTTTAACTTTTTTTCTTTTTTTGAGACAGAGTCTTGCCCTATTGCCCAGGCTGGAGTGCAGTGGCACGATCTCAGCTCACCGCAACCTCCACCTCCCAGGTTCAAGCAGTTCTCCTGCCTCAGCCTCCCGAATAGCTGGAATTATAGGTGCGTACCACCACGCCCGGCTAATTTTTGTATTTTTAGTAGAGACAGGGTTTCACCATGTTGGCCAGGCTGGTCTCAAACTCCTGACCTCAGGTGATCCACCTGCCTCAGCCTCCCAAAGTGTTGGGATTACAGGCGTGAGCCACCGCGCCCGGCCCACAAGTGTCCTTGTAAGAGAGATGCAGAAGGAGATCTGACACAGCAGAGGAGGCAAGGCAGCCCCAGCGGCAGAGGCTGGAGCCCGCTGGCAGCCCCCAGAAGCTGGAGGAAGCAAGGGGCAGATGTGTTCCTAGAGGCTCTGGAGGGAGCGCAGCCCTGCGGACATCCTGACTTCAGTTCAGTGACACCTACTTTGAAGCGGCCTCCAAAACTGTGAGAGGATAAATGTCTGCTGTTTTAAGTTGAACTGGTAGTAGTTTGGTACAGCAGCCCTGGGAAACTCAGTCATAGGCAAAGACCGGTCAGGCTTTGCTCCAAAGCCTGCTTTAGGAAGAAAAGACCTGGAGGGCTGAGTGATAGACACCTTGTCCCTAGATCAACCAGGAAGCTCTTGCAAGGCTGAATTGCATGGGACAATCTCCTTCCTAACTAATAGTGTCCTGAGGTTCCTTATAAACATCAGGGTACCACCAAAATAAAAAATGCTACCTGTGGGTCAAACTCAAATTCCACAAGAGAGATGAGGAGACTGTCGGAAGGTCTGCCGCAAAGTGATCTGACAACTGTGGTATGACTCCGGTCTGGGGGCACACACAAGCTCCCTCTGTCTTGCCCAAAGCCTTTTGGTGTGTGCCCACAGACCAGGAGTAGCTTTCTTGCTGGAAAAACAAAGGCAATCAAAAATGAAATACTGTTTCACTCACCAAACCAAACTCCTTCAAAACTCTGCTTAAAACAACTGTCGCCCCTAACCACCCCCCAAAAATAAATCTGTACATTCTGAAGAAAATCTCTATCTGCCAGGAATCTCCCCTAAAAAAATCTTGCCCCCTTTTTATTTGTCTGCCCTGGGTGCCAAAGTGCAGCTGTGGGTGGTTGTGCATCTGCTTATACAGAATCTGCTCCTATCATCCTTCCTCACAGCATAGCACCTGAGCACGCAGCACGGCACTCTAACACCACTCAACATGACACCCAGCTCAGAAAACTGTGCTTTCTGAGGCTATATGATCACTGAGATATTTTAAATATTAAAGTATTGATATGTCATTTAAACTATTTTTTAAAAAGCTCATAGCAGCTTTATTCATAATTGCCAAAACCCAGCTGTCCTTCAGTAGATGAATGACTAACTAAGCGGTGGCATTTCCAGACAGTGGAATATTATCCCAGCACTAAAAAGAAATGAGCTATCAGGCCATGAAGAGGCACGGAGGAACCTTAAATGCATATTACTAAGTAAAAGAAGCCACTATGAAAAGGCTACACACTGCATTATTCCACCAGCTTCATGATATCCCAGAAGAGGCAGAACTGTAAAAATCAGTAAAAGGATGAGTGGTTGCCAGGGTTTAGGGGCATGGTAGGGATGAACAGATGAAGCACAGAGGATTTTTAGGGCAGTGAAATTATTCTGTATGACACCATAATAGTGAATACATGTCATTATACATTTGTCCAAACCCACAGCATGTACAACACCAAGAGAGAACCCTAGTGTAAACTATGGACTTTAGGTGATGATGTGTCAATGTCGGCTCATCAACTGTAACAAACATACCACTCTGGTGGGGGATGCTGATGATGAGGGAGGCTGTGCCTGTGTGGGGGAAATACATGGGAAATTTCTGTGCCTTCCTCTCAATTATGCTCTGAACCTAAAACTGCTCCAAAAAAATAAAGTCAGTTTAAAAAGAAAAAGGAAAAACAGCTCCAATGGCCAACCAAATGAATTCTGTTGTATCTGCTCTGTTTTTATTGTTATTTTAATATAGCCTAAATAATGGAGACCATTAGTTAAAAACAGAAAGAACACAAATATATAATGTGAAAAAAACTTGAGACTGGGTACACTTTGGGAGGCTGAGGCAGGAGGATTGCCTGAGGCCCGGGAGTTCAAGACCAGCCTGGGCAACATAGCAAGACCCCTGTCTCTACAAAAACTTAAAAAAAAAAGACAAAAACAGAAAATAAAATCACTTCAACTCCTTTTACCTATGAGCTCAAAAAATAAAAGGCAAAAAAAAATCAACATGGTCTGGGAGTTTAACTGAATAAAACCAATGAGAATGTCACAGAAAAACAAGTATTTGTGGAAGAAAAATCACTATTTGTAGCTGCTGGTTTTTGAAAGAGCAACAGTTTCTGTTCATTCCAGGGCTGCCATATTTTTATTTAGCCACTTCCTAAGAAATGTGTGTGAACAGCTGCTTGGTTAAAGAATAAAATACTGAATTTAGAGCCATTCAGTGAGAGTCTCCCCATCACCCCACCACCCTAGCTACAACTTACTCTAAAAACACATGGATACCAAAATTAGTCAGTGCCAAACCAAATTCAATAGCCTTGATAAGAAATCCCACCATCAAGTGCGAAAACCTTCTCATTTATCTTGGTTATCTAAATTAAGGTGGTGGTGGAAAAGGGGAATCCTTGGGTTTATTTTGGAAGAAAGCGGCAAGCAGAAAGTGTGATGTGTATTTCCGTGATATCGATTCCTTATCAGATTTCCCATGTGCCAAAGTGAAAGGTTGGTATAAAAATTAGACAAAATAGGTGTTCATGGCACCAAAGACAAATGGTATGTGGGAAACTTCCTAATACCAAAATTTCCTGGTTGGACATGGTGGTTCATGACTGTAATCCCAGAACTTTGGGAAGCCAAGGTGGAAGGATCACTTGAGCCCAGGAGTTCGAGATCAGCCTGGGCAACAGAGTGAGAATCCATCTCTACAAAAAATACAATAATTAGTCAGGCATGGTGGCATGTGCCTGTGGTCCCAGCTACTTGGGAAGCTGAGGTGGGAGGATTGCTTGAGCCCAGGAGGTAGAGGCTGCAGTGAGTTGAGACTGCACCACTCATTCCAGCCTGAGCAAGACCTTACCTCAAAAAAAATTTTCCTTACTCTGAGTAAACAGGAGATCTTATAAAATAAACAACTCATGAGAACCCATTATTATATACCAGAAAACATATGAGTCAAAGGTAATCAGATGTTTTGCAAAGACTAGGTTATGTTAATTAAAACTTTAAATAAAAACAGCATTAAGTAAACAGCAGTTTATTATTACATGATCATAGCGCATGGTTGATGGATTCTTCAGAAGCAAGAGCTTTCTTGTACACAACCTGGGTTATTAAAATTGCTGTGCCTTTTTACGACATTGAAACATATGGTAATTATCCCATATCCAACAGCTGATGTCTTCTTGCTGTTCCAAAGGGGGATTTATTACTATTCCAGAAGATAATTTGTTCTTTAAATTAAAAACCAGCTAGACTGGTGCATTACCTACATTGGCATTGATTTTCCCAAGAGCACAAGCCATTTCTCATCATAGCTTCATAAAATAATTTGATCCGTCAGTTAATGAAGAAGAGTCCATGGATACAATTATCCCCCCACCTGAAGAAACAAATCCATGTATGGGCTGTAGCAGCTACTCACCAACCAAGTTTGCTCTAGCAGCTACTCACCAACCAAGTTTGCTCTGTATTATACAAGTTTCCTCTTGTATTATTCGACAAGTTTGAGGAATTAATCTCAAATTCCTGGACATTACGAAGTTGGATATGATAAAAACCCAGGAAAATGACATGAGAGAAAAATACAACTTTAGGTACCTCCTAGCCCAAAGACAAGCTAATGTATTTTGGGCTGTCAGTAACCTAAACATATAAAAGAGCAAAAAACAACGTGGTTGTCCATTCATGTGCCTTATAAACATTTTATGGATCTAAAGGTATCACTTTCCAGACTGACTTCTACTTAACAGGCAAGTGTTTATTTAGGACATTGTATGTAATCCAAGCATCCACAGAATATCAACATTTCAGAGCTTACGTTCCAAATATTTCTTTGTACTAAGAAGTAATGCATAATAAGCTCATTCATTCAACATCTGATGAGAATTTAATCATGTGTAAAGCATTATACTAGAACATAAGGGGATGAGAAAAGGCATAAAACCATCCCTGGCCTCACAGGAGCTTTGAGAAAAGGATGCAAAAGGAGACATATATAGAACCATCTATAAATACAAGATAAGCATGTAATGTGAGCCAGGAGCAAGGTAAAAATAAAGTACTACGAGAGAGTAGAGGAGCGAGATCATGACTAGGGTGGGGGCAGCCCAGGGAGCCCTTGGATGGGAAGAGGGGCTGAGAAGTGAGGTGGCGGGTGAGGTGGGGGCACCCCTCCCAGGGGAGCCTGTGGAGAGTTATGCCCAGTGGGGTGGTGAAAGCCCCAGAGAGTAGAAAGGAAAATGCCACCCAGGAGAGGACAACCTGGCTGGGGTGGGGAGCACCTCGAGACATCTATCTCTACTTGGAGGGAAAGGGGAAGCCACAGAGGCAGCAGTGACAGTATACGCTGAGGTGGAAGGACCACTCAGGGTCAGTGCCTCCAAGTCCTGGCAGCCACTTGGCCTTGCGTGGGAACTTGCGGTTTAATCTTCCGTGAACTTCCATGGTTGATACCCACTGCTACCAGCCAGTGCACGCCTCAGAGGGCACCCAAAGCTGTGCGTTTGAGTGCTCGCTCTGTCCTTTAGGGGTGTGAACTGGGTGCCTCTCACAGACCCCCAGAGCTGCGTTCTTTTGTGGTACTTTTCCCAGGGGGTTTCCTACAGGGTTACAGGTAATTAAAGGCCAGATAATTTATACGAATGTGCTTTTTATACTGGTGATATCCCAGGTAAGAGAACTGGGGTTGCTTTTCTCTAAATGAGCATAAATGTTTGGGAAGGGGGTGGCTGGAAGGCTGGAGGGAGAGGAAGGGAAGGGAAAACTGAATACATCTTTATACTAGCCATTACCAGCTGCTGACAAATGTTCACTGTATCCATGGGGTGGGGGGAAATCTCAGTTTCACTTATCAACAGTTAAAAGTGGCAAATGTTTTGTCCTTAATTAGTTTCATCTAATTGTGTATCAGTCTTAAAAACTGATACTCCAGATTAGCTTACTGGAAAATACAAGACATAAAAATTAGGGCTGTCTTTCCTAGGCAAAGATTGTCTTACAGGCAAAAATGCATTTGTCATATGCCAGGCAATTGGTACAATGGGGGAATCAGCCAGACTAAATTATTCTCAGGGGTCAGAAAACAGCCAACTGACACAGAATTAGACAAATGGAATCAGTCCATTTAAAACTGAACCAATGGTGCTAGATTCATTGCACTACACTCTAACCACTTTTAAAATAGAAATATTGCTTACCAATTTTCACTTCTCTCTCCTCTCCAGGCACAGAGAAAAGATGACTACACTTTCCAGCATCCTTGTGGTCAGGGAAGGCCATCTTACCAGTTTTGGCTAATGAGAAAAGGTGACCTATCTCACCTCTGAGTGGGGGCTGTGAAAAGCTCCAGTGCAAACTTCAGTCAGCCCGGTTTTCTGTGTGACCATGTGGGTCGGTCGGCCTGGTTCTCTGTGTGACCATGTGGGTTGGTCGGCCTGGTTCTCTGTGTGACCATGTGGGCTGGTCGGCCTGGTTCTCTGTGTGACCACGTGGGTCGGTCGGCCTGGTTCTCTGTGTGACCATGTGGGCCGGTCGGCCTGGTTCTCTGTGTGACCATGTGGGTCGGTCGGCCTGGTTCTCTCTCTGTGTGACCATGTGGGTCGGTCGGCCTGGTTCTCTGTGTGACCCTGTGGATCCGAATGCCTGCCAACCTATGTTGACGGGTAGTGTGAATGAGAAATAAACTTGGGAATGTGTTAAGCCACTAAGATTTTAGGGCATTCTGACACAACTCTCTTTTTCAATGACCATCACACCAGTGGGTTTCTCAGTGGACATCCAGAGGAAAAATAGGGTGCTAACTTTAAGAGCAGATGACAAGTCTCTATAGGACACAAAGTTGTATGTCTGCATAAATGAACAGTTTCTTTTCATTAAAAAAAAAAAACTTGACTAAAATTTTGGTCCACAGTCCAGCAATAATAATCCTTTGTTCAAAGCTGCATAAAGATACATTTTCTCACTCTAATTTGTAGGAGACATTGCAGAAATTCTTTTCTCACACATCATTTCTAATAATATCACTTCATATAAACACAATTTTCAATGCAACGAGATAAGGGATCGCCTACCTATTTTTAGACTCTCTCCCACTTGTGAGCCTAGCCACTGTTGTTTATATACATTCGGAGTAACCTCCAAGCTTTTATGCTGGTAACTGCTTCACATTTGCCAATAGCATCAAGCAAATGACAGATAGTATCATCTATTTTACCTTACATTTGTGAAGTATAATCAAACAATGGGTTTGGATCTATTTTAGACTGTCCAGTTCAATGACGAATGTGGATCTATTTTTACAACAAACATGTTGCACTTTAATAAGATTAGCAAAACAAATCTGGTTGTTGAATTTCCCTGTTAAACTTCCTGATAAATGGTTGGTGCATTAGTCATTTCTTTGTTTCTTCCTTCATTTGTTCATTCATTCTATAAATATGTATTTGGTGCCTGCTTTGTGCCAAGCATCGAGTGGGCTCTGAATGTCTGAAGTCTAATGTCTAGGAGTTTATGATGATATTAATTTACAGTAAAATATCTGATCATTGAATCGTCAGTAGTTGCGGATATTTTGTTTTAATCATACAAATAGATGAATATTAAACATATCATTTTTTCATGGCTACATGGGGACATGATGAATATGAAATAAAGTCTCTGAAAGTCAATTTACTTAATTTCACTAAGGAAATCATGACTATCAATGGTATACAATGCTGGGGTGAGACCCTGATCCTTGAGCACAATTAAGGCAGAATTTGAACACTTATAAAAAGCTGCATACGTATTTACAATTTGTGCATATAGATTTCAAGGGATTTTATAACTCTGGTAACCCTGAAATATGTAGAATCCATAGAAGATATTCTCCTGCCTTGCACACCAAAGACACTCAATAAATACTTGGTGGTGATGCGGTGTCAAGTGGAGGCTTCCTTCCCCTAATTACTAAGAGCTTCTCTTGCTTCAGTTGCTCTCACCCTCTGCAGCTACTGTGGCTGGTGGAACGGGCCCCTGAGCATGTGTAGCTGACTCATCTTACACCTCGAGAGGCATGCTTGCTGCAGGCTGTGTCCAAAACACACTTATGTTTATAACCTTATTTAAAAGTACTTTAAAAGGCAGATTCTTGTAGTAAACGTATTAAAAAGTCAATACACGGAATAGCTTGGTTCACTGGTTCTCCGCTGCTTTTTCCATCAAATCAGACATGCCATGTCTCATAGGCCATATACTCCAAGGCTGCAACCCAGCAGCATGCAGGGGTATCAGCAATCCTGAGACAGAAACCTCCCACCTGCAGGCTGACTTCCTCCCACCTGCCCCTCAGCCCCTCTCACGCAACAAAAAGTTTAAAGATGCAACTGAGCGTTCAGTTGTTAGAGCAAAAATCTTGAATCTGAGCTAATTTGTACACAGCGTATACAGTAAACTTAGCAGTTTACTATCAAATTTACTTGTGAAAACATTCATGACTCATCTGGCACTCTTGTCACTGAACCATCACTGGTCATTTATTCATTTATTTTTACAAGTGATCTAGTTAAAGTAATATGCAGATTGACTTTGTGGTACTGCAGTAGAAACACTTAAATTCTCAGAATAAAATGTCGAACACTGAACATGATAACTACATTTAAACTCAGGCCTTTCCTTTTGTCTGTGTACTTCCATTTATGCCTCTGGGTGTGTGGTGTAAGAAATGAAGCTGAATCTATACTGAGAACATGGGATGACGATGATACCTTGTCGTGATATTTACTAACTGGAACAAATATGAACCATTAGTTATTTGAACTTTTTAGTTTTTTTGAAGCAAGTTTGCAGTATCTACCTGTAATGCAAAGAACGTCGCATAGTGAACATTCAAGGTTCAAAACACATTTCACTTAGCACCTCAAAGAAAAAAAAAGGCAACAGACCTCAATGGCACTATTGAGACACATTTGGTCAGCATCCATCACATGGTTTTGGAAATAAAGTTAACATTAACCAAAATTTCCTTTCTCTTTCATTTTGCAATAGCAAACCAAAGATTTTAGTTAAAACAACAACAATATTAAACTATAAAATTCAGTTAAATCACTCACTGTTCTTTTTCGCTATACAAAACAAAATTCCCCCATAAAACAATTACCAAATCATATTACAGCCTACCTTGCATCCTATGTAAAGTCTTACATAAACTGTCTGATACTTATATGTCCACAACTTATTCCTTTTAGAATTTTATTTTACAACAAGAAATTTTATAGTAGGTTTTCTTAAACTAAGAGACTACTCAGGGTTACTTATGCATGTTTCTAGGGCATGCATAAACAAAGACAGATTACATTTAAAAAGCAGGAAAAAAACAGAGAATCCGGCTTTCAGCAGATGTTTTCTCTCTCTTCACTTCATGTGGTCTGATGGATGTATTTTGTGCTCTCTTTTTTGTTTACACCTTGACATAAGAAGTAACATGAGCCTTCTCCACAGCCTGCTATCAAATTTTTCTGAAAGTTGGTAGAGGAATGGCAAGATTTCAGTAGGAACTACTGGGTGGGCAAATTAGTCAGGCATGAATTAGCAAAGTTCTACTGTAACTTGACTTTCAAGCTTGCTTCCTGTAACATTCAAGATCATGCTCAGCTGTATATGAATCTGAAGTATGAACTACACACGATTACATATGCATGACTGATTATCATTATTGCTGGTATCTTATTTTTTTCTTTAATGGTTGTGAGAGAATCTGCCCCACCCTCTGTTAGAAAAAGCAAATGGACTCTGCTCCTTGCTTATTCACTATTCCTCCAAGCAAAACACACAGGCTCGCGCACACGTGCAACTCACAAAAGGACAATGACCTGAATTAAAGCCACAACACAATGATTCCATTGTCTCTAAAGTTGAATGTCTTCTTCTTGAAAAAATACGATACATAAGGAAGCAAAGGGAAATATGCGTGATAAGACCTCTGTAAGACCGCATATTGCAGGAATATTTACACAGAAAAGGTTTTCAGATGGCCCAAGAACACAAAAGCAGTATGAACAAAAGTTTAGATTCTGTTCTATGAAGTCAGAACTTAACTACTTTAAT